>NC_000023.11:63712542-64962542 GCF_000001405.40 Homo sapiens | reverse complement strand
GTTAGGTCTCTAGGATCTATGTTGAATAGAAATGTCAAGAGTGGACATCCTTGTCTTTTTGCTGATCTTTCAGTGTTTTACCATTAAGTATGACTTAGCTGTGGGCTTTTCATATATGGCTTTTATTGTGTTGAGGTAATTTCCTTCTATTTTTAGTTGTTGAGAGTTTCTATCAGGAAAGGGTGTTGAATTTTGTCAAAGGCTTTTTCTGCATTTATTGAGATGATCATGTGACTGTTATCTTTCATTCTGTTGATGTGATATAGCACATTAATTGACTTTTGCATGCTGATCTCTCCTCACATCACAGGGATAAATTCCACTGGCCGTGTTGTATGATACTTTTAATGTGCTGTTAAATCAGTTTGCTAGTCTTTTGTTGAGGATTTTTACCTGTATATTCATCAGAGATAGTGTCCTCTAGTTTTCTTTTCTTGTGGAATCTTCATCTAGCTTTATTATTAGGGTAGTGCTAGGCTCATAAAATGAGTTTGGAAGTGTCGCCTCTTCACTTTTTTGGAAAAGCTTGAAAAGGATTGGCATTAACTCTTCTTTAAGTGTCTGTCAGAAGCCACCAGTGAAGCCAGCTGGTCCTGGCCTTTTCTTTGTTGGGAAGTTTTTAATTACTGTTTCAATCTCCTTACTAACTACAGGTCTATTCAGATTTTCTATTTATACAGGACTCAGTCTTGCCAGATTGTATGCTTATAGGAATTTATCCATTTTTTATGTTATCCAATTTGTTGATATGTGATTCTTCATAGTAGTCTTATGATCCTTTCTACTTCTTTGGCATCAGTTGTAGTGTGTCATCTTTCATCTCTGATTTCAATTAGTTGATTCTTTTCTATTTTCTCTTAGTCTAGCTAAAGATTTGTCAATTTTGTTTATTTTTTCAAAAAAAACCCTCTTAGTTGCATTAAAAAAATTTGATTCTTTATTTGGCTTATTTCTGCTCTCTCTTCATTATTTCCTTCAAAACTGACCAATAAATCACATGGTTAATAGAATTATTAGCTGATGACATTAAAAGTTATTATAAATCCATTTCATATGTTCAAAAAGCTTGAGGAAAAACTGACCAAGTAGAGGCATGGCAGAAATAAAAAAGATTCAAATAAAAAGTCTATAGATGAAAACTATTATGTCTAAGATCAAAAAATTTCTTAGTTTAGAAAAAGAGGGAGAAAAGATTAGTGAACTTCCAGAAATAGTAATAGAAATCATCCCAAACAAAATACATAGGGTTAAAGATTTTTAAAAATAAACAGTATCAGCAAATTGTGGGACAACTTCATTTGGTTAAAAATACAGATAACCGTCATTTAAAAACAAAGAAGAACATTATGTAATGATAAAACAGTCAATTCACCAGAAATATGCAACAATTATAAATATATATACACCCAATATCAGAACACTGAACTATATAAGGAAACATTGACAAACTGATGGTAGAAATAGACAGAAAGACAATAATAGTAAGAGACTTCAATACCCCACTTTTAATAATGGATGGAACAGTCGGACAGAAAATCAATAAAAAACAGCAGGCTTAAGAAACACTACAGACCAAATGGACCTTACAGACATATAAAACATTAAACCCAAGAGCAACAGAATAGATACTCTTCCTAACTGTACACAGAACATTCTCCAGGATAGAACACATTAAGACAATTAGCACATCTTAACAAATGTAAGAAGATCAAAATCCTACCAAGTATCTTTTCTGACCACAGTGAAATTCAACAGTAGAAGGAAAACTGGAAAATTCACAAATACCCATCTTAAGGGTTATATTTTTCCTGCTTATTTGTACATCTGGTAATAGTAAAGTGTGAATGGATGCCAGAAATAGTGAATTTCATCTTGTTGGTTGCTGCATGTATTTGTATTCCTATACTTAGTATCAGTTTTATCCCTATAAGTCTTGCTGTTAAGCATAGTTAAGTGGAACCAAAGTAGTGCTTTGTCTAGAAGTCATTTCCCCAGTACTAATGCAAAACCTTCTTTGTATTTTAATGCTTTATGAATTGTGAAGTTCTTCTACCTTGGCTATTGGAAATAGGTCCATGTGGGCTCTGATCACTGTCCCCTTTGGGTGGTTATTTTCCTGGCCTTATGTAGTTTTCTTATACACGTGTGCTAATCAATATTTAACTGAATAATTGGTGGAGTTGGATCCTCTGAAAATTGAGAGAGTCCCCTTTTTTTCATTAAAAAAAAATTAAAACGGTGCTATTGCAATAGAGTTCTCTTTCTACATAGGTCTACACTCTCCAAAACTCTTTTCTGAAAAATTTTGATACCTTGGCTTCCCCAGAGTCATGGCTCCATTTTTTTCAATTGAAGGAGACTAGCAGGCTCTGACTGAGTTTCCCTTCCCTGCAGCCTAGAATATTTATCTAGGCATGAAGATATAGCCATCTTAGGGCTCATCTAAGCCTTTCCATCTTTTGGAGATCACTGACCTTACTTGCCTGAAGTCCAGTGACTTAAGTGCTATTTTTTCATATAATTTTGTCAGTTTTTTTCTGTTTTTAGTTATGCCTGGGAGGGTAAATCAGGTCCCTGTTACTCTATCTTGACTAGAAGTGAAAGTCAAGGTTATTTCTCAAATATGGTTTCAAAAGATCAGATTTTGTCATTTAAGACACATATTTTACATTCAAAAATGTAAAGTCAGGGTGTGTCTTAAAATCCATTGGTGTTTTAATCATGCTTAAACATGTGACTGCTGTTGGCCAGGATACAGTTGTGGTGGTGTCGTCAGTATCTGAGCACATGTGAACTTTGCCATGACTATTCATATTGTCTTCTCTTAAACTGAATTATGTCCATGGTTGCCAACATGTACTGTCCATAGTTGCCACCATGTATTTAGGTTGTCATTTAAAATGTCCTCAAAAAGATTTCACCATGATTCTCCATCAAAATAGAAAGCTATTTTGTATGAAGAAGAACTCAGACCAGAAAAGTCTGATAAAAATAATCTCTTAAATAAGTCTACATTAGGTCTTTCAATTTGTATAAAATGTAAATTTTGAATTATAAGAAAACAATTTGTTATACTGTAATTGGTAGCATTTTTTCTTAGTAGTGTACAAAATAATGTGTACCTTACATTCAAAGGCATCCTAGATTCAATTAAATAAAATAACTGATTAGCCAGGATATTAATAATGCTAATCTAAGAAAGTCCTAAAATAACAGTGTTTAAAACAAGACAGTTTTAATTCTCCCTCACATTATTGATCTGGGAACAAGGTATTTGTGGTTTGTGGTGGTGTTTGATATTGGGGACCTAGGCTATTTTTATATTGTTGCTTCACTGTATACAGGGTTTCGCCCTCATCTATATGATTCAAGCCCACTGTTGTGTACACATTTTATCCAATAGGAAAATAGCAATGGGAATGGTTCTTCCATTTATAGTCACAATCCAGAAGTTGTAGACATCATTTCTGCTTCCATAAAATTGGCCAGAAAGTTGTCATATGGTCACAAATAGCTGCAAAAGGGATGGGGTAATATAGTCCTTATTTCAGACAACTTCATGCCCAGCTGAAAATCAGAGGGTCTATTGCTATAGAAAGAGGGGAGAATGAATTTGGGGAGACAGGAAGTATTGTGTTGTTTAAGAGAGAAATGAGATCAGCTCAGGGTATATTCTGCTACAGGTCTCCAATTGGGTGCCACCCCCAGTACCTTCTTAATTCTCCATCTTTCTGAATGCAAACACAGATACAAGAGCCCTTATGCACTGCTGGTAAGAGTATGAACTGTTATAGCCATCCTGCTGAGCAAATTGGCACTGCTTAATCAAAGTAAGAATGCACATTACCTGGGCCCCTGAAATCCAACTCCTGGGATAAATCACCCCCCACCACCACCAAAAAAAAATTACTGAGACAGGTACAAGGCTATTCACTTAAATGTTATTTTGGAGGTGGGGAGATTGAGGCAAAGTGGGAGTCTGTCCCTGGAAGAGTCAACAGATAAAATGTGGTTGATAGCCATATATAGAAGCAAGGAATTCTGGATATTAACTTGAGATTGCTGTGTGAAAACCATATTTTGGAAATTGGCCAATATAACAATTTTTATATACACATATATGTACATATATACACACACACAAATACACACACACACACATATACAGGCATGTGCCATATAATGATGTTTCAGTGAACAATACACCACATATACCATAGTGTGGTCCCTGAAGATTACAATGGAGCTGAAAAACTCCTATCACCTAGTGACGTACCCACTGTAACATCATAGTGCAATGTATTACTCACGTTTGTGATGATACTGCACTGCCAGTCATATAAAAGTCTAGCATATAAAATTATCTACAGTACATGATACTTGAAAATGATAACAAATGACTATGTTACTGGTGTATGCATTTACTATACTATACTTTTTATCATTATTTTAGAGTGTACTCCTCTTACTTATTAAAAAAAAATAACTGTAAAACAGGTTCAGGCTGGACTTCCAGGAGGTATTCCAGAAGAAGGCATTGTTTTCATATTCCTTGAAGACTTTCCAGTGGGACAAGATGTAGAGTTGGGAGACAGTGATATTGACAATCCTAACCCTGTGTAGGCCTAGGCTAATATGTGTGTTTCTGTCTTTATTTTTATTTTTATTTTTTTTTATTTTTGAAACCTGGTCTCACTCTCTCACCCGGGCTGGAGTGCAGGGGCATGATCATGGCTCATTGAAGCCTTGACATCCCAGGCTCAAACAACCCTTCCACCTCAGCCTCCCAAGTAGCTAGGACCACAGGCATGCACCACCACACCTGGCTAATTTATATATTTTTTTAATAGAGATAGGGTCTTCCTATGTTGCCTAGGCTGGTCTCAAACTCCTGGCCTCAAGCGATCCTCCTGCCTTGGCCTCCCAAAATGCTGGGGTTACAGACTTGAGCCACTGTGCCCAGCCTGTATCTTTATGTTTAACCAAAAAGTCCAAAAAGTAAAAATAAATAAATAAATACAAACATAGAAAAAACGCTTATGAAATAAGGATATAAAGAAATAAAATATTTTTGTACAGCTGTACAGTATGTTTTTGTGTCAAGCTAAGTATTATTGCAAAAGAGTTGTTAAAAGAAAAGCTTCAGCCAAATTAAATTTAAAGGAGGTTAATTGAGCAATGAATGATTCATGAATTGGGCAGCCCTTAGAATTACAGCAGATGCAGAGAGACTCCAGCACAGCCATGTAGTGGAAGAAGATTTATAGACAAAAGGGAAGTGACATACAGAAATCGGAAGTGAGGTACAGAAACAACTGGATTGGTTACAGCTCAGTGTTTGCACTATTTGAACACAGTTTGAACCCTCAGCAGTGTATGAGTGGTTGAACTATGGCTGCTAGGACTGGCCAAGACTCAGCTATTGTTACAGGCACATACTCCTAAGTTACGTTTTCAATCTTGTCTACCTAATAAGTTAGGTTATGCTTTGTCCTCATGGACTCAAATGTAGAAGTACAGTCCTTCTCAGGCTATATTTAGTTGGCTTTAACAATTCCTCCCTTTTGGTTACTTTCTCAATTTTGAGATGTTGACCAAAACTTTAGTCATTGATGTCACTATCACCATTGTAAATGTACTTATTTGGTCTTGAAACCCACTGGAAAACAGTAGAACAGTGGGTTTTACAAGGTGGGAACAAGGACAGAGTAGAGGGTACCTCCTTATGCTGTAACATCCTGTTTGCAGGAGAAAAACAAAATCTGGTCTGTTCTAGGATCTATGTGTTTCCTTAAAGTCTTAGTTTGATTATGTCATATTTAGTATGAGTGACTCCATGTTTGTTTGGTTTGGTCTGTTAGGGCCTAATGCAAGAGCTCAGTCCAAAACAATGGCCTCCCATAATTTTGTTTTAAAACTCTACTTTTCGGGTCAGGTTCTTACTTAGGTGAGGGTGTGACCAAAACTTAGGGCCTTAGTGCCACTCTGTTACCATCATTTTGGGTTTCTGGTCTCAGCGTGTAATTCATAAGTTACCATGTGTTCATGGTTGCATATTTTTTTCAGCTCTTGTCATCCCAGTTGAAGAGAGACCATTTGATATTCTATAGATGGCTGCATGCAAACATTTAAAACTTTTGAGAGAATGCAGCGCACAAGGGAGACTACTATTATGACTATTGGGAGGATAACACCAACAGTTTGTAGTATGCTCCTTACCCAGGGTTCCCATAAATCAAACCACTTAAAATTAAATAGATTAAAGAATGGGCTAAAGAGTCTACTCACTTAACTAAGCAGTCTTTCCATTAATCCCCTACAACTGAATTTTTATATTCTACATTTTATGTATTTCTCCATAGGCGACAAGTGCCAGCAGCTGCACAGATATTTTTCCATTGAGCCAATGCTATTATTTAGTATAACTTTCACAAGAGAATTTAAAGTCTGTTGTGTAGCCATAGCCTTTACAGTAAAATCTGCTATAGAGCCTATCATGAGGGATACATTTTTAATCATTGCTTCTTTTACTCCAAACCAAGGAAGAAAGATCTAACAAATGATGTCCTCTAGAAGAGTAAAGGCCTCCTCATAATGTTCACTTTAACCCATGATGTGGGTTAAGAGGAGTGAACCAATGTTCCCTTTCTGACTGATTATGAGGCAACGTGTGTACCGTTAAAGCTTCTTGTCTACATTGAGCCTTCGTCTTTTATCTGTCAAAGTATAAGGTTATCCATGTATAAGGCTGGCTGCAAAATCCTTCACAAATAAAAGTATACCCCATAAGTACACACAACAGACCCTCTTTTCACTTCTATTCTTCAGAGGCATAAGCAAGGAAAAAAATAGTTAGACAAGAATCTCATGATGCTAGAGAAGTCTTGATCTTTGATCTTGGGAAAAGCTATTCACATCAGAGATGCCATCTTCTTCTGGGGAGAAACTTCCCAGGTTAGCTTTACTTTAAGGGCTTCACTGGGTGTACAGTTCCAAGAGTGTGGAGGGACCCTTCTCAGTTGTGAGATTATGAACTTAAAATTCAAGGTCCTGAAGTTTTGCTGTAGTGTGGATGGCAAATACAGCCTTTCTCTGATGTTCTCAGAAGATCCAATTTTTGGGTTCTAGATTGTGAAGGGGTTGATTGTCCTCAGTCAGTGATCCATAAAAACTTTCTTTACCTGGTGAAAATACCCTGTAGCATAATAATCTACTGTTATAACAGCAACCCTCATACATGGGAAAACTTTTATACAACCAGAAAACATGCATTGAAAATGACAACTGAATGAAATTCTTATACAAAATGTTTAAATGGCCCATCAGCTAACCAAATGCACCTGAAGGTTTGATTGTTTTCCCAGGAATATGGGTGTGACAAACCAAATATTGTTCATAAACTATTTTAGGAATTTAGAAGACACCACATTAATATATAATTAATTTGGATCATTTTGTCTTTTCCATGATGAGTCACAGAATACAGAACCTTTAATAACAAAAGCTTTAACGACTCAGGAAGGACAAAGTGGCTGTCCTGCTTCTCCATGAGTCCATGCTTAATTAACATTAGACTTATGTCCTCTTGAATACCAGTTATTTCTCCAAATTAGGTACATAGCACTGATAACTGGTGGGTTATCATAGGTAATTTGACTTAGACCGTGGAGTTTATTCAAACTGTATACCTAAACAATTTCAGTATTGGCTGATTCAGCATTCAAATCTGGCAGAGTATTTTCTTGTTATTCCATAACTTTCTGTTCTACTTGGGTTAGTAGTTTTATAAACCAGTCCACCTTTTCATTAAAATTTCAGGAATTCTTATCCGGTCCAAATGATATGATTTTATAGAAACCTGTATTGAAGAGTGATTTTCAGGGACCTTTCAATCCTTTCATGAACCTCCTAAAAGACACCATATTCTAGGATTTTGCATGCTTGTGAAATTTTTCAGAAACAGCATCAGCATTAAGCAACTAACTGTGGAAATGACTTCAAAGGATTATAGTTAAAAACACAATTAAAAAGAAAACTTCATTCTTTCTGTTGTCTACAATAACATAATAACCATAATAATGATTAATAGCAAGCACTCAAACATATTAGAAATTTTGAAATCCAATACAATTTTTGAGCATATATATATATAATTATAAATATATATAATTATATATATATATATAATTATATATATATATAATTATATATATATATATATATAATTATACTTTAAGTTTTAGGGTACATGTGTACAATGTGCAGGTTTGCTACATATGTATACACGTGCCACGTAGGTGTGCTGCACCCATTAACTCGTCATTTACATTAGGTATATCTCCTAATGCTATATCTCCCCAATTCCCCCAACCCCACAACAGGCCCCGGTGTATGATGTTCCCCTTCCTGCGTCCATGTGATCTCATTGTTCAATTCCCACCTATGAGTGAGAACATGCAGTGTTTGGTTTTTCGTCCTTGCGATAGTTTGCTGAGAATGATGGTTTCCAGCTTCATCCATGTCCCTACAAAGGACATGAACTCATCATTTTTTATGGCTGCATAGTATTCCACGGTGTATATATGCCACATTTTCTTAATCCAGTCTATCATTGTTGGACATTTGGCTTGGTTCCAAGTCTTTGCTATTCTGAACAGTGCCACAATAAACATACGTGTGCATGTGTCTTTATAGCAGCGTGATTTATAGTCCTTTGGGTATATACCCAGTAAGGGGATGGCTGGGTCAAGTGGTATTTCTAGTTCTAGATCCCTGAGGAATCGCCACACTGACTTCTGCAATGGTTGAACTAGTTTACAGTCCCACCAACAGTGTGAAAGTGTTCCTATTTCTCCACATTCTCTCCAGCACCCTTTGTTCCCTGACTTTTTAATGATCGCCATTCTGGTGTGAGATGCTATCTCATTGTGGTTTTGATTTGCATTTCTCTGATGGCCAGTGATGATGAGCACTTTTTCATGTGACTTATGGCTGCATAAATGTCTTCTTTTGAGAAGTGTCTGTTCATATCCTTCACCCACTTGTTGAAGGGGTTCTTTGTTTTTTCCTTGTAAATTTGTTTCAGTTCTTTGCAGATTCTGGATATTAGCCCTTTGTCAGATGAGTACATTGCAAAAATTTTCTCCCATTCTGTAGGTTGCCTGTTCAATCTGATGGTAGTTTCCTTTGCCGCCCAGAAGCTCTTTAGTTTACTTAGATCCCATTTGTCAATTTCGGCTTTTGTTGCCATTGCTTTTGGTGTTTTAGACATGAAGTCCTTGCCCATGCCTGTGTCCTGAATGGTATTGCCTAGGTTTTCTTCTAAGGTTTTTATGGTTTTAGGTCTAACATTTAGGTCTTTAATCCATCTTGAATTAATTTTTGTATAAGGTGTAAGGAAGGGATCCAGTTTCAGCTTTCTAATATGGCTAGCCAGTTTTCCCAGCACCATTTATTAAATAGGGAATCCTTTCCCCATTGCTTGTTTTTGTCAGGTTTCTCAAAGATCAGATAGTTGTAGATATGTGGCATTATTTCTGAGGGTTCTGTTCTGTTCCATTGGTCTATATCTCTGTTTTGGTACCAGTACCATGCTGTTTTGGTTACTGTAGCCTTGTAGTATAGTTTGAAGTCAGGTAGCGTGATGCCTCCAGCTTTGTTCTTTTGGCTTAGGGTTGACTTGGCAATGAGGGCTCTTTTTTGGTTCCATATGAACTTTACAGTAGTTTTTTTTTCCAATTCTGTGAAGAAAGTCATTGGTAACTTGATGGGGATGACATTGAATCTATAAATTACCTTGGGCAGTATGGCCATTTTCACGATATTGATTCTTGCTATCCATGTGCATGGAATGTTCTTCCATTTGTTTGTATCCTCCTTTATTTCGTTGAGCAGTGGTTTGTAGTTCTCCTTGAAGAGGTCCTTCACATCTCTTGTAAGTTGGATTCCTAGGTATTTTATTCTCTTTGAAGCAACTGTGAAAGGGAGTTCACTCATGATTTGGCTCTCTGTTTGTCTGTTATTGGTGTATAAGAATGCTTGTGATTTTTGCACATTGGTTTTGTATCCTAAGACTTTGCTGAAGTTGCTTATCAGCTTGAGGAGATTTTGGGCTGACATGATGGGGTCAATATTGTGAAAATGGCCATACTGCCCAAGGTAATTTATAGATTCAATGCCATCCCCATCAAGCTACCAATGACTTTCTTCACAGAATTGGAAGAAACTACTTGAAAGTTCATATGGAACCAAAAAAGAGCCTGCATTGCCAAGTCAATCCTAAGCCAAAAGAACAAAGCTGGAGGCATCACACTACCTGACTTCAAACTATACTTCAAGGCTACAGTAACCAAAACAGCATGGTACTGGTACCAAAACAGAGATATAGATCAATGGAACAGAACAGAGCCCTCAGAAATAACGCCACATGTCTACAACTATCTGATCTTTGACAAACCTGAGAAAAACAAGCAATGGGGAAAGGATTCCCTATTTAATAAATGGTGCTGGGAAAACTGGCTAGCCATATGTAGAAAGCTGAAACTGGATCCCTTCCTTATACCTTATACGAAAATCAATTCAAGATGGATTAAAGACTTAAACGTTAGACCTAAAACCATAAAAACCCTAGAAGAAAACCTAGGCATTACCATTCAGGACATACGAATTGGCAAGGACTTCATGTCTAAAACACCAAGAGCAATGGCAACAAAAGCCAAAATTGACAAATGGGATCTAATTAAACTAAAGAGCTTCTGCACAGCAAAAGAAACTACCATCAGAGTGAGCAGGCAACCTACAAAATGGGAGAAAATTTTTGCAACCTACTCATCTGACAAAGGGCTAATATCCAGAATCTACAATGAACTCAAACAAATTTACAAGAAAAAACAAACAACCCCATCAAAAAATGGGCGAAGGACATGAACAGACACTTCTCAAAAGAAGACATTTATGCAGCCAAAAAACGCATGAAAAAATGCTCACCATCACTGGCCATGAGAGAAATGCAAATCAAAACCAAATTGAGATACCATCTCACACCAGTTAGAATGGCAATCATTAAAAAGTCAGGAAACAACAGGTGCTGGAGAGGATGTGGAGAAATAGGAACACTTTTACACTGTTGGTGGGACTGTAAACTAGTTCAACCGTTGTGGAAGTCAGTGTGGCGATTCCTCAGGGATCTAGAACTAGAAATACCATTTGACCCAGCCATCCCATTACTGGGTATATACCCAAAGGAGTATAAGTCATGCTGCTATACACATGCACACGTATGTTTGTTGTGGCACTATTCACAATAGCAGACTTGGAACCAAGCCAAATGTCCAACAATGACAGACTGGATTAAGAAAATGTGGCACATATATACCGTGGAATACTATGCAGCCATAAAAAATGATGAGTTCATTTCCTTTGTAGGGACATGGATGAAATTGGAAATCATCATTCTCAGTAAACTATCGCAAGGACAAAAAACCAAACACCGCATGTTCTCACTCATAGGTGGGAATTGAACAATGAGAACACATGGACACAGGAAGGGGAACATCACACTCTGGGGACTGTTGTGGGGTGGGGAGAGTGGGGAGCTATGGCATTAGGAGATATACCTAATGCTAAATGACGAGTTAATGGGTGCAGCACACCAGCATGGCAAATGTATACATATGTAACTAACCTGCACATTGTGGACATGTACTCTAAACCTTAAAGTATAATAATAATAATAATCAAAAATAAAAAAGAATCCAGAGCCATCAGTGTGCTGTATTCAGGAAACCCATCTCACATGTGGAGACACACATAGGCTTAAAATAAAGGGATGGAGGAAGATCTACCAAGCAAATGGAAAACAAAAAAGGTGGGGATTGCAATCCTAGTCTCTGATAAAACAGACTTTAAACCAACCAAGATCAAAAGAGACAAAGAAGGTCATTTCATAATGGTAAAGGGATCAATTCAACAAGAAGAGCTAACTATCCTAAATATATATGCACCCAATACAGGAGCACCCAGATTCATAAAGCAAGTCCTTAGAGACCTAGAAAGAGACTTAGACTCCCACACAATAATAATGGGAGACTTTAACATCCCACTGTCAACATGAGACAGATCAACGAGACAGAAAGTTAAAAAGGATATCCAGGAATTGAACTCATCTCTGCACCGAGCAGACCTAATAGACATCTACAGAATTCTCCACCCCAAGTCAACAGAATATACATTCTTCTCAGCACCACACCGCACTTATTCCAAAATTGACCACATAGTTGGAAGTAAAGCAGTCCTACACAAATGTAAAAGAACAGAAATTATAACAAACTGTCTCTCAGACCACGGTGCAATCAAACTAGAACTCAGGATTAAGAAACTCACTCAAAACCGCTCAACTACATGGAAACTGAACAACCTGCTCCTGAATGACTGCTAAGTACATAACGAAATGAAGGCAGAAATAAAGATGTTCTTTGAAACCAACGTGAACAAAGATACAACATACCAGAACCTCTGGGACACATTTAAAGCAGTGTGTAGAGGGAAATTTATATCACTAAATGCCCACAAGAGAAAGTAGGAAAGATCTAAAATTGACACCCTAACATCACAATTAAAAGAACTAGAGAAGCAAAAGCAAACACATTCAAAAGCTAGCAGAAGGCAAGAAATAACTAAGATCAGAGCAGAACTGAAGGAGATAGAGACACAAAAAACCCTTCAAAAAATCAGTGAATCCAGGAGCTGGTTTTTTGAAAAGTACAACAAAATTGATGGACCGATAGCAAGACTAATAAAGAAGAAAAGAGAGTAGAATCAAATGGATGCCATAAAAAATGATAAAGGGGATATCACCACCAATCCCACAGAAATACAAACTACCATCAGAGAATACTAGGAACATATATTAATATCATTCACTAAAATATAACCTGAGGAAAGTTAATTTTTTTGACAGTGCTTCCCGTGTAACTTGCTATGTCAAATAATTCTGTTTACCTTTCCTCTGGGTGCTTAAGGGTCCCTCTGGAGCATTCCAAGTTAGAGGTCGCATAATATAATTTTGAAGCTGCAATTTGATTTTGGGAAGGCCATCAAATATGGTAAAGTTTTAAAACAGTTTGATATGATGAAATGGAATTCTAGGTACTGTAAGTCATTCATTTAGCCAAAATGATGACTCAAAAAATTTAAGAAGGCAAAAACTGTTAGTCATTGATAGGCAGAAACCTTAGCTTTCCAAACAGTCTGTCTCTTGTCTTTCCCTTCTTTTTTGGTAGTTTATTCAAAAGGCAAAGAAAAATCTTTTATTGTCCTTTACTATTGCATGAAAATCTTGTTCAAGAGAGAAAGCAAAATTTCACCCTGGCATTAGTGTACCA
Source organism: Homo sapiens (assembly GCF_000001405.40). Classification (NCBI taxonomy): domain Eukaryota; kingdom Metazoa; phylum Chordata; class Mammalia; order Primates; family Hominidae; genus Homo; species Homo sapiens. The sequence continues at coordinate 64,949,160 of NC_000023.11, read as the reverse complement.
TGAATGTTAACCCTAATTCTTAAGAAATCTTATAGACAAATTGATTCAATCTTAATCATTTGGACCATAAGGTGAGATTCCCATAAACCTTTTATTACCCTTTACAAATTTTTGTTGAAGAGCAGATTAGTGCTCTAAGAAAACCCTGTTGTGCTTTTATTTCAATGTTCAAGTTATGGAAAAAATAATAATACCTCTTTAAATTTAGTCAATATGTTTACAGACAAAATTTGTTTTACAATATTAATTTTTACGAACCTTTTACAACTTGGTGAAACGTTTACCTTTATCTTATGTAATTTAAAACAATCATTTAGCCCTTTAATCTAGGCAAACATTTACATTCCCATGCCTTCTTATAATATTTTACCAAAAATACTTTTTATTGTCTTCACACACCTTGCATATAAAACTTTTTTCAGTAGTCTCAAATACATGTTATAATGGTAACTCTCCAGAATTTTAATTTTTGGTAGAAAACCTGGCAAGTAAGTAATTTTAATTATGTAGTAGGTTTGTATCCAAGGAAATCAGACAGAAGTACAGATAAGGTGTGACTCTTTCATCATTTCTGTTAGACTTCACTGCTTCCCAGGTTAACATTTATGCATGTGTTAGCCAGAGGAACTCAGTTCTTCAGAAATTAAAAATTAAATTTGTACCTAAAATATTGGCTTTGCTCTCAGATTCCCCTGATGAACTTAGCCAATGATTTTTCCTACCTAAGTGTGCACAAAAAAAAATGTGAAACAAAGGGGTAGAACGTAAAAATCCTCATGAATATCCAGAAGCCAATTTTTTTTCAATTTCTACAATATTGCCATTTACTGCCAGTTTTTTTCTGACCCAGTCAGGTGTAAGAGCCCTCTAACTGGATCCAAGCCAGTTAATCACTGGAACGAATCCAATCCTGGACCAAGTCCGGTTTCTATAGTGACTTATAAACCAAGTTTGGATGAGAAATTCGCCCAAAGAAACTCAAAGAGCTCAAAACACAAATCCATGAAGCTCCAAAACCCAAAAGAGAACTTAACCAAGATCTCTAGCTCCTCTGATAGATCAAACGACACAATTGGGTCCTTGCAGTTACCTTGCTTGTTCACTCAGTGCTCCTGGGGGTCGTTAAAAGTTCTACTTCAGATGCCACTTCTGACATCATCTGTTAAAAGAAAAAAATCAGCCAAATTAAATGTAAAGGAGTTTAACTGAGCAATGAACAATTCATGAATCAGACAGCCATCAGAATCACAGCAGATTCAGGGAGGCCAGCACAGCCACTTCATGGAAGAAGATTTATAAACAAAAAAAAAAAAAAGAGAAGTGACATACACAAATTGGAAGTGAGGTACAGAAACAACTGGATTGGTCACAGCTCAGTGTTTGCATTATTCACAGTTTGAACACTCAGCAGCGTATCAGTGGTTGAAGTATGGTTTCTGGGATTAGCCAAGGCTCAGCTATTGTTACAGACACATACTCCTAAATTAGGTTTTCAGTCTTGTCTACGTATTAAATTAGGTTGTGGTTCATCCACAAGGACTCAAATATAGAAGTGCAGAGTCTTTCTCAGCCATATTTAGTTTGCTTAACAGAGTAAAAATGTTTTTAAAAAGTTTAAAGTTTATAAAGTAAAAGCATTACAATAACCTAATTTTAATTTATTATGGAAGAAAGACATTTTTAAAGATAAATTTAGTTTAGCCTAGGTATACAGTCTAACTATAGCTGGAGTCTTCAACATACCTCTATCAACATTTGATAAAACAAGCCAGAAATCATCAAGGATATAGAACCATCACCATCAACCAGCAGAATCTCATTGACATTTATAGAACACTTCACCCAGCAGCAGGATACACATTCTTTGCAAGTGCTCATGGAACATATACCAAAATAGATAGACCATTTCCTGGGATATAAAATAATCCCCAACAAATTTAAAAGAACAGAAATACAGAAATGTGTTGTGTGACATTAATAAAATCAAACTAAAAACCAGTAAACCAGAAAAAATTACCAGAAAAATCTACACACGCTTGGACACTAAACAACATATATCTGAATGATGTGTATTTCATAGAGAGTCTCAAGAAAAATAAAAATACACTAAACTGAGTGAGCTGAAAAATATCAAAAATTGTGAGATGCAGTAAAAGCAGTAATGAAAAAAATTAACAGCACTAAATGCTTACATTATAACAGAAGAGATGCCTTAAAACAATAATCTAAGCTCCCACTTCAAGAAACTCGAGGAAGAAGAGAAAAATAAGATGAAGGCAAGCAAAAAACAGAAACTAATAAAGGTAAGAACAGAAATCAATGAAATTGAGACTAGAAAACAACAAAGAAATGAATGAAACATTTATATATTTAAAACAACATATACACATTTCATGCACATTACCTGTGCTGTGAAATCCCACTCCTGAGATGAATCCCTGGTTGTTTTAAGAATCTATCTATCTATTTATCTATCCAAACATATATATTTCATATATATAAAACAACCAGGGTTTATCCCCAGTGAAATTTATATTTAAATAGACGTGTGTGTGTGTGTGTGTGTGTGTGTGTGTGTGCACGCATTTAAAACAACCAAGGGGTTTTTCCAAGATGGCTGAATAGGAACAGCTCTGATCTGCAGTTCCCAGCAAGACCAAAGCAGGAGGTGGGTGACTGCTGCATTTCCAACTGAGGTACCCGGTTCCTCTCGTTGGGACTGGTTAGACAGCGGGTGCAGCCCACAGAGGGCGAGCAGAATCAGGGTGGGGTGTCACCTTACCCAGGAAGTGCAAAGGACCAGGGACCTCCCTGTTCTAGCCAAGGGAAGCTGTGAGGCTGTGCTATCTGCCCCAGATACTACGCTTTTCTTATGGTTTTTGCAACCTGCAGACTAGGAGATTCCCTCATGGACCTGTACCACCAGGGCCCTGGGATTCAAGCACAAAACTGGGTGGCTGTTTGGGTAGACACTGAGCTAGCTGGAGGAGGTTTTTTTTGTTTTGTTTTGTTTTGGTTTTGGTTTTTTTTCCCACACGCCAGGGGCACCTGGAACCCAAGCGAGAGAGAACTGTTCACTCCTCTGGAAAGGCGGTGGAAGCCAGAAAGCCAAGTGATCTCGCTTAGCAGGTCCCACCCCCACAGAGCCCAGCAAGCTAAGATCCACCAGCTTGAAATTCTCACTCCCAGCACAGCAGTCTGAAGTTGACCTGGGATGCTCGAGCTTGGTGGGGGGAGGGGCTTCCACCATTACTGAGACTTGAGTAGGTGGTTTTCCCCACACAGTGTAAACAAAGCCACCAGGAAGTTCTGACTTAGCGGAAACCATCATAGCACAGCAAAGCAGCTGTGGCCAGACTGCCTCTCTAGATTCCTCCTCCCTGGGCAGGGCGTCTCGGGAAAAAAGGCAGCAGTCCCAGTTAGGGGCTCATAGATGGAACTCCCATCCCTGGGACAGAACACCTGGGAGAAGGGGTGGCTGTGGGGGCAGCTTCAGCAGACTTAAATGTTCCTGCCTGCCAGCTCTGAAGAGAGCAGAGGATCTCCCATCAGAGTGCTAGAGCTATGCTAAGGGATGGACTGCCTTGTCAAGTGGGTCCCTGACGCCTATGCCTCCTGACTGGGAGACACCTCCCAGCAGGAGTCAACAGACACCGCATACAGGAGAGGTCAGGGTGGCATCTGGCAGGTGCCCCTCTGGGATGAAGTTTCCAGAGGAAGGAGTAGGTGGCAATCTTTGCTCTTCTGCAGCCTCCACTGGTGATACCCAGGCTAATAGGATCTGGAGTGGACCACCAGCAAACTCCAGCAGACTGCAGAAGAGGGGACTCACTGTTAGAAGGAAAACTAACAAACACAAAGCAATAACATCAACATCGACATAAAGGATGCCCACACAAAAACCCCATTTAAAGGTCATTAAAGTCAAAGATCAAAGTTAAATAAATACACGAAGATGAGGAAAAACCAGTGCAAAAAAGATGAAAATTCCAAAAGCTACAATGCCACCTCTCCTACAAAGGATCACAACTCCTCGCCAGCAAGGGCACGAAACTGGATGGAGCAAGAGTTTGACGAAATGACAGAAGTAGGCTTCAGAAGGTGGGTAATAACAAACTTCTCTGAGCTAAAGGAGCATGTTCTAACCCAATGCAAGGAAGCTAAGAAATTTTATAAAAGTTGACAAGAACTGCTAACTAGAATAACCAGTTTAGAGGAAAACATAAATTACCTGATGGAGCTGAAAACACAGCACGAGAACTTCATGAAGCATGCGCAAGAATCAATAGCCAAATCAATGAAGCAGAAGAAAAGATATTAGAGATTGAAGACCAACTTTAAGAAATAAAGCATGAAGACAAGATTAGAGAAAAAAAATGAAAAGGAGCGAACAAAGCCTCCAAGAAATATGGGACTATGTGAAAAGACTAAATCTATGATTGACTGGTGTACCTAAAAGTGATGGGGAGAATGGAACCAAGTTGGAAAACACTCTTCAGGATATTATCCAGAAGAACTTCCCCAACTTAGCAAGACAGGCCAACATTCAAATTCAGAAAGTGCAGAGAGCACCACTAAGATACTCCTCAAGAAGAGCAACCCTAAGACACATAAGCGTCAGATTCACCAAGGTTGAAACAAAGGAAAAAATGTTAAAGGCAGACAGAGAAAAAGGTCAGGTTACCAACAAAAGAAGCCCATCAGACTAACAGTGGATCTCTCTGCAGAAACCCTAGAAGCAAGAAGAGAGTGGGGGTCAATATTCAACATTCTTAAAGAAAAAAAATTTTGAGATTGAGACCATCCTGGCTAACATGGTGAAACCCCGTCTCTACTAAAAAAATACAAAACAATTAGCCAGGCATGGTGGCAGGCACCTGTAGTCCCAGCTACTCGGGAGGCTGAGGCAGGAGAATGGCATGAACCTGAGAGGCAGCGCTTGCAGTGAGCTGAGATCACGCCACTGCACTCCAGCCTGGGCAACAGAGCGAGACTCCATCTCAAAAAAAAAAAAAAAAAGAAAAAAGAAAAAAATTTTAACCCAGAATTTCATATCCAGCTAAAATAAGCTTCACAAGCAAAGGAGAAAGAAAATCCTTTACAGACAAGCAAATGCTGAGGGATTTTGTCACCACCAGGCCTACCATTCAAGAGCTCCTGAAGGAAGCAATAAATATGGAAGGGAAAAACTGGTACCAGCCACTGCAAAAACGTACCAAAATACAAAAACCAATGACACTAGGAAGAAACTGCATCAACTATTGTGCAACAAACCAGCTAGCATCATGATTACAGGATCAGATTCACTCATAACAATATTAACCTTAAATGTAAACAGGCTAAATTCCCCAATTAAAAGACAGAGACTGGCAAATTGGATAAAAAAGACTCAAGACCCATCACTGTTCTGTATTAAGGAGACCCATCTCATGTGCAAAGATACACATGCGCTCAAAATAAAGGGATGGATGAATATTTACCAAGCAAATGGAAAGCAAAAAAAAAGCAGGGGCTGCAATCCTAGTTTCTGATAAAACAGACCTTAAACAACAAAGATCAAGAAAGACGAAGGATATTACATGATGGAAAAGGGATCAATGCAACAAGAAGAGCTACCTATCCTAAATATATATGCACCCAATACAGGAGCACCAAGATTCATAAAGCAAGTTCTTAGAGAGCTACAAAGAGACTAAGACTTCCACACAATAATCATGGGAAATTTTAACACCCCACTCTCAATGTTAGACATATCAATGAGATGGAAAAAAATACAAGGATATTCAGGACTTGAACTCAGCTCTAGCCCAAGCGGACCTAATAGACATCTACAGAACTCTTCACTCCAGATCAACAGAATATACATTCTTCTCAGCACCACATAGCACTTTTTCTAAAATCAACCACATAAAGGAAGTAAAACACTCAGCAAATACAACAGAACAGACATAATAACAAACAGTCTGTCTGACCACAGTGTGATCAAATTAGAACTCAGGATTAAGAAACTCATTCAAAACCATACAACTTCAAAAGAAGACATTTATGCAGCCAACAAACATGAAAAAAAGCTCATCATCACTGGTCATTAGAGAAATGCATATCAAAACCACAATGAGATACCATCTCACACCACTTAGAATGGTGATCATTAAAAAGTCAGGAAACAAAAGACGCAGTAGAGGATGTGGAGAAATAGGAACACTTTTACACTGTTGGTGGGAGTGTAAATTAGTTCAACCCTTGTGAAAGACAGTGTGGTGATTATTCAAGGATCTAATTAGAAATACCATCTGACCCAGCAATCCCATTACTGGGTATATACCCAAAGGATTCTAAATCATTGTACTATAAAGACACATGCACATGTTTGCTTATTGCAGCAGTATTCACAAGAGCAAAAACTTGGAACCAATGCAAATGCCCATCAATGATAGACTGGATAATGAAAATGTGGCATTATACACCATGGAATACTATGCAACCAGAAAAAAGAAGGAGTTCATGTCCCTTGCATAGACATTGATGAAGCTGAAAACCATCATTCTCAGCAAACTAACACAGGAACAGAAAACCAAACACCACATATTCTCACTCATAAGTGGGAGTTGAACAATGAGAACATACAGGCACAAGGAGGGAAACATCACACACCAGGACCTGTTGGGGGGTGGGGGGGCAAGGGGAGAGATAGCATTTGGAGAAATATGTAATGTAGATGACAGGTTGATGGGTGCAGCAAACCACCTTGGCACAAACCTGCACATTCTGCACATGTATCCCAGAAATTAAAGTATAATAAAAAAATCAATGAATCTAGGAGCTGGTTTTGGGAAAGATTAACAAAATAGACGGCTAGCCAGACTAATAAAAAAGAAAAGAGAAGAATCAAATAGACACAATAAGTAGTGATAAAGGGGATATCAACACTGACCCCATGGAAATAAAAACTACCATCAGAGAATACTAAAAACACCTTTATGCAAATAAACTAGAAAAATCTAGAAGAAATGGATAAATTTCTGGACACAAACACACTCCCAAGACTAAACTAGAGGGAAGTTGAATCCCTAATTACACCAATAACAACTTCTGAAAATGAGGCAATAATTAATAGCCTACCAACCAAAAAAAAGTCCAGGGCCAGGCGGATTCACAGCCAAATTCTATCAAAGGTAAAAAGAGGAGATGGTACAATTTCTTCTGAAACTATTCCAAACAGTAGAAAAAGAGGGACTCCTCCCTAACTCATTTTATGAGGCCAGCATTATTCTGATACCAAATCCTGGCAGAGACACAACAGCAACAACAATAACAAAGAAAATTTCAGGCCAATATTGCTGATTAACATCAATGAGAAATACTGGCAAACCGAATCCAGCAGCACATCAAAAAGCTCATTCACCATGATCAGGTTGGTTTCATCCCTGGGATGCAAGGCTAGTTCAACATATGCAAATCAATAAACGTAATCCATCACATAAACAGAAACAATGACAAAAACCTCATGATTATTTCAATAGATGCAGAAAAGACATTCGATAAAATTCAACACCTCTTCATGCTAAAAACATTCCATAAACTAGGTATTGATGGAACATATCTCAAAATAATAAGAGCTATTTATGACAAACCCATAGCCAATATCATACTGAATGGGCAAAAGCTGGAAGCATTCCCTTTGAAATTCAGCAAAAGACAAGAATGACCTCTCTCACCACTCCTAGTCAACATAGTATTGGAAGTTCTGGCCAGGGCAATCAGGCAAGAGAAGGAAATAATGGTATTCAAATAGGAAGAGAGGAAGTCAAATTGTCTCTGTTTGCAAATGACATGATGGTATATTCAGAAAACCCCATTGTCTCAGCCCAAAGCTCCTTAAGCTCATAAGCAACTTTAGCAAAGTCTCAGGATAGAAAATCAATGTGCAAAAATCACAAGCATTCCTATACACCAATAATAGACACACAGAGAGCCAAATCATGAGTGAACTCCCATTCACAATTGCTATTAAGAGAATAAAATACCTAGGAATACAACTTACAAAGGATGTGAAGGACTGCTTCAAGGAGAACTACAAACCACTGCTCAAGGAAATAAGGACACAAACAAATGGAAAAACATTCCATGCTCATGGATAGGAAGAATCAATATCGTGAAAATGACCATACTGCCCAAAGTAATTCATAGATTCAATGCTATTCCCATCAAGCTACCATTGAATTTATTCACAGAATTAGGAAAAAGTACTTTAAATTTCATGTGGAACCAAAAAAGAGCCCGTATAGCAAAGACAGTCCTAAGCAAAAAGAACAAAGCTGGGGATATCACGCTACCTGACTTCAAATTATACTACAAGGCTATGGTAACCAAAACACCATGGTACTGGTACCAAAACAGATATATAGACCAACGGAACAGAACAGAGGCCTCAGAAATAACACCACACATCTACAACCATCTGATCTTTCACCAGTCTGACAAAAACAAGCAATGGGGAAAGGATTCCCCATTTAATATGTAGTGTTGGGAAAACAGGCTAGCCATATGCAGAAAACTGAAACTGGACCCCTTCCTTACACCTTATACAAAAATTAACTCAGGATGAATTAAAGACTTAAATGTAAGACCTAAAATCATAAAAAAGAAAACCCAGGCAGTACCATTCAGGACATAGGCATGGGCAAAGACTTCATGACTGGAACACCAAAAGCAATTGCAATGAAAGCAAAATTGACAAATGGGATCTCATTAAACTAAAGAGCTTCTGCACAGCAAAAGAAACTATCATCAGAGTGAACAGGCAACCTACAGAATGGGAGAAAATTTTTACAATCTATCCATCTGACAAAGGTCTAATATCCAGATCCTACAAGGATCTTAAACAAGTTTACTAGAAAAAACCAACCCCATTAAAAAGTGGGTGAAGGTTATGAACAGACAATTCTCAGAAGAAGACATTTATGTGGCCAACAAACATATGAAGAAAAGCTCGTCATCACTGGTCATTAGAGAAATGCAAATCAAAACCAAAATGTGATAGTATCTCATGGCAGTTAGAATGGTGATCATTAAAACGTCAGGAAACAACAGAAGCTGGAGAGGATGTGGAGAAATAAGGAAGCTTTTATAATAATTGCAAAAATTTTCTCCCATTCTTTAGGTTGCCTGTTCCCACTGATAATAGTTTCTTTTGCTGTGCAGAAGCTCTTTAGTTTAGTTAGATCCCTTTTGTCAATTTTTGCTTTTGGTGCCATTATTTTTGGTGTTTTGGACATGAAGTCTGTGCCCATTACTATGTCCTGAATGGTATTGCCTAGGTTTTCTTCTAGGATTTTTATGATTTTAGGTGTTATGTTTAAGTCTTTCATCCATCTTGAGTAAATCTTTGTATAAGGTGTAAGTAAGGGGTCGAGTTTCAGTTTTCTGCATCTGGCTAGCCAGTTTTGCCAACACCATTTATTAAATAGGGAATCCTTTCCCCATTGCTTGTTTGTGTCAGGTTGGTCAAAGATCAGATGGTTGTAGATGTGTGGTGTTATTTCCGAGGCCTCTGTTCTGTTCTATGTATCTGTTTTGGTACCAGTAGCATGCAGTTTCGGTTTCTGTAACCTTGTAGTATAGTTTGAAGTCAGGTATCGTAACACCTCCAGCTTTGTTCTTTTTGCTTAGGAGTGTCTTGGCTATGTGGGCTCTTTTTTGGTTCCATATGAAGTTAAAAGTAGTTTTTTTCCAATTCTGTGAATAAAGTCAATGGTATCTTGATGGGGATAGCATTGAATCTATAAATTACTTTGGGCAGTATGGCAATTTTTACGATACTGATTCTTCCTATCCATAAGCATGGAATGTTTTTCCATTTGTTTGTGTCCTCTCTTATTTCCTTGAGCAGTGGTTTGAAGTTCTCCTTGAAGATAACCTTCACATCCCTTGAAAGTTGTATTCCTAGGTATTTTATTCTCTTAGTAGCAATGGTGAATGGGAGTTCACTCATGATTTGGCTCTCTATGTGTCTATTATTGGTGTATAGGAATGCTTGTGATTTTTGCACATTGATTTTGTATCCTGAGACTTTGCTGAAATTGCTTATCAGCTTAAGGAGATTTTGAGATGAGACAATGAGGTTTTCTAAATATATGATCATGTCATCTGCAAATAGAGACAATTTGACTTCCTCTCTTTCTATTTGAATACCCTTTATTTCTTTCATTTGCCTGATTGTCGTGGCCAGAAATTCCAATACTATGTGGAATAGAAGTGGTGAGAGAGGGCATCCATGTCTTGTGCCAGTTTTCAAAGCAAATGCTTCCAGCTGTTGCCCATTAAGTATGATATTCGCTGTAGGTTTGTCATAAATAGCTCTTATTATTTTGAGATACATTTCATTGATACCTGGTTTATTGAGAGTTTTTAGCATAAAGGGGTGTTGAATTATGTCACAGGCCTTTTCTGCATCTAGTGAGATAATCATGTGACTTTTTTGTCATTGGTTATGTTTATGTGATGGATTGCATTTATTGATTTGCATATGTTGAACTAACTTTGCATCCCAGGTATGGAGCCAACTTGATCGTAGTGGATAAGCTTTTTAATGTGCTGCTGGATTCAGTTTGCCAGTATTTTATTGAGGATTTTCACATCGATGTTCATCAGGGATATTGGCCTGAAATTTCCCTTTTTTGTTGTGTCTCTGCCAGGTTTTGGTACCCGGATGATGGTGGCCTCATAAAACAAGTTAGAGAGTATTCCCTCTTTTTCTGTTGTTTGGAATAGTTTCAGAAGGAATGGTATAAGCTGCTCTTTGTACCTCTGGTAGAATTCGGCTGTGAATCCGTCTGGTCCTGGACTTTTTTTGGTTGGTAGTCTGTTAATTACTGCCTCAATTTCAGAACTTGTTATTAGTCTATTCAGAGATTCGACTTCTTCCTGGTTTAGACTTGAGGGGGTGTATTTGTCCAGGAATTTCTCCATTTCTTCTAGATTTTCTAGTTTATTTGCATAGAGGTGTTCATAGTATTCTCTGATGATAGTTTGTATTTCTGTGGGATCAGTAGTGATATGCCCTATGTCGTTTTTTACTGTGTCTATTTGATTCTTCTGTCTTTTCTTCTTTATTAGTCTGGCTAGCAGACTATCTATTTTGATGACTTTTTTCAAAAACCAGCTCTTGAATTCATTGATTTTTTTGAAGGTTTTTTCATGTCTCTAGCTCCTTCAGTTCTGTTCTGATCTTAGTTAATTCTTGTCTTCTGCGAGCTTTTGAATTTGTTTGCTCTTGCTTCTCTAGTTCTTTTCATTGTGATGTTAGGGTGTCAATTTTAGATCTTTTCTGCTTTCTCTTGTGGGGATTTAGTGGTATAAATGCCCCTCTACACACTGCTTTAATTGTGTCCCAGAGATCCTGGTACGTTGTATCTCTGTTCTCATTGGTTTCGAAGAACATCTTTATTTCTGCCTTCATTTCATTAATTACCTAGTTGTCATTCAGGAGCAGATTGTTCAGTTTGCATGTAGTTGTGTGGTTTTGAGTGAATTTCTTAATTCTGAGTTCTAATTTAATTGCACTGTGGTCTGAGAGACTGTTATGATTTTCATTGTTTTGCATTTGCTGAGGAGTGTTTTACTTCTAATTATGTGGTAAATTTTAGAATAAGTGCAATGAGTTGCTGAGAAGAATATATATTCTTTTGGTTTGGAGTGGAGAGTTCTGTAGATATCTATTAGGTCAGCTTGGTCTAGAGCTGAGTTCAAGTCCTGAATATTCTTGTTAATTCTCTTTTTCGTTGATCTGTCTAATATTGACAGTGGGGTGTTAAAGTCTCCCACTATTATTGTGTGGGAGTCTGTGTTTCTTTGCAGGTCTCTAAGAACTTGCTTTATGAATCTGGGTGTTCCTGTATTGGGTGCATATATATTTAGAATAGTTAGCTCCTCTTGTTGCATTGATCCCTCTAACATTATGTAATGCCCTTCTTTGTCTCTTTTGACCAACAAACACAACCAACAGGTTAGTTTCAAGTCTGCTTTACCAGAGATTAGGATTGCAACCCCAGCTTTTTTTTTTTTCTTTCCATTTGCTTGGTAAATATTACTCTGTCTCTTTATTTTGAGCCTATGTGTGTCTTTGCATGTGAGATGGGTCCCCTGAATACAGCACACTGATGGATCTTGACTCTTTATCCATTTTGCCAGTCTGTGTCTTTTAACTGGGGCATTTAGCTCGTTTACATTTAAGGTTAATATTGTTATGTGTGAATATGATTCTGTCAATTTGATGCTAGCTGGTTATTTTGCCCATTTGTTGCAGTTTCTTCATAGTGTCAATGGTCTTTACAATTTGTTGTTTTTGCAGTGACTGGTACCTGTTGTTTCTTTCTATGTTTAGTGCTTCCTTCAGGAGGTCTTGTAAGGCAGGCCTGGTGGTGACAGAATCTCTCAGCATTTGCTTGTCTGTAAAGGATTTTTTTTCTCCTTCACTTATGAAGCTTAGTTTGGGTGGATATGAAATTCTGGGTTTAAAATTCTTTTCTTTAAAAATGTTGAATACTGGCCCCCACTCTCTTCTGGCTTCTAGGGTTTCTGCAGAGAGATCTGCTGTTAGTCTGATGGGCTTCCCTTTGTGGGTAACCCGACCTTTCTCTCTGGCTTCCCTTAACATTTTTTCCTTTGTTTCAACCTTGGTGAATCTGATGATTATATGTCTTGGGGTTGCTCTTCTCAAGGAGTATCTTTGAGGTGTTCTCTGTATTTCCCGAATTTGAATGTTGGTCTGTGTTGCTAGGCTAGTGAAGTTCTCCTGGATAATATCCTGAAGAGTGTTTTCCCTGTTGGTTCCATTCTACCCATCACTTTCAGGTACACCAATGAAACGTAGGTTTGGTCTTTTCACATAGTCCCATATTTCTTGGAGGCTTTGTTTGTTCCTCTTTATTCTTTTTTCTCTAATCTTGTCTTCACGCTTTATTTCATTAATTTGATCTTCAATCTCTGATATACTTTCTTCTGCTTGGTCGATTCCACTATTGATTCTTGTGTATGCTTCACGAAGTTCTTGTGCCATGGTTTTTATCCCCATCAGGTCATTTATGTTCTTCTCTAAACTGGTTATTCTAGTTAGCAATTCCTCTAACCTTTTTCAATGTTCTTAGCTTCCTTGCATTGTGTTAGAACATGCTCCTTTAGCTCAGAGGAGTTTGTTATTACCCACCTTCCGAAGCCTAATTCTGTCTGTTCATCAAACTCATTCTCCATCTGGTTTTGTTCCCTTGCTGATGAGGAGTTGTGATCCTTTAGAGGAGAAGAGGCATTCTGGTTTTCATCTTTGTAGATTTATTTACCTTTGGTTTTTATGTTAGTGACCTTAGAATGGGGTCTCTGAGTGGATGTGTTATTCCTTTATGTTTGTTAGTTTTCCTTCTAACAGTCGGGCCCCTCTGCTGCAGGTCTGCTGGAATTTGCTGGAGGTCCACTCCAGACCCTGTTTGCCTGGGTATCACCAGCGGAGGCTGAAGAACGGCAACGATTGCTGCCTGTTCTTTCCTCTGGAAGTTTTCTCCCAGAGGGGCACCTGCCAGATGCCAGCCAGAGCTCTCCTGTATGAGGAGTCTGTTGGCCCCTACTGAGAGGTATCTCCCACTCAGGAAACATGGGGGTCAGGGACTCACTTGAGGAGGCAATCTGTCCCTTAGCAGAGCTTGAATGCTGTGCTGGGAGGTCCACTGCTCTCTTCAGAGCTGTCACACAGTGACCTTTAAGTCTGCCGAAGCTGTGTCCACCACTGCCCCTTCCCACTGGTGCTCTGTCCCAGGGAGATAGGGGTTTTATCTATAAGTCCCTGACTGGGGCTCCTGCCTTTTTTTCAGAGATGCCCTGCCCAGAGAGGAGAAATCTGGCAGTCTGGCCACAGCAAACTTGCTGAGCTGCCATGGGCTCTACCCATTTTGAACTTCCCTGAGGCTTCTTTACACTGTGAGGGGAAAACTGCCTACTCAAGCCTCAGAAATGGCGGACGCCCCTCCTCCCACCAAACTCGAGTGTCCCAGTCGGTATCAGACTGCTGCTGTGCTGGCAGAGAGAATTTCAAGCCAGTGGATCTTAGTTTGCTGGGATCCATGGGGTTGGAACCCACTGAGCAAGACTACTTGGCTCCCTGGCTTCAGCCGCTTTCCAGGGGAGTGAACATTTTTTTCTCGCTGGCCCTTAAGGTATGGGGGAAAAAAAAAAAACCCTGCAGCTAGTTCAGCGTCTGCCCAAAGGGCCGCCCAGTTTTGTGCTGGAAACCCAGGGTCCTGGTGGTGTAGGCACCGAAGGGGATCTCCTGGTCTGCGGGTTGTGAAGACTGTGGGAAAAGCACAGTATTTGAGTTATAGTGCACAATGCAGTCCCTAATGGCTTCCCTTGGCTGGGAGATGGAGTTCCCCGACCCCTTGCACTTCCCAGTTGAGGCGATGCCCCACCTTGCTTTGGCTCGTCCTTCTTGGTCTGCACCCACTGTCCAACCAGTCCCAATGAGATGAACTGTGTACCTCAGTTGGAAATGCAGAAATCACCCACCTTCTGTTTTGATCTCACTGTGAGCTGCAGACAGAGCTGTTCCTATTTGGCCATCTTGCCAGCAATCAAGACACAAATTTTCTGATATCAGGAATGAAATAGAGGATATTGCTGCAGACCCCACAGGCATCAAAAGAATAATAACTATGAACAACTGTGTACGTGTAAATTGGACAAATTGCATGAAATGGACCAGTTTATCCAAACACTACCACAGTTCACCCACAATATATTAGAGAATTTGAATAACCCTATGTCACTATTTAGGAAATTGAATTTGTAATTTAACAGTTTCCAAAAATTGAATCTTCAGGCCCAGATGTTACAATGGAGTAAAAATGTTAAAAATTTTGGAGAATATTCCACATGTTTAAGGAGAATCTTCCAGTCACTGCAATCTGTTTCTCAGGAAGCCACAGTCCTAGCAGAAGGGACCACAACAAGGTAACACCCTGTGGGACAAAAGAATCTGAATAGCAGGTCTTCTCTCCCAGGTCTCTCTGCTGATAGGATCAGAGGTGTCCATCTGACCTGAATAGCCAGAACACTGGGACAAGGTTGAGGCTGTGAGTTGGATAGCTTTCCTGCTTGCCTGGCAGGGGAATTGAGGTAGCTTCCACTCTTCACCCTTATAAAACCTCAGCACATCTCATTGAGAGCTCCTCCAACACCCTTATCAAGTCTGGGGTCTTAGCCTACCATTATGTATGACATCTCACCTGCCTTAGCTACAACTGGTGCCTATACAGGAATATGTTTCCTCTTGACCTGAAGCCTGAATCATCAACTCAGCAAGTATAAAAATGGGGGAAAATTAAATAAACAAATAAAGTGTACACCATGAGAGAAGGAAATAAGCTTTAAGAGATCCCTGCCATTCTGACCCCATAAGAAACAGTGAACTTGCCCACACACCAAGAACTTAACTACTAAAACCATCATCTGGGAAAGCCAGTTGGAAAAGATTCTCTATAAATAAGGAACTCATACAGAGTTTTCATCCTAAAATCACCAAGAATCAAACTAGGCTAAAATAAACATTGGCGTATGATCCTTAAGAAAGAAAAAAAGAAGTTAAAAAAAACCACAGTCCAATAAAAAATAAATTCAAGAACAATTTGATTAGTCTACCCAAATGAGAAGGAAGCAGGAAAGTAATTCTGGTAATATGACAAGACAGGGTTCTAAATCATCCTGAAAAGATCCTACTAGCTCCCCAGCATTGGATCCAAACCAAGAAGAAATCTCTGAAGTGCCAGATAAAGAATTCATAAGGTTGATTAGTAAGCTACTCAAGAAGACAACAGAGAAAGGTGAAAACCAACTTAAATTTTAAAAAATCAGGATATAATTAAAATTTTTTCAGAGGAATAGATATCATAAAGGAAAAAACAATGAGAGCTACTGGAAATGAAAGACACACTTAGGGAAATACAAAATACAGTGGAAAATTTTAACAATAAGCTAGAACAAGTAGAAGAAAGAATTTCAGAGCTTGAAGACAAGACTTTCGAAATAACCCAAACAGACAAATACAAATAAAAAAGAATGAAATAAATGAACAAAGTCTCCAAGGAATATGGGATTATGTAAAATGACCAAACCTAAGAATAAGTGGTGATTCTAAGAAAGAACAGAAATCTAAAAGTTTGGAAAACTTATTTGAGGGAATAATTGAGGAAAACTTCCCTGGCCTTGCTAGAGGTCTAGACATCCAAACTGAAGAAGTCAAAAGAACTCCTGGGAAATTCATTCCAAAACAATCATCATTAAGGCACAGGGTCACCAGGTTATCTAAAGTCAAGATTAAAAAAAACATAATTTTAAGAGCTGTGAGATAAAAGATAACCTATAAAGCAAAACCTATCAGATTAACAGCAGATTTCTCAGCAGAAGCTTTACAAGTCAGAAGGGATTGGAGTCTTACCTTTCACCTCCTGAAACAAAATAATGTCACCCTAAAATTTTCTATCTAGCAAAACTAAGCTTCATAAATGAAAGGAAGATAAAGTCTTCTTCAAAAACAAATCCTGACAGAATTTGCCACCCCCAAACAAGCACTACAATAAATGCTAAAAGGAGTTCTAAATGTTGAAAGAAAACCTTGATATACACCAAAATATAACCTTCTTAAAGCATAAATCTCACAGGGCCTATAAAACAGTAACACAATGAAAAAAATCCAAAACATATAGGCAACAACTACATGATAAGTACAACAGTACCTCACATTTCAATACTAACATCGAATGTAAATGGGCCTCAACGCTACACTTAAAAGATACATAATAGCAGAATGAATTAAATAAACCACCAACCAAGTATGTGTTGTTTTCAAGAGACTCACCTAATGCATAAGGACTCATGTAAGCTTAAGGTAAAGGGGTGGTAAAAAATATTCCACACAAATGGAAACCAAAAGCAAGCAGGAGTAGCTATTCTTATATCAGACAAAACAGACTTTAAAGCAACAACAGTTTAAAAAAAAAAGACAAGCAAGGACATTGTATAATGATAAAAGGATTAGTCCAACAGGAAAATATCACCATCCTAAATTATATGCACCTAACACTGGAGCACCTAAATTTATAAAACAATTGGTACTAGACATAAGAAATGAGATAAACAACAACACAATAATATTGGAGGACTTCAATACTATACTTACAGCACTAGACAGATCATCAAGACAGAAAGTCAACAAAGAAACAGTGGACTTAAACTATACCCTAGAACAAACAGAATTAACATATATTTACAAAACATTATTTCCAACAACTACAGAATATGCATTCTTTTTTTCAGTGTATGGAACATTCTCCAAGATAGACCATATCATAGGTCACACAACAAGTTTCTATAAATTTAAGAAAATCAAAATTATATCAAGCATTTTCTCAGACCACAGGGGAATAAAATTGGAAATCAACTTCAAAAAGAACCCTCAAAACTATAGAAATACATGGAAAGTAAGTAATCTGCTCTTGAATGAGCTTTGGGTCAACAATGAAATCAAGATAGAAATTTAAAAATTATTTGAAATGAATGATAATAGTTACACAGCTTACAAAAACCTGTGGGATACAGCAAAAGTGGTGCTAAGACAAAAGTTCATGGTGTTAAATGCATCAATCAAAAAGTCTGAAAGAGCACAAATGGACAACCCAATGTCACACCTCAAGGAACAAGGGAAACAAGAACAAACTAAACTCAAACCCAGCAGAAGAAAAGAAATAACAAGATCAGAGCAAAACTCAATGAAACTGGAACAAACAAAAACAATGCAAAAGATAAATGAAACAAAAAGCTGATTCTCTGAAAAGATAAGCAAAATTGATAGACTGTTAGTGAGATTAACCAAGAAAAGATCCAAATGAACTCAATCAGAAATGAGACTGGAGATATTACAACTGATACCATGGAAATACAAAAGATAATTGAAGTGTACTATGAACACCTTTTCACACACAAACTAGAATGTGTAGAGGATGTGGACAAGTTCCTGGAAATATACAAGCCTCCTAGATTAAATCAGGAAGAAACAGAAACCCTGAACAGACCAATAACAAAAAGCAAGATTGAAACTGTAATTTTAAAATTGCCAACAAAATAAGTTCAGAACCAGGTGGATTCACAGCTGAATTCTATCAGACATTCAAATAAGAATTGGTACCAATCCTACTGAAACCATTCCAAAAGACAGTAAAAGAAGAAATCCTCATTAAATCATTCTATGAAGCCAGTGTCACCCCAATACCCAAACCAAGAAAGAACACAACCAAAAACGCTACAGACCAATACCCTGATGAACATAGATTCAAAAATCCTCAGCAAAATACTAGCTACCCAAATCCAACAGCATATTAAAAAGATAATACACCATGATCAAGTCAGTTTTATCATAGGGATGCAGGTATAGTTTAACATACACAAGTCAATAAATGTGATACATCACATAAACAGAATCAAAATAAAAAATCATATGATTAGCTCAATAGATGCAGAAAAAGCATCTGATAAAATTATCCCTTTTTTATAAAAACACTCACAAAAACTGGCATAGAAGAGACATACCTCAAGATAATAAAAGCCATCTATGACATACCCACAGGCAACATTATACTGAATGGGGAAAAATTGAAAACATTCCCCGTGAGAACTGGAACAAGACAAGGATGCCTATTGTCACCACTTCTATTGAACATAGTACTGGAAGTCATAGCCAGTGTAATCAGACAAGAGAAAGAAGTAAAGAGCATCCAAATTGGAAAAGTGGAAGTCAAAATGTCACTGTTTGCCAATGATATGATCATATGCCTAGAATACCCTAAAGAATAATCCAAAAGCTCCTTGGCCTGATAAACGAATTCAGTAAAGTCTCAGGATACAACATCAATGTACACAAATCAGTAGCACTGCTATATACCAACAATGACTAAGCTGAGAATTAAATCAAGAAGTCAACCCATTTTACAACAGCCGCAAAAATAATAATAATAAGATATTTAGAAATAACCAAGGAGGTGAAAGATATCTGCAAGGAAAACTACAAAACACTCCTAAAAAAGATCATAGATGACACAAACAAATGGCAACATATTCCATGCTCATGGAGGGGTAGAATCAATAGTATGAAAATGACCATACTGCCCAAAGTAATCCACAGATTCAATGCAATTCTAATCAAAATACCATCATCATTCTTTACAGAACAAGAAAAAAGCAATCTAAAATTCATATGGAACCAAAAGAGAGCCCACATGGCTAAAGCAAGACTAAGAAAAAGGAACAAATCTGGAAGCATCACATTTCCCGACATCAAATTATACTACAAAGCTATAAGCTACCAAAACAGCATGGTAATGGTATAAAAATAGGCATGAAGACCAATGAAAGACAATAGAAAACCCAGAAATAAGGCCAAATACTTACGGCCTTCTGTAAGTATTGACAAAGCATACAAAAACATAAAGTGGGGAAAGGACACCCTATTCAATAAATGGTGCTGGGAAAACTGGCAAGCCACATGTAGAAGAATGAAACTAGATCCTCACCTCTCACCTTATACAAAAATTAACTCAAAATGGATCAAATACTTAAATCTAAGAACTGAAACTATAAAAATACTAGAAGGTAGCATTGGGAAACTTTTCTGGACATTGGCTTAGGCAAAGAATTCATGACTAAGACTCCAAAATCAAACGCAACTAAAACAAAAATAAATAAATGGGACCTAATTAAACTAAAAATCTTCTGTACAGTGAAATTATCAGCAGAGTAAACAGACAGCCTATAGAGTGGGGGAAAATATTTGCAAACTATGCATCTGACAAAGGACTAATACCCAGAATCTACAAGGAACTCAAACAAATAAGCAAAAACAACAAAAAAAATCCCATCAAAAAGTGGGCAAAGGGGCAGGTGCAGTGACTCACGCCTGTAGTCCCACAACTTTGGGAGTCCAAGGAAGGCAGATCACTGGAGGCCAGGAGTTTGAGACTAGCCTGGCCAGTATGGCGAAATCCTGCCTCTACTAAAAAGAAAACACAAAAATTAGCTGGCACGGTGGCTTATGCTTGTGGTCCCAGGTATTTGGGAGGCTGAGGCATGAGAATTGCTTGAGCCTGAGAGGTGGAGGTTGCAGTGAGCCGAGATCATGTCACTGTACCTCAGCCTGGGTGACAGAGTGAGACTGTGCTTCAAAAAAAAAAAAAAGAAGGAGAAAGAGAAGAAAAGAAGGAGAAGAAGGAGAAGGAGGAGGAGGAGAAGGAGGAGGAGGAAGAGAAGAAGAAGAAGGAGAAGAAGAAGGAGAAGAAAAAGAAGAAGAAGAGAAGAAGAAAAGAAGAAGAAAAGAAGAAGAAGGAGAAGGAGAAGAAGAAGAGGAGGAGGAGGGGGAGGAGGAGGAGAAGAAGAAGAGGAGGAGGAAGAAGAAGAAGAAGAAGAAGAAGAAGAAGAAGAAGAAGAAGAAGAAGAAGGAGAAAGCAGGCAAAGGACATGAATAGGAAATTCTCAAAAGAAGATATAGAAATGGCTAATAATCATATGAAAAACCCGCTTAACATCACTATACTATACTACAAGTCTGCAGTAACCAAAACAGCATGGTACTAGTACCAAAACAGATATATAGACCAATGGAACAGAACAGAGTCCTTGGATTTAATGCCACAAATCTACAACCATCTGATCTTTGACAAACCTGACAAAAACAAGTGATGTGGAAAGGATTCCCTATTTAATAAATGGTGTTGGGAAAACTGGCTAGCCATAAGCAGAAAAATTAAACAGGACACCTTCTTTACACCTTATACAAAAATTAACTCAAGATTGATTACAGACTTAAATGTAAGACCTAAAACCATAAAATTCCTAGAAGAAAACCTAGGCAATACCATTCAGGACATAGGCATGGGCAAAGACTTCATGACTAAAACACCAAAAGAAATGGCAACAAAAGCCAAAATTGACAAATGGGATGTAATTAAACTAAAGAGCTTCTGCATAGCGAAAAAAACTATCATCAGAGTGAACAGGCAAACTACAGAAAAAATTTTTGCAATCTATCCATCTGACAAAAGTCTAATATCCAGAATCTACAAGGAACTTAAACAAATTTACAAGAATAAAAGAAAGAACCCCATCAAAAAGTGGGTGAAGGATATGAACAGACACTTCTCAAAAGAAGACACTTAAGTGGCCGTCAAACATATGAAAAAAGCTCATCATCACTGGTCATTAGAGAAATCCAAATCGAAACCAAAATGAGATACTATCTCACACCAGTTAGAATGGTGATCATTAAAAAGTCTGTAAACAACAGATGCTGATTATGTGGAGAAATAGGAATGTGTTTACACTGTTGGTGGAAGTGTAAATTAGTTCAACCATTGTGGAAGACAGTGTGGTGATTCCTCAAGGATCTAGAACCAGAAATACCATTTGACCCAGCAATTCCATTACTGGATATATACCCAAAGGATTATAAATCATTGTACTATAAAGACACATGCACACATATGTTTATTGCAACACAGTTCACAATAGCAAAGACTTGGAACCAACCCAAATGCCCATCAGTAATAGACTGGATAAAGAAAACGTGGCACTTATACACCTTGGAATACTATGCAGCCATAAAAATGGATGAGTTTATGTCCTTTGCAGGGACATGGATGAAGCTGGAAACCACCATTGTCAGCAAACTAACACAGGAACAGAAAACTAAACACTACATGTTCTCACTCATAAGTGGTAGTTGAACAAAAAGAACACATGGACACAGGGAGGGGAACATCACACACTGGGGCCTGTCGGGGTGGGGGGCTAGGGTAGGGATAGCATTAGGAGAAATACCTAATGTAGATAACGGGTTGATCGGTGCAGCAAACCACCATGGCATATGTATACCTATGTAACAAACCTGCATGTTCTGCACATGTGTCCCAGAACTTAAAGTATAATAATAAAAAAAAGAAAGAAAAATTTGATAAATTGGACTTTTAAAAAAAATTTAAATACTCTTCCAAAGACCCTTTCAAGGTGACAAAAAGGCAAGCTACTGCGTGGGAGAAAATATTTTCAGCCACATGTCTGCGGAAATACTCAAATCTAGAATATATAAAGAAATATTAAAACTCAACAGTGAGAAAACAAATATGGTTGTCCCTCAGTGTATATAGGGGATTGGTCCTAGGCCTCTACCTGTACCAAAATTTGCACATATCCATACTCAATCTTACAGTCAGCCCTGGGCATACAAAAAGTCAGCCCTCCATATATGCAGGTATTACATCCTGTGAATACTGTATTTTTGATCCATATTTTGTTGAAAAAAATCCATGTACAAGTGAATCTATGCAGTTCAAACCCATGTTCTTCAAGGGTCAATGGTAATCCAGTTAGAAAATGAACCAAAGACATGAGCAGACATTTCATAGAAAAGGATATATGGATGGCAAATAAGTATGTGGAAAGGTGTTCAACATCAATGGGCATTAGGGAAATGCAAATTAAGATCACTTTGAAGTATCACTACATATTTATTATGATAGTTAAAATAAAATAGTTGGCCAGGTGGAGGGACTGGATCACTCATATTTTGCTGGTGGGCATGTGAAATGATACACTCTGGAACAGTTGGGCAGTTTATTGAAAAGCTAAATGTGCAATTATCATATAACCCAGCAATTGTACTCTTGGATGAAAACTTATGGTTACCATAAAACTTGTACATGGATATTCATAGTGGCTTTATTCATAATTACCAAAAATTAGAGTGAGTCTAGATGTCCTTTAATAGACATTGTTTGAGATTGCCATTGCATGGTGGTAATAAAGAGTAGACCAACTTTAGTTGGTTTTATTTTTATATTTTAATTTTCTACACACAGCATACCCCCTTATTGTCTTCACCCCAGGGTAGACTGTTGTTACTGCCCTGCACTTGATGCACCACTATTGAAAGATATTAATGGCACCATCAAAGCCTGCAGTGACATTGTTGTCCCTCCACTAAAGCAAGGACCAGGCTTCCCTCAGAGAAACTGACTTTACAAATAGTAAATAGAGGCTCTTTCTGAAACCTATCTTCGTAAACATATTTCCCTCTCCTAACAAGGAGTTTTGGCCCTTCTGCCCTTTAGTCAGGGTCTTGGTCCTTGGTATTTCTTGCCACAGCAGGCAATAGACAAAGGCTCCCAAAGACCTTGGATGGAGGCAGACATTGTGGCTATGTACCTTGTACCCAAAGGATTAAGCTGCCATCTTGCTGGTGGCAGCCCTTCACCCCAGAGAGAGGAAATGCCACTGGTGCTTTGAGGAAGGCTTTGTGCCTTTGATTTTCCATGTCAAGTCAGCACTTAACTGTGACCCTGGACACATGAGGTGAAAAATCTTTGGTTTATTTTGGCATTAATGTCTCTTGCCCAATAACATGGGTTTCTGTAAACAGAAGTAGGCATGGAGGGAGGAGGGAGGATTACATAAAAGGGACTCATCCAAGCAGGGCTAGCTGCACTATGCTGATTTCTATTAAATGGCAATGGGAGATACCCTCTTACCCCTGATTTCAGTTAGTGGTAGTTACTTTCATCTTAATCGAATTAATTACAAATTGGGAAGGCTTGGGTCAGCTTCATAAAATGCTGTTATTTATGTTGACATTTTTATGTGGCTTTAGCTAATATATGTTTTAATTTTAGATTCAGGGACTACATGTGTACATTTGTTATATGAATATGTTGCATAATATTGAGGTTTGGGCTTCTAGTGTACCCATCACCCAAATAGTGAACATTGTACCCAATAGGTAATTTTTCAACCTTTATTCCCTTCCCATTCTCCCACTAATGATTATTATTTTAATCTCAGTAACCAGCAATATACCTGGCCACTCATGCATGTGCACACACACAAACCCTATTTGCTGTAGTGGAAACCACTCTGGTGAAGGAGATATCCATGGTGGAAGAGTTGGGCAGAGTGGAGAAAGAAGGACCCTATCATTTGTTGACTGCCCACCATGTGCCACATACTCTGCTTGGTGACTTTACATGTCTTAGCTCATTTAATCCTCACCACATAATGTGTAAAGTAGATGCTATTATTATTCCTGTGTTACTGATGAGGAAGCCAAGGCTGAGGGAAGTGAAGTGAGATGATCAGATAACGTCACTCTTCCGGTGCTTAAAATTATAAAATTCCCCTTCCACTGAGGATAAAAGTCCCAACTCGTCCCATTCTCCAAGCTATGTTTTAGGGCCTGTCAACCTCCCTAGTTTTATCTAGGCCCCTCTCCCTCTTGCAGTAGGTGCTCCAGCCACACTGCTCTTCACTCAGTTCCTTTAATGTGCCATATTCTTCTTCTGTGGGGCCATTACTCATGCTATTCTTTTTGTCTGGACTGTTCTCCTGTGTGCCCACCTGCACTCACCAGCGAACTCCTATTGATTCTTCAGGTCTCAGCTTAGATTTCACATCCTCAGTTCTCAGGGAAGCCTCCTCTGACTGTCCCCTTTACCCTATAGTGTCCCTCAGACTATGTTAGGTCCCTTTGTTGTATCCTTCTATCACATTCTGCATCTCCTCCCTACCACTAATATGATTTTACATACAACCTTGTGTTCAGGATCGATTTTCTTCATTAGATGAAACTTGCTGTCTATATACTGTCTTGTTCTCTGCTCTATCCCTAGTACCTAGTACAATGAATGCCTGGCACATGATAAGTATTCAATAAATAATTATTGACTGAATATATATTGAAACCCTCTATAATTAATACATAGTAAGTGCTCAATAAATATAGTTAAAATACAGTTGTTATTATTGTCCAAAAGCAAATAGTTAATCAGAGGCAGAACCAGGATTTATAATTGAAGTCTGAGTCTAAAGCGCATGCTTCTTTTATGATATGACTTTGTCTGCAGAAATAGGTTCTTGGCCCAGCACTGCCCTAACTGGTTGTATGACACTTAGGGTGAGACACTATACTACTCTGAATCTTAGTTTTCCCATCGGTAAAATGGTTACAGGAGCAGGCAAAGTTCAGGTTTATCTTCACGTAACCTAGAAAAGGAGGAGAATAGAAGTCTAGATAGATGGGGATATAAGCAAATAAGTAATTAACCAATACAAATCAGTATCTTCCCTCTGCAAGACAGTTGATGAGCTATAACAAGAACCCTTGATGTTTTTATGCCCTTCAGCCTGGTAACCCTGTTCAAAGGCAATATAGAGTAGTGGATGGTATGGATGGTATGTAGGCTTTGGTGTTAGAGAGCCCTGGTTCAAATCCCAACATCCAATTTACTAGCTCTGTGGTACTGGGCAAGTTACCACCCTGAACCTCACTCAATTCCCTTCTCTACAAATGGGATAACACCCACCTTTTAACCCATTTCTAAGGTTACAAAAAAAAAAAAAATACAATAACATGAAAAGATGTTTTCTTAGTATAGAAAGAGAAACTTCTCCCACCATCCTACCCACCTAACAGTTCTTTCTGTAGTTCTGTGCCATTGAAGGCTACCTCTTGAGGCAAGAGGCACAGGCAATGTCAAGAAAAGAGAGACTGAAGACAAGCAGGCTGATGGCAGAAGCCAGAGTCCAGTGTGTGGAGTTGGATCACCCATAGGATAGACTGGGGCAGAGGGGAAGATCAGCTACTGAGGGAGAAGAAAGGAGACTACAAATCTGAGTAAGGGGATAATGGCTAGGCAGATCCTGAGAAGCATGGTAGGGAGCCAGTGGGAAGACAACAACATGCCTTAGAGGGTACCCCTTTCAAAACTTTGTAGCCCTTTCCCAGAGGCAGGCTTCAAATTATGTTATTAAAGGCCCTTGAAACTGTGTTTCTTCCAAATCTTTTTCTTATTTAGTCACATCCATGTATGTTTTGAAATTGTAATCTTAGTGTGTACACTTTTTCAGCGAGTATCTTATCTTCAACATTTTCTATGTCACAAGTCTTCAGTGGCTGTCAAATATCCTAATTTTGCTGAAAGCCCAGAAAGTACACCTCTGTGTATTAACTTTTTGCTTCCTTGAATTACCTCCTTAAAATATATTCCCAAGTATAGGATTCCTGAGCCACACGGTATACAATTGGGATTTAATGACCAAAACCAGGTTTTTCTTTTTCTAAGAAAGAAATTACCCATAATATCCTTTCCCCTTCCTTTTCTGGAACTGATAAACACACCCTCTAGAGTTGTGCTGTCTAATATGACAGCCAGTAGCCACACGTGGCTGTTTAAATTTTAAGTTTGATTAAATAAAATTCAAAACTCAGTTCCTCAGTAGCACTGGCCACATCACAAGTGCTCAGTAGCCATATGTGCATAGTGGCTATTATACTGGACAGCACAGATACAAAACATTTCCATCACTGTAGTAAGTTTATTGGACAGTGCTTACTTAGAGTTTCTCAAGAGATCATTTTTGGTTTCTTGGGTGGGAGTTCTTTGTGTTCAGGACTTTCCTGGGCATTGAGAGGCTATTTAGCATCTCTGGCCCATGTCCACTAAATGCCAGTAACACATTTCCTTGAGTCAATCTAACAGCCAAAACACTCCATATTTGCAAATGCCCCATAAGGGAACAAAATTAACCCCATTCGAGACCCACTGAGCTTTTAGAGGGAAACATCTCCTAACTTTTTCTTGAGACAAGGTCTTGCTCTGTCACCTAGGTTGGAGTGCAGTAGTGCAATCATAGCTTAAGCAATCCTCCTGCCTTATCCTCCTGAGTAGTTGAGACTACTGGCATGTACCACCATGTGTGGCTAATTCTTTCTTTCTTTCTTTCTTTTTCTTTTTCTTTTTCTTTTTTTTTTCTTTTTTCTTTTTCTTTTTTTTTTTTGTAGATATAAGGTCTCACTATGTTGCCCATGCTGGTTTCAAACTCCTGGGCTCAAGTGATCCTCCTGCCTCTGTCTTCCAAATTGCTGAGATTACTGGCATGAGCCATTGCACCTGGCCTTCTTTTTTGAGATGGCCTCAGGTTGGCTCTGCCTGGAGAGGGGGAAGCTTGTAAAGATGGCTTAGAAAAAAAGTCCTGGCTCCATTTCTATTTTCTCCCTTCTTTTGCTGGCCTGTTTCCTGCTTTTTGCAAATTGCAGGAACAAGACCCTGCAGATGGAGAAGATCAAGGCTCGTTTGAAGGCTGAGTTTGAGGCACTTGAGTCAGAGGAAAGGCACCTGAAGGAATACAAGCAGGAGATGGACCTTCTGCTACAGGAGAAGATGGCCCATGTGGAGGAACTCCGACTGATCCACGCTGACATCAATGTGGTACGTGGCTGCCTGGAGCCTATCTCTAAAGCCTTTGAGAAAGAGGTAGTGGTGAATGATAGGGCCTTTCCTTGAGATGTGGCTTAGGCCTAGCTCGGGGAGCAGGCATCAGTGCAGGCTGTGGTAGAGCAGAAGAATTCAGGAGTTCTGAGATCCAGCCCTGGCTCTGTCACTAACTGACTATATATCACTGGACAAGTCCCTTCTCTCTGGGCCTCATTTTCCCTCTCTGCACTATAAGGGGGACTCAGTACCCTCTAAATGTACTGATTTGATGTGCTCTCATTCTGGGATTCTGGGAGTTGAGAGCTAGCCTTGGGGAAAAGCAGAGCAGGCAGCTGCCTCTGGAATGTAGTTTAAAGCACTCCAAGCTTTCAGTCAGACCAAACAAATCATTTCTGCCTGCTACCAAAGTGGAGCTTCCTCATTGATATATCCTTTGGAAACTCTTGGAACACAGAATATGAACTGTCTGCTAAGGTGGTAAGCTCCCCTCTTTGGAATTATTCAAGCAGCATCTTAATGGACACTTGTATGAGCTACTGTACTGATGATTCCTTCACAAGGAAGGAGGTTGGCAGTGCTGACCAGTAAGGTCTTTTCAAACCCTTATCACCCATAACCATGAAGAATATATTTTTAAAATTTACTTTCAAAGGAACTAAGTTTATATTTCTGGAAAACTCATTTCTGTGGCAATACTCATTTTCTGATGTTGTCAGACCTAGGATCATAAAGGAAATATGAATGAGGTTTGGACAGTAAGCAATTGGGATTTTCTGTGTTAGAGATCGCAGAATTCTAGATCTCATAAAGTGTTGACAGTTTGGCTGCCAGCTAACCAATGATACAGGGCCAGTTAAATGAGGAAGATATTTGCCAGAAGGGCTAAGAATATAAGCCAGTGGATCTCAAACTTGAGCATGCATCAAAGCCACTTTGAGAGCCTAAGACACATATTGCTAGACTCCACCCCTGATTTTCTGATTTTGTATGTCTGAGGTGAACCTAAGAATATGCATTTCTGAGTTCCCAGGTGATGCTGATGCTGCTGATCCCTTGGCCACATTTTGAGAATCACTGATCTAGGAGAAAAGACTGCTGGCCTGGGAGGCGGAAGCCCTAAGTCTTTATGCAGGATTTGATACTAAGAAGTATTTCCCCAGGAAAGTCCCTTTTTCTCTTTGAGCCTCAGTTTTCTATAAAATGGGAGTAAGGTGGACTAAATGAGCTCTGAAGGACATTCCAGCTCTAAGATACTATATTTGAACAATACCATTTATTTAGCAGTAAATATTAATTTAGCCCATTTACTGAGTGCTTTATATGAATCCTATCATTACATCTTCACCAAGATTGCATGAGTTAAGCACTAGAATATCACCATTATACCGATGAAGAAACTGAGACTTGACCAGAGTTACATGGAGAGGGCATGGGAGATCAAGGACTTGAATATAGACTGAACAAGTTCTGGAGCTTGTGCTATTATTCACTCAGCTATAGATCCTCTCTGAGAACCTTAGGATCTTTTCTCTGTGCCTATCCCACTCTATGTTCCAGATGGAAAACACTATCAAACAATCTGAGAATGACCTAAACAAGCTGCTAGAGTCTACAAGGAGGCTGCATGATGAGTATAAGCCACTGAAAGAACATGTGGATGCCCTGCGCATGACTCTGGGCCTGCAGAGGCTCCCTGACTTGTGTGAAGAAGAGGAGAAGCTTTCCTTGGAGTAAGCTACCTGCCCCCAGTCCCTACAACATACCCTCCCTCCGACCCACATACATACTTACATACCTACACACACACGGGCAGGTATACATACACAAAGCCTAGCCTGAAAGTCAGAGTGCCTAGTTTTAGTCCCAGGCCTTTCAGTGGCTTACTCACTGTGTGATCTTGGGCAAGTCTCTGTGCCAGCTTGTTAAAACAGAAGGAGGATTATTAAACTGGATGAATTACTAGATGAATTAGAACAACTACTAGGTGGCTTTTTAAATTCTTTGTGTGATATTGACAATACAAGACTATGTCTATAACTCTTAAGAGATCATTTCCCAAGTCAGGGTCTAGAAGGCGATATCTAGAAACCTCTAAAAACAAAAAAGACTGAGCTTTCCTGGTCTTCAGGAAGTGGCCTGGGACTTACTTCATCTCCTGGCTCAGAGTTAAGAACTAGGCTTGCCTTGCAGAGAGACAGAATTTGACCTGGTAGAGGAAATCATTTCCTAAAGGTAGAGCAAGGTGTCTGTGGAGTTTGTGAGCTTCCTACTCTTAGAGATATGTCACCAGAGGCCTTAGGACACTTAATAGGAATACTCAAAAGAGCATGAGATAGCAGATAGGACTGAATACCCTTTAAGGATCTTGCTAGCCCTAAGATTTCTTGGTCTTCTTGGCCTATCAGAGCTAAGGACAAAGAGGATTACCCTTCTCATCAGACATTGGGCCTAGTACCCAGGGACAATAGCCTTGTGCTTGGGAAGGTGTGGGGACCTTCTAGAATGAGCCACAGCTCAACCCTTGGTTGTATGGCATGGAGTCTTTAAGAGGAGCAAGGTTCTCATTGCTTTCAGAATGATCTAGCCAGTGTCTCTCATCTCCAAAGTTACTTTGAGAAGCAGAAAGCAGAATGGCAGACAGAACCTCAGGAGCCCCCCATCCCTGAGTCCCTGGCCGCTGCAGCCGCTGCCGCCCAACAGCTCCAAGTGGCTAGGAAGCAGGATACTCGGCAGACGGCCACCTTCAGGCAGCAGCCCCCACCTATGAAGGTAAGTGAGCTGGGTAATGGTTGTGGAGGAAGCAAAGTATCCTCCCATGGAAGGGCCGTGGAAGGCTAGTTCTGGGTCTTTGGCTTTATTTATGCTGGGCCTTCTTTTAATGGCCTTTGCTTGTGACACAGTGGAAGGGGTGACATGGGTGTGCTGTGTTGGACACACACAGCACAGGTTTTGTTGCCCCATGTTCCCAGAGGTGTTAGAATGCAGGGAGATTTTCAGGCCCTGCTAGAGTGCAATTCTAAAAGTTAGAAATGACTCTTACACAAAGATGTAATGAGCATGTATCATAAATGAGGGAACCAGCAGGATTATAAAGCTGGTTCCAGGAGCATTTGGAACAAATATCTATATAGTCAAGAAAGGAGAGGAAGGCTGAAACAAATTTGCAAAGTTAGATGCAAAACTGGTTTACATCCCACAGGACAATAAAACTGTAACTTTATAGTTACTTTTTCTTCCAAACAGAAGTAATTTGCATCTCTACTGGGCAAAAGCCATTTGCAGCTTATCAGTGTAACATCACAGAGCCTGGGTCCTAATCAATTGGTAAATAGTCAAACAAAGAGACATTCTTCTAGAGCAGGGGTCATCAAATTACAGCCTACAGGTCAAATCTAATCTGTTCCCTGTTTTCGTTAAAGTTTTATTGGCCCACATGCATGTCTGTGTTTGCAAGCTATTGCAAACAACATGCATGCAAGCTATTGTCTATCACTTCTTTCATGCAAAACAGAATTGAGTAGTTGCAGCAAGTTTATATGATGTAAAAAGTCTAAAGTATTTGCTGTCCTGGCCTTTACAGAAAATGTTTGTTGACCCCTGTTCTAGAAAATTAAATAGTCCTTAAGTGGGCCTGTTAGACAATGCTTCATTATAATGACGAAAAGATGTGTAGTTCTCATTTTGCCTTACTTTCTAGTTTTGTATACTTTTTCTCAACACCATTCTCTGAACTGGGTTATGTCCTTCCTTCCCATCTTCCATGGCATCCAAGAATACTTGAGTCTACTCACTGATTATTGCTCTCTTCTGATGGGAAATCACTTTGCTTTCTGGGCCCCTGGGGAATCAGAAGTCTAAGTTGTTGCCTGGAAGAATCTGACTACTAACTTTCTTTTTCCTGTGTCCCTCACCAGGCCTGCTTGTCATGTCACCAGCAAATTCACCGGAATGCACCTATATGCCCTCTTTGCAAGGCCAAGAGTCGGTCCCGGAACCCCAAAAAGCCGAAACGGAAGCAGGATGAATAAAGAAAGGGAGAGCACATGAAGCTTTGCTAATTATAACCCCTCACCTTGACCAGAGTCATTGATGTCCTGATGTGAAACAACCCTTGCCCAACCCCACGAAGTCTCCTATTTAATGTGATGGAAGCACAACCCCTCTCTCACTTTGCTCCTATTTCTTTCTGCTCTTGGGATTTCTGGTTTAGGAAGAGATGTGGTTCAGGTGCTAAACAGTGTGTCTGATGATCCCTTCTCTCCCACTCACATTTCAACCCCTGCCCTTGTTTGGAGCTAAGGGAAGGGCAAAAGGCTCAGATATGATTCTCTATCTCTTGTGCCTGAGGCCTGGAGCCTAAGGAGCTGTAGGGTCTGAGGGGCAGGGGAGGCCCATATCTTGTTTCAGGTAAAGGACCCAGTATTTCCCCTCCTTGTACTTTTGCCTTAGGTTCTCAAGGGACAATAGTCTTCATGTTGGATTCTCCAACAGGCTGGGTGCATGTATCCCCCTACTCCTACCCTCATCTCATCCTTAAGGCCCAGAGGTAGCTTGGACAAGCCCTCCTTTTCATAATCATTTGGGAGGCATGGCTGTAATTCTTTAGCTTTCTCCACTTCTGTCTCCCACATATACTAAAATTCTTAGGTACTAGGCTGTGTGTCTTGGGATCTTAAGATCAATGAACCTTTCCCCAATATCTAGTCTTTGCAAATTCTAGTAGAAGATTTCCACAGTGAAATCAGTGAGCCAGACCAACTCTACATCTCCTGCCTAACCTACTGCCTAAGTCATTAGGGCTGAGGGCTCGGCTGTAGGGGCTTCCTTAGGCTGAGAGTGCCCCCAGGCTGACATCTGTGTTGGCTTTTGTTCAGAACCATTACTCTGGCACATGCTCAATGGTATATTGCAGGGAGGAGAGGAGTAGATTTAGATTTGAGTAAATGCCAATCACTTTACACATGAAGGTGGGTGGGACTTTCCTTCCATTCATCCCTTGCTCTCTTGGATCTGAACTCTTCTGGAGCCTCAGCTCAGGATAGCTGCTGGCCACTCCTGTCCTGTGGATTGTGCAGGTGGCCTTTCCTCCCAAAAGAAAAGGCATCAGGCTCCCCAAGCCCCACAGCTCTCCTTTCCACCAAAGCCAGGTTTCCTGGTAAGGTCACTCGAAGATAAGGGATGGGGATGGGGGCTGACTGACAAAAAATTTTAGCCCCAGGTCTCAGTACCTGGCTGGGGAGGGGGATATTTTTCCTTCCTTAAGTAGTTTTACATTGCCACAGTGTGTATGTGTTCACTATATAAAATGTTCCTCTGCTCTTTGAAAGTAAGAGTGTTGTGTCTGTACAAATCCTTTTAACATGCATTCATTGGAGTAAATTCTGAGTATCTACTGTGTATTGGATAATACAAAAGATGTAATGTCATTTACCTTTCTGGGTAGCTCTTGTTTGCTCTTATTCATTCCACCTTACAAATGAGAAAGCCAGGCACCAAGGACAATAATTTACCTAATTATCACAATAATTTCCATTTATTTAGCACCTACTCTGTGCCAGGTACCTATGCAAGTTGCTTAATATAAATGATTGTATTTGACTTCCAAAATACCTTACAAGCTAAGTATTCTTATCACCATTTTAAAAAAAAAGGGATACTGAACCTCCAAAAACTTAAAAGCTTTTTCAGAGTTAAACAGCTAGTAAGAGGAAATTGCAGGATTTGGAGCCAGCTTTGTCCAACTCCAGAGCTCATTTTTTTCTACTTCTTCTCCATGATCATTTTTAAGAAAACCTTTCTCCCTTTCAGAATGGCTTGATGATGAGAGTGGTTGAAATAACTTTGGAACTGAAATCAAGAACTGGGTGTCAAATGACTGATTCAGGGATATAAAGGCCAAGGGCTCTCTAAATAATATCCTGTACACTAATCTGTCTCTGTGCTTGTCAGGGAATTCAACAGCTAAATAAAACCTCTCTGTGCCTCAGTGTCCTCATCTGGAAAATGGGGAAAATATTAGCACTTATTTCATGGGATTGTGAACAATGTGAGGCACATAGTAAGCACTCATAAGTATTAACATCCTTTTATTCACTGTGCCTCTGGGTTTAGGTAGATTGGAACACTAGTCAAAAATTATACTACTCATCTTCCCTGATATCACCCCAGGTTTTGTATAGCTACAGACGTGCTTTTGAAGTGGCTCAGGCTCACTCTGGGCAAAGGGAGGACAGTCATCTGTGCAACTTGGAGTACACCTTAACCTGTATAGGCCTTAGTGAGTCCCTGTAAAGTACAGGAGGCATGGCCATAGCTCTGCATCCTTGGCACAATGGAGGTCAGGTCTGTCAATTATGTTGTAGTGATGGTAACAGGTTTTGAACTCTGAGCACCAACAGCCAGGAAAGCCATTTCCTAGGGATGCTTTTGAAGGGGAAGAGAGTAATCATGTGTTGAGCACCTACACCTGCCAGCCACTTGGTGGGTCACTACTATCTCATGTAGTCTTTCTGGTTCATTTATCTATTGCCGTGAAACAAACCACACAAACACTTAATGGCTTAAAACAACCATCATTTATTTGCTCATGACTCTGCAGTTTGAGCAGAACTTGCTGGGAATGGCTAATTTCTGTTCTATGTGGTTTTGCCTCAGACAGCTTGGCTAAGGCTGTAAGATCCAAGATGGCTGCACTCTCATCTGGCACCTCACCTGAGGTGGCTGGAACAGGAGTGGGCTGGATGTCTTAATACCAACTCCAGCCTTTGTAGTCTTTTATCCTCCAGGGCCTTTCTCCATTTGGCATTTCACTTCAATAATCAGACTTTTTTACCTGGCAAGTGGCATCCAAGAGAGTGAAAACCAAAGCAGACTGACTTACCCTTCTCTTCCTTCTTCTGTGTCTCTCCTAACCCCCTTGTATTATTTTTTTCATTATATTTTTGTTCCTTCTCTTAATTCTTTATTCTCCCTTGAGCAAGTCTTGGGTTCACCTGCTCCACTGCACTTAGGCAAAAGAAACACAGACTTTTGAGGTAGACAGACTTGAGTCTGAGCTGGCTTTGCCCCTTCCTACTTGCTGGGCAATTACTTTACCTTTTTGAGCCTCAGTTTTATCATCTGTAAAAATGGACACATATAACACACATAAACAGCAAGGCCTTTTGTGGCATAAAACCAGAAGTCACATAGCAATACTGCCTCTGCACTCTATTGGTCAAAGTGAGTCACAGGGCCAGCTCAGGTTTAAAGGGTAAGGGAAATATATATACTCCATGTCTTGAGGGGAGGAGCTGCATGCATG
This sequence comes from Homo sapiens, assembly GCF_000001405.40. Lineage (NCBI taxonomy): Eukaryota > Metazoa > Chordata > Mammalia > Primates > Hominidae > Homo > Homo sapiens. The sequence goes on along the minus strand of NC_000023.11, from coordinate 64,914,507 downwards.
TCAGAGATGGGAGGAATTGTTGCCAGCCATATTTACAGACAATCTACCACATTTTCTGACAACAGTATTTTAAGGAAGGTGTTATTAGATTGATGCAAAAGTTGTGGTTTTTGCCACTACTTTCAATGGTAGACACCACATTTACTTTGGTACCAATGTAATATGCATCCCTTTTTACAGGTGATATAACTGTGGCTCAAAAAAGGTAAAGTTGTTGCTTAACAAACAAGTAGGAAGGGGCAAAGCCAGGTCAGACTCAAGTCTGTCAACCTCGAAAATCTGTGTTTCCTTTGCCTAAGTGCAGTGCTGCAGGTGAACCCAAGACTGGTTAATGGAGAATAAAGAAAGGAAGAAAAGGATCAAAAATATAGTGAAAAAGAAGACAAGGGGCTTGGGAGAGAGAGAGAGAAGAAGGAAGAGGAGGGTGAGTAAGAAGAGTAACAGAAGTAAGACAAGGTATCCTTTATATTTGCTTTACATTGAAAGCACTTTCTTCAACATTTCCATTTCATGCTCACCTTGTTCTGTTGGTAAAGAATGTATTATTAACATACACATTTTACAGATGAGGATAAGGGAACCAACTTGCCCAATAAAGATTACATAGCAAGTTATGAGCAAAGCCATAACTAGAACCTAGGCCTTCCAATCTGGGAATCACTTAGGCTGTAGCATTCTCTATATGCTGCACACAGCAGGGATTAATTGTATGCATGTTTTGTGCCAGAGTTGGCTGCCTTTATTTATTTATATATATATACTTTAAGTTCTGGGGCACATGTGCAGAACATGCAGGTTTGTTACATAGGAATACACATGCCATGGTGGCTTGCTGGACCCATCAACCCATGATCTACATTAGGTATTTCTCCTAATGCTATAGCTCCCCTAGCCCCCCACCCCCTGACAGGCCCTGGTTTGTGATGTTTTCCTCTCTGTGTCCATGTGTTCTCATTGTTCAGCTCCCACTTATGAGTGAGAACAAGTGGTGTTTGGTTTTCTGTTCTTCCGTTAGTTTGCTGAGAATGATGGTTTCCAGCTTCATCTGTGTCCCTGCAAAGGACATGAACTCATCCTTTTTTATGGCTGCAGAGTATTCCATGGTGTATATATGCCACATTTTCTTTATCCAGTCTATCATTGATGGGCATTTGGGTTGGTTCAAAGTCTTGCTATTGTGAAGAGTATTGCAATAAACATATGTGTGAGTGTGTCTTTATAGTAGAATAATTTATAATCCTTTGGGTATATACCCAGTCATGGGATTGCTGGGTCAAAAGGTATTTCTAGTTGTAGATCCTTGAGGAATCGCTACACTGTCTTCCACAGTGGTTGAACTAATTTACACTCCCACCAACAGGGTAAAAGCATTCCTGTCTCTCCACATCCTCTCCAGCATCTGTTGTTTCCTGATTTTGTTAATGATCACCATTCTAACTGGCACGAGATAGCATCTCATTGTGGTTTTGATTTGCATTTCTCTAATGACCAGTGATGATGAGCTCTTCTTCATATGTTTGTTGACTGCATAAATGTCTTCTTTTGAGAAATGTCTGTTCATATCCTTTGCCCACTTTTTAATGGGGTTGTTTTTTTCTTGTAAATTTATTTAACTTCTTTGTAAATTCTGGATATTAGCCCTTTGTGAGATGGATAGATTGCAAAAATATTCTCCCATTCTGTAGGTTGACTGTTTACTCTGATGATAGTTTATTTTGCTGTGCCAAAGCTCCTTAGTTTAATTAGATCCCATTTGTCAATTTTATTTTGTTTTTTTTTTTTTTTTTTTTTTGCCATTGCTTTTGGTCTTTTAGTCATGCAGTCTTTGTCCATGCTTATGTCCTGAATGGTATGCCTAGGTTTTCTTCTATGGTTTTTATGGTTTTAGGTCTTCCATTTAAGTCTTTAATCCATCTTGGGTTAATTTTTGTATAAGGTGTAAGGAAGGGATCCAGTTTCAGCTTTCTACATATGGCTAGCCAGTTTTTCCAACAACAATTATTAAATTCCCCATTACTTCTTTTTATCAGGTTTCTGAAAGATCAGATTGTTGTAGATGTGTGGTGCTATTTCTGAGGCCTCTGTTCTGTTGCATTGGTCTATATATCTGTTTTAGTAACAGTACCATGCTGCTTTGATTACTGTAGCCTTGTAGTATAGTTTGAAGTCAGGTAGCATGATGCCTCCAGCTTTGTTCTTTTTCTTTGGGATTGTCTTGGCTATGCAGGCTCTTTTTTGGTTCCATACAAAATTTAAAGTAGTTTTTTTCTAATTCTGTGAACTAAGTTAATGTTAGCTTGATGGGGATAGCATTGAATCTATGAATTACTTTGGACAGTATGGCCATTTTCACAATATTGATTCTTCCTATCCATGAGCATGGAATGTTTTTCCATTTGTTTGTGTCTTCTCTTATTTCCTTTAGCAGTGGTTTGTAGTACTCCTTGAAGAGGTTCTTCATATCCCTTGTAAGTTGTATTCCTAGGTACTTTATTCTCTTTGTAGCAATTGTGAATGGGAGTTCATTCATGATTTGGCTCTCTGTGTGTCTATTTTTGATGCATAGGGATGCTTCTGATTTTTGCACATTGATTTTGTATCCTGAGATTTTGCTGAAGTTTCTTATCAGCTTAAGGAGATTTTGCGCTGAAGCGATGCAGTTTTCTAAATATACAATCATGTCATCTTCAAACAGAGACAATTTGAATTCCTCTCTTCCTATTTGAATACCCTTTATTTCTTTCTCTTGCCTGAATGCCCTGGGCAGGACTTCCAATATTATGTTGAATAAGATTGGTGAGAGAGGGCATCCTTGCCTTGTGCCAGTTTTCAAAAGGAATGCTTTCAGTTTTTACCCATTCAGTACGATATTGGCTGTGGGTTTGTCATAAATTGCTCTTATTATTTTGAGATACGTTCCATCAATACCTAGTTTACTGAGAGTTTTTAGCATGAAGGGGTGTTGAATTTTATCAAATGCCTTTTCTGCATCTATTGAGATAATCCTGTGGTTTTTGTCATTGGTTCTGTTTATGTGATTGATTACGTTTATTGATTTGGATATGTTAAACCAGTCTTGGATCCCAGTTACGAAGCTGACTTGATGGTGTTGGATAAGCTTCTTGATGTGCTGCTGGATTCGGTTTGACAGTATTTTATTGAGGATTTTGGCATCGATGTTCCTCAGGGATATTGGGCTGAAATTTTCTTTTTTGTGTGTGTCTCTGCCAAGTTTTGGTATCAGGATGATTCTGGCCTCATAAAATGAGTTAGGGAGGAGTCCCTCTTTTTCTATTGTTTGGAATAGTTTCAGAAGTATTGGTACCCGCTTCTCTTTGTACCTCTTGTACAATTCAGCTGTGAATCCCTCTGGTCCTGGACTTTTTTTGCTTGCTAGACTATTAATTACTGCCTCTATTTCAGATCTTATTTTTGGTATATTCAGGGATTCTACTTCTTGTTGGTTTAGAGCTGGGATGGTGTATGTGTTGAGGAATTTATCCATTTCTTCTAGATTTTCTAGTTTATTTGTGTAGAAGTGTTTATAGTATTGTCCGATGGTGGTTTGTATTTCTGTGGTATCAGTGGTGATATCCCCTTTATCATTTTCTATTGTGTCTATTTGATTCTTCTCTCTTTTCTTCTTCATTAGTCTGGCTCATCATCTATATATTTTGTTGATGTTTTCAAAAAACCAACTCCTGTCTTCTTTGATTTTTTGAAGGGTTTTTCGTGTCTCTGTCTTCTTCATTTCTGCTCTGATCTTAGTTAGCTCGTGTCTTCTGCTAGCTTTTGAATTTGTTTCCTTTTGCTTCTCTAGTTCTTTTATTTGTGATGTTAGGGTATCAATTTTAGATCTTTCCTCCTTTGTCTTGTAAGCACTTAGTGCTATAAATTTCCCTCTAAACAATGCTTTAGCTGTATCCCAGAGATTCTGGTACTTTGTGTGTTTGTTCTCATTGGTTTCAAAGAACTTATTTATTTCTGCCTTAATTTAGTTATTTACCCAGTAGTCATTCAGGAGCAGGTTGTTCAGTTTCCACGTTGTTGTGTGGTTTTGAGTGAGTTGCTTAATTCTGAGTTCCAATTTGATTGCACTGTGGTCTGAAATACTGTTTCTTATGATTTCCATTCTTTTGCATTTGCTGAGGAGTGTTCTACTTCAAACTATGTGGTCAATTTTAGAATAAGTGTGATGAGGTGTTGAGAAGAATGTATATTCTGTTGATTTGGGGTGGAGAGTTCTGTAGATGTCTATTAGGTTCGCTTTGTCCAGAGCTGAGTACAAGTCCTGAATATCCTTGTTAATTCTCTGTTTTTTTGATCTGTCTCATTGACAGTGGGGTGTTAAAGTCTCCCACTATTATTGTGTGGGAGTCTGTTTTATTGCAGGTCTCTAAGAACTTGCTTTATGAATCTAGGTGCTCCTCTATTGGGTGCACATATTATATTTAGAATAGTTAGCTCTTCTTGTTGCATTGATCCCTTTACCATTATGTAATGCCCTTCTTTGTCTCTTTTGGTCTTTGTTGGTTTCAAGTCTGTTTTAACAGAGACTAGGATTTCAACCCCTGCTTTATTTATTTATTTATTTTTTGCTCTCCCTTTGGTTGGTAAATATTTGTCCATCCCTTTATTTTGGCCTATGTGTGTCTTTGCATGTGAGATGGGTCTGGTGAATACAGCACAGCAATGGGTCATGTCTCTTTATCAAATTTGCCTGTCTGTGTCTTTTAATTGGGGCATTTAGCTCATTTACATTTAAGGTTTATATTGTTATGTGTGAATTTGATTCTGTCATTAAGTTGCTAGCTGGTATTGCCCGTTAGTGATGCTCTTTCTTCATAGTGTCGATGGTCTTTACAATTTGGTATCTTTTTGCAGTGGCTGGTACTAGTTGTTCCTTTCCATGTTTAGTGCTCCTTCAGGATCTCTTTTAAGGCAGGCCTGGTAGTGACAAAATCTCTCAGCATTTGCTTGTCTGTAAAGGATTTTATTTTTCCTTTGCTTATGAAGCTTAGTTTCGCTGGATATGAAATTCAGGGTGGAAAATTCTTTTCTTTAAGGTTGTTGAATATTGGCTCCCACTCTCTTCTGGCTTGTAGGGTTTCTGCAGAGAGGTCCACTGTTAGTCTGATGGGTTTCCCTTTGTGGTTAACCCAACCTTTCTCTCTGGCTGCCCTTAACATTTTTTCTTCATGCAACCTTGGTGAATCTGACTATTGTATGTCTTGGGGTTGCTCTTCTTGAGGAATATCTTTGAATTGTCCTCTGTATTTCCTGAATTTGAATGTTGGCCTGTCTTGCTAGCATGGGGAAGTTCTCCTGGATAATATCCTGAAGAGTGTTTTCCAACCTGGTTCCATTCTCCCGTCATTTTCAGGTAGGCCAATCACACGTAGGTTTGGTCTTTTTCCATAGTCCCGTAATTCTTGGAGGCTTTGTTCATTCCTCTTCATTCTTTTTTCGCTAATCTTGTCTTCATGCTTTATTTCATTAAGCTGATCTTCACTCTCTGATATCCTTTCTTCCACTTGATCAATTCATCTATTGATATTTCTGTATGCTTCATGAAGTTCTTGTGCTGTGTTTTTCAGCTCCATCAGGTCATTTATGTTCTTCTCTAAACTGGTTATTCTAGTTAGCAAATCCTCTAATTTTTTTTCAAGGTTCTTAGCTTCCTTGCATTGGTTAGAACATGCTCCTTTATCTCAGAGGACGTTGTTATTACCCGCCTTCTGAAGCCTATTTCTGTCAATTCATCAACTCATTCTTTATCCAGTTTTGTTCCCTTGCTTGCAAGGAGTTGTGATCCTTTGGAGGAGAAGAGGTGTTCTGGTTTTTGAAATTTTCAGCTTTTTGCACTGGGTTTTCCCCATCTTCGTGGATTTATCTACCTTTGGACTTTGATATGGGTGACCTTCGCATGGGGTTTCTGTGTGGACCTCCTTTTTGTTGATGTTGATGCTCTTTTTTTTGTTGTTTGTTTGTTAGTTTTTCTTCAAAGAGTCATGCCTTTCTGTTCAGGTCTGTTGGAGTTTTCTGGAGGTCCACTCCAGACCCTGTTTGCCTGGGTATCACCAGCATACACTGCTGAACAGGAAGGATTGCTGTCTGTTCCTTTTTCTGGAAGCTTTGTCCCAGAGGCGCACCTGCCACATGCCAGCTGGAGCTCTCCTGTATGAGGTGTCTGTCGACCCCTGCTGGGAGGTGTCTCTCTGTCAGGAGGCACAGGAGTCAGGGACTCACTTGAGGAGGGAGTCTGTCCCTTAGCAGAGCTCAAGCACTGTTCCGGGGAAACCACTGCTTTCTTCAGAGCCAGCAGGCAGGAACGTTTAAATCTGCTGAAGCCTGCGCCCACAGCTGCCCCTTCCCCCAGGTGCTCTGTCCCAGGGAGATGGGGGTTTTATCTATAAGCCCCTGACTGGGGCTGCTGCTTTTTTTCTAGAGATGCCCTGCCCAGAGAGGAGGAATTTAGAGAGGCAGTCTGGCTACAGTGGCTTTGCTGGCTGACTCTTACACTAAAGGTAGGACCTCACTCCACAGGGAAAGGTCAGGTGATTTTAACAGTCCTGCTGTCCAGTTTCCTGTTATCATTATGCTCTCAGCTTTCCCAAAGCAACTATCAGTATCTTTACAATGATCAACATCTCCCAAGCCGAACATGGGGAAGGCTATTAATTCAAGTCCATATATTGTTAGGCTGGTTACTTAACCTCTCCGGGCCTCAAATAGTCCTTTTCTTATAGCTTTGTCATGAAGATTCAGTGAGCTAATACTTGTTAAGCGCCTAGAAGAGTACCTGAAAAGTATTCAATTAGTAGTAGTTGTGAGGAAGATGTTAGTAATGATGATTAGCTTCCTGAGAAGCCAAGGATGATGATGATGATGATGATGATGACTTACTCAGAATTCCAAATGTGCAAAATCGGAGGGTTCAATAAGTGAGGGGTTGTCCTTGTATAGGGTCTCCCATAATGGGCAAGCAGACAGCTAGGAGTCATGGTGACTTTCCTGAAGATTGAGAAGACTCTGAGGCTCACCTGCCACCAGCCATTTAACCTGTGTAATGGTTGTAAAGGACGCAGACCCTTCCTGAAAACTAAGTAAAATTCCCCTTTTTTACTACATTCTGTTCTGCTTGTGGCTGGGAAGGGAAGTCCATCCTTAAACAAGTACTCCCCATCAGTAGTCTAGGATCTCATGCACTTCAGTGATTTCCATATTGCACAGTACAGGGAAATGACACTGACTCAGGAGCCAATTGTTTCTGTGTTCAAATCCCACATCTTCTATTTAGTAGCAGTGCATTCTTGAGCAGGTTATTAAACTTCTCTGATCTCCCATTTTTCTCATTGGTAAAATTTAGATAATACCTACTGTGTGGGGTTGCAGTGAAATTTTTAAGAGTGATGGAGAGAATCATCATTCAATGGATACCCATAATGTGGCGGATTTTGTCCTAAGTGCTTTCACATACTTAATTATATATGGGGTGCAGCATAGTATAATCGCTAAGAGCATGGATACTAAAGCCGGATAGTCTGGATTCAAATCTCAGCAAATTCCATTTGCTAACTATGTGACCTTTGGTGAACTCACTAACTTCCTGAAATCTCAGTACCCCAATCTGTAAAATGGAGATAATAGTAGAATCTACCTTATTGGATTGTTATGGAGAATAAATGAGTTAATATTTATAAAGTGAACATAAAAAGCATTATTTGAGTGTTTGATAAATAACTAAACAAATCAAATATTCCTACCAACACTCAGTGTCATCAACTTAGACACAAAAATATTGAGGTTAGGAGAGGTCAAATGTCTTTATATTTGGGTGTGTCTGATCCTACTGTATCCCAAAAGTGCCTGGAAGAGTACCTGATACAAATTAGGTCCTCAAAAACATTTCATTCCCTTCCTCTAGACTTGGAGTTTGAAGGCTGGAATCTTGTCTTGGCTCAGAGTCAATGAGGATAGGAGGGAAATTGATGAGACAAAGTCACACACTACAATAAGAAGCCACTGGTGGTTAATTCTCCCTACCCAGTGTTCAAGCTAGCATTTGCCCTCTTGACAGGCACATATATTAGTGATTCCCCTGCTTGTCTGCCTTCATCCTCCACTAAACCTGAGCTCCCAGAGAACGGATTCTGTATCCCCAACTGCCTAGACCACTCTCCTCTACCAGTAGGTACTGAGATTCTGAGACTGAGAACACAGCCTTTCAGGAGCATATTACAGAGAAGCTCCTTTATTCCTAAAAAAAATAGTTTCTCATCTGTCTCTCAATTTGGGTCTCTAATTGAAGCTGGAGATAGGAAAATGAGAACTGGCACAGGTCATCCAACCACTGCTTCCCCTAGGACACTGCCAGGCAGATTTCACCTAAATTAGACTGCAATTGTAGAAGACAATAGACAGAGGGCAGTAGGAAGGGGCGCCATTAATTGTCCAATCCCAGACTTACTTCCAGCCGCCTTGGTACTAAGCAATGACAAGAAAGAGATGACTTTAAGGAAAGCAGGACTAACCCTAATTCAACTTAATTACTGTTTTCCAGGTTATAGTAAATGGCATTCCAATGCATTGCTAATTCTGATACGTGTACATACAAGCATACTATACACACAACTCTCTTCACCCTCTGGCTTTTTGCCCCCTTATGTCCCTCATTCCTCAGCCCCAATATCAGGTTTTATCATCTGTGCATTGGGAAATTCTTGTGATAAATAAGAATTCCTATTCTGGCAGCTTGTCTCTCCACAACTTTCTTTAGTACTTTGTCACTCTGCCATTTCCTAGAGGACTACTGCATGTCAAGTGCATATCACTCCCTGCATTGCTAAGTTTTGGAGAGTCAAAGACATATGAGACACATTTTCCTGTATCCATACATACTCTTCCCTCTCATCTCTGGACCAGCCAAAGCCAATCCCTCCATCTTTTTGTGGACCCACCTTTTACTGCTCATGCAAGCCCTACTAATTCCATGACATATCCATCCTCTTTCCCCCAATCCCAACCTTTACCCTGGATTATGAACAAGCTCAATTAGTGCTCATCTTTTAGAAAAAAAAGGAAAGAAATAAATAACGGAAGGAAAGAAAAAGAGACACCCCTCATAAGACTTTATGTTTCTCATATCCCACCCTCTCTCCTTCTGTATTTTATACAAACTTCTACATAGACTTCTAGATAGTCTGTGCCAACTGTCTCCACTTCTTTATACACATCTCCATCACTATAGTTTACCTCTGTTTTCCAATCCATGAAGAAGCTCTGAGAAATCTCAAATCACTTTCACATTGTGAAAGTCAATGGACTTGAGTTGATCCTACTTGACCTTTCTTTGCCTACTGTATGATTAACTCTTCTTGCACTGATGACACTCCCTGGCTTCTTGTAATGCTCTGTATAGGTTCTTTCTCCTACCATGGCCAATCTTTTGTGTTCTTCTTTGTAGACTCTTGTACCTCTGACTGCTTTCTGGAAGCTGATCTACCTTGAGGTGTCAACCTCAGCTTTCTTCTTTTTGCGTGTTACAACAAATTCTTTGAGAGATATCATCCACCTCCTGATTTCAACAGCCCCTCTACAACAATCACCTGCATATCTGTATGCAGATTTCCCACCTGAGCTCTAGACAAATAGGAGAATAATGACAATGGGCATTTATTGAGCACTTGCTGTGCGCCAAAAATAATGCTTAATATTTTACCTGCATTTTCTCATGGAATCTTCACAAAAGCTTTATGGAGGCAGAAATTTTTTGTGTTGTCCTCCCCATTTTAATTATTAAGAAAAGTGAGGCTCAATTGCTTAATTAATTTGCCTAATACAACAGCTAATAAGTGGTAGAATTAGTATTTAAATTTGAGTCTGTTCAACCTCAGAGTTTTTGTTGTTAACCACTTTACTACTAGGTAGGAAATAAGCCCATGATTTCCCAAGAGAATGGCACAGAACTCTTCACATGGAGAGCTTGTTTTCAGCTTTTGCAGAAAGGCTGGGAAATTAAAGATAAATCCATGCAGAAAGCACTGTGAAAGCTGGGGAAAATTTGGACAGGTGGAACCAAAGAAGAAAGGGTTTTCTAAGCTAAGGGAGAAACAAAACCCAAAGGCTGAGATGCAGAGAAACATACAGTTCTCATGCTGGGCGAAACAGTTTGGCCTTTTCTTCAGAATAGTTTTACATAGCAACATGGAAGGTGGATGTGAGGGAGAGACAAAGGCAGAGAGATCATCTAGGAGGCTACTGCAATAGTAAAGGCAAAAGTGTCTTAACTAAGACAATGCATTAGGGATTGTGTGAGAGGAAAAGATTTAGCCAAAATTCAGAAGGGAGAAAAAGGGCTCCTGGGGGAATGAAGAGAACAAAAAATGATTGCCACAATGAGGGAGAAGGTTTAATTCAGAACCTGAGGCCCAGAGTCTTCCTCCTCATGTTTAGCAAGGGATGAAGATAAAATTAATGACTAGAGCATTTCTGGACTGTAGCATTTGGAGGTTTGGTGCAGGCTTGTCAATGCTTCAGGAATCTAGACCTGAATCCCAGCCCCTGAGTGATGCTGTTTTTTTCCCTGGGGTCAAATGAGTAGTTATAAAGAGGTACTTTGCTAATTGGGAACTGTGACTTCCACAATATAATCAGTTGCTAGGAGCTAGAGTTTTTCTCCCTAGAAATCACCCCACATAGAAGTTGGTTATATTGGCCAGTATAGGGGAGGGAAATCCAGGCCTGGAGCCTGTGCTGGCAGAGGGGGGAGATATGGAGGGGCTAGGTCCAAAAGCCAGGCTTGCTTTCCCAGCAGGGAACTTTACGGCCTGGAGCAAGGTCTGAGCAGGGCACTGAGGGAGTGAGACCAGCCTTGCCAACTGCATGGGAGCTGGATGAAGCCTCTTGCTACTGTCTATTTCCCACTTCCCTGGCACACTATATGAAACAGCAGAGGCAGCCAAGATCTCCTCTGGAACATAACCCCATTGAGCCCGAGAACCACCTCCCATATCCCCCACAGTGGCCATGGCAAGCCCTGCCCAAGGAGAGTCTGAACCCAAACCCACCTAACCCTGTCCCCACTTGATGGTATTTCTCGGCCCGCCCTGATAGCCAAACACAACGGATAGAAACTCTGGTGGTCTCTTGAAAGTGCCATTGCCTGGCTGGAAGCCAACCAACTCAGATCATTACAGCAACTCATGACAGAATAACCCTGATCCCAGGAAGGATAAGATAATACCTAATTCTACTTCCTGCAACGTCCTGGCTAACCAGAGGTCCTGAGTGTGTCCAGAGGACAACTGTACTGCTGGCATAACCAGCATTGGAGATAGCCAGTACAATAAACATATCTACAACCAAGGACTCTTACAGAGTCTAACTTCAATTCCCTGCCAGCTCTACTAGTGCAGGTGCTGATATCCATGGCTGGGAGACCTGAAGATGGGTAACATCACAGGACTCTTTGCAGACATTCCCCAGCACCAGCCTGGAGCCTGGCAGCCCCACTGGGTGGGTAGACCCAGAAGAGCAATAATGTTCGCTGCAGTCTGGTTCTCAGGAAGGATCATCTCTAGGGGAAGGGGGAGAGCACCACATCAAGGGATCACCTGATAGACAAGAGAATCTAAGATGACCTTGAGTTTCAGACCTCTCCACTGAAATAGTCTACCCAAATGAGAAGGAACCCAGAAAAGTAATTCTCTTAATATGACAAAACAGGGTTCTATAACACTCCCAAATGATCACACAAGCTCCCCAGCAATGGATCCAAAGTAAAAATAAGTCTCTAAATTGCCAGATAAAGAATTCAGAAGGTTGATTATTAAACTATTCAAGGAGATACCAGAGAAAGGTGAAAAAAGTTAAAGAAATTTAAAAAAAAAACAGGATCTGGATGAAAAATTTTCCAGATAAATATATATCATAAAGAAAAAACAATCAGAGTGTCTGGAAATGAAAGACATACATAGAGAAATAAAAAATGCAGTGAAAGTTTCAACAATAGACTAGAACAAGTAGAACAAGTAGAAGAAAGACAGAGCTCAAAGACAAGGCTATTTGAACCCAAACAGACAAAGAGAAGTAAAAAAATGAATAAAGTATCCAAGAAATTTGGGATTATGTAAAGTGGCCAAACCTAAGAATAATTGATGTTCCTGAAGAAGAAGAGAAATCTAAAAGTTTTGAAAACTTATTTGAGGGAATAATTGAGGAAACTTATTTGGCCTTGCTAGAGACCTAGACATCAAATACAAGAAACTGAAATAACTCCTGGGAAATTCATTGCAGAAAGATCATCACCTAGGTGCATAGCCATCAGATTATCTGAAGTCAAGACAAAGGTAAGAATCTTAAGAGCTGTCAGACAAAAGCATCAGATAACCTATAAAGCAAAACCTATCAGTTTAACAGCAGGTTTCTTGGCAGAAACCTTATAAACCAGAAGAGATTGGGGTCCCATTTTTAGCCTCCTGAAACAAAATAATTGCCAGTCAAAAATTTTGTATTCAGCAAAATTAAGCTTCATACATGAAGAAGAGATAAAGTATTTTTCAGACCAAGAAATGCTGAGAGAGTCACCATTACTAAGCCAATACTACAAGAAATGCTAGAAGGAGTCCTAAATGTGGAAACAAAATCTTGATATACACCAAAATAGAACCTCCTTAAAGCATAAATCTCACAGGACCTACAAAACAATATCACAATGCAAAATAAACCAAAGTATTAAGGCAACAATACAGAATGGCAGAATGGATAAAAAAATCCACCAACCAAGTATCTGCTGTCTTCAAGAGACTCACGTAACACATAAGGACTCATAAACTTAAGGTAAAGGGAAAGGAAAAGATATTCTACCCAAATGGAAACCAAAACTGAGCAAGAGTAGCTATTCTTATATCAGACAAAGGAGACTCTGATGCAACAATAGTAAAAAAAAAAAAAAAAAAAAAAAAAAAAAAAAAAAAAAAAAAAAAAGGACAATAAATGATAAAAGGATTAGTCCAACAGGAAAATATCACAATCCTAAATATATATGCACCTAACACTGGATATCCCAAATTTATAAAACAATTACTATTAGACCTAAGAAATGAGATAGATGGCAACAATATAATGGCAGGGACTTCACTCCACTGACAGCACTAGACAGGTTATCAATGCACAAAGTCAACAAAGAAAAAATGGACTTAAACTATACCCTAGAACAAATGGACTTAACAGATATTTACAGAGCATTTTATCCAACAACTGCAGAGTATACAGTATTTTCTTCAGCACATGGGAGATTCTCCAAGGTAGACCATATGATAGGTCACAAAACAAGTCTCAATAAACTTAAGAAAATTATATCAAGTATCAAGTATCCTCTTTGATCACAGTGAAATAAAACGGGAAATTAACTACAAAAGGAACCCACAAAACTATACAAATACATGGGGAAATTAAATAATCTGCTCTTGAATGAGCTTTGAGTGTACAATGAAATCAAAATGGAAATTAAAAAATTATTTGAGCAGAATAACTGACACAATTGATCAAAACCTCAGGGATTCAGCAAAAATGATGCTTAGAGGAAAGTTCATAGTATTAAATGCCTAGATCAAAAAGTTTGGAAGATTACTAATGGACAGCCCAATGTCACACCTCAAGGAACCAGAGAAATAAGAACAAACCAAACCAAACCCCAGCAGAAGAAAAGAAATAACAAAGATCAGAGCATAGTCAATGAAATTGAAACAAATAAACAAAAAATACAAAAGATAATAAAACAGAAAGCTGGTTTTTTGAGAAGATAAACAAACGTGATAGACCATCAGTGAGATTAACCAAGAAAAGAAAAGATCCAAGTAAGCTCAATTAGAAATTAAATGGAAGACATTACAACCAATACCACAGAGATACAAAAGATCATTCAAGTCTATTATGAACACCTTTACATACACAAACTAGAAAATCTAGAAGAGATGGACATATTTCTGGAAACATACAGCCCTCCTAGATTAAATCAGGAAGAAATAGAAACTCCGAACAGACCAACAAGAAGTAGCCAGATTAAAACAGTAGTTTAAAAAAATTGCCAAAAACAACAATGACAAAAAGCCCAGGACTTTTTTTGGAATACTTTCAGTATTCCAAAAGATAGAGAAAGAAGGAATCCTCTGTAAATCATTCTATGAAGCCAGTATCAACCTAATATCAAAACTAGGAAAGAATTAAACCAAAAAAGAAAACTACACAGCTATATCCCTGATGAACATAGATTTAAAAATCCTCAACAAAATACTAGCTAATCAAATTCAACAGCATATCAAAAAGATAATATACCACGATCAAGTGGGTTTTATCCCAGTGATGCAGTGATGGTTTAACATATGCAAGTCAATAAATGTGATACATCACATAAAGAGAATTATCAACAAAAATTATATGATTATTTCAATAGATGCAGACAAAGCATTTGACAAAATCCAGCATCCCTTTATTATGAAAACCCTCAACAATATTTGCATAGAAAGGACATACCTCAATGTAATAAAAGCCGTCTATGACAAACTCACAGCCAACTTTATACTCAATGGTGAAAAGTTGAAATTATTCCCTCTGAGAACTGGAACAAGACAAGAATCCCCACTTTCACCACCTCTATTTACATAGTATTGGAGATCCTAGCCAAAGCAATCAAAGAGGAGGAAATAAAGGACATCCAGGCCATGCATGGTTGCTCATGACTGCAATCCCAGCACCTTGGGAGGCCAAGACAGGTGGATCATTTGAGGTCAGGAGCTCGAGATCAGCCTGGCCAACATGGAGAAACTCCATCTTTACTAAGAATACAAAAAAAATAGCTGGGTGTGGTGACACATGCCTGTAATCCCAACTAATTGGGAGGCTGAGGTAGGAGAATCGCTTGAACCTGGGAGATGGAGGCTGCAGTGAGCTAAGATCACACCACTGCACTCCAGCCTGCGTGACATAGTGAGACTCTGTCTCAAAAAAAAAAAAAAAAAAAAAAAAAAGAAGAAAAGAAAGAAAGAAAAAGAAAAGAAAATAAATAAAGGGCATCCAAATCAGCAAAGAGAAAGTCAAATTGTCACTGTTCACTGATAATATGATCATATACCTAAAAAACCCTAAAGACTCATCTAAAAACCTCCTAGACCTGATAAATGAATTCAGTAAAGTTTCAGGATACAAAACCAATGTACAAAAATCAATAGCACTACTGTACAGCCCCAGTGACCAAGCTGATAAACAAATCAAGAAGTCAATCCCTTTTACAACAGTTGCAAAAAATAAAATACTTAGAAATATACCTAACCAAGGAGGTGAAAGATCTCTACAAGAAAAACTACAAAACACTGCTAAAAGAAATCATAGATGACACAGACAAATGGAAACACATCCCATGCTCATGGATGAGTAGAATCAATATTGTGAAAATGACCATACTGCCAAAAGCGATCTACAGAGTCAATGGAATTTCCATCAAAATAGCATCACTATTTGATATGGTTTGACTGTGTCCCCACCCATATCTCATCTGGAATTGTAGCTCTCATGATTCCCACATGTCACGATAGGGACTTGGCAGGAGGTAATTGAATCATGGGGATGGGTCTTTCCTGTGCTGTTCTCATGATAGCGAATAAGTCTCATGAGATCTGATGGTTTTATAAAGGGGAGTTCCCCTGCACACCCTCTCTCATGCCTACCACCATGTAAGACATATCTTTGTTCCTCATTCACCTTCTGCCATGATTTTGAGGCCTCCCCAGCCATGTGGAACTGTGAGTCAATTAAACCTCTTTCCTTTATAAATTAACCAGTCTCAGGTACGTCTTTCTTAGCAGCATGAGAACAGAAAAATGCAGTAAATTGGCACTGGGTAGTGGGATGCTGCTGTAAACATACCAGAAAATGTAGAAGCAACTTTGGAACTAGGTAACAGGCAGAGATTGAAACAGTTTCAAGGGCTCAGAAGAAGATAGGAAGATGTGGGAAAGTTTGGAACTTACTGGAGACTTGTTGAATGGCTTTGACCACAATGCTGATAGTGATATGTACAATAAAGTCCAGGATGATGTGGTTTCAGATGGAGATGAGGAACTTGTTGGGAACAGGAGTAAAGGTCACTCTTCTATGCAAGGAGGCTGGCAGCACTTTGCCCCAGCCCTAGAGATCTGTGGAACTTTGAAATAGAGAGATGATTTAGGATATCTGGCAGAACAAATTTCTAAGTGGCAGAGCATTCAAGAGGAAGCACAGCATAAAAGTTTGGGAAACTTGCAACCTGACAATGCAATAGAAGAGGAAACTTCATTTTTCTGGGGAGAAATGAAAGCCAGCTGCAGAAATTTGCATAAGTAAGGAGGAGCCAAAAGTTAATCACCAGGACAATGGGAAAAATGTCTCCAGGGCACGTCAGAGACCTTCAAAGCAACCCCTCCCATCAAAGGCCTGGAGACCTAAGAGGAAAAAATGGTTTACTGAGCCAGGACCAGGGCCTTGCTCCTTCATGTAGTCTCAGGATGCGGTGCTCTGTGTCCTAGTTGTGGCTAATAGGGACAAATGTAGAGCTCAGGCTATTGCTCAGAGGGTGCAAGCCTCAAGCCTTGGCAGCTTACATGTGGTGTTGGACCTGCAGGTGCACAAAAGTCAAAAATTGAGGTTTGGGAACCTATGCCTAGATGTCAGAGGATGTGTGGAAATGCCTGGATGTCTAGGCAGAGGTGTGATGCAGTGGCATGGCCCTCATGGAGAACCTCTGCTAGGGCAGTGCAGAAAGGAAATGTGAGGTGGGAGCCCCCACACAGGGTCCCCTCTGGGGCAGTACCAAGTGGAGCTGTGAGAAGAGGGCCACTGTCCTTCAGACCCCAGAGTGGTAGATTCACCGACAGCCTGCACCGTGTGCCTGGAAAAGTCACAGACACGCAACGCCAGCTCGTAAAAGCAGCCAGGATGGGGGGTTGTACTCTGCAATGCCACAGGGGTGTAGACGCACAAGACCATGGGAGCCCACCTCTTGCATCAGCATGCCCTGGATGCCCTGGATTCAAAGGTCATTTTGGAGCTTTAAGATTTGACTACCCCACTGAATTTCAGAGTTGCATGAGGTCTGTAGCCCCTTCATTTTGGCCAATTTCTCCCATTTGAAATGAGCGTATTTACTCAATGTCTCCATTGTATCTGGGAAGTAACTAACTTGCTTTTGATTTTACAGGCTCATAGGCAGAAGGCACCTGCCTTGTCTCAGATAAGACTTTAGACTATGCATGTTTGAGTTAATGCTGAAATGAGTTAAGACTTTGGGGGACTGTTGGGAAGGCATGATTGGTTTTGAAATGTGAGAGCGTGAGATTTGAAGTCGGGGACAGAATGATACAGTTTGGCTGTGTCCCCACCCAAATCTCATTTTGAATTGTATCTCCCATAATTCCCACATGTTTTGGGGGGACCCGGTGGTAGGTAATTGAATCATGGGGGTAGGTCTTTTCCGTGCTGTTCTTGTGATAGTAAGTCTAACAAGACCTAATGGTTTCATAAAGGGGTGTTCCCCTGCACACTCTCTCTTTTGCCTGCTGCTCAGCCATAAGAAGGAATGAAATAATGGCATTCACAGCAACCTGGATGCAGTTGGAGACCATTATTCCAAGTAACGTAACTCAGGAATGGAAAACCAAATATCTTACGTTTTCACTTATAAGTGGGAGTTAACTTATGAGGATGCAAAGGCATAAGAATGATATAATGGACTTTGGGGACTCGAGTGGAAGGGCAGGACTGGGGTGAGGGATAAAAGACTACACACTGAGTACAGTGTACACTGCTCAGGTGATGGGTGTACCAAAATCTCAGAAATCACCATTAAAGAACTTATCCATGTAACCAAAAGTCAAAATCGTGTTCCCCAAAAACTATTGAAATTAAAAAAATAGATAAACAAACTATGACACATTTATATAATAGAGTACTATTTAGCAAGAAAAGAAGCAAATTCTTGATATATTGGACAACACATGGATCTTAAAAAAAACATTATGCTGACTGAAAGAAGTCAGACACAAGGGTAAATCCTGTATGAGTCCATTTATAAGAAGTTCTAGAAGAGGCAAAATGAATTTATAGGGAAAGAAATTGAACAATGTTTCTGAAGGATGGAGGGTTAGGATTATTACAGAAGGGGAATGAGGAAAGTTTCTGGGATGGTGGTTTTGATGGAAGTTCTCAAGACCACTTCCATGTTAGAAGATTTTATAGGAGGACTCACAGGTTTCAGCATCATGATTTATTCCAGTCCATGTTCATGATTTATTACAGTTAAAGGATACAAAGCAAGAGCAGCCAAATAAAAGGGAGATGGGGTAAAGTCAGAGGAAACCAGGTATAGGCTTCCAAGAGTCATTTCTTAGTGGAATCACACAGGATGCACTTAATTCCACCAGCAATTAGCTGTGACAACACTGTAAAATATTGTCTACCAGGAAGGTCACTGGAGACTCAGTGTGCTGATTTTTTTTTAATTGAGGGCTCTGCCTAGCATGTGTCAAAATTCCACACTCCCCAAAGGAAAGCCGATGTGAAGCATAAACCATATTATTTGCATGGAGTTAGAAACAATGAGCCATCCTTACCATAGAATGGTGGGAACTGTCCTAAAATTCAACTTCCCAGATGCCAGCCAAGTGCCTACCTTGTGAACAGTTCTTTTGAAGGATAACAGTCGAGACGACTAAGTTAACTCTTTCCGGCACAGTGGTAGTTCTATATATTCATAGAGTTAGGATTACATAAGTGTATCGCTCTTTTAGAGATACACTTAAGTTCTGTATATTTAATTGTATGTAAATTTTACCTCAAAAGAAAAAATCTGTAAGCAATATTAATGCTATACATTAATATACATATCAATTTTACTAATAAGCATATTTAAAGATGGAGTGAACTGATGATGTGTGCAACTATTTTGAAATGCATCAAAATTTAGGTGGATTGATGGATGAATAGAAGGATAGATATGTGGTAAAAATAAGTCCAGCAAAATGCTAATTGTAGGATCTAGGTGGGAATATATGGCTGCTAACTATAAAATTTTCTGTATTTCATTGTAATTTAATAATATTTCATAGTACCTTCAAGATGAAATATCGGGGAAAGATAATATCTATCTGGCAATGTTACTTCGTTGCCCCAAAACCTTGGTTTACTTTCCAGCGTTCAATACACTTTATAATTTGACTTCATATAATCAGCATAGCGCTCACTTACTTCCAAGGAATTTGAAGAGCACCAGGGAGAGCATGTGAGTAATGGAGAGAGGCATAGAAAGTGCCTCTCTGCACTCCCACTTAGGGTGACCAATTGTCCCAGTTTTCCCAGGACTGTCCTGGTTTTAAAATGTAAAGTCCTACATCTTGGGAAACCCCTCAGTCCTGGGCAAACTGGGATGCTTGGTCACCTTACTGCACCTGTGTGCCCAGCTGTGCTGTGAGTCTATTATTTTTCTGTTAAGAACAGCTGTCAACTATTATTTCTAATCCATGCTCAGGGGCTGTGGACAGTTGGAGGTCTGGCCCTGACACACTCATTCTGCCATCTGGGCAGATGCTGCCTCCTGCTGGTGATAGAGTGCACCTGTTACAGAACCTCTCCCACAGGGCAGTAGCAGTTATGCCTGCTTTTTTCTCTTCCCCAACTCACAGTAGTCCTGGTCTTTGTCCTGCCTTCAATTCCATAGCGCACCATCTCTAAGGCCACTGAAACACCATCCTTGGTTTCTGGGTCCTACTCCCAACTCTGACTCCAGGCATTCTTCAGCACCCTGACCATGTACGTGTAACTACACTGCCCACCAGGAGGCATCTCGGTTCCATTCAGAAGGTGGAAGAAATAGCAGTTGATATTTAGTAACACCTGGGCAAAATGAAGAACCAGCCCAGGAGTTCCCCGAAAAAAACAAATGGCTGCTATGCGTTTCCAAGATAGAAATGTCGGCAGAGCGCGGTGGCTCACGCCTGTAATCCCAGCACTGTGAGAGGGCGAGGCGGGAGGATCACGAGGTCAGGAGATCGAGACCATCCTGGCTAACACGGTGAAACCCCGTCTCTACTAAAAATACAAAAAATTAGCCCGGCGTGGTGGCAGGCGCCTGTAGTCCCAGCTACTCGGGAGGCTGAGGCAGGAGAATGGCGTGAACCCGGGAGGTGGAGCTTGCAGTGAGCCGAGATCGCGCCACTGCACTCCAGCATGGGCGACAGAGCAAGACTCCGTCTCAAAAAACAAAACAAAACAAAAAAAACCCAAAAAATTAGCCGGGCGTGGTGGCGGGCGCCTGTAGTCCCAGCTACTGGGGAGGCTGAGGCAGGAGAATGGCGTGAACCCGGGAGGCAGAGCTTGCAGTGAGCCGAGATCACGCCACTGCACTCTAGCCTAGGCAACACAGCAAGAATCTGTCTCAAAAAAAAAAAAAGTCTTCCTTCCTTCTGCCTATGCTACTCTGGTAGGGTGTCAACTCACTTTAAAAATATGGCTTGGCCAGGCACGGTGGCTCACGTCTGTAATCCTAGCACTTTGGGAGGTCAAGGCGACTGGATCACCTGAGGTTAGGAGTTCAAAACTAGCCTGGCCAACATGGTGAAACCCTGTCTCTACTAAAAAAAAAATACAAAAATTAGCTGGGCGTGGTGGTGCACGCCTGTAGTCCCAGTTACCCTGGAGGCTGAGGCAGAAGAATCACTTCAACCCGGGAGGTGGAGGTTGCAGTGAGCCGAGATGGCACCACTGCACTCCAGCCTGGGTGACAGAGTGAGACTCCATTTCGAATATATATATATCATATATATATCTTATTATATATATTAAATATTATATATATGCTATATATATGCTATATATGATATATATATCATATATATGATATATATACTATATATGATATATATATCATATATATGATATATATATGCTATATATGATATATATGATATATATATGCTATATATGATATATATGATATATATGATATATATGATATATATGATATATATATGATATATATATGATATATATATGATATATATGCTATATATGATATATATATCATATATATGAGATATATATGATATATATGATATATATATGATATATATGATATATATGATATATATATCATATATATGATATATATATCATATATATATGATATATATATCTCCAGACAGGAGAAGAAACTAGCACAAAGTAACAAATCAGTCTATTACCGAGGCAGGGCTAGAACTGAGGTCTCCTCCTGAATTCCATGTTATTCCGAGTTTTTGACGCTACTTATGTCCTGATTCATCTAAAAAGACAGATGTCTACCTACTGGCTCCTCACTTTTCTGGGGGCATCCAGAAATGGCCCTGTCCACAACATGATCAAACAAAGCCTCTGGCCATTGTTGCTGCATTCCATGCCATGTAAGGGACTCAAATGCCAATTAACTGTGGTAGAGAGTTTGGCATAAAGGAGTTCAGCACTATAGGACAGGTCAACCCTGTTTTGGGAGAGATTCAGCACCATATGCCATCTAAGAAGCCTGATACTGAATCACTCCCAGGGACAGGACGGTCTTCACTGGCCAAAACCCATCTCTTAAGAGAAGGCATTGGTTCCTTCCGTTCCAAATAAAAGCCTGTTAAACCTTCATCTCTGTTCCATTTCAACCCCTAATACCCAGATCTGTCCACACCCAAAAGGGCTCTACCACTGAAATTTTATGATTTCATGTCTCCTCTCTGCCCAACAGAACCCTGTCACATTTTCTAGTCTTACTCTTTTCTCCCACAGTCCCTCCTTCTCACCTTCTCCTGGACCTCACAGAGGCCTCAGGCCTGGGACCCTCTCCTGGTCCATCCATTCCATCCTGACATTTTTCCACAGCTTGGACCCCCGGTCCATTGCTTCAACATTTCACTTGGCAATACCAACAGTTCTCCTTGTCCCCATCCTTCCTCTATGCTGCCCAGAGAAATCCAAGTCAAAGATCACTGCTGCTGTTGTCCTGGACAGTCAATGCTGCTGGAATCACTTTCCAGCCCCATGTTACCTGGCCCCATTTAGCATTCATGGTCCCCAAACCCATTTGGACCTCTAGCATTTCCCGGTTAGCTGCTAGTTACCTTTTCTCCTGCTCCCTCAGTGAAGAGGACTGAGGGTTGTCACTTTGAGGCCATGTGGTGCTTAGAATCACATGTGGTAAGGCAGCATAGGAGGTATAGGTGAAGAACAGTTTGCATTTATGCTGATCTGAGTTTGAAACTTGGATCTTCCACATATTGGTTGTGTGACAATGGGCAAGTCAATAATCTTTTAAACCTCATTTCCTTCTGTAAGCTATAAAAGGTAGTGTTGTAAGAAATCCATCTAAGTTCTTAGAAAAAATGTTTGGCAGGCATTCAATAAATGGTGGCTGTTATTCCATAGTGCCCTGGGCAGCACTCTGATTGGCAATACATACTAATTTCAAGTCTGATTTCTTGGTGGGCAAAAGCTGCTGACTGAGTTACTGCCCTGATTGGGGATTGGCTCAGGAACTTGGGTGGGCTTGGGCCTGTATGTGGGCACATGAGGGGCATAGGAAATACATGAGTGGAAAATCAAACCGCAAAATGTCTGGGGTCAGACAGATCTGACATCCTTGTGACTTGGGTTAAGCGAATTTATCTCTTTGAGCCTCTCTGTTGCTCGTATGTAAAATGAGGATAATAGTCTTTATTTATCACACTTCCCAGGGTTTCAGGGAGGCTTGAATGGCTTAGTGGATGGTAAAGTGCTTTTGTAAACTATAATGAACTCTATTTATATTAGTTATATGTGTGTATATGGGTGTGTGTGTATGTGTGCACACGGGTGTGTGTGTATGTGTGCACGCCCGTGTGTGTGTGTCTTTTCTCATAAGAGCTATGATCCTGGACTCTGAACCAGAGGGTGCAGGAGACAGTGTTGGGGTAACCATTCCAGGATGTCATTCTTTTCTGCTTCCTTTTTCCACTTTTCAGAAGTCTTTTGATGACATTGTGCCTACTCAGATAACCCAGGGTAATCTCCTTAATACCAGCTGATTAGGAAACTTAATTCTGTCTACAACCTTAATTTCTCTTTGTCATGTAACCTGACATATTCAAAGCTTTCAGAGATTAGAATGTGGGAATCTTTGCAGAGAGGGTAATTACTCTGCCCACCACTAGTAATTTACAGGTTAAAAGAGAGTTAACATACAAATCAACTAAATGTTATCTCTGGATTTTGGATTGGATCCCAATTCAAACAAACCAACTGTAAATATAAGAAAATCAGAGAAATTTGAATACTAAGTGGATATTTGATGATATTAAGAAATTACTGTTAACTTCTTAATCTGTGATAATATTGTGGTAATGTTGGGGAAAAAAGAATCCTTGTCTTTTACAAATATGTACTGAAATATTTGGGGATGAAATGAGATGATGTTTGGGATTTGCTATAAAATAAACTAATGAAAAGATGAATTAGTGAAGGGGGAATGCAGTGGCCATGTGCAGATAAATGTTGAAACTGGGTAACGGGAAGATAAAAAAATTTCATACTATTTTTCCACTTGTGTTTATGCTTGAAAATGTTTATTAAAAATTAATCTGGATTTTTAAAAATATATAGATGCTCAGGCTCTGCCTCCAGGAGATCCTGACTCAATAGCTCCAAGGTGAAGCCCAGGAATCTGAATTTTTAAAACTCTTCAGGTGACTCTGCTGCCTAGCTCACCTTGGCAACCTCCAAAGCAGATTGTCTCCAATAATAATATTTTTTTATACTTTAAGTTTTAGGGTACATGTGCACAACGTGCAGGTTAGTTACATATGTATACATGTGCCATGTTGGTGTGCTGCACCCATTAACTCGTCATTTAGCATTAGGTATATCTCCTAATGCTATCCCTCCCCACTCCCCCCACCCCACAACAGGCCCCGGTGTGTGATGTTCCCCTTCCTGTGTCCATGTGTTCTCATTGTTCAATTCCCACCTATGAGTGAGAACATGCGGTGTTTGGTTTTTTGTCCTTGCGATAGTTTGCTGAGAATGATGATTTCCAGCTTCATCCATGTCCCTACAAAGGACATGAACTCATCACTTTTTATGGCTGCATAGTATTCCACAGTATATATGTGCCACATTTTCTTAATCCAGTCTATCATTGTTGGACATTTGGGTTGGTTCCAAGTCTTTGCTATTCTGAATAGTGCCACAATAAACATATGTGTGCATGTGTCTTTATAACAGCATGATTTATAATCTTTTGGGTATATACCCAGTAATGGGATGGCTGAGTCAAATGGTATTTCTAGTTCAAGATCCCTGAGGAATCGCCACACTGACTTCCACAATGGTTGAACTAGTTTACAGCCCCACCAACAGTGTAAAAGTGTTCCTATTTCTCCACTTCCTCTCCAGCACATGTTGTTCCCTGACATTTTAATGATCACCATTCTAACTGGTGTGAGATGGTATCTCATTGTGGTTTTGATTTGCATTTCTCTGATGGCCAGTGATGATGAGCATTTTTTCATGTGTCTTTTGGCTGCATAAATGTCTTCTTTTGAGAAGTGTCTGTTCATATCCTTCGCCCACTTTTTGATGGGGTAGTTTGTTTTTTTCTTGTAAATTTGTTTGAGTTCATTGTAGATTCTGGATATTAGCCCTTTGTCAGATGAGTAGATTGCAAAAATTTTCTCCCATTCTGTAGGTTGCCTGTTCACTCTGATGGTGGTTTCCTTTGCTGTGCAGAAGCTCTTTAGTTTAATTAGATCCCATTTGTCAATTTTGGCTTTTGTTGCCATTGCTTTTGTGTTTTAGACATGAAGTCCTTGCCCATGCCTATGTCCTGAATGGTATTGCCTAGGTTTTCTTCTAGGGTTTTTATGGTTTTAGGTCTGACATTTAAGTCTTTAATCCATCTTGAATTAATTTTTGTATAAGGTGTAAGGAAGGGATCCAGTTTCAGCTTTCTACATATGGCTAGTCAGTTTTGCCAGCACCATTTATTAAACAGGGAATCCTTTCCCCATTGTTTGTTTTTGTCAGGTTTGTCAAAGATCAGATAGTTGTAGATATGCAGCATTATTTCTGAGGGCTCTGTTCTGTTCCATTGGTCTGTATCTCTGTTTTGGTACAAGTATCATGCTGTTTTGTTTACTGTAGACTTGTAGTATAGTTTGAAATCAGGTAGTGTGATGCGTCCAGCTTTGTTCTTTTGGCTTAGGATTGACTTGGCAATGTGGGCTCTTTTTTGGTTGCATATGAACTTTAAAGTAGTTTTTTCCAATTCTGTGAAGAAAGTCATTGGTAGTTTGATGGGGATGGCATTGAACCTACAAATTACCTTGGGCAGTATGGCCATTTTCATGATATTGATTCTTCCTACCCATGAGCATGGAATGTTCTTCCATTTGTTTGTATCCTCTTTTATTTCATTGAGCAGTGGTTTGTAGTTCTCCTTGAAGAGGTCCTTCACTTCCCTTGTAAGTTGGATTCCTGGGTATTTTATTCTCTTTGAAGCAATTATGAATGGGAGTTCACTCATGATTTGGCTCTCTGTTTGTCTTTTATTGGTGTATAAGAATGCATGTGATTTTTGCACATTGGTTTTGTATCCTGAGACTTTGCTGAAGTTGCCTATCAGCTTAAGGAGATTTTGGGCTGAGACGATGGGGTTTTCTAGATATACAATCATGTCATCTGCAAACAGGGACAATTTGACTTCCTCTTTTCCTAATTGAATACCCTTTATTTCCTTCTCCTGTCTGATTGCCCTGGCCAGAACTTCCAGCACTACATCGAATAGGAGTGGTGAGAGAGGGCATCCCTGTCTTGTGCCAGTTTTCAAAGTTAATGCTTCCAGTTTTTGCCCATTCAGTATGATATTGGCTGTGCATTTGTCATAGATAGCTCTTATTATTTTGAGATACATCCCATCAATACCTAACTTATTGAGAGTTTTTAGCATGGAGCATTGTTGAATTTTGTCAAAGGCCTTTTCTGCATCTATTGAGATAATCATATGGTTTTTGTCGCTGGTTCTGTTTATATGCTGGATTACATTTATTGTTTTGCATATGTTGAACCAGCCTTGCATCCCAGGGATGAAGCCCACTTGATCCTGGTGGATAAGCTTCTTGATGTGCTGCTCTGATCTTAGTTATTTCCAAGAATAATTTTTGCTATGAAGTTCAAAATCTGATGATACTAGCTAGGCCAGGCTGTGATAGTGTCTGGAGTATAAAGGCACAGAGCAGTGTTTGCTGGCCCCAACTTCCCTACCATCATATCTTGAGCACAAGTCCTACCGCTCCTCTAGAACTGGAGGGAGTACAGGTCCTGGTCTTTTTATACCCATATTTTTATTCTCCATAATCTTCCTTCCTTCTAGGTTACAGGGAAAATAATGCCAATTCGCATTTTTAATTCTTACCCCATGTTATTATACCAGGCTGGGTTTTCTTTGAATTTTTAATTTCTTTGGGTATATAGTAGGTGTACATATCTATAGGATACATGAGATGCTTTTTTTTTCTAGGTATCAGAAATGCATTTTATATTATCAGAAACCAAACGCAACGAGAGAGTCTGTAGAGTTAAGGAAAAATTAGTTGCTTCTCCAATGTCTTTAGAAAGCGTACAGGATGGAGTTAAGTTGCTGGAGCAGCTCAATTGCTAAGATACATCTTATGTGATGCAGACCAGAAAAATTAACAACAAATAATGCGTAAAAACTAGGCTTCGTTAAAAACAAAACCAAAGCAAAAAATCCATCCATTTTTTCTTTCTTTTAGAATCATTTAAACATTTTTTTAAATGAGGTAAAATTTACATAACATGAAATTAACCATTTTCAGTGAACAATTCAGTGGCATTTAGTACATTCACAACGTTGTGCAAAAACCATCTTCAGCCAGTTCTAAAACATTTTCATCATCCCCAAACAGTCTCCATTAAGCAGTTACTCCGCAGTTCTGGGCAACCACCAGTCTTTTTTCCATCTGTATGGGTTTCACTATTCCGGACGTTTCATACAAATGGAACCATGCAACATGTGACTTTTTGTCTGGCTTCTTTCACTTAGCATAATCATCCACATTGTAGTATGTATCACTACTTAATTCTTTTCTATGGCTGAATAATATTCCTTTGTATATCTGTACTACAGTTTGGTTATCCATTCATTCCATCAATAAGTATTTGGCTAGGGTGAATAGTGCTACTATGAACATGTGTGTTCATGTATTTGGTTGAGTACCTGCTTTAAATTTCCTTTGTGTATAAGCCTAGGAGTAGCATTGTAGGATTATATGATAATCCTATGTTTAACTTTTTGAGGACCCAGCCACTTATTCATGACCAGTATATTGCTTTAGACCTGCCAAAAAATTGTAGAGAAAAAGGAAAATAGGACTTCTAGAAGCCCATTTCTGGGGAGATGGAGGTATGTACTGCTGACTGGTCATCAAACCCAATTCTTCATCTTCCTGAACACACAGCTAGGTTACATTTCCCAGCATCTCCTGCAGCTGAGGGGTGGGGGCATGTGTCTCCATTCCTGCCAGTAAAATATGAGCACAAGTCATGTGTGGTAATTCTAGGCTTGGCTCATGAAAACCACGTGCAGGCAATCCTCCATGCCCTCTCCTCTTCTGCAGGCTCCATGCGGAGAACCCACACGATGAAGATGGAGAAGCCACCAGATGAAAGGAGCCTAGAGTTCAGAATTACCACTTGGAGGAGACCTGCCACCAATTGGTACCATTGGTTTTAGGCTGTAAGTGAGTGAAAAAGCAACTGTTCTTGTCTGGAACCATGAGCGTTGATGAGAACTCCATCACAGCTTCTAGCATTACTTGACCCTTACTCTAAATGCAAAAGAGAAGGCCACACCTTGCTCAGAAAGACCTGATGTGTGGGGCCAGTGCAAGGGGTCAAAAACTGAGGAGAGGCCAGAAGGCCAAAGCAGCTTGAGACTGGAGTGACTTGAGCCCATGGTCTTTCTGGGTCACACCCAGAAAAAGATCCAGAGACTGGCCTCTAGAAAGCTTAAACATACTACCAGGCCAGCATCAGGGCCAGCCTGAGCTATGACTGGCTGTAGTGTCCTTAGCATAAGGAAAGAAATGAGGCCTCTGCACCTAGTAAATTGTTTCAATCAGGAAAATTGTGAGTTAAAAAAAAATGATTAGGCTAAATAGACTTGAGCTTCCTTAGCCTCAGAAATCTGTTGATGCTCCTCTGTTTTTATGGTTTGTTGCTTTCTTTGATAATTTCCCATCTGTATTCTTAGTTTCTTTAGAAATTTCCATTTGAAAATTCCAAATCAGGCTGAGTCTGATAGGGGATGGCAGAGTCAGGCCAAACTCAGGCCAGCTCTGCAGGGGAGAAGAACACCCCTAGAGGCTAGGTGAGGTAGTGCAGGGACTGGTGTTCCTCAATCTGGTATCTTGGTCTTTGGGACAGGCAATTTTTTCACCTGCAAGACCAAGAGCTTCAGGCTTCTTAGCATCCCTGGCCCTGCCCCTTACAAGGCAGTAGAGCCCCAGTTGTGACAACCACAACTCCCCTAGGCATTTACAAACACTCCTAGGCAGGGCCAGTCCTCTAAACCCAGGTTGAGGACGAGTGAATGGAAGATGGGAAGACCAGATAAAAATAGAAAATTTAGAAATCTAAAGAAGACCATAAGGGACTCCTGAAATGTGCCCTACCTTCCTCATAGCAGGGCTCTTCTGTAGCACCATCATAAAGACTCTCTCCTCTTTTTGTTTTTGTTTTGTTTTGTTGGTTGGGTTTTGTTTTGTTTTGTCTTTTGCTTTGAAACAGGGTCTCGTTCTGTCACCCAGGCTGGAGTGCAGTGACACGATCATAGCTCACTGTAACCACGATCTCCTAGGCTCAAGCAGTCCTTCTGCCTCAGCCTCCTGAGCAGCTGGGACCACAGGGGTGCCCCACCACACTTGGCTATTTTTAATTTTTTGTTTGTTTGTTTGTTTTTGTCTTTGTAGAGACAGTGTCTCCCTATGCCGCCCAGGCTAGTCTCGAAATCCCGGGCTCAGGTGATTCGCC
Source organism: Homo sapiens (assembly GCF_000001405.40). Taxonomy (NCBI): domain Eukaryota; kingdom Metazoa; phylum Chordata; class Mammalia; order Primates; family Hominidae; genus Homo; species Homo sapiens. The sequence continues at coordinate 64,885,374 of NC_000023.11, read as the reverse complement.
CACCTTAGCCTCCCAAAGTGCTGGGACCACAGTCATGAGCCACTGCATATGGCCTCTCTCTCTCTCTCTCTTAAGTTTCTGTCTAGACTAGTCCGTCCTCCTTGTTGTTCACTCAGTTTCTAACCAGTTACTCCCCATCCCCAGTGTGGATCAAAATTTTCTGATTTTCAGCAGGGTGCAGTGGCTCATGCCTGCAATCCCAGCACCTAGGGAGGCTGAGGTGGGCAGATAGCCTGAGGTCAGGAGTTCAAGACCAGCCTGGGCAACACAGTGAGACTTCATCACTACAAAAAATACAAAAATTAGCCAGGCCTGATGGTGCAAGCCTGTAGTCCCAGCCACTTAGGAGGCTGAAGCAGGAGGATCACCTGAGTACAGGGAGGTCGAGTCTGTAGTGAGCCGTGATTGTGTCACTGCACTCCAGCCCAGGTGACAGAGTGAAACCTTGTCCCCAAAATAAAAAAAATTCTGACTTTTATTTTCTCGAAAATGTGCTTTTTCCCCAGCCTTAGACTAAGCTTGTCAAACCCATGGCCTGCAGGGCATATATGACCCCAGATGGTTTTGAATGCAGCCCAAGTCAAATTTGTAAACTTTCTTAAAACATAATGAGTTTGCTTTTTTTTGCAATTTTTTTTAGCTCATCAGCTATTGTTTTTGTTTTCTTTTCCAAATCACATAGCATTTTATTTTTATTTTTTATTGTACTTTAAGTTCTAGGGAACATGTGCACAATGTACAGGTTTGTCACATATGTATACATGTGCCATGTTGGTGTGCTGCACCCATTAACTCATCATTTACATTAAGTATATCTCCTAATGCTATCCCTCCCTCCTTCCCCCACCCCATGACAGACCCTGGTGTGTGATGTTCCCCGTCCTGTGTCAAAGTGTTCTCATTGTTCAATTCCCACCTATGAGTGAGAACATGTGGTGTTTGGTTTTTTGTCCCTGCGATAGTTTGCTGAGAATGATGGTTTCCAGCTTCATCCATGTCCCTACAAAGGACATGAACTCATCATTTTTATGGCTGCATGGTATACCATGGTGTATATGTGCCACATTTTCTTAATCCAGTCTATCATGGATCTACATTGGGATTGGTTCCAAGTCTTTGCTATTCTGAATAGAGCTGCAAGAAATATACGTGTGCATGTGTCTTTATAGCAGCATGATTTATAATCCTTTGGGTATATACCCAGTAATGGGATGCCTGGGCCAAATAGTATTTCTAGTTCAAGATCCCTGAGGAATTGCCACACTGTCTTCCACAATGGTTGAACTAGTTTACAGTCCCACCAACAGTGTAAAAGTGTTCCTATTTCTCCACATCCTGTCCAGCACCTGTTGTTTCCTGACTTTTTAATGATCACCATTCTAACTGGTGTGAGATGGTATCTCATAGTGGTTTTGATTTGCATTTCCCTGATGGCCAGTGATGATGAGCATTTTTTCATGTGTCTGTTGGCTGCATAAATGTCTTCTTTTGAGAAGTGTCTGTTCATATCCTTTGCCCACTTGATGGGGTTGTTTCTTTTGTTTCTTTTTTTTTTTCGTGTAAATTTTTTTAAGTTCTTTGTAGATTCTGGATATTAGCCTTTTGTCAGATGAGTAGATTACAAAAATTTTCTCCCATTCTGTAGGTTGCCTGTTCACTCGGATGGTGGTTTCTTTTGCTGTGCAGAAGCTCTTTAGTTTAATTAGATCCCATTTGTCAATTTTGGCTTTTGTTGCCATTGCTTTTGGTGTTCTTAGACATGAAGTCCTTGCCCATGCCTATGTCCTGAATGGTATTCCCTAGGTTTTCTTCTAGGGTTTTTACGGTTTCAGGTCTAACATTTAAGTCTTTAATCCATCTTGAATTAATTTTCGTATAAGGTGTAAGGAAGGGATCCAGTTTCAGCTTTCTACATATGGCTAGTCAGTTTTGCCAGCACCATTTATTAAATAGGGAATCCTTTCCCCATTGTTTGTTTTTGTCAGGTTTGTCAAAGATCAGATGGTTGTAGATGTGTGGCATCATTTCTGAGGGCTCTGTTCTGTTCCATTGGTCTATATCTCTGTTTTGGTACCAGTACCATGCTGTTTTGGTTACTGTAGACTTGTAGTATAGTTTGAAGTCAGGTAGTGTGATGCCTCCAGCTTTGTTCTTTTGGCCTATGATTGACTTGGCAATGCAGGCTCTTTTTTGGTTCCATATGAACTTTAAAGTAGTTTTTTCCAATTCTGTGAAGAAAGTCATTGGTAGCTTGATGGGGATGGCATTGAATCTATAAATTACTATGGGCAGTATGGCCATTTTCACGATATTGATTCTTCCTATCCATGAGCATGGAATGTTCTTCCATTTGTTTGTATCCTCTTTTATTTCATTGAGCAGTGGTTTGTAGTTCTCCTTGAAGAGGTCCTTCACTTCCCTTGTAAGTTGGATTCCTAGGTATTTTATTCTCTTTGAAGCAATTGTGAATGGGAGTTCACTCATGATTTGGCTCTCTGTTTGTCTGTTATTGGTGTATAAGAATGCATGTGATTTTTGCACATTAATTTTGTATCCTGAGACTCTGCTGAAGTTGCTTATCAGCTTAAGGAGATTTTTGGCTGAGATGATGGGGTTTTCTAGATATACAATCATGTCATCTGCAAACAGGGACAATTTGACTTCCTCTTTTCCTAATTGAATACCCTTTATTTCTTTCTCCTGCCTGATTGCCCTGGTTAGAACTTCCAACAGTATGTTGAATAGGAGTGGTGAGAGAGGGCATCCTGTCTTATGCCAGTTTTCAAAGGGAATGCTTCCAGTTTTTGCCCATTCAGTATGATATTGGCTGTGGGTTTGTCATAAATAGCTCTTATTATTTTGAGATAAATCCCATCAATACCTAACTGTTTGAGAGTTTTTAGCATGAAGGGCTGTTGAGTTTTGTCAAAGGCTTTTCTGCATCTATTTATAATCAAGTGGTTGTTGTCTTTCGTTCTGTTTATATGCTGGATTACATTTATTGATTTGTGTATGTTGAACGAGATTTGCATCCCAGGGATGAAGCCCACTGGATCCCAGGGATGAAGCTTTTTGATGTGCTGCTGGATTCGGTTTGCCAGTATTTTACTGAGGATTTTTCCATCGATGTTCATCGGGGATATTGGTCTAAAATTCTCTTTTCTTGTTTTGTCTCTGCCAGGCTTTGGTATCAGGATGATGCTGGCCTCATAAAATGAGTTAGGGAGGATTCCCTCTTTTTCTATTTATTGGAATAGTTTCAGAAGGAGTGGTACCAGTTCCTCCTTGTACCTCTGGTAGAATTCGGCTGTGAATCCGTCTGGTCCTGGACTTTTTTGGTTGGTAGGCTATTAATTATTGCCTCAATTTCAGAGCCTGTTATTAGTCTATTCACGGATTCAACTTCTTCCTGGTTTAGTCTTTGGAGGGTGTATTGTTGAGGAATTTATCTATTTCTTCTAGATTTTCTAGTGTATTTGCGTAGAGGTGTTTACAGTATTCTCTGATGGCAGTGTGTATTTCTGTGGGATCAGTGGCAATATCCCCTTTATCATTTTTTATTGCATCTATTTGATTCTTCTCTCTTTTCTTCTTTATTAGTCTTGCTAGTGGTCTATCAATTTTGTTGATGTTTTCGAAAAACCAGCTCCTGGATTCATTGATTTTTTGAAGGGTTTTTTTGTGTCTCTATCTCCTTCAGTTCTGCTCTGATCTTAGTTATTTCTTGCCTTCTGCTAGCTTTTGAATGTGTTTGCTCTTGCTTCTCTAGTTCTTTTAATTGTGATATTAAGGTGTCAATTTTATATCTTTTCTGCTTTCTTTTCTGGCCATTTAGTACTATAAATTTCCCTCTACTCACTGCTTTGAATGTGTCCCAGAGATTCTGGTATGTTGTGTCTTTGTTCTCATTGGTTTCAAAGAATATCTTTATTTCTGACTTTGTTTCGTTATGTACCCAGTAGTCATTCAGGAGCAGTTTGTTCAGTTTCCATGTAGTTGAGTGGTTTTGAGTGATTTGGGGTGGAGAGTTCTGTAGATGTCTATTAGGTGTGCTTGGTAGTGAGCTGAGTTCACTTCCTGGATTTCCTTGTTAATTTTCTGTCTCATTAATCTGTCTTATGTTGACAGTGGGGTGTTAAGTCTCCCATTATTATTGTGTGGGAGTCTAAGTCTCCTTGTAGGTCTCTACGGACTTGCTTTATGAATCTGGGTGCTCCAGTATTGGGTGCATATTTATTTAGGATAGTTAGCTCTTCTTGTTGAATTGATCTCTTTACCATTATGTAATGGCCTTCTTTGTGTATTTTAATCTTTGTTGGTTTAAAACCTGTTTTATCAGAGACTAGGATTGCAACCCCTGCCTTTTTTTGTTTTCCATTTGCTTGGTAGATCTTCCTCCATCCCTTTATTTTGAGCCTATGTGTGTCTGTGCATGTGAGAAGGGTCTCCTGAATACAGCACACTGATGGGTCTTGTCTCTTTATCCAATTTGCCAGTCTGTGTCTTTTAATTGGAGTATTTAGCCCATTTACATTTAAGGTTAATATTGTTATGTGTGAATTTGATCCTATCATTATGATGTTAGCTGGTTATTTTGCTCATTAGTTGATGCAGTTTCTTCCTAGCATGAATGGTCTTTACAATTTGGCATGTTTTTGCAGTGGCTGGCACCAGTTGTTCCTTTCCATGTTTAGTGCTTCCTTCAGGAGCTCTTTTAGGGCAGGCCTGGTGGTGACAAAATCTCTCAGCATTTGCTTGTCTGTAAAAATTTTATTTCTCCTTCACTTATGAAGCTTAATTTGGCTGGATATGAAATTCTGGGTTGAAAATTCTTTTCTTTAAGAATGTTGAATATTGGCCCCCACTCTCTTCTGGCTTGTAGATTTTCTGTCGAGAGATCTGCTGTTATTCTGATGCACTTTGCTTTGGGGTAACCCCATCTTTCTCTCTGGCTGCCCTTAAGATTTTTTACTTCATTTTAACTTTGATGAATCTAACAATTATGTGTCTTGGAGTTGCTCTTCTCGAGGAATATCTTTGTGGTGTTCTCTGTATTTCCTGAATTTGAATGTTGGCCTGCCTTGCTAGGTTGGGGAAGTTCTCCTGGACAATATCCTGAAGCATGTTTTCCAACTTGGTTCCTTTCCCCCCATCACTTTCAGGTACTCCAATCAGAGATAGATTTGGTCTTTTCACATAGTCCCATATTTCTTGGAGGCTTTGTTCATTTCTTTTTACTCTTTTTTTCTCTAAACTTCTCTTCTCACTTCATTTCATTCATTTGATCTTCAATCACTGATACCCTTTCTTCCAGTTGATCGAATTGACTACTGAAGCTGGTGCATGCGTCACATAGTTCTCATGCCATGGTTTTCAGCTCCATGAGGTCATTTAAGGACTTCTCTACACTGGTTATTCTAGTTAGCCATTTGGCTAATCTTTTTTCAAGGTTTTTAACTTCTTTGCCATGGGTTCGAAATTCCTCCTTTGGCTCAGAGAAGTTTGATCGTCTGAAGTCTTCTTCTCTCCACTCATCAAAGTCATTCTCCATCCAGCTTTGTTCCACTATCGCTGGTGAGGTGCTGCATTCCTTTGGATGGGGAGAGGCGCTCTGATTTTTAGAATTTTCTGCTTTCCTGCTCTGTTTTTTCCCCCATCTTTGTGGTTTTATCTACCTTCAGTCTTTGATGATGCTGACATACAGATGGGGTTTTGGTGTGGATGTCCTTTCTGTTTGTTAGTTTTCCTTCTAACAGTCAGGACCCTCAGCTGCAGGTCTGTTGGAGTTTGCTGGAGTTTGCTCCAGACCCTGTCTGCCTGGGTATCAGCAGTGGAGGCTGCAGAGCAGCGAATATTGCTGAACTGCAAATGTTGCTGCCTGATTGTTCCTCTGGAAGCTTCATCTCAGAGGGGTACCCGGCTGTGTGAGGAGTCAGCCTGCCCTGACTGAGGGGTGCCTCCAAGTTAGGCTACTTGGGGGTCAGGGACCCACTTGAGGAGGCAGTCTGTCCGTTCTCAGATCTCAAACTCCGTGCTGGGAGAACCACTACTCTCTTCAAAGCTGTCAGACAGGGACATTTAAGTATGCAGAGGATTCTGCTGCATTTTGTTCAGCTATGCCCTGACCCCAGAGGTTGAGTCTACAGAGGCAGGCAGGCCTTCTTGAGCTGCGTTTGGCTCCACCCAGTTCGAGCTTTCTGGCTGCTTTGTTTACCTACTCAAGCCTTGGCAATGTTGGGCGCCCCTCCCCCAGCCTCGCTGCCACCTTGCAGTTTGATCTCCGACTGCTGTGCTAGCAATGAGCGAGGCTCCGTGGGCATAGGACCCTGTGAGCCAGGCGTGGAATATAATCTCCGGGTGTGCCGTTTGCTAAGACCATTGGAAAAGTTCAGTATTGGAGTGGGAGTGACCCAATTTTCCAGGTGCCGTCTGTCACAGCTTCCCTTGGCTAGGAAAGGGAATTCCCGGACCCCTTGCACTTCCGGGTGAGATGATGCCTCGCTCTGCTTCAGCTCATGCTCAGTGGGGTGCACCCACTGTCCTGCACCCACTGTCTGACAAGCCCCAGTGAGATGAACCTGGTACCTCAGCTGGAAATGCAGAAATCACCCGTCTTCTTCCTCACTCATTCTGGGAGCTGTAGACTGGAGCTGTTACTATTCGGCTATCTTGGAACTGCTCCCCACACCCTGAGATGTTTTAGTACAGGCATTGCAATGAGTAAGAGTCACATCAAGGAAAATTGGGTATCTATTTCCTCAAGCATTTATCCTTTGTGTTACAAATAATCCAATTATACTGTTTTGATTATTTTCAAATGTAGAATTAAATTATTATAGACTATAGTCACCCTGTTGTGCTAGCAAATACTTGGTCTTATTCATTCTTTATATTTTTAGTGTAGCGTCCCCACCTGCCCCCACACTCAATTATCCTTTCCAAACTCTGGTCACCATCCCTCTACTCTCTATCTCCATGAGTTCTATTGTTTTGATATTTAGATCCCACAAATAAGTGAGAATATGTGATGTTTGTCTTTCTGTGCCTAGTTTATTTCACTTAACATAATGTCCTCCAGTTCCATCCATGTTGTTACAAATGGCAGAATTTCATTCTTTTTAGGGTTGAATAATATTCCATTGTGTGTAGGTACTGCATTTTCTTTATACATTTATCTGTTGCTGGACACAGAAGTTGATTCCATATCTGCACTATTGTGAATAGTGCTGCTACAAACATGGGAGTGCAGCTATCTCTTTGATATAGTGATTTTCTTTCTTTTGAGTATACATATGGCAGTAGGATTGCTGGATCTTATGGTAGTTTAATTTTTAGTTTTTTGAGAAACCTCCAAACTGCTCTCCATAGTGGCTGTAGTAATTTACTTTCCTACCAACAGTGTGCAAGGGTTCCCTTTTCTCCACAACCTCTCCAGCATGTGTTATTGCCTTTCTATTGGATATAAGCCATTTTAACTGGTCTGAGATGATCTGTCATTGTAGTTCTGATTTGCATTTCTCTGATGATCAGTGATGTTGAGCACCCTTTCATGTGCCTGTTTGCCATTGTATATCTTCTTTTGAGAAATGTCTATTCTATCTTTTTGCCCATTTTATGATCAGATTATTAGATATTTTCCTATAGAGTTGTTTGAGCTCCTTATATATTCTGGTTATTAATCCCTTGTCAGATGGGTAGTTTGCAAATATTTTCTCACATTCTGCGGGTTGTCTCTTAGTGTTGTTTATTGTTTCCCTTGTTGTGCAGAAGCTTTTTTTTATTATTATACTTTAAGTTTTAGGGTACATGTGCACAATGTGCAGGTTTGTTACATATGTATACATGTGCCATGTTGGTGTGCTGCACCCATTAACTCGTCATTTAGCATTAGGTATATCTCCTAATGCTATCCCTTCCCCCTCCCCCCACCCCACAACAGTCCCTGGAGTGTGATGTTCCCCTTCCTGTGTCCATGTGTTCTAATGAGAACCTATGTGTTCAATTCCCACCTATGAGTGAGAACATGTGGTGTTTGGTTTTTTGTCCTTGCGATAGTTTGCTGAGAATGATGATTTCCAGTTTCATCCACGTCCCTACAAAGGACATGAACTCATCATTTTTTATGGCTTGCAGAAGCTTTTTAACTTCATGTGATTCTATTTGTCCATTTTTGCTTTGGTTTCCTGTGCTTGTGGAATACGACACAAGAAAGTTTTGCCCAGACCAATGTCTTGGAGAATTTCCCCAATGTTTCCTTGTAGTGGTTTCATAGTTTTAGGTCTTAGATTTAAGTCTTGCATCTATTTGGGTTTTATTTTTGTACGTAGTAAGACATAGAGGTCTAGTTTCATCCTGCTGCACATGAATATCCAGTTTTCCAAGCATCATTTATTGAAGAGACTCTCTTTTCCCCAATTTATGTTCTTGGCACCTTTGTGAAAAATGAGCTCTCTGTAGATGTTTGGATTTGCTTCTGGGTTCTCTATTCTGTTTCAATGGTCTATATGTCTGTTTTTATGTGAGTACCACGTTGTTTTGATTACTATATCTCTGTAGTATAATTTGAAGTCAAGTAATGTGATTCCTCCTGTTTTGTTCATCTTGCTCAGTATAGCTTTGGCTATGCTGGGTCTTTTATGGTCCCATATAAATTTTAGGATTGTTTTTTCTATTTCTGTGAGGAATGTTATTGGTATCTTGACAGAGATTGCACTGAATCTGTAGATTGCTTTGGGTAGAATACTCCTTGTCACAATATTGATTATCCCTATCCATGAACATGGGATATTTTTCCATTGCTTATGCCCTGTTCATTTACATGCATCAATGTTTTATAATTTTCATTGTAGAGATATTTCACTCCATTGGATATTTGTTTTCTGCTTCTTTTGTGGTTTTCTTTTCCTTCTTTCCTGCTTTCCTGTCTTCCTTTTAGCGAAGATGGTTTTCTCTGGTGGTATGCTTTAGTTTCTTTCTTTTAATTTTTTGTATATCAATGGTATGCTTTTCAATTTGAGGTTATCATGAGACTTTTAAATACTATCTTATAATCTATTATTTCAAACTGCTGACAACCTAACACAGATTGCATAAACAAGAAAACACACAAAAATAAAACTAATAAAATCTCTATGCTTTAACTTCATTCCTCCATTTTTTAAACTTTTGATTGTTTCTCATTATGTCTTATTGTACTATGTCATGAAAATTTTTTATAGTTTTTATTTTTGATTGGTTCATCATTTATTCTTTCTAGTTAAGAAAAGAGTAGTTTACACAGCACATTTACAGTGTTATAATATTCTATGTTTTTCTGTGTGCTTACTATTACCAGTGAGTTGTGTACCTTTTGATGATTTCTTCTTGCTCATTAACGTCTCTATCTTTCAGATCAAAGAACCCCCTTCAGCATTTCTTGGAGGACAGGTTGGTGTTGATGAAATCTCTCAATTTTATTTGTCTGAGAAGTTATTTATTTCTTCTTCATGCTTGAAGGATGTTTTTAGATATACTATTATAGGATAAAAGATTTTTTTCTTCTGCATTTCAAATATGTCATGCCACTCTCTCTTGCTCTGTAAGTTTTCTACTGAAAAGTCTGTTGCCAGATGTATTGGAGCTCCGTTGTATGTTATTTTTTTCTTTTATCTTGCTGATTTTAGAATCCTCTCTTTATCCTTGACCTTTGTGAGTTTGATTACTAAATGCATTGAGGTAGTTTTCTTTGGCTTAAGTCTGCTCAGCAGTCTATAACCTTCTTGTGTTTGAATGTTGAATTTTTCTCTACATTTGGGATGTTTTCTGATATTGTCCCTTTGAATAAACTTTCTACCCCTGTCTCTTTCTCTACCTCCTCTTTAAGGTCAATAACTCTTAGATTTTCCATTTTGATCCTACTTTTTAGATTTTGTTGGCATGCTTCATTCTTTTTTATTCTTTTGTCTCTTCTGACTGTGTATTTTCAAATAGCATGTCTTCGAGCTCACTAGCTTTTTCTTCTGGTTGATCAATTCTGCTATTAAGAAAGAGACTCTGGTGCATTCTTCAGAATGTCAGCTGCATTTTTTAACTCCAGAATTTCTGCTTGATTCTCTTTAGTTATTTCAATGTCTTTGTTAAATTTATCTGATAGAATTCTGAATTCCTTCTCTGTGTTACATTGAATTTCTTTGAGTTTCCTCAAAACAGCTAGTTTGAGTTATCTATGTGAAACTTCACAGTATTGGTCCCTTGTGTCTTGTTTAGTTTGCTTCATGAGGTCATGTATTCCTGTACGGTCTTGATACTTGTGGATTTTCACTGGTGTCTGGGCATTGAAGAGTTAGGTGTTTATTGTAGTCCTCACAGTCTGAGCTTGTTTGTACCCATTCTTCTTGGGAAAGCTTTCCAGGTATATAAAGTGTCTTGGGTCCAAACCCCAATAATGCTATGGTTTTTGCAGACTTGTAGAGGTAACTTTGTGTTGGTCTTGGATAAGATCCAGCAGAATTCTCTGTATTACCAGGCAGAGACTCTTTTTTTCCCTTACTGTCTTCCAAACAAATGGGATCTCTTTATCTCTGTGCTAAGCCACCTGGAACTGGGGGTGTGGTGATGCATGCAGACATGTGGCCAGCACCACTTGGACTGCATTGGGTCAGCCCTGTAGCCCACATGACACTGGGCCTCACCCAAAGCCATGAATGAATTTTATAAGCCAGTTTCTTTTCATTGAAAATAATTGGGGGCAGCATGCCTTGGGCTGACTTGAAGAGCAAGATACATCTTCATGTACTCCTTAAGCAGACAAGCTCTCATTGAAGCAAAGCCTACCCCTAATTGCTCATACTTGGAAAAGAAAGAACATTTTTCAAGGGATAGGTTCTAGGTAGAAACTTTGTTAAGTGCTGTCTCACTAAATCTTCATATCTTCCATGTTTCTCCCTGGTCACACCAGCTTGGGAGAAAACTGGACTACAATTAAAAACAAAACTCTTTTTTCTAGCTGTATTCAGATGCCTTAAGTGGAAAATCTAGCCCCTTAAAATGCCTCTTAAAACGATCTTGGAGTTCTCCTGGGAGGCAGAGATTGCAGTGAGCTGAGATCGTGCCATTGCACTCCAGCCTGGGTGACAGAGTGAGACTCTGTCTCAAAAAAAAAAAAAAAAAAAAAAAAAGATCTTGGAGCTCTCAGTAGGTTCACACAGATATTTTTGTAATATGTTCTTTCTAGTTACCACATGGCATTAGTCATTTAACCCCACTTTTCTCTGTCTCTTGTTTTGTTTGCTGTTTCGATTACTTGCACTTTAAAGGGAAAAGTAGACCTTCGTTTACTAGTTTCACTCAACACAGGCAAACAAGCTGATGAAATCTCTAAGCCTCTTCTTTCTAGGTGTTAGAAATGAGACCTCAGGGACAAGGCAAATATGAGCGGCAGACCCTATACTGTAATTAGAATCCTTCCTCCAAATACTGAGTCATTATTCTTGATTTTCCCATCCTTTAGGGTAACTGTTCTTCCAGAAGTCACCTTGGTTTCACGTGCAAACAGGCTTCTGCTCCTGTGGAATTGAAGGGACCATCCTATTGGCATTTCAGTTCTATCTGACTTCTAGAGCGAAGACAGATGAGATTTCTGTTACAAAAACCGTTCTAGTTAGGCATTACTATCTCTACTTTACTGACAAAAGACTAAACCTCAGAGATTAAGTAATTGCATAACGTCACACCACTAGTGAATGACAGTACTGGGATTTGAGCCCAGGCAGTCAGATTCCAGGCTCTGTACTCTTTCTCCTTTTCTACACTACTATACACACACATTGAACTTAATTTAATTTGCTTAATGCTTTGTTTTTTTTCATGCTATAAATGTTGTGTCAAGGAGAGTGAAGAGAATGGCCTAAGGCTAATGAAAGGTCTGTATTTTATCTTAGCTTCCTTAGTAGCTAGGATTATAGGCACAAGCCATTGCACACAGCTGACAATTATCATTAGCAAACAACTTATAATAAGTGATTTATAAATTTACATAATATAATAAACATATAGTTTACTGTGCTATTGTGTCATGCATATTTTGATAGTGAGTAAATTAAAATATGTTGACAGATAAAAAAAGAAATATAATTGGATAGGTGGGCTGGGCCTGATTTCAGATGGCTTGGAAAGCCAGGCTGAAAAGGATTGAAAAGGGTGGGTTCATTTTGACAGAGTCTAAAAAGATCTTGTGATATCTGGAATAAGATGGGGTTGATGCATTCAAAATCTCAAGAATGTGAAGAAGTTGAGGGAAATAAAAATGAAGCTTTGTTGTTTTGGTTGTTGCTGTTTTCAGTGTCATAGAGACAGGCCTCAATTAGACTGGGTACTCAGTCAAAAGGATTCCAAAGAAATCATGTCATAAGTAGAAAACAGTCTCTAAGGAGTAACTTTTATTTATATCTCTACTCCACATTCACTGCCACTTCCCTCCAAAAGATTCTAGGAAGCAAATTGAAAACTTAAATGTGAGAGGAAAATATACTCCTGGGTATTTTTAAGTGCTCAGTGCACATAGGAACCCATAACCTTAGACTCAGAAGAAAATTCTTCTTTCTTGCTTTCAAAACCCACATACAACCCCCATGCAGAAGCTCTGAGAAGGGGCCCTCACTTTCTTCCATACCACATTACAACAATGGGTAGTTCAGTGTGGGAGAAAGCTACGTTTTTAAGCTAAACTGAAATCTTCCTCTGGTAGCTTGCTTTGAGTTTGTTATGTCTTCCTTATGGTGTCCCTGAATCTATTTAGAAGTCATCAGCAATTTATTCTCTGTGGCAGCCTTCCATATCTGAAGACAGCTCTTGCTGCCCTTGGCTACCACTTACACCACCCACTTGTGCCATACAACAATTGAATATTATCTTTTATTTTGTCAAATGGCAACAAAAAAGTATAAGCTGAATTTCTTAAGGAAACAAAATTACATATTTACCCAAAGATTATTTAATCCCAAAATTTCACTGACACACACATACACACACACACACACACACACACACACACACACACACACACACAAAGCAAACATGATTTCATGGTTTTTATACAGTGTTGAGTGGACTTGGTGAAAGAGAGAATTAGGTTGTATTTTCAATGGAAAGTTCCATTTCTGTGGGCCTTTCTTGAACAAAAGAGGGTTGTTGCATGAGCCCTCTTGTATATATAGATGCCATGTGCAGCTCTGGCAGTTTATTTATTGCAATTTGTTCTTGATGGACTAGTACAGTTAGCTGATCATATTGGAGAAAGAGAACTCAATTATAGCCTTGCTATTCCATAATCCTTGGTGATGTTTTGTTCACCCTTTCATGGATTGAGGTCCTTTAATAAATAAGCCTTTAAAAAAACCCTTCTTTGAACAGCTCTATCCCCTTGCCAGGGTATACAAGCCACATCATGCTCCCCATGGTAGCCTTGAAAACCAGCAGCTTGGCAACCATGATAGCTGGGAAAATAAGTGGTCTAGCCAACTGGGTTTGGACTTCCTAAAAACAAAAATCCTGTCTCCAAAAAATTGTCACCAGTTTACCTGTCAGGAAGTTCTCTAGCAAAACCCCATTCATAGGGCTTGTCATTATTTGACCTTATTTAGAGCTCAGTCTCAGGAGGAAAAGCTCTATTCCCAAGGTTTTCACTGAAATCAATCAGTGGCAATTGTTTAATATTGCAGCTGCCTGAAGCAGTAATACTATTTGGGTCAGATGAGAGGCTAGTTTAAATACTTAAGAAAATCTACAGAATGAATTAGTCATGGCAGGCTTTAAAAAACTCCAACACAGTCTTCTGAATCTAGAAGACTATAAACATATTCAGGGCTGTGTGTCTGCAAAGGAAAGACCTGAGAAGGCCCTAATGTATCACCTCTGGTTGGCCACGAGGGTCTGCACAAGAAAGAAATGAAAGCTAAGGCTGAATTGTCAACTGCCTGCCAGAATATTGAAGGTATGCCCCAAAGCTTACACAGAACTCTTCAGCAAAGGCTGACAGGCTTATTGGTTTAAGCTAACCATTAAGCTAAATGAGAAAGATTGCAGTGGCTGCACTTGACAGGGAATGAAGACTTTACATAATTAGTAAAATTCATGAAGCAAAGAGCAACAACAGCAACATTATTATCATCATCATCAACAAAAACAAAACAATATAGCAGCAGCGGCAGGGAAATTCTGATTTCCAGAGTTGCCACATTATTTAATGTAAAATGTCCAGTTTTTAACAAAAAATATGAAATAGTCAAAGAAACAGAAAAAGTATAAGCCATACACAGGGAAAAAGAAATCATTAGAAACTGCCCTTGAGAAAGCCCAGATACTGGATGCAGTAAATGAAGACTTTAAATCACCTGCTACAAATATGTTCATAGTATTACAGAAAACCTCATCTAAACAATGAAAGAAAATTACCAAAACGATATATCATTAAAGAGAGAATATCAAGAAAGGGACAGAAATTTTTTAAAGCATCAAATAGATATTCTGGAATTGAAAAGTGCAATAAATGAAATAAAAAATTCCATAGAGGGGCTCAGTAGCTGACAATCTGGCAGAAAAAGAATCCGTGAACTTGAATATAGGCATTAAAGACTGACAATGGCTTCCAAAATATGCCCATGTCCTAATCTCTGGAAGCTGTAAATATTACATTATTTGGAAAATAAGTCTTTTCTGATGTAATTAAGTACACGATTTTGAGATGAGAAGATTATTCTGATGTGCCCTAAATGCCATCACAAGGATTATTATGAGAGAGATTCAAAACACACACACACACACACACACACACACACACACACACACACACACACAAAACCACACACGTGAGAAGGTGATGTGAAGATGGAGGCAGAGATTAAAGTGAGGCAGCCTCAAGCTAAAGAATGTCAGTAGCCACCAGAAGCTAGAATATTCAAGAAATAGATTCTCCCATAGAGCATCTAGAAGAAACATGGCTCTGCAAACACCATGATTTCAGACTTGTGACCTCCAGTACAGTGAGAAAATAAATTTCTGTTATTTAAGCCATCAAGTTTGTTGTAATTTTTTTACAACATTTGTAGGAAACCAATAGAATAAATCAATTGAAATTATGCAGGCAGAGAAACAGAAAGAGAAAAGAATGAAAGAAAATGAACAAAGCACTAAACACGTATGGGACAGTATGCAAATATATTTATTAGAGGAGTCCCAGAAGAAGAGAAT
Organism: Homo sapiens; assembly: GCF_000001405.40. Taxonomy (NCBI): domain Eukaryota; kingdom Metazoa; phylum Chordata; class Mammalia; order Primates; family Hominidae; genus Homo; species Homo sapiens. Next base: position 64,870,149 of record NC_000023.11, on the reverse strand, counting down.
GGAGAAAAAGACAGAGAGAATATTTGAAGAATGATAGCCAAAAACTTTCCAAATTTGATGAAAAATATCTGTAAATCTAAAATCAACAAACTTCAAGTAGCACAAATACCAAGGGATTCAGACTTAGACACATCATATTAAAAGTGTCAAAAGATAAAGATAAAGAGAGCATCTTTAAAACAGCAAGAGGAAAGCAACTCATTACATAAAAAGGATTCTCAATAAAATTAACTGTTGACTTCTCATCAGAAACCATTGAGACTAGAAGACAGTGGATTGACATATTCATAGTGCTGAAAGGCAATATTTATCAATAAAGAATTCTATATCCAGAAAAAAATCTTTCAAACAAAGGTGAAATGACAACATTCCTAGATAAACAAAAACTGAGACAATTTTTTCACTCAGACCCACACTACCAAAATAAATAAATAAGTAAATAAATAAATACATTCTTTAGGCTGAAATATAAAGACACTAGACAATAACTTAAATCCACAAGAAGCTATAAAGATTACCAACAAAGGTAACTACTTAGGTGTATATATAAAATACAGTAAGAAAATATACTTTTCTTTGTAACTCTTTTTTGTCCAACATAACATAGAAGACAACTGTGTAAAGCACTTATTGTAAAACTATATTGATAAAAATTAAAACTATAATTTAAAAAAATGTAATATATATGACAATAATAGCTTAAAGGAGAAGGCAGAGAATTGACCTATATTGGAGCAACGTTTTTATGTTCAATTGAAATGTGGTTGGTATTAATTCAATTTTGATTGCATTAAGTCAAGATATTAATTGTAATCTTCACAGGAAATACTAAGAAAATGACTCAGAAATAGAGTAAAAGAAACAACAGGGTATTAACATGGTACACTAGAAAATATATACTTAACACAATAAAACAGTAATGAAAGAACAGACGAACAACAAAAGATGGAAGACATAAAAAAATAGCAAAATGGCAGACATAAAAATTACCTTATTATTACTTATATGAATGTAAATGTACTGAAACCTATGACAAAAGGCAGAGATTGGTAGATAATGAATAAGAAACATAATGCAACTATATGTTGTCTCTAAAAAACACACTTTAGATTCAAAGACACAAATAAGTTGAAAGTAAGAGGATAGAAAAGAGATATGCCATGCAGATAGTTACCAAAAGAGAGCAGGAATGCTGTACTAATAGCAAACAAAATAGACCTTAGAGACAAAAACTGGACATTGTTTGATAATAAAATGATCAATCCATCAAGAAGATATAACAATGACAAATACACATGTACATGAAAACAGCCTAAAAGTACATGAGGACAGAATTGAAAGGAAAAGTGAACAATAGTTGAAGACTGCAGTATATCACTTACAATAATGGAACAATTAGGTAGAAGGTCAACAAGGAAATAGAAGACTTGAACAACACTATAAACCATCTAGACCTAGCAGAAATATATAGTACTGTTTATCTAATATCACCAAAATACACATTCTTCTCAAGTGCCCATGGAACATGTGTTCCACATGTTAAGCCACAAAAGCCTCAATAATTTAAATGAATTGAAATCATACAAAATATATTCTCTGGCCACAATAAATTTTAGTTAAAAATCAATAGGAGAAGGAAATTTAGGAGAATCTCAAATATGTTGAAATTAAACAACACACCTCTGACTAGTCAGTAAGTCAAAGAAAAAATCACAAAAGACAGTAAAAAAAAAATGCTTTGAGTTGAAGAGTTGAAGTGAAGATGAAAACACAGCACACCAAAACTTATGGGATGAAGTGAAGCAGTGCTTAGAAGGAAATTTATAGCTGTGTCTACTTAAAAGAAGAACAAACAGTTCAGACCAACAATTTAACCTTCCATCTTAGAAGCTGAAAAAAGAATAAACTAAACCAAAAGCAAGAGAAGGAAAGAAAAAGTAGATTAAACCAGAAACAAATGATATAGAGAATAGAAAATTAATAAGAAAATCAACAAAACCAAATGCTGGTTCTTTGACAAGATCAGCAAAATTGACAAACCACAAGCCTTAACTAGAATTACCAAGAAAGAAAGTGAAAAGACTCAAATTACTAAAGTTGAGAATTAAAGAGGAAACGTTACTATCAACCTTACAAAAATAAAAAATATTATGGGGGAACACTAGGATAACCTGTATGCCAACAAATTAGATAACCTGAATGAAATTAACAAATTCTTATGAAAACTTAAATACATTGCTGATAAGGATATAAAATGGTTCAGCCACTTTGGAAAGTGGTTTGGCTGTTTCTCAAAATATTAAACATAACGTTACCATGTGATCTAGCAATTCTACTCATAGGTATATATCTAAAAGGAATAAAAATATATATTGACACAATTGTTCATAAAGGTTAAAAAGTATAAATAACTCCCAAATCCATCAACTAATGAATGCATAGATAAAATGCATATCCATATAATGGAATAATATTCATGCAATGAAATATTATTAAGCAATAAAAGAAATGAAATATTAATACATGCTACAACATGGAAAGCCTTGAAAACATCATGCTAAGTGAAAGTAGCCAGTCAGCAAAGACCACATATTGTATAATTCCACTTATATGAAATGTTCAGAATAGGCAAATCCATAGAGACAGAAAAATAGACTAGTGGTTGATAGAAGCTGGATGGATGGAGAATTGGAAGTGATTACTCATATGTACATGGTTTCTTTTTGTAGTGATAAGAAGTTTCTACACTTAGTGGTAATGTGAATACCACTAACTGTGTGAATATACTAAACCACATGTAATTTTACACTTAAAAAGGGCTAAGTATGTGGTATGAAAATTATATCTAAATAAATGAAAAGTATATTGTATACAACCTGCTACTGCTAAATTTTACTGGCTAAAAATTTTAAGAAAATTAAAAAAAAACACAAATAAGGGAAAGGCAAAAAAATGGGTGGTGGAACTGAAGAGTCATGTGCACTGAGGAGCTGAGACAACTGGGGCAACAGGCCCAGGAGAAAATCCCTGCCCTGACCCTGCCTGAGGTTTGACCAGCAGTAGTTAAAGCTTTCCAGTGGCTTCTGTTTAAATTAATCAGAGAAAGAAAGATGAGCGCCATTTCACCTGAGAGCCTTCTGGAGCTCAACGGAAATCAGGCAGAGGCTGAAAAGGAGTCAATTAAATGCGGCTCCTCTTTGCTATTCCCATTGGGTCTTACTGCTGCTATGTTCCAAGCTGGAGGAGGTGGGTTAGTAGAGGTGGGGTTGCAAAGAGAGAATGAAGGAAAGAATCGAACAAGTTCTACCTTGCCATACTGATCCTGAGGTGCCATGGCTGAAACTCAGGAAACCCTAAATTGTTCCCAGACCACCTCTCTATGTTCACAAGTATAGATTGGGAGCAGCTTTAACTCCCCCTCACCACCTGCTCCCAGAGCCCTCCCTGCCCTCCAGAAGACACTGCCTTCTGTCAATAAGGTTTGACTTCTGAGGACTTTGAGATTTTGCTTAAAAAATTATTAAACTCCTACTATGGACCAGGCACTGTGGTGTTTTTTTAAGCACTCCATTTCATTTAATTTTAAAAAAAGCACAACAGCATGGGAGGTGTTATTATCCTTATTTTACAGACTTATTTATTCAGATCAGGTCCTTTCTGTGTCTTTTCTATTTAAATCAATCAAGAAATATTGACTGAGTACTCATCACATGCCAAACACATGTTCTAGGTACTGGGAAAGCAGCAGTAAACAAAGCAGACAAAATCCTTGTCTTTTTGATGCCTTCATTATAGAGGGGGTGACAAAGAATTAACAATTAAATATATAATGTCAGTATAATCATGTTGTTCTGTGAAGAAAAGTAGAGCTGGACGAAGAGATAAAGTGACTGAGAAGTGGTATATTAGGAAAGTCAGAAAAGGCCCCTCTGAGGAGAGGGAGACCTAAATGAAGAGCAGAGATGTAAATGAAGTAAGCTGGAAGCTGGAAGAAAAGTATTACTGGCAGAGAGAACAGCAAGTGTAAAAGCTCTAAGAAGGGAGTGTGCCTTTTATATTCAGTAAACACACATTGAAATAACTTTGCTTTTACATTATTTCTATTCTGAATGATATGAGAGTCATTGGAGAGGTTTGAGTAAGAGAGTAACATGAGTGGAGTTAACAGGATAACTTTAACTGTTCTAAGAACGGACTGTAGGGGACAACAATAGAAGAAAAAAAAATCCATTGGGAGGTAACTGCAGATAAGGAATTAGAACTAGTGGAATAATTTCTTCTTGCTATCTTCCTAGAGACAGTGATGTTATCCTCCAACACAGATGTATCCCACATACAATTACAGTCAGACATAGATAAAAGCATACAAAGCCCAATACAAAGGCACTTCAAGAAGACATATGTACATGTAGATATGGAATACACCAATGTAAGCACCAAGACCCACACGTATACACACACAGATTCCCAACAAACAGTATTGCACATTCAGGCACAAGCACATGCATAGAGAGGTATGCAGTAATTCACATACATAAACATGCATAGACACAAATAAATACAAAGTTACATATATATATATATCTACCGTATGTATATACACATATATACATACATACATACATGGGCTGTTATCTGTCTGGTACTGCCAAATGAGTTTTTCATGGCAAGTATCTGTTCTGACTGGTCAGTGTCTATGCTGTTCTGGTTTTTAAATAGTCTCTCCATCACACAGACATATATGCATGTGCTTGCACCTGTACACACACACACACACACACACACACACACACACACACAACCTCTTCCTACCTTGATACTAGAAGAAAAGTATTAAAATGGTGGCGCCCCACTTATACAAATTTTTGACCAGTGTGTGTGTAAACTTCTACTCTGGGTGGTTTGACATAAGTCCCAGAAGCCAATAGTCTTGGGAAACAGGATTCCCACCTCATTTGTTGCCAGGAGGATGTACAATCAAATGGCTCCTACTGATCCTATATCAGAAGACCACACAGGGAAACAGGGACAATGGAATCTATGGAGTAATTAAAAGCCAGGAGTAAGCTTCGTGCCTTTTGATAATGCAGTGATCAGCAAGATATATTGCTAACAGAATATATCTGTTAAAAGAGCAAAGTATAGAAAGGTTTAATGGTCTCATTTGGCTGAAAAGATTACACACACACACACACACACACACACACACACACTGGTAAAACTTTTTTTTAACTTTACAGAACATAAAAATAAGAGATTAACAATGTATAAAATCTTTGCCCTTACAATATTTTTCCTTTTGATTGTTTTAAGGGTTGATTTAGTCACTTCTGAAACCTACCTTCACAATGTTGTACTCTTTTCATAGATAGATTGGTAAATAAATATGATGCATGTTCATATTCTCTTCCATTGCCATAACTTAGCTAGCTCTTTTCACATATTCACTTGTAATATTTTTTAAATATTTGGAAGTCATAATAGGAGTCTCAAAAGCAAATGTTTATAGCAAGGTCATTTACAAAGCATTATAAAAACAAGTGTAAAATGTGAAGAACTAAATTACAAGCCAGAAAACCTTATGTTCATAGAAAAACTGTAAAATCTCTCCAGAGCAACACAGCTTGATTGTTACTACAGCATGCATAAAATTCAGATGGAGGTGCAAAAACAATAAATTGATCTCTCTCTCTCTGCACAACCTCTTAGAACAACCCCCACACACTCACACTCAAACATAGAATATGGGGAAGGACAAGGAATAATTGCCATTGTCTTCTTTTCTATTAGAAATCTTTACTAAACACTAAATAGATGTTTTAACTGTTAAAATTTACAGTTTGCATGTACAAGTATAAAGTCTGTTCTCTTCAAAATCAATGTATTGGTGAACTTTATATTTACCAATATAAACAGCAGCACCAAAGCAGAGAAGAAATTGGCAGAAGGGGCTAGACTGAGAACAAGAGCCAATTCCTGTGTCAGGACTGAGAGGTGAGGAAGAATGGGTGGAGGAAAGGAAGGTGGCTGAGAGGAACAGTACTTATTCTCTAGTACCTTTTTATAACAACCTGACAACCTTTCTGAGGTGGGATGCAGGATCCCAGACTTGTGCTTTTAGTCTGGACTTCTCCCGGTGGACCAGGTCCTGGAGCTGACTGAGGGATGGGCCACTGGAAATCTAGTACCTCCTCAATTTACCCATGTTCCTTCTCTTGGGTCAACTGGAGTGCCACTAGCCCACATGGCCCTTTTGGAAATTAGAAAGATCAGAAAAATTGTAAAGATTAGAAGATTGCTCTTTAGGGAAGACATAGGCCTGGGTAAGAAGAGATAGCTTGGTAAGTGGAGTCTGGGCTGATCTCATCTCTCAATTACCAATATCCATGACTTTCTTTGGAACCAGCACTAAGTGTAACAAGTTCTTTACCTAGTCCCTGGTGTACCAGAAAGAAGCCTAAGACAGGAGCTGAGTGACTCACAGCAAGAAAAACATTTTACCTGGCAACTATGTGTATACGCACCTAAACCCCTCTGCACACACATTTATAGTTGAAACAAAGGGAAAAAACTCACTTAATTTTATGTACTCTGGTATTTTCTATTCTGTTCTAAAATGTGGTTATGATTCATGAAAATGTTTGCATGCTATTCACAATGGCAAAGACATGGAATCAACTTAAATGCCATCATTTAAGTTGATAGGCTGGATGAAGAAAATGTGGTACATGTACACCATGGAATACTATGCAGCCATAAAAAGGAATGAGATCATGTCCTTTGCAGGAACATGGATGGAGCTGGAAGCCATTATCCTTAGCAAACTAATGCAGGAACAGAAAACCAAACAACACATGTTCTCATTGATAAGTGGGAACAGTGAAAACACATGGACACATGGATGGGAACAAAACACACTAGGGCCTGCTGTGGGGGAGGTGGGGAGAGGGACAGCACCAGGAAAAATAGCTAATGCATCCTGGGCTTAATGCTTAGGTGATGGATTGATAGGTGCAGCCATGGCACACGTTTACCTATGTAACAAACCTGCACATCCTGTACATGTATCCCAGAACTTAAAATTAAATTACATTAATATATCTGGCCAAACAAAGCTTCATAAGTGAAGAAGAAATAAAATCATTTTCAGACAAGCAATTGCTGAGGAAATTGGCCACCACTAGGCCTGCCTTGCAAGAACTCCTGAAGGAAGCACTAAATATGGAAAGGAAAAATGCTTAGAAGCCACTGCAAAAACACATTGAAGTACACAGACCAGTTACACTATGAAGCAACTACATAAACAAATCTGCAAAATAACCAGCTAGCATCATGATGACAGGATTAAATTCACACATAACTATATTAACCTTAAATGTAAATGGGCTAAATGCCCCAATTAAAAGAAACAGAATGGCAAACTGGATAAAGAGTCAAGATCCATCAGTTTGCTGTATTCAGGAGACCCACCTCACATGCAAAGACACACATAGATTCAAAACAAAAGGACAGAGAAAAACTTACCAATCAAATGGAAAACAGAAAAGACCAGGGATTGCAATACTAGTTTCTGACAAAAGAGACTTGAAACCGACCAAGATAAAAAAGACAAAGAAGAACATTACATAATGGTAAAGGGGTCAATTCAACAAGAAGAGCTAGCTATCCTAAACATATATGTACCCAACATAGCACAATCAAATTAAAACTCAACATTAAAAAACTCACTAGAAACCACACAAATACATGGAAATTGAACAACTTGCTCCTGAATGACTCTTGGGTGTGTAATAAAATTAAGGCAGAATTCAAGAATTTTTTTTTTAAACCAATGAGAACAAACAGACAACATTCCAGAATCTTGGGGACACAGCCAAAGCATTGTTAAAAGGAAAATATATAGCACTAAATGCCTACATAAAAAAGCTAGAAAGATCTCAAATTGACACACTAACATCATAACTAGAAGAACTGGAGAACAAAGAGCAAACAAACCCCAAAGTTAGCAGAAGAAAAAAAAAAAACAAGATCAGAGAGTAACTGAAGGAGATAGAGGCACAAAAAACCCTTTGAGAAATCAATGAATCCAGAAGCTGTTTTTTTGAAAAATTAAAATAGATAGACTGCTAGCCTGATTAATTAAAAAAAAGAAAAGAGAGAAGAATTAAATAGAAACAATACAAAATGATAAGGGGAATATTACCACTGACCTCACAGAAATACAAACAACCATCAGAGAATACTACAAACACCCCTATGCAAATAAAGTAGGAAATTTAGAAGAAATGGATAAATTCCTGGAAACATTCACCCTCTCAAGACTGAAACAGGAAGAAGTGAATTCCTGAATAGACCAATAACAAGTTCTGAAATTGAGTCAGTAATAAATAACCTACCAACTAAAAAAAGCTCAGGACCAGTTGGATTTACAGCTGAATTCTACCAAAAATACGAAGAAGAGCTGACACCTTTTCTTCTGAAACTATTTCAAACAATAGAAAAGGAGAGACTCCTCCAAAAGTCATTCTATGAGGCCAGTATCATCCTGATACCAAAATCTGGCAGAGATAAAACAACTACAGAAAACTTCAGGCCAATGTCCCTGATGAACATCGATGCAAAAATTCTCAATAACATACTGGCAAATCAAATAGAGCAGCATATCAAAAAGCTTATCCAACAAAATCAAGTTGGCTTAATCCCTGGGATACAAGGCAGGTTCAACATAGGCACATCAATAAATATAATTCATCACACAAACAGATCTAAAGACAAAAACCATATGATTATCTTAATAGACACAGAAAAGGCCTTCAATAAAATTCAACATCTCTTTATGTTAAAAACTCTCAATAAACTAGGTATTGAAGAAACATACTCAAAATAAGAGCCATTTATGACAGACCAACAGCTAATATCATGCTTAATGGGCAAAAGCTGGAAGCATTCCCCTTGAATATCAGCACAAGACAAGGAGGCTCTCTCTTACTACTCCTGTTCCACATAGTATTGAAAGTTCTTCCCAGGGCAATCAGGCAAGAGAAAGAAATAAAGGTATTCAAATAGGAAGAGACGAAGTCAAATTGTCTGTTTGAAGATGACATAATCCTACATCTAGAAAACACCATCGTCTCTGTCCAAAAGCTTCTTTAGCTGATAAGCAACTTCAGCAAAGTCTTCAGAGACAAAATCAATGTGCAAAAGTCACAAGCCTTTCTATACACCAACAACAGGCAAGCAGAGAGCCAAATCATGAATGAACTCCCATTCACAATTGCTACAAAGAGAATGAAATACCTAGGAACACAGCTGAAAATGGGAGTTAAGGACTTCTTCAAGTAGAACTACAAACCACTGCTCAAAGAAATAAGAGAGGACACAAAAAATGGAAAAAAATTCCATGATCATGAATAGGAAGAATCAATATCGTGAAAATGGTCATACTGCCCAAAGTAATTTATAGATTCAATGATACTCCCATTAAACGAACATTGACTTTCTTCACAGATTTAGAGGAAACTATTTTAAAATTTATATGGAACAAAAAAACAGCCAACATAGCAAAGACAATCCTAAGCTAAAAGAACAAAGCTGGAGGCATCATGCTACCAGGCTTCAAACTACACTACAAGGCTACAGTAACCAATACAGCATGGTACTGGTCAAAACAGACACATAGACCAATGGAACAGAATGGAGAACTCAGAAATAAGACTGCACAGCTACAGCCATCTGATCTTCGACAAACCTGACAAAAAAAAGCAATGGGGAAATGATTCCTTATTTAATAAACAGCGTTGGGAGAACTGGCCAGCCATATGCAGAATATTGAAACTGGACCCCTTTCTTACACCTTATACAAAAATTAACTCAAATTGGATTAAAAACTTAAATGTAAAACCCAAAACTATAAAAACCATAGAAGAAAATCTGGACAATGCCATTCAGGACACGGGCACAGGCCAAGATTTTATGATGAAATCACCAAAAACAATTGCAACAAAAGCAAACATTGACAAATGGGATCAAATTAAACTAAAGAGCTTCTGCACAGCAAAAGAAACGATCATCAGAGTGAAGAGGCAACCTACAGAGTGGGAAATAAGTTTTGCAATCTATCCATCTGACAAGGTGTAATAACCAGAATCTACAAGAGTGTAAACAAATTTATGAGAAAAAAAGCAAAGATCTCCATCAAAAAGTGGGCAAAGGACATGAACGTACACTTCTCAAAAAAAAAAAAAAGACATTCATGTGGCAACAAACATATGAAAGAAAGCTCAACATTACTGATTATTAGAGAAATGCAAATCAAAAACACAATGAGATACCATCTCATGCCAGTCAGAGTGGTGATTATTAAAAAGTCAAGAAACAACAGATGCTGGTGAGGTTGTGAAGAAATAGTAATGCTTTTACACTGTTGGGGGGAATGCAAATTAGTTCAACTATTGTGGAAGACTGTGTGGTGATTCCTCAAAGATCTAGAACAGGAAATACCATTCAATTCAGCAATTCCACTTACATACCCAAATGAATATAAATCATTCTATTACAAAGATACATACATGTGTATGTTCCTTGCAGCACCATTCACAATAGCAAAGACATGGAATCAACCCAAATGTCCATGAGTGATAGACTGGATAAAGAAAATGTGGTGCATATACACCATGGAATACTATGCAGCCATAAAAAGGAATAAGATCATGTCCTTTGCAGGGACATGGATGGAGCTGGAAGCCATTATCCTCAGCAAAATAACCAGGAACAGAAAACCAAACACCGCATATTCTCACTTATAAGTGAGAGCTAAATGATAACACATGGACACATAGAGCAGAGCAACGCACACATTGAGGCCTATCAGAGGGTGGAGGCTGGGAGGAGGGAGAGCAGGAGAAATAGCTAATGCATGCTGGGCTTAAAACCTAGGTGATGGGTTGATAAATGTAGCAAACCATCATGGTACATGTTTACCTATGTAATGAACCTGCACATCCTACACATGTACCCCAGAACTTAAAATAAAAATTAAAATTAATTTAAAAAATAAAATAAAATAAAATAATACTAAGAAAAAAAATAAAATAGTTGGATGATCTGTTAAATTGTAAGCTGCTATTTGAAAAATGCAGTTTTACAGTGGCTCAGAGCTTGAGGAAGACATAGCAAACATGTTTCCTTAGTGGAGATAATAGGGGTACACACCTCATATGATTGTGGTGGGTACTGAATGAAAATCATGGAGAACACTCAACACAGGGCCTGGCACATACTAAGTGTTCAATAAATTGTTGCAGTTGGAAGTTACACATTTTGTGGCAGTGACCTGAGTGGACTGGTCATGTTATCAGCTAGGCATCCAACATTAAGGATTTTTTTCTCCAGGCCAGAGGTTTTTAAACTGCTCTAAAGATCCCCCGATGGTTTCTTTGGGTATCCTTGAGTACAGCCATCAAGGTCACGGTGATGGCCCAAGTGGACAGGGCCCCAGGTTGTCACTCATTTCAAAAAAGTATTTCTGTTTATTAATTATTGTTTATGGTTCCACTTGATGGCCTTTGAATGGAAAAACTCTTTTCAAAAACACCTGAGGGGGAATAAAAGTTGGTTTCTGTCTGAATAGCTGGGCAATCCTTAGAGACTAGAAATCCTTGTGGTGAGAAAAATATTTATGTCTGTTTGCAGGTTGGAGAGTAGGGTGGAGGCAAGGTGAAAACACATCATTTTCCTGAAGGTACACACCACAATCAACATGATATCATGTCTGGGCCAGGAGGTGGGTTAGACAACTAAAAAAGAATTGTCAAAATACAAATCAGCAAGTCCTTTGTTAACATATTGGCAATAACTGAAGATTTCTTCATTAAATAAGTTAATTGCTTTTGTATCAGAAATTGCAGTTGTGTAGGGAAAGAGACAACATGCCAGAGGTATGCACTTGGCATAAAATGGTGCCATTGCTTGAACAGTTCCTAGACCATGAAAGAGGCTGAGGATGGACTTAAAAGGCCAATGTGAGCCCAAGCTTTCAGCCTGGAGAATCACTAGCTGTGTCTGCCTAAGACCAAAGAGCTGAATGAAATCAGTCAGTTGTTTATTCAACATCCCAAAGGAACAGCCAAAGGTTCGGTAACAGGGGCCGAGAGTGTGGCTTTGTGAAACCTCCCTCTGTTGGTGGCATTCAAATAGAGGATATGATGGTTAATATTGAGTGTCAACTTGATTGGATTGAATGATGCAAAGTATTGATCATGGGTGTATCTGTGAGGGTGTTGCCAAAGGAGATTAACATTTAAGTCAGTGGACTGGGAAAGGCAGACCCACCCTCAATCTGGGTGGGCACAATATAATCAGCTGCCAGCATGGCCAGAATAAAAGCAGGCAGAAGAACATTAAAAGACTACACTGGCTTAACCTCCCAGGCTACATCTTTCTCCTGTGCTGGATGTTTCCTGCCCTTGAACATCAAACTCCAAGTTCTTCAGCTTTGGAATTTGGACTGGCTTCCTTGCTCCTCAGCTTGCAGACAGCCTATTGTGGGACCTCACCTTGTGATCGTGTGAGTCAATATTCCTTAATAGACTCTCCTTTATATATACATCTGTTCATTAGTTCTATCCTTCTAGAGAACCCTGACTAACACAGAGGCTCAACAAATCAGGAAATGAAGGAGGTGTTCTCTGGCTTGCCTCTTTCTCAACTTAGCCCCTGGCCCTGAGATCATAAGCTGCTTTCTCAACCGTGTATATTTGGGGGCAGGGAGGGGCTGAGCTATAACCTGCCTCATAGGATAAGGGGTGGTTTTTAATATGTTTGTGGTCAATGCAGACTTATTACTGATGATTAGTGATACTAATCACATGCTGATAGAAAAAATGAGAGGTAAGTTGCGACCTCCACAGTTGGCAGAAAGGCTGTTTATTCAACTCAACGGGCAAAGATGCTACCAGAGGTTGAGGAGTTGGATAGGAGGGAGTAAAATGGAAAGACCTCAAAGTTTACGGGACTCCAGAAAGTCCTAGATCTCCCTCTTAGTAGCTGAGCATTTCTGCACAAGTTCAAATTTATTCATTCATTCATTCAACAAACATTAACTAAGCACCAGCTAAGTGCCAGGCACTGTGCTAATAGTGATTAGATAAATAACCTCACAATTTTACCACGGTAAAGACCATCAGTCAACAAGTATTAGCAAGTACTTTTTTCTGCCAAGCTCTGTGTGAGGCGCTGAGGATGGAACAGTGAACAAGTCAGACAAAGGCTCTACCCCCTAAGGAGCTTACATTCTAGTGGGCAGTTGGTGGAGGGGCATACAAGAAACAAGTAATAAATAAATAAACAAACACTTATGTTAGGTAATTTTCTGGGGGGGAAATGGAATAACATAGTACAGTGTAACTGAAAGGGGGATGGCGACTTAACATAGGGTATTCAGGAAAAGTGTCTCAGCTGAGACCTAAAGGGTAAGAGGAAGCCAAGTATGCAAAGAGGCAAGGAAAGAGTACTTCAGAAAGAGGGAACTTCTATTAAAAAGGCCTTGAAATGGGAAGGTGGTTGAGCTGTTAGGGGAAAAAGAAGTAGGCCACTGCGGCTGGATCATGGTGAGAAAGAGTAGGTGGATGGAGGAGAGTGGTACCAGAAGTGTTAGTGGAGATAGAGAAGGGACTCCTTCTAATTTCATTTTCTTACGTGTAAGTTGGAGATAAAAATAATAGCTAGTTAATCTCTCTAACCCTAGTGCCTAGTACGGAGGGTGGCACAGAGTGGATACCCAATGGGTGTCTACTAGATGTATTCTTTGCCTGATAGATAAGTCAAATTGAGGAGAGGAGGGAGAGACCTACTTAAAAGTATCCCTCTTAATACCTGTGCCAGGTAGTGCTTGGCATAGAGGGTAATGCATGGCAAAAATACCCATTGAGTCACAAGAAAGTCAGCCTATGGCCATGCTCAATGCTGCCTCCAAGAAAGAAAACTGGGTGCTCTGGGCTTGTTACAAAACCAAATTTCCTGGGACCACAAGTGGTTTCTGCTGATGCTCCTGGAGCCTGGGGAAAAGCCTAGTGACTAGGCCAGTGTCTGCGTAGTGTGCTGGGCTATAAAAAGTGTTCAGTTAACAAGTTTAATATTGGTGGCACATGAGGCTCAGGAGGAAGGTTTCTCAGAATCTATTTTTCCATCTAACAGTGTAAAATACCTGATCAGAACCATTGGAAATGATGATCACATGTTAGCAATTGGACTTTCACTTCCTTTACCAGCTCCAAATCAGATATCATTTTCCTCATTTCCCAGGCTTGAAGCCTCAGATCCTAGAGTCATAGATCCTCTGGGCAAGAAGAACCCCAAAGGTCACTTAATCTAAATGCTATGGTCTGAATGTTTCTGTCTCAACCCTGCCCCCGAATTTCATATTTTAAAACCTAATCACCAGGAGTGATGTCAGCAAGATGATGGAATAGGAGGATCCTGACAGTCCCCTCTCCCATAGACATGCCTAGTAGATATCTATACATGGATCAATTTTCTCCAAGAGAAAGCCAAAATCCAGTTGAAAAACTCCTACAAATTTGACAATTGATAAATTATCCACATCAAAACAGACAGGAAAAGTGGAGATACACTCATGCGTTAACCCCACCTTAAGCACACCACTTCGCCATCAGGAAGGAAATCTCAGCTCCCAGCTTTTTCTTGAAGGGTAAGGGGTTTGTACCACACATATAGTGTCCAATATTTATAGTCCCTGATGGAGGGATTGGCTCTTAAAATCAGCTTGCTTGAGGAATGGCAGGGAAAGGTCATTGGAGCATTCCCCTCAAGCACAAAGAACAAAGGGGAGTTTTGAACCACATGAGCACTCTCAGCAGCTGTAGCCCCCAGGATTAGCCCAACTTCTAATTTCCCCCTGTAAAAGATTTGGCTGCACAATTTTCAAACAGCTCCCTGTGGTTCTAGTCTATAACAAGCCAATGTCTGGGAGTCTAGATAGCAGATAAAGAATAAAACAGCCACTGCATAACAAAGGAAACAATGAACAGAGTGAAGAGACAGACATCATGCAGTATGGGAGAAAACATTTGCAAACTTAATGATCCAGAATATGTGAAGAACTCAACTCAACAGCAAAAAACAAACACACACAAATAATCCCTTTAAAAGAAGGGCAAAATATCCAAATAGACATTTCTCAAAAGGAGACATATAGATGGCTAACAGGTATATGAAAAAATGCTCAACATGAGTAAACATCAGTGAAACACAAATTAAAATAACAATGAGATATCATTTCCAGCCCAGTTAAAATGACTATTATCAGAAAGCTGCGGATCATGGCAGACAGGAGGTAGGATTAGACTGTAGCTCTGGATAGAGCAGCATTGCAGAGGCTTGCATTGTGAATTTTAGCTCCAGATTGACTGCAAGAACAAACCAGCAATCTGAGAGGACTTACAGACCTTCTGAAGGAAGCAGCCTTCTCCTGCAGGACCGGGGAGACACCCCAAATACCATGAGTGCCCCAACTGCTGAAGTGGAAAAGGGAGATCCTCAGCTTTCCTGAACACACACCTCCACTGGAGAAGCTGAATGTCTGTTTGTGGGAGACATTCCCAGCTTTATCTGGAGCTAAGTCAAGTTGGAGACCCGAGCCCAGTGAAATACAGGGGTGAAGGAGGTGGCAGGGAGGCCCTGGGAACTCACTGAATCCCCAAGCAGCCCATTCCTGCCTGGCACCACAGGGATCCATCAGGAGGGAGGCCAGAGGAGCAGGGGGTAGAACCCCACTGGGGAGAAGGACTTTTCCAGCTGAACTCTTAAAAAATTTTAGTGGGGCCAGAAGCCTCCTGGCCAGAACTTGGGGGAGGGTGTGAATCCATCTTGCAGACTTCACAGGTAGGGAAAGAACTAAAATCCTTTTCTTTCACAGCTGGGAGGTGGAGAGCCTCAGGTAAGTTTTCAAGCCTGCCCTCCATCTGGAAACAGACTTGGGGCTGTTGCAGGTGGCACAGTGGGAGTGAAACCAGCCCTTTGGTTTGCATGGGAGCTGGGTGAGGCCTATGACTGCTGGCTTTTCCCACTTCCCTGACAACCTGCATGACTCAGCAGAGAGCCATAATCCTCCTAGGTACACAACTCCAGTGACCTGGGAATCTCATCCCATCCTGCACAGCAGCTGCAGCAAGACGTTCCCAAGGAGCCTGAGTTGAGACACACCCAGCCCCGCCCCCACCTGATGGTCCTTCCCTACCCACCCTGGTAGTGGAAGACAAAGGACATATAATCTTTGGAGTTCTAGGGTCCTACCCACTGCCAGTTGCTACAGCTGCTGCTTTCTGGAAAACACCATCTCCTGGCAGGAGTTCAACCAGCACAAAAATAAAGCATTAAACCACCAAAGCTAAGAACCCTCATGAAGTCCATTGCACACTCTGCCACCTCCACCAGAACAGGTGATGGTATCCATGGTTGAGAGACCCATAGATGGTTCACATCACAGGACTCTATGCAGAAACCCCCAGCAGCAGCCAGGAGCTGGGTAGACTTTCTGAGTGACTAAACCCAGAAGAGAGACAACAATCACTGCAGTTTGGCTCACAGGAAGCCACAACCACAGGAAAAGGGGATGAATATTACATCAAGGGAACAGCCCATGGGACAAAAAAATATGAACAACAACCTTCATTCCTAGACCTTCCCTCTGACAGAGCCTACCTAAATGGGAAGGAACCTGAAAACCAACCCTGGTAATATGACAAAACAAGACTTGTCAACACCCCCCAAAAATCACACTGGTTCACCAGCAATTGATCCAAACCAAGAAGAAATCCCTGAGTTACCTGAAAAAGAATTCAGGAGGTTAGTTATTAAGCTAATCAGGGAGGGACCAGAGAAAGGTGAAGCCCAATGCAAGGAAATCCAAAATATGATACAAGAAGTGAAGGGAGAAATATTCAATAAAACAGATAGCTTAAAGAAAAAAACAATAAAAAATTCAGGAGACTTTGGACACACTCTTAGAAATGTGAAATGCTGTGGAAAGTCTCAGCAATAGATTTGAACATGAAGAAGAAAGAAATTCAGAGATTGAAGACAAGGTCTTTGAACTAACCCAACCTAAGAAAGACAAAAAACAAAGAATAAGAAAATATAAACAAAGCCTCCAAGAAGTTTGGGATTATGTTAAATGACCAAACTTAAGAATAATTGGTGTTCCTGAGGAAGAAGACAATTCTAAAAGCTTGGAAGACATATTTGGGAAAATAATCAAGGAAAATTTCCCCAGGCTTTTTAGAGACCTAGACATGCAAATAGAAGAAGCAAAAAGAACATCTGGGAAATTCATTGCAAAAAGATCTTCACCTAGGCATATTGTCACCAGGTTATCCAAAGTTAAGTTGAAGGAAAGAATCTTAAGAGCTGCGAGACAGAATCACCAGGTAATATATAAAGGAAAACGAATCAGATTAACAGCAGACTTTTCAGCAGAAACCCTACAAGCTACAAGGGATTGGGTCCCTATCTTCAACCTCCTCAAACAAAACAATCTTCAGCCAAGAATTTTGTACCCAGCAAAACTAAGCAACATATATGAAGGAAAGATACAGTTGTATTTCAGACAAACAAATGCTGAGCGAATTCACCGTTTCCAAGCCACCACCACTACCAAAAGGAGCTCTAAATCTTGAAACAAATCCTGGAAACACATCAAAACAGAATATCTTTTTTTTTTCTTAATCAATCATTTATTTTCAACATGTGTACTATGAAGAACCTAAGAAATTAGTCAATTTTAATAACCCATAAACATGTTGAATCCATTTGCAGATTTAAATTTTGTATAAATAGCAGTCATTGCATACATATATCAAGTGTACTTTGTTCCTAATCACATTTATGCTACTGATACTCCTCAGAAGAAAACAGATTCTGCTTGGTTCTAGCTTCAGTATTATGAACTCCAAATAATGCTTTGAGGACCTCCAAAGGAAAAACAGATTCTACTAGATTCTAGCTGAAGTATTATCAACTCCAAATTGAAGTTGAAGTATTATCAGCTCCAAATAATGCTTCGAGGTCCTCCAAAAAAAAAGAGATTCTGCTTGGTTGTAGCTGAAGTATTATCAACTCCAAATAACGCTTTGAGGACCTCCAAAGGTAAACCACTAATCCCTTTGGCCATTCATTGAGAGACAGAGAGAGAGAGAGAGTTTTGAGGCAACAATGTACCATTAGTAAAGTTGCTGTGCAAAATTACCCCTCAGTCCTATTCTAAGCTTACAGCTCAGTTGATTTTATTGTCCTCACCTAAGTATATACAATTCACATATGGGAGAAATACACTAAATCAAGATGGTTATTTTCACTATTTTCCTCAAGATTCATATTTAAATATAAATCAAGAAGTTAATCCACAGTTTGAGAGATACTTATATTAGAAATGTTTTTTTAAATGTTAAACTGATACATAATTGTAAATATGGTGTATATACTGTTTCACATACAATGGGTATCGATTAAATCAGTGTAATTAGCACACCCATCAGCTCAAACATTTATCATTTATTTGTAGCAAGAACATTCAATACATTAACTATAGTCACCCTACTCTCTCTCTCTCAATAAACGGCCAAATGGATTAGTACTTTTACCTTTGGAGGTCCTCAAAGCATCATTTGGAGCCAATAATACTTCAGCTAGAACTTATTCCTCCGAATTTAACTTTGTACCCATTAAAAGTGGTTTTGTGTGCAATTAACAGACAGATGTTCTACCCACACATTGTTTTCCAAAATTATTGTATCTTTAAAGCATAAAGCACACAGCACCTATAAAACAAAAATACAAGTTAAAAAGCAAAAACAAAAAACAAAGTATGCAGGCAACAAAGAGCATGCAACAGTACCTCACATTTCTATACTAACATAGAATGTAAATGGCCTAAATGCTTCACTTAAAAGACACAGAACTGCAGAATGGGTAAGAACTCACCAACCATCTGCTGCCTTCAGGAGACTCATTTAACACACAAGGACTCATGTAAACTTAAAGTAAGCGTAAGGTTAGCCAAGAGAAGGAACAAGGAGACCCCAAAGTCAGGCAAGCAAGTTTTTATTAACCTGCTGGGCTGCTCCACTGTGGAGGAGGTAGCCCCGCTTACAGGCTGCTGTGGGGTTTTATAGGGCAAGGTGCTAGGTTGGGGTGGGGGAAACTGAGTAGAGTTGCAGGTGTTTCAACCATTTCCTGGAAATGTTTTTGCCTGCTTGGCTAGGCAAGCTTGGCTAGGCAAGGTGGGCAGATGTCTTAACCACATCCTGGAACTGTTTACCAGTTCTACTGAAAGTCTTGCAGAAGTGGCTGTAGAAAAAGTGGGGAGGTGTTTGTAGGTGGTCACAAAGGACCGTATTGCAAAGGTCATGGAGGAGGAGGAGGGGTAGCTTGGCTCTCTAACATTCCAGCCTTTAATAGGTGATAAAGGAAGAGGAGTGACTTTATCATCTGACTGCTTCTAGCTGTAGAGGGGCGGTGTGCAAGGGGAAAGGCTTGGGGGGCTTGGGATGGTTGTTCTTGAAGCCGCTGGTATGCTTGAAGCAGCAGTATACCTCGCACTGTTCCATGGGTGAAGGTTTTGATGTGGTCCTGTAAAAACTGGATAAGGAGACACATGAAGCAGGGTCCAAAAGCTAACAGAAGAAAGATGGTTATAGCTGGGCCAAGGAGGGGTAGTCGCCAGGGAACCCAGGAGCTGAGGGACCATGAGGACCAGAGGGACCAGGTAGCAGATGTGTTTTCTTTTATTTTTTGGGCTCAATCTTTGAGTTTTTTTACTGCATCTTGAACTAGGCCTGATTTATTGGGATAAAAGCAGCACTGTTCATCTAAAAAGATGCAGAGCCCTCCTTTTTCAGCAGTGAGCAAACCAAGGCCTCTGCGATTTTGAAGGACAACTGCTGCTAAGGAGTCTATCTGTGATTGGAGGGTTGAAACAGTATTAGGTAAGTCTTCCAAACTGTTTGTAAGATCTTGTGAGAGGGAGCAATAGTACATGAGGGAAGTAGAAAGCCCGACCACTCCGGTTCCAACTGCAGTAGTCATTCCTAGTCGTACTAGGATGGGTATTAACTGAACGGCCCTGCATTGGCACACTTGAGTTTTTACAGGGATAGGTAGGTTTTGTTTCCTGGGACAATGTCGATTTTTGGGCTTAGAAAAACCAGAGTACAGGTACCAGTCCAGTTGATAGGGTAGCAGAGGTAGGTGGAGGTACCGCACAGGAAGAATATGCCTTGGCTAGGTAAGTAAAATTGGTTGTGTATGTTAAAAAGATGTGTAAGCTTGTGGTCTTTGTATATCCATGCTCCTAGGGTGCTTGCTAAGGCAGCTGTGTTGAGTGGCTGTAAGGGGGTATTGGGAGACAGTTGGGTTGAACCTGAATTTATGTTTTCCAAGTGGAGGAGAAACCATTTTTTGTCTATCAGAAGGCTGTGGTTATTGTTTAATAGAGGAATTAGGAGACATTTGTTTGTGGTGGGGGGCGGTGAACCTCACAGGGAGATGGAGTCCAGGGTTGAAGGGATAGGCAGGGTAGGTGTCTTCCATTGCAGTAACCTGAATTTATGTTTTATAGTAGAGTGATATTAATTTTTTTGGAGGGGGCAGGAAAGTACATGGTGACCCTAAAGATGGGAAGGCTAATATGGTCAATTGGGCCTTGGAGTTGCACAGTGAAATTCCAGTGATTTGAAGGCAGGTGCCCTAAGAGGTGACCTGAGGGGTGATGGCGCTGGATGCATAGAGGGGCTTGAGAAGTTAAGAAAATGTTAGTGATTATGGTTCTGAGGATTGGCTTGGTATGGTTGGTATAAGGGGCTAGATAATTGAAATAGGGGCACATTAGCAGAACTGCCTGCCCTATTGTGGTGAGAGGTTTGTTTCAGAATAGGAATTGGAGAGATGTATTAAGGACTGTAAATCTGGGTATTGGTAGAGACTGCCCAGTTCATAATGGGGGTGGAAAGTTACTTGAGTAAAAACCCAGCCATGGGTTGAAGCAGGAATTGCGGTGTAAGCTGTAGTTGATAGATAGAAGCAGAACCAGCAGTCACTGGCTAGGGTAGGAATGGCCTGTTTAAGAGTGTAAGATTTAGGGTTTTGTGAGGTTAGTTAGGCATTGGTGGGGGAACGAGAGCTAGAGTGTGGAGGAGTAGAAGGGGTAGACAGGCAAAGGGAAGTAGGAAAGTAAAGAAGTGCATTTCATCTGGAGAAAAATCGCACAAGGCACCTTGGAAGAGAAGATCATCTATCCACTGTAAAAGAGAGTTGAAAGTGGGAGCTTGGGGATAAAACCAAAAACTATCTTGGCAAACAGAGGTGAGGAAGAGGGTGAAGTGGCAATGTAGGCATGGACAGGGCATTTAAGAGTGGTGATTATTATAAACTGTGACTCCAGTTATGAGGATAATGGATAGGCAAGAGGTTAGAGTGACTGGGATTTTTGCCTATTAAGGTGCTACAGTATATAATCCAACTGCAAAGAGTATGGTTAGAATGCTGCTTATTGCGATGGTGGCATAGTGAAAGACTTCCATTATGGATGGTCGGGTAGAGGTAGAGGAGATGTTGAAGATTAAGTTGGGTGTTACTTATCTTTTATAGCTTCAGGTGGAAAGTGGTTCTTCTGAAATATGAGTAAGGCGAAGCTGGGTTCATCCGATGGGGGTGCTGAGATATTTGTGGACGACAATTGGTGGATTGGCTGTGGGTGGGTCAGGTGCAGGAGCCCTCTATAATCTGGAAAGATGGTACCAAGAGGTATGTCCTGAGAGTTTGACTGCAGTGGGAATTGTGACAGTAACTTGGGATGGACCTTCCCACTTGAGCTTGAGACTAGTTGGGTTGAGGGTCTTTAGGAAAATGTGTTCTCCTGGTAGGAGAGTCTGGTTGGTGGGGCGTTCATGGGGTTTTGCGAGAGCTTGGTCCACTTGTTCACGGAGGAGATGGCAGATGAGGGAGAGTGTGGGGAGGTATTCTACTAACTGAGAATCAGATGGGGGCCTGTTTTGTAGGAGGAAGGGATGCCCATACATTAATTCGAATGGGCTGAGGAAGGAGGGTGCTCTTGGACTGGCTCTAATGTGGGCTAGAGCTATGGGCAAAAGAGAAGTCCAGGGTTTTTGGACTTTAAGACTGAGTTTAGTTAACCATGTTTTGAGAATTCCATTTGCCCTTTCAACTTTCCCTGATGACTGGGATCGGTAGGGTATATGGAGGTGCCACTGGACACCGAGGGACTAAGAAGTCTGTTGGGTGATTTGGGAGATGAAGCTAGGGCCATTGTCTAATTGTATGGAGTGGGGGAGGCCAAATCTAGGGATGATTTCTGTTATAAGAATTTGGGAGACTACTGCAGCTTTTTCTGAAGACGTAGGAAATGCCTCTACCCACCCAGAGAAGGTGTCTACAAGGGTCAGAAGAAATTCTGTTTTTTTGATGGGAGGCATGTGGGTTAAGTGCACTTGCCAATCTTCCCCTGGAAGTGTTCCTCGTAGCTGATGCATGGGGTTGGAGGGAGAGCAGAGGGCCTTTTGGGAGGAAGTAACAAAGCATATATGACAGTTGGAGGTTACGTTTTTTAGTGAGGTGAATAAGTTGGGGGAGGAGAAATAAGGATGAAGGAGTAGGTAGAGGGGGCATGCACCAATATGGAAGGATTGCTGAAGAGAAGTTAGAATTTCTTTGGTTTGCTCTTTGGGAAGGGTGAGCTTTTTATTTTTGATTACCCAGTCCCCTTGAAGGGAGTCTCCCTCCTGTAGTAGCAAAGTATTTTTGGTGGGAGAGTACTTAGGTTGAATTGCTGGAGTAATGAGGAGGAGAGGGGCAGGGGCAGACAAGAGGGAGGCTTCCTTTGCTGCCTCATCAGCTTTTCTGTTCCCTCTTGAGATTCATCTGATCCTGTTTGATGTCCTCTACAGTGTATAACTCTTGCTTTAGTTGGGAGGTGGGTGGCCTGAAGGAGTTGATAAATAAGGGGGCTGTTAGTGATGGGGGTTCCTTTGGCAGTAAGGAATCGTCTTTCTTGCTAGATGGCAGCATGGGAATGAAGAATGTGGTAGGCATATTTGGAGTCTGTATAAATGTTGACTCATTTGCCTTTGGAAGGTTTAGGGCCCTGGTGAGAGCTATGAGTTCTGTTTTTTGAGAGGAGGTTCTTCGGTGTAGGTGCTTGGCTTCAATTACTCAGTCAAAGGAAACAACTGCATATCCAGCAATTTTGAGGGAGTTGGTGGGTCCAGAAGAGGAGCCATTTATTAATAGTTGGTCATTGGGGATGGTGAAAGGCTCAGAGGAAAAGTTTGGGAAATGTGGCTGTAGGTGGTCCAAGATATCAGTGCAAGAATGAGTAGGAGGGGAAGAAGATACAGGGAATAAGGATGCTGGGTTGAGGGTAGTATTTTTGGCAAGACTGAATTTGGGATTTTCAATAAAAAGGGCATGAAGTGACTGATTTTGGGGAGGAGAGAGGGAGCTGAAAGCCCAGGAGAAGAGATCCTGTAAATTGTGAGGGCTGTGGATGGTGGTGCTTTGGCTTGATGTTAGTTTTTTCTTTCCAGAGCTAAAACAGCCACGGCTGCTAATGCTCTAAGACAGGTTGGACACCCTTTGACAGTGTTGTCTAATTGTTTAGAGAGTAGGCTACAGGGGCAAAGGAAGGAGGATCCCCTTTCTGTTGTCATAAGACACCAAGGGCTGTCCCTTGGCTTTCAGCAGTGTAGAGAATGAAGGGTTGGGAGACATTGGGTAAGGACAGGGCAGGTTCAGTGACAAGAGCAGTTTGGAATTTTTGGAGACTGGGAAGTATGTTATGTGTGGGGCTTAGAGGTTCATTGAGAGAGCCAGGAGGGCAAAGTTCCTAAAGAAACCTGCCAGTCCTAAGAAAGAGATAATTTCATTTTTTGAGGAAGGCGGAGGCAAGCTGTTTATTAAGGCTGCCTGTGCTGGGGTCATGGCTTGGGCCCTGGGGGAGAGTTGGACTCCTAAGTATATTACTGTTGGGTGGACAGTTGGGCTTTGGAGGGGGAGACCCTATATCCTTTTCTAGCAAGAAACTTTAGAAGGGTAATTGTGTGAGTTTGAGAGTCTTTTAGGGAGGGGCTGCAGAGAAGAAGATCATCTACGCATTGAAGGAGACAGCTGGGGGAAAGGTCTAAGGAGGTGAGGTCTTGGGCTAGAGCTTGTCCAAATAAGTGAGGGCTGTCCCTGAAGCCTTGAGGGAGGACAGTCCATGTGAGTTGTGATTAAAAGGTGTCAGGATTAGTCCAGGCAAAGGCAAAGAGATTTTGGGAATCAGGGTGTAGGGGAATGGTAAAGAAGGCATCCTTTAAGTCAATTGCAATGTAGTGGGTGGTATTAGAGGGGATGAGAGAGAGAAGTGTATAGGGATTAGGGACTATGGGATGAATAGGGAGGACAGCCTGGTTGATGGCTTGGAGATCCTGGACAAGTCAGTACAAGCCATCTGATTCCTTAACAGGGAGGATGGGGGTTTTATATGGAGACTGAGTGGGTCTAAGGAGACCGCATGAGCAGAGTTTGTTTATAATGGGCTGCAGGCCTTTTTGGTGGGTGAGAGAGATGGGGTATTGGGGTAGGTTGTGAAATTTGGAGAGGTCTTTTAAGTGGATTTTGATGGGATCATGGTGAGCAGCTAGGGATGGGTGGTGCTGTCCCACACTACTGGGTTAACAAGAGAGGCAGGGAGTGGGTACTGGGGAGAGAGGTCAGGTGTCGGACTAGCAGAAAGGAGCAGGAGAGACTCTGGTTGAGGGAGGCAGGAAAAGGTGATAAAAGCCTTAAATTTGGCTAAGAGGCTTCAGCCTAGAATGGGGGTAGGGCAGTGAGGCATGATAAGGAAAGAATGTGAGAAAATGGTATTAAACAGGGAGCAGTACAGGGGTCTGGTGGCATGGGGATTGGAGACAAGTCCATCAACTCCCACAACTGAGACTTGAGAGGGATGAGTTGGTCCTACAAATTCAGGTAAATCTGAATAGGTGGCCCCAGTATTGATTAAAAAAGAGATCCGCTTACCTGCCTCTAGTAGAGTTACCCTGGGCTCCAATGCAGTGATGGCAGAGGGTGCTGGGGCCATGGGCCCCGTCAGTCTTCAGTGGCCAGGCCAAGGAGTTGCAGGAGTATGAGTGATTATCTACTCTTCAGCTTGATGAGGGGACAGTGGCTCGGGGGGCCAGGCTTTTCTGTTTGCGGGTTAAGAGGGCAGTCAGATTTCCAGTGGCCTGTTTCTTGGCAGACTGGGCAGGAGCTTTTCGGTACTCATGGGTTAGGACATGCCCATGCCCAGTGGCCTTCTTTGCCACTCTTAAAGCAGGAGGAAGACTGCTATCGGGTCCTTTGTGCCCTTGGGTGCTATTGCCAGGTTGGCAAATAGCCATGGCTAGTAGCTGGTATTTGGCACAATCTCATTGGGCCTTATTTATTTTTTCCTGCTCATCCCTATTATTGAAGACTTTGAAAACCAGGTTGAGAAGGTCTCGTTGTGGGGTTTGAGGGCCTTCTTTAGCTTTTAGAGTTTGTGCCAGATGTCGGGAGCTGATTGGGAGATATAATGGGTATTAAGTACTATAGTCTCTTCTCGGGAAGTAGGAATACACGGGTGTATTTTTGGAGAGCCTCTGTAAGGCGGGAGAGAAATTCAGCAGGACTTTCATCTGCCCTCTGGGAAATCTCTTTGACTTTTTCAAAATTTACAGCTTTATGGGCAGCTTTGTTAAGGCCTGCGATGAAGCAAGTAATCATATGGTTACAGGATGCCCAGCTAGGGTCTGTGGGTTGGTATTCCCAGGGGGGCTCTTCTCAGGGGACTGCCGTGGCCCCTACTGGCTTAGAAGGATCTTGCTGATAGAGGTAATTAGCGTGTGCTTGGGCCATGAGCCACACTCTCCTTTTCTTCTGGAAGGAAGGTAGAAGAGAGAATGATATAGAGATCATGCCAAATAAGTTCATAGGAATGGGTGAGACTTTTCAACTCTTTGATATAAGTATTGGGATTGGAGGAGAAGGACTTGAGACACATCAATTTGGGAAAGATCGGTAAGAGAGAAAGGAACATGGACATGGACAATTTCTTCAGCCCCTGCAACCTCCTGGAGGGGAAGTATGGGATCTGGTTGTTGGGCATGTTGGGTCTGAGAGTGGATAAGGGGTAGAGACAGGACTCAGAATCAGAAGTGGGGTGGTTAGAGAGAGGGGGTAAGAGGGTCAATGCTGGGGCAGGAGTGTATGGTGGAGGGTCACGATGTTCTGGAGGAGGAACAGGATGAGGCCAGGGAATGAAAAAGTCTGCAGGGTCAAAGAAGGAGTCGTCAGTTGGTACAGAAGGGGGGTATGCTGAGAGCAAGTCAGGTTTAGAATGGGTGAGTAGGATTTGGAAAGTGGAGCAGGATTGGCAAAGGGAAGGGCAGTTATGGAAGGTGAAGAAAGCCTGAACATAAGGAATTTCAGACCATTTCCCACTGCAATGGCAAAAATTGTCTAAGTCCCTGAATATATTGAAAACGAAAGTACTATTTTTAGGCCACTGGGAGCCATTGTCTAATTTACATTGTGGCCAAGCCACATTACAGTAGAAAATAAGCCTCTTGGGATGAAGCTCTGAATGAAGCCTGAGAGTGTTAAGGTTGTGCAAGAGGCACCCCAGAGGGGTAGTTTTAGACAGAGTAGACTGAGAGGCTCCCATAGTGAATGGAGGATGGGGCAGAGGAAGAAGAGACTGCCAGTGGCAAGGACAGTGGGAGAGAGTGTCCCCAGTCCTGCAGGCCTTGTTTAGTATACAGAAGGCAACTACTGAGTCAGGTGTCACTCAAATGGAGGAGCCATAGGCCTAGAGGCTGGAGGGAGCCCTTGGCCCAGCACTGGGTTTTTCAGGAAGACAGAGATGGTCAAGTGTCCCAGGTAAATGGCAAGAGTCTCTCTTACTCACCCCTGTGTAGACTCTAGTGATGAATGAAGTTGCCAACAATGGGAGTGTCCAATAAATCCTCCAGGTCTTTGGCAGGTTCAGGAAGGGGAGAGTGGCTGGAAAATAAGGAAGGGAACCAAGGCTCTAGCGCATCCCAATGAGTGAGCCCAGGAGGAGTGAGGGGGTGAAAGGGGGAGGGAAAAGGAGATAGAGAGTATGCTCTAGGGACACCCGGCCAGAGCCTACCCCTTCCCGGGTTTTGGCACCAAAATGTAGGGTTAGCCAAGAGAAGGAACGAGTAGACCCCAGAGTCGGGCAAGCAAGTTTTTATTAACCTGTCGGGCTGCTCCACTGTAAACAGAGGAGGCAGCCCCACTTACAGGCTGTTGTGGGGTTTTATAAGGCAAGAGGCTAGGGTGGGGTGGGGGAAACTGAGTAGGGTTGCAGGTGTTTCATCCATTTCCTGGAAATGTTTTTGTCTGCTCAGCTAGGCAAGCTTGGCTAGGCAAGGTGGGCAGATGTCTTAACCACATCCTGGAACTGTTTACCAGTTCTACTGAAAGCCTTGCAAAAGTGGCTGTAGAAAAAGGGGAAGGGGTGTTTGTAGGTGGTCACAAAGGACTGCATTGCAAAGGTCATGGACGAAGAGGAGGGGTAGCTTGGATCTCTAACAGTAAGTGGGTGGAAAAAGGCATTTTATGCAAATGGACACCAAAAGCGAGCAGAGGTAGCTATTTTTATATCAGACAAAACAAACTTTAAAGCAACAGAGGCTAAAAGAGACAAAGAGGGACATTATACAATCGTAAGAGGACTTGTCCAACTGGACAATATTACAATCCTAAACAAATATGTACCTAACACTGGAGCTCCTAAATTTATAAAACAATTACTATTGTACCTAAGAAATTAGATACATGGCAACACAATTATAATGGGGGGATTTAATACTACATCGAAAGCACTAGATAGGTCATCAAGACAGAAAGTCAACAAAGAAACAATGGATTTAAACTATACCTTGGAACAAATGCACTTAACAGATACATACAGAACACTTCATCCACAAGCACAGAATACACATTTTATTCAACAGCTCATGGAACTTTCTCCAAGATAGACCATAAAATAGGCTGTAAAATAAACCTCAATACATTTAAGAAAATTGAAATTATGTCAAGTAATCTCTCAGATCACAGTGGAATAAAAGTGTGAATCAACTTCGAAAGGAACCCTCAAAACCGTGCAAATACATGGAAATTAAATAACCTGCTCTTGAATGAGCACTGGGTCAAAAATGAAATCAAGATGGAAATTTAAAAAAATTCTTCAAACTGAATGACAATAATGGCATAACCTATCAAAACCTGTGGGATACAGCTAAGGCAGTGCTAAGACAAAAGTTCATAGCCCTAATTGCCTACATCAAAAAGTTTGAAAGAGCACAAACAGGCAATCTAAGGTCACATCCCAAGGAAACAGAGAAAAAAGAACAAACCAAACAGAAACCCAGCAGAAGAAAGGAAATAACCAAGATCAGAGAAGAACTAAAGGAAATTGAAACAAAACAAAACAAAAATTACAAAAGATAAATGAAAGAGCTGGTTCTTTGAGAAGATAAATAAGATTGATAGACTATTAGCAAAATTAACCAAGGAAATAAGAGAGAAAATCCAAATAACCTCACTGAGAAACAAAACAGGAGATACTACAAGTGACACCAGTGAAATACAAGAGCTCATTCAAGGCTACTATAAACACCTTTATTTACATAAACTAGAAAACCTAGAAGATTTGGATAAATTCCTAGAAAGATACAACCCTGCTAGCTTAAATCAGGAAAATGTAGATACCCTGAGCAGATCAATAACAAGCAGTGAGATTTAAATGCTAATTTATAAATTACCAACAAAAAATTCGAGGACCAGAAGGATTCCCAGCAAAATTTTACCAGACATTTAAAGAAGAAGGATTGGTACAAATACTTTTGACACTATTCCACAAGAAAGAGAAAGAAGGAATCCTCCCTAATTTATTCTATGAAGGCACTATCACCCTAATGCCCAAACCAGGAAAAGATACAACCAAAAAAGAAAACTACAGATCGATATCTTTGATGAACATAGACTCTAAAATCCTTAACAAAATACTAGCTAACTGAATCCAACAACGTATCAAAAAGATAATCCACCATGATCAAGTGGGTTTCATACCAGGGATGCAGGCATAGTTTAACATACACAAGTCAATCAATGTGATTCACCACATAAACAGAAATAAAAACCAAAGTCACATGATCATCCCAATAGATGCAGAAAAAGCATTTGACAAAATCCAGCATCCTTTATGATCAAAACCCTCAGCAAAATTGGCTTACTAGGGACATACCTTAATGCAATAAAAGCCATCTATGACAAACCCACAACCAACATAATACTGAATGGGGAAAAATTCAAAGCATTCCCCCCTGAGAATGGGAACAAGATAAAAATGCCCACTCTTACCACTCCTCTTCAACTTAGTACTGGAAGTCTTTTCCAGAGCAATCAGACAAGAGAAAGAGATATAGGGCATCCAAATCGGTAAAGAGGAAGTCAAACTGTTTCTGTTTGCTGACGATATGATAGTTTTACCTTGAAAACCCTAAGGACTCCTCCAGAAAGCTCTTAGAACTGATAAAAGAATTCAGCAAAGTTTCTGGATACGAGATCAGTATACACAAATCAGTGGGTCTTCTATACACCGACACTTACCAAGCAGAGAAACAAATCAAGAATTCAACCCCTTTTACAACAGCTGCAAAAAGAATTAAAATAATTAGGAATATACCTAACAAAGGAGTTGAAAGACCTCTACAAGGAAAACTACTAAACACTTCTAAAAGAAATCATAGATGACACAAACAAATGAAAACACATCCCATACTCATGGATGGGTAGAATCAATATTGTGAAAATGACCGTACTGCCAAAAGCAATCTACAAATTCAACACAATCCCCATCAAAATATCACCATCATTCCTCACAGAGTTAGAAAAAAAAATTCTAAAATTCACATGGAACCAAAAAAGAGCCCACATAGCCAAAGTGAGACTAAGCAAAAAGAACAAACCTGGAGGCATCACACTACCTGATTCCAAACTATACTATAAGGCCATAGTAACCAAAACAGCTTGGCACTGCTATAAAAATAGTCACATAACCAATGGAATGGAATAGAGAACACAGAAATAAATCCAAATACTTACAGCCAGTAGATATTCAACAAAGTAAACAAAAACATAAAGTGGGGAAAGGACACCCTTTTGAACAAATGGTGCTAGGATAATTGGCTAGCCACATGTAGGAGAATGAAACTGGATCCTCATCTCTCACCTTATACAAAAACCAACTCAAGATGGATTAAGGAATTAAACCTAAGAACTGAAATATAAAAATTCTAGATGATAACATTGGAAAAACCCTCCTTGACATTGGCTTAGCAAAGATTTCATGACCAAAAACCCAAAAGCCATTGTAATAAAAACAAAGATAAATAGCCGGGACCTAATTAAACTAAAGAGCTTTTGCATGGCAAAAGCAACAGTCAGCAGAGTAAACAGACAACCCACAGAATGAGCAAAAATCTTCATAATCTATACATGTGACAAAGAGCTAATATCCAGAGTCTACAATGAACTCAAACAAATCAGTAAGAAAAAAAACCAATCTCATCAAAAAGTGGGCTAAGGACATGAATAAAGAATTCACAAAAGAAGATATAAAAATGGCCAACAAACATATGAAAAAATGCTCAACATCACTAATAATCAGAGAAATGCAAATCAAAACCACAATGCGATACCACTGTACTCCTGTAAGAATGGCCACAATCAAAGAATTAAAAAAACTGTAGATGTTGGCATGGATGCGGCCATCAGGCAACACTTTTACACTGCTGGTGAGAATGTAAACTAGTACAGCTGCTATGGAAAAGAGTATGGAGATTCCTTAAATAGCTAAAAGTAGAACTACCATTTGATCCAGCAATCCCACCACTGAGTATCTACCCAAAGGAAAAGAAGTCATTATTCGAAAAAGATACTTGGACATGCGTGTTTATAGCAGCACAATTTACAATAGCAAAATGGTGGAACCAACCCAAATGCCCATCAATCAACCAGTGGAGAAGAAAAATCTCTGAGATATATATATATATATGTGTGTATATATATATATATGTACACATACATGTATATATATATGTACACATACATGTATATATATGTACACATACATGTATATATATGTACACATACATGTATATATACATACATGTCTATATATATACATGTATATATATGAGATATATATATGAGATCTATATGTGAGATATATGTATATCATATATATGAGATATATATATGATATATATATGATATATATATGATATATATGAGATATATATGATATATATGATATATATATGAGATATATATATGATATATATATGAGATATATATATATATGATATAGATATATATATATATATATGATGGAATACTACTCAGCCATAAAAAGGAATGAATTACTAGCATTTGCAAAGACCTGGATGAGATTAGAGACTATTATTCTAAGTGAAGTAACTCAGGAATGGAAAATCAAACATCGTATATTCTCACTGATATATGGGTGCTAAGCTATGAGGATGCAAAGGCATAAGAATGATACAATGGACTTTGGGGACTTGCGGGGAAGAGTGGGAGGGGGCGAGGGATAAAAGACAACAAATATGGTGCAGAGTATACTGCTTGGGCAATGGGTGCACCAGGTTCTCACAAGTCTCCACTAAAGAACTTACTCATGTAACCAAATACCACCTGCACCCCAATAAATAATTTTTTAAAAAAATGGCTATTATCAAAAAGACAAAAAAAAACCTCAGGATTTGGTGGATGTGGAGAAAAGGGAACTGTATCTACACCGCTGGGAAAAATATAAATTAGTACAGTCTTTATGGAAAGCAGTATGGAGATTTCTATAAAAAAGTAAAAATAGAATTATCATATAATTCAGAAATCCCAGTATTGGTTATTTATCCAAAGGAAAGTAAATAAGTATATCAAGGGGAAACCTGCACTCCTATGTTTATTTCAGCACTATTCACAATTGCCAAGATAAAAAAATCAATCTAAGTGTCCATCAATGAATGAATGGATAAAGAAAATGTAGTATATGAGAGGACTTAAAAGTGTGGAAAAATAAAATTAAAATATAAAAATGAAAAATATGAACTTTATTTTTTAACATAACCTAGAAGAAAGAAAGAAAATTTCTAGAAACAAGCATTTAAAGAATAACTAATATCTATCTTTCTCCAACTCCTTCAGAAAAATGAAGAAAAAATACTTTCAAATTCATTCTACAAGGCCAGCATCATGCTAATACTCAAGCCAGACTATGACACTACAAGAAAAGAAAACTACAGGCCAATATCTCTGATGAATTTAGATGCAAAATGCTCAAGAAAATATTAGCAAACTAAATTCAACAGCACATTAAAAAATTATTCATCATAATCAAGTGGGAATTATTCTAGGGATGCAAGGATGCTTCAACATATGCAATCAATCAATGTGATACATCACATTAACAGAATGAAGGATGAAACCACATGATAATCTCAATATATGCAGATATAGCTTTTGACAAAAATCCAACATCCTGTCATGAAGAAAACTCTCAATGGGTATAGAAGGAATGTACCTCAACACAATAAAGGCCATATATAACAAGCCCACAGCTAATGTCATACTCAATGATTAAAAAGGGAAAGCTTTCCCTTTAAGATCAGGAAAAAGACAAGAAGCCAAATATATTCAACATATTACTGGAAGTTTTATGGAGAGCAAATAGACAAGAAAAAGAAATAAAAAGGTATCCAGATAGAAAGGGAAATAAGGCCAGGCACTGTGGCTCATGCCTGTAATCTCAACACTTTGGCAGGCCGAGGAAGACGAATCACTTCAGTTTGGGAGTTCAAGACGATCCTGGCCAAAATGGAGAAACCCCGTCTCTACTAAAAGTACAAAGATTAGCTAGGCGTGGTGGCGAGCACCTGTAATCCCAGTTACTTGGGAGGCTGTGGCAGGAAAATAACTTAAGCCCAGGAGGGGAAGGTTGCAGTGAGCCGAGATTGCACCACTGCACTCCAGCCTGGGTAACAGAGTGACACTCCATTAAAAAAAAAAATGTAAAATGTTCTGTGCTTGCTAATGACATAGTTTTATATAATGAAAACCCTAAAGACTTTACCAAGAACTGTTAAATAAGTTTAATAAAATTACAGAATACAAAATAAATATTAAAAAACCAGTAGCATTTGTACACACCAACAGCAAAGTATTTGAGAAGAACTTTAAAAATGCAATTCCATTTACAATGACATCAAAAAATAAAACAACTTCGAGTAAATTTAAGCAAACAGGTGAATGATCTGTACATTAGAAACTATAACACATCAAAGAAAGAAATAGAAGAAGACCCAAATAAATGTAAAGATAAACTGTGCTCATGGATTGGAAGAATAAATATTGTTTAAATGTCCATACTACTGAAAGCTACATACAGATTCAATGGAATCCCTTTCAAAATTCCAACGTCATTTCTCACAGAAATAAAAAAAATACTATTCTCAAATTCATATGAAATCACAAAATAGCCTAAATAGCCAAAGCAATCTTGAAGAGAAAAAATAAAGCTGAAAGCATCACACTCTCTGATTTCAAAATATAAACTTTTTGTACTCAAAATAGCATGGTACTGGCATAAAGCCAGACACACCAACCAATAAAAAAGTATAGAAAGCCAAGAAATAAACCCAAGTATTTACAGTCAGTTGATTTTTGACAAAGATGCCAAGAACATCCAGTGGAAAAAGGACAGTCTTAAATAAAAATGATTTTAGAAAAACTTAAATATCCACACGCAGAAGAATAAAGTTGAATCCCTGTCTTACACTTTATAGAGAAATGAACACAAAATAGATTAAAGACTTCAACAAAATCTTGAAACTGTAAAACTACTAGAATAAGGCAAAGATCAAAGCACCACAACATTGGTCTGGTCTGGGCAATGATTTCTTGAATAGGACTCCAAAAGCAGAGGCAGGAAAAGCAAAAATTGACAAATTGGATTACACCAATATTTCAGAGAAGAAAATAAAATAATTAACAGAGTCAGGAGACATCACAGAGATTGGGAGAAAATACTTGCAATCCATATATCTGATGAGGGGATTATATAAAAAATATATGAGGTTCAAGACTAAATCAGGAAGAAATTGAATCCCTAAACAAACCAGTAACAAGCTTTGAAATTTGATTGTATAGCCTACCGACCAAAAAGAGTCCAAGACCAGATAGTTTCACAGCTGAATTCTACCAAATGTAGAAGAGCAGGTACCATTTCTTCTGACACTATTCCAAAAAATTGAAGAGAAGGGACTCCCCTGTAACTCATTCCATGATATCAGCATATCCTGATACCAAACTCTGGCAGAGACAAAACAATAAAAAAAATTTCTGGCCAATATCTTTGATGAACACTGATGCAAAAGTCCTCAACCTTTTCAAGAGTAATGCTTCCAGATTTTGCCCATTCAGTATGATGTTGGCTGTGGGTTTGTCTTAGATGGCTCTTATTATTTTAAGGAATGTTCCTTCAATAACTTGTTTATTGAGAGTTTTTAACGTGAAAGTGTGTTGAATTTTATCAAAAGCCTTTTCTGCATCTTTGAGATAATCATGGGCTTTTTGTCTTTAATTCTGCTGATATGATTAATACATTTATTGATTTGCATATGTGGAACCAACCATGCATCTTAGGAATAAAGCTTAATTGATTGTGGTGGATAAGATGTTTGATGTGCTGCTGGATTCAGTTTGCCATTTATACAAAAATTAACTCAAGATGGATTAAAGACTTAAATATAAGACCTAAAACCATAAAAACCATAGAAGAAAACCTAGGCAATACCATTCACGACATAGGCCTGGTCAAAGACTTCATGACAGAAACACCAAAAGCAATGGCAACAAAAACCAAAATTGACAAATGGCATCTGATTAAACTAAAGAACTTCTGCACAGCAAAAGAAACTATCATCAGAGTGAACAGGCAACCTACGGAATGTGAGAATATTTTTACAGTCTATCTATCTGACAAAGGCTTAATATCCAGAATCTACAAAGAACTTAAACAGATTTACAAGAAAAAAATAAGCAACCCCATCAAAAAGTGGGCAAAGGATATGAACAGACAGTTCTCAAAAGAAGATATTTTTGTAGGCAAAAAACATATGAAAAAAAGCTCGTCATCACTGGTCATTAGAGAAATACAAATCAAAACCATATGAGATACCATCTGATGCCAGTTAGAATGGCAGTCATTAAAATGTCAGGAAACTGATGCTGGAGAGGATGTGGAGAAATAGGAACACTTTTGGTGGGAGTGTAAATTAGTTCAACCATTGTGGAATACAGTGTGGTGATTCCTCATGGATCTAGAACCAGAAATACCATTTGACCCAGCAATCTTATTACTGGGTATATACCCAA
Organism: Homo sapiens; assembly: GCF_000001405.40. Lineage (NCBI taxonomy): Eukaryota > Metazoa > Chordata > Mammalia > Primates > Hominidae > Homo > Homo sapiens. The sequence continues at coordinate 64,834,572 of NC_000023.11, read as the reverse complement.
AGGATTATAAATCATTCTAATATAAAGACACACGCACATGTATGTTTATTACAGCACTGTTTACAATAACAAAGACTTGGAACCAATCCAAATGCCCATAATTTACAGACTGGATAAAGAAAATGTGGTACTTATACACCATGGAATACTATGCAACCATAAAAAGGATGAGTTCATGTCCTTTGCAGGGACATGGATGAAGCTGAAAACCATCATTCTCAGCAAACTGACACAAGAACAGAAAACCAAGCACTGCATGTTCTCACTCATAAGTGGGAGTTGAACAATGAGAACACAGTACACAAGGAGGGGAACATCACATACTGGGGTCTGTCAAGGGGTGGGGGCTAGGGGAAGGGTAGCATTAGGAGAAATACCTAATGTCGATGATGGGTTGATGGGTGCAGCAAACCACCATGGCATATGTATAACAATGTAACAAACCTGCATGTTCTGCACATGCACCCCAGAACTTAAAGTATAATGATAAAAAAAGACTTCAGCAAAATCTCATGATAGAAAATCAACGTAAAACTTTTACTAGCACTTATATACATCAACAACAGTCAAGCCAAGAGCCAAATCAGGAAACAGTCTCATTCAAAATTGCCACAGAAAGAATATAATACCTAGGAAAACAGCTAACCAGGGAGGTGAAAGATCTTTACAAGTAGAACTAGAAAACCCTGCTCAAATAAATCAGAGATGGGGCAAATAGAAAAACATTCCATGTGCATGGATAGGAAGAATCAATATTATTAATATGGCCATACTGACTAAAGAAATTTATAGATTCAATGCTATTTCTACTAAACTGCCAATCACATTCTTTACAGTACTAGTAAAAAACTATTTTAAATCTCATATGGAACCAAAAGAAGCCTGAATAATCAAGGAACTCCTATGCAAAAAGGGCAACACTGGAGGCATCATGCTACACAACTTCAAACTACAGGGCTACAGCAAGCAAAACAGCATGGTACTCGTACAAAAACAGACACATAGACCAATGGAACAGAACAGAGAACCCAGAATTAAAGCCGCACAGCTACAACTATCTGAACTTTGAAAAGCTGAAAAAAACAAGTAACGGGGAAAGAATTCCCTATTCAATAAATGGTGCTGGGAGAACTGGCTAGCCATATGTAGAAGATTGAAACTGGACTTTTTCCTTACATCGTATACAAAAATTAACTCAAGATGGATTATAGACTTAAATGTAAAACCCAAAACTATAAAAGCCCTGGAAGACAACCTAAGATTTCATGATGAAGACACCAAAGAAATTCCAACAAAAGCAAAAATTGACACTAATTAAACAGCTTCTGCACAGCCAAAGAAACAGATTGATCAGAAAGCCTACATTATGGGAGAAAATTTTTGCAAACTATGCTACTGAGAAAGGTCTAATATCCAGCATCTACACAGAACTTAAACATATTTACCACAAAAATCTGAACAACCCCATTTAAAAGTGGGCAAAGGACATGACCAGATAGTTCTCAAAAGAAGACATACATGTGGCCAACAATCACTTGAGAAAAAAAAGCTAAACATCACTGATCATTAGAGAAATACAAATGAAAACCACAATGAGATACCATCTCAAACCAGTCAGAATGACTATTTTTTACAAGTCAAAAAATAACAGATGCTGGTGAGGTTGTAGAGAAAAACAAATGCTTATACACTATTGGTGGGAGTGTAAATTAGTTCAGCTATTGTGGGAGACAGTGTGGTGATTCCTCAAATACCTAAAAAAAGAAATATCATGCAACACAGCAGTCCCATTACTGGATATACACTCAAAGGAATATAAATAGTTCTTTCATAAAGACATGCATGCATATGATCATTGCAGCACTATTCATGACAGCAAAGGCATGGAATCAACCTACATGCCCATCAATGGTAGACTGAAGAAAGAAAATGTGGCACATATACACCATGGAATACTATGCAGACATAAAAATGAATGAGATCATGTATTTTGCTGGGACATGGATGAAACTTGAGGGCATTACCGTTAGCAAACTAATGCAAGAACAGAAAATCAAATACTGCATGTTCTCACTTATAATTGAGAGCTAAATGATGAGAATGCATGGACACATAGAGGGGAGAAACATACACATTGAGGCCTATCAGAGGGTGGAGGGTTGGAGGAGGGAGAGGATCAGAAGATAAATAACTAATGGGTACTAGGATTAATACCTGGGTATGAAATATTCTGTACAACAAACCCCCATGACACAAGTTTACCTATATAACAAACCTGTGCATATACCCCAAAATTAAAATAAAAGTTAAATTTAAAAAACACCTTTAGTAATGTAGTACTTCTTAAAAGATATGTATGCTATATATATATATATATATTTATATGCTGTACATGCTATGTATAGTGCAATATATATATAAATATATGCTGTATATGCTATATACAGTGCAATATATATAGCATTACAATTCTATGTATACAGAACTCAAGCAACTCAATATCAAGAAAGCACATAACCCAATTTAGAAATGGGCCAAGGAGGTGAAAAGACATTTTACAAAAGAAGACATACAAATGGCCAACATATAAATGAAAATATGCTCAACACCACTAATCATCTGGGAAATGCAAATTAAAACCACAATGAGATATCACCTCATACCTGTTAGAATGGCTACTATGAGAAAGATGAAAGATAGTATGTGCTGGCAAAAACATGGAGAAAAAAAGACCCTGGTACACTGTTGTTGAAAATGTAAATTAGTACAACCATTATGGAAAGCACTTTGGAGATTCCTAAATAAACTAAAAATAGAAATATCTATGGAAAGCACTTTGGAGATTCCTAAATAAACTAAAAATTAGTACAACCATTATGGAAAACACTTTGGAGATTCCTAAATAAACTAAAAATAGAACTATCATATGACCCAGCAATCCCACTTCTGAGTATATATCCAAAGGAATTGAAATTGGTATGGCAAAGAGATGTCTGAACTCCCATGTTTATTGCAGTATTATTCACTACACCCAATATATGGAAGTAATGTAAGTGTCTAGGAATAGATGAATGAATAGAGAAAATGTGGTATATATTAACAATGGAATACTATTCAGCTTTAAAATGGAAGGAAATTCTATTATTTGCAACAACATGGGTGAACTTGGAGAATATTATTCTAAGCAAAATAAGCCAGGCATGGAAAACAAAATATTGTACGATTTTACTTACATGTAGAATCTGAAAACAGTCAATCTCATAGAAACAGAGAGTAGAAAGGTTACCAGAGCAGTGGGGACAGGGAGAAAAAGACAAATGGGACACAATGATCAAAGGGCACCAAATTTCAGTCAGAATGGAGAAATAAGTTTTAGTGATGTATTGCACTGCGTGGGGACCACAGTTAATAATAAGGTGTTGTATATTTCAGAACTGCTAAAAAGAACAGATTTTTAATGTTCTCAGCACAAAAACACCATAAGTTGGTGATGTGATGGATATGTTAATTAGCTGGATTTAGTCTTTGTACAATGTGTACATGGATTAAAGCATTACATTGTAACACATAAATATACAGAATTATTTGTTAATTAAAAATAAATAAAAATCTCTGTCCTCACCTTTGAATGTTCTCAGTGAGTGTTACGTCATAAGTGAAGACAGTAAATTCACTAAAAATATATATTTTTTATAAAAACATAGTTACCACTCTGATGGTGTTGAAAGATGGGGCCTTTAGGAAGTGACTACGTCATGAGAGCTCCACCCTCATGAATGAAATTGGTGCCCCCTTGAAAAAGAGACCTCAGAGAACTACATAAACTCTTCCACAATTTGAGAACACAGCAAGAAGGTGCTGTCTGTGAGAAATAGGCACTCACCAGACACTGAATCTGTGGGTGTCTTGATCTTGGACTTCTCTGGCTCCAAAACTGTAAGAAATAAATTTATGTTGTTAACATGCTATTGAATGTATGACTTATGAAGGTTTTATTTAAGATTTTTCAACTTTATGATAGTGTAAAAGTAATACACTTTCAGTATAGAATTCAATAAATTACATAAGATATTCAACATTTTATTCTAAAATCAGCTATGTATTAGAAAATTTTGCCCAACTGTGGGAGCATGTGAGTGTTCTAAGCATGTTTAAGGTAGGCTAGGCTAACCTATGATGTTCAGAATGTTATATGTAAATGCATTTTTGACTTAGGATATTTTCAACTTACAACAAATTTAACAGGACATAACCCATCATAAGTCAAGAAACATCTGTATTTTGTTATAGCAGCCCAAAAGGACCAAGACACCAACCTCCCCACTCTCAGCTGGATGTAATCACTTCTCTCTTAGACACTGATTATGCCTCAATTTATTCTGTATCTCTGCTGAAGAACAAGAGTGGCCATGAATGATGTGCTTCCGGTGTTCCAGACTCTTGGCTAGGCTCTTTGCACACATTATACCACATGGACCTCAAAAAAACTCCAATTCAGCAAATGTGGAAACTGAAACTTAGAGAGGTGGAGGGATTTGTGCAAGGGTACACAGTCCATTTCTGCACCAGTATTCATGTTTTGTTTTCCATGACATCATACTGTCACTAGTTGTGAAGTTTTTAGATTTCTCCAGTGACAGGGAACTCATATCTCTCCAGAGGAATCTAATTTCATTCATGGATACCTCTGAGAGTAGAAAGCTGAAATTGGTTCCCTATGTCTTCCACTCTTGGGTTCTCATAGAATGAATGATTAGACTTTAGAGACCTGAAGACAAAGACCAGGCTCTTCGAGTGTTTATCCTAAATCCTGGACTTAAGTCCTCTCTACAGTTTGCTCCTTTCTTTCTGAACTTGCACCAGTGTCCTTTGATTCTTGTACCTTAATTACACCCTTTCCCTTTGCCTCCCTATATAATGAATTCTTACAATTTTATGTTCCTTTGGCAATCATTTTAAATACAAAATTCACTTTCCTATATCAGAAGCAGTGTTTGGTTACCCTTTTACTTTTGCAGACAGAGGAAAGATAAAATAATATACCATCATAAAACCTGCATTGTAAGAAATTTTAACGGAAGTCCTTCAAGCAGAAGAAAAATGACAGCAGAGGAAAAAATATATTTAAGCAAAGGAACAAAAAGCACCGAAAATGGTAACTACGTTTATTAAGTAGCATTTAAAAACTACTTATTATTTAAAATAGTTAAAAAGGTAATCAACACTTTAAATCAAAATGTACAATAATGTAATAGCATAGAGGACAGAAAGGGAGAAATATAGTGCTGCAAGTTTTTTACAGTATATGTGCGGTAGTAAGCTCAATTGAAGTTAGATTATGATAAGCTAAAGATCTATATTATAAAACCTAAAGCAACCACTAAAATAACAAAAGAGAGTCATAGTTAATAAATCAAAAAAGGTGATAAAATTAAATTATAAAAATGCAATGTGGTATCTTGGATTCGGTCCTAGAACAGAAATAAGACATTTGTTTTCACACTGGTGAAATCCAACAAATTAATTTACAAATCCAATGGAATCCTATCAAAATCCAAACATTTTTTTTTGTGGAAATTGACAAGTGGAATCTAAAATTCATATAGAAATGCAAAGGGCCCAGAATAGCCAAAATTAAACCTGAAGAAGAATAACAAAGTTGGAAAACTTATACTACCTGGTTATAGGAATTATTATAAAGGTACAGTAATAAAAGCAGCAAAGTATTGGCATAAAGATAGACAAATAAATTAATGAAGCAGAAAGTTCAGAAATAAACATACAAATATATAGACAACTGATCTTTGATAAAGGTGCAAAGGCAATGCTGTGGAGAAAGGATAGTTTTTCAAACAAATAGTTCTGAAACAACTGGACATCCATATGCAAAACAAATCTTTAACTCATATCTGGTACCACATACATGATTTAAGTAAAACTGGATCATAGATCTAAATGTAAAATTTAAAAATAACTTTCTGGAAGAAATTTTAGGAGAAAATGTTTGTGACTATGGCTTAGGCAAATAATTTTTTATATTGTACAAAAAGTCATTATCCATAAAAGAAAATACTGATGAGTTAGAATGGCGATCATTAAAAAGTCAGGGAACAACAGGTGCTGGAGAGGATGTGGAGAAATAGGAACACTTTCACACTGTTGGTGGGACTGTAAAGTAGTTCAACCATTGTGGAAGTCAGTGTGGCAATTCCTCAGGGATCTAGAACTAGAAATATCATATGACCCAGCAATCCCATTACTGGGTATATACCCAAAGGATTATAAATCATGCTGCTATAAAGACACATGCACACGTATGTTTATTGCAGCACTATTCACAATAGCAAAGACTTGGAACCAAGCCAAATGTCCAACAATGATAGACTGGATTAAGAAAATGTGGCACATATACACCATGGAATACTATGCAGCCATAAAAAGGATGAGGACATGGATGAAGCTGGAAACCATCATTCTCAGCAAACCGTCGCAAGGACAAAAAACCAAACACCGCATGTTCTCACTCATAGGTGGGAATTGAACAATGAGAACACATGGACACAGGAAGGGGAACATCACACACCGGGGACTGTTGTGGGGTGGGGGGAGGGCGGAGGGATAGCATTAGGAGATATACGTAATGTAAATGACGAGTTAATGGGTGCAGCACACCAACATGGCACATGTATACATATGTAACAAACCTGCACGTTGTGCACATGTACCCTAAAACTTAAAGTATAATAAAAAAAGAAAGAAAATACTGATGAATTGGATATTACAAAATCAATATTAAAAACTTTTGCAATTCAATAGACAGTTAGAGGAATAAAAATATAAGTTCCAGACCGGGAGACTGTGTTTGCAAAGTGTCTGATGAAGAACTTGTATTTAGAAAATACAAAGAACACTCAAAATTCACAAGCAGTAACTAAACAACCAAACTGTAAAACAGGCAAAGTTTGAATATATACATCAACAAAGCAGGTATATGGGTGAAAAATAAAGTCATGAAGAGATGCTTGACAGGGTTAATCATTAAGAAAATCTAAGTTAAAACTGAAATGAGATACTACTTAATACCACTAGGATGGCTATAATGCCTTTTTGAGACAGACACTACCAAGTATTGTTGAGGATGTAGAGAAACTGGAAGCCTCATATACTGCTTCTGGAGATGAAAATTGGGCAAACTCTTTGGAAAACATGTTTTAAATATATTAAAAAGTTATGTATGCATTTATCATATGAAACAGAAATTTTATTCCTGGGAATCTAAGAAGGAGAAATGAAGACATATTTCCACACAAAGACCTGTATACAAATGTTTAGAGCAGCATTATTCATAAATGCCAAAAATGTGGAAAGAACAGAAATCATTGTGAACTAATGAATAAATAACCAAAATGTGGCATATCCATTCAATGGCATATTATTTGTTTTAACGAAAGGGGCAAAATTCTGATACATGCTAAAAGGTGGATGCATCTCCAAAACAATATATTAAGCAACAGAAAAACTGGACCCAAAAGATCACATTTATATAACTCGATTTATATGCAATGACCAGCAAAAGCAAATCTGTAAAGACAGAAAGTATATGATTGTTTTCCTGGAGCCGTGTGTGGGAACAGAGATTGACTGAAACTGAGCATTAGAGCTCATTTGGGGATGATGGAAGTGTTTTAAAATAGTATCATGTTGATAGTTGTACAACTCTGTAAACTTTTTTAAAAAATAATTGAATTTTACACTTGAAATAGATGGTTTCTATGGTATGTGAATTACAACTCAATAAATATCCTGCAATGGCTTCTTTTTTATATTTTTACTTTAAGTTCTGGGATACATGGGCTAAACGTGCATATTTGTTACATAGGTATACATGTGCCTGTAGGAAGACCCCCTGAAACTATTGCCGTTGCATTGCAGGCTGCTGGCCAGATCCTGCAATATGTGCCATAGTGGTTTGCTGCATCTATCAACCCGTCATCTAGGTTTTAAGCCCTGCATGCATTAGGTATTTGTCCTAATGCTCTCCTTCCTCTTTCCCCCAGTCCCTGGCAGGCCCCAATGTGTGATGTTCCCCTCCCTTTTTCCATGTGTTCTCATTGCTCAACTCCCACTGATGAGTGACAATATGTAGTATTTGGTTTTCTCTTCCTGTGTTAGTTTGCTGAGAATGATGGTTTCTGGCTTCATCCATGTCCCTGCAAAGGACATGAACTCATCCTTTTTTATGACTGCATAGTATTTCATGGTGTATATGTGCCACATTTTCTTTATCCAGTCTATCATTGATGGGCTTTTGGGTTGGTTCCAAATATTTGCTATTGTGAATAGTGCTGCAATAAACATACATGTGCATGTGTCTTTATAGTAGAATGACTTGTAATCCTTTGGGTATACACCCAATAATGAGATTGCTGGGTCAAATGGTATTTCTAGTTCTAGATCCTTGAAGAATCACCACACTGTCTTCCACAATGGTTGAACTAATTTACACTCCCACCAACAGTGTAAAAGCCTTCCTATTTCTCCACATCCTCACCAGCATCTCTTGTTTCCAGACTTTTTAATGATCACCATTCTAACTGGCGTGAGATGGTATCTCATTGTGGTTTTGATTTGCATTTCTGTAATGACCAGTGATAATGAGCTTTTTCTCATATGTTTGTTTGCTGCATAAATGTCTTCTTTTGCGAAGCGTCTATTCATATCATTCACCCACTTTTTGATAGAATTGTTTTTTTTCTTGTAAATGTGTTTAAATTCCTTGTAGATTCTGGATATTAGCTTTCTCTCAGATGGATAGATTGCAAAACTTTTCTCCTATTCTGTAGGTTGCCTGTTCACTCTGACGATAGTTTCTTTTGCTGAGCAGAAGCTCTTTAGTTTATTTAGATCCCATTTGTCAATTTTGGGTTTTGTTGCCATTGCTTTTGGTGTTTTAGTCATGAAGTCTTTTACTGCAACCTGAGTTAAAACTAAACCCACAGTTCCTTCTGAAACCAAATTCTAAGCGTGCTTGTATTTTCCCAGAAAAATAAATGAGTTGTCAAAAGGCTTGTGTAGAGGGAATGGGTTTTTAATAAGTTGGTTGATTAAGGAATCCAGGAGGAATGAGAAGGGGCCTAATGATGAAAAAAATAAATGAGGACTTATTAGATTTGAGATGGATTGCTTTTATCATGTTCTTTGTGCTTAACAGCTAATTCCCATCCTTTCACTCTCTGTCCAGCAACTGAGAAGTTTGAGCTAAGATTAAATCTAAATAAAAGGCCCTAACTCTCTCTTATCTAGACACAGAGCATCATGCCAGTCACATGCTTAGATACACTCACAATACTAAATTCCCTCTCTTTACAAACTTCCATCATTCAAGCAGACTAAAAAATTGTATAAAGCAACTACCATATATCCAGCAGTGTGCTGGTTCCTGTAGGTGAATGAAGAGAAGCTCCCTTCCTTCAAATGTAATTTTTTTACGGAGACCAAATATAGAAATAGAACAAGTCATAACTCTTATGGCAGAAGTGCAAGTGGAAGTGAAAGTGGGCCTCCAGAGTTCTTAATCTCTCTACAAATCCAATCCTCACCTGAATTTACCAGAGTGACCCTTGATGAGCCTCCCTGGAACTCCTTGGGTTCCTCAGAACATTATCTCAAAGCCACTAATCAAATCTGTCTTCATTATTTTAGAAATGAAGAGACAAATGTCCATAATTGAGAAGGACTAGCAGAAGGCAAACAGTCATGGTCCTCTGGGTCCTCTGAAACTATGGACTTATGCATGAAGCAACTAGAAATCAGAATAATTATATATGTGAGAGTCTTCTCAACACTGGCACTGCACTGTATCATTTTTATTTTTAGAGATGGGGTATTTTATATTGTTCAGGTTTGAACTCCAGTCCTCAAGCAATCCTCTTACATCAGTCTCTCAAAGTGTTCACAGGCATGAACCACTGTGCATGGCTGAAATTGGCATCTTGATAGAGATTTCATTAAATCTGCATATTGCCTTAGGGAGTACGGTCATTTTAATTATATTAATTCTACCAATCCATGAACATGGGATTTCTTTTTATTTGTTTGTGTCCTCTTCAACAATTTTTTTCATCAGTGTTCTGTAGTTTTTCCTGTAGAGGGCTTTCAGCTCTTTGGTTAAATTTATTCCTAGGTATTTTATTTATTTATTTATTGGTAGCTATTGTTAATAGGACTGCCTTCTTAATTAATTTTTTAGCTAGTTTATTATTGGTGCATAGAAATGCTACTAATTTTAGATATGACCCTCCACTAGGCCTCCTCTGACCCCAATGAGGGTTTTCTTGTTACTACCAGATACGAATGGAAGTCCATGTTCCACCTGTAGTCTCCAATGACAGCATGGCAGATGGGCTCATTACTGCTGAGCAGTGATGACAATTATGACACCCCTACTAATCCTTCTCTGACAACTCTCTAGTGGGTTGGTTTGGACTCCTCACTACAGCCTGGTAAGGGTGGAAGTCTAGGCTCTTCATTTGGGCCTTTCTTCGTGAGGGTGGTGTGAGGCCCTAGTTTTCTTCTGTGATGTTTGCTTGGAGTAGAACAATTATTATCTAAAAGTTGTTTGCCTTATTAGCCTGCCCCTTTCCTGGTCCTTTGGCTGCAAAGAGCAGGCTTTTCTTTTTAGTCTGTGCCCATTGGTGTTTTTGGGTTATTGGCTTCTCCAGTATCCGTTCTGGGATATATGAAAAGAAAACTCAGGGAATTTACCAACCATGTAGTTCTTCAGGTCCCAAAGCCCCTAGCCCATCTGTCTTCTTTCTACACATCAGAGTCTTCTTATGGTTTTAAAAATGTTACATCCAGTGTTTTGTTGTACTTAGCAAAAAGTATAGGAAAAGTATGTCTATTCCATTTGCCCTTTTAAACAGGGCTTGTGGCAGGGTTTTGATGTCCTTTAGTAGCTCCTGATAAAAACAAAAGCTCCTTACATGACGAAAGGCAGGTGAAGCATAGGTGATCAATGTGTAGACACTGGATGCAGATTTTATAGGTTAAAATTCTGGTATTGCTACCTTCTAGTCAAAACACACTAGTCAAATTTCTTAACCTGTGCAAACTGCATTTATTCTCATCTGGAAAACAGTGTCAATTTTATCTGCTATCATAGGGTACTGAGACAATACAATGCAAATCCATCTTAGCACAGAGCCTACCAAATATTAAGAACTTAATATAGGTTAACTATGATTATTGTTGCCCTTAGAAAGGAAAGTTGAAGTTGAGTTCAGGTAGGGAAGCCTTGCTTGATGTGGGTAGGACAGTGGAACAAGCACTGAGTGGACTGAGAGTCAAGTACTATGATTTTAGCCCCAACTTTGACATTAACTCTCTATTGGACCTTGGTTCATCCCTTCCCTTCTCTGGGCCTCAGTCTCCTCATCTGTAAAACAAAGAGACTGGGCTTCTGTGAGTCCTTGTAAAGTCCAAGTTTCTCTGGCTTTGTTGTTCTTCTCACTAGTGTTAAGGGGGGATTTTGAAGGAGCTCATCTTTTCCTCCAGGCCTCTGTAATTTTAATCAATCCATTATCCCATTGGATATACATTTTTTTCTTCAAAAAGCTTAAAACACTTGGAGAAGGCAATTGGCTTATCATGCCCTGCTGAGGTGATCTTGCTGGATGTCAGGAGGTTCCTAATAATCAGGGGAAATTTGCTTGCACTGACTAGCTAGAGGGCATGCTGTTTAGAGTCCTGAGAAAACCTCAATCCATCTATAAGGAGAAAGGTATCTCAGAATCCATGAACCCATGGGCTAGAGCAGACTAATTCATCAGACTCAATGTGTTGACATCTTTGCCAAGGTGCATGCTTTTCTTCAAGTGCTCTGGGAAAGAAATTTCATCATTGTCTTTTCACTCTAACTGTTCAGGCTGTGAATCAGAGCCAAGTATTACATGGGGATGGATACATAAGTGTGTTTGTTTGCTAGGGCTGCCATAAAAAAGTACCACAGACTGGGTGACTTAAACAATAGAAATTTAATTTCTCACAGTTGTAGAGGCTAGAAGTCTGAGAAAGAAGTGTTCACAGTGATGATTTCTTCTGAGGGCTGTGGTCTCTTCCAGGCCTCTTTCTTTGATTTGTAGATGTCCACTTTTTCCATGTGTCTTTGTATTTTCTTCCTTTTGTACATATCTGTGTCCAAATTTCCTCTTTGAATAAGGAAATCAGTCAAATTAGATTAGGGCCCACCCTAATTATCTTATTTTAATCTATTTACCTCTTTAAAGACCCTATTTTCAAACACAGTCACAATCTGAGATACTGGAACTTAAGACTTCAATACGTGTTATTTATTTATTTATATATTTACTTATTTTTATTATTTATTTATTATTATTATTTTTTCTCACTCTGTCACCAGGCTGGAGTGCAGTGGCACTATCTCTGCTCACTGCAACCCCCGCCTTCCGGGTTCAAGCGATTCTCCTGCCTCAGCCTCCTGAGTAGCTGGGACTATGGGTGCACACCGCCACACCCAGCTAATTCCCAGCTAATTTTTTTGTATTTTAGTAGAGACGGGGTTTCACCATGTTAGCCAGGATGGTCTCTATCTTCTGACCTCGTGATCCACCCACCTTGGCCTCCCAAAGTGCTGGGATTATAGGCGTGAGCCACCGCGCCCAGTCTAATACCTGAATTTTTAGGCAGAGTCTTGTGCCTTCATCAACCCACTGGGAGAAAATGTAACAATTCAACCGACTACCCGAAACCCTTGTTCTCAGGGAAGTTTAGCATGCCATACCCACATCTTTCCAAATTTTGATAATTATCACTTTGGGGTTTCCAAAGCCGTAGGTCTAGAGAATTTCTAATGTCACAAGACACAATCTTATAATACATCAGGGCAGGTGCACTAAACAAAAGGTCCCATTCTGATCTGCTTCCAGCTATTGCTACATGATCTTGGAGCCAGTAGACTTTAACCTAGAGTTTGGGCAGGGCCTAAGTGATGAGAGTAATTCTTAGAGATTAAAGCAACCAGGGAAGTAAGAATCAAGCCCCTGGTCATCAACAACAGTCCTGTAACTGGGCTTTAGGTTTTCCTCAGTTCCCGTCTTAGAGACCAGGATTGGTTAACTACGTGTATCCCTACTTACCTGGGTTTATCTGGTACCCTGATATTTGAGAGTCAGTTCTCAGGCTTCATTTACTCAACCTCTCAATGTCATTTGACATGGCTGATCACTCCGTCCTCCTTAGAATTCTTTCCTGACTCAGGTTCCAAGATACCATATTCTCCTGCTTTTTCTCCTCCCTGTCATGGCTGCTCCTTCTCAGTCTCCTTTGCTGGTTCTTTCTTATTACCTTGACTTCCAAATATTGGAGGCCCCCAGGGCTCATTCTTGCACCTCTTTTCTTCTCTATCCATGTTCTCTTGATGATCGTATCCAGTATTATGGTTTTAAATGCTATTTACTTCTGTCTCTCAAATTTCTCTCCCCAGCCAAAAACTCTCTCCCAAATGCCAAACATATATATGCAACTGCCCTTCCATCACATCTACTGAATGTCCTAGAGTAACTTAATTTTAACACATGCAAATTCAACTTCTGATTGTATCCCTCAAACTACTTTCTTCCAGTCTCCAACATCTTAGAAGTGGCAGCCTAATCCTTCCAAGTCCAGGTTAAAAACCCTGTACTCACACTTCATTCCTCTGTTTCTCTCATACCCCATACCAAATCTATCAGCAAATCCTATTTACTGTTTGTAAAAGTCAGACTTAATGAAGTATAATTTACATATAATAAAATTCACCCTTTTAGATGTACAATTCCATGAATTTTGACAAATTCTTCGATTCATGTAATTACCACCCCAATCAAAATATGGAACAGATGTATCAAATTCAAAAAAGTAACCTTGGGTCCTTTTGCAATCAACTTCTCTGAATCCCAGCCCCTGGAAACCACTATTCCTGTTTTCTGTCTGTACAATTTTGTCTTTTTCAGAATATCAGATAAATGCAATCATACATTTAGTTCTGGTTTCTTTCATTTAGCACAATGCTTTTGAGATTCACCAATGTTGTTACATGCATCAGTAGTTTTTCTTTTTTTATTGCAGAGTAGTATCCCATGGTATGGGCGTACCACAATTTTTTCATTCACCAAGTGATAGACATTTGTATTGTTTCCAGATTGGTTATTATGACTGAATATGAGATAAATATCCTCAGGATTTAATGAGGACATATGTTGTTATTTCTCTTGGGTAAATATCTAAGAGTGGGATTGTTGGATCATATGGCTGGTGTATGCTGTGGCTGTAGCACTTTGGATTCCTTTCACCTATGCATAGGTGTTTTATCTTCCTCATCAGCACTTGGAATTTCCAAGTTTTTTAAAAAGAATTTTCTAATGGGTGTAAAGTTGTATCTCACTGTGATTTCAATTTGTCTTTTCCCTGATAATGCTGAAGACCCTTTCATGTCATTATTTGTTATTCATAATTTTTTATTTGTATATATAAATATATATTTATATTTTCTAATATATAATATATAATATATATAATATGTAATATATATATAATATATATAATATGTAATATATATATAATATATATTTTTTACTTTAAGTTATGGGATACATGTGCAGAATGTACAGGTTTGTTACATAGGTAAACATGTGCCATGGTGGTTTACTGTAACTATCAACCTGTCACCTAGGTTTTAAGCCCCATATGAATTGACAATGGACTATTTGTCCTGATGCTCTCCCTTGCCTCACCCTTCCCAATAGGCCCTGGTGTGTGTTATTCCACGACCTGTGTCCATGTGTTCTCATTGTTCTACTCTCACTTATGAGTGAGAACATGCAGTGTTTGGTTTTCTGTTCCTGTGTTAGTTTGCTGAAGATGGTGGCTTCCAGCTTCATTCATGTCCCTGCAAATGACATGATCTCACTCCTTTTTGTGACTGTATAGTATTCCATGTTATATATGTACCACATTTTTAAAATCCATTCTATCATTGATGGGCACTTGGGTTGGTTCCTTGTTTTTGCTATTGTGAATAGTGCTGCAATAAACATACTTGTGCATGTATCTTTATAATAGAATGATTTATATTCCTTTGGGTATATACCCAATAATGAGATTCCTGGTTCAAATGATATTTCTGGTTCTAGATCCTTGAGGAATCGCCACACTGTCTCCCACAATGGTTGAACTAATTTACATTCCCACCAACAATGTAAAAGTGTTCTTATTTATTCACAGCCTTGCTAGCATCTGTTGTTTATTGACTTTTTAATAATCGCCATTCTGACTAGCGTGAGATGGTATTTCATTGTGGTTTTAATTTGCATTTCTCTAATAATTAGTGATGTTGAGCTTTTTTTCATATGTTTCTTTGCCCCATAAATGTTTTCTTTTGAGAAGTGTCTGTTTATTTCCTTGCCCACTTATTGATGGGGTTGTTTGTTTGTAAATTTGTTTAAATTTCTTGTAAATTCTGGATATTAGACCTTTGTCAGATGGGTAAATTGCAAAAATTTCTCCTATTCTGTAGGTTGCCTTTTCGCTTGCTCTGATAGCAGTTTCTTTTGCTGTGTAGAACCTCTTTGTTTAATTAGATCCCATTTGTCAATTTTAGTTTTTGTTGCAATTGTTTTTGGTTATTTCATCATAAAATCTTTGCCCATGCCTATGTCCTGAATGGTATCGCCTATGCTTTCTTCTAGGGTTTTTATGGTTTTGGGTTTTACATTTAAGTCTTTAATCCATCTCGAATTATTTTTTTGTATAAGGTGTAAGGAAGAGGTCCATTTTCAATTTTCTGCATATGACTAGCCAGTTTTTTTTTAGCATTATTTATTAAATATGAAATCCTTTCTGCATTGTTTGTCTTTGTCAGCTTTGTCAAAGATCAGATGGTTGTAGATGTGTGGTCTTATTTCTGAAGTCTCTCTTATGTTCCATTGGTCTATATATCTGTTTTGGTACCATTACCATGTTGTTTTGGTTACTGTAGCCTTGTAGCATAGTTTGAAGTCTGGTAGTGTGATGCCTCCAGCATTATTCGTTTTGCTTAGGATTATCTTGGCTTTGTGGGCTCTTTTTTGGTTCCATATGAATTTTAAGGTAGTTTCTTTCTAATTCTGTGAAGAATGCCAATGGTAGGTTGATGGGAATATCATTGAATCTATAAGTTACTTTGGGCAGTATGGCCATTTTCATGATATTGATTCTTTCTATCCATGAGGATGAAATGTTTTGCCATTTGTTTGTGTCCCCTCTTATTTCCTTGAGTAGGCTTTTGTAGTTCTCCTTGAAGAGGTCCTTCATATCCCTTGTAAATTGTATTCCAAGGTGTTTTATTCTCTTTGTAGCAACTGTGAGTGGGAGTTCATTCATGATTTGGCTGTCTGCTTGTCTATTGTTTGTGTATAGGAATTCTTGTGATTTTTGCACACTGATTTTGGATCCCGAGACTTTGCTGAAGTTGCTTATCAGCTTAAAGAGTTTTTGGGCTGAGATGATGGGGTTTTCTAAATATAGAATCATGCCATCTTCAAACAGAAGGCATTGACTTCCTCTCTTTTTATTTGAATAACCTTTATTTCTTTCTCTTGCCTGATTGCCCTGGCCAGAACTCCTAAAAATATGTTGAATATGAGTGGTGAGAGAGAGCATCCTTGTCTTGTGCCAGTTTACGAAGAGAATGCCTCCAGCTTTTGCCCATTCAGTATGATATTGGCTATCAGTTTGTCAGTAATGGCTCTTATTATTTTGAAATATGTTCCATCAATACCTAGTTTATTGAGAGTTTTTAACATAAGTGATGTTGAATTTAATCGCAGTCCTTTTCTGCATCTATTGAGATAATCATGTGGTTTTTGTTATCAGTTCTGTTTATGTGATGGATTATGTTTATTGATTTGTATTTGTTAAACCAGCCTTGCATCCCAGGGATGAAGCTGACTTGTTCATGGTGGAGAAGTTTTTTGATGTGCTGCCGGATTCAGTTTCCCAGTATTTTATTGAGGATTTCTGTATCTATGTTCATCAGTGATATTGTCCTGAAGTTTGTGTGTGTGTGTGTGTGTGTGTGTGTGTGTGTGTGTGTGTGTGTGTTTGTGTGTCTGCCCAGTTTTTCTATCAGAATGATGCTGGCCTCATAAAATGAGCTTGGGAGGAGAATTCTATGTTTTTCAATTGCTTGGAATAGTTTCAGAAGGAATGGTACCAGCTCCTCTTTGTGCTTCTAGTGGAATTTGGCTGTGAATCCATCTTGTCCTGAGCTTTTTTGGTTGGTAGGCTATTTATTACTGCCTGAATTTCAGAACTGGTTATTGGTCTCTTCAGGGATTCAACTTCTTCCTGGTTTAGTCTTGGGAGAGTGTATGTGTCCAGGAATTTATCCATTTCTTCTAGATTTTCTAGTTTATTTGCTTAGAAGTGTTTATAGTATTCTCTGATGGTAGTTTGTATTTCTGTAGGGTCAGTGGTGATATTCCCTTTATTATTTATATTGTGTCTATTTGATTCTTCTCTCTTTTCTTTTTTGTTAGTCTAGATAGCAGTCTATCTATTTTCTTAATTTTTTTAAAAAAACAGTTTCTGGGTTAATTGATTTTTTGGAGGGTTTTTCATGTCTCTCTCTTTTTCAGTTCCGCACTGCTCTTAGTTGTTTCTTGTCATCTGCTGGCCTTTAGATTTTTTTGCCTTGCTTTTCTAGTTCTTTTAGTTGTGATGTTAAGCTTCCAGTTTGAGACTATTCTAGCTTTTTGATGTGGGCATTTAGTGTCATAAAATTTCCTTTTAACACCGCTTTAGCTGCATCCCAGAGATTCTGGTACTTTGTCTTCTTGTTCTCATTGATTTAAAAGAACTTTTTGATTCCTGCCTTAATTTCATTATCTATCCAGAAACAATTAAGAAACAGGTTATTCAATTTCCGTGTAGTTGTGTGGTTTTGAATGAATTTCTTAATCCTGAGTTCTAATTTGATTGCACTGTGGTCTGAGAGACTGTTATGATTTCATTTTTTTTTGCATTTGCTGAGGAGTATTTTTCTTCCAATTGTGTGATTGATTTTAGAGTAAGTGTCATATGGCATTGAGAAGAATGTATGTTCTGTTGTTTTGTGGTGGAGAGTTCTGTAGATAACTGTTAGGTTCACTTGATCCAGAGCTGAGTTCAAGTCCTGAATACCCTTGTTAATTTACTGTCTTGTTGATCTGTCTGACAGGGGGTGTTAAATTTTCCCACTATTATAGTGTGGGAGTCTAAGTCTCTTCGTAGGTCTCTAAGGACTTGTTTCATGAACCTGAGTGCTGTATTGGGTGCATATATATTTAGGATAGTTAGCTCTTCTTGTTGAATTAATTTCTTTACAATTTTGTAATGTCCTTCTTTGTCTTCTTTGATCTTTGTTAGTTTAAAGTCTGTTTTGTCCAAGACTAGAATTGCAATCCCTGCTACATTCTGCTTTCCATTTGCTTGGTAAATTTTACTCCATCATTTTACTTTGAGCCTATGTGTGTCTTTGCATTTGAGATGGGTCTCTTTAATACAGCACACTGATGGGTCTTGACTCTTTATCCAGTTTGACAGTTTGTGTCTTTTAATTGGGATATTTAGTCAACTTACATTAATGTTAATATTGTTATGTGTGAATTTGATCCTGTCAGCATGATGCTAATTGGCTATTTTGCACATTAGTTGATGCCTTTTCTTCATAGTATCATTGGTATTTATATTTTGGTGTGTTTTTGGAGTGGCTGGTACCAGTTTTCCTTTCCATATTTAGTGCTTCCTTCAGGAGCTCTTGCAAGGTAGGCCTGGTGGTGATGAATTCCCTCAGCATTTGCTTGTCTAGAAAGGACTTTATTTCTTCTTTGCTTATGAAGCTTAGTTTGGCCAGATATAAAATTCTGGGTTCAAACTTATTTTCTTTAAGAATGTCAAATCTTGGCTCCCACTCTCTTTGGACTTGTAGGGTTTCTGTTGAGAGATTTGCTGTTAGTCTGATGGGCTTCCCTTTGTAGGTGACCTGACCTTTATCTCTGGCTGCCCTTAACATTTTTTCCATAATAACGGCCTTGGAGTATCTCATGATTATGTGTCTTGTGATTGACCTTCTCATGGAGTATCTTAGTGGGATTCTCTGTATTTCCTAAATTTGAATGTTGGCCTGTCTTCCTAGGTAGGGGAAGTTCTCCTGGATAATATCCTGAAGTGTGTTTTCCAACTTGGTTCCATTTTCCCTGTCTCTTTCAGTTACTCTAATCAGTTGTGGGTTTTCTCTTTCTACACAGTCCTGTATTTCTCAGAGGTTTTGTTGTCCTTTTAAATTATTTTTTCTCTAATCTTGTCTGTCTGCCTTATTTCAGCAAGGTAGTCTTCCGTCTCTGATATTCTTTCTTCTGCTTGATCGATTTGGCTACTGATACTTGCATATGCTTCACGAAGTTCTCATGCTGCATTTTTCAGCTTCATCAGGTCATTTATATTCCTCTCTAAACTGGTTTTCTTTTTTTATATTATTATTATTATACTTTAAGTTTTAGGATACATGTGCACAACGTGCAGGTTTGTTACATATGTATACATGTGCCATGTTGGTGTCCTGCACCCATTAACTGGTTTTACAGTGAGCAGCTCCTCTAATATTTGATCAATGTTCATAGCTTTTTCGCATTAGGTAGAACATGCTCCTTTTCCTCAATGAAGTTTGTTATTACAGACCTTCTGAAACCTAATTGTGTCAATTTGTCCAACTTATCCGATGTCCAGTTCTGTGCCCTTGCTGAAAAGGTGTTGTGATCATTTGGAAACGAAGAGGCATTCTTATCTCTTAGGGTTTTCAGCGGTTTTTATTGTTGTTGTTGCTCTTGTTGATTCTTTCTCATCTTCATGAGTTTGTCTAGTTTTGATCTTTGGATGAGGTTTTTATGGGGATTTATTTTATTTTATTTATTTTATTTTTTAAAGAATTCAATAAATGTTTATTATTAGGAAACAAAATATGGTATTTTTTTTCTTTTTTTTATACTTTAAGTTCTAGGGTACATGTGCACAACGTGCAGGTTTGTTACATATGTATACATGTGCCATGTTGGTGTGCTGCACCCATTAACTCATCATTTACATTAGGTATATCTCCTAATGCTATCCCTGCCCCCTCACCCCACCCCATGACAGGCCTTGGTGTGTGATGCTCCCCACCCTGTGTCCAAGTGTTCTCATTGTTCAATTCCCACCTATGAGTGAGAACATATGGTGTTTGGTTTTCTGTCCTTGTGATAGTTTGTTGAGAATGATGGTTTCCAGCTTCATCCATGTCCCTACAAAGGACATGAACTCATCCTTTTATATGGCTGCATGGTATTCCATGGTGTGTATATGCCACATTTTCTAAATCCAGTCTACAATTGATGGACATTTGGGTTGGTTCCAAGCCTGTACTATTGTGAATAGTGCCACAATAAACATACATGTGCATGTGTCTTTATAGCAGCATGATTTATAGTCCTTTAGGTATATATGCAGTAATGGGATGGCTGGGTCAAATGGTATTTCTAGTTTTAGATCCTTGAGGAATTGCCACACTGTGTTCCAAAATGGTTGAACTAGTTTACAGTCCCACCAACAGTGTAAAAGTGCTCCTATTTCTCCACATCCTCTCCAGCATCTGTTGTTTCCTGACTTTTTAATGATCATCATTCTAACTGGTGTGAGATGGTATCTCATTGTGGTTTTGATTTCCATTTCTCTGATGGCCAGTGATGATGAGCATTTTTTCATGTGTCTGTTGGCTACATAAATGTCTTCTTTTGAGAAGTGTCTGTTCATATCCTTTGACCACTTTTTGAAGGGGTTGTTTGATTTTTTCTTGTAAATTTTTTAAAGTTCTTTGTAGATTCTGGATATTAGCCCTTTGTCAGATGGGCAGATTGTAAAAATTTTCTCCCATTCTGTAGGTTGCCTGTTCACTCTGATGGTAGTTTCTTTTGCTGTGCAGAAGCTCTTGAGTTTAATTAGATCCCATTTGTCAATTTTGGCCTTTGTTGCCATTGCTTTTGGTGTTTTAGACATGAAGTCCTTGCCCATGCCTATGTCCTGAATGGTATTGCCTAGGTTTTCTTCTAGGGTTTTTATGGATTTAGGTCTAAGATTTAAGTCTTTAATCCATCTTGAATTAATTTTTGTATTAGTTGTAAGAAAGGGATCCAGTTTCAGCTTTCTACATATGTCTAGCCTGTTTTCCCACCACCATTTATTAAATAGGGAATCCTTTCCTCATTGCTTGTTTTTGTCATGTTTGTCAAAGATCAGATGGTTGTAGATGTGTGGTATTATTTCTGAGGGCTCCGTTCTGTTCCATTGGTCTATATCTCTGTTTTGGTACCAGTACCATGCTGTTTTGGTTACTGTAGCCTTGCAGTATAGTTTGAAGTCAGGTAGCATGATGCCTCCAGCTTTGTTCTTTTGGCTTAGAATTGTCTTGGCAATGTGGGCTCTTTTTTGGTTCCATATGAACTTTAAAGTAGTTTTTTTTCCAATTCTGTGAAGAAAGTCATTGGTAACTTGATGGGGATGGCATTGAATCTATAAATTACCTTGAGCAGTATGGCCATTTTCTTGATATTGATTCTTCCTATCCATGAACATGTAATGTATTTCTATCTGTTTCTGTCCTCTTTTATTTCATTCAGCAGTGCTTTGTAGTTCTCCTTGAAGAGGTCCTTCACATCCCTTGTAAGATGGATTCCTAGATTTTTTATTCTCTTTGAAGCAATTGTGAATGGGAATTCACTCATGATTTGGCTCTCTGTTTGTCTGTTATTGGTGTATAGGAATACTTGTGATTTTTGCACATTGATTTTATATCCTGACAATTTGCTGAAGTTGCTTATCAGCTTAAAGATATTTTGGGCTGAGACGATGGGGTTTTCTAGATATACAATCATGTCATCTGCAAACAGGGACAATTTGACTTCCTCTTTTCCTAATTAAATACCCTTTATTTCTTTCTCCTGCCTGATTGCCCTGGCCAGAACTTCCAACACTATGTTGAATAGGAGTAGTGAGGGAGGGCATCCCTGTCTTGTGCCAGTTTTCAAAGGGAATACTTTCAGTTTTTGCCCATTCGGTATGATATTGGCTGTGGGTTTGTCATAAATAGCTCTTATTATGTTGAGAAACGTCCCTTCAATACCTAGTTTATTGAGTTTTTAGAATGAAGGTCTGTTGAATTTTTTCGAAGGCCTTTTCTGCTTCTATTGAAATAATCCTGTGGTTTTCGTCTTTGGTTCTGTTTATATGCTGGATTATGTTTATTGATTTGTATATGTTGAACCAGCCTTGCATCCCAGGGATGAAGCCCACTTCATCATGGTGGACAAGTTTTTGATGTGCTGCTGGATTCGGTTTGCCAGTATTTTTTTGAGGATTTTTGCATCAATGTTAATCAGGGATATTGGTCTAAAATTCTCTTTTTTTGTTGTGTCTCTGCCAGGCTTTGTTATCAGGATGATGCTGGCCTCATAAAATGAGTTAGGGAGGATTCCCTCTTTTTCTATTGATTGGAATAATTTCAGAAGGAGTGATACCAGCTCCCCCTTGTACCTCTGGTAGAATTTGGTTGTGAATCCATGTGGTCCTGGACTTTTTTTGGTTGGTAGTCTATTAATTATTGTCGCAATTTCAGAGCCTGTTATTGGTCTATTCAGGGATTCAACTTCTTCCTAATTTAGTCTTGGGAGGGTGTATGTGTCGAGGAATTTATCCATTTCTTCTAGATTTTCTAGTTTATTTGTGTAGAGGTGTTTAAAGTATTCTCTGATGGTAGTTTGTATTTCTGTGGGATCAGTGGGAATATCCCCTTTATCATTTTTTATTGCATCTATTTGATTCTTCTCTCTTTTCTTCTTTATTAGTCTTGCTAGTGGTCTATCAATTTTGTTGATCTTTTCAAATAACCAGCTCCTGGATTCATTGATTTTTTTGAAGGGTTTTTTGTGTCTCTATCTCCTTCAGTTCTGCTCTGATCTCAGTTACTTCTTGCCTTCTGTTAGTTTTTGA
Organism: Homo sapiens; assembly: GCF_000001405.40. NCBI lineage: Eukaryota > Metazoa > Chordata > Mammalia > Primates > Hominidae > Homo > Homo sapiens. The sequence goes on along the minus strand of NC_000023.11, from coordinate 64,811,478 downwards.
ATGTGTTTGGTCTTACTTCTCTGGTTCTTTTAATTGTGATGTTAGGGTGTCAATTTTAGATCTTTCCTGCTTTCTCTTGTGGGCATTTAGTGCTATAAATTTCCCTCTACACACTGCTTTAAATGTGTCCCAGAGGTTCTGGTATGTTGTGTCTTTTTTCTCATTGGTTTCAAAGAACATCTTTATTTCTTCCTTCATTTCGTTATGTACCCAGTAGTCATTCAGGAGCAGGTTTTTCATTTTCCATGTAGTTGAGCAGTTTTGAGTGAGTTTCTTAATCCTGAGCTCTAGTTTGATTGCACTGTGGTCTGAGAGACAGTTTGTTATAATTTCTGTTCTTTTACATTTGCTGAGGAGTGCTTTACTTCCAACTATGTGGTCAATTTTGGAATAAGTGCAATGTGGTGCTGAGAAGAATGTATGTTCTGTTGATTTGGGGTGGAGAGTTCTGTAGATGTCTATTAGGTCTGCTTGGTACAAAGCTGAGTTCAATTCCTGGATCTCCTTGTTAACTTTCTTTCTCATTGATCTGTCTAATGTTGACAGTGGGTTGTTAAAGTCTCCCATTATTATTGTGTGGGAGTCTAAGTCTCTTTTTAGGTCTCTAAGGGCTTGCTTTATGAATCTGGTTGCTCCTGAATTGGTTGCATATATATTTAGGATAGTTAGCTCTTCTTGTTGAATTGATCCCTTTAGCATTATGTAATGGCCTTCTTTGTCTCTTTTAATCTTTGTTGTTTTAAAGTCTGTTTTATGAGAGAGTAGGATTGCAACCCCTGCTTTTTTTTTGTTTTGTAGATCTTCCTCCGTCCGTTTATTTTGAGCCTATGCATGTCTCTGCACGTGAGATGGGTTTGCTGAATACAGCACACTGATGGGTCTTGACTCTTTATCCAATTTGCCAGTCTGTGTCTTTTAATTGGAGCATTTAGCCCATTTACATTTAAGGTTAATATTGTTATATATGAATTTAATCCTGTCATTATGATGTTAGCTGGTTATTTTGCTTGTTAGTTGATGCAGTTTCATCCTAGCATCGACGGTCTTTACAATTTGGCATTTTTTGGCAGTGGCTAGTACTGGTTGTTCCTTTCCATGTTTAGTGCTTCCTTCAGGAGCTCTTGTAAGGCAGGCCTGGTGGTGACAAAATCTCTTAGCCTTTGCTTGTCTGTAAAGTATTTTATTTCTCCTTCACTTACGAAGCTTAGTTTGGGTGGATATAAAATTCTGGGTTGAAAATTCTTTTCTTTAAGGATGTTGAATATTGGCCCCAACTCTCTTTTGGCTTGTAGAGTTTCTGCCGAGAGGTCTGCTGTTAATCTGATGGGCTTCCCTTTGTGGGTAGCCTGATCTTTTTCTCTGGCTGCCCTTAACATTTTTTCTTCATTTCAACTTTGGTGAATCTGACAATTACGTGCCTTGGAGTTGCTCTTCTCGAGGAGTATCTTTGTGGCATTCTCCGAATTTCCTGAATTTGAGTGTTGGCCTCCGTCGCTAGGTTGGGGAAGTTCTCCTGGATAATATCCTGCAGAGTGTTTTCCAACTTGGTTCCATTCTCCCTGTCCATTTCAGGTACACCAATCAGACATAGATTTGGTCTTTTCACATAATCCCATATTTCTTTGAGGCTTTGTTCATTTCTTTTTACTCTTTTTTCTCTAAACTTCTTTTCTTACTTCTTTTCATTCATTTGAACTCCAATCACTCATACCCTTTCTTCCACTTGATTGAATCAGCTACTCAAGCTTGTGCATGCATCACATAGTTCTCATGCCATGGTTTTCAGCTCCATTAGGTCATTTAAGGTCTTCTCTATGCTGTTTATTGTAGGTAGCCATTTGTCTAATCTTTTTTCAACGTTTTTAGCTTCTTTGCAATGGGTCGGAACATCCTCCTTTAGCCCAGAGAAGTTTGTTATTACTGATCATCTGAACCCTTCTTCTGTCAACCCATCAAAGTCGTTCTCCATCCATCTTTGATCCATTGCTGGTGAGGAGCTGTGTTCCTTTGGAGGAGAAGAGGCACTCTGATTTTTAGAATTTTCAGCTTTTCTGCTCTAGTTTCTCCTTATCTTTGTGGTTTTATCTACCTTTGGTCTTTAATGATGGTGACGTACAGATGGGGTTTTCGTGTGATGTAATTTCTGTTTGTCAGTTTTCCTTCTAACAGTCAGGACCCTCAGCTGCAGGTCTGTTGGACTTTGCTGGAGTTCCACTCCAGATGCTGTTTGCCTGGGTATCACCAGTGGAGGCTGCAGAATAGCAAATATTGCACAATGGTAAATGTTGCTGCCTGATCCTTCCTCTGGAAGCTTCGTCTCAGAGGGGCACCTAGCTGTATGAGGTGTCAGTTGGCCCCTACTGGGAGGTGTCTCCAAGTTAGGCTACTCAGGGGTCAGAGACTCACTTGAGGAGGCAGTCTGTCCATTCTCAGATCTCAAACTCCGTGCTGGGAGAACCACTACTCTTTTCAAAGCTGTCAGACAGGGATGTTTAAGTCTGCAGAAGTTTCTGCTGCCCTTTGTTCAGCTATGCCCTGCCCCAAGATGTGGAGTCTACAGAGGCAGGCAGCCCTCCTTAAGCTGCAGTGGGCTCCACCCAGTTCGAGCTTCCCAGCTGCTTTGTTTACCTACTAAAGCCTCAGCAATGGCAGACACCCCTCTCTCAGCCTTGCTGCCACCTTGCAGTTTGATCTCAGACTTCTGTGCTAGCAGTGAGCCAGGCTCCGTGGGCGTGGAACCCTCCAAGCCAGGTGTGAGATATAATCTCCTGGTGTGCCGTTTGCTAAGACGATTGGAAAAGCACAGTATTAGGGTGGTAGTGTCCCAATTTTCCAGGTACCATCAGTCATGGCTTCCCTTGACTGGGAAGGGAATTCCCCGACCCATTGTGATTCCTGGGTGAGGTGATGCCCTGACCTGCTTCAGCTCACAGTCTGTGGATTGCACCCACTGTCCAACAAGCCCCAGTGAGATGAACCTTGTACCTCAGTTGGAAATGCAGAAATCTCCCATCTTCTGCATCACTCATGATGGGAGCTGTAGACTGGGGCTGTTCCTATTTGGCCATCTTGGAGGGAGTTGCTTATGGGGATTTTTTGTTGTTGTTGATTCTGTTGTTGTTGCTTTTCTGTTTTTGTATGTTTGTTTTATGTTTTCTTTTTTCTTTTTTTTTTTTCCCAATAGTCAAGTTCCTCTTCTGTAGAACTGCCTTGGATTTCTGGGGATTCACTTCAGGCCCTATTCATCCGGTTTGCTCCCATGCTTGGAGATGTCACTTGAGAAGGCTGGAGAATAGCAAAGGTGGGTGCCTGCTCCTCCCTCTGTGATCTCTGACCTCAAGGGTCACTGAACTTATGTTGGTAGAAACGTTCCTGTAAAGGATGTCTGACAACCCCTGTTGGGAGGTCTCACCCAGTTGGGTAGCCAGGGAAGCAGGACCCATTTAACGAGGCACTTTGGCTGTCTCTTGGTGGAGGGGCTCTGCTGCGCTGGGGGAAACCCACTCCTCTGGAGTTCCTGGATTTCTCAGAGCTAGCAGAAGGAAAGACCAAGTCTGCTGGTCCAAAGGGACTATGGCCACCCCTCCACCTAAGGGTTCATGCCCTGGGAGATTAGAGTTCTGTCCCTGAGCCCCTGGCTGGAGTTGGAATTCCTGCTGGAGGCCCTGCAGCCTCAGAGTTGGCTGCTGTCCCTCCCCCACGGAGCTAATATGGCTTAGACTGCAGGCAGCCACAGCAGTGGTGATGGCCACCACTTCCCCCAGGAACTTGACAGACTTAGGCTGATTCCAGCCTAGTGGGTGTTGAGAATCTGTGCAGCTCTGTAGTTGAGACCCAAGGTCCCAGTGGCATGGGCTCCTGAGTGGAATCTTCCAATCTGTGGGTTGCATAATTCTGTGGAAAAAGCATGGTTTCCCAGGCTGGGTAGCACGCCCACTCACCACCTCCCTTGGCTGGGGTGAGGACTCTCCTGCCCTGTGTGGCTCTCAGGTGGTCTGCTGCACTACACAGCTTTTCTTTCCTCTCCATGGGTCATGACAGCCACCTAGTCAGTTCTAATGACAAAACCTGGATACCTCAGTTGCTGGTGCAGTATTCACACACTGTTTTGGATCTTTTTGTTGGAAGCCTCCAACTGCCACTGCTTCTAGTTATCCACCTTGGCCCTGCCCCCCATAAATCTTAAGTGAAGGCCTGTTTAAATATTTTGCCTACTTAAAAATTGGGGTTTTTATTGTTTAGTTGTATTCAGTTATATATTCTGGATACAAGTCCTTTATCATATATGTGCTGTGCAATATTTTCTCCCAGTCTGTAGCTTGTCTTTCCATTTTCTGAACAGTGTAAGATGTAAGCTGTAAGCTCTACTTTTAAAATGTATTCACAATCCCACCACTTCTCATGTCTTCTATGCTGCTATGCTAGTCCAGGTCACCATCATCTCTTGCTTAGACCACTGCAATAGTATCCTAGTTGATCTCCTTGCTTCCACTTTTGTCTCCATTAAGTGTATTCTCCACATAGTAGCAAGAGTGATGTCATTAAAACTTAAAACATATTATGTCATTACCTGTTTAAAACCATTTAAATTTCCATTTTGGAGTAAAAGCCAAAGTCCTTAAAATGGTCTATAAAGTCTTATATGATCTGCAAAACCCTTTCTACTTGTCACCCCTCTGACCTCTTCTACTACTCTCCTCTTCATCCATTTTATTCCGGATTCACTGACTTTTTTTTTTTTTTTTTTTTTTTTTTTTGCTACTCCTCAAAATTCTAAGCACGTTTATATCTTTGCATTTGCTGTCTTCCTTGGAACAGTCCTCTCCTAGATATGTTCATGGCTTACTCTCTCACCTTTTTTAGGTGAGACCTTCTCATTGAAGCCTTCTCTGTCTTTTTTCATCTCCTTTTTTCTGACTTATTTTTCCACAACATTTATCATCATCAGATATATAATATAATTTACTTATTTGTTTAAGTTTACTATATATCTTTCTCCCACCAGCGTGTAAGTTCCATAAGGAGATAATTTTTTTCTGTTCTGTTCAAGGCTGTATACCAGTCTAGAATAATTCTTAGCAAATAGTAGATGCTCAATGATGATTTTCCTAATGAATGAATGATTTTCTGTGTGTAGCTTCCTGTCCCAATTTTTTAACACTACGCTCTGCTAACCACCTTATCTCAGACCCAAATGCCATGAATCTGGCTTATCTGTCACCTATTCTGGTTGTATTCCTTAGAATCCAATTCATTGCCTGCCAGACTGAACTTCCTTCAGATACCTATCTCTTTGAAAGAAGGGATCTAGTTCTACATCCCAGCACCTTTCTTTTCGTCCTTCTCTATTGTAGTCAAACAAGTCTTATAAGTCTGCGTCCTAAGATATCTGCAGAATATGGAACATTATGTTTTCACTTTGTGGCAGGGAAGCTGACAAAACTCCATAGTAGAGTGAACATCCTTCCAGAGAAAAGCCTCCAGATTTTTCCTGGCCCAGCCTGTCTTCCATAATGCAAAGAGCAAGAAACCACTGACACTTGCCAAGAGTCTTTGTACAGTCACGATGAATCACAAACCACTTTACTTCTCAAGCCAGATATGGTATAGCTAGTGTAGCAGCTTGTAATTTAATGATCAAAGCTGAACCTCATGACTCTCACTCTTGAGAACCACAAAACTCAACCATATGACCCTCACTTTTGAGACTCTTCTCTACCTCTAATGACAGGAGGGGTCAACTTAAAGGCTACAGATGCAGAGAGCAGATGGATTTGAAGGTATAACTCACAAATATTACAGATTTGGTTTCAGACCACTGCAATAAAGTGAATATAGCAATAAAGTGGGTCATTAAAATTTATTGGTATCTCAGTGCATATAAAAGTTTTATTTATACTATACTGAAATCTACTGTGTGCAATAGCATTATGTCTAAAAAATGTATGTATCTTATCAAAAATAGTTTATTGCAAAAAATGCATATGATCATCTGAGCCCTCGAGGAGTTGTAATCTTTTTACTGGTGGAGGCTTTGCTCAATGATGATGGCTGCTGACTGATCAAGGTGGTGTATGCTGAAGGTTGAGATGGTTGTGGCAATTTCTTAATGTAACAATGAAGTTTGCCACATTAATTGGCTCTTCCTTTCACAAAATTTTTCTATGTAGCATGTGGTGCTGTTTGATAGCAATTTACCCACTGTAGAACTCCTTCTTTTTTTTTAAATTATTATTATACTTTAAGTTTTAGGATACATGTGCACAACGTGCAGGTTTGTTACATATGTATACATGTGCCATGTTGGTGTGCTGCACCGATTAACTCCTCATTTACATTAGGTATATCTACTAATGTTATCCCTCCACCCTCCCCCCACCCGACAACAGGCCCCAGTGTGTGATGTTCCTCTTCCTGTGTCCATGTGTACTCATAGTTCAATTCCCACCTATGAGTGAGAACATGCGGTGTTCGGTTTTTTGTCCTTGTGATAGTTTGCTGAGAAAGATGGTTTCCAGCTTCATCCATGTCCCTGCAAAGGACATGAACTCATCCTTTTTTATGGCTGCATAGTATTCCATGGTGTATATGTGCCACATTTTCTTAATCCAGTCTATCACTGTTGGACATTTGGGTTGGTTCCAAGTCTTTGCTATTGTGAATAGTGCCGCAATAAACATACGTGTGCATGTGTCTTTATAGCAGCATGATTTATAGTCCTTTGGGTATATACCCAGTAATGGGATGGCTGGGTCAAATGATATTTCTAGTTCTAGATCCCTGAGGAATCGCCACACTGACTTCCACAATGGTTGAACTAGTTTACAGTCCCATCAACCGTGTAAAAGTGTTCCTATTTCTCCACATCCTCTCCAGCACCTGTTGTTTCCTGACTTTTTAATGATCGCCATTTTAACTGGTGTGAGATGGCATCTCATTGTGGTTTTGATTTGCATTTCTCTGATGGCCAGTGATGATGAGCATGTTCTCATGTGTCTTTTGGCTGCATAAATGTCTTCTTTTGAGAAGTGTCTGTTCATATCCTTCACCCACTTTTTGATGGGGTTGTTTGTTTTTTTCTTATAAATTTGTCTGAGTTCATTGTAGATTCTGGATATTAGCCATTTGTCAGATGAGTAGGTTGCAAAAATTTTCTCCCATTCTGTAGGTTGCCTGTTCACTCTGATGGTAGTTTCTTTTGCTGTGTAGAAGCTCTTTAGTTTAATTAGATCCCATTTGTCAATTTTGGCTTTTGTTGCCACTGTTTTTGGTGTTTTAGACATGAAGTCCTTGCCCATGCCTATGTCCTGAATGGTATTGCCTAGGTTTTCTTCTAGGGTTTTTATGGTTTTAGGTCTAACATGTAAGTCTTTAATCCATCTTGAATTAATTTTTGTATAAGGTGTAAGGAAGGGATCCAGTTTCAGCTTTCTACATATGGCTAGCCAGTTTTGCCAGCACCATTTATTAAATAGGGAATCCTTTCCCTATTGCTTGTTTTTGTCAGGTTTGTCAAAGATCAGATAGTTGTAGATATGCGGCATTATTTCTGAGGGCTCTGTTTTGTTCCATTGGTCTACATCTCTAGAGGTAGTCTTTTAATCACTTAAATCTTAAATCGGCTTCATTTCCTGTAACCATCTTGTAATTGAATGTTGATATCTTTCTCTAGGTTTGGAAATTTCTCTGTTATTATCCTTTTGAATAAATTTTCTACCCCATCTCTTTCTCTACCTCCACATTAAGTCCAATAAATCTTAGATTTGCCCTTTTGAGGCTGTTTTCTGGATCCTGTAGGTGTGCTTCATTTTTTTTTTTATTTTGTCTCCTCTGATTGTGTATTTTCAAATAGCCTATCTTCAAGCTCATTAATTCTGTCTTCTGCTTGATCCATTTTTCCATTAAAGAACTCTAATGTATTCTTCAGTATGCATTTTTTAGCTCCAGAATTTCTGCTCGATTTTTAATACTTATTTGAATCTCTTTGTTAAATTTATCTAAGAAACTTTTGAATTTCTTCTTTGTGTTATCTTGAATTTTTTTTAGTTTCTTCAACACAGCTATTTTGAATTCTCTGTGTGAAAAGTCACATATCTCTGTTTTGCCAGGATTGGTCCCTGGTGGCTTATTTACTTCATTGTTTGAGGTCATGTTTTCCTGGATGATGTTGATGCTAGCAGTTGCACTTTGGTGTCTGGGCATTGAAGAGTTGGGTATTTATTGTAGCCTTCACTGTCTGGATTTATTTGTAGCCATACATCTTGAGAAGGCTTTCCAGCTATTTGAAAGAACTTGATTGCTGTCTTCTTAGGTGTTTCTGCTATAGTGGACACCCCAGGCACAGTAATTCTGTGGTTCTTACAGACTCATAGAGGTACTGCCTTGATGGTCTCGGACAAGATCCAAGAGAATTTTCTGGGTTGTCAGGCAGAAACTCTTGTTCTCTCCCCTTACTTTCTCCCAAACATACAGTCTCTTTTTCTGTTTTGAGCCACCTAAAGCTGGTGGCAGAGTGACACAAACAACCTGGTGGCTATTACCACTATGACTGCACTGGGTCAGACCTGAAGCCAGCACAGAACTGTGTCTCATGCAAGGTCTGCTATAACAACTCCCTGGCTACTGCTTATGTTCACTTAAGGCCTTAGGGCTCTACAATTAGCAGATGGCAAAGCCAGCTAGGCCTGTATTCTTCCCTCCAGGTTGGTGAATTCCCCTAAACCAAACATGTGTCCAGAAGTGCCATCCAGGAGTCAGTCAAAAACCTTAGAAGTCTACCTTGCATTGTATTGTATTGCAGCTGAGCTGTCACTCAAACCACAAGACATGGTTCTTCCCACTCTTTCCTTCCCTTTCCAAAGACAGAGAAGCCTCACCTTGTAGTCACCACAACTTCTGGCCACGAGGAGTACTGTCAGATGACCACTGATATCGCCCTAAGGCCCAAGGTCTCTTAAGTCAGCTTGTGGTGAATGCTGCCTTGCCTGGGACTTACCCTTCTGACCTAGGGCAGGTCCAGAAATGCCATCCAGGAGGAGTCAAGTCCTGAAATTGGGGACCTCAGGAGCCCACTTGGTGCTCTATCCCCCTGTGGTGGTGTTGGTACCTAAGGTGCAAGACAAAGTCCCTTTTACTTTTTCCTCTGCTTTTCTCAAGCAGAATAAATTTTGCCCCATAGCCACCACAGCTGGTAATATGCTGAGTCTCACCTGAAGCCAGGAAGTCTCAGAGGCTTATCCAGTCTCTTGATGTAGTAGCTGGGTATTATTGCTGGTTTTTTAGGGCCCAAGGGCTCTTCAGGTAGCAGGTAATGAATGTTGTCTGTACTAAGTCCTTTCCTTCAAGACAGTGACTTCCCTTCTGGCCCAGAAGGTGTCTAGGAATGTTGTCTTGGAGCTAGGCCCTGGAACAGGGGCCTCACAACATTGACTGTTGCCTTTTTCTGCTGTGGCTGAGCTGGTACTTAAGATGTAAGACAAAGTATTTTCCACTCTTTCATCAAGTGGAAGGAAGAGGTCTCTTTTGGCGCCTTGAACTTTGCAGACTGGGGCTATGGGAGGGGGTATGCTAGTACTCCTTTGACTGCCCCAGCTGGTTTCTCAGTATGTCACATGGCACCCTCCACAGCAGTCCACTCTCTCTGGACCTAGTTCAGCCTCTAGAACTGCTGACGAATTGAAGCCTTTATGGCCTAGACTGCCTTTTGCATTTGCTTAGAGACCAAGAGAACTTTGGCCCTTGTTGATGAGGTTTGCAGCTACTCAGGTTCAGATCACTGGGATCAGTGATTCCTCTCTGGCTGGGGTTAATTTAAATGCTCCCTCTGTGGGCGGGCCTCAGCTGAGTTTGGTCTAGTTTCTCTTTCTGTCTTAACAGGACAGCACTGAGTTCAAGGCCTCAGAATTGCAGTGTTCTTCCTCTCCCAGTGCCCAGAGATGCTCTCTACACCATGCTGCTGCTGCTGGGGGTAGGAAAAGGGTAGGATTGGTGATTCAGGGCTTTTTTCTATCTCTTCAGTGCCTCTTTCAGCAATACCAAGAAAATGGAAAGCAAAAAAAAAAAAAAAAAGCAAAGGTTGCAATCCTAGTCTCTGATAAAACAGACTTGAAGCCAACAAAGGTCAAAAAAGACAAAGAAGGACATTACATAATGGTAAAGGGGCTAATTTAACAAGAAGTGCTAACTATTCTAAATACATGTACACCCAATCCAGGAGCATCCAGATTCATAAAACAAGTTCTTAGGGACCTACAAAGAGACCCAGACTCTCACACCATAACAGTGGGAGACTTTTACACTACATTGTCTATATTAGACAGATCAATGAGACAGGAAATTAACCAGGATATTCAGGACTTGAACTCAGCTCTGGACCAAGCAGACCTAATAGACATCTACGGAACTCTCCACCCCAAATCAACAGAATATACATTCTTCTCAGCACACATAGCACTTATTCTAAAATCAACCACATAATTGGAAGTAAAACACCCCTCAGCAAATGCAAAAGGATGGAAATTATAACAAGCAGTCTCTCAGTCCACAGTGCAATCAAATGAGAACTCTGAATTAAGAAACTCACTCAAAATAGCACAATTACATGAAAACTGAAAAACCTACTCCTGCGTGGATACTGGGTAAATAACGAAATTAAGGCAGAAATAAAGAAGTTCTTTGAAACCAATGAGAACTAATAGAGAACATACTAGAATCTCTGGGACACAGCTAAAACAGTGTTAAGAGGGAAACTTATAGCACTAAGTGCCCACATCAGAAAGTGGGAATGACCTAAAATCAATGCACTAACATCACAATTGAAAGAACTAGAGAAGCAAGAGCAAAAAATTTCAAAATATAGCAGAAGACAAGAAATAACTAAATTAGGGCAGAACTGAATGGGATAGAGAAACGAAAAACCCTTCAAAAAAATCACTGACATCCAGGCGAACACGGTGAAACCTTGTCTCTACTAAAAATACCAAAAAAAAAAAATAAATAACCAGGCATGGTGGCAGGCACCTCTAGTCCCAACTACTTGGGAGGCTGAGGCAGGAGAATGGCGTGAACCCAGGAGGCAGAGCTTGCAGTGAACTGAGATCCCACCACTGTACCAGCCTGGGTGACAGAGCGAGACTTTGTCTCAAAAAAAAAAAAAAAAAAAAATCACTGAATCCAGAAGTTGTTTTTTTGAAAATACTAACCAAATTGATAGACTGCTAGCTAGACTAATAAAGAAGAAAAGAGAGAAGAAAAAAAAGCACAATAAAAAATAATAAAGGGCACATCACCACTGATCCCACAGAAATAAAAACTACCATTGGAGAACACTATAAACACCTCTATGCAAATAAACTAGAAAATCTAGAAGAAATGGATAAATTCCTGGACACATACACCTTCCCAAGACTAAACCAGGAAGAATTTGAATCCCTGAAAAGACCAATAAAAAGTTGTATAATTGAGGCAGTAATTAATAGCCTACTAACCAAAAAAAGCCCAGTATCAGATGGATTCACAGCCAAATTCTACCAGAGGCACAAAGAGGAGCTTGTACCATTCCTTCTGAAACTATTCCAACCTTCAGAATAAAAAATACTCCTCCCTAACTCATTTTGTTAGGCCAGCATCATCCTGATATGAAAACCTGGCATATACACAACAACAACAACAAAAATTTCAGGTCAACATCTCTGAAGAACAACAATGCGAAAATCCTCAATAAAATACTGGCAAACTGAATCCAGCAGCACATCAAAAAGATTATCCACCATGATCAAGTTGGCTTCATCCCTGGGATGCAAGGATGTTTCAACATACGCAAATCAATAAACATAATACATCACAGAAAAACAGAACCAATGGCTAAAATCACACGATTATCTCAATAGATGCAGAAATGGTCTTCAATAAAATTCAACAACCTTCATGCTAAAAACTGCCAATAAACTAGGTATTGATGAAACATATCTCAAAATAATGAGAGCTATTTATAGTCAATACCATACTGAATGGGCAAAATCTGAAAGCATTCCCCTTGAAAACCAGCACAAGACAAGGATGCCCTCTCTCCCACTTTTATTCAACAAAGTATTAAAAGTTCTGACCAGGGCCATCGGGCAGGAGAAAGAAATAAAATATATTCAAATAGGAAGAGAGGATGTCAAATTGTCTCTGTTTGCAGTTGACATGATTCAATATTTAGAAAACCCCATCATCTCAGCCCAAAAACTCCTTAAGCCTATAAGCAACTTCAGCAAAGTCCCAGTATAGAAAATCAACATGCAAAAATCACAAGCATTCCTATACAACAGTAATGCACAAACAGAGAGCCAAATCATGAGTGAACTCCCATTCACAATTGCTACAAAGAGAATAAAATACCTAGGAATACAACTTACAATGGACAAGAAGGAGGTCTTCAAAAAGAACTACAAACCACTTCTCAAGAAAATAAGAGAGGACACAAACAAATGGAAAAAAATTCCATGCTCATAGATAGGTAGAACCAATATTGTGAAAATGGCCATCTTGCCCAAAGTATTTTACAGATTCAATGCTATTCTCATTAAGCTACCATTGACTTTCTTCATATTATTAGAAAAAACTACTTTAAATTTTATATGGAAACAAAAAGAGCCCATATAGCCCAGCCAATTCTAAGCAAAAAGAACAAAACTGAAGGCATCACTGTACCTGACTTCAAACTATACTACAAAGCTACAGTATTCAAAACAGCCTTTTTACTGGTACCAAAACAGATATATAGACCAATGGAATATAACAGAGGCCTCAGATATAACACCACACATCTACAAGCATCTGATCTTGGACAAACCTGACAAAAACAAGCAATGGGGAAAGGATTCCCTATTTAAAAAATGGTGCTGGAAAAACTGGCTAGCCATATGCAGAAAACAGAAACTGGACCTCTTCCTTACACTTCATGCAAAAATTAACTCAAGATGGATTAGACACTTAAACGTAAGACCTAAAACTTAGGTCTAAAATTTAATTAGATCCCATTTGTCAATTTTGGCTTTTGTTGCAATTGTTTTTGGCATTTTCATCATGAAGTCTTTTCCCATGCCTATGTCCTGAATGGTATTGCCTAGGTTTCTTCTAGGGTTTTTATGGTTTTGGATTTTACGTTTAAGTGTTTAATCCATCTTGGGTTGATTTTTGTATATGATATAAGAAAGCGGTCCAGTTTCTGTTTTCTGGATATGGCTAGCCGGTTTTCCCAGCACCATTTATTGAATAGAAGATCCTTTACCCATTGCTCATTTTTGTCATGAGGATGAAATGTTTTTCCATTTTTTTGTGTGTGTGCTTTCTGATTTCCTTGAGCAGTGGTTTGTAGCTCTTCTTGAAGAGATCATTCACATCCTTTGTTAGCTGTATTTGTAGGTATTTTATTTTCTTCATAGCAATTGTGAATGGGAGTTCATTCATGATTTGGCTGTCTGCTTGTCTATTGTTGGTGTAAAGGAATGCTTGCAATTTTTGCACATTGATTTTGCATCCTGAGATTTCACTAAAATTGGTTATAGGCTTAAAGAGTTTTTGGACTGAGATAATGGGTTTTTCTAAATATACAATCATGTCGTCTGCAAACAAAAACAATTTGACTTCCTCTCTTCCTATTTCCATACCATTTCTTTCTTTCTCTTGCCTGATTGCCCTAACCAGAACTTCCAATACTATGTCGAACAGTAGTGGTGAGAGAGGGCATCCTTGTCTTGTACCTGTTTTCAAAGGGAATGCTTCCAGCTTTTGCCCATTCAATATGATATTGGCTGTGGGTTTGCCATAAATTTATCTTATTATTTTGAGATATGTTCCATAAATAACTAGTTTATTGAGAGTTTTTAGCATGAAGCGATGTTGAATTTTATCAAAGACCTTTTCTGCATCTATTGAGATAATCATGTGTTTTTTGTCTTTGGTTCTGTTTTTGTGATGGATTATGTTTATCAATTTGTGTATGTTGAACAGCCTTGCATCCCAGGAATGAAGCCGACTTGATCGTGGTGGATAAGTTTTTTGATATGCTGCTGGATTCGGCTTGCCAGTATTTTATTGAGCATTTTCTCATGGACGTTCATCAGGGATATTTGCATGAAGTTTTCTCTTTTTTGTTGTGTCTCTGCCCGGTTTTGGTATCAGGATGATACTGGCTTCATCAAATGAGTTAGAGAGGAGTCCCTCCTTTTCAAGTGTTCGGAATCGTTTCAGAAGAAATGATATCAGCTCCTCTTTGTTAGATATGTACTTTCAATGCCTAGTTTGTTGCAGATTTTCTGTCTTGAAGGGATGTTGAATTTATTGTTTTTGTTTTTAATTCTGTTTATGTTTTGAGTCACATTTATTGATTTGCATATTTTGAACCAACCTTGAATCTCAAGAATGAAGCCTACTTCTTTATGGTGAATTACCTTTTTCATGTGCTGCTGGTTTTAGTTTGTATTTTATTGAGGACTTCTGTGGCTATGTTCATCAGGGGTATTGGTCTCTAATTTTTTTTTTTTTTTCGGTTGTGCCTTTGCCAGGTTTTCATATGACATTGATGCTGGCTTGTTAAAATGAGTTAGACAGGAGTTCCTCTTTGATTTTTTGAAATAGTTTTAGTAGAGTTGGTACCAGCTCTTCTTTGAATATATGGTAGAATTTTTCTGTCAATTCATCTAGTCTGTGGCCTTTTTTGGTTGGTAGGTTATTACTGATTCAATTTCAGAACTTGATATTGTTTTGTTCAGAGTTCCAATTTTTTCCTGATTCAATCTTGTGAGGTTGTATATTTCCAGGAATTCATCCATTTCCCCTAGATTTTCTAGTTTGTGTGCACAGAGGCGTTCACAATAGTGTCTGAAAATCTTTTGCATTATTGTGGGATTGGTTGTGATGTCACCTTTGTTGTTTCAGATTGTGGTTATTTGAATCTTCTCCCATTTTTTTCTTTGTTAATCTAGCTACTGGCCTATTGATCTTGTTTATCCTTACAAAAACCAACTTTCGGTTTTTTTTTTTTTGATTCTTTGCATGAATATTTGAGTCTCAACTTCATTTGCTTCTGCTTCCATTTTACTTATTTCTTTTTTTCTCCTAGCTTTGGTATTAATTTGTCTCTATTCTTCTAGTTCCTCTAGATATGATATTATATCATTAATTTGAGATCTCCTAACTTTTTGAGATAGGTGTATAGTGCTACAAACTTTTCTGTTAGCACTGCTTTTGCTGTATCCCAGAGATTTTGATGTGTTGTGTCTCTGTTTTCATTAATTTCAAATAATTTTTGATGTCTGCATTAATTTCATTTTTTTACCAAAAAGCCATTCAGAAGCAAGTTTTTCAATTTCCATGTAATTGTGTAGTTTTGAGAGATTTTATTGGTATTGATTTGTACTTTTATTGCACCATGGTCCAAGAGTATATTTGGTATGACTTAAATTTTTTTTAAATGTACTGAGACTTGCTTTATGGCTGACCATGTAATTGATCTTGGAGTATATTCTGTGTGCAGATGAGAAGAATGTATATTTTGTTGTTAATGGGTGGAACATTTTGTGGATGTCTATTAGGTTCAATTTTGGTCAAGTGTTGAATTTAATTCCAGAACTTCTTTATTAGTTGTCTGCCTTGATGATCTGTCTAACGCTGTCAGTAGGGTGTTGAAGCTCTCCACTATAATTGTGTGGCTGCCTATGCTTTATTGTAGGTCTGGAAGTACTTGTTTTATGAATATGGGTATTGCAATGTTGGATACCTATCTAGTTAGTATAGTTAAGTCTTGTTGAATTGAATCCTCTATAAGTATGTGATGCCCTTCTTTCTTCTTTTTTACTGTTGTTGGCTTAAAGACTGTTTTATCTGATATAAGAATAGTAGCCCCTGTTTTTTTGTTTTTTATTTGTGTGATAGATCTTTCTCCAACCCTTTACTTTGAGCCTAAGGCTGTCATTACATGTAAGGTGGGTCTCTTTTTTTTGTTATTGTTGTTGTTTTTTCATACTTGCCACTCATGGCTTGTAGGTGGGGCATTAACATCATTAACATTCAACATTAATATTGATATGTGCGGTTTTTATCCTACTATGAAGTTGTTAGCTGGTTGCTGTGTAGTTTCTGTTGTGTGATTGCTTTATAGGGTGAGTGGCCTATGTACTGAAGTGTGTTTTTGTGGAAGCAGGTATTGTTCTTTTATTTCCATGTTTAGATCTCCCTTAAGGATCTCTTGTAAGCCTGATCTGGTGCTAATAAATTCCTTTACACCTTGCTTACTTGGAAAATATTTCATTTCTCCTTCACTTCTGAAGCTTAGTTCAGTGGGACAAAAAATTCTTGGTTGGAATTTATTTCCTGAAGAATGCTGAAACTAAGCCCCCAGCTTTTAATCTTCCTGCTGAGAAATTTGCTCTTAGCCTGATGGGGTTCCTTTTGCACATGATGTGACCTTTTCCTCTAGGTGTCTTTAAGATTTTTCTTTAGTGTTGACCTTGAACAGTCTGGTGACTATATGCCTTGGTAATGTTTTGTTTGTATAGTATCTCATAAGGTGTTCTCCAGATCTCTTGTATCTGGATTTGTACCTGTCTAGCAAGGTTAGTGGATTTTTAAAAAAATTATTATTTCATACATGTTTTCCAAGTTGTTTACTTTCTCTTCTCTCTCAAGAGTGCCAATAATTTGTAGTTTGGTAACTTTACACAATCTCATACTTCTCAAAGATTTTCTTTATTGTTTTTTAATTCAATTTTCTTTATTTTTGTCTGACTGGTTTAGTTCAAAAGAATGGTCATCAAACTCTGAAATTCTTTCTTCTGCTTGGTCCAGTCTATTGATGAAGCTTTCAATTGGTTTTTGAAATTTCTTAAGTAAGTTTTTCAGTTTCAGAAGCTCTAATTTATTTCCTTTTGCAATGTTTATCTTTTCCTTCATTTTCTGGATTGATTTAGAAGGTTTTTTGTGTTGATTTTCAATCTTCTTTTGGATCTCATTGAGCTTCCTTTTATTCCATGTTTTGAATTCTTTGTCACTTCTGAGTTTCCATTTTGGTTAGAAACCATTTGTGGAGAACTAATGTTATCATTTAGTGGAGTCATTACACTCCATTTGAATTCTTTGAATTCTTTGTCATTTTTGAGTTTCCATTTTGGTTAGAAACCATTTGTGGAGAACTAATGTTCTCATTTAGTGGAGTCATTACACATAGATTTTTCATGATGACATAATCTCTGTGCTGGTTTCTTTTCATCTGGAGACACTGACACTTTTAATTTTTGTAATTATTTTCCTGGTTAGAGACTTTTTTCTTTCCTTCTCAATAATATTGTCATTTTGCATTTTCCTTTCCTTTCTGTTACTCTGTAAGGGATATGACTGTATAGAAGGCTGGGTAGGGTCTTTTGGCTTTGCTTCTGTAGCCTTATGTACTTCTCTTGGCAAGTTTTATATTGGGCTTTATGATTCACCATACAAGCCAATAGATAGCACTTATTGATAAGAGCCAGCTGTGGCCATTGTGGCTGGGAATATACATGATTTTTGCTTACTGGGAGAAGTTATATGTTGACTCAGGCAATGGGCTGATCCATGGAGTGTACAGTGATCTGAGCTCCCTGCTCAGCTCCAAGCAGTACCAAGATGGGTGGGTCCAGAGTAGGCAGGCCTACTCACAGGCCTCTCAATGGCAGGCACAAGCACCAGCACCAAGGGATAATCCAGTTTGCCCAGATGTGTGCCTAATGTGGATAACCAAGTGCCCAGATGTGTGCCCAAATGTGGAAGTGGAGCTAGTAAACCTCCTTGGTCCCAAGTACTCTTTATGGGGGGTGGCCTAAAGTCCTAATCCAGGAGAGTGGGTGTTCCAGCTGCTTTCAGATCTGCCTGGGTGTGTAGTATAGAATGCCCAAATGCACCAGAATCTCTGTTTAGGAAGGGTTGGATGGTTCAGGCTGCTAATCCAGGCAAGCAGCTGTTTTGAATGCAAGATATACCTCGATGTGAAGTGTGGACAGCCCCACTTCACCATGATCTCTTCGCAGAAAGGATAGGGCTACTCAGGCTACTAATTCAGGTGAGCAGGTCCTTCAAATGCCTGGAGATCTGCTTGGGCATGGAGTGGAGAGGGCCCTGTTCCACCACAGCCTCTGTGCAGGAAGGATGAGTAACTCAGGCTGCTGATCCACACAAACAGGTGCTCTGACTACCTGTAGATCTACCTGGATGTGAAGCAGAGAGGGCCCCAATTCACCACAGTCTCTGCACAATAAGGGTGGGGTGACTCAGACTGCTGATTCAGGCAAGTAGGTGCTCCAAATACCTGGACATCTGCTGGGTGTGAACTGAAGAGGGCACTCCTGCACCACAATGTATGCCCAGGAAGAATGGGGCAACTTGAGCTGCTGTTTCAGGCAAATGGGTGTTCCAAATGGTTGGAGTTCTGCCTGGTGATAGAATGGAGGGGGTTGCACTACACCACCATCTCAGGGAAACAGGCTGGGACATCTATCAGTGACACACCAACCTTACCAGGTTACCAAGTTGGCCCTTGCTGCAAGTATTCTTGCCCAAAAGAAACCCTGACTTTAGTGGCTCCCAGGGAGACAGGATGGGGAAGAGCACATTCTCACCTTCTGCAATGGGGTAGAGCATTTCTGGCACCTAATGCTTAGGTGCTTTCCACAATTCTGTCTGGGAAAGCCCCTACCCTACTCCAATCTTTGGCCTGAAACTAAAATGCTGGCACAGCCATGCTGTTGGGTCACCAAAGAATAACTGACTTTGTATGTGCCTGGATTAAAAGTGACATCCTGCTCTTAGTCCCAGGTCTGGGAGGATACCTGCAGCTTTTCTCAGTGTCTTTCCCTCTGAGCACTTTCAAGCCTCTCCTGAAATTAGTTCCAAGGCTGAAAGAAATAAAGGGCTTCCCTTGTCCTGGTTTGCTCAGATCTCCAGGGGAAAGGTAAATCACAGAGGGAGGCTTTTTGCCTCTCTCATGTACTGGGGCTTCATGCAATTTTATCAGTTGGATGCCATCAAAGGAGCTGTTTTCTTATGATCTTCTTTCCAGGATCAGGAGTGTCATTCACAATTCTGGTAGATTCCTGTTTTTCTTCTTAAATTAAAGCTCACAGAATTGATCTTTATGCACTTTTTACTATTTTCAAGTGGCTGCGCCATGATAAAAGCCTCTAATTTACTGTGTTGGAAAAAACTTTTTTCAAAATAGGAATCAATTTTCCCATACCTTTTCACTGCTTTGTCAACTAAGTTTATGTAATATTCTAAATACATATATTTATGTATTTATGTATATTTATGTATGTTTATGTATTAGTATTTATGTATGTTTGTGTAATATTATAAATATTCTAAATATTTGTTTTCATTTCAATAATATTCACATAATCTTCACTAGTAGATTTCATCTCAAGAAACCACTATCTTTGCTCATCCAGAAGAAGCAACTACTAATTTATTAAGATTTTATCATGAAATTGCAGTAATTCAGTCACATCTTCCACATCTGCAGTGACTTCCTTCACTGAAGTTGTGAACCCCTCAAAATTATCTATGAGAGTTTGAATCAACTTCTTCCAAATCTCTGTTAATGTTGATATTTTGAACTCCTCCATTGAAGCATCAATGTTCTTAATGGCATCTAGAATGGTGATTCCTTTCCAGAAGGTTTTCAACGTACTTTTCCCAGATCCCTCAGAGGAATCACTATGACAGTTATTGCCTTATGAAATGTATTTCTTAAATAATAAGACTTGAATGTAGAAATTAGTCTGATTCATGAGCTGCAGAAAGGATTTATGTTAGCAGGCATGAAACACTAATAATCTCCTTGTACGTCTCTACCAGAGCTCTCGAGTGACTACGTGCATTGCCAATGATAATTGAGATTTTGAAAGAATTTTTTTTTTTCTGAGTGGTAGGTCTCAACAGTGGGCTTAAAATATTCAGTAAGCCCTGCTGTAAACAAATGTGCTATCATCTAGGCTTTGTTTTTCCATTTAGAAAGCATAGGTAGAGTAGAATTAGCAAAATTTTTAAAAGTACATAAGATTTTGGAAGTGATAAACAAACATTGGCTTCAACTTAGTCACCAGCTGTGTTAGCCCCTAATAAGTGAATCAGTATGTCTTTTGAAGCTTTGAAACCAGACATTGAGTTGTCTTCTCTAGCTATAAAAGTCATAGGTGGTAGCCTTTTCCAATAGAAGGCTGTTTTGTCTACATTGGAAATTCGTTGCTTAGTGTAGCCACCCTTACCAATTATCTTAGCTAGATATTTTGGATAACTTGCTGCAGCTTCTCCAACAGCACTTTCTGCCTCACCTTGTAATTTTTATGTTATAAAGATAGCTTTTTTTTCTTAAATTTTATGAACCAACGTTTGCTAGCTTCCAATTTTGTTTTTCTGAAGCTTCTTCACCTCTCTCACCTTTCACAGAATTGAAGAGAGTTAGGGCCTTGCTCTGGACTAGGCTTTGGCTTAAGGGAATGTTGTGGTTGGTTTGATTATCTACCCAGACCCCTAAAGCTTTATCCCTATAAGGGTGTTTTACATTTCTTTATAATTTGCATATTCATTGGTGTAGCACAATTAATTTTCTTTAAGAACTTTTCCTTTGCATTTACAGCCTGGCTAACTGTTTAGTGCAAGAGGCCTAGCTTTCAGCCTACCTAAATTTTCAACATGCATTAATCACTAAGCTTAATCATTCATAGCCTTTGATTTAAAGTGAGAAATGTGTGACTTTCCTTTTTACTTGAACACTTAGAGGCCATTGTAGGATTGTTAATTGGCCTAATTTCAATATTGTTGTGTTTCAGGCAATAGGAAGGCCCAAGAAGAGGAAGAAAGATTGAGGAAATGGCCAGTTTGTGCAGCAGTCAGAACATACGCATTTACTGATTAAGCTTGCTGTTATATATGGATGCAGTTTGTGGCACCTCAAAATAATTACAAAAGCAACATTAAAGATCACTGATCACAAATCACCATAACATATATAATAAGAATGGAAAAGTTTGGTATATTGCAAACATGACCAAACTGTGACACAGAGACACAAAGTGAGTGCACGGTGTTTAAAAAAATGGTGCAATAGACTTACTCAACACAGGGTTGCCACATATCTTCAATATGTAAAAAATGCAAAGTCTGCAAAGTGCAATAAAGAAAAGCATAATACAATGAAGTATGCCTATAGATAATTGCCAATGACTCATGTTCAGGATTACAGAAAAATGAGTGTTGTTGCTTTGAGAAGGAAAGGGTCCTGGGTCTGGGGTATCATAAGAAGTCATATCAGAATGGATAGAAACCAGAGGCTTGGTAAGATGCTTCCCTTAAAATGTCAGAAGGTAAAACTGTCAGAAACACCATTGCCAGCACTCCTGAGCCTGGCATGAGACTGAGGACCTTAAATGTAGTGGCTATATATCTCTCGTGTTCTGCTGTAGCCCTGAATCCTGGCACAGATCTGGAGTTCAATAAATCTTTGCTGAACTTTTTAATAATCCTGCTACATTCTTTGTGAGCCATTTTCTTAGCTTTTTAATCAATTTTCTTAGATACTTAGAGTTACTCTGACTTTCAAGGGTATTCATGACTGCTCCATACCATTGTGTACAGGTTAAAGGAGTAAATGAAGACTGAAATCCAGTCTGCACTCCACTAGCCAAACTGTGTGTCCTACAACTAGGCTGTGCCCCCCCAAGAGGAAAAAAGTATTTTTTAATTTGCCCAAAGGTACTGTATGGCCTAATGACATTCCTAGGAGTATTCATTATTGTCTTCGGGATGCATCAGGGTACATTAGGGAAAACATCAGGTTAGGCCACAGACTAGTAAGTGAGCTAGCTATGACATGATATGTGTCATGATAGAAGGAAGAAAGTGAACTGTGTTCCCAGATAGGCATAAAGTGCTATTGGGGCACAGATGTAGGAAAGATCCACTTCCAGGTGGAGTGATCATTAGAAAGTTTTAAATGGCATTTGAGCTGGTGATTTAAAAATAAGTAGGATTTGAGTAAGCAGCTAAGTAGGGGTAACATGTGGAGGACATTACACTTAGAGGCAATAGCACACGTAATAGCATAGAGACAAGAAAGTGTCGAGACTGAAGTGGAGAAAATTGAGTAGCTCAAATGTATGATAAAATTGTTGGGAGATACTAAGTAGTTGGAAAGAGGTCAGGAAGGACTTTGAATGCCAAACTAAGAAGACTAAATTTTATTTAGTAAGCCAATTTTGTTATTTTTTTTCAAGGATAGCAATTAGAACCTGCATTAGAACCACCTAAAAATGTATGAGTCTCCCCCCACCAAGACCTATTAAAAGAAAACCATATAGGTCAAGGGTTAAAATCTACAATTTTACTAAGCACGCTGTCAGGGAATTCTGTTGTTTCCTAAATATTGATAACTGCACTCCGCTGCAATGAACTATGCTTGAATAGGGAAGAACCATAATATAAGCAGAGTTAGGGAAGATGCATGTAGAAGACATATAGGAAATGGATCAGATAGGTGGTATGAAGATTTCTTTTGTGTTCCTCATTCCTTGGGTGCCTGCAATATGGCCATCATATGTTAGGTCCTAGAGCTACATAGATTATATGCTAGAAACTCCTGCCCAGGGAGGTTAAAGGCATAGTCACTGCGTGGATTCCCAAACGCCCACTTCCAAGGGAAAGTTTGCTGTCTCTTAGGTCTATGGCTCCAAGAAGACTTAACAAACCTCTGCACCATTAAATTTGTACATATTTTCTTTGGGCCGAGAGAATATAGTATTTCTACGCCTACAGAAATTAGGCATGAGGGCTCTCTAAAGCTCCACTGTTACTTTTGTTTCTGGAAACTTCCAAGGGAGAAAATAAATTAGTAGCAGTAAGTTGGGAGTGAACTCTGCATGCAGGGTACTTATCTTTAGCTTCAGCAGCTTCTGATGGTGTGTGTGTGTGTGTGTGTTTCCCTATCCTTTTTTCTGTTCTCATGCTAGATTTGGGGAATCCAGGGTCTCCAGTGAATACTTTGGAAAGGGCTTGCTCACACTGACCATTCTCTGTCTCTCTTCTAGCCTCTATCTGGTCTCATGACTCTATCTCTTTGAAAGATTGAGTCTCAAGGGGTACCCATATTCTGATGAGAGGAAGGCCTAAAGAGAGGCTTTTGCTTTCCTGCCAGGGAATACCCACTGAGCAATTTGACCAGCTGAGAATCCAGCTAAATGATTGGGGTTACAAACACAAGTCCCAGTTCCTGGGGATTCAAGGCCAAATGATAAAGTGGAAATATTATTAGGATTAGAGCTCTGACACTTCCAAATTGTGTGACCTTCAGCTTAACCTCACAGAGCCTCAGTTTCATCAACTCTCTAATGGCAATACCAATTGCTAATCTGCCCTTTCTAACAAGGTAGTAGTGCAAATCATAGCAGTAAAATCAACGGATTTTAGTAAGCCAATGTTAAGTAAAAATCCATATAATATTTTATATATGGTATAAATATTTATAACAATGAAGACAAATGTTCCAAAACGCTAAATGTGGTTTAATATTTGAATAAAACTATCAATATACATTTCTTATTATTATCTTATTTTTAAAATATTTTATTGCAAACATATCTAAATTTCTAATTGGTTACAGGTAAATAAACTTTATTATTTAAAAAAATTTTGGGGGGGTATTAGCTCACTGTTTGATATTGTCTTTCTTACATAAATCACACACATAATGTACTCTCCAAAACTTATGTTGCATTAAAATGTTACAAGAACTTTAAGAATATTGATTTTAAAAATTCTCAGTGAGACATGAAAGAATTCTGAAAAATAATGCAAAGAAATTTAAAAAAAAGCAATTCAGGATATAAATGAGAAATTTACCAAAGAGATATATATTTTAAAAATGAACCAAATAGAAATTCTGGAACTGAAGATTTCATTGAAGGAAATACAAAATACATTTGAAAGCTTCAACAATGGACTACATCAAGCAGAGAATCTCCAAACATGAACACAGGTATTTTGAAATAGTTCAGTCAGAAAAAAATAAAGAAAAAAGGATAAAAAGATGATCAAAACTTTTGTGACATTTGGGACAACATAAAGCAAGTGAATATTTGAATTATCAGTATCCCTCAGGGCAAAGACAGTACTAAAACGTTACAAAACCTATTTAATAAAGTAATAGACAAAAACTTTCCAAATCTAGGAAGAGATTTAGTCAACTAGATAGAGGAGGTTCAAGGACCCCCCAGGAGGATAAAATGTGAGGAGTTCTTCTCCATGATGCATTATGGGCAAACTGTCTAAAGTCAAAAATAAAGTCCAAATCCTAAAAACAGCAAAAGTGCCTAGTCACCTATGAAAAAAACCCATCAGACTAACAGCAAATTTCTCAGCAGAAACCTTACAGGCCAGAGGCGAATGGGATGAGGAAAGGAAAAAAGGTCTCCCAAGAATACTATACCCAGAAAGGTTATACTTCATAAATGAAAGAGAAATAAAGTATTTCCCAGGCAAGCAAAAATTGAGGGAATCGATGGATTCCCCACAAGAACAGTCCTACAGGAAGTGATTAGGCGAATCCTACACATGGAAGCAAAAAAAGAATATATACCATTTCGGGGATCAGTCAGAGTCGTGGAAGAAGCTATAAGGAGAGAAGCAGGTCTTTTGAAAGGTCAGAGGGCTCTGCAAAGTTTCGGGGGAGAATAAGCTGAAGGCAGCTGTTCTCTTACCCTGAGGCAGAGAGCAAGGAGTAGGTACAAGGGAACATAAAGAAGTTTATCTAAATAGGCTTGTTTACTTATGTTGTCCACAAACCGACCGTGCAAAAGACTGCTCCCTGCAAGGAGGAAAAACAGTGTTAATTACCCACAGATTGTGTTATCTCCAGGCTTTCAGCATTATGTCTGTACTGAATAAAAGCAAAGAGCTTCAGCTTATCGAGACTGCTCTCTCTCTCTTTGGCCCCTAGTGCCAGCAGTCCCCTAGCAGCTCTTACACTGTATACCTGTATCTGAGTACTCCTTTCATCCATCACTCAGCCAGGGTCTGTGGGACAGACCTGGCACATGGTGCCCCGTGTGAAGAATGCTGCAACGGATTGTGATGGAACCCTCAAAAATGAAGGTGAAGAGACTCCACAGTCAGTAAGTCATTGGTGCCCACCTGGGATTTGCAAGACCGAGGGAATTTTCAAGCTAGGGTTCATCATGGGACAACAGTTACAGCTCAACAGCAACAGTATATAAAAGTATTGAAACAGCTACTTAAAGCTAGCAGAGCCTCAGTTTCAGAGACTCAATTAAGGGACCTAATACAAATTGTTGTTTCCCTTAACCCATGGTTCCTGGAAGAAGGCATGCTAGAACTAGAGTTCTGGGAACAAGTGGGGAGAAATCTTAAACAACATCATGCGCAAGGGCAAGAGGTCCCAGTAACATCTTTAACATTATGGGCCTTAGTCAGAGCTGCTTTGGCCCCACTCTACACAGAAGAGCATAAAAAGGGAAGGGAGGAGGAACCGTCACCTACCTTACTGCCTCCTCCTCCACCCTCAGCCCCGCCATTACCGGGTAAAGATACAAAAGAGGAAATGGAGTTTGTCCCTGAGCCCCCTCCCCCAATAAATTGGAAGAAAGACAAGGGGGGCCGGGCGCGGTGGCTCACGCCTGTAATCCCAGCACTTTGGGAGGCCGAGGCGGGTGGATCATGAGGTCAGGAGATCGAGACCATCCTGGCTAACAAGGTGAAACCCTGTCTCTACCAAAAATACAAAAAATTAGCCGGGCGCGGTGGCGGGCGCCTGTAGTCCCAGCTACTGGGGAGGCTGAGGCAGGAGAATGGTGTGAACCCGGGAAGCGGAGCTTGCAGTGAGCCGAGATTGCGCCACTGCAGTCCGCAGTCAGGCCTGGGCGACAGAGCGAGACTCCGTCTCCAAAAAAAAAAAAAAGAAAGACAAGGGATACACTGCAGTTATGGGATCCTGTCTTAGGCAAGTGGCATTAGAAGGGGAGCTCTTGGTCTGCCCGATGATGCAAGATCAACAAGGCAATTGGGTATATGAACCCATTACTTTAGACACTTATGAAGTGATAACAAAAAGCATTAGAGAAAACAAAGTCGCTAGCCCACTTATGAAAGGATTAATTGAGATCATAGCAGACAACTTCCGTATGACCCCATGGGACTGGTCAGTGCTAGCTAAAACAACTTTAGAGCCCAGTCAGTACCTCTTCTGGAAGGCAAAATATGATGAGTTGTGCAAACAAGCCAACCAGAATCAATTGGCAGGGCAAAACATATGGGTCACACAGAAACAAAACATTGTTGGCATTGGGGAAGCACACACAGCTAAGCAGAGCATGTGCCCCCTAACATATAGCTATTCAGAAGGGAGGAGAGCAGTGATACAATCTCTAATCATGCCCATCTCTGGTAATCTTTGGGGACAGGACTTATTAGCCCATTGGGTGGGTCACTCTGCAGACCCCTTTCTAATTATGACCACTGTTGTAATTCCTCCCCTACCCCTGACATGGCTCTCTCGAAATCCTATTTGGGTAAAACAGTAGCCTTTAAAGAAAGAGAAATTATAAAGAGCCCATGAATTAGTTGAGGAACAATTAAAAGCTGGCCATATAGAACCATCAACCAGCCCTTGGAATTCACCCATTTTTGTTATTCCCAAAAAGTCTGGTAAATGGAGAATTTTGCATGACGTATGTGCTATCAATGCTAATTTGCAACCTATGGGGCCCCTTCAACAGGGGCTCCCTTCCCCTGTGGCGATTCCTTGAGATTGGCCTATAGTCATTATTGACTTAAAATACTTGTTTTTATGCTATTCCTCTTGCAAAACAGGACAGAGAAAAACTTACATTTACAATACCAGCTACCAATAATGAAAGGCCAGCTTACCAATTTCATTGGAAAGTACTTCCTCATGGAATGCTAAATAGTCCTACCATGTGTCAGTATCATGTAACTCAAGCTTTGCTCCCCAGTAGGAAAGCATTTCCTAATTGCAAGATCATCCATTTTATGGATGATATCTTACTGGCAGCCCCAACAGAGCTGATACTTTTAAATTTATATGCCTCTGTCAAAAAGAATACACAGTTAAGAGGTTTAATCACAGCACCTGAAAAAGTACAGATGTCCTCTCTTTGGAAATATCTTGGATGCATACAAACTTCTCGGTCAATGAGACCTCAAAAGGTTAAATTGAACACTGACAACTTACCTTAAATGTTTATCAAAAATTACTGGATGATATTAACTGGCTTCACCCCACCTTGGGCACAACTACTGTCAAATTACAGAACCTGTTTTCTATCCTAAAGGGCAATGCAGCCCTAGACTCCTCTAGGTATTTAAACCCTGCTGCAAAAAGGGAAATTGAGGAAATAGAGGAAGCCATTTTTCAGAGGCAACTAGATCACATAGACCTATGATATTTAGTCCAATTGTTTGTTTTCCCTACTAAACATTCCCCAACAGGACTAGTAGGACAGATGGTCCCAGAGCTGTTCTTCCTAGAATGGGTGCTTTGCTCACATACTGGGACTAAAACATTATCTCCTTATGTCCAGCTAGTTAGTAAAGTCATCTATAGAGGCCACAGATGATGCAATCAATTGCTAGGTTATGACCCTAATGTCATAAGAATACCCTTAAGTGAAAAACAGTTTAACACAGTCCTGCCTCTATCTCTAGACCTTCAGATAGCACTCACTGATTATGTGGGCCATATAGTACATGCCCTTCCTGCTGACAGTCTACTCCAGTTCTTATCTCAGGAGTATATCTCTAGACCTTCAGATAGCACTCGTTGATTATGTGGGCCATATAGTACATGCCCTTCCCGCTGACAATCTACTCCAGTTCTTATCTCATACTCCTGTAGTTATGCCTACAAAGGTAGTTCACTCCCTCATACCTAATGCTTTAATGCTTTTCACGGATGGCTCTGGTAAAAATGGAAAAGCAGCTTTTTTGTGGGAACTGCCTAGCTCTCTCACTCAATGTGGATTTACTAACACTCAGAGAGCTGAGGTTGGACCCCTAATATTGGCCCTAAAAACATTTTCTGCTCAGCCTATCAATATTGTCAGTGACTCTGCTTACTCCATTTATTTATTGCAGAACCTTGAGACAGCCCTCATCATGTCCACTCTTGAGCCCACCCTGTGTGCACTTTTTGTTCGACTTCAGCAATCGCTAGGTCAACGAACACATCCTATTTTTTTTACACACATTTGAGCCCACAGCTCACTGCCTGGCCCACTGGCTTATGGCAATGATCAAGCAGACCTGCAGGTTATGACGTCACCACTTGACCAAGCCACCCAATCACATCAATTTTTTCACCAAAATTGGAGAAATTTAACTGAACAATTTCAACTTACCCAAAGACTAGCTAAACAAATTATTTTACAATGCTCAGATTGCCAGCTCACAGGCACGTCCCTTTTTTCAATAGGCATTAACCCTAGAGGACTAGAACCTAATCAGTTATGGCAAACAGATGTTACACACATCCCTGCAGTTGGAAAACTAAGATATGTACATGTTTCCATTGATACCAATTCCCACTTAATTAGCACTAATGTTCTTGGAGATTCCACCCGATATGTCATTAAACATCTTCTCTTAACTTTTCTGTTTCGAGGGTGGCCCACACAAATTAAAACTGATAATAGCCCAGCTTATATCAGCTCACAATTTCAACAATTTTGTCACATGTGGAACATCCAACATTCCACAGGAATCCCATATAACCCCCAAGGACAGGCCATGGTAGAACGTGTCTGTGTCCACTCCACCTTTAAAAATATGCTCAGAATACAAAAAAAGGGGGAATATGAGTAAGGACCCTGCAACACAATTGGCACAAGCCTTATTTATCCTTAATTTTTAAAACTTAGATGACAAGTGTTAATCAGCCACGGAAAAGCATTTTCCAAAAGCCCCTCAAGACATAAAAACCTCAGTTTTACAGAAAGATGTAAATAGTAATCTATGGTGTGGTCCAAATAATTTGTTAACATGTGGAAGAGGATATGCTTGTGTTCACATCCCCTCAGGTCCTCTTCGGATTCCAGCACGATGCATCAAACCATACCACAGTGTGGCTAGGACCCAACCTGGTACCAGAAATGAAGGAAATGATACTGCAGGACCTGCAGCCCCAGACAATGCAGCTTCCTCGGACAACACAGACTCTGGACATTACCTGGGGGGATGGTGAAGAAGACAACTCAGGAGCCTGAGTGAATCCTGCTCCAGAAAAAGACACCATTCACTCCAGGTAATTTGTTCATTGCTATGCTTTCTGTTGTACATTTCAACTCTTGTAGATTAATTAACCTTTTTTATTTTCTCAATCTGCCTGCAATCCATACTTGCTACTCTCTATTGGGCCAAGCTTCTGGATCCACCTTTCTTCCGCCCTCTTACTTGGGCAGACACCCCCTCCCCATCCTCTAACAATGCGACAGATTGGCTGGGAGCACTTGACATACCCCCAGTGGGGTTCCTTAATAATGACACACGGTGGACTGAGGTGCCAAGTAACACTACATGTCACTCCTTGATTGGAAAAGAATATAATTAATTATACTCACATTTATCTCATGTTATTTACTAATTTGAGGATGCAAAGCTGGAAAACGAGCTATAACTGCTATGCCTGACAAACCTGTTGCTGCACCCATCTGTACCCTTCAATCAACAAGACCAGATGCAAAAAAACAGAAAAGGGGAAGTTGTGCGGGATCGGTCAGAGTGGTGGAAGAAGCTATAGGGAGAGAATCAGGCCTTTTGAAAGGTCTGAAGGCTCTGCAAAGCTTCGGGGGAGAATAAGCTGAAGGCAGCTGTTCTCTTACCCTGAGGCAGAGGGTGAGGAGTAGGTACAAGGAAATGTAAGGAAGTTTATCTAAATAGGCTTGTTTACTTATGTTGTACAGAAACTGACCTTTTATCATCTGTGCAGGAGACTGCTCCCTGCAAGGGGGAAAAATAATGTTAATTACACACAGATTGTTGGCTTCAGGTTTTCAGCATTATGTCTGTATTGAATAAGAGCAAAGAGCTCCAGTTCATCAAGACGGCTCTCTCTCTTTGGACCCTAGTACCAGCAGCCCACTAGCGGCTCTTACACTTTATACCTGTGTCTGAGTACTCCTTTCATCTATCACTTAGCCAGGGTCTGCAGGATGGACGCGGCATACCATAATGCAAATACACAAAACTATAAAACTTACTGGTAAGGCAATCACTCAAAGGATGAAGTAAAGGGACTCAAATTATACCACTACAGAAAAAAAAAAAACCCACGACAAAGAAAAATAAAAAAAAGAAGAACAAATATTATATAAAACAACTAGAAAATAATAAGCAGCCTGACATGAACAAAGCCTCAAATATTAATAATCTTGAACATAAATGGATTTAGCTATCCACTTAAAAGACATAAGATGGTTAAATAAAGTTAAAAATCCAACTATAAGCTGTTTTCCAGAAACTCACCTTACTAGTAAAGACAGATATAAACTGAGAGTAGAGGGATGGAAAAGATATTTCATGCAAACAGAAACCAAAAGTGACCAGGACTAGCTATATATGTATCAGATTAAACAGGCTTAAAGTAGGAAGCAGTTTAAAAAAAAGAGAGACAAAGAAAATCATAATATAAGGAGACCAATCCGGAAAGAAGATATAAAAATTCTAAATTTATATGCACCCAACACTGGAGCACCCATATTCATAAGGCAAATATTACTAGATCTATATAGAGAGATAGAGGGCAATACAATAAGTGGGTGACCTCAACATCATATTTTCAGCATTAGAAAGATCATCTAGACAGAAAACCAACACAGGAACATTGAATTTAAACTAGACTTTAGGTCAATCAGGCCTAACAGACATTTACAGAACATTTTATCCAACAAATACAGAATATATATCTTTTCAATTCTAGGAAAGGCCATATTTTAGGCAACAAAACAAGTCTCAATAAGTTTAAAAAACCAAAATTATATCAAATATCTTATCAGGCCACATTGAAATCAATATCAAGAGAAACTTTGAAAACAATTTCAGTGATTGGAAATTAAACAATATGTTCCTGAATGACTACTGGGTCAATGTAGATATTAAGATGGAAATCAGACATTGCTCCAAAAAAAGAAATAGAAACACAATATTCCAAAACCTATGGGATACAGCAGAAGCAGTGCTAACAAGGAGGTTTATAGCAATAAATGCCTACATCAGAAAAGTAGAATGATTATAATTAACAATCTAACAATGTTCCTCAAGGAACTAGACAAGCAAGAATAAACCAAACCCCAAATCAGCATACTAAAGAAAAGATCAGAGTAGAACTAAATAAAATAGAGACCAAAAAAAAACAAATGATAAATGAAATAAAAGTTGGTTCTTCAAAAAGATAAGCAATACTAACAAAATACTAGCTAGACTAACAAAAAAAAAAAGAAAGAAGACTCAAACAAAATCAGAAATGAAAAAGGAGACATTGAAACTCATTCCACAGAAACACAAAAGATCATCAGGGGCTATTATGAAGAATTATATGCTGGCAACCTGGAAAAGCTAGAGGAAATGGACAAATTCCTGGAAACATGCAAGCTATGAAAACTCAATCAGAAAAAAAAAAAAAAAAGAAAACCCGAGTAGCAAACACAAAATGAAGAACTACTACCTGAAACTCTTCCAAAAAAATTGAAGAGGAGAAAGTTCTCCCTAATTTATTCTACAATACCATCATAACACTTTTACCAAAACAAAAATACAACAAAAGAAGAAAACTACATGCCAGTATCCATGATAAACATATAACAAAAATTCTCCACTGAATACGAGTAAACCAATCCAACAACACTTGGAAAAGATAATACACCATAATCAGATTGGATTTATATCAGATGCAAGGATGGTTCCACGTATGCAAATCAATAAAAGTGATAGGTAGTATCAACAGAATGAACAAAAACCATAAATTTATCTCAATAGACATGGAAAAAGCATTTGATAAAATCCAACATCCCTTCACTATCAAAACTCTCAACAAACTAGGCA
This sequence comes from Homo sapiens, assembly GCF_000001405.40. Taxonomy (NCBI): domain Eukaryota; kingdom Metazoa; phylum Chordata; class Mammalia; order Primates; family Hominidae; genus Homo; species Homo sapiens. Next base: position 64,779,345 of record NC_000023.11, on the reverse strand, counting down.
TAGAAGAAACATACCTCAACATGATAAAGGTTATTTATGACAGGCAGACAGCTAACATCATACTGAATGGGGAAAAGCCTTTCCTTTAAGAATTTAAACAAAATAAGGTTTCGTAACTTCACCACTCTTATTCAACTTAGTACTGGAAGTTGTAGCCAGAGAGAGAATTCAGGCAAGAGAACAAAATAAAATGCATTTGAATTGAAAAAGAAGTCAAATTGTTCCTCTTTGCTGATGATATAATCTTATGTCTAGAAAAGCCTAAAGACTCTACTAAAACTCTTAATATTAATAAATGAAGTCACTAAAGTTGTAGGATACAATATTGACATACAAGAATCAGTAGTATTTATAAACACCAATAATGATCCAGCTAAGAAATAAATAATAAAGCTGTCTTATTTACAATAGATGAAAAAATAAAATTTCTAGCAATAAATATAACAAAAGATTTCTGCAAGGAAAACTATAAAATACTGATGAAAGAAACATAAGATGACACGAGTGAATGGAGAAACATCCCATACTCATTGATGAAAAGAATTAATATCATTAAAATGACCATATTGCCCAAATCTATATACAGATTCAGTGCAATTCCTATGATAATACAACATTTTACTTTACAGAATTAGAAAAAACAATTATAAAACTCATATGATACCAAAAAAAAGCTCAGATAGCCAAAGCAATCCTGAGTAAAAGAGCAAAACTAAAGGCATCATATTAACTGACTTCAATATATATTTCAAGGCTATAGTAACCAAAACAGCATGATGTCAGATAAAAGTGACACATAGACCAATTAAAAAGAGTAGAAGACCCAGAAATAAAGCCACATGTTTATAATCAACCAATCTTTGTCCAGCCAAACAAAGTTATTTTGAGGAAAGGGCACTCTTTCTAATAAATGGTACTTGGAACATTGGATAGCCACATGATGAGGAATGAAAGTGGATCCTTATCTCTCACCATAGACAAGAATCAACACAAGATGAATTAGAGACTTAAACATGAGCCCCAAGATTATGTAGCTACTAGAAGAAAATATAGGAAAATCTCTCCTGGACATTGGTCTAGGCAAATGATTTATGACTAAGACCTCAAAAGCACAGACAACAAAAACAGACATAGACAAATGGGACTTAAACAAAAAAAGCTTCTATACAGCAAAATAATAGATTGACGAGATTTTATTGAGTTGCAGAAAATATTTGCAAGCTATTCATGTAACAAGGTACTAATATCCAAAATATACAAGCAACTGAACTCAACGGGAAAAAAAAATCCCATTAAAAAGTGGGCAAATAATATGAATGGACATGTCTCCAAAGAAGATACACAAATGGCCAATATGTGTATAAAAATGCTCAACATCACGAATCATCAGAGAAATGCATAACCAAACCACAATGAGATACTACCTTACCTAAGCCAGTATAGCTATTGTTAAAAAAGACAACAAAAAAAAATCTTGATGAGTATGCAGATAAACTCTCATACACTGATTGGTGGAATGCAAACTAGTAAAGCCCTATGAAAAATACTACCGTGGCTCATCCAAAACCTAAAAATAAAACTACTATTCTATCTAGCAATCTCGCTACTAGGTATCTACCCAGAGAAAGAAAAACCAGTATATCAAAAAGATATCTCAACCCTCATGTTTATTGCAGCACTATTCACAATAGTAAATATATAAAATCAAACTAAGTGTCCATCTACAAATAAACAGATAAAGAAAATGTGGTGTATATATACACAATGGAATACTATTTGGCTAAAAAAATGAAATCATATCATTTGCAGCAAAATAGATGGAACTGGAGGTTATTATGTTAAATTAAATAAGCCAGGCATAAAAAGACAAATATCACATATTCTTGCTATACATGGGAGCTAAAAAAGTTTCATAGCATCAAGTTATCAAAGTAGAGCATGGAAAGATAGATAACAGATACTGGGAAGGGTGAGTGTGGGGGATGTGGGTGGATAAAGATAAGTGGGTTAAAGCGTACAAACATAACCAGCCAAACTAAGTTTCATACGTGAAGGAGAAATAAAATCCTTTACAGACAAGCAAATGCTGAGAGATTCTGTCACCACCAGGCCTGACTTACAAGAGCTCCTGAAGGAGACACTAAACATGGAAAGGAACAACCGGTACCAGCCACTGCAAAAACATGCCAAATTTTAAAGACCATAGATGCTATGAAAAAAAACTGCATCAATCAATGGGCAAAATAACCAGCTAACATAATAATGACAGGATCAAATTCACACATAACAGTATTAACCTTAAATGTTAATGGCCTAAATGCCCTAATTAAAAGACATAGACTGGCAAATTGGATAAAGAGTCAAGACCCATCAGTGTGCTGTATTCAGGAGACACATCTCATGTGCAGAGACACACATAAGCTCAAAATAAAGGGATGGAGGAGGATTTACCAAGCAAATGGAAAGCAAAAAGAAGCAGGGGTTGCAATCCTAGTCTCTGATAAAACAGACTTTAAACCAACAAAGATCAAAAGAGACAAAGAAGGCCATTACATAATGGTAAAGGGATCAATGCAACAAGAAGAGCTAAGTATCCTAAATATATATGCACCCAATACAGGAGCACCCAGATTCATAAAGCAGTCCTTAGAGACCTTCAAAGAGACTTAGACTCCCACACAATAAAAATGGGAGACTTTAACACCTCACTGACAACATTAGACAGATCAACGAGACAGAAGGTTAACAAGGATATCCAGGACTTGAACTCAGCTCTGGACCAAGCAGACCTAATAGACATCTACAGAACTCTCCACCCCAAATCAACATAATATACATTCTTCTCAGCACCATCATGCACTTATTCTAAAATTGACCACATAATTGGAAGTAAAGCACTCCTCAGAAAACGTGAATGAACAAAAATCACAACAAACTGCCTCTCAGACCACAGTGCAATCAAATTAAAACCAGGATTAAGAAACTCACTCAAAACCACACAACTACATGGAAACTGAACAACCTGCTCCTGAATGACTACTGGGTAAATGAAGAAATGAAGGCAGAAATAAAGATCTTTCCTGCTTTCTCTTGTGGTCATTTAGTGCTATAAATTTCCCTCTACACACTGCTTTAAATGTGTTCCAGAGATTCTGGTACGTTGTGTCTTTGTTCTCACTGGTTTCAAAGAACATCTTTAAATGTTTAATTTTCAACCCAGAATTTCAGTTATATAGAAGGAACAAATTTGATGTCTGATAGCAGAGTAGAGTGACTAGTTAATAACATTGTATGCAGGTAATGGACAGCCTAGATACCCTGACTTGACTCCCCATGACTTTCAGGTACACCAATGAAACGTAGATTTGTTCCTTTCACATAGTCCCATATTTCTTGGTGGCTTTGTTCATTCCTTTTTACTCTTTTTTCTCTAAACTTTTCTTCTCACTTTATTTTATTAATTTGATCTTCAATCACTGATACCCTTTCTTCCACTTGATCGAGTCAGCTATTGAAGCTTGTGCATGCATCATGAAGTTCTCGTGCCATGGTTTTCAGCTCCATCAGGTCATTTGAGGTCTTCTGTACACTGTTTATTCTAGTTAGCCTTTCGTCTAATCTTTTTTCAAGGTTTTTAACTTCCTTGGGATGGGTTAGAACATGCTCCTTTAGCTCAGAGAAGTTTGTTATTACTGACCTTCTGAAGCTTACTTCTGTCAACTTGTCAAAGTGATTCTCTGTCCAGCTTTGTTCCATTGTTGGTGAGGAGCTGCAATCCTTTTGAGGGAAAGAGTCACTCTGATTTTTAGAATTTTCAGCTTTTCTGCTCTGGTTTCTCCTCATCTTTGTGGTTTTATCTAACTTTGGTCTTTGATGATGGTGAATTATAGATGGGGTTTTGGTGTGGATGTGGTTGTCTTTTTTGTTGATGTTGATGTTATTCCTCTCTGTTTTTTAGTTTTCCTTCTAACAGTCAGGTCCCTTAGCTGCAGATCTGTTGGAGTTTGCTGGAGTTCCACCTTAGACCCTGTTTTCCTGGGTATCACCAGCGGAGGCTACAGAACAGCAAATATTGCAGAACAGCAAATATTGCTGCCTGATCTTTCCTCTGGAAGCTTCTTCCCAGAGGGGCACCTGCTGGTATGAGGTTTCTGTTGGCCCCTACTGGGAGGTGCCTCCCAGTTAGGCTACACGGGGGTCAGGGACCCACTTGAGGAGGCAGTCTGTCCATTCTCAGAGCTCAGTTTGAGCTTCCCAGCTGCTTTGTTTATCAACTCAAGCCTTACCAATAGCGGATGCCCCTCCCCCAGCCAGGCTGCTACCTCACAGTTTGATCTCAGACTGCTGCTCTAGCAGTGAGCAAGGCTCCAAGGGCATGGGACCTGCAGATCCAGGGACAGGAGAGAATCTCCTTGTATGCCAGTTGCTAAGACACTGGGAAAACCACAGTATTTGGACAGGAGTGTCCCCTTTTTCCAGGAACAGTGTGTCATGGCTTTCCTTGGCTAGGAAAGGGAAATCCACTGACCCCTTGCACTTTCCAAGTGAGGTGACATCCTGCCCTGCTTCGGCTTGCACTCCATGGACTGCACACACTGTCTAACCATTCACAATGAGATGAACCAGTTACCTCAGTTGCAAATGCAGAAATCATCCGTCTTCTGTGTGAGTCACACTGGGAGCTGCAGACCAGAGCTCTTCCTATTTGACCATCTTGGATCACAAGCCATTAATTTTTTTTATCTGCACAAATTATGGGGTATATGTGAAAATATACAACATTCAAATACAGGAAATGCAGAGAACACCACAAAGATACTCCTCGAGAAGAGCAACCCCAAGACACATAATTGTCAGATCCACCAAGGTTGAAATAAAGCAAAAAAGGTTAAGGGAAGCCAGAGAGAAAGGTCGGGTTACCCACAAAGGGAAGCCCATCAGACTAACAGCAGATCTCTCAGCAGGAACCTTACAAGCCAGAAGAGAGTGAAGGCCAATATTCAACATTATTAAAGAAAATAATTTTCAAACCAGAATTTCATATCCAGCCAAACTAAGCTTCATAAGTGAAGGAGAAATAAAATCCTTTACAGACAAGCAAATGCTGAGAGATTTTGTCACCACCAGGCCTGCCTTACAAGAGCTCCTGAAGGAAGCACTAAACATGGAAAGGAACAACCGGTACCAGCCACTGCCAAAACATGCCAAATTGTAAAGACCATAGATGCTATGAAAAAACTGCATCAATTAACGGGCAAAATAACTAGCTAAAATAATAATGACAGGATCAAATTCACACATAACAATATTAACCTTAAATGTAAATGGGCTAAATGCCCCAATTAAAAGACATAGACTGGCAAATTGGATAAAGAGTCAAGACCCATCAGTGTGCTGTATTCAGGAAACCCATCTCACATGCAGAGACACACATAGGCTCAAAATAAAGGGATGGAGGAAGATCTAACAAGCAAATGGAAAGCAAAAAGAAGCAGGGGTTGCAATCCTAGTCTCTGACAAAGCTGACTTTAAACTAATAAAGTTCAGAAGAGACAAAGAAGGTCATTACATAATGGTAAAGGGATCAATGCAGCAAGAAAAGCTAACTATCCTAAATACATATGCACCCAATACAGGAGCACCCAGATTCATAAAGCAAGTCCTTAAAGACTTACAAAGAGACTTAGACTCCCACACAATAATAATGGGAGACTTTAACACCCCATTGTCAATATTAGACGGATCAACAAGACAGAAGGTTAACAAGACATGCAGGACTTAAACTCAGCTCTGGACCAAGCAGGCATAATAGACATCTACAGAACTCTCTACCACAAATCAACAAAATATTCATTCTTCTCAGCACCATCTCGCACTTAATCTAAAATTGACCACATAATTGGAAGTAAAGCACTCCTCAGAAAATGTGAAAGAACAGAAATCACAACAAACTGTCTCTCAGAACACAGTGCAATCAAATTAGAACTCAGGATTAAGAAACTCACTCAAAACCACACAACTACATGGAAACTGAACAACCTGCTCCTAAATGACTAATGGGTAAATAACGAAATGAAGGCAGAAATAAAGATTTTCTTTGAAACCAATGAGAACAAAGACACAACATACCAGAATCTATGGGACACATTTAAAGCAGTGTGTAGAGGGAAATTTACAACACTAAATGCCCACAAGAGACAGAAGGAAAGATGTAAAATTGACAAGCTAACATCACAATTAAAAGAACTAGAGAAGCAAGAGCAAACACATTCAAAAACTAGCAGAAGGCAGAAGGCAAGAAATAACTAAGATCAGAGCAGAATTGAAGGAGATAAAGACACAAGAAAACCTTCAAAAATAAATGAATCCAGGAGCTGGTGTTTTGAAAAGGTCAACAAAATTGATAGACCGCTAACAAGACTAATAAAAAAGAGAGAGCAATCAAGTAGATGCAATGAAAATGATAAAAGGGCTATCACCACTGATCCCACAGAAATAAAAACTACCATCAGAGAATACTGTAAACAACTCTATGCAAATAAACTAGAAAATCTAGAAGAAATGGATAAATTCCTGGACACCCAACCCCTCCCAAGAATAAACCAGGAAGAAGTTGAATCTCTGAATAGACCAATAACAGGTTCTGAAATTGAGGCAATAATTAATAGCCTACCAAGCAAAAAAAGCCCAGGACCAGATGGATTCACAGCTGAATTCTACCAGAGGTACAAAGAGGAGCTGGTACCATTCCTTCTGAAATTATTCCGATCAATAGAAAAAGAAGGAATCCTCCCTAACTCATTTTATGAAGCCAGCATCATCCTGATACCAAAACCTGGCAGAGACACAACAAAAAAAGAAAATTTTAGACCAACATCCTTGATGAACATCAATGTGAAAATCCTCAACAAAATTCTGGCAAACTGAATCCAACAACACATCAAAAAGCTTATACACCATGATCGAGTTGGCTTCATACCTGGGATGCAAGGCTGGTTCAACATATGCAAATGAATAAATGTAATCCACCACATAAACAGAACCAATGACAAAAACTACATGATTATCTCAATAGATGCAGAATAGGCCTTCGACAAAATTCAACAGCCCTTCATGCTAAAAACTCTCAATAAACTAGGTTTGATGGAATGTATCTCAAAATAAGAAGAGCTATTTATGACAAACCCACAGCCAATATCATGCTGAATGGGCAAAAACTGGAAGCATTCCCTTTGAAAACCAACACTAGACAAGGATGCCCTCTCTCACCACTCGTATTCAACATAGTGTTGGATGTTCTGGACAGGGCAATCAGGCAAGAGAAAGAAATAAAGAGTATTTAATTAGGAAAAGAGGAAGTCAAATTGTCTCTGTTTGCAGATGACATGATTGTATATTTAGAAAACCCCATCGTCTCAGCCCCAAATCTCCTTAAGCTGATAAGCAACTTCAGCAAAGTCTCAGGATACAAAATCAATGTGCAAAAATCACAAGTATTCCTACACACCAATAACAGGCAAACAGAGAGCCAAATCATGAGTGAACTCCCATTCACAATTGCTACAAAGAGAATAAAATACCTAGGAATCCAACGTACAAGGGATGTGAAGGACCTCTTCAAGGAGGACTACAAACCACTGCTCAGTGAAATAAAATAGGACACAAAGAAATAGAAGAACATTCCACGCTCACGGATAGGAAGAATCAACATCATGAAAATGTCCATACTGCTGAAAGTAATTTATAGATTCAATGCCATCCCCATCAAGCTACCAATGACTTTCTTCACAGAATTGGAAAAAAACTACTTTAAATTTTATATGGAACCAAAAAAGAGCCCGCATTGCCAAGACAATCCCAAGGAAAAAGAGCAAAGCTGGAGGCATCACGCTACCTGACTTCAAACTATACTACAAGGCTACAGTAACCAAAACAGCATGGTACTGGTACCAAAACAGAGATATAGACCACTGGAACAAAACAAGGGCTCAGAAATAACACCACACATCTACAATCATCTGATCTTTGACAAACCTGACAAAAACAAGAAACAGGGAAAGGATTGCCTATTTAATAAATGGTGCTGGGAAAACTGGCTAGCCATATGTAGAAAGCTGAAACTGGATCCTTTCCTTACACCTTATACAAAAATTAATTCAAGGTGGATTAAAGACTTAAATGTTAGACCTAAAACCATAAAAACTCTACAAGAATACCTAGGCAATACCATTCAGGACATAGGCATAGGCAAGGACTTCATGATTAAACCACCAAAAGCAATGAGAACAAAAGCCAAAATTGACAAATGGGATCTAATTAAACTAAAGAGCTCCTGCACGGCAAAAGAAATTACCATCAGAATGTACAGGAAATCTACAAAATAGGAGAAAATTTTTGCCATCTACCCATCTGATGAAGGGCTAATATCCAGAATCTACAAAAAACTCAAACAAATTTAGAAGAAAAAAACAACCCCATCAAAAAGTGGGCAAAGGATATGAAGAGACACTTCACAAAAGAAGACATTTATGCAGCCAACAGACACATGAAAAAATGCTCATCATCACTGGTCATCAGAGAAATGAAAATCAAAACCGCAATGAGACATCATCTCACACCAGTTAGAATGGTGATCATTAAAAAGTCAGGAAACAACAGTTGCTGGTGAGGATGTGGAGAAATAGGAACACTTTTACACAGTTGATGGGACTGTAAATTAGTTCCACCATTGTGGAAGAGTATGGCAATTCCTCAAGGATCTAGAATTAGAAATACCATTTGACCCAGTGATCCCATTACTGGGTATATATGCAAAGGATTATAAATTGTGCTGCTATAAAGACACATGCATATGTATGTTTATTGTGGCACTATTCACAATAGAAAAGACTTGGAACCAACCCAAATGTCTGTAAGTGATAGACTGGATTAAGAAAATATGGCACATATACACCAGAGAATACTATGCAGCCATAGAAAAGGACAAGTTCTTGTCCTTTGCAGGGACATGGATGAAGCTGGAAACCATCATTCTCAGCAAACTATAACAAGGACAGAAAACCGAACACCGCATGTTGTCACTCACAGTTGGGAATTGAACTATGAGAACACTGGGACACAGGATGGGGAACATCACACACCGGGGCCCATTGGGGGCTGGGGGCCGGGGGATGGATAGCATTAGGAGAAATACCTAATGTAAATGACGAGTTGATGGGTGCAGCAAACCAACATGGCCCATGTATACATATGTAACAAACCTGCAGGTTGTGCACATGTACCCAAGAACTTAAAGTATATTAAAAAAAAAGAATTAACAACAGATAAATAAATAAATAAATGAACAAAACCTTTGGTCCTTCTAACTGAAAAAAAAAACAAAACAAAACAAACAAAGAAAAAAACATTAATGGCTCACTTTTACCAAGCCCTATGTGTCAGAAGCTGCTAAGTGTTTCATACTCATTATCTTACTTCATTCTCATAGTAGCCCTGTGAGTTAGGTAATAGTATTTGTGCCACTTTATAAGACAATAGACATTCAAAATGGATGTGAATCTTATCCCACGCCATACTTAACAAATGGCTGGCCTATTTTTGCCCATCTTGTTTTTTAACACAGAGCTCTAGCTTTTTCATACTTTTATTCAGAGCTTAGCACATTGTAGATATTAGATTAATATTAAACAAGGGTGACAAAAAACGAGAGAGGCAGCTGAAAAAGCAATAGTTTAAGAATATGATCACTTCAAAGGAATAACATTAAGGTGATATGATGTTTCATGTCAACATTTTTTTGAATTCTACCTTTTGAGTTAGTTTGCTCAATCTCTCACATATTATCTTGCTCTCACTGCCATTTTACAATCTGACAAAATAAATTTTAAGACAATGAGGAACACAACTGAGTATTCACGTCCTGCAGCATATGCAGATCTAAGGTGGTTTCCTTCCGTGTTCCCCAATCAGTTCTATACAAGAGCTAGAAAGTATTCATTTTGATTACTGGAAAGGGAAAGAGCGATGATGTAGCTAAACTTGATTTTCAAAATGTTAACGGCTTATTAAGTCAAAAGTACATTATTGGTCTTTTAATTTATAACCTCAACCCAATGTAAGGGTCTCCTTTGACTTCTATGTCTTGATGACAAGAAGCTCACACTTTGTGCGGGTTGACAAGAAGCTCACTCCCCAAATGAAAATTTCTAAGTTTTAGAAAGTACTTTCTTAATTTTGATTAAAACCTGTATGTAGGAGTTAATAGAAAGAAAGAAGTAAATCGTAATAACAATAGCAGCTTCCATTGGCTGAATGGATTTTATATGCTTAGCTCTTTGTTCATTTTCACCACTTCCAGGATGGTTAGGATTTACCCTATGGCAGGGGCTCAAATGCATTCAGTGTATAAATTAGTCTATTTAAGCCATGGCCATTTTTAAATCTTATGAGATTAGAAATACAAAAAGTGATCTTGTATCTGATTGATCTCAAAGCCTCTTTTTGTTCTTCTTTTTTTTTCATTGTGCATTGAATGAATATGTTTATTTTCTCTTTTTTTAATTATACTTTAAGTTCTAGGGTACATGTAAGACTTGAAGAGCAGTAGGATCAAATCCACTCATTTTACAAATCAGGAAACTGAAACCCAGAAAAAATAAGTGATTTGCCCAAGGTGACAAAGTTACAAAGGGGAAGAGCTAGGACTTAGTTTAGCTGTCTCTCTCTGTGATGTTTTGCTCTTAATTCGAGGACTTCATGTCTTCTAACTCTTCAAGGCTGTTGAATGGCTTTTTGAAACCCTCTAAATTCTGTAACACATTATTGTCAGATGTATGCTTTTTATTTGAGTCTCTCACATGTTATTGGAAATTTGTTATTGACTCATAATTTCTCTACTGGTAACTTCCACTTGTGGCAACAATATGTATATGTATATATACAGATAATCAGTTTGCTTATTTCTGAAATTTATAAATAACTCGGGGTCATTATATAAGGTTGTTCTTGCATTGCTATAAAGAAATACCTAAGACTGACTAATTTGTAAGTAAAGAGGCTTAATTGGCTCACAGTTCTGCAGAATCTACAGGAAACATAGTGGCATCTGCTTCTGAGAATGCCTCAAGAAGCTTCCAACCGTGATGCAAGGCAAAGGGGTGTGGGGCAGGCACATTACATGGTGAGAACAGGAATGAGAGAGAGAGATGGAGAGAGAGTGGAGGGAAGGTGCCACACACTTTAAAATGACCAGATCTTGTGAGAATTCAGAGCTAGGGCTGATTTATCACCAAGGAACAGCCCAAGTCATTCACAGGGGATCTGTTCCCAGGATCCAAACACCTCCTACCAAGCCCCACCTCCAACACTGGGGATTACAATTTAACATAAAATTTGGGCGGGACATCCAAATCATATCAGTCACCATCAGAAAATTTGGAGCTAATAAAATATAAACAAAATTGAGTGATTATATTGCATTCTGAAATTTCAAGGAATCCAGTTTTTTTGCTTGTTGGTTTGTTTGTTTGTTTTGAGATGGAGTCTTGCTCTGTGGCCTGGGCTTGAGGGCAGTGGCTCAATCTTGGCTCACTGCAACCTCTGCCTCCCAGGCTCAAGCAGTTCTCCTGTCTTTGCCTCCCGAGTAACTGGGATTACAGGTGCATGCCACCACACCCAGCTAATTTTTGTATTTTTATTAGAAATAGGGTTTCACCATGTTGGCCAGGCTGGTCTCGAACTCCTGACCTCAAGTGATCCACCCACCTCGGCCTCCCAAAGTGCTGGGGTTACAGGTGTGAGCCACTGCACCTGGCCCAGGGGATTTTATTTATTTATTTTGACAGAGTCTTCCTCTGTCATCCAGGCTGGAGTGTAGTGGCACAATCTCTGCTCACTGCAACCTCTGCCTCCTGGGTTCAAGTGATCCTCCTGCCTTAGCCTCCCGAGTAGCTGGAACTACAGGTACATGTCACCATGCCCAGCTAGTTTTTGTATTTTTAGTAGAAACGGGGTTTCACCGTATTGGCCAGGATGGTCTCGATCTCTTGACCTTGTGATGCACCCATCTCGGCCTCCCAAAGTGCTGGGATTACAGGTGTGAGCCAACGCTCCCGGGCCCAGATTTTTTTTAAACTTTACTACTTTCCTTCTAAAAAGGGCTTTCATTATCTCAAAGTCTCAGTTTTAACCTCCTCTTTCATCACTTTTCTGCCATTCCTCATTCATCCCTTTAGTATTGCTTTGAGATGACACACCCTTTCTATTCCAAAGTTCTATTCTCTCCCCTACTTCTGCTCTTAACTCTTCTAAAAATAAAATGCTCTGAATCTATAGCCTCTTTCCTACAGGCTTCCAGCTTTAGTTGAGTATCCAGCCTCTGCTAAACCAGTGTCCTGAGTGGCTAAAATACTGGCCCCATTTACAGAGGCAGGCACTTATTCATTCTCATAGACTCTTCATTCTAAAAAATGATCTGAATAAGCAAGTGAAGCAGAATGCTAAGAATCTCAGGAGGAGTGTCATATTTCCAAAAGGGACTGGGGTTTCATTGTTGCTGTAAGTAATGACTCTTAGTATTAGGCAATTCTGTAGTGTTTTCTGTTTCATTTTAGCTTATGAAGATATCATTCTACAGTTAGATATTACCTGTTCTTTTTATGCTCTGCCTGGGATCTCAACAGGATACAATTAAAGTTTAAGATTTCGTGAGATCACAAAGACAGAGGAAGAGAGTGAAGTATTGGATTCTTGTGTAATTAATAATATCCCCCACTCACGGTCATCAATCCGTTGGTCACAAAGTGTTTATTGATTTTAGGAAGGGTAATAATCATAATACTAAAGTAGAAGATCTCTGTGTTCTTACATTTTAGTTAACAGAATACAAAGAGACATTTGCCATATGAAATCACATTGAGAAGGACCATTTCACTTTCCCCAAATATAAAAATTTAACCAATACCATCAAGAGGTTGTTCTATTACATCTTGTTTTATAGTGGTAGCGAAATGAATGACATCAGCTTTTTCCTACTCCTAGCATAAGTCATTTACTTTACTGGTTCAGTAGATGAGTGGCTATTTCCAAAGTTACATGAACCAGACTCAATCTATTGTTTAGACACCCTATTACATCTGCCTTCAAAGAACAGTCACATTTGTTTCAGAGATTTGTCAGTAGTTCTGTCTTAATAATTGCATCAGATTTGTCTGCATTAGACCTTGAAGATAAAATCAGGGCTATACTTGAGACAGAAGTTATGTCAATCATGTAATAATAATAATAACATTGCTAGAACATGTATAAAGTTTATAAGGCAATTTACATCCTTTATGTCATCTAATTCTCATAACAATCTGTGTGGTGTCATCATCCCTCATTTACAGTTTGTGAATCTGTGTCTCAGGAATTTGCCGAAGGTAATTATAATAAATAATTAAAATGCACACAGTTTATCATGCGGGATGTTTTAAAATCAGTGTTTCTTTTAATCACCTCAATATGGTTCAGAGATATGTATTATCAATATCCCTATTTTACAAATGAGGGAACAAAGCATAGGAACATTAGTAAATTGTGTAAGATTAGAGAGCTGTAAAGTACAAATCTGAACTTGAACCTTGGTTTGACTCAAGAGACTGTCTTTTTGTTTGTAAATAAAAGTGGACATTATTATAAAAGTCTTTTTTTCCATCTCCATTCTCGTTCTTGAATAACTCACTCCATAGAAGTGGACATTATCCTGGATTTAATATGTATCCTTTCACGCAATGTTTCTATAATTTATAGATAGTTATATATTCAAATGTAGCATGTAGAATTGTTTTGTTGTTAAAATTACATGAATGATATTATGCTGTAAACATTGTTCTATTAATACTTGCTTTTTAATTCAATGTTTTACATCCGTTGATACAAAGAGTTAGAGTTCATTCACTTTTACCTGCTGTGTAGTATTCTGTTGATTGGCGATATCACTACTACTATATTCCCCTATTGATGAAGAGTTAGATTGGTCCTAGTTTGTCACTGTTATTGACAATGATGCTAGGAACACTGTTTAATATGCTCCCACCTTCACTCTGGTACTCACTAATCCCTTTATAGCTTTGTTTTCCATATCATTTTATATATATTAAATTTACTTGTCGTATTTTTTGTCTGTCTTCTTCAAACTTTATTAAGCTGGTGACTTTGTTTATTTCACTAATTCCTCAGTACCTAGAACAGTTTATGGCACATGTAGGTACATAATACGTATGTGTTAAATAAATTAATAAATGGACTCAAATATTCAATCTATCCGAAATGTATGTTTGTGCATATTATTTAATTATCTTTTGCCTGCAAGAATAGTCAATTATCTTGAAACAATTTTTGTACACTTATTTATATAACAACACCTCTCCCATATTGTATGTTCTTATATATGTGTGGATCTGCTTCTAGTCTCTCTTTTTCATTCCACTGATTTATTTGGGTATGTCTATGATAATATCACAATATTTCAATTGCCAGAACTTCATTATAAGTTTTTGTATATTAGCTAGGACAAGATCCCTTCTCCTTGTTCTTTTCTCAGAATTGCCTAAGACATTCTTAGGTCTTTATTCTTCCACATAAATTTTCAGAATCTGTCAAGTTCCAAATAAAATGTTTTTGAGATTTTGCCTAGGAGCCTGTATAGCTCATCACTATAACACACTACTGGGAAACAGCAGTACCATCCTGCTGACTCTAAAGATCTACAAGCTCTTTTCATGCCCTGGTGCCTCTCTCTAGAGTGGCAGAGACACAGCAGCAACAGCAGAAGCTAGTCATCTTCTACCAATAAGAACTGAGTGGAGCCAGGAAAATGCCAGGTGCTGCTTTCTACCACCAAGAAGTCTCTCCACCTTCCTCTGTCAAGTTGAAAAGAGTTTACATAGTAATAAAACCTTAGGTATCTGATCCCCCCTTTAATAGTAATTCAATCTCTCCAAGCCTTAGTTTGCTTGTTTGTCTATTTAGTAAACTAAAAGAGTAATATATAAATGTTAGTAGTAGTAGTTGTTATCAGCCCATCTTCTGGAAGTTGTTTTCAGGTCTACATTAGTTCTCAATCAAAACTTTATTTTGTGCTTAAGCTTTCTCAATATGTAAAAATTGTCAGTGTAATAAGATAATGTTAGAGAAATAGCTTGGTGATGATAGAAGGCACATTGTATGACCCAAACTTCTTTACCTATACTAATTGGGGAAATGTTAGTCTAAATAAAGAAGCAACTATAATTATAAAATAAAGTAAAATTTAATTACAATCATCAAGAGTAAAGTATCTAGAAACAACTTATAATAAAATGCTTTTTAGTAAATGTTTTTCAGCTTCCTTTATTGAAAAGAGTATGCTTATTTCCAATTAGTGAAAACAATTTGTGGAAAAACAGTATTGTCATTTTTATCAAAGAAATATTTTCAAATTTTATTATTGTTTCACTTTATTAAAAAGGCAATACATGTTTGTTATAAGAATTCAACAGTTTCTACCAATAGCATAATAGATCAAGTGGAAGAAAGGATATCAGAGATTTAAGATAAACTTAATGAAATGAAGCCTGAAGACAACATTAGAGATAAAAGAATAAAAAGGAATGAAGAAAGCCTCCAAGAAATATGGGACTATTTGGAAAGACAAAACCTATGTTTGATTGGTGTATCTGAAAGTGATGAGGAGAATGGAGCCAAGCTGGAAATCACTCTTCAGGATATTATCCATGAGAACTTCTTCAACCCAGAAGACAGGCCAATATTTACATTCAGGAAATAAAGAGAACACCACAGAGATATTCCTCGAGAAAAGCAACTCCAAGACACAATCGTCAGATTCACCAAGGTTGAAATGAAGGAAAACATGTTAAGGTTAGCCAGAGAGAAAGGTCGGGTTACCCATGAAGGGGTGCCCATGAGACTAACAGCAGATCTCTCTGCAGAAACCCTATAAGCCAGAAGAGAGTGGGGCCAATATTCAACATTCTTAAAAAAAAATTTCAACCCAGAATTTAATATTCAGCCAAACTAAGCTTCATAAGTGAAGGAGAAATAAAATCCTTTACAGACAAGCAAATGATGAGGGTTTCTGTCACCAAGAGCTCCTGAAGGAAGCACTAAACATGGAAAAAAAGAAAAAACTATGATACCAGCCACTGCAAAAATATACCAAATTGTAAAGACCATCAACACTATGAAGAAACTGCATCAACTAAGGGGAAAAATAACCCGCTAGCATCATAATGACAGGATCAAATTCACATGTAACAATATTAACCTTAAATGTAAGTGGGCTAAATGCCTCAATTAAAAGACACAGACTGGAAAATTGGATAAAGAGTCAAGAGCCATCAGTGTGTTGTATTCAGGAGACCCATCTCATGTGCAAAGACATACATAGGCTCAAAATAAAGGGAGGGAAGAAGATTTACCAAGCAAATGGAAAGAAAAAAAAAGCAGAGGTTGCAATCCTAGTCTCTGATAAAACAAACTTTAAACCAACAAAGATCAAAAAAGACAAAGAAGGGCGTTACATAATGGTAAAGGGATCAATGCAACAAGAAGAGCTAACTCTCCTAAATATATATGCACCCAATACAAAAGCACCCAGATTCATAAACCAAGTTCTTTGACACCTGAAAAGAGACTTAGACTCCCACACAACAACAGTGGGAAATTTTTATGCCTTACTGTCAATATTAGACAGATCAACGAGACACAAAATTAACAAGGATATTCAGGACTTGAACTCAGCTCTGGACCAAGTGAAGCTAATAGACATCTACAGAACTCTCCACCCCAAATCAACAGAATATACATTTTTCTCACCACCACATCACACTGATTCTAAAATTAACCACATAATTGGAAGGAAAACACTCCTCAGCAAATGCAAAATAACAGAAATCATAACAAACGATCTCTCAGACCACAGTGCAATCAAGTCAGAACTCAGAATTAAGAAACTCACTCAAAACTTCACAATTACATGCAAATTGAAAAGCCTGCTCCTAAATGACTACTGGGTACATAAAAAAATTAAGCAGAAATAAATAAATTATTTAAAACCAATGCGAACAAAGACACAACGTACCAGAATCTCTGGGACACAGCTAAAGCAGTGTTAAGAGGGAAATTTATAGCACTAAATGCCCACAGGAGAAAGTGGGAAAGATCTAAAATCAACACCCTAACATCACAATTTAAAAAACTAGAGAAGCAAGAACAAACAAATTCAAAAGCTAGCAGAAATCAAGAAATAACTAACATCAGAGCAGAACTGAAGAAGACAGAGACACGAAAATCCCTTCAAATAATCAATGAATCCAGGAGCTGGTTTTTTGAAAAGATTAACAAAATAGACCACTAGTGAGACTAATAAAGAAGAAAAGAGAGAAGAATAAAATAGACACAATAAAAAACGATAAAGGGGATATCACCACTGACCCGACAGAAATACAAACTACCATCAGAGAATACTATAAACACCTCTATTCAAATAAACTAGAAAATCTAGAAGAAATGGATATATTCCTGGACACATACACCCTCCAAAGACTAACCCAGGAAGAAGTTGAATCCCTGAATAGACCAATAAAAAGTTCTGAAATTGAGGTAGTAATTAATAGCCCACCAACCTAAAAAAGCCTAGGATCAGATGAATTCAGAGCCAAATTCTACCAGAGTTACAAAAAAGAGCTGGTACCATTCCTTCTGCAACTATTCCAAACAATAGAAAAGGAGGGAATTCTCCCTAACTCATTTTATTAGGCCAGGATCATCTTGATTCCAAAACCTGGCAGAGAAACAACAAGAACAACAAGAACAACAACAACAACAACAATAACAACAAAACCCAAAAACTTCAGGCCAATATCCCTGAAGAACATCAGTGCGAAAATCCTCAATAAAATACTAGCAAACTGAATGCAGCAGCACATCACAAAACTTATCCACCACGCTCAAGTTGGCTTCATCCCTTGGTTGCAAGGCTGATTCAACACATGCAAATCAATAAATGTAATCCATCACATAAACAGTGCCAATGACAAAAACTACATGATTATCTCAATAGATGGAGGAAAGGCCTTCAACAGAATTCAACACCCCTTCTTGCTAAAAACTCTCAATAAACCAGGTATTGATAGAACATATCTCAAAATAATTAGAGCTATTTATGACAAACCCACAGCCGATATCATACTGAATGGGCAACAGCTGGAAGCATTCCCTTTGAAAACCAGCACAAGACAAAGATGACCTCTCTCATCCCTCCTATTCAACATAGTATTGCAAGTTCTGGCCAGGGCAATCAGGCAAGAGAAAGAAATAAAAGATTCTAATAGGAAGAGAGGAAGTCAAATTGTCTCTGTTTGCAGATGACATGAGTGTCTATATAGAAAACCCCAAAATCTCAGCCCAAAATCTCCTTAAGCTCATAAGCAACTTCAGCAAAGTCTCATGATACAAAATCAATGTGCAAAAATCACAAGCATTCTTATACACCAATAACAGACAAACAGAGAGCCAAATCATGAGTGAACTCTCATTCACACTTGCTACAAAGAGAATAAAATACCTAGGAATACAACTTTCAAGGGATGTTAAGGACCTCTTCAGGGAGAACTACAAACCACTGCTCAAGGTTGTGAAAATGGCCATACTTCCTAAAGTAATTTATAGATTTAATGCTCTCCCCATCAAGCTACCATTGACTTTCTTCACAGAATTAGAAAAAACTACTTTAAATTTCATATGGAACCAAAAAAGAGCCTACATAGCCAAGACAATCCTGAACAAAAAGAACAAAGTTAGAGGCATCACGCTACCTGACTTCAAAGTATACCACAAGGCTACGGTAACCGAAACAGCATGGTACTGGTAACAAAACAGAGATATAGACCAATGGAACAGAACAGAGGCCTCAGAAATAATGCCACACATTTACAACTATCTGATCTTTGACAAACCTGACAAAAACAAGCAATGGGGAAAAAATTCCGTATTTAATAAATGGTGCTGGGACAACTGGCTAGCCACATGCAGAAAACTGAAACTGGACCCCTTCCATACACCTTATACAAAAATTAACTCAAGATGAATTAAAGACTTAAACCTAAGACCTAAAACCATAAAAACCCTAGAAGAAAACCTAGGCATTACCATTCAGGAAATAGACATGGGCAAAGACTTCATGACTAAAATAACAAAAGCAATGGCAATGAAAGCCAAAATTGACAAATAAGATCTAATTAAACTAAAGAGCTTCTGCACAGCAAAAAGAAACTATCATCAGAATAAACAGGCAACCTACAGAATGGGAGAAAATCTTTGCAATCTACCCATCTGACAAAGGGCTAATATTCAGAATCTACAAGGAACTTAAACACATTTACAAGAAGAAAACAAGCAACTTCACCAAAAAGTGGGTGAAGGATATAAACAGGCATATCTCAAAAGAAGACATTTATGTGGCCAACAAATATATGCAAAAAAGCTCATCATCACTGGTCATTAGAGAAATGCAAATCAAAACCACAATGAGATA
This sequence comes from Homo sapiens, assembly GCF_000001405.40. Taxonomy (NCBI): domain Eukaryota; kingdom Metazoa; phylum Chordata; class Mammalia; order Primates; family Hominidae; genus Homo; species Homo sapiens. The sequence continues at coordinate 64,759,772 of NC_000023.11, read as the reverse complement.
CCATCTCATGCCAGTTAGAAAGGCGAAGATTAAAAAGTCAGGAAACAACAGATGCTGGAGAGGATGTGGAGAAATAGGAACTCTTTTACACGGTTGATGGGAGTATAAATTAGTTCAACCATTGTGGAAGACAGTGTGGCAATTTCTCAGGTATCTAGAACTAGAATACCATTTGACCCAGCAATTTACTGGGTATACACCCAAAGGATTATAAATCATCCTACTATAAAGACACATGCACAGGTATGTTTATTGTCACACTGTTCACAATAGCAAAGACTTAGAACCAACCTAAATGCCCATCAATGATAGACTGGATAAAGAAAATGTGGCACATACACACCATAGAATATGATGCAACCATAAAAAAGGATGAGTTCATGTCCTTTGCAGGTACATGGATGAAGCTGAAAACCATCAGTCTCAGCAAACTAACACAGGAACAGAAAACCAAACACCACATGTTCTCACTCATAAGTGGGAGTTGAACAATGGGAACACATGGACACAAGGAGGGGAACATCACACACTGGGGCTGTTGGGGGTTGGGGGTGTAGGGAAGGGATAGCATTAGGTGAAATACCTAATTTAGATGATGAATTGATGGGTACAGCAAACCACCATGGCACGTATATACCTATGTAACAAACCTGCATGTTCTCCACATGTATCCTAGAACATAAAGTTTAATAATTTAAAAAAACAAATTCAACAGTTTCAGACATAGATTTTGTAAAAAGTAAAAATCATTCATAATTCTGTTCTCCAGAAAAATAAACGTTTTTTTGTAAATCATGATTTTAAAAAATGGTATAATACTATTTTACAATTTTTTTTTGCAGTTGGCCATGAAAGCCACCACACACAGATCTATTTCATTTGTTTTAACTGCTATGTAATTTATTAAATGCTATAAGTCATTTAAACAATAGTTCTCTTAGAATACCCTTGTTTTCAGGAAATATTCACTGGAGGATTTAGGGGAAAAAACTCATGTCTACAAGTTTCACATATTTCAAAAGAAAGATGTATGTGTATGTGGAGGAGTGGAGAATTAATAATAAAGATGGTAAAATGCTCACATTTGGAAGATAGGGGTTAAGGGTCATATGGGATTTTTAAACAATTTATGCAACTTTTTTATAAAACTGAAAATATATAACAACAAGCTAAAAGTAATCCAGCACTTTGGGAAAACAAGGTGAGAGGTTTGGTGAGCCCAGAAGTTCAAAACTGTACTCCCTTGTCTGGGGAAAAAAATAGTGATTGCCAGGAGTGAGTGATAAATAATGAAGAATAAAGTATGTTTAGGGTGGTGAAACTCTTCTGTATTGTACTATAATGGTAGATAGATGACCTTATGCATTTGTCAAAACCTATAGAACTTTACCACACTGAGTAAAACAATACAGACAAATTTTTATTTATTTATTTATTTATCGAGCCAGAGTCTCACTCTGTCACTCAGGCCAAAGGGCAGTGGCGCGATTTCAGCTCACTGCAACCTCTGCCATGTTCAAGGTATTCTCCTGCCTCAGCCTGCCAAGTAACTGGGATTACTGGCATTCACCACTATGCTTGGCTAATTTTTGTATCTTTAGTAGAGACATAGTTTCACCATGTTAGCCTGGCTCTCAAACTCCTGACCACAATTGATCCACTCGCCTCAGTCTTCCAAAGTGTTGCAATTATAGGCATGAGCAAATTTAAAAAGGTTCTCATATATGAACTCTACAATATTATTTACATAAGAGTAAAATTTTACTTTTTTTTAGGACTGTGTTCATTCTCATTTCTTCAAGCCTAGGAATTTCAGCAGTGGAGATACAGAGAAACTAAATTTCAGTACTTCTGAGAGGTACATACCTGAGACTAAGAAATTTATAAAGAAAAAATAGGTTTAATGGACCCAGAGTTCCATGTGGTTGGGGAGGCTTCACAATCATGGTGGAAGGCAAAAGGCACATCTTACATGGCAGCAGGCAAGAAAGAATGAGGGCCAAGTGAAAGGGGTTTGTCCTTATAAATCCATCAGATCTTATGAGACTTATTCACTACCCTGAGAACAGTATGGAGGAAACTGTTCCATGATTCAATTATCTCCTACTGGGTCCCTCCCACAACACATGGGAATTATGGGAGCTACAATTCAAGATGAGATTAGGGTGGGGACAAAGCCAAACCATATCACTGCCTATACACAAGTTAACAAACTCAATATTGCCTCACTTTAAAAAACTGGTACTATCATTGGCTATTGATGACAGTGTAAGTTAGTACAATTTTAGTGAAGGGCATTTTGAAAGTACCTATTGCAAGGAAAAATGCACAAGTTTTCAATGCAGAAATTCCATTTATGGACATCTTTTCAGAAGAAAAACATATGCATGTACACAGTGAGAAAGGTACAAAGGTGCTTATGATAGCTCTGGTTGAAAAAGTAAAAGATTGGCAACAACTTAAATGTTCATGAATATAAAACTAGCTAAATAAATAATAGACTATCTTCTTTGTAGAATACTATGTAACAATTCAAAAAAATGGGAAGGAACAGAGCAATAGAAAGATCCTCTGATCATGCCCTCCCACAAGAACACCAAATTTAATAATTCTCAGTACAAAAAAGCACCTTCATAAGAACCAAAATTCAGGCGTGGAGAGTGAATCTGTGAGCTTGGTAGAGGGAGAACACAGTGCTTGTGAGACTTTGCATTAAATTCAGTGCTGCTCTGTCACAGCAAAAAACAAAAGCAGGCTGAATTCAGCTGATGCTTGCCCATGGAGGGAGCATTTAGACCAGCTCTAGGCAGAGGAGTATTGGCCATCCCAGTGGTCAGAATTTGAGCTCCAGCAAGCCTTACCACTGTGGGATAATGTGCTCTGGGATTCCAAATAAACTTGAAAGGCAGACTGGGCCACAAGAACTGCAAATCCTAGACAAGTCCTAGTGCTGAACAGTGCTTAAGAGCCAGTATACTTGAGAGGCATGTGAACTATTGAGACACCAGATAGGGCAGCTAAGGGAGGGCTTGTGCCACCTCTTGAACCCCAGGCAGCACATCTCATGGCACCAAAAGAGATCCCTTCCTTCTGCTCGAGTAGAGGAGAGGGAAGAGTAAAGAGGACTTTGTCTTTTATTTTGAATACCAGCTCAGCCACAGTAGGACAGGGTAACAGTCAGAGTTGTGAAGCCCCCATACCAGGCTGCAGCTTCCAGATGACATTTCTGGACACAACTTGAGCTAGAAGAGAAAGCAATGTCTTGAAGGGAAGAATCCAGTTTTTAGCAGGACTCATCACCTGTTGACTAAAAAGCCCTTGGGTCCTGAATAACCAGCACTAATACTCAAGTAGTATGCCACGGGTCTTAGGTGAGAATCTGAGTTATGCTGGCTCCGGGTGAGATCCAGCACATTTCCAGCTGTAGTGGCTACAGTGAAAGACTCCTTCTGCTTAAGAAAAGCAGAGGGAAAAGTAAAGAGGCCTTTGTCTTGCATCTTAGGTACCACCTAAGCCACCAAGTGGGCTCTTGGTGAGCTCAATCCATATATTGGCTTAAGGACAGCGTTTCTGGAACTGCCCTTGAACAGAAGAAAAGCCACTGCCATGAAGTGTGAGCTGCAGGCCTATCAGTATTCACCCCAAGTTGACTGAACAGCCCTTGAGACTTGAGTGAACATTGGCAGTAGCCTGGCAGTACTCTCCTTGGGCCTGTTGGCTGAAGAACATGAAAAGAGACTCTACTGCCTGGAGAAAGGAGAGAAGAAAGTGAGGACTTTATTTTGTGGTTTGGGTGTCAGCTCATAAACAGTAAAATAGAGCACCAAACAGATTTCTAAGGTTTCTGACTCCAAGACCCAGCTCTTGGATGGCATCTCTGGACATATCCAGGGCCCAGGTAAACTTACTGCCTTGGTGTAAAAGACATAAGTTCTGCTTGCCTCAGCATCTGCTGATTGCATAGTCCTAGGGTCTTGAATAAGCATAAGTGGTAGCCAGGTAATGGTTACAGCAGGCCTTGGGTGAGACCTAGGGCTGTACTGGCTTTAAGTAAAAACCAGCACAGTCCCAGTGGTGTGGTAACAGGGGTGCTTATGTCTCCCATTCTCCAACTTCAGGTGTCTCAGCACAGAGGCAGAGACTGTTTGTTTGGGAGAAAGTAAGGAAATAAAACAGGAGTATCTGCCTGGTAATGCAGAGAATTATTCTAGATCTTAAGATCATCAAGGTGTCACCTCTAAGAGTCTGCAAGAACCACAGTGTCACTGGGCTTGGGGTGCCCCCTAATGCAGATATGGCTAAGAACACAACACCCAAGTCTTTTCAAATATGTGGAAATACTTCCAAGAAAGACAGGTACAAAGAGGCCCAGACTGTGAAGACTACAAAAAATACCTAACTCTTTAATGTCTGGATGGTGATAAACATCTTCAAGCATCAAGACCATTCAGGAACACAACCTCACCAAACAAACGAACAAACTAACTAGGCATCAGAAATCAATCTTGGAGAAACAGAGATATGTGAACTTTCATACAGAGAATTCAAAATAGCTGTTTAGAGGAATCTCAAAGCAATTCAAGAAAACAAGGAGAAGGACTTCAGACTTCTATTAGATAAATTTAATAGAGATCGAAATAACCAAAAAGAATCAAGCAGAAATTCTTAAGCTGAAAGATGCAATTCACATACTGAAAAATGCATCAGCCTCATCAGAAGAAAGAATTAGTGAGTTTGAAGGTAGGCTATTTAACAATACACAGTCAGGAGAGACAAAAACAATTAAATGAACTATGCCTACAAGATCTAGAAACTAGCCTCAAAAAGGCAAATCTAAATGTCATTGGCCTAAAAGAGTAGGTAGAGAAAGATAAAGAAGCAGAAAGTTTATTCGAAGGGATAATAAAAGAGAACATCCCAAACTTAGAGAAATATATCAATATCCAAGCACAAGAAGGTTAAAGAAAACCAAGAAGACTTAACACAAAGAAGACTACTTCAAGGCATTTAACAATCATACTCCAAAATGTCAAGGATAAAAAAAAGGATCCTAAAATCAGCAAAAGAAAAGAAACAAATAACATAAAATGGATCTTCAATACATCTGGCAGCAGATTTTCAGTGGAAACCTTATAGGCCAAGAAAGAATGGTATGACATATTTAAAGTGCTGAAGGAAAAATCTTTTACTCTAGAATAGGATATCCCGTGAAAATATTCTTCAAATATGAAGGACAAATAAAGACTTTCCCAGACAAACAAAGGTGAGAGATTTCATCAACACCAGATGTGTCCTACAAGAAATGCTGGGCGCTGTGGCTCACAGCTGTAATCCCAGCACTTTGGGAGGCTGAGTTGGGTGGATTATGAGGTCAAGAATTCGAGACTAGCCTGGCCAACATGGTGAAACCCCGTCTCTACTAAAAGTACAAAAATTAGCTGGGAATGATGGTGCACACCTGTAATCACAGCTACTGGGGAGGCTGAGACAGGAGAATGGCTTGAGTCCAGGAGGCAGAAGTTGCAGTGAGATGAGGTCGTGCCACTGCACTCCAGCCTGGGTGACAGAGCAAGACTCCATCTCAAAAAAAAAAAAAAAAAAAAGAACAGAAGAAATGCTAAAGGGAGTACTTCAATCAGAAAGAAAAAAAGAAAAGGATGCTAATGAGAAAAAAAAGATATTTATATGAAGATACAAAACTCACTGGTAATAGTAAGAAGACAGAAAAACAGAATATTATGAAACTGTAACTATACTGTGTAAACTACTCTCAATTAGGATTAAAGGATAAACCAATTAAAATTAATAACTACAACAACTTTTCAAGGAACAGACAGTACAATAAGATAGAAAGAGAAACAACAAAAAGTGAAAAAGCAGAGGGAAAGGTTAAGGTATAGAATTTTTATTAGTTTTTATTTTTGTTCTTTGCTTCTTTATGCAAACAGTATTAAGTTGTTATCAGCTTACAGCTGAATGAGTTGTAAGATTGTATTTGCAAGCCTCATGGTTAGCTTAAATCTAATATCATAAAATGGATACCCAAAAGATTAAAAGCAAGTAATAAAAGCAACTTTTTAGAATAGTTTCAGTAGGAATGATACTAGATCTTCTTTGAACATCTAGTAGAATTCGGCTGTGAATCTGTGTGGTGTTATTAGTATTATTATAAAATCAATACGGTTATTGAAACTAACTGTGTCTTAGGAAACCATAAAAAAAGCATTAAACATTAAAGAAATAGCTACAGGTTTTCAAAGCACTCTACATTTCTTGAGAGCATATGAGGGAAATATTAGTTATTACATGGCTTATTCTGAGACTATCTACATTATATAGTGTAATCTTCAATTTGAGCTCATTCAAAACTTATGATTATGGACAGAGGTTCTGGAAAAGTGTATCTTTTCTTGACAAACTTTCTCTTCATACTGAAAATTTATTATATGAACAAGATTGGCAGAGGTGTACAGAATGGAACAGATAAAAGCTAAGAGAATAAGCTGTTTTTAGGCATCCTTGACCATGTTAAAAGCTGCTGGGATCGTTACATAGAATTAACTTGCTCACTTAATTCTCTTGATTGTCTATTCTTGTAAACATGCATCAGCTGATTTATTTCTACCAATTGATTCAATTTAACATCTGCTAATTAATACTCAATATTCACAAGGTACTTTGCTTGACCCAGAGAGTCTACAGAGTGGATTTACAATCTAGTGAGTGAGACACAAGTGTCAATACTTTCCAGTACCATACTATAGAATGTCATAAGTACTTAATAGAGGATAGGTATACACTGTGAAAGAATAAAAAAAGAAATGTTTCTTTCTGACTGGGGGATATCAGAGAAGGCTTCACAATGAAGAGGTAGCACCTGACAGACACAACTTATTTTGATTGATAAAAAAGAGCTTTGTGAACTTAATGAAAGTTTTTACATCCTCTTGAAAGTAATAGACTTCCATATTTTAAATCTGGTCAGTAATTTAGACATCTAAATGTTAGTTCAAACTGCCCTCTCCTTTCACACCCCTACTTCATCTTCAATTACACCTAATTAGTTAAAATTTACTATGTAATGTTATCCAAAAAATGCACCATTTACTATGCTTTTATATAAAGCCGTAAGCAAGAATCACTTTCTAGCTGGGCTTGATGAGCTTTGTGGGTTTGTGAAATGTGTATCTGTGGGATCAGCATGAGGAAAGCAATCTGAGAGTTTGGAAAACACATATTGCAAGCTAGTGATTCTCCCAATTCTCTGGTAGTTTTCCTTCACAATTTTATTTCTCAGAATCCACCTGACTGATCTCAATTTTTCCCTCCCACTTTGCTTCCAATAGCTTTTTAAAATGACTTTTTAAGGCTTATCTCTTAAAGTCTAACCAATTATTTCCTTTTGTGTCTCCCTTAGTTGTAGTCATACAATATAAAATTGGAAGAATTGTTAAAAATAATATAGTTCACTCTCCCATTGCTTTTTTTCAGAGAAAGAAACTGAAGTCTAGGTTAAGATTTTACACAAGATCACATGATTACTTTGGAAAAAGGAATCTGCTAGATGGTCAAATGAGCAAGCTTTCTTGCTAGTTTAATACCTAGTTTTTGATCTTGTTAAAATGAGTTCTGAGTAAGCTTCCTATTCTTTGTATTGGAAATTGTAAGAAAGTTAGTAAAATACAAAAGACCTAGGGAAACCTTCTAGGGGACACTTATTCTTCATCAAGTTTTAATCATAAATTGCTTAATCTGCAACAGATCTTGGGAATTATCTAATTAGAGTAATGTAATGTGTTGATTCCAGACAAGGGTATTGTAGTTCACCTTTATTTTTAATCTACAGATGATCTACATAATTCACCTGTTCAGAGTAGAATCATTTTTATTCCTCAATTCTTCTTCCTCACAAGTAAATCTCATTGCTTTTGTTCTGTATTTAGTGAGTTTGAAAAGAGTTAGATCCTGTCTCTCTTATATACTAATGACTCAAAGGAATTTTTAAAGTACTTGGGAACATAAGTTATTAGAATAGATAGCTGTATAACTGTATCAGTCAACCCTTCTTTTAAATGTTTTATTCTCATTTTATTTTATTATTCCTAATATTTTAAAAATTTTTGTGGGTACACAGTAGGTGTATATAGTGTATATATTTACAACGTGCATAAGATGTTTTGATACAAGTTTGCAAAGTCAAATAAACACATCATGGAGAATGAGGTATCCATCCATTCCTAAAGTATTTATTGTGTGTTACAATGAAGTTAAATTATTTAAGTAACTCTAAAACATGCAATTAAGTTATTATTGATTCTAGTAATCCTATTATGCTCATCAAATAATAGGTTTTATTTATTTTTTCTTATTTTGGTACCTATGATGATTCTCATTTTAAATAACAGCATTAGAGATTGAAATTTCTGGACACTTGATTGACTAGCGACTTATATATTTGGTAGAATGAAGATAAATTTCGCTGTTTGACTTTTTAGTTCTCTTAGCACCTACTGCATCAACATAACCACGTCCTGCTTGATTCCTGGGTGTTTGAGCATTGATGATTAAGAGCAAGAAGCCACTGTTTGCTAAACTTGTTGATGTGCTCTTGAGAAATAGTATTAGTCTGGTGTATACAGCAATTATTCCCTAATTAATATATTAATGTCTTTGAATCAGGAGTTTAAGTAGTACTCACACCTATCATCTGTTTTGCATTAGACTGAACATTTACTCCAAAGTTAACTGCATTTCTGCCTCACACTGAATCGTATTTCATATACAACCATATAATTAAAAAAATAAGAGTTTTTCACATGCAGTGGTAGTTCTGTTTATGTAAGTGGAAGTTTTGAAGTCAGGCCTTAATTTGCACTCCCAAAAAGTTTGCTTGGTTTCTCCTACTATCCTGTAGTTTTATGCTATGGAGAATAGTAAGCTGACACCTGCCTTACTATAAATCAGATGTTGTGCAGCAACCTAAAAATTTAATACTAGCCCTTGTAATTAGATATGGATGAAATAAAATAAGTAACATTTTAAAAAGATTTTCTCCTCATTGATGCTTTGAAAGTGGGAGGGAAGTGAACTTTCTTAAAAATAAACAACTTCGGGCCTAATTCCCTATTCCATATCCAAGACTGGATGATTTGCGCATGAATATGAAATCAAAGAATTTTACACTCGGAAGAGACCTCAAGTATTATGTAAACCAATTTTCTCATTTACCTGTAATGAAACTAAAAGATGGATAAGTGATATAGCGTTTTTAAAATCACAAAATTAGGTAGGGACAAAGCTTGGACTGAAACCAAGGTCTACAAATGCTTAAAACCATTGGGTACAACATCAACTTACCTGCTTTAGCTACAACCATTGCCTACCCAGGGATCCTTCCCCTACTGACCTGAATCTTGAATCTTCAACTCAGTAAATAAAATACTGGGAAAATAACTTAAAATTGTGTGCACTATAGGAGAATGAGATAGGCTTTAGAACATTCTTGCCATTCCAACTCCATAGGAGACAATGAACTTGCCCACACACCAAGTACGTAACTACTACAACCAGCATCTGGGAAAGCCAGTGCACAAAGACCCTCTATAACTAAGAAATGCATACAGAGTATTCACACTTAATGGCACCAAGAAACAAATCAGGCTGTGATAAACTACAAACACTAAAATCAGATCCTTAAGAGGAAAAAAATAAAATATGGTCAAATCAAAAATAAATTCGAAAACAATTTGAAGAAATATTCTACACAAATGAGAAGAAACTAGAAAAGTAAATCTGGTAATGTGAGAAACCAGGGTTCTATAAAACCCCAAAAAGATTACACTAGCTCCACAGTAATTAATCCAAACCAAGAAATATCAGATAAATAATTCAGAAGGTTGATTATAAAGCTATTCAGGGAGCCACTAGAGGAAGGCAAAAACCAACATAAAGAAATTTTAAAAATTAGAATACAATAAAAAATTTACCAGAGAGATATGTATCATAAAGAAAACAACAGTCAGAACTTCTAATCAATGTTAAAAAATAGATTCGAAAGAAACAAACCAAGTCTTCAAGAAATATGGGATTATGTTAAATGGCCAAACCTTAGAATGATTGGTGTTCCTGAGGAAGAAGAGAAGTTTAAGTGCTTGAAAAATTAAAGAAATAATTGAAAAAAAAGTTTCCTGGCCTTGCTAGAGATCCAGATATGAAATACAAGAAATTCAAGGCACCCCTGGGAAATCTATTCCAAAAAGATCATTACCAAGGCACATAGTCATCAGGCTATCTGAAGTCAACACAAAGTAAATAATTTTAAGAGCTATGGGACAAAAACATCAGGTAACCTCTAAAGTGAAATCTATCAAACTAATAGCAGATTTCTCAACAGAAACTTTAGAAGCCAGAATAGATCAGAGTCCTATCTTCAGCCTCCCAAAAGAAAATGATTCTGTCAAGATTTGTATATCCAGCCAAATTAAGTTTCATAAATGAAGGAGACATAAAGTCTTTTTCAGACAAACAAATGCTGAGAAAATTCACCACTACCAAACCAGCACAACAGGAAATGTTAAAAGGAGTTCTAAATTTTGAGACAAAAGGTTTATATGCACCAAAGTGGTACCTTAATAAAGCATAAATCTAGTTTTTTCTTTTTTTGAGATGGAGTTTTATTATTGTTGCCCAGGCTGGAGTGCAATGACATGATCTTGGCTCACTACAGCCTCTGCCTCCCAGGTTCAAGTGATTGTCCTGACTCAGCCTCCCAAGCAGCTGGGATTAGAGGTGATCACCACCATGCAAGGCTAATTTTTTGTTTACTTTTAGTAGAGATGGGGTTTCACCATGTTGGTCAGGAGATAAAGTATAAATCTTACAGGGCCTATAAAACAATAACACAATGAAAAAAAGTAGCTAGGTAACAACTAACATGATAAATAGAACAGTACCCCACATCTCAGTATTAACATTAAATGTAAATGGCCTAAATGCTCCACTTAAAAAGTACAGAATGGCAGAATGAATAAAAAAAAAAAATTCACTAACCAAATATCTGCTGTCTTCAAGAGACTCATCTAACATGTGAGGACTCATATCAATTTACAGGAAAGGGGTGGAAAAATATATTACATACAAATATATTACATACAAACCAAAACAAGCAGGAGTAGCTATTTTTATATAAGATAAAATAGACATTAAAGCAACAGCAGTAAAAAAAATACATTATATAATGATAAAAAGATTAGTCCAATGAGAAGATATTACAACCCTAAATTTATATAAAGCTAACACTGAAGCTCCCAGATTTATAAAATAATTACTACTAGACTTAAAATATGTGATAGACAGCAACCCAATAATAGTGGGGAACTGAAAATGTACTGATAGCACTATATAGATAATCATGACAGAAAGGCCACGACAACAAAAAAATGGACTTAAGCCATACCCTAGAGCAAATGGATTTAACAGATGTTTACAGAACATTCTTCCCAACAATTGCAGAATATGCATTCTTTTCATCAACACATGAAACATTTTTCAAGATAGACTGTATAGTAGGCCACAAAACACATCTATATAAATTTAAGAAAATCTAAAATATTTTCTCCATCCACAGTGGAATAAAACTGAAAATCAACTCCAAAAGGAACACTCAAAACTATACCAATAAATGGAAATTAAATAATCTGCTCTGGAATGATTTTTGGGTTGAATATAAAAGATAATAGTGACAAAACTTACCAAAAACTCTGGAATAAAGCAAAAGCAGTGCTAAGAGTTTATAGCATTAAATGGCTACATCAAAAAGTTTGTAAAAGCACAAATTGACAACCTAATGATACACCTCAAGGAACTATAGAAACGAGAACAAACTAAACCCAAAGCCAGCTGAAGAAAAGAAATAACAAAAATCAAAGCAGTAATAAATGAAATTGAAACGAAATAAACAATACAACAGATAAATAAAACAACATCTTGTTCTTTGGAAAAACAAACAAAATTGATGAGCCATTAGCAAGATAAACCAATATAAGAAGAGACAAGATCAAAATGAGCTCAATTAGAGATGAAACTGGAGGTATTACAAAGAATACCACAGAAATACAAAATATTATTTCAGGGTACTATGAACATCTTTCTGTGCACAAACTAGAAAATCTAGAGAAAATAGATAAATTCCTGGAAACATACAGCACTGCTAAATTAAATCAAGAAAAAATAGAAACCCTGAACAGACCAATAACAGGCAGTGAGATTGAATCAGTAATAAATAATTGCCAACAACAAAAAAGTCCAGGACCAGAGTGATTCACAGCTGAATACTATCAGATATTTGATGAATTGGTACCAATCCTACTGAAACCATTCCAAAAGATATAGAAATAAGGACTTCTCTTTAAATCATTCTATGAAGCCAGTAACCCTAATACCAAAACCAGGAAGGGACATAACAAAATAAAAAGAAAATGAGAGACCAATATCTCTGATTAACATAGATGTAAAAATCCTCAACAAAGTACTAGCTAACTGATATGATTTGGATTTCTGTTCCTTCTCAAATCTTATATTGCATTGTAACATCCAGAGTTGGAGGTGGGCTCTGGTGAAGGTGTTTGGATCATGGGGGCTGATTTTCCCCTTCGGCGCTGTTCTTGTGATAGAGTACTCATGAGATCTGGTTGTCTAAAAGTGTGGGGCCCCTCCCCCTTCACTCTCTCTTGCCCCTTATCTACTATGTAAGATGCCCTGATTCACCTGTTCTGCCAAGATTTTAAGTTTCCTGAGGCCTCCCCAGAATTTAAGCAGATGGCAGCATCATGCTTCCTGTACAGCCTGTGGAACTTTGGGCCAATTATACTTTTTTCTTTATAAATTACCCAATCTCAGGTATCTACTTATAGCAGTGTGAGAATGGACTAATACACTAACCGAACTCAACAGCACATCTAAAATATCATGATTAAGTAAGTATCATTCCAGGGATGCAGAAATGGTTTAACATGTGCAAATCAATAAATGTAATACATCACATTAGTAATAGAATTGCAAACAAAAACCATATAATTATATCTATAGACAGACAAAAAGCATTTGATAAAATCCAGTATCCCTTTATGATAAAAACCCTCAACAAAATAGGCATGCAGTGGACTTACCTCAAAGTAATAAAAGCCATATATGACAAACCCACAGCCAACATTATACTGAATGGGGAAAAGTTGAAAGCATTCTGCTGATAACTGGAAAACACAAGGATGTCAACTTTCACCACTTCTATTCAACATAGTACAGGAAGTCCTAGCCAGAGCAATCAGACAAAAAAAAAAAAAGGAATTAAAGGGTATGCAACTTAGAAAAGAGGAAGTCAAACTGTCATTGTTCACTGATGATATAATTGTATACCTAGAAAATCCTAAAGACTCATCCAAAAATTTCTAGATCTGATAAATGAATTCAGTAGATTTTCAGGTTACAAAATCAATGTGGACAAATCAGCAGCACTGCTAAGCACCAACAACAACCAAGCTGAGAATCAAATCCAAAACTTAACCTTTTTTATAACAGCTACAGAAAAATACTTAGGAATATACATAACCAAGAAGATGGAAGATTTCTACAAGGAAAACTACAAAACACTGCTGAAAGAAATCACAGGTGACACAAACAAATGGAATCACATCCCATGCTCATGGATGGGTAGAATCAATAATGTGAAAATGACCGTAGTGCTAAAAGCAATCCACAGATTCAATGCAATTCCCATCAAAATACCATCATCATTCTTCACAGAAGTAGTAAGAGAATCCTAAAATTCGTATGGAACCAAAAAAGAGCTCACATAGCTGAAGCAATACTAAACAAAAAGAACAAATCTGGAGGCATCACATCACCTGACTTCAAATTATACAAGGCTACAGTTACCAAAACAACATGGTACTGTTATAAAAATAGGAACATAGACCAATGGAACAGGATAAAGAACCTGGAAAAAAATCCAAATATTTACAGCCAAATAATCTTTGACAAAGCATACAAAAATATAAATTTGAGAAAGAACACTTTATTCAATAAATGGTTCTGGGAAAACTGACAAGCCATATGTAGAAGAATGAAACTGGATGCACATCTTTCACCTTATACAAAAATCAACTCAAGATAAATAAAAAAAATTACATCTAAGACCTAAAACCATAAAAATTCTAGAAGATAACATAGGAAAAACTTTTCTGGACATTAGGTTAGGCAAATAATTCATTACTAAGTCTCCAAAAGCAAATGCAACAAATCCAAAAATAAATAGATGGGACCTGATTAAACTAAAAGTCTTCTGCATAGCAAAAGAAATAATCACTAGAGTAAAGAGAGAACTCACAGAATGGGAGAAAATATTCTCAAACTATGCATCTAACAAAAGAATAGTACCCAGAATTTACAAGGAACTCAAACAAATCAGCAAGAAAAAAAATCCCATCAAAAAATAGCAAAGGACATGAATAGACAATACTCAAAAGAAGATATACAAACAGCCAACAAACGTATAAAATGCCCCAAATTACTAATCATCAGGGAAATGCAAAATAAAACCAGAATGAGATACCACCTTACTCCTGCAAGAATGGCCTTAATTAAAAAGTCAAAAATAATAGATGTTAGCATCGATGTGGTGAAAAGGGAACACTTTTACACTGCTGGTGGTAATGTAAATTAATATAACTACTGTGGAAAATAGTATAAAGATTCCTTAAAGAAGTAAAAGTAGAACTACCATTTGATTCAGCAATCCCACTACTGTGTATCTACCCAAAGGAAAAGAAGTCATTACATGAAAAAGACATATGCACACACATGTTTATAGCAGCACAATTTCCAGTTGCCAAAATATGAGATCAATCTAAATGCCATTCAACAAATGACTGGATAAGAAATGTGGTTCATATACACTATAGAATACTACTCAACCATAGAAAGAAATAAAATAATGTCTTTTGCAGCAACATGAATAAGCTGGAGGTTTTAATTCTAATTAAAGTAACTCAGGAATGGAAAACCAAATATCATTGGTTGTCACTTATAAGTGGGAGCTAATCTATGAGTATGCATAAGGCATGACTGATATAATGGACTTTGGGGATTCAGGTAGGGGAAGGTTGGGAGTGGGGTGAGGGATAGAATATTACATATTGGGTACAGTGTACACTGCTTGGGTGATGCGTGCACTAACATCTCAAAAACCACCACTAAAGAACTTATCCATGTAACCAAAAGCCACCTGCACCCCCAAACTATTGAAATTTTTAAAAATTACAAATAAAAATAAATAGAAATCAAATAAAATAATTCAAAATGTATTAAAGACCTAAGTGTAAGAACTAAAACCATAAAACTACTAGAAGATAATCCACAGGAAAATCTCTATAACATTGGTCTGGGCAATGATATTTTTATATATTACCCCAAAAGCAAAGGCAAAAAAGCAAAAATAGACAAATGAGAGTACATCAAACCAAAAAGCTCCTGTAATGTCAAGGGAACAATCAACAGAGTGAAGAGGCAACTGACAGAATGAGAGAAAATACTTGCAAACCATACATCTGATCAGGGTTTAATATGCAATCTATACAAGGAACTCAAATAAATTAATACTTAGAAAACAAATAACTCAATTATAAAATGGGCAAAGGACCTGAACAGACATTTCACAAAAGAAGGCATACAAATGCCCAATAAACATATAAAAAAACTCAACATCATTAATAATCAGAGAAGTACATATTATAACCATAATGACATATGACTTAAAAGCTGCAAGAATGGCTATCAAAATGAAAGAGAGCAAGTGTTGGAGAAGACGTGCAGAGAAGAAAACTGTTGCAAACTGTTGACAGAAATGTAAATTTGTACATTCATATGTGTGATGGTTAATACTGAGTGTCAACTTGATTGGATTGAAGAATACAAAGTACTGTCCCTGGGTGTGTCTGTGAAGGTATTGCCAAAGAAGATTAATATTTGAGTCAGTAGGCTGGGAAAGGCAGACCAACCCTTAATCTAGGTGGGCAAAATCTAATCAGGTGTCAGCATGGCTAGAACATAAGCCGGCAGAAAAATTTGAAAACAGAGACTGGCCAGGCCTCCCAGCCTACATCTTTCTCCCATGCTGAATGCTTCCTGCCCTTGAACACTGGACTCCAAGTTCCCAGCCTATTGTGAGACCTTGTGATAGGGTGAGTTAACACTTAATTATTAATTAAGTATTAATTAATTAATTAAGTAATAATTAAGTAATAATTAATACTTAATATATATATATATTCCATTAGTTCTGTCCCTCTAGAGAACCCTAATACAGACTTTTGTACCAGGATTCGTTCTAGAGGAACAGAATATTAAGGATGGGGATAATTCATTGGTTTTGGGTTTCCTGGAGATGGTTGCTTATTATGATTAGACCCCAAAATGCTAAGGACTCTACTTCTAATAATAGGGAGAACACTGATAGTCCTTGGCATGAACTTTTTAGAGATTTATGCAAAAAAAATGCATTTGATACCCGATTCATTGCTCGTGAGAAGCAAGGAATTTAGTGACTCTATAGATACTACCTTTGACCATATGGGGAGAACCAAGAAACATAATGAAGCTGGTTGGTTTCTTCTAAGTTTGGTGAATGAACTGATGAAAGAAAATGATGCATGATATATTCAGAGATTCTATCTCCTGGCTTCAGAAGTAGGTACTGAACTTCAAATCTGCTAAGATTGCCCTGAGTGAGAGTCTTATCTCCTGTAGAGAAATAGCTGAAACTGTAGAAAAGCAGACACAAGCTCTTATGTGAATGGCTGACCTGAAATGAAACGTGCATGCACAACCTTGCCAGGTGTCTACTGTTAAAGTGAGGGCATTGATTGGAAAAGAATGGGCCCTTGCAACTTCCAATGAAGACAGGTGGGAGGACCCTGATGAAGCTGAGGACACTGAGTTTGTTAATTCTGATGAATCTTTTTTGCCAGAAAAAAAAAAAAAAAACAGCTTTCTCATCCCCAGTAGTGGAAACATCCCCTCCCCAATCCATACTGCAGTCAGCTTTTCCATTTTTGTCTGAGGAGATAAACCCTGTGCTGCCTGAGGCAACAGTGATGGCCTGCCTTGAGGCAGTTGCCAGGCAAGATAATTTTCATTCTGCTCAGAAGCCACCACCAACACCTCTATTTGCTTCTAGACCTATAACTAGACTCAAGTTCCCGTGGGCCCCCAGAGGCGAGGTTGACAGTGCGACCCATGAGGAGGTGTGCTGCACTCAAAAAGAACTGCTTGAGTTTTCTAATTTATATAAACAGAAATCTGGAGCACAGTCATGGGAATTGGTATTAAGGGTGTGGGATAATGGTCAAAGGAACATAGAGTTGAATCAGGCTGAATTTATTTATTTGTGCCAACTAAGTAGGCACTCTGCATTTAATGTTGCAGCTCGGGGAGTTAAAAAGTTCTAATAATTTATTTGCTGGGTTAGCTGAAATATGGATTACAAGATGGCCCACTGTGAGCAAGCTGGAAATGCCTGATCTCCCTTGGTTTAATGTAGAGGAAGGGATCAAAAGGCTTAGGGAGATAATGATGGTGGAGTGGATTAGTCACTTTAGACCCACTTATTTCAGCTGGGAAGGTCCAGAAGATGTACGCTTGACCAATGCCTTGTGAAATAGATTTGTGAGGGAGGCACCTGCATCTTTGAAGAGCCCTGTAATTACTCTTTTCTGTATGTCAGATCTAACAGTTGGAACTTCAGTCACTGAGCTACAAAATTTAAATCCAACGGGAATAATTGAGTCCCAAGGTGGCAGGCACCAAGTGGTGGCACTCAACCATCAAAGGCAAGGTGGACAAAGCTACTGTAATGGACAGCAGAGGCAAAGCAGTAATAAGAGTAGTCTGATTCATGTAGAGCTCTGGCATAGGCTCATTAATCATGGTGTTCCTAGAAGTATAATTGATAGGAAGCCTACTGCATTCCTACTTAATTTATACAAGCAGAAAACTTCTAGGTCAAATGGACAAAAGACTAATTTGAATTATAAAAACAGACAATCATGGACCCTCAATCAATTTTTAGACTTGAGCCAGTTTACAGACCCAGAATGCCTTGAATGAAAAACAGGCTGGGTCCCCTTGAGGAAGGACCCCACTACATTACCAACAATGTACGCAGTGAATCTTTCTTCTATCCTTCCCCAAGGAGACCCCTGGCCTTTCACCAGGGTAACTGTGCATTAGGGAAAGTGAAATGATAGGACATTTTGGGGACTACTCATTACTGGCTCTGAGCTGACATTGATTCCAGGGGACCTAAAACGTCATCGTGGTCCTCCAGTTAAAGTAGGGACTTATGGAGGTCAGGTAATTAAAGGAGTTTTAGCTCAGGTCCTACTTATAGTTGGTCCAGTGGGTCCCCAGATTCATCCCGTGGTCATTTTCCTAGTGCCACAATGCATAATTGGCATAGACCTACTTAGCAGCTGGCGGAATCCCCACATGGCTCCATGATTGGTAGGGTGAGGGATATTATGGTGGGAAAAGCCAAATGGAAGCCATAAGTGCTGTCTCTACCTAGAAAAATAGTAAATCAAAAAGAATATTGCGTCCCTGGAGGGATTGCAGAGATTAGTTCCACCATCAAGGACTTGAAAGAGGCAGGGGCAGTGATTCTCACCACATCCTTGTTCAACTCTCCCATTTGGCCTGTGCAGAAGACAGATGGATCTTGGAGAATGACAGTGGATTATCATAAGCTTTGGATTATCATAAGCTTAACCAATTGCAGCTGCTGTACCAGATGTGGATTCATTGCTTGAACAAATTAACACATCTCCTGGTACCTGGTATGTAGCCATTGACTTGGCAAATGCCTTTTTCTCCATTCCTCTTTATAAGGCCCACCAGAAGCAATTTGCCTTCAGCTGGCAAGGCCAGCAATATACCGTTACTTTCCTACCTCAGATATATTTCAACTCTCTGGCTTTGTGTCATAATCTTATTCAGAGAGACCTTGA
This sequence comes from Homo sapiens, assembly GCF_000001405.40. Lineage (NCBI taxonomy): Eukaryota > Metazoa > Chordata > Mammalia > Primates > Hominidae > Homo > Homo sapiens. The sequence goes on along the minus strand of NC_000023.11, from coordinate 64,740,714 downwards.
TTGCTTTTCATTTCCACAAAATATCACATTGGTCTATTACATTATGCCAACTGGATCCAGTGAGCAAGAAGTAGCAAACATACTAGACTTATTGTCGAGACATCGCATGCCAGAGGATGGGAAAAATACCTGAATCAAATTCAGGGGACCTTCTACCTCAGTAAAATTTCTAGGGTTCCAGTGGTGTGGGGCCTGTTGAGATATTCATTCTAAGGTGAAAGATAAGTTGCTGCATTTGTCCCCTCCACAGGAAAAAAAAAGGCACAATGCCTAGTGCACCTATTTGGATTTTGGAGGCAACACATTCCTCATTTGGGTGTGTTACTTTGGCCCATATGTCAAGTGACCCGAAAGGCTGCCAGTTTTGAGTGGGGTCCAGAACAGGAGAAGGTTCCTTAACAGGTCCAGGCTGCTGTGCAAGCTGCTCTGCCACTTAGGCCATGTGACCCAGCAGATTCGATGGTGCTTGAGTTGTCAGTGGCAGATAAGGATGTTGCTTGGGGACTTTGGCAGGCCCGTATAAGTGAGTCACCACGGAGGGTTCTAGGATTTTGGAGCATGGCCCTGCCTTCTTCTGCAAATAACTACTCTCCTTTTGAGGGACAGCTTTTGGCCTGTTACTGGGCTTTAGTGGAAACTGAACGTTTGACTATGAGTCATCAAGTCACTGTGCAACCTGAACTGCCTATCATAAATTGGGTGCTTTATGACCCATCTAGCCATAAAGTGGGTCATACATAGCAGCATTCCAGCATCAAATGGAAGTGTTATATACGAGACCCAGTTTGAGCATGTCCTGAAGGCACAAGTAAGTTACATGAGGAAGTGGTTCAAATGCCCATGGTCTCCATTCCTGCCACCCTGCCTTCTCTCCCCTAGCCTGTACCAATGGCCTCATGCGGAGTTTCCTATGATCAGTTGACAGGCAAAGAGAAGACTAGGGCCTGGTTCACAGATGGTCCTGCACGATATGCAGGCACCACCTGAAACTGAACAGCTGCAGCACTACAGCCCCTTTCTAGGACATCCCTGAAGGACAGTAGTGAAGGGAAATCTTCCCAGTGGGCAGAATTCAAGCAGAGCACCTTGTTGTGCACTTTGCACGGAAGGAGAAATGGCCAGATGTATGATTATATACTGATTCATGGGCGGTAACCAATGGTTTGGCTGGATTATCAGGGACTTGGAAGAAGCATGATTGGAAAATTAGTGACAAAATAGTTTGGGGAAGACGTCTGTGGATGGACCTCTCTGAGTGATCAAAGACTGTGAAAATATTTCTGCTAATGTGAGTGCTCACCATCGGGTGACCTCAGCAGAGGAGGATTTGAATAATCAAGTGGATAGGATGTCACATTCAGCAGACATCACCAAGCCTCTTTCCCCAGCCACCCCTGTCATCGCCCAAGGGATCCATGAACAAAGTGGCCATGGTGGCAGAGATGGAGGTTATGCATGGGTTCAGCAACATGGACTTCCACTCACCAGGGCTGACCTGGCTATGACCACTGCTGAGTGACTAATTTTCTGGCAGCAGAGACCAACACTGAGCCCTCGATATGGCACCATTCCGCAGGGTGATCAGCCAGGTACCTAGTGGCATGTTGATTATATTGAACATTTTCCATGATGGAAAGGCAGAGGTTTCTCCTCACTGGAATGGACACTTACTCCAGATGTGAGTTAATCTATCCTGCATGCCATGCTTCTGTCAAGACTACCATCCAAGGACTCACGGAATGCTTGTCCAACGTCATGGTATTCCACACAGCATTGCCATTGTCTCTGACCAAGGCACTCACTTTACAGCTAAAGAAGTATGGCAGTGGGCTCATGCTCATGGAATTCGCTGGTCTTACCATGTTCCCCATCATCCTGAAGCAGCTGGATTGATAGAACAGTAGAATGGCCTTTTGAAGTCACAATTACAATGTCAACTAGGTGACAATACTTTGCAGGGCTGGGGCAAAATTCTCCAGAATGCCATGTATGCTCTGAATCAGCATCCAATATATGGCACTATTTCTCCCATAGCCAAGATTTGCATCTCCAGGAATCAAGCGGTGGAAGTGGAAGTGGCACCACTCACCATCACCCCTAGTGATCCACTAGCAAAATTTTTGCTTCCTGTTCCTGTGACACTACGTTCTGGTGGCCTAGAGGTCTTTGTTCCAGGGGGAGAAATGCCGCCACCAGGAGACACAATGATTCCATTAAACTGCAAGTTAAGATTGCCACCTGGACACTTTGGGCTCCTCCTACTTTTAAATCAAAAGGCTAAGAAGGGAATTACAGTGTTTGCTGGCATGACTGACCCAGATTATCCATATGAAATCAGTCTACTACCTTACAATGGAGGTAAGGGAGAGTATGCATGGAATACAGGAGATTCATTAGAGTGTTTCTTAGTATTACCATGTCCTGTGATTAAGGTCAATGGGAAACTACAACAGCCTAGTCCAGGCAGGACTACAAATGACCCAGACCCTTCAGGAATGAAGGTTTGGGTCACTCCAGCAAGAAAAAAACCCACGACCTGCTGAGGTGCTTGCTGAAGGCAAAGGGAATACAGAAATGGGTAGTAGAAGAAGGTAGTCATCAATAACAGCTAAGACCACTTGAGCAGCTGCTGAAACAAAGACTGTAATTGTCTTGAGTATTTCCTCCTTCTTTTGTTAAAACATGTTTGTGCATATATACACTTGTACTAAGAGAATATCTTCACTTTATTTCCTTTCTCCTTTATCATCTGACATAAAATTTATTGACTTCACATCAGCATGTAAGTATTGTTAACTTTATGTAATAGTATTTGGGTTGGGGATTGGTGAGTTTCTGGTTGTATGAAGGATAGTTGTATTATGTTAGACATAAGCATGTCCTTATCATTGTCTTTATTTCAAGGTTATATATGATCTCAGGAGATATGTATGGGTTTAAGTTGACAAGGGGTGGACTTGTGATGGTTAATACTGTCAACTTGATTGGATTGAAGGATACAAAGTATAGATCCTGAGTGTATCTGTGAGGGTGCTGCCAAAGGAGAATAACATTTGAGTCATTGGGCTGGGAAAGGCAGACCTACCCTTAATCTGGGTGGGAACAATCTAATCAGCTGCCAACCCAGCTAGAATATAAACAGGCAGAAAAATGTAAAAAGAGAGACTGGCCTAGCCTCCCAGCCTCAATCTTTCTCCCATGCTGGATGTTTCCTGCCCTCAATACCAGACTACAAGTTCTTCAGTTTTGGAACTTGGATTGGCTCTAATGGAATAGAATATATATATATATATATAGTAGAATATATATAGTAGACTATATATACTATTAGAATATATATTAGAATATTTTAATATATTTCTAAAATAATTCTATTCTAATATTGTAATATAATTTTAATCTAATATTCTAATATATATTAGAATATTCTAGTATTCTATTCAGTTCTGTCCCTCTAGAAAACCCTGACTAACACAATATGGAAAACAGTATGGATGTTCCTCAAAAAATTTAAAACAGGATTACTGTATGATTCAGAAACCTCACTTTTCATTATAAAGCCAAAGGAAATGAAATCAATTTGTTGGAGAGATATCTGCACTCCCGTGTTCACTGCAGCTGTATTCAAGGTAGCCAAGATATGGAAACAACCTAACTGGCCATCAACAGATAAATGAATAAAGAAAACGTGGTAGATATACAAATTGGAATACTATTCGGCCTTTAAAGAGAAGATAATACTGTCACTTGTGAGAATATGAATGAACCTGGAGGACATTATGTAAAGTGAAACAAGACAGGCACAGGCACAGAATGATTAATACCACATGATTTTCCTTATATGTAGAATCTAAAATAGTAAAACCCATAGAAGCAGAGGGTAGAATGGTAGTTACCAGTGGCTTGTTGAAGGGGAAATGTTAGTCAAAAGATACAAAGAAATAAGTTCAAGTGGTTTGTTGCACAATATAATCACTATAGTTAATAACAAAGTATCGTATACCTGGAAATTGGTAAGAGAGTAGATATTAAGTGTTCTCACCAAACATATAATTAGATGAGGTAATTCTTATGTTGATTAACTCAATTTAGGCATTCCACATTGTATACATAGTTCAAAATATGTTGTACACCATACATTGATACAATTTTTATTTAATTAAAAAATAAGTAAATACATAAAAATATTTTTCAAATTGTGAGATAAATGAGTTAGTAAGAATTGGAGCCTGCCACTCACAGCAGCCAATGCAGTCATGAATGTAGAAAATTTTCACTGAGCCCTATTTACCTTGAAATTCAAACAATTATAAATGTTACATCTGTTTTATTTCATTTTTGAGACTACAATGTAACTACAATAATACAAAACAGTAATAGTTCTAAAGAAAGATTTAAAATAAAATGCATAAATACTTGCATCTGAACTTGAATTTAAAGCTTCTTCAAAACTGAACAAAAAATGGTGCTTCATCATTCAGATTTATGACATTTAAAATAATAAACTCAAAATTAAATGTAAAATTTAATAAATAAATAAATAGAATTATTTGTCAAGCTCCTCACAACTAACCATGACACACTGAGAGTTTACATCACTTTTAGTACCTTAATGCTGACCTACAGTGGTGGTCATCATGCTTGTTGATGCTGCAATATGCATCCCTTTCAGTGAATCCTTTTTGAGAAGGCATCCTCATACATATTTATTCATTTATAAATTATATATCATGGTATGAACATTATAAACATTATAATAATGTACACAAAAGATGACATTTTTAATGACAGGATGATGAAAATGATATTATTGAAATTTTAAATTTGTGTTTATTGATGGTAAAATAAAATATGATTTTTTTAGATCTTGGTATAACATTTGGTATGATAATCCAAAGCTCTGATAATATATTCAATTTGTTTCAGCAGTTTAGTATTTATTTTACAAAGACTAAAGACAACGTGATACATTTTGGATCTGTGTCCCCACCAAAACCAAAACTTTTGTCGAACTGTAACCCCCAGTGTTGAAGGTGAGGCCTGGTGGGAGATTGGATCTTGGGGGCGGAGTCCTCATGAATGGGTTAGCACCACCCCCTTGGTGCTGTTCTTGCGTCAATGAGTGAGCGAGTTATCATGAGATCTGGTTGTTTAAAAGTGTGTAGCACCTCCCACCTCTCGGTTCTGCTCCTGCCATGTAAAATGCTTGCTCCCACTTTGTCCTCCGCCATGAATAAGAGTTCCCTGAGGCCTCCCCAGAAGCGAATGCTGCCATGCTTCCTGTACAGCCTGTGGAACCCTGAGCCCAATTAAACCTATTTTCTTTATAAATTTACCAATCTCAGGTATTTTTTATAGCAGTGTGAGAACAAATACACAGTTTACTGTTAATGGGTGTTTAGATATTAATTTTTACTGTTCGTACACCTGTCTTGATAATTTTGAAATTTATGTCCAAATTTATGAAATCTGATTGGATCAGTACTTTTTTAATTTGCTTGCTTTTACTAGTAGAGTGGCTGAAGGATCACTAGAAATATTAATGTAAGTGTTAGCTCTGCCATTTTCTTATTACTGTTACAATTCATTTTTAAGTAAGGAGAAAAGTATGTTTTAATAAAAATGATGTTTTTAAATTTTAATTTTACACTATTAATGGACTCCGAATTATTGGCTTTATGTCTATCAACATTTAATACAGTGTTACTCATCCGCTTTTAATTTTACTATGTATTATTCATTTGTTCAGTTTTTTCTGATACAGTATTTCAATACCTTAATTCTGTAGTATACCTTTTTCCATTTTTATTGTGAATTATGCATACATCATAAAATTATCTATAATATATGTACAGTTTAAAGAATAATAAAATTAACATCTGTATACTTACTACCTAGGGCAAGAAATAGAATATGGCTAGTAGTGCACAAGTCCTCTGTATAACCCACCCAGAATGCACTGCCCTTTCTTGCCAATGGTAATAAACACTATCTTAAGTTTTGTATTAATTATACCTTTTTTTCTTTATAGTTTGACCACTGTGTGTATATATCTTCTTTTTTTTTTTAACTTACAATACATGAAACCATACTGTATGTGGTTTTTAGATGCTTTTTTCACTCAACATTATTTTCTGGAGACTCATACATATCACTCAATACAGCTATAGTTTATTTATTTTTTCAGCCTGTGTACTTTTCTGTCTTTATTTATACATTAATTTATTTATCCATTCTACTGTTGATAGACATTTGGGTTGTTTGCATATATTTAATATTATAAACAGTGCTGCTGAAACATTCCTGTAAATGTTTCCTGGGAGCAAATATGCAAGAATTCATTTAAGGGGAATTGTTGGATGAAAGAGTATGCAAATGCTTGACTATGCTGGGTGATACAAATAGTAAGTTTTGGAAGTGGTTACCAATTTAAATTCTCTTCAGCAATGTGTGAGAGTTCCCATTGTTCTATATCTTCACCAAAACTTGGTTTACAAAACTTTTGATTTTTTTCCCATCTGGTTTTGGTAAAAGATTATCTCAGGAACTCATTTTTCATGTTCCTCATAACCAATGAGATTGTGTATATTTGTATATATTTATGTATCATTTTTATTTTCTCTTCTGTCAAGGGCATATTCATGCTTTCTGTCGATTTTTCTATTGTGTTTGTCTTTTTCTTATTGCCTTCTAGAAATGTGTTGTATTTCTGGTTACCAGTATTCTGGCTGGATACATTGCATATTATTCTCCCAGTTGTAACTTACTTATTTCCATTCTTTTTATGGTGATTTTTAGATGGCAATAAATTCTTATTTTAACATAGTTGAACGTGTTACTCTTTTTCATTATGGTTTGGATGTTTAGTGTCTTGTTTAAGAAAAGCTTCTCGTGGAAGAGGCCAAGATGGCTGACTAAAAACAGCTGTGGTCGAAGGCTCCCACCAAGAAGAACAAAAGTGGCAAGTGAATCCTGCACTGGCAACTGAGGTATCTAGGTTCTCTTATTGAGACTGATTAGGTGGTGGGCATGACCCACAGAGAGTGATAAAAAGCAGGGTGGATTGATGGCCCACCTGGGAACTGCACGGGGCAAGGGAAGGACCCACCCCTGCCAAGGGAGGCACTGAGTGATTGTGCTACCTTGCCCAGGAAGCCACATGTTTTCCACGGATCTGTACACACCATGGATCAGGAGATCCCCTTGTGAGCCCATACCACCAGGGCCTTGGGCCTTAAGCACAGAGCTATGCAGATTCTCAGCAGCTGCTCTACTGGAGACTGCCTAAGACTACCAAGTTCCTGGGGGGAGAAGAAGCCACCATCACTGAAGCTGCCAGCTGCCTAAAATGATTGAGCTCCTTAGTTGAGGTGTGGCTGCCATCACTGTGGCTGCCTGCTGCCTAAGACAACTGAGTTTCTGAAGGGAGGGGCAGCCACCATCACTGCAGCTGCCTACTTCCTAAGATGACTGAGCTCCCAAGGGGAGTGGCAGCAGCCATCACTGCAGCTCAGCTCGTCTGTGGTTTTCCCCTGCTGGTGCTGGGGACACTGGGCAGTTTGGACCCTGGAGGAATTCCCACAGTGCAGCACAGTGGCTGTGGCAGATTGTGGCCAGACTGCCTTCTTAGGGTGAACTTGGACCCATCCCTCCTCAGCAGGCAGGGCCTCCCTGTGGGAATTTTAGCAACTCCAGCCAGGAGTTTACAGACAAAACTCTGATCTCCCTGGAATAGAACCCCTAGAGGGAGGTGTGGCCATAATCTCCATGAATCAGCAGACTTAGTCTTTTCCCCTGCTGGCTCTGAGAAATCTGGGCAGTCCAGACAAGTGGAATTCCCCCTAGTGCAACACAACCCCTCCACCAATGGATAGCCAGAGTGCTTCACTAAGTGGGTCCCTGATACCATACCTCCTGACTCAGTGAGATCCCCCAAGAGGGGTCACCAGACACCTAATACACAAACATTCCTGCTGGCATCAGTTTGGTGCCCCTCTGAGACAGAGCTCCCAGAGAAAGAAGCAGGCAGCCATCTTTGCTCTTTTGTAGCCTCCACTGGTGACATCACCAGATACAGGAGGGACCCAGGTTAATAGGGTGTAAAGTGGTCCCCCAGCACACCCTGCAGCAGCTCTACAGAAAAGAGGCCTATTAAAAGATAAACAAACAGAAAGCAACAACAACAGCATCAACAAAAAGTCCCCATAAAACCCCATCCAAAGGTCGGCAGTTTCAAAGATTGAAGGTAGATAAAGTTATGAAGATGAGAAAGAATAAATGAAAAAATGCTGAAAACTATAATTGCCAGAGTGCCTCTTCTCCTTCAGATGATCACAACACCACTCCAGGAAGGGCACAGGACTGAGCTGAGGCTGAGATGGATGAACTGACGGAAGCAGGCTTCAGAAGGTGGGTAATAACAAACTTCACTGAGCTAAAGGAACATGTTCTAGCCCAATGCAAAGAAGCTAAAAACCATAATAAAATACTAAAGGGGTTGTTAACTAGAATAACCAGTTGGGAGAGGTACAAAAATGACCAGATGAAGCTGAAAAACAAAACAAGAGAACTTTACAATGCAACTGCAGGTATCAATAGACAAGTAGACCAAGTGGAGGAAAGAATTTCAGAGCTTGAAGACATTCTTGCTGAAATTAAGACAGGCAGACAAGACTAGAGAAAAAAGAATGAAAAGGAACAATCAAAACCTCCTAGAACTATGGGATTATGTAAAAAGACTGAACCTGTGACTGATTGGGATGCTGGAAAGAAACAGGGAGAATGAAACCAAGTTAAAAAACCTACTTCAGGATATCATCCAAAACATATTTCAGGATATCATCTTCCCCAGCCTAGCAAGATAGGCCAACGTTAAAATTCAGGAAATCCATAGAACCCCAGTAAGATACTCTATGAGAAGAGCAACTCCAAGACACATAATCATGATACTATCCAAGTTTGAAATGAAGAAAGACATTGTTAAGGGCAGCCACAAAGAAAGGCCAGTCACCTACAAATGGAAGCCCATCAGAATAACAGGAGACCTCTTCGTGGAAATTCTACAAGCCAGAAGAGATTGGGGGCCAATATTCAACATTCTTAAAGAAAATAATTTTCAAACCAGAATTTCATATCTGGCCAAACTAAGCTTCATAAGCAAAGGAGAAATAAAATTCTTTTCAGACAACCAAATGCTGAGGGAATTTGTCACCACCAGGCCTGCCTTGCAAGAGTTGCTGAAGGAAACACTAACTATAAAAAGGAAAATCCTTTGCCAGTACTAACTATAAAAAGGAAAATCCTTTGCCAGTCACAAAAAAAAAAAAAAAAAAAACACTGAAGTACACAGACCAATGACACTACAAAGCATTAAATCAACAAGCCTGCAAAATAACCAGCTAGCATCATGGTGACATAATCAAATTCACACATAACAATATTAACCTTAAATGTATGTGGGCTAAATGCCCCAATTAAACGACACAGAATAGCAAACTGAATAGATTGGAGACCTATTGGTGTGCTGTATTCAAGAGACCCATCTCATGTGCAAAGACACAAATAAGCTCAACAGAAAGGGAAAAAGAAAAATATAACAGCAAATGGAAAGCAGAAAAAAACAGGGGTTGCAATCCTAGTTTATGACAAAACAGACTGTAAATCAACAAAGATCAAAAAAGACAAAGAAGGGCATTACATTATGGTAAAGGAGTCAATTTGACAAGAAAAGCTAACTATCCTAAATATATATACACCCAATATGGAAGCACCCAGGTTCTTAAAACAAGTTCTTATAGACCCACAAAGAGGCTTAGACTTCCACACAATAATAATGGGAGATTTAACACCGCACTGTCAATATTAGACAGTTCATTGAGGCAGAAAATTAACAAGAATATTCACGACAAGAACTCAGCTCTTGGTCAAGTGGATGTAATAAATATATACAGAACTCTCCACCCAAAAACAATAGAGTATACATTCATCTTGACATCAAATGGCACTTACTCTAAAATTGATCACATAATTGGAAGTAAAATGCTCTTCAGCAAATGCTGCCAAACTGAAATCATAACAAACAGTCTCTCAGACCACAGTGCAATCAAATTAGAACTCAATATTAGAAACCCCACTCAAAATCACACTACTGCCTGAAAATTGAACAACCTGCTCTGAATGACTCCAGGGTAAGTAATGAAATTAAGTCAGAAATCAAGAAGTTTTTTGAAACCAATGAGAACAAAGAGACAAAGTACCAGAATCTCTAGGACACAGCCAAAGCAGTGTTAAGAGGGAAATTTATAACACTAAATGCTCACATCAAAAAGTTAGAATGATCTCAAATATACATTCTAACATCACAGCTAAAAGAACTAGAGAACTGAGAACAAACAAACCCCAAGGCTATAGAAGACAAGGAATAACCAAGATCATAGTAGAACTGAAGGAGACAGAGACACATAAAACCCTTCAAAAAATCACCGAATCCTGAAGCTGTCTTTTTTTTGAAAAAGTAATAAAATAGACCACTAGCTAGACTAATAAAGAATAAAAGAGAGAAGAATAAAATAGAAACAACGAAAAATGATAAAGGGGATATCACTACTGACCCCAAAGAAATATAAGCAGCCATCAGAGAGTACTACAAACAACACTATGCAAATTTACTAGAAAATCTAGAAGAAATGGATAAATTCCTGGACACATACATCCTCTCAAGACTGAACCAGGAAGAAGTTGAATCCCTGAATAGACCAATAACAAGTTCTGAAATTGAGACAGTAATAAATAGCCTACCAACTAATAAAAGCCCAGGAACAGATAAATTTACAGCTGAATTCTACAAGAGGTACAAAGATGAGCTTGTACTATTTCTTCTGAAACTATTTCAAGCAACTGAAAATGAGGGACTCCTCCCTAACTCTTTTTATGAGGCCAGCATCATGCTGATACCAAAACCCGACAGAGATACAAGAAAAAAGAAAATTTAGGCCAATATCCCTGATGAACATGATGCAAAAATTCTCAATAAAATACTGGCAAACCAAATTCAGAAGCACATCAAAAAGCTTACACACCACAGTGAAGTCATCTTTGTGTCCCAGATGCACGACTGGTTCCAAAAAAATGCAAATCAATAAGTATAATTAATAACATAAACAGAACTAAAGACAAAAACCACATGATTATCTCAATAGATGCAGAAAAAGGCCTTCAGTACAATTCAACATCCTTTCATGTTGAAAACTCTCAATAAGCTAGGTATTGATGAAACATATGTCAAAATAATTAGAATAATTTATGACAAAACTACAGCCAATATCATACTGATCAGGCAAAAGCTGGAAGCATTTCGCTTAAAAAATGAAATAAGACAAGGGTGACCTCTCTCACCATGCCTATTCAACATAGTATTGGAAGTTCTGGCGAAGGCAATCAGGCAACAGAAAGAAATAAAGCATATTCAAATAAGAAGAGAGGAAGTCAAATTGTCTCTTTTTGCAGATGACATGTTCCTATATCTAGAAAATTCCATTTTCTCAGATTAAAAACTTCCTAAGATGATAGGAAACTTCAGCAAAATCTCAGGATTCAAATCAATGTGCAAAAATCAGAAGCATTCCTATCACCATCAATAGACAAACAGAGAGCCAAATCGTGAATGAATTCCCATTCACTATTGCGACAAAGAGAATAACATACCTAGGAATATAGCTAACAAGGCAAGTGAAGGACCTCTTAAAAGAGAACTACAAACCACTTCTCAAGGAAATGAGAGAGGACACAAACAAACGGAGAAACATTCCATGCTCATAGACAGGAAGAATCAATATTGTGAAAATGGCCATACTGCCCAAAATAATTTACAGATTCAATGCTATTCCCATTAAAATACCATTGACATTCTTCACAGAATTAGAAAAAATTACATTAAAATTCATATGAAACCAAAGGAGAGCCCATATAGCCAAAATGATCCTAAGCAAAAATAACAAAGCTGGAGGCATCATACTACTCAACTTCAAACTGTACTACAAGGCTACGGTAATGGTACTGGTACAAAAACAGACACATAGACCTATGGAACAGAACAGAAATCTCAGAAATAAGACCACACATCTATAACCATTTGATTTTTGGCAAATCTGACAAAAACAACCAATGAAAAAGGATTCCCTATTTATTAAATGGTGCTAGAAGAACTGGCTAGCCATATGCAGAAAATTAAAACTGGACCCCTTTCTTACACCTTATACAAAAATGATCTCAACATGGATTAAAGTCTTAAGTGTGAAACCCCAAACTCTAAAAACCCTAGAAGAAAATCTAGGCAATATCATTTAGGACATAGGCATGGGCAAACATTTTATGATGAAAACATCAAAAGCAATTGCAACAAACAAAAAACTGGCAAATGGGATCTAATTAAACTAAAGAGCTTCTGCGCAGCAAAAGAAACTATCATCAGAGTGAACAGGCAACCTACAGAATGGGAGAAAATTTTGGCAATCTATCCATCTGACAAAGGTATGATATTCGGAATCTCCAAGGAACTTAAACAAATTTACCATACAAAATAAAACAACCCTATCAAAAAGTGGGCAAAGGACATGAACAGACACTTCTCTAAAGAAGACATTTATGTAGGCAACAAACATATGAAAAAAAGTTCAACATCACTGATCATTAGAGAAATGCAAATACAAAACCACAATGAGATGCCACCTCATGCCAGTCAGAAAGATGATTAGTAAAAGTCAAGAAACAATAGACATGGGCGAGGCTGTGGAGAAATCAAAACACTTTTTCACTGTTGGTGAGAATGTAAATTAGTTCAACCATTGTGGAAGACGGTGTGTCAATTCCTCAAAGCCTAGAGGCAGAAATACCATTTCATTTGACCCAGCAATTTTATTACTGGGTATATACCCAAAGGAATATATCATTCTATTATAAAGATACATGCACACGTATGTTCATCGCAGCACTTTTCACAATAGCAAAAACATAGAATTAACCCAAACGCTCATCAATGATAGACTGGATAAAGAAAATGTGTTATATATATACCATGGAATACTATGCACCCATAAAATGAAATGAGATTATGTCCTTTGCAGAGACATGGATGGAGCTGGAAGCCATTATTCTCAGCAAACTAATGCAGGGACAGTAAACCAAACACCACATGTTCTCACCTATAAATGTGAGCTGAACAATGAGAACGCATGGACACAGGGAGGGAAACAGCACACACTGTCAGTGGAAGGCAGGCATGGGGACGGAGAGCATTAGAAAAAATAGCTAATGTGTGCTGGACTTGATACCTTGGTGATGAGTTGACAGGTGCAGCAAACTATCATGGTACATTTTTACCTGTGTAATGAACCTGCACATCCTGCACACATATCCTGGAACACAAAATAAAATAATGAAAAAAAATGAAAAGAAAATAAATAAAAAATGAAAAAAAAATGAAAAGAAAATAAATAAAAAATGGAAAAAGGAAAGAAAAACTTCTCGAGCAGGGCAAAACCTGACATGATGGTGCCTGAAGTGTCCTAGCGACCTGATGTGAGAAACTCACTTGAGACATTGCCACCATGAAAACAGCTGAGGAAACAAAGGAACCTGCTGAAGCTGAGATCACTGAGCTGTGCTGGGACATGTTCTCCAAAATGGACATTTATCTTACTGGAGAATTGACGACCACCAATGAAGACTATAAGCTCCCAGAAAATGAATAAACTACTCAGCTTGAAGTATCTTGAAATAAAAGATATTTCTATAAACATTAGTAGATACTTAAAGGACTTAAGTTTAAGTTCAGTAGTATGCTGGACTGCAGCCTTATCTGGATCAGATCAATGTCATTGAAGAGCAGGTAGCAGCTCTTGAGCAGACAGCTTAAAAGTTAAATGCATTTTTTTAAAACTGGAAGCCAAGTACAAGAAGTTGGAGAAGCGATGAAAAACTTATTTGTATGGGACAAAGTCTTTTTTAATGTGGAAGATGTTTTATAAGATGTGAATACTGAGGCTGATGAATTGTCAAATCTCCGCAAAATGAAACTGTGCTGAACTTTCTAGGAAGATCTCAATGTTGGAATAAACTGTAGGACTGGGGCTACTTCTGTACCTCCTTTGAGGCAGTAACCCTTGAAAACTCACACATAACTTCTTATTTTTACCTGAATGCTTCATCATCCATTCAGGGTAGAGAATCTCAAAGTTCAAGTAAAATCAAATAAGAGGACCTATTTTCTCTAGTAGTGGTTGATTACCACATTATTTTCCTACATGACTGGTTTTTAAGTTATTGTAAATGATTTTTTTCTGTTAATGATGCTAATATATCCTTAATGAGATTCTAATTTTCTTTTAAAAAACAAAGTAGTTATTTTGCAGCTTATAACCTTGTGAATGTTAGTAATTTACTTTCCCATAATATTACAAATAACATAAACATCTTAAAATAATTCCAGGCTGCATCTTTTAGGTTGAGCAGAAATAGTGAAAGGAATGTTTTGATAGCTTGGTCTATGAAATAAACACCTCTATTCTCTTCTATGTGAGTCAGATGTTTGGAGATGGATGACATCTTGATAAGTGCTCCCTTTTGGAAATGTGTTAAAGACAAGATATGTATATCTGTGCATGATTTGGGTGGGGAGATGGAAGCTGCCACTCATAAAATATAGCATTTTATAAAATTTTTAACAAACCTGCACATTGTGCACATGTACCCTAAAACTTAAAGTATAATAAAAAAAATTTTAAAAAGGAAGAAATGCTTCTATACCCTGCAGTCATAAAAATATTTTTATTAATATATTTTTTTAAACATTTCAAAGTTTTGCTTTTTCTATTTCAGACCTTGATCCATCTGGAATTGATTTTTGATATATGGAGAAAGATATCCCTTTTTAGATATGAACTATCACATCCTTTTAAAATTGAAAACATTTTTTATATTTATGATGTGCAACATTATGTTTTGATACATGTATGCATTGTGGAATTTCTAAGTCAAGCTAATCAACATACACATTATTTCTACACTTATTTATTTATGATTGATTAGTGATGACCATGTACTTAACAATAATTTTATAATCCCAGCACTATCTACAAGTATCCCATCTTTTTCCTGCTGATCAGCAATGTCTGCTCCAACACATATCAGCTTCATATATGCAAGGGTTTATTTCTGGCTTTCTATTTGATTCCCTCATTCATTTGTCTATACCAGGACCAAGTCTACACTGGTGGAATTATTATAGTTTTATAACGTACTGATACACACTAGATCTAGTCCCCTGACTAGGCAGTTCTTCAAGAGTATTTCGGCTACTATTTAATCTTTGTTGTTCTATATAAACTTTAGAATCAGCTCATCAAGTTCCATGGAAAATGTTTTTTAAATCTTTACTGGGATTTGACTCCACTTTGAATTTTATAGATCTATAGATGAATTGGGGAAAAAAAATCAATATCTTTGTAATATTCAATATTCTAGTCCATGAGCTTTTTATATCTGTCCATTTATTTAGGTGTTCTTTAATGCCTCTTAGTAAAGTTTTATAATTTATACAGAAAGATATTGCACATATTTTATTAGATTTAGATACTCTATATTTCTATTGCTATTAAGAGTAGTGTCTTTTTAAATTATATTTCACAACTGTTTGTTGCTGCTATATAGAAATGTAGTTCACTGTACGTTCTCCTACCCAAACACAATCAAATAAAATACATAACAGAATAAAATTTGGGAAACTCAAAAAAAAAGTGAAAATTCAACAGCATTCTTTTAGCAAAGATTCAAAGAAAAAAATCAATCAGAAATTAGAAAACACTTTAAAGTGAATAATAATGAAAATACAACATGCCAAAACTTATAGGATGCAAGTAAAGCAATGCTTAGAAGTAAATTTATAGCTATAAATGCCCATATTAGAAATGAAAAAAAAAATCTGAAGTCAATAACCTTCCACCTTAAGACACTAGGAAGAGCGAAATAATTCAAGCAGAGAAGGAAATTATAAAGATTAGAGCAGAAATTCATGAAATAGAGAATTTAAAAACTATAGAGAACATCAATGAAACCAAAAGCTGGTTCTTTGAAAGATCAACACAATTGATAAATCTTGAAAGAGAAGAGAGAAGACTTGAATTACCAACATCAGGAATAAAAAATGAGACATTACTATGAACCATATGCACAAAAAATGCTTTTAATGAAATACTATAAACAATTCATTCCAACAAATTAGGTAATCCAGACAAAATGGTCAAACTCCTAGATGTACAGAAACTACCAAAACTGAGTCAAGAATAAACAGAAAATGTGAATATCTCTTAAAAATAAAGAGACTGAGCCCGGGCGTGGTGGCTCACACCTGTAATCCCAGCACTTTGGGAGGCCGAGGCTGGCGTATCACGAGGTCAGGAGGTCGAGACCATCCTGGCTAACACGGTGAAACCCTGTCTCTACTAAAAATACACAAAATTAGCGGGGCGTGGTGGTGGGCCTGTAGTCCCATCTACTTGGGAGGCTGAGGCAGGAGAATGGCGTGAACACGGGAGGCGGAGCTTGCAGTGAGCCGAGATAACGCCACTGCACTCCAGCCTGGGTGACAGAGCGAGACTCCGTCTCAAATAATAATAATAATAATAATAATAATAATAATAAAATAAAATAAAATAAAGGGACTGAGTTGTGGTAATATTTTTTTCCAAAATAAAAACCCAGTGCCATATAGTTTCTCTGGTGAATTCTACCAAATGTTTCACAAACTCTTCCAAAAGTATAAAAAGAGGAAACACTTTTCAATTCATTCTATGAGGGCACTACATTACACAGAGAACAAAGCCAGGCAAAAACATCTAAAGGAAACTACGGACCAATATCCCTTATAAATACTAATGCAAAAAGCATTAACAATATATAAGCAACTGAATTTAGCAGTATATAAAAAGGATCATACACCATAATTAAGTAGGATTTATCCCAGGAATGCAATGTTAATTTAGCATACAAAAATCAATCTATGTAATACACTCTATTAATAGAATAATATACTGACCATCTCATCAGATGCAGAAAAGTCATTTGACAAAATCTAACACCATTTCATGAAAATAACACTTAACAACTAATTATAAAAGAGAACATCCTCAATTTGCTGAGGCACACCTATGAAAAACCCACATCTACTATCATACTTAATAGTGAAAGATTGAAAGTGTACTCCTAAGATCAAGAACAAGACAAGGATGTCTTCTCTCATCACTTCTGTTCAAAAGTGTACTAGAGGCTACAGCGAAGGAAATTTGGCAAATACAAAGCCTCCAGGCTTGAAAGGAGTAAGTAAAAGTACATTCATTCACAAATGACATGATTTGCATTTTGGAAACCCTAAGGAATCCATACACAAAATTATTAGAGCTAATAAACTACCTGAGCAAGCAGTATAAAAGATAAATATTCAAAATTTAGTTACACTCATGCGCTAGCAATGAACAATACAAAAATAAAACTATATATAGTTTTTTATATTTGATAAACTATATATAGTTTTGATAGTTTTATAGTTCATGTTTGAAATGAAACTATATAAAAATGTATATATATATATGAAACTAATGGAAAGTTTCATACAGGTATATAAACTAAAGGAAAGTTTCATATATGTATTTATATACAAATAATGGAAACTAATGGAAAGTCATATATTATTATTAGCTTCATATATAGTAATATATTATTATTAGTTTTATATGTCTATATTATATATAGCTCATAAATAGTCATGTACTATTATTAGTTTCACATATACATGAAACTAATGGAAAGAAAACAATTCCATTTACAATATTATCAAATAGTATCAATAGCATCAAAAATAATAACATTCTGAGGAATAAATTTAACAAAAGAAGTGCAAGGTATAAACAAAAAATTACAAAGCATTATTAGAGAAATTAAAGAAGACTTAAATTACCAAAATCAGAAATGAAAAATCCTGCATAAATGGAAAGACATCCTGTATTCATGAATGGAAAAATATAAAATTGTTAAGATGACAATACTCTCCAAATTTTGATCTACTGATTCAATGCAATCCCTATAAAAATCCCAACTGCCTTTTTTAAATAGATTGACAAGACAGTTCTAAAATTCATATGGAAATACAAGAGATCCTGAACACCTGAAACAATCTTGGAAAAGGACAAAGTTAGAGGACTCATATTCTTCATTTCTAATCTTGCTGCAAAGCTACAGTACTTAAGAGTTCATGGCACTGGCATAGGGATAGACACATAGATGTAAGAAATAGAATTTAGAGTCCACTTCTGTGATGCAAGAAGCGGGGACTAGATGACCTTCACAATCCTCTCTAGCTAATCATTCAGTGGTACCAATGGTGGACACATATCCCCTTTGGCATACCAGGATCCACGTCCCCTTCCTTTTAGCACCCAGCCTCATTGTAAAACAACAACAACAAAAACTGTGAGGAGCATCCTGACCAGGCTGCCCTGCTTCCTGCTCCATGGTAGCCCCCTTGGTACCTGTAACCAAGACTAGCCTCCCAGCCTCATTTTGATCCAGGGAGCACCCATGAACCTTAAGTTGAATCCCTGTTTTGCTAAGTTACTCAAAATCGGTTTCCGTCACTGTCAAAGAAATGCTTTAACTGATAAATAAAACATTTCCATATCCTGAACATAAAGATGCCCATTCTTTAATATGGAACTCTTGTCCTATTGCTCACCTTTGTTTTCCTCACTTCTGCCCTTTTTGCTTATCAGCTACTAAGATCCCTTACCTCTCTTCCCCTTTCTAAAGGAGGAAAAGAAAGACGTGATAAATCCAAGATAAACAAAACTATTTACAAGTATAACCTTAAAGATAGCCACTGCAAAAGACATAAAACCCCAGAACTGTATTGTTTGAATTAGATTGTGTTCATTTAACTGTTCTTTATGAGCTGGACGCCAGGTACTGTGCTAGCATGGGGGAACACAAATGAATAAAAAATAAGCAGATAAGCCTTTCCTGGAGCAGTTCACAGTCTAGCCTCACTAGACAGATTAAAACTGAAGTTACTTGGCAGTATAGTATCCTCATGTTTTATGATATTTTGCATTATGTCTATTTGACACTTTAATATAAAGATATTAATAAAGTCTCACTTTATAAGCAAAAAGGGTTGAGAGTCCACATATAAATCCTTACATTTAGGGTCAATTGATTTTTAACAAGGAAGCCAAGAAATTCAACTGAGGAAAAAAGGGATAACAGTCGTTCCTACAAATGACGCTGGGAAAACTTGATAGTCCGTGCAAAGAAATGAAGTCAGATCTGTACCTCACACAAAGTATGAAAATTAACCCAAGATTGATCAGAGAGCTAAATGTGAGAGCTGAAAATATAAAACTTTACATAGTTGTAAAACTTTGTGACTTTGGGTTAGACAATGATTCCTCAGATATGATCCCCAAAACACAAGCAAAGAAAGAAAACTTAGGTAAACTGGACTTTAAAAAATTAAAGCTTTTGTGCTTCAAAGATACCTTAAAAATGAAATGATAACCCACAAATGGGAGAAAATATTTACAATAGGAATAAAAGACAACTAATTCAAACTGGAACTCTTTGGAGAGTTTTCCTCAAGAAAATAAATTTGTTAAATACTTGATATGTCTGAATTTCTTGAAGGATTGAGACCAATGGTGAACAACTTGGGTTGAAGTAGTAATAAGCACATAGAAAACTAATAAATGAGATAGTTATTTACTTCGAGAAAATTAGAGTTACACAGTAAAAGACAAGTAATCATAGTTTACTCTGTGGTTCAGTTTGTGAATAGCTTTACCTGAACATAATAGTGTAAACATTGCATATTTATATTACCAAAATTACAATTTAGTCCTATGCTATTAGGAAGCTACTAGTGTGTGATTGAGGGTGGAGAATGGGGATTGTGAAAGAGAAAAATCCTCATCTTTGTTGGAGGGAATTCAATAGATAATGCCTACATATAAAAAATAAATGAGCAATCACTTCTTTCTTACTTAGAGAGATGGAGATATGTTTACAAAAGAATCATCTAAGAAAGCTGAAAGTGACTGTTTCCAGGGAGTGGGAAATGGCTCATGTGGAGACAAGTAAGGGACGGTTGTTTTCTTAACGAGCCTTGTAAAATTATTTGTCTCTTTGTGTTCTCATACAATTTTGATAAAAATTAAAAGTAAATTTATATAAAGAGATAAATATCGTTGGAGATATACATGATTTTGAAGATGCTAGAGAACAAAGTTATGGGAATTGAAGCCTATCTTTTTCTGTTAAGTAGAAAATTAAGTAATTTCCTTAGAGTGAAAAGGGTAGAGGGGTATGGATGATGACATTTCAGAAAAGTTGCTGTAGAGAAAAGGAAAGGTGCTTAGTGAAAGATTTTGAACATCACTGAAGGCCTAGGTGAGACTGGAGCTAATGTAATGGAATATGAGTATAGCCTGGGAGCTGGAGCAGAGTATAGAAAATGAACAAGTGGTTTTGCTTGTTTGTTAGTTTTTTGTTTTCAAGGTTGGGAATTTACACTACAAGGTTAAGGGACTGAAGGAATGGATGGTGCCTGTGAGAATGCAATTGAAGTTTTTGCCCCTGAGGTCTGGGCTGGGTAGGGAAGAAAATAAAGCAAAATTGGAATCTGGATAGCCTAAGAGAATAGGTAGTGATTGAGGGAAAATAAAAGATATATATATATCCCAGCATCTCCTGGGAATAAAGTGGCAGATTTTGAACCAGACTCCAAATATGACAGCACATGTGAGACAGTGATTTAGATATTTATAGGTGACAGCAGTCAGGATGGAAAGAAGGTGGTAGTATTGGAAGGAAGGAGAGGAGAACTAAGAATAATGGAGGAAATTGGCTCAGATTGCAGTTTGAGGATTGTGGCTCTGCTGATCCTATAAGTAAAATCCAATCAGGACGGTCTCCCAACCCTGTTGATAATCCTGGTTCCCCATGATCTTATAAGAATAGTGAAGGAGGAGCAATTTTTGGAATTGAAAATAAAATGTACAGATTCAATGAAAGAAATAGAATTAGTACATATTTGTATGCTAGAATTTGAGTATACAGTTGTATGTCTTGATTTTCTATTTTTAATTTGAAAATTAAATTTGAAACTTTTGACTATATAAAATATATTTTTTTCTTTGACATGTAATATTTGTATTTATTATTATTTTATTGTAATTATATTTTGGGGGTACAGTGTGATTTTGATACATGTGTACAATGTGTAATAAAGGAGAACAATTAGCATATCCATTACCTCAAATCCTTATCATTTATTTCTGTTAGTAACATTCAAAATTCTCTCTTCTTGAAATTTTAAAAAATACAATAAATTATTATTTGCTATAGTTACCCTACAGCGCTATAAAATACTGGAGCTTATTCCCCCTATCTAGCTGTAATTTTGTATCTATTAACTAATCTTTTTCTATCCCTCTCTTCCCTCCTCTTCTCAGCCTCTAGTAACAACTATTCTACTCTCCATTTTTTATAACAACTTTTTTCAGCTTCCATGCATAAGTGAGAACATGTGATATTTAGCTTTCCATACCTGACTTATTTCATTTAACATAATGTCCTCCAGTCTTATCCATGTTGCTGCAAATAACAGAATTCCATTCTTTATTATGGCTGAATAGCATTTCATTGTTTATATATACAAATTTTTTATCCATTTATCTGTTGATGGACACTTAGTTGGATTCCATATTTTGGGTATTCTGAATAGTGCTGCAATAAACATGAAAGTGCAGTTATCTTCTGGACATACTGATTTCCTTTCCTTTGGATATATAACCAGAGGTGGGATTTCTGGATTGCATGGTAGTTATATTTTTAACTCAGAATCTCCATGTTGTTTTCCATAATGGCTGTATTAACTTACAGTCTCATCCACAGTGTACAAGAGTTTCCTTTCCTTTGCATTATCATCAGCATTTGTTATTTTTTGTCTATTTGATACAAGACATTTAAAAAGAGGTGAGGTGATATCTCACTGTGGTTTTGATTTGCATTTTTCTGATGATTAGTGATGCTGAGCAGCTTTTCATATATTTGTTGGTCATTTGCATGTCTTCTTTTGAGAAATGTCTATTCAAAGAAGTCTATGCCTATATTTTACTAAGATTGTTTCTTACTGTTGAATTGAGTTCCTTGTATATTTTGTATATTAATCCCTTATCAGGTGAATAGATTGAAAATATTTTCTCCAATTCTTCAGGTTGTCTATTCATTCTGTTGATTGTTCCTTTTGCTATGCAGAAGCTTTTGAGTTTGCTATAATTCCATTTGTCTATTTTTGTTTTTGTTTCCTGTGCTTTTGAGGTTTCAACCATAAAATCTTTTCCCAGATCAATGTAGTGAATCATTTACCATATTTTTTTCTAGTAGTTTTAAAGTTTGGGATCTTACATTTAAATTTTTAATTCATTTTGAGTTTTTTTTTGTATATGGTGAGAGATAGCAATCTAGTTTTATTCTTCTGCACATGGTTATCCAGTTTTCCCAGCACTATTTATTGAAGAGCGTGTTCTTTTCTTAGTGTATATTCTTGGCAACTTTGTCAGAAATCAGTTGGCTGTAAATATGTGGATTTATTTAGGGGTTCCCTATTCTGTTCCATTAGGCTGTGTGTCTTTTTTATGCCCGTACCATGTTGTCTTTATTGCTGTAGATTTATACTATATTTTGAAGTCAGATAGTGTGATACCTCCAGATTTGTTCTTTTTGCTCAGAATTGCTTTGGCTATTCAGGGTTATAGCAGTTTCATACACATTTTAGGATTCTTTATTGTATTTCTCTGAAGAATATCATTGATATTTTGAAAATAATTTCATTGAATCTGTAGATTACTTTGGATAGTACGGTCAGTTTAACAATATTTGTTTCTCCAATCCAGAAACATAACATGTTTTTTCAGGGTTTTTTGTCTGTATATTCTTCAATTTTTTTCATCTGTGTCTTATAGTTTTCATTATAGAGATTTTCACACTCTTGTTTAAATTTATTCCATTTATTCCTAGTTATTTTTTGTTGCTATTATAAATGGAATTGCTTTCTTGATTTCTTTTTCAGCTAGTTTATTATTGGTGTGTAGAAATGCTACTGAATTTTGCATGTTGATTTTATATCCTGCAACTTTACTAAATTTGTTCATCAGTTCTAGAGTTTATTGGTAGAAGCTTCAGATTTTTCTATATATAACATAATGTCATCTGCAAACAAGAACAATTTAATTTATTCCTTTCCAATTTAGATGTGTTTTATTGTTTGCTCTTGCCTAATTGCTGTGGCTATATCTTCCAATATTATGTTGAATTAGAGCAGTGAAAGTGAGCATCCTTGTTTAATTTCAGTTTTTTCAGAGAAAGTTTCAACTTTTCCCCACTCAGTATGATGTTGATTGTGGGTTGGTTATATATACGGCTTTTATTGTGTTTAGGCATAATCATTCGATATGTAATTTGTTGAGAGCTTTTTTCTTTATCATGTGTAGATGTTAAATTTTATCAAATGCTTTTCTGTGTCTATTGAGATGATCATATGCCTTTTTTCGTCTGTTGATGTGATGTGTCATTTTTATTGATTTGCATATGTTAAACAATTCTTGCATCTCTGGGTTGAATTCCACTTTATCATAGAGTATAATCTTTTTGATGTGCTATGAATTTGGTTTGCTAGTATTTTTTATTATTTTTGCATGTATCATCAAGGATATTTGTTGTAGTTTTCTTCTGTTATTTTGTCCTTGTCTGATTTTGGTATCAGAGTAATGCTGGCCTCTTAAGTGAGATTGGAATAATTATTCCCTTCCATTTTTTTGAAATTGTTTGAAAAGAATTGGTTTTAGCTCTTCTTTAAATGTTTGGTAGAATTCAGCAGTGAAGCTATCTGGTCCTGTGCTATTCTTTTTGGGAAACATTTTATTACTAATTCAATTGAATTATTTACTATTGGTGTTTTCAGATGTTCTATTTCTTCCTTGTTCACTCTTCGTAGGTTTTGTTTGTCCAGGAATTTGATAATTTTCTCTAGGTTTTCAATTTGTTGGCACATAGCTGTTCATTATAACCTCCACTGATCATTTTTATTTATGTGGTATAATTTGTAATGTCTCCCTTTTCATTTCTCATTTTATTTATTTGGGTCTTCCCTCTTTTTATTTTAGTTAGTCTACCTAATTTTTTTTAAGTTTTTCAAAAGACCAACATTTTGTTTTATTAATCTTTTGTATATTTTAGTTTCTATTTAATTTATGTCTGCTTTATTTTTATTTCTTTCCTTTTATTAGTTTTTGGGTTTAGTTTTTTCTTGCTCTTCTACTTCCTTGAGGTACATTGTTAGATTGTTTGAATCTTTCAACTTTTATGATGTAGGCATTTATTGCTATACATTTCTCTCTTAATACTCTTTTTACTGTATCCCATAGTTTTTTATATGCTGTGTTTCTAGTTTCAATTAATTCAAGAAACTTAAAATCTCTTTCTCCATTTCTTCCTTGACCCAGTCGCTATTTGGGAGTATGTTGTTTAGTTTCTACCTGTTTGTACAGTTTCCAAAGTTCTCCCTGTTATTGATTTCTGGTTTTATTCTATTGTGGTCAGACAAGACACTTGACATAATTTTGTTTTTTCAAAATTTGTGGAAGCTTGTTTGGGGACCTACAATGTGGTCTATTCTGCAGAATGTTTCATGTGCTGATGAGAAAAATGTATACACTGCAACTATTGAATGAATTGTTCTGTAAATGGTGGTTACATCAATTTGATGTATAATGCAGTTTAAATATGATGTTTCTTTTTTGATTTTCTATCTATATGAGATCTAATGCTGAAAGTGGGGTGTTGAAGTTCCCAATTATTGTTGTATTGGAGTCTATCTCACTTTATTTCTAATAATGCTTGTTTATATATCTACTTGCTACAGTATTGGGTCTACATATATTGTTACTTCCTCTTTCTGAATTGATCCCTTTATTATATAGTGACCTTCTTTGTCTCTGTCTACAGGTTTTGACTTACCATCTATTTTATCTAAGTGTAGCTATTGCTTCATGCCCTTGGTTTTCATTTGCATAAAATATTTTTTTTCTATCCTTTCACTTTTTAGTCTGTTTGTGTCTTTACAGGTGAAGTGAGGTTCTTGTAGGCATTATATATTTGGGACATATTTTAAATCCATTCAGCCAGTCTATATCTTTTAAATGAGAAATTTAATCCGATTACATTCATAGTTACTATTGATAGGTGAGAACTTACCCTTGTCATTTTGTTGTTTCTGGTTTTTTGTATATACTTTGTTTCTTTCTTTTTCTATTTTTTATTTTTTTTAACTTTTATTTTAGGCTTGGGGGTAAATGTGAAGGGTTTCTACATATGCAAATTCATGTTATAGGGGTTTGTTGTACAGTTTATTTCATCACACAGGTATTAAGCTCAGTACCCAATAGCTATCTTTTCTACTTTTCTCCCACCCTCTTATTTTTATTGTTTACCTTTGAGGCTTGGTGGTTTTCTGTAGTGACTGGGTTTGATTCCTTTCTCATTTGTGCATCTGCTCTACAAATAAATTTTATAATTTTTGATGTTTTTATGATGGTAGTTATCATCCTTTTGCTTTCAGATGTAGGACTCCCTTTAGCATTCTTTATAAAGGCAAGCTAGTGGTGATGAATTCCCTCAGTTTTTGCTTGTGTGGGAAACACTCTATTTCTCCTTCATTTCTTAACAGTAGCTTTGCTGGGTATAGTATTCTTCGTTGACTTCTTTTTCTTTTAGAGCTTTAAATATACAATCTCATTCTCTACTGGCATGTAAGGTAAAAAAATGCTGTTAGTCTGATGGAGATTTCCTTATATATGACTTGATGCTTTTATCTTAAGGTTTTTAGAATTATTTTTGTAATTTACTTTTGACAGTTTGACTATAATGTACCTTGGAAAGGACCTTTTTGAGTTTACACAGTTTGGGGACTTTCAGGATCTGAATTTCATATCTTCCCAAAATTTGGGACTCTTCTACAATTATTTTATTATATCCATTTTCATATCCCTTCTCCTTTGGAAACTTCCATAAGGTGAAAATTTGGTTGCTGAATAATGTTTCATAAGTCTTAGAGGCCTTCTCCATTATTTTTAATTCTTTTCTTTTCCGACAGGGTTATTTTAAGAAGACCTAGTGTTCCAGTTTAGAAATTATTTTTTCTGGTGGATCTAGTATGTTGTTAAATCTCTCATTCATTAAATCATTCAGCTCCAAGATTTCTGTTCAGTTCTTTTGATAATATCTATCTCTGTTGAATTTCTTATTCAGATACTAAATTATTTTCCTGATTTTATTGAATTGTCTAACTGTATTATCTTGTATCTTGCTGTGTTTTCTCAATATTTTTTCTATTGAGACAGAGTCTCACTTTTTCACCCAGGCTGGAATACAGTGGTGTGATCATGGCTCACTACAATCTCTACTTCCTGGGTTCAAGCAATTCTTGTGCCTCAGCCACCCAAGTAGCTGGGATTACAGATGTGGGCCACTACACCCAGCTAATTTTTATATTTTTAGTAGAGACGGGGTTTCACCGTGTTGGCCAGCCTGGTCTTGAACTCCTGGCCTCAAGTGATCTGCCCACCTCGGCCTCCCAAAGTGCTGGGATTACAGGTATGAGTCACTGTGCCCAGTCTAAGATTATTATTCTGAATTCTTTTCGGGCTATTATTAATTTCTATTTCTTTGAGGTCAGTTACTAAAGAATTATTGTGTTTATTGGTAGTATTATATTTTTCTGCTCTTTCATGTACTTTGTATTCTTTTCATTAATATCTGTCCATCTGGTGGAATGGTCACCTCCTATGATTTTGTAAGGTATTCATATAAAAAGACTTTCTCCTGCAGGTGTGTCTAGGGTGTTGGTTGGATAGGGTACATTCATTTTGGTCTGGGTGGGTGCAGGAGGGTAGCCTCCCTGCAGTTTATTCAGCTATAGTCAACATCAGCAATGTCTTCATGTGCTTTGATGGCTCAGGTGATAGGATTTTGTGTAGTTGATGTGCCTACTTGGGATATGTTTTCCTGGGGGTTGTGTGCCTGCCTGGTGCCTGCTCCAAGAAAGAGCAGGGCTGGTTAACCAGTGGATCTGCTTGGGTGCTGCTCCCCTGGGGGTGGTGTGCTAGGCTGGATCACATTCTGGGGAAGCACAAGGCTGCTTCACAGCCTTGAGACTTACCTCAGGTGAAATGAACAGCTATATGGAGATATCTGGAAGAATTCTAAATACAGAGGCTTTTTTTCCCCAGATCCATCCCTCTGGCATGTAGATGTATTCTTTTTCACCAGCCTGAAAGCCCTCTGAGACATGGAAGTTTTAAGAACTGTGTGACTGTACAATAATCTGTCAGGGACAGATAAATGGAATATCTTATACACTATTGGTGGGAATGAAGACTTAAGAGGCGATTTGGAAATATCTAGAAAAGTTGTATATGCACACATTCTACAACCCAGAAATTACACTTTGGGATATATACCCCAGATAAACTCTTAAACATGTGTATACATGACATGGGCAAGTTTGTTCATTGTAGCATTGTTTGTAATAGTGAAAAATTAAAAACTGTCTAAATGGTCATCAGCAGAAAAATGGATAAACTATGGTATAGTAAGTAATACAGATACTATATTTCAATGGAAATGAATAAATAACTACATATATTGACATAAATAAAAACTAAAAGTGGAGTAAATAAATTGCAGAATTATATGTGTATATGGAGACATTTATAAGCAAGTTTAACTCCATGAAAAATACTGCCATTTTGTAGATATTTATACATGTAATAAAAATTTAAAAACAGGCATGGAAATAATAAACATCAAATGTAAAATATGGACACAGGAAGGGGAACATCACACTCTGGGGACTGTTGTGGGGCAGGGGGAGGGGGAAGGGATAGCACTGGGAGATATAACTAATGCTAGATGACGAGTTAGTGGGTGCAGCGCACCAGCGTGGCACATGTATACATATGTAACTAACCTGCACAATGTGCACATGTACCCTAAAACTTAAAGTATAATAATAAAAGAAAAAATATATAATCATTACCTCTGAGATGTAGGAATAATGCAATCAGGGAGATAAATGAGATTTCAATTATATTTGTAATCCCTTATTTTTAAAAACTGGATGGTGAATACACAGGTGTTTGATACATTATTCTTTACACTGCCTCTATGGGTAAAATATTTTATCACATTTTTTTAAAACAACCATACCCAGAGGTCCACATGGAAGAATATTTGTCAGTTATATATATTACTATCTTTTATTGCCTGATAAGCAAGGGCTTTTAGATTGATGAACATTAAGGAAGACTTGTAAGGATTTAAGGAAAGAGGAATCCGACCCCTCATCTTCCCTAAGGGCACCATGTACCACCATCTTTTTATGCCTGGGTCCTCTTCCAGTAGCTATACTTTTTCACAAAGTGCTATAAATATTCATGTGGATTTGAGACCAATTAAAGCTGCATTGGTCCAATCTCCTCATTTTAGCTATAAGTAATTTGAGGCCCACAGAAGTGAGTTTACTGGTTCAAGGTCACAAAGTTAGGGGATGTGTAACTGGGACCCAAATCCAGAACTTCTATATTAGTTGTCTTCCTACTATACCATGATAACTTCTGTGGATTCGCCCTCTACAATTTGGCTCTCATTTATCTAGTGACATCATTCATTTTCTGACCTCCCTTTTATTTCCCCTTACTGTGTTAATTTTACCTCCTGAGTTCTTGATTCATCTTTTTCTCTCTTGTTCTCTGCTTTTAGCCTTAGCCATGTTTTAAGATGTAGCTCAAATCTCACCATGTCTAGGAAGCTATTTCATAATACCGCAGCTCCTGCTTCTTTAAGATCTTATGAAATTTATAGTCATTATCACCTACTTTAGCACTTAATTGCTCTCTAAATATTTCAGGTGTATTTATTTTCTCTCTAAACTCTCTAAATAGGATGCGAGCAAACTATAATATTTCATTATATTCCTCTCAGTCCTTAACACAGTGTTGGGTATATAGTGTGTAACAATGAAGTGTTGTTGATCCACTTATTAACTGTAAACACAGAGATTTCTTGCTATTATCCATATATCAAAACACTAATGTTTCATGTTACAGAGTGCAGTTACTACATTTCCGCCTGGACGTAATTTACACAAATCGGTGAAGTGATTACACAGGCATTGTGGTCCACTTGTTGCTGTCTCTTACTTTTGTAACATCCTTCCGTGAGTTCTCTATTTCAAATTTATCAATCTATGGCTTTGGATGAATTACCAAAGCCAACTACTCCCAAGTTTATGGTTTAATTAGCACACACACACGCAAAACCAAGCAAATACATAAAACAACAGTCCTGCATTTGTCATTTTTTGCATCACATTTGGATTGGTCATTCATTACCTCAGGGGTACCTTCACATTGTTCATTCCCTAAAGGGAGCAAAACTCTGACTTAATTCCAAGTTCCCCAGAAGATGTTTTCTATGAGTGCTTTAAAGAGCATTTTTTTAAAAACTTACTCAATATTGACAAATTATAGTTTTATATATTTATGGGGTGCAAAATGGTGTTATAATTTTTTAATACAATGGGGAAATATACAATTAATCTAATTAACATATCTGTCACCTCAAATATTTAACATTTTTGTGATAACATTAGCAATGTACTTTTAGCTATATTCAAAACTTATTCCTTCCATCTAACTGAGGCTTTTGTACCCTCTGACCATCATCTTCCTATTTCCCAGCATCTGGTAACCACCATTCTACTCTTTGCTTGGGTAAGTGAGATTGTTTTAGATTTCACATATATGTAAGAAAAAGCCGTATTTGTCTTTCTGTGTTTGGCTTATTTCACTTGGTATAATGTTCTACAATTCCATTCATTTTGTGGCAAATGACTGAGTTTCTTTTTTCTTAAGGCCAAATAGGAACACATTTTGTAAATATGTTACATTTTCTCTATCCACTTGTACCTTGATGGATGCATATGTTTATTCCATAACTTGGCTATTAAAGATAGTGCTGCAATGGACATGAGAGTATTAATAGTTCTTTGACATACTGATTTCAAGTTTTTAGGATATATACACAGAAGTGGAGTTGCTGAGTCATATCGTAATTCTATTTTCAATTTATTGAGGAACTTCCATACCATTTTTTTATGGTTGTGATATGAACAGGAGGGCAGGAAATACTAGGTAGAAAAGGGCAGGGTCCCTGGCAAGGGTTCCACCCTAAAGCCTGGACCGATAGCCCTAAATGAGAAGTTCACATTTCCGTTTTCCCACACAAATCTTGCCTTTTCAAAAACCACCCTGGGCCACCACACTCGCTATCCTGTACCCATAAAAAACCCAAGCTCCACTGGCAGAGGAGCAGAGTGAAGCAGCAGAGAAGGAGAGAGGAGAAGCAGCAGCTGGACATCAAAGAGAAGCAGCTTGACTTCAGAGGGACTTGACAATGGAATTTTGGAGAAGAGTTTGGCAGGGACAGTCAAAGTCCAGGGAAAAATTACCTTCCTGCTCCATCCCCCTTCCAGCTCCCCTTCTCACTGAGAGCCACTTCCACCAATCAGTAAAATTCTCCACATTCACCACCCTCCAATTTGTTCATGCAACCTCAGTCCTTCTGGATGCCAGACAAGAACCCAGGTTCAGGTGCAAGAGGCTGTCACACTGACTCTTCACTGAGCTGTTTAACATTTAAGCCATCCATGGATATCAAAGCTAAAGGTGCTCACTGTAAAACACATCCTCCGGAGTTCCAGGGCTCACAGGCAATCCCTAGATGCTGCTGGGGACCAGTTCAGTGTTTGTTCCTACCGGTGCTCAAAGGAACCCACCCAAGCTCCTGCACCCCACCCCCTCACCTGTATGCTGTCCTGCCCACAAGGAGATTGAGCACTGTGGACTGAGTAAGCAACCATCCCTTCAAGAGTCCCATGGAGGGGTCAAGGGAACTATCTTGTCTCATTTGTTCTAATTTATATTCCCCTCAACAGTGTACAAATATACCTTTTTCTCAACATCTTCACCTGCACTTGTTATCTTTTGTTTTTTTAATTATAGCCATTTTTAACAGGTTTGAGGTGATATCTCATTGTGGTTTTAATTTACTTCTTTCTAATGATTAGTGATGTAGAACATTTTTAAATGTATCTATTAGCCACTTGTATGTATTTTTTTGTGATGTATCCATTCAGTTCCCCTGCCTGTCTTTCCCATTAGACTGGTAAACTCCAGAATGGCACGGAGCATGCCTGATTTTGTTTAGTATTATATTTCCAGTTCTAGCATAATGCCTGACTCATACTGCTGGTGCAATGAATATTTACTGGATGAATTAGCGTTAGTCTGCTTTAATCTCTCCAGTTTACCAATGAGATAATGTTTCAAGCCCACACATGATAATATCACTCCTCAATTCAGAAACCTTCCTTGTGGTTCCACTATACCTTAGAATAAAGTTTATTCAGTACTTCCTAGAATACTCACATTGAGGGAGCCCAGCCTACTCCTCACTTCAACTCTGTTTCTTTCCTGCTCTACTTTCCACCCCAAGTCAGTCACACCATAATTATTGCCATTCTCCAAATGTGCCATCCTCTTTAATTTCTCTTCACTTTTATAGATGCTATTTTCTATCATGTGATATGATTTTTCTTTTTTCTCCAACCAACAAGTGCTTATTAATCCTTCACAGTGTATGTCAGTTGTCATCTTCTCTGTGAAGATTTTTCTCACCTCCATCTTAGTAAGCAAAATGTATCACCTCCTGTCCTGTAACACAGAGCACTTTTCACTTACTTTTTTACAACAGTTACTGCATTGTTTGTTAATTACTTGTTTTTCTCTTGTCTCTTTTCCCTACCCCAGACCGTACCGTTTGAAGGCAAATATTAATATTACTTTTCTATGTATCTGACCTGGTACTGAACATAATTAAGTGACTGCATGTTTCCTTGCTTACTTCTCTAATGGAGGCTCCAAGAAAATGCCAATGCATCTTTTGCCAAGCCTTGATTGTCCCCCAAGGCTGGCATGACTGGAGGATCAAGATGTCATATGAGTTCAGAGAAAGGAAATCTCAGTATTGGCATGAGTAAGTCAAAACAGTTTAAAAACAAGACAAAAACAACAAACAAAAATACTTTACTGAGCAATTGAGGCTTGAAGCTTGATATATAAGGGAAGGGGGAGTAAAGGAACAGTTAGAGAATGTAATGAATTTGATTTTAGACATGTTGAACTTAGTGACAGCTTCATATAGAAATAGAGATGTCCTGAAGGCGGTTGGAAATATGATACTGTAGTGCAGATGAGAGGTTACACCTAAATATATAGTTAGTCACCAATTTTCAAAGTTATCACATTCCAAAAGTTCACTTGTAAGTTTTGGTGTTGGAACTCAAAATGTAGTTTTTCACAGAGGCAATACTATAAGTGGTGATTATGTCTATTAGACCACAAATGTATATTTCATCTTGTTATGCAACTGAAATAACATATATTTGCAATAAATAGTATAAAATATTATTGTAATTTTAGTTGTTAAAATGGAAAAGCAATAAAATTGAATAAGAAAAATTCCCTGTTTTGAATACTAGTACTTGAGGTAATAGCAAATTTAAACACAGGAATTTGCAGAATTTGATAGAATTTCATAAAGATTCTGAATGGGCTCCATAGACACTTTCAAAGGCTTCAGAGCTTTATTTTTTATTTTTTAGGAAAAAGGTCTTACTCTGTCATCTAGGATGGAGTGAAGTGGTGTGATTATAGCTCATGGCAGCCTCAAACTCCTGGGTTCAAGTAGTCCACATGCCTACAACAGCTGAGTGACTGGAACTACAGGTGCATGCCACCTGCCTGTCAAGTTTTATGATATAGTGTTTTTTAAATTGCTTATTTCACTTAAAAATCTCAGGATTTTGCATCACTAGTACTACCCTTCCCTTGCTTTCTGGCCTTCATTGGGGTTATTAGGGGCTCACAGATAGAAAAAAAGGTAGGGATCAAAATCAAGAAAAGGATTGAGAGTGTTCCCAAAGATCACTGAGCAGTGGTTGATAAAAAGAAGAGACCAAATGTTTCAAGAGGGTGTTCATTTAAAAAATTGTCTGAGGAATTATCCTGAGCTGTCAGCCATAAAAGACAAAGAAAGTTTAACATGTTCATACATTCGTTAAACAAGCAAACAATATTCTTCTAAAAGGAAATCAATGTAGAAAGACTGTCAGCAATGTTGCTTTGTTGTTTCAAAGTATCATCATCCCAAAATGGTTTGGTTGCTATTCAAAGTGAGTATGGAATGGTAAAGTAACATGTAGTTATCCCATTGGGGATTGGAGGGGAAAGCAGTATAGAAACAGCTGTGGATATGCAAGACACGTTTTTAAAGCTAGGTGTTTGCAACTAGAGAAATAATTACAAAAATGGGCAAAATATCTGAATAGAAACTTTGCAAAGGAAGACATACAAATGACAAACAAGTATATGAAAAGGTGCTGAACATCATTAATCATCAGAGAAATGCATATCAAAACTACAATTAGATGCCATCTTATCCCCGTTAAAATTACTTTTCTCCAAAAGTCAGGCAATAACAAATGCTGGTGAGAATGTGAAGAAAAGGGAACTCTCATACACTGTTGATGATAATGTAGATTAGTACAACCACTATAGAGAACATTTTGGAGGTTTCTCAAAAAACTAAAAAGAGAGCTAACACACAACCCAGCAATTCCACTTCTAGATATATACCCAAAAGAAAGGAAATCAGTAAATGGAAGAGATATCTAAACTCTTATGTTTATTGCAGCACTGTTTACAATAGACAAGATTTGGAGGCAACCTAAATGTCCATCAAAAGATGAATGCATAAAGAAAATTTGGTACATATAAATAATGGAGTACTAATCAGTCATAAAAAAGAATGAGATTCTGTCATTAGCAGCAACATGGATGGGATTGAATGCTATTATGTTAAGTGAAATAAGCCAGGCACAGAAAGACAAACTTTGCATATTCTTGCTTACTGGTGGGGGTGAAAAGTTAAAACAATTGGAATAGTAACAGCTCTGGTCTGCAGCTCCCAGTGAGACCAATGCAGAAAGTGGGTAATTTCTGCGTTTCCAACTGAGGTACCCAGTTCATCTCATTGACACCGGCTAGGCAGTGGATGTGATCCACGGAGAGTGAGCAGAAGCAGGGTGGGGTGACACTTCACCTGGGAAGTGCACGGAGTGGGGGACCTTCCTCCCCTAGCCAAGGGAAGACATGAGAGACTGTGCTACCCACCAGGGGTACTACACTTTTCCCATGGAGTTTTGCAGTCTTCAGATCAGGCCTATACCACCAGGCCCTGAGTCTCAAGCATGAAACTGGGTGGCTGTTCAGGAAGACACTGAGCTGCAGGAATTTTTACATACTCCAGTGGCACCTGGAACTCTAGGGAGACAGGATAACCATTTACTCCAGTGGAAGGGGGGCTGAAGCCGGGGAGCCAAGCAGTCTCACTCAGCGAGTCCCACTCACACGGAGCCCAGCAAGCTAAGAACCAGTGGCTTGAAATCCCCATTGCCAGCACAGTAGTCTGGAGTTTGCCTGGGATGACCAAGTTCTGAGGAGGGAGGGGTGACTGCCATTACTGTGGCTTTAGTAGGTGCTTTTCCTCTGACAGTGCTAAGGAGACTTGGAGGTTTGGACTGGGTGGAATTCCCCACATTACAGCAAAGCAGCTGTGGCCAAACTCCTCCTTTAGATCTCTCCTCACCAGGCAGGGCATCCCTGCAGGAAGTCCACCAGCTCCAGTCAAGGACTTATAAACAGAACTCTCATCTCCCTAGGATAGAGCACCTTGGGGGAGGGTTGGCCACAGTCCCAGGTTCAGCAGACTTAATTTTTCCTTCCTGCTGGCTCTGAAAAGATCAGTTGATCCCAATGAGGGGGATTCCCCCAACACAGTGATATGGGAGTGGGGCAGGGAAGTCCTGGAAAGGGAAGTGTCTGGTCCCTGGCTAGGGCTTCACCCCCCAGGCCTGTGCTCACAGACCTAGGTGAGGACAAGCATTTCTGTTTTTTATGCCCAAATGTTGCATTTCCCAAGAACACCCTGGCCCACCACACCCCCATCCTATGCCTATAAAAACTCTGAGACCCTAGTGGACATGCACACTAGATGTTGAGAAGAACACATCGCTGGGAGAAAACACTAGCAGGTGGATGTTGAGAGAATGTTAGGAGGAGCATGTCGGTGTAAGAGCACACTGACAGACACTGGCAGGCCAGCAGGCATCAACCAGCAGAACTATGTGGAGTTTTTCTGGGGTGGTTGGAAAGGAGCCCAGCTGCTAAGTGGTCTGTCTCCAGGGGAAAACTACCTTCCCACTCCATTCGCTTCTGGCTCCCCAATCTGCTGAGAGCTACTTCCACTCAATAAAATCTTGCACTCATTCTCCAAGCCCACATGTGATCTGATTCTTCTGGTACACCAAGGCAAGAAACCCCTGGATACAGAAAACCCTCTGTCCTTGTGATAAGGCAGAGGGTCTAATTGAGCCAACTAACACAAGCTACCTGCAGATGGCTAAACTGAAAGAGTACACAATAACACACACCCACCGGGGCCTCAGGAGCTGTAAACATTCACCCCTAGACACTGCTGTCAGGTCAGAGTCCCACAACTTGCCCATCTGCATGATTTCCCTTGGGGTTTGAGCACTGGGGCAACGAAGGAGTGAGCCACACCCCCATTGCATGTCCTGCGAGGGGGATAAGGAAACTTTTCCCATTTCAACAACACACCAGCCCTGCTAAGGGACAGACTGCCTCCTTAAGAGGGTCCCTGACCCAGTGCCTCCTGTCTGGATGAGACCTCCCAACAGGGGTCAGCAGACACCTCAGACAGGAGAGCTCTGGCTGGTATCAGGTTGGTGCTTCTGTGGGAAAAATCTTCTGGAGGAAGGAGCAGGAAGCAATCTTTGCTGTTCTGCAAACTTCACTGGTGATAGGAGGCGAACAGGGACTAGAGTGGACCCCAGCAAATTGCAGCAGACCTACAGAAGAAGGGCCTGACTTTTGGAAAAAACAAACAAACAAACAAACACAAACAAAAAGCAACAACAACAACATCAACAAAAAAGACCCCACAAAAACCCATCCAAAGGTCATCAGCCTCAAAGATCAGAGGTGGATGAGGAAAAATCAATGAAGATAAGGAAAACAATAAAGATGAGGAAAAACCAAAGCAAAAAGGCTGAAAATCCCCAAAGCCAGAATGCCTCTTCTCCTCCAAATAATTGCAACACTTCTCCAGCAAGGGCACAGAATGAGGCTGAAGCTGAGATGGATGAACTGATAGAAGTGGGCTTTAGAAAGTGGGTAATAATGAATTTCATTGAGCTAAAGGATTAAGTTCTTACCCAATGCAAAGAAGCTAAGAACCATGAAAAAATATTACAGGAGCTGTTAACCAGAAAAACCAGCCCAGAGAGAAACATAAATGACCTGATGGAGCGGAATAACATAACACAAGAACTTAATGAGGCAAAAACAAGTATTAATAGCCAAATAGACCAAGCAGAAGAGAGAATATCAAAGCATAAAGACTATCTTGCTGAAATAAGGCAGGCAGACAAGATTTGAGAAAAAAGAATGAAAAGGAACAAACAAAATCTCTGAGAATTATGGGACTATGTAAAAAGACTGAACCTATGACTAACTGGAGTACCTGAAAGAGATGAGGAGGATGGAGAAAAGTTGGAAAACACACTTAATTATGTCATCCAGGAGAACTTCCCCAACCTAGCAAGACAGGCCAATATCCAAATTCAGGAAATCCAAAGAACCCTAATAAGATACTTCATGAAAAGACCTACCCCAAGACAAATAATCATCCGATTCTCTAAGGTAAAAATAAGGGAAAAAAATGTTAAGGGCAGAAAGAGTGAAAGGCCAGGTCACCTACAAAGGGAAGCCCATCAGATTAACAGCTGAACTCTTAGCAGAAACTCTGCAACCCAGAAGAGATTGGGGGCTAATATTCAAAATGTGTAAAGAAAAGAAATTCCAACCCAGAATTTTACATTTGGCCAAATTAAGATTCATAAGCGAAGGAGAAATAAAAACTTTTTCAGACAAGCAAATCCTGAGGGATTTTGCCACCACCCGGCCTTCCAGAAGGAAGCACTAAACATGGATAGGAAAAACCATTACCAGCCTCTACAAAAACACATTGAAATCCACAGACCAATGACACTATAAAGCAACAACATTAACAAGTCTGCAAAATTAACCAGTGAGCATAATGATGAGAGGTTCAAATTCACACATAACAAGATTAACCTTAAATGTAAATGGGCTAAATGCCCCAATTAAAAGACACAGAATGGCAAGCTGGATACAAAGACAAAACCCATTGGTGTGCTGTATTCAAGAGACACATCTCATGTGCAAAGACACACATAGACTCAGAGTAAAGGGATGGAGGAAAATGTACCAAGCAAAGGGAAAGCAGAAAAAAGCAGATGTTGCAATAGCAGTTTCTGACAAAATAGATTTTAAACCAACAAAGGTCAAAAAAGACAAATAAGGGCATTACATAATGTTAAAAGGTTCAATTCAAAAAAATAAGCCAACTACATTAAATATATGCACACCTAATACAAGAGCACCCAGATTCATAAAACAAGTTCTTAGAGACCTACACAGAGACTTAGACCCCCACACAATAATAGTGGGAGACTTTAATACCCCACTGTCAGTACTAGACACATCATGAGGACAGAAAATTAGAAAAGATATTCAGGATTTGAACTCAGCCCTAGACAAAGTGGACCTGATAGATATCTACAGAACTCTCCACCCAAAAACAACAGAATATACATTTTTTGGTGCCACATGACAGTTACTCTAAAATTGATCACATAATTGGAAGTAAAACACTCCTCAGGAAATGCAAAAAACCTGAAATCATAACAAACAGTCTCTCAGACCACAGCACAATCAAATGAGAACTCAATGTTAAAAAGCCCACTGAAACACACAACTACATGGATATTGAACAACATACTCCTGAATGACTCCTGGGTAAATAATGAAATTAAGGTAGAAATCAAGAAGTTATTTGAAAACAATGAGAAAAAGAGACAATGTACCAGAATCTCTGGGACACACCTAAAGCAGTATTATGAGGGAAATTTATAGCACTAAATGCCCACATCGAAAAACTAGAAAGATCTCAAGTCTACACCCTAACATCACAACTAAAAGAACTAGAGAACCAAGAGGAAACAAACTCCAGAGCTAGCAAAAGACAGGAAATAACTAAGCTTAGAGTGGAACTGAAGGAGATAGAGACACAAAAAAACCCTTCAAAAAATCAACAAATTCAGGAACTGTTTATTTGAAAAAGTCAATAAAATAGACCACTAGTAAGATTAATAAAGAAGAAAATAAAGAAGTTTCAAATAAACACAATCAGAAATGTTAAACGGGATACCACCACTGTACCCAAAGAAATACAAACAACCATCAGAGAATACTATGAACACTTCTATGCAAATAAACTAGAAAATCTAGAAGAAATTGATAAATTCCTGGACACCTACACCCTCTAAAGTCTCAACCAGAAAGAAGTTGAATCCCTGAATAGACCAATAACAAGTTCTGAAATTCAGGCAGTAATAAATAGCCTACCAAAAAGAAAACAAAAACAAAAACAAAAAACCACGTCCAGATGAATTTCAGCTGAATTCTACCAGAGATACAAAGAGGAGTTTGTACCATTTCTTCTGAAACTATTACAAACAATTGAAAAGGAGGGACTCCTCTCTAACTCATTTTATGAGGCCAGCATCATCCTGATACAAAAAATTGGCAGAGATACAACAACAACAACAAAACACTTCAGGCCAATATTCCTGATGAACATTGATGCAAATATCCTCAATAAAATACTGGCAAACCGAATCCAGCAGCACATCAAAAATCTTATGCACCATGATCAAGTTGGCTTCATCCATGGGATGCAAGGCTGGTTCAACATACAAAAATCAATAAATGTAATTCATCACAAAAATAGAACTAAAGAGAAAAACCACATGATTATCTCAATAGATGCAGAAAAGGCCTTGAATTTGATGAAATTCAACATCTCTTCATGTTTAGAACTCTCAATAAACTATGTCTTGATGGAACATACCTCTAAATAATGAGTTATTTATGACAAATCCACAGCCAATATCATACTAAATTTGCAAAAGTCAGAGGCATTCTCCTTGAAAACTGGCACAAGACGAAGAAGCCCTCCCTCACCCCTCTTATTTAACATAGTGATGGAAGTTCTGGCCAGGACACTCAGGCAAGAGAAAGAAATAAAGGGTATTCAGTTAGGATAAGAGGAAGTCAAATTGTCTTTGTTGTGACCCCGTCATCTCAGTCCAAAAGCTTCTTAAGCTGATGAGCAAGTCTAGCAAAGTCTCAGGATACAAAATCAATGTGCAGAAATCACAAGCATTCCTATACACCAACAACAAATGAGCAGAGACCCAAATCATAAATGAGCTCCAATTCACAATTGCCACAAAGAGAGTAAAATACCTAGAAATGCAGCTAAAAAGAGAAGTGAAGGGTCTCTTCAAGGAGTACTACAAACCACTGCTCAAGGAAATCAGAGAGGACACAAGCAGATGGAAAAACATTCCATGCACATGTATAGGAAGAATCAATATCATGAACATGGCCATAGTGCCCAAAGCAATTTATGGATTCAATGGTATTCCAATTGACCTACCACTGACATTCTTCATAGAATTAGAAAAAAAAACTATTTTAAAGACAATTCTAAGCAAAAAGAACAAAGCTGGAGGCATCACACTACCCTACTTCAAACTATACTACAAGGCCACAATAAACAAAACAGCATGGTACTTGTACAGAAACAGGCACATAGACCAATGGAAGAGAATATATAACTCAGAAATAAAACAGCACATCTACAACCATCTGATCTTTGACAAACCCCCAAAAAACAAGCAATGGGGAAAGGATTCCCTATTTAATAAATGGTGCTGGGAGAACTGGCTAGCAATAGGCAGAAAATTGAAACAGGATCCCTTTCTTACAACTTACACAAAAATTAACTCAAGATGGATTAAAGACTTAAATGTAAAACCCAAAACCATAAAAACCCTAGAAGAAAATCTAGGCTGTGTCATTCAGGATATAGGCATGTGCAAAGAATTTATGATGAAATTATCGAAAGCAATTGCAACAAAATCAAAAATTGACAAATGGGATCTAATAAAACTAAAGAGCTTCTACACAGCAAACAAAACTATTACCAGAGAGAAGAGACAATCTATAGAATGGGGGGAAACTGTTGCAATCTACCCATCTGACAAAGGTCTATTATCTGGAATTTACAAGGAAATTTACCATTTAAAAAATACAACTCCATTAAAAAGGAGCAAAAGGACATGAAGAGACACTTCTGAAAAAAAGAGACATACATGCAGCCAACAAACCCATGAAGAATAGTTCAACATCACTGATCATTAGAGAAATGCAAACAAAAAACACAATGAGATACCATCTCATGCCAGTCAGAATGTCAATTATTAAAAAGTCAACAAACAACAGATGCTAGCAAGGTTGCAAAGGAATAAGAACACTTTTACACTGTTGGTGGGAATGTAAATTAGTTCAACCATTGTGGAAGGTAATAGGGTGATTTCTCAAAGATTTAGAACCAGAAATACCATTTGACCCAGCAATCCCATTCCTGGGTGTATATCCGAAGGAATATAAATCATTCTATTATAAAGATACATGCATGCATATGTTCACTGAAGCATTACTCACAATAGAAAAGACATGGAATCAACCCAAATGCCCATCAATGATGGGCTGGATAAAGAAAATGTGGTACATATACACCATGGAATACTATGCAGCCATAAAAAGGAACTAGATCATGTCCTTTGCAGAAAGATGGATGAAGCTGGAAGCCATTATCCTCAGCAAACTAATGCAGAAACAGAAAACCAAACACGGCATGTTCACACTTATAAGTGGGAGGTGAACAATGAGAACACATGTACACAGAAAGGGGAACAACACTTACTGGGGCCTGTTGGGGATGGGGGAGAGCATTAAGGAAAAAAGCTGATGCCTGCTGGCATTAATACCTAGGTGATGGGTTGATAGGTGCAGAAAGCCACTATGGCACATGCTTACCTATGTAACAAACCTGCACATCCTGCACATGTACTCCAGAACTTAAAGAAAAAAAAATCAAAAATAAATGTAAAAATAAAACAATTGTACTCATGGAGATAGATGGTAGAAGGATTGTTACCAGAGGCTGGAAAGAATAGTAGTGGTGGGAGGGAAATGGGGATGGTTAATGGGTACAAAAAATAGAATAAGACCTAGTATTTGCTAGCACAACAGTATGACTATAGTAAAAAATAAGTTAATTGTACATTTTGAAATAACTAAAAGAGTATAGTTGGATTGTTTATAACACAAAGGATAAATGTTTGAGGTGATCACCCTGATGTGATTATTATGCATGGCATACCTGTATCAAAATATTTCATGTAACCTATAATTATATACACCTACTATGTACCCACGAAAATTAAAAATAGGCCAGGTGGTGGCTAAGCCTGTATTCCCAGCACTTTGGGAGGCCAAGGCAGGTGGATCAATTGAGGTCAGGAGTTCAAGACCAGCCTGGCCAACATGAGGAAACCCCAATTCTACTAATAATACAAAAAATTAGCCAGGCGTGGTGGCAGGCACCTGCAATCCCAGCTATTCAGGAGGCTGAGGCAGGAGAATGGCTTGAACCTGGGAGGTGGAGGTTACAGTGAGCCGAGATTGCGCTATTGCACTCCAGCCTGGGCAACAAGAGCAACACCCCATCTCAAAAAAAAAATTATAACTAAAAAAAGAAATATTGAGCAAGTGCGCCTGTGCTGCTTCCATCAGCCCAAGTCGGGAACATGGCCATGTGGTCAACGTGGGCGGGCTGCCAGCGGGTGTAGCACCTACTGGCTTAGAGTGCCTCATGGGAGAGCAAGGGATGCCCACTTCCATTCAGCACTGCCACCCAGGGAACCGCTGGTGAGGACTGCCATTCCGAGGACCTTCCTGATGACCTTGGGCCCTCTCTTGCTGAACAAGCCTTAAGGGTAAAAGTTGTTAAACTGGAGAAGGAAGTCCAGGATTTAATGGTGAGATACCGGAGAGCTATAGCTGATTGTGAAAACATAAGGAGGTGAACCCGGAGATGTGTGGAAGACGCCAAGATATTTGGAATCCAGAGTTTCTGTAAGGACTTGGTGGAGGTGGCTGACATTTTGGAGAAGACTACAGAGTGCATTTCTGAAGAATCAGAGCCTGGGGACCAGAAGCTCACTCTGGAGAAGGTCTTCCAACGGTTGTCACTTTTAGAAGCAAAGCTGAAAAGTGTGTTTGCCAAGCATGGCCTTGAGAAGCTGACACCCATTGGTGACAAATATGATTCCCATGAGCATGAATCCTCT
This sequence comes from Homo sapiens, assembly GCF_000001405.40. Lineage (NCBI taxonomy): Eukaryota > Metazoa > Chordata > Mammalia > Primates > Hominidae > Homo > Homo sapiens. The sequence continues at coordinate 64,698,005 of NC_000023.11, read as the reverse complement.
GTCATGTGCCAGCTGGTGTTGTGGTGCAGTCTGGCACCACGGCATTAATGAGACAAGATGGTTAAAAACTTCATGGCTGCACCATTAGACTTGCCCAGGTAGAAGTGGCAGTGGAGTCTCAGAGAAGACTAAGAGGCCATCAGGAACTGAATGTTCTCCCTGAGTGCAGCTACCTGTGTTTCTTTTATTTATTAAAGTAGGTTTGTATTGCACATGTGGTACTTCATGTGATATGTTTTGGATTTAGTCATATTGGTTTTATTTCTAAGATATTCTATTGATTTAATGTGACCTGTTTGGTCTCATCAGAAGTCTTATCATTGGGCATTTGAATAGTGTGACATCTTCCGATGGCCTTTATGGAAACATGGTTAGGAAAATTGGTACTCTGATGAACTTGAATCCAAAATTTTTTTAACTATGTGTTTTAAACTACATGTTCCTTCCTAGTGGTCCCTATAACAGGAATTGTATAGTATATTGTATTTTGTGGAAAAAGGAGATGGTAGGGATTGGTTCAAATTTTAGGTACTTAGAGGATAAAGCTTCTTCATATTCTTGTAAATTTATTCTTGTATACATTTAGATCATTTGGATGTATTTTATACACATAGATTTTCAGGACTTTACCTTTTGTTTTCTTTCCTTTTAGTCATCTTTTGTAATTGTAATGCAACTAGATAGGCTTTATGCTCACATCATTGTCTCATACCCACCCTTTCTCATCCTCAGTTGCAGGGGCTAAAGGTCTAGGTGAGACTTGGAAGGAAAGGAACATGAGGAAATTTGAGATACCCAGGACCCTTTCAAGCAAGAATGACCAAAAAGCCTTGGGCTGTCTTTGCTCTGAGCTATCTTCGAATAATTTTCAGCCTCCCTGTCATATAATCATTTCTGGCAAATTGAGTCAGCACTAACAGCTAATGACCCAGATGGCTGTATTCAGATAATTTACCTACAACTTCTTATTCCACCAGCCCTTACTCCTCTTATCCTTTGTCAATTTTGCCTTATAATCCTTTATTAGATGATGGGAGGTGATGATCAAGACAAAAGTGTTAGGTTCCCATGATTTCTCCTTTCATTTATTAATAGTTATGCTGACATTTTCTAAGCTTCCTCTTGATCTATTTTTGTTATTTTTTGTGATAAGAACACTAAACATAAGCATTCACTACTTTTAGCAATTTTTTTTTCTGTGTTGCCCAGGCTGACCTCCAACTCCTGGGATCAAGCAATTCTGCCTCAGCCTGCCAAGTAGCTAGGTCTACAGGCGCTCACCACTGTGCCTGAGAATTTTTTTTTTAGTTGGTACTCAAAAATCACTACCTCTGTTATATTGACAAGCTTTATTTCCTATTTTTTGTATCTGTTAGTTCACATTTGTGTAAACATCTAGCTCAGCTTTTATGTATTAACCTCCTAGAGTTAATGGGCTTACGTGTTTGTTTTTTTTTTCAGTCTTATAGCTGGCTTTCTGTAAAAGATTTGTCCAAAAAATGACTTAATGAATGAATGATACATCAGTCAAACTCTAGGGAGGCAGTCAATTATGGATATTTTAATGTTGGAATAGGACTTAACAATCAAATCTCACCTTTTCTGCTTCTGAAGTATGAAAATCTGGTCATTTTAAGACTGGACCCAAGGAAAATAATCTCTAAACTATTGACTAAATTTCAGTGAGAATATAAAGAACAACTAGATATTAACATCCAACTTTTAAGATTAATGGGCATGCAAATAAGTTTCCAGCAGACAATCAGATGTTGTTGGATGTCCAGATTGTATAGGTTTAGGTTTAAGTTACTACTCATAAAATAAATCTATTTCCACTGGAACTCTATGACCTCATTCAGTGGAGTGGTAAAATGTTATCCTTTTATACATTATAGATAATTCTAAGACAGCACACAAACGTATCAACAAAGCCATCTCCTTGTAGACCCTACCATCTTCATCAGATTTAGACTCTTAAAAAACAAGTAAATAAGCACTTTTAAAATGCAATCAAGACAGGGGGGTTCCAAGATGGCCGAATAGGAAGAGCTCCAGCCTACAGCTCCCAGCATGAGCGACGCAGAAGATGGGTGATTTCTGCATTTCCAACTGAGGTACCAGGTTCATCTCACTGGGGCTTGTCAGACAGTGGGTGCAGGACAGTGGGTACAGTACACCAAGCATGAGCCAAAGCAGGGCGAGGCATCACCTCACCTGGAAAGCACAAGGGGTCATGTAATTCCCTTTAATAGCCAAGCAAATTTGTGACAGATGGCAGCCGGAGAATTGGGTCACTCCCACCCTAATACTGTGCTTTTCCAATGGTCTTAGCAAATGGCACACCAGGAGATTATATCCCACGCCTGGCTCAGAGGGTCCCATGCCCATGGAGCCTCGCTCATTGCTAACACAGCAGTCTGAGACCGAATTGCAAGGTGGCAGCAAGGCTGGGGGAGGGGTGCACACCATTGTTGAGGCTTGAGTAGGTAAACAAAGCAGCCAGGAAGCTCGAAGTGGGTGGAGCCCACCGCAGCTCAAGGAGGCCTGCCAGCCTCTGTAGACTCCACCTCTGGGGACAGGGCATAGCCGAACAAAAGGCAGCAGAAACCTGCAGACTTAAATGTCCCTGTCTGACAGACTTGAAGAGAGTAGTGGTTCTCCTAGCATGGAGTTTGAGATCTGAGAATAGACAGACTGCCTCCTCAAGTGGGCCCCTGACCCCCAAGTAGACTATGTGGGAGGCACACCCCAGTAGGGGTAGACTGACACCTCAAACAGCCAGGTACCCCTCTGAGATGAAACTGCCAGAGGAAAGATCAGACAGCAACATTTGCTGTTCAGCAATATTTGCTGTTCTGCAGACTCCGCTGCTGATACCCAGGCAAACAGGGTCTGGAGTGGACCTCCAGCAAATTCCAACAGAACTGCAGCTGAGGATCCTGACTGTTAAAAGGAAAACTAACAAACATAAAGGACATCCACACCAAAACCTCATCGGTACATCACCATTATCAAAAACCAAAGGTAGATAAAACCACAAAGATGGGGAAAAAACAGAAAAGAAAAACTGAAAATACTAACAATCAGAGCACCTCTCCTCCTCCAAAGGAACGCAGCTCCTCACCAGCAATGGAACAAAGCTGAACAGAGAATGAACCTTGAAAAAGGATTAGATGAATGGCTAACTAGAATAACCAATGCAGAGAAGTCCTTAAAGGACCTGATGGAGCTGAAAACCATGGCACGAGAACTACATGATGAATGCACAAACTTCAGTAGCTGATTCAATCAACTGGAAGAAAGAGTATCAGTGATTGAAGATCAAATGAGTGAAATGAAGTGAGAAGAGAAGTTTAGAGAAAAAAGAATAAAAAGAAATGAACAAAGCCTCCGAGAAATGTGGGACTATGTGAAAAGACCAAATCTACATCTGATTGGTGTACCTAAAAGTGACAGGGAGAGTGGAACCAAGTTGGAAAACACTCTGCAGGATATTATCCAGGAGAACTTCCCCAACCTACCAAGGCAGGCCAACAATCAAATTCAGGAAATACAGAGAATGCCACAAAGATACTCTTCGAGAAGAGCAACTCCAAGACACATAATTGTCAGATTCACCAAAGTTGAAATGAAGGAAAAAATGTTAAGGGCAGCCAGAGAGAAAGGTCAGGTTACCCACAAAGGGAAGCCCATCAGAGTAACAGCTGATCTCTCGGCAGAAACTCTACAAGCCAGAAGAGAGTGGGGGCCAATATTCAACATTCTTAAAGAAAATAATTATCAACCCAGAATTTCACATTCAGGCAAACTAAGCTTCATAAGTGAAGGAGAAATAAAATCCTTTACAGACAAGCAAATAATGAGAGATTTTGTCCCCACCAGGCCTGCCAGGAAAGAAACAATTGGTACCAGCCACTGCAAAAACATGTCAAATTGTAAAGACCGTCGATGCTGGGAAGAAACTGCATCAACTAATGAGCAACATAACCAGCTAACATCATAATGACAGGATCAAATTCACACATAACAATATTAACCTTAAATGTAAATGGGCTAAATGCTCCAATTAAAAGACACAGATTGGCAAATTGGATAAAGAGTCAAGACCCATCAGTGTGCTGTATTCAGGAAACCCATTTCACGTGCAGAGACACACAAAGGCGCAAAATAAAGGGATAGAGGAAGACCTACCAAGCAAATGGAAAACAAAAAAGGCAGGGGTTGCAATCCTAGTCTCTGATAAAACAGACTTTAAACCCGCAAGGATCAAAAGAGACAAAGAAGGTCATTACATAATGGTAAAGGGATCAATTCAACAAGAAGAGCTAACTATCCTAAATATATATGCACCCAATACAGGAGCATCCAGATTCGTAAAGCAATTCCTTAGAGACCTACAAAGAGACTTAGACTCCCACACAATAATAATGGGAGACTTTAACACTCCACTGTCAACATTAGACAGATCAATGAGACAGAAAGTTAAAAAGGATATCTAGGAATTGAACTCAGCTCTGCAACAAGCAGACCTATTAGACATCTACAGAACTCTCCACCCCAAATCAACAGAATATACACTCTTCTCAGCACCACACTGCACCTATGCCAACATTGACCACATAGTTGGAAAGCATTCCTCAGCAAATGTAAAAGAACAGAAATTATAACAAACTGTCTCTCAGACCACAGTACAATCAAACTAGATCTCAGGATTAAGAAACTCACTCAAAACTGCTCAACTACATGGAAATTGAACAACCTGCTCCTGAGTGACTACTGGGTACATAAGGAAATGAAGGCAGAAATAAAGATGTTCTTTGAAACCAACGAGAACAAAGACACAACATACCAGAATCTCTGGTACATTTAAAGTAGTGTGTAGAGGGAAATTTATAGCACTAAATGCCCACAAGAGAAGGCAGGAAAGATCTAAAACAGACACCATAACATCACAATTAAAAGAACTAGAGAAGCAAGAGCAAACAAATTCAAAAGCTAGCAGAAGGCAAGAAATAACTAAGATCAGAGCAAAACTGAAGGAAATGGAGACACAAAAAAACCCTTCAAAAAATCAATGAATCCAGGAGCTGGTTTTTTGAAAACATCAACAGAATTGATAGACAACTAGAAAGATTAATAAAGAAGAAAAGAGAGAAGAATCAAATAGATGCAATCAAAGATGATAAAGGGGATATCACCACCGATCTCATGGAAATACAAACTACCATCAGAGAACACTATAAACACCTCTATGCAAATAAACTAGAAAATCTAGAAGAAATGGATAAATTCCTCAAAACATGTACCCTCCCAAGACTAAACCAGGAAGAATTTGAATCTCTTAATAGACCAATAACAGGCTCTGAAATTGAGGCAATAATTAATAGCTTACCAACCAAAAAAAGTCCAGGACCAGATGAATTAATAGCCGAATTCTACCAGAGGTACAAGGAGGAGCTGGTACCGTTCCTTCTGAAACTATTCCAAACCAATAGAAAAAGAAGGAATCTTCCCTAACTCATTTTATGAGGCCAGCATCATCCTGATACCAAAGCCTGGCAGAGACACAACAAAAAAAGGGAATTTTAGACCAATATCCCTGATATACATCGATGCCAAAATCCTCAACAAAATATTGGAAAACCGAATCCAGCAGCATATCAAAAAGCTTATCCACTATGATCAAGTGGGCTTCATCCCTGGGATGCAAGGCTGCTTCAATATATGCAAATCAATAAATGTAATCCAGCATATAAACAGAACAAAAGACGAAAAACACATGATTATCTCAATAGATACAGAAAAGGCCTTCAACAAAATTTAACAGCCCTTCATCCTAAAAACTTTCAATAAACTATGTATTGATGGGACATATCTAAAAATAATAAGAGCTATCTATGACAAACCCACAGCCAATATCATACTGAATGGGCAAAAACTGGAAGCATTCCCTTTGAAAACTGGCACAAGACAGGGATGTCATCTCTCACCACTCCTATTCAAAATAGTGTTGGAAGTTCTGGCTAGGGCAATTAGGCAGGAGAAAGAAATAAAGGGTATTCAATTAGGAAAAGAGGAAGTCAAATTGTCCCTGTTTGCAGATGACATGATTGTATATCTAGAAAACCCCATTGTCTCAGCCCAAAATCTCCTTAAGCTGATAAGCAACTTCAGCAAAGTCTCAGGATAGAAAATCAAAGTGCAAAAATCACATGCATTCTTATACACCAATAACAGGCAAACAGAGATCCAAATCATGAGTGAACTCCCATTCACAATTGCTTCAAAGGTAATAAAATACCTAGGAATCCAACTTACAAGGGATGTGAAGGACCTCTTCAAGGAGAACTACAAATCACTGCTCAATGAAATAAAAGAGGACATAAACAAATGGAAGAACATTCCATGCTCATGGATAGGAAGAATCAATATCGTGAAAATGGCCATACTGCCCAAGGTAATTTATAGATTCAATGCCATCCCCATCAAGCTACCAATGACTTTCTTCACAGAATTGGAAAAAACTACTTTAAAGTTCATATGGAAACAAAAAAGAGCCCGCATCACCAAGTCAATCCTAAGCCAAAAGAACAAAGCTGGCAGCATCATGATACCTGACTTCAAACTGTACTACAAGGCTACAGTAACCAAAACAGCATGGTACTGGTAAAAACCCAGAGAGATAGACCAATGGAACAGAACAGAGCCCTCAGAAATAATACCACACATCTACAACTATCTGGTCTTTGACAAACCTCACAAAAACGAGAAATGGGGAAAGGATTCCTTATTTAATAAATGGTGCTGGGAAAACTGGCTAGCCATATGTAGAAAGCTGAAACTGGATCCCTTCCTTACACCTTATACAAAAATTAATTCAAGATGGATTAAACACTTAAAGATTAGACCTAAACCATAAAAACCCTAGAAGAAAACCTAGGCAGTACCATTCAGGTCATAGGCATGGGCAAGGACTTCATGTCTAAAACACCAAAAGCAATGGCAACAAAAGCCAAAATTGATAAATGGGATCTAGTTAAACTCAAGAGCTTCTGCACAGCAAAAGAAACTACCATCAGAGTGAACAGGCAACCTGCAGAATGGGAGAAAATTTTTGCAATCTACTCATCTGACTAAGGGCTAATATCCAGAATCTACAAAGAATTCAAACAAATTTACAAGAAAAAAAAACAAACCCATCAGAAAGTGGGCAAAGGATATGAACAGACACTTCTCAAAAGAAGACATTTATGCAGCCAACAGACACATGAAAAAATGCTCATCATCACTGGCCATCAGAGAAATGCAAATCAAAACCACAGTGAGATATCATCTCACACCAGTTAGAATGATGATCATTAAAAAGTCAGGAAACGACAGGTGCTGAGAGGATGTGGAGAAATAGGAACACTTTTACACTGTTGTTGGGACTGGAAACTAGTTCAACCATTGTGGAAAACAGTGTGGTGATTCTTCAGGGATGTAGAACTAGAAATACCATTTGACCCATCCATCCCATTACTGGGTATATAACCAAAGGAATATAAATCATGCTGCTATAAAGACACATGCACATGTATGTTTATTGCAGCACTACTCACAATAGCAAAGACTTGGAACCAACCCAAATGTCCAACAATGATAGACTGGATTAAGAAAATGTGGCACATATGCACCATGGAATACTATGCAGCCATAAAAAAAGGATGAGTTCATGTCCTTTGTAGGGAAATGGATGAAGCTGGAAACCATCATTCTCAGCAAACTATTGCAAGGACAAAAAACCAGACACTGCATGTTCTCACTCATAGGTGGGAATTGAACAATGAGAACACTTGGACACAGGAAGGGGAACATCACACACCGGGGCCTGTTGTGGGGTGGGGAGAGGGGGGAAGGATAGCATTAGGAGATATACCTAATGTAAACGACGAGTCAATGGGTGCAGCACACCAACATGGCACATGTATACATATGTAACAAACCTGTACGTTGTGCCCATGTAACTTAGAACTTAAAGTATGATAAATATATATATATATATAAACTAAAAAAGAAAAACTAAAGAAATAAAATGCAATCAAAAGACTGGTGGTAAGCTTTTAAAACCAGAACATCTTTTGGCATTTCGCTAAGTGTATATTGTAAATTTAATGAACAATCAGGGTTCACAATAGGAAGTTGTCTTTTTTGGCCTTCATTTCTATGAGATTGACAGGTGGTTACAATAAGAAAATGAGCTGATTATAATTATTCTCTGTGCATCTTTTTAAAAATTTTTTTTATTGCTAGCTATCATTACCAGTTCAAATTCACATTAATTAAAATTAATAATTTTAGGTATGGAATGTTATGATTACCTAGAGATGTCTCTACCTACCGGGCTCAAGTGATCCTCTCACCTCAGCCTACCAAGTAGCCAGGACTACAGGCAAATGCACCACCATGCCCGGCTAGTTTTTTTTTTTTTCCTTTGTTTTTTTTTGTTTGTTTGTTTTTTACAGGTGGGGTCTCACTATATTGCCCAGGCTAGAAGAATTTTCTAGTACTCTAGTACATCTCCCATTTTGCCAAGTGAATTGAGAATAATTTTAGGTTCTTTTATTATTCAGTAGCTTTGCAGACTTAAAAGTGTAAATTTGGAAGTAGAAGATGAAACTGTAACAGTAAGAATCTCAAGTTGAAGGGCTTTGGGGAGCCAAAGCAGCATAATAGAGCATAGGCTTGTACTTAAATCCCAGCTCAGTCACCTGCATGACTTTAGGCACCAGTCATTTCACCCTCCTGAGCCTGATTCTTTATTTCTAAAATGATTATAATAATTCTTTCACAACATTGTGAGGATTAAGTGAAATGTGTTAAATGCCTACTACAGTAGGCTTTCAGATATTTATTTTTATTTTTTTATTATGCACATTGTTTTCCTGGCTTTTTATGGTTGCCTAAAGTCTACGGAAAAGGGAAGACTGATTAATCATGAGTAGAAAAAACATGTGAGCTAATCATTCACTGACAAATTTTCCCTCCAGTTTTTGGTTTTTTAAAAATTAGCCACACCACAAGAAACCCACATTTTTAGATGGAAAGAGCAAGAAAATTGTGTCAAGTGCTCTTCATTATTTTCATCTTAATGGTATAGTGAAAATACATTGGCTTATAGATGATACTAAGGAAGCTTTGGCTCACTCTATCTTGAAGGGGGGGATCTTGGTGGTTTAGTAGTTGGATTGTACAAACCTTTTACTGACTTTTTTACTGCTATAAACGAATCAGGTAGTTGGGGATTGATATGTTATTTGGTGCTCTCATTCATGGCAAAGGATTTGATAAATGAATAAAAGTTCTTAAAACACCAAAGCAAAAATCAAATGAGCAAAACTAAGGATGAAATGTAATATTCATCAGAACAAGGATCACTGAGAAAAAATATTCGGAAACAACATTAATAAAACCTGAATTAAAATAACTGCAAAAAAAAAGAGAAGTACTTACAGAGTTACCCCCCAGTGATACAGAGTTGAATATCCAGTGACTGGGTTACATTGGTCTGCTTTGTCGTCATCCTCTCTGCCTCTTATTCTCACCTTAGAACACATTAAGTAACCCACTAGGAAATTAAAGGAAAGGAAACGTGGACCATTCATTTTTTTATTTAATTATTTCCAGAAAAAAACTCACAGTACTTTTTTATCTTGTGAAATTGGGTGGCCTCACTGGGCACCTAGAATCTGAACACACTGAGAGCCACTATCAAAAAAAAAAAAAAAAAAAAAAAAAAAAAGACAGAGCTGGAGAGTAAAGTGGTAAAAACAGATTTTATTCAGGGCTATTGCAGTAGGTAAAAAGAGACTTCAGTACAGAACTGGGCTCAATTCAAAATACACCATGGGCAAGCAGAGATTTACAGCCAAGGAGCAGGGTGAGGGTCAGCAAATGGAAAATCACGAGGAAACGTCAGGGGTATGAGGCATTCTGGCTAAATCAGCTTGACAGAACTCATTCTGAAGACAGGCCAAGGTGAGCAGATATCACCTGGGGCATAATAGAGAATGAGAAACTCGATCACATATTAAGGGTGATCAGATATCAAGGGTGGAGAGTTCTTGCTAAGCTGACAGCAGGATTCTTCCTAAAACTAGATTTCACAAGCAAGTACACAGATAGGTATAGAAAAAAGTTCAAGAGACTGACAAAAATTTGGTCAAGCAATGAACCTTTGTTGACATCCAAGAAATGTTAATAGAGTAGGCCGAAACTGCAGGAAAAGGGAAAACTCACAGAGAAATTCTGCTCTGCTTATCTTGAGCTATGTTGAGCTTTACAAGACTTATCCACTGATTTTAGGAGGCAAGAAATGCATGCTTAGTATTTCATAGCTCCATTTGGGAGGTGAGGAGAAACAAACAGTGTTTAATTAAAACATGCACACACACACACACACACACCACGCATACACACAAAGTTACATCTTTTGAGCCTCTAGGATTTCACTAGCATGGTTCAAGCTACTTTTGCTTTCCTCAAATTTTTTGTTTATAACACATCTCTCTCATGTTTAATGTTCTTTGATGCTGCAAAAGCCTGGAGTAAAAAAAAAATATTTATCTGGAGAGTCCATTTAACAATACATAACAGCTCTTGTTTAGACGGTAATTGGGCCACCAGGCTCATCCTGATTGCTGGCTGAATTCTAGATTTAATAATGTTTCCCTATCTGATGTGATTGTAATTATATTCTTGTTGTGATTGTTTTATTGCCCTTTTTGTTGTTGTTGTTGTTTTGGGGTTAGGAGGTGCCTCAGTAGGCTCTGTGGTTTCTGGAGACACTTTCTTGTTTACCCATCAACTTTAAAAAAAAATGAATTAATTACTTTATTAATTAAATATTTTTAAGAGCAGGAAATATACCTGGAGATTATATTTCTTTTTAAATTTTTACAAATAAGGGCTTACTTTTATTATTTTTTATTTAACTTTTATTTTAAGTTCAGGGGTACAGGTGCAGGTTTGTTATCTAGGTAAACTTGTGTCATGGAAGTTTATTGTACAGATTATTTTTGTCAACCCAGTATTAAATCTAGTACTCATTAGTTATTTTTTCTGATACTTTTCCTCCTCCCACCCTCCACCCTCTGACTCTGATAGACCCCAGTGTGTTGTTCCGCTCTATGTATCCATGTGTCCTCATCATTTAGCTCCCACTTATAAGTGAGAACATGAGGTATTTGGTTTTCTGTTCCTGCATTAGCTTGCTAATAATAATGGCCTCCAGCTCAATCCATGTTCCTACAAAGGACATGCTGTCATCTATAAACTATATTTTAACTATCAAACTGCTTCCCTGTGTTTTGGTCCTTCCATGAGACAGTTGTAGTCCCGGAACAGCTGAGGCATCCTAGAGTACCTATATCATCCAGAAGACCCTCTAGATTACCATCTTGCTCCAATAAGATTGTCCTTGGACACTTCTCCAACTGTTTACTAAGAGGATTCAAAGAAAAGTACAAAAAATGAGATCTCTTGGAAGAAACCACTTCCAGTTAGTGTGGGCACCTAGCTTATGTTGGTTGTTTTTTGAAGGAGACTTTAAAAAATATGTACATTGAAGATTATACTTGGTGATTTTCTTGCCATTTTCAGTGACCATTTCTCAATATTCCTCCTTATATGCTCATCAGCAGAATTTGACACAAAATAATCACCCTGTCCTCCTATAACTCTGCTCTTATAGTCTCTACAGCTTTTTTGCTTCTTTCCTACTTCTCAGCTATTTTTCTCTTTCTTTTCTCCCTGATCTTGGTCTTCTGGCTATCTAATCTTAGCATTTCAGGTCTCTCTTTGTATTAAATCACTGATTGATATAATAATATTCCAAATTAACATAAAATATAACTTGCAGATGTCCTGTAGTCAAATTTTAATTTCCTTCTCTCTTTTTATATTACCTCTGTACCTGAGAAAAGACCATCATATATAACATTGATTCCCATCACTCTAATACAACAAACATTAATTGAGATTGTACCCTGTTTCATGAACTTTCATTTGGGGTATCTCACTGAACATTCTCACAGAGACCCCATGGAAATAGTTTTTACCTTTAGTTCATAGTCTAGGAAGTTCAACTTCAAAAGTGTAAGTAACTTACCCAGATTCCTTTATTTAGGAAATTACAGAACAAATATTATGTGGGCACATTAAGCTATTTGTATATTAATTTGACATTATATTGGTGAGCAGACAGTATACCATGTGCTACAGGTGCAAAAAAACGGACAGTTTCTTCCTTTAAGAATTTATCTTCAAAAGGAAAGGACAGATCTATAAACAAGAAATTACAATGAAATGTGATAAATAATAGAGGTATATGTTAAATGTCACAAAATGTTATGTAAGTAAAAAGATCTAGTTTGTCTGGTGGGATCAAGAACAGCTCTGAGGTTCATTAACATGTAAAATAGATTCTAAAGGATGAGTAGAACTTTATAAAAATTCTATGGAAATGCATCATCAAATTCCAAAAACTGATACAAAAATCACACTTTTGGTACATAAATCATTTGTTAGTTGGGCACAACCCCTACTTCATTTAGACTGTGGGATATAGAATGAAAATAAGCTTGTCAATACTTCTGAATTTTCTAAGTATTTGCCAGAATTTATCAGAATTACCCATTCTTGTCTCCTTGGAACTTTTTTCCTTAGGAGAACTTAGGACACTATACATATGTAGATACTTGTTCTATTGGGTAGTGTACCTGAGAATTATATATTCCCAAGCATTGCAAGATAAAGCAGGATACAATCATTCCCTCAACAAAGGAGTCATGGGTAGAAGTATAGGGACATGTGGGAGTCCTGCAGTCGGGGTGAATCTATAGGTCCTATATCTGGTCTATGAGACTTAACCTCAAGACCCACTGGATTGTGTGACTGATACTGTTAACCAACCTGAATGTCACTTCAAGGTAGGGTCAAGATTGATACAGAATGGGAATGGAACAGATAGAACCTACCGGTTAACCCAGCTGTGAAGGGCCAAAGAAATAAAGTGGGGACAGATGAGTCACCAGAATCTAGACGTAAAAGAAGCTGAGAGAGGTTTGAAGGAGAGCACTGTCCCTTTAGACTTCTGAAAAGCTGCTGTGGAAAAAAAGACACAAATTTGTTTCATTGTGACTCCCAGAGAGTCTTAGCTTCTGGAGAGGGCTTTCATGCTGCATCATAACATGGTGTATGTTGTGGGTGAGCAGCGACTATCTGAGGCCATTCGCACAGTGGTAAGAAGAATTTACTAAGACAGCTCTGAGTAAAAGAAGGCAGATTTATTAGAAAAAGTATGAAAATACTTTGCAAGAAAGCAATAGGAAGATCAGCATGAGAGGAACTGACTGCAAACAGACAAAGGCTTGCAGGGGATTTTATAGAATGGTGCTGTGCTATGAGCTGAAGAGGGCTTTGTGCAGTACTGATAATGCCAAGGTTGCAGTGAGCTAACTTGTATTTTTTGTGTCAGCTGAAGGTCTGTTGATAGTTGAGCACAGGAAAATTGTGAGTCATTTACACAGGAGGGCTACGTGTCCTGGACCATGCAGAAAAGCAGACTTATAGCTTATCTGGTCTCTCTTTCGGCTTTCCTCTGCTCCCACCACCCTGAATCCTTTTCCCTAATTGGGACTCAACAGTGTATAAAGTCAAAGGAGAAGAAGACACATGAGAAGAGACAAACTCTGAGTAGTATCCTTTATAAAAATCCATTCTTATGGGAACTAATTGATTCTCTCAAGAACTAATCCAATCTTGCCAGAAAAAGAACTCACTACTGCAAGAATGACACCAAGCCACCAGTGAGAACAGCGTCCCATGACCCAAACACTTCCCATTAGTTCCTACTACCGAACACTGCCATACTGGGGAACAAATTTCAACATGAGTTTTTGTAGGGACAAACAAACCATATGTAAACCATAGCATATGTAATACTCATTTTTGGTGACATAGCAGCCTTAAGTCAGGAAGAAAAAGCGAAAAGTAAAATTAATCCTAAATAATAAAAAATGAAAGTGATTCACTGAGAGATACTTGGACTTTTTAAAGAAAGGGCTCCTCTGCTTATCATAACCTCCCTCTTTCATCCTTCACTCACTTTTAAAATCTTTTTTAACATAGCATTTTCAGTGTCCCCCAATCTGTTTCCAAATTCCTACCTCCAGCCAAGATATACCTTTCCCTGCCTCAATGATTTCCATATACTTCTCAGAACCCAACATATGCCTACAACCTTTAACTCAGAGTTTCTGCACTCAAGACCCAGAGACACCAAGAAACTAATATCCAAAGGCTGGAAAGTAGAATCAGATGCCTATTGATTGATTTTCTGATATTAATCTTTCTTTCAAATTTCTTTAGGACCAGTGCTACCTTTTACTGGTAGAATAGGTGCTCGACAAATGTAAGTTAATGAATATTATAACAATAAAGAAATAAAGTGGACCAATACCAGGGATAAGTAGAAACCCATACTGTAGTGAAAGGAATTGAGACTGTTGACTCTAAAAAAAAAAAAAAAAACAAAAAACAAAACAAAACAAAAAAACCTAACAGGCATTGAAAGCTATAGCCTCACTTGTTACCACACAGCTCCACATGAAATAATAATAAAAAAAAACCTTTAAAGTGGCCTTGAAGATCTATTTTAACCTCCCAGTCAGTGCAGAAGACTTCTGTACAGTATTCCCGATATTTTGCCACATAGGCTTTGCTTAAATACCACCAGGATAGGGAGTTCACTATTTCTAGTAAAATGAGGCCAGTTACGTTAATGAGCAATTCCTGTTGCTAGGCAGTTCTTTGTATTCCACTAAAGTCAGATTCTAATTGTTTCTAGGTCTGTTTTGTAGAACAACAGAGAGAAGATGAATTCCCCAACTATATGTTAGCCTTTCAGATATTTGAAGGCAGTGATCACCTTCTCTAGCGTATTCTCTTCACTATGCTAAGCATGGCTAGTTTCTTTAATTGTTGCCTCTGTTAGATCTTTTATCCTCTAGGATGTCTCCCAATAAATGTACTTCTATTTGAATTTTCCTCTCTAATGTAAAGGACCCAGAACTAAACTCAGCACTCTACCTGTACTGACTACGTTACCTGTATAGTGGTCCCAATGAGACTTTGGTAGCCAATTTAAGATTTAGCATGTGTGACATTGAAATAGTCCATGATTTGAATTTATTTTCTTAGTACAAATATAACCTTGTCAATCAGATCCTCAACAAAGGTAAACAACACCAGTAATAATGATAGCCACAAGTAACACCACCCCTACCCCACCCTTGGCTTCTGTGATACTATTTCTTCTAGATCATTTCTTCTTTACTGACCCCTTCAATGTTGTTCTTTCCCACTATTCCATCCTCCTTTTTTTCCATTTCTGCATGTATTGAATGTCCAGGATTTAGGTAGCTACTCCCAACATACTAATTGCTCCAAAATATATACTCACCTCTTTTCCTGTATTCAGATCCACATTTCAAACTGCTGACTGCACATCTCCACCTGGCTGGGTCTTAAGAACTTCATACTCACCGTGTTTGCAGAAATCATTCTCTCTCTGTGATCCCCCCTTCCTCCTGTGTCCCCTGCTCTGGGAATAGCACCACTCTGTACCCAAAAAACTTACTTGTCCTTGATTACTCCATCTCCTTCTTCCTACTGCCTCCATCTTCAATTAGTTACCACATCACCTCTGTTCTACGCCTAATTGCCTCTTCGATTTCTCTCATTCTTTATCCCCACTGCCACCAGTCTATTTCAGGCCCTTATTATTATATTTTACCAGGACTAGTAACGTAGTCTCTCAACTGGTCTCTCTGCCTCCCTAGTTCTGTTTTCCCTCCCAAGTCCTCCTCCATGCTGTCACCAACATGGTACTGGTCTGTGGCCTGCTAAGAACCAGGCTGCACAGCAGGAGGTGAGCAGTGGGCAAGGGAGCATTACCACCTGAGCTGCGCCCCGGTCAGATCAGCTACAAGCATTAGATTCTCATAGAAGCACAAACCCTATTGTGAACATTGCATACCAGGGATCTAGGTTATGAACTTCTTATGATAATCTAATGCCTGATGATCTGAGATGGAACAGTTTTATCCCATATCCATCCTCTCCCTGGTCTGTGGAAAAACTGTATTCCACAAAACTAGTCTCTGCTGCCAAAAAGGTTAGGGAACACTGGCCTAAAGTATATAATCTAAAACTCTTCATTATGTACAATAATCTGGCTCCTGCCAACCATTCCAATCTCATTTCCTACCACTTGCTAATTTATACCTGTTTGGGTACATCTAGGTCCTTAAATAGTTTATGCATTTTTATTCTTGGTGCTTTTACACATGATATTTCCTCTGTTTGGAATGAATTTTCTCTTTCCTACCCTTATCAGATAAATTTATACTTTGTCTTCAGTACCGGGCTCTGTAAAGTCATTCCTGTGTCCATCCCTAGGGACAGTTCATTGCCCTATTCTCAGTAGACCTTACCACCCTTCTAAGTATATCTGTTCATATTCTGCTGACTTTATAGTTGTCCATTTTCATGTCTGACTGTTACACAAAAGCAGAGGCTGTATCTTGCTCATCCTTATCTCCTTGCAAAATTACACATAGTCTAGCCCCAGGTGCTCATAAATGTTTGCATGAATAAAGAAATGAATGGGTGAATAATAAATGAAGGCATGTATGCACGCGTTGGTGCATCAGTATGTCTTTTGATTCAGAATGTCTGAAAGCATATAGTGACGTGTAATAGTATTTGATGAAATGGTTTGGATTATAATCTGGACAATCAATTTAAATGGCCCTCATTTAATGCCACATGACTTACAAAAATATCTGTTTTAATAGGTCTCCAAGTACACTCACATAGCAATTCAGAGCATAAATGTCAAATAAATGGGGAGAGGAAAAGAGAGAGAAAGTGAGAAGACATATTCAGTGTGACTCTCCATGTTTATTTGAGCTGTTATCTGAGTTAATTATTAAACACCAGAATTTATTACCAGCTGAAATTAAGTCCCCCCTCTTACTGTCTGAATGTCTGGGAAAGGATTGGTTGTTTTCATCTGTGCTGTTCCTGTAAGGAAAAGGATACAAGGCACAAAGTTTTTTTAAACCTGTCCATTTTAACCTCCTATTCAGAAAAGAAACATCTCTAAGCTTGAAGCCAAAGAAATTTAGCTTAAGAGGGGTGAAGGAGACAGGAAAAAAGCATGCTGCTAGATTGGAGGATACTGGAAAAATTTTCAGTTATATTGCATAATTCCTAGAAGGCATATAATGAAATATTTTTGATCATCAGTTGTTCAGGAAAAAAGCATGTTGCTAGATTGGAGGATACTGGAAATATTTTCAGTTATATTGCATAATTCCTAGAAGGCATATAATGAAAGATTTTTGATCATCAGTTGTTCAGGAAAAAAGCATGTTGCTAGATTGGAGGATACTGGAAATATTTTCAGTTATACTGCATAACTCCTAGAAGGCATATAATGAAAGATTTTTGATTATCAGTTGTTTAGTTTCACAAGCATTTATGGAGTCCCTAATTTGTGTTCAGTTTTACACTGAGTGTTGTGGGCAATGTATAAATGAATGTTGTGGGTGATGTATAAATGAATGTTGTGGTTCTTACTCTCAAAGGAACTTACAGTATTTGAGGGATCAAAAAGAATGAATAAACTTGTTTGCGGGGATGGGGTGCTGGTGAGGGAGAGGGAAGGCTGACTATGGGTTTAGAAAGATGTTAGCCAAATCAAAGTTCTAAACTGGAACATTGTAGTTAATGATAGAACAAGACCTCATTAAACCTCACTCTAGAGGTAAGTGAATTAATGTGACAGATTTGATGTTACAGTGTTCCTGGGATGGAGGAAAAGAAGGAACATAAATTGAGTCTCTACTTTTTGCCACTTATTGTATTAAGTATGTCAGAGTTTTTATCTTTTAAAATACACACTCTGCAAAGTATGTAGAGAGACTATGAGACTTGCCTAAAGTCCCACAGTATTAGACTTAAGAACAAGGACCATATCTTATTCATATTAATGACAGTAGCAACACTAAACTATGTGCAGATTCCATTTCGTGTTTAAACCTATTAAATCATTAAGACTCATAACAGTCCTATGAAGTATACTCAATTATTACACCATTTTTTCAAAGGAGGAAAGTGAAGCAGAGAAGCTATCTTTGTATACCCAGCATTTTGCCCAGAACCTGTGTCTGACACACTAGGCATCCAGAAAATGGTGGGCGGATAAAACTGGTGCTTATTCCAAAGCTGGAGCATTTAAAGTCTTGTTCTAGTGATGGAATGAGTACTAGAGGGCCCTACCAGGCAAGGAAGAAGAAAACACTGAAAAGTAGCCTGCAGGTATTTTATGAAGTAAACTTCTTCCATAGAAGAAAAGAAGAAACACTTTCTCTCTCTCTCTTTCTCTCTCTCTCTCTCTCTCACACGCACGCACACACGTGCACACACACACACACACATCCTTCAGGAGCTCAGGCTATCTCGAATAGTGAGAAAATGAAATAATATTACATGTATTATGACTGGGAGTCCAAAATTTGATTTGGTTTGATATCTCTTGCACCTTAAAACTTTGGCTAATGTATCTAATCTCCAGGCAGATGTACTTTATAAAACAGCCTCCATTTTCATCACCTTCCTTGCCATTAAGTTTTCTAGCCATGTTCTCTGTGCTTGACGCCCTCCTGCCTCATTTTTAACTCTAATGCCATGATAGCATAGCTACTTTACAATCTTCCTCCCACAGCGTCCCAAAACTTAGACACCTATATATTCTCTTTAAAAAATTAAACAAGGCCAAGCACAGTGGCTTATGCCTGTAATCTCAGCATTTTGTGTGACTGAAGCAGGAAGATCGCTTGAGACCAGGAGTTCAAGATCAGCCTGGGAAACAAAGCAAGATCCCATTTCTACAGAAAAAAATTTAAAAAATTAGCCAGCCATGGTAGCTGCACCTGTAGTCCCAGCTCTTTGGGAGACTGAGGTGGGAGAATTGCTTGAACCCAGAAGTTCAAGACTTCAGTGAGCTAAGACTACACAACTGCACTCCAATCTGAATGCCAGAACAAGACTCTGGCAAAAAAAAAAAAAAAAAAAAAAAAAAAAAAAAAGGCACCTGGCACTGTGCCTCATGCTTGTACTCCCAATACTTTGGGGGACCAAGGTGGGCAGTTTGCTTCAGTCCTGGAGTTTGAGAACAGGCTTTGCAACATGGTGAAACCCCATCTCTACAAAAAATACAAAAATTAGCCTGGTGTGGTGGTGCACACCTGTAGTCCCAGCTATTTCATGGGCTAAGGAGGGAGGATAGCTTGAGCATGTGAAGTTGAGGCTGCAGTGAGCCAAGATCGTACCACTGAATTCCATCCAGCCTGAGTGACAAAGCGAGGGCCTGTCTGAAAAAAAAAAAAAAAAAAAAAAAAAAAGACAAAATAAACTTTCATGGCTAGAAAAATATTTAAATGATGTGCTAGTTTAGACAAGATTATAGCTGTCTTTTCCATCTTACTTGGACTCACAAACATTCATTCATTCATTTATTCTATTTTTATTTAGAAGCTAGTAATAATATCACCCATTTATTAAATATCTGTATTGTATCAGGTGAGGTATTAATGAACTTGACCACTTATCTAGTTAACATCTAGTTAACACACACACTATCCTGTAGTGTGTGTGTTGTTCTCTGAATTTTTATTTTATTTTATTTTGGTAAGAGGGTCAAATTGTAAGATCTACCAACTTAAAAATGTTCGAGTGTATACTACTGTATTCTTAACTCTAGGCACAATGTTGTACAGAAGATCGCTAGAACTTATTTATCTTTCATAACTGAAATTTTATCCTTATTGTTTAGTAACTGCTCATTTTCCCCTCCCTGCAGCCCCTGGCAACCACTTTCTGATTCTATGAGTTTGACTATTCTACCATTCCACTCTGTGAACTCATAGAATATGAGTACGACTGTTTTAGATATTTCATATAAGTGAAATCATGCAGTATTTGTCCTGTGCCTGGCTTATTTCATCTAATGTCCTCAGCTTTAATCAGATTGTAGCATATTTCAGAATTTTCTTCTTTTTTTTTAAGAGGAAGGATCTTGCTCCATTGCCCAGGCTGGAGTTGGAGTGCAGTGGCACAGTAATAGTACACTGTAGCCTCAGACTCCAGGGCTCAAGCGATCCTCCCATGTCAGCATGCCAAGTAGCTAGGACAACAGGCAAACACCAGATAATTTTTTTAAATAAAAATATTGAGATAGGGTCTTGCTATGTTGCCCAGGCTTGTCTTGAACTCCCAGCCTCAAATAATCCTCCTGCCTCAGCCTCTTAGAGTGCTGGGATTACAGGCATGAGCTACCATGCCGTGCCCCAGAATTGTCTTTAAAACACCAATAATATTTCATTGTATGTATATACCATATATTCTTCATCAATTCACCCATTGATGGACATTTGTTTCCACATATTGGCTATTGTAAATAGTGCTAAAATCAATAAACACAGGAGTACTACTGTCTGTTTGAGATGCTTATTTCAACTTTGTGAAATAAATACCCAGATAGGGGATTGCTGGATCACATGATAATTTTATTTTTAACTTTTTAAAGAACTTTCATATTGTTTTTCATAGTGGCTGAACCAATTTACATGCTCCCCATTGCTATACAAGGGTTCCAATTTTTTCCACATCCTCGATGACACTTGTGGGTTTTTGTATAGTTTTTTAAACAATATCCAATTCTAATAGGTGTGAAATAATAATCTCATTGGGGTTTTGATTTTCACTTCCCTGATGATTAATGACATTGAGCATCTTTTCATACACCTATTGGCTATTTATATATCTTCTTTGGAGAAATATCTGTATGACTATCCATTACTATAGCTTATTTTTAAAATAAGGTTATCAGCTCATTGCTGTTGAGTTGTTGGAGTTCCTTACACATTTTGGAGATTAACCTCCTTTTCAGATATATGATATTCTTCAAGATCCCCAGAAATATGTAAGTGTGGTCTCCCATTCTGTAGTTTGCTTTTTCACTCTGTTGGTTGTTTCTTTTGCTGTATCAAAGCTTCTGAGTTTGATGTAGTCCCACTTACTTATTTTTGCTTCTCTTTCCTTTGCTTTTGGTATCATGTCCATGAAAGCACTGCCAAGACCAATGTCATAAAGCTTTTATTGTATGTTTTTTTTTCTAGCAGTTTTATAGTTACAGGTCCTAGATGTAAAGCATTAATCCATTTGGATTTTCTGTATATGTTGTGAGATAAGGGTTAGATTTTGCATATGGATATCTAGTTTTCCCAGAAATATATGTTGAAGAGACTATCTCATCCATGCTGTGTATTCATGGCATCCTTGCAGAAGATTAGTTAAACATATATATGCAAGGATTTATTTCTGAGCCTTGTATTCTATTTTATTGGTCTTTATGTCTGACTTTATGCTACTACCATACAGCTTAATTATTGCACCTTTGTAATATATTTTTAAAGCAGTGTGATGTCTCCAGCTGTGTTCTTCCCCAAGCTTGATTTGGCTTTTTGAGGTCCTTCATAGTTTCACATGAATTTAATTTTTTTTTTATTTTGTAGCCACTGGGATGTTTAAAATGTAAAAATGCCACTGGAATTGCATTGAGTATTACGGACATTTTAATAATATTAAATCTTTCAATCCATAAACACCAGAGGTCTTTCCATTTGTTTGCGTCATCTTTAATTTTATCTGTTAATGTTTTAAAGTTATCAATGTACAAGTCTTTTCCCTCCTTAGTCAAGTTTATTCCTATTTTATTCTTTAGGTGTTATTGTAAATGGGATTTTTAAACATTTCTTTTATAGATATTTCATTGTTGGTCTATAAAAACACAACTTGTTTTTGTATGTTGATTTGGTATCCTACAACTTTACTGAATTCATTTATTAGTTCTAACAGTATTTAAATGAAGTATTCAGAGCTTTCTATACACAAAATAATGTCATCTTCAAACAGGGATGGTTTTAACTCCTCCTTTCTGATTTGTATGTCTTTTATTTCTTTGTTTTTATTTATTTATTTGCAGACTTGCTTTGTCTAGGACTTCCACTACTATGTTGAATAGAAGTGGCAGGAGTGGGCATACTTGCCTCAATCTTAATCTTGGAGGAGAGGAAAAGCTTTCAGATTTTCAAGGTTGGGTATAATGTTAGCTATAGACTTCGCATATATAACCTTTATTATGTTGAGGTACTTTCGCTTTTTTTTTTTTTTTTTGAGACAGGGTCTCACTCTGTTGCACAGGCTGGGGTGCAGTGGCAGAATGACTGCTCACTGCAACCTCAACCTGGCAAACTCAAGTGATCCTCCCACCTCAGCCTCCTGTGTAGCTGGGACTACAGGCATGTGCTATCACACCCAGCAAAATTTATTGTTTTTTGTAGAGATGGGTCTCATTATGTTGCCTAGACTGGTTTCAAAATTCTAGCCTCAAACAATCCTTCTGCCTCAGCCTCCCAAAGTGCTGGGATTTCAGGCCTGAGCCACCACACTAGCCTGGTAAAGTATGTTGAGAGTTTTTATCATGAAAGGATGGTAAATTTTGGCAAATGGCTATTCTTCATCTATTGAGATTATCATATGTTTTTATTGTTTATTCTGTTAATGTGGTGTACCACATTAATTTATTTCCTCATGTTGAAACATTCTTGCATTTCAGGAATAAATCTCACTTTGTCATGCTGTATGAGCCTTCTAATGTGCTGTTGAATTCAGTTTGCAAGTATATTGTTGAGGATTTTTGCAACTATGTTCATCAGAGATATTGGCCTGTAGTTTGTTTTCTTGTGTGTCTTTCTTTGGATTTGGTATCAGGATAATTACTGGCATTATAAAATAAGTTTTTCTTCTTTTCAGGTTTTTGGAAGAGTTTTAGGATTGGTAATAATTCTTTAAATGTTGGTAGACACGTGAAGCCATCTGGTCCTGGGTTGTTTTTTTCTTTCTTTTTTTTTTTTTTTGAGACATTTTATTACCTATTCAATGTCCTTGCTCGTTATTTTTCTTTCTAAATTTTCTGTTTCTTCATGATTCAATCTTGGTAAGTTTTATGGTTTCAGGAATTTATCTGTTTTTCTAAGTTAGCCAATTTGTTGGCATATAATTTTTCTTGTGATTTTCTTATGATCTTTTTTATTTCTGTGATGTCAGTTGTAATGTTTTCTTCTTTCATTTCTGATTTTATTGATTTTTCTCTTTTTTCTTATTAAGCCTAGCTGAAAATCAATTTTGTCTTTTCAAAAAAACCTCAGTTTTGAAATATTTCTACTGTTTTTTATTCTTTGTATAATTCTGCTCTGATCTTTATTATTGTTATTCCTTCTGCTAAATTTGGGTTTACGTTGTTCTTTTTCTAGTTCCTTGTAGTAAAATTAGGTTGCTCACTTGAGATCTTTCTTTTCTCAAAGTATACATTTATCACTATAAACTTCCTTCTTAGTACTGGATTGCTTTTGTTGCATCCTATAGGTTTCAGCATGTTGTATTTTTATTTTTTTTCTCAAGATCATCTCTAATTTCCTTTTTGATTTCTTCTTTGGCCAATTGTGCTATTTAATTTCCACATATTTCTGAATTTTTCAGTTTTCCTTCTACTAAGGTTTTTTTATGTTAAAATAGCACTCTTAGATTATTTTGTACAATTATTTTTATTATTGTATGGATAAATTTAAGGTGTACAACATGATGTTTTGATATATATAGTAGAGTATATATTTACTGTAGAGTAGATTATTTACCGCAGCCAAGTAAATTAATGTATCTGTTACATCACATAGTTACTTTTCCTCTTCTTTTTCTTGGTAACAGTAACCAAAATCTACTCTGCTAGTAAATTTCCAGTGTACAATACAATATTACTGACTATAACTCACAAGCTGTACATTATATCTCTAGACCTACTCATTCTACCCAACTATAACTTTGTACCTTTGGTCTCTATCCTCCTATCTTCCTCACACCCCCACACACCACTGGTAACTACCACTGTTCTGCTATCTGTTGCTATGTATTCTGTTTCTTAAAAAAAACATTTATTTTATGTTCAGGGGCACATGTTAAAATTTTTTATATAGGTAAATTGCATGTCATGAGGGTTGGGTGTACAAATTTTTTGCCATTCAGGTAATGAACATAGTGCTCAATAGGCATTTTTTTCTGATCCTCTCCCTCCACCCACCCTCAACCCTCAAGTAGGCCCTGGTGCCTGTTGTTCCCCTCCTAATGTCTATGTGTTTTCATTATTTAGCTCTCATTTATAAGTTAGAATATGTGGTATTTGGTTTTCTGTTCCTGCATAATTTGTTATGGATAACGGCCTCCAGCTCCATTCTGCAAGTGACAACATGTGGTATTTAGTTTTCTGTTCCAGCATACATTTACTAAGAATAATGGCCTCAAGCTTTATTCATGTTGCTGCAAAGGACATGATCTTGTTTCTTTCTCTCTAGTTTCTTGCTCTGGCCAGGGCTTCCAATATTATTTTGATTACACGTGGTGAGAGAAGGCAGCGTTGTCTTGTGCAAGTTTTCAAGAGCTTTATTTTAATGGCTGTATATATTCCATAATGTGCCTGTACCACATTTTCTCTATACAGTCTACCATTGGTAGGCATTTAGGTTGATTCCATGTCTTTGCTATCATGAATAGTGCTCTGATGAACATACATGTGCCTGTATCTTTATGGTAGAATGATTTATATTCCTATGGGTATAACTTGAACAATGAGATTGTTAAGTTGAATGGTAATTATGTTTTAAGTTCTTTAATGAATCATCGCACTGCTTTCAACAATGGCTGAGCTAATATACACTCCCACCAGCAATGTATAAGTATTCCCTATTCTCTACAACCTCACTAGATAATATTGATTTAGACTTTTTAACAATAGCCATTCTGACTGGTGTGAGATGGTATCTCATTGTGGTTTTGATTTGATATTATCTAATGACTAGTGATGTTGAGCATTTTTTTCATATGCTTGTTGGCCATGTGTATATCTTCTTTTGAAAAAATGTCTGCTTGTGTCCATTGCCCACTTTTTAACAAAGTTGTTTCATCTTTCCTTGTAGATGTGTTTAAGTTGATTATAGATTCTGTATATTAGACCTTTGTCAAATACATACATTCTCTCATTCTGTAGGTTGTCTGACTACTCTGTTGATAGTTTCTTTTGCTGTGCAGAAGCTCTGTAGTTTAACTAGATCCATTTGTCAATTTCTGCTCTTGTTGCAATTTCTTTTCACTTCTTCATGTAATTGTTGCCAAGTTTTATGTCCAGAATTGTATGTCCTCCATTATTTTCCAGAGTTATTATAGCTTTAGGTTTTACATTTAAGTATTTAATTAATCTTGAATTGATTTTTGAATAGTGGTGTAAGGTAAGGGTCCATTTCCAATCTTCTTCATATGGCTAACCAGTTATCCTAGCACCATTTATTGAAAAAGAGTCCTTTCCCCACTGCTTGTTATTGTCTGTTTTGTCAAAGATCAGATACTTGTAGGTGTTCAGCCTTATTTCTGAACTTTCTATTCTGCTTCATTAGTCTATGTGTCTGTTTTTTAGTTACCAGTACCGTGCTGTTTTGGCTACTGTGGCCCTATAGTTTGAAGTCAGATAAGGTGATGCCTCCCATTTTGTTCTTTTTTCTTAGGATTGCCTTGGATATTCAGGCTCTTTTTTGATTCCATATGAATTTTTAAATTGTTTTTCTAGTTCTGTGAAGAATGTAATTGGTATTTTGATAGGGATAGCATGGAATCTATACATGCTTTGGAGAGTATAGCTATTTTAATGATATTGATTCTTTCCATCCATGAGCATAAAATGTTTTTTCATTTGTTTGTGTCATCTCTGATTATATTGAGCACTGTTTTGTAATTCCCCTTGTAGAGATCTTTCACCTCTTTTATTAGTTGTATTCCTAGGTATTTTATTCTTTTTGTGGGAATGGTGAATGAGATTGTATTCTTGATTTGACACTCAGGTTGGATGTTGTTGTATAGAAACGCTAATAACTTTTGTACATTCATCGTGTATCCTGAAGCTTTGTTGGATTTGTTTGTCAGATCTAGAGTTTTTGGGCAGAGACTACGGAGTTTTCTAGATATAGAATTATGTAATCCACAAACAGCAATAATTTGACTTCCTATCTTTATTTGGATGCCTTTTATTTCTTTCTCTTTCCTGATTTCTTTGGCCAGGGTTTCCAATAATATTTTGAATATGAGTGGTGAGAGAAGGTATCATTTTCTTGTGCCAGTTTTCAAGAGGAATGCTTCCAGCTTTTGCACATTCAGTTTGATGTTAGCTGTACATTTGTCACAGATGGATCTTATTGTTTTGAGGTATGTTTTTTCAATGCCTAGTTTATTGAATCTTTTCAATATGATGGGATGTTGAATTTTGTTGAAAGCTTGTCTGCATTTATAGAGATGATCATGTCATTTGATTTTTTAGCTCTGTTTATTTAATAAATTACATTTATCAATTGTGTATGTTGAGCAAACCTTGCATTCCAGGGATAAAACCAACTGGATCATAGTGGATTAGCTTTGCAATGTGTTGCTGGACTCAGTTTGCTAGTATTTTGTTGACGATTTTTGCATCTATGTTCATCAAGGATATCAGCCTGAAGTTTTCTTTTGTTAGTGTGTCTCTGCAACGTTTTGCTACCAGAGTGATGCTTGTTGCCTCACAGAATGAGGTGAGGAGGACATCCTCCTCCTAGAATTTTTGGATTAGTTTCCATGAGAATAGTACCAGCTCTTCTTTGTATAGCTGATAAAATTCACCTGTGAATCTCTCTGGTCCTGGACTTATTCTGCTTGGTAGACTTTTTATTACTGATTTAATTTCAGAACCATTATTGGTGTTTCAGGGACTCTATTTCTTCCTGGTTCAGTCTTGAGAGGTTGTACGTGTCTACAAATGTATTTATTTCTTCTAGATTTTCAGTTTGTCTGCATAGAGAGGTTCATAGTAGTCTGGATGTTTTTTATATTTCTGTGGAGCCAGTCGTTATGTCCCCTTTTTCATTTTTAATTATGTTTATTAGGATCTTTGTCTATTTTTTATTAATTTAGGTAGTGGTCTGTCTTATTAATGTTTTCAAATAATAAAATACTAAATTAATTGATAGTTTGTATGATTTTTTTGTGTCTCCACTTCCTTCAACTCAGCTCTGATCTTGGTTACTTCTTTTCTTCTGCTAGCTTCGGGGCTGGTTTGCTCTTGCTTTTCTAGTTCTTCTAGTTGTGATGTTAAGTTGTTGATTGGAGATATTTGCAACTCTTTATATGAGTGTTTAGTGCTATAAACTTCCCTCTTAACACTGCCTTAGCTGTGTCCTAGAGATACTGGTATGTTGTTTCTTTGTGCTCAGTTTCTAAGAATTTCCTGATTCTTGCCTAAATTTAATTAATTCCCTAAAAGATATTCAGGAGGAGGTTGTTTAATTTCCATTTAATTGTATGGTTTTGAGTGATGTTCTTAGTACTGATTTCTTTTTTTTTATTATTATACTTTAAGTTTTAGGGTACATGTGCACATTGTGCAGGTTAGTTACATGTGTATACATGTGCCATGCTGGTGTGCTGCACCCATTAACTCGTCATTTAGCATTAGGTATATCTCCTAATGCTATCCCTCCCCCATCCCCCCACCCCACAACAGTCCCCAGAGTGTGATGTTCCCCTTCCTGTGTCCATGTGTTCTCATTGTTCAATTCCCACCTATGAGTGAGAACATGCGGTGTTTGTTTTTTTGTCCTTGCGATAGTTTACTGAGAATGATGATTTCCAATTTCATCCATGTCCCTACAAAGGAAATGAACTCATCATTTTTATGGCTGCATAGTATTCCATGGTGTATATGTACCACATTTTCTTAATCCAGTCTATCATTGTTGGACATTTGGATTGGTTCCAAGTCTTTGCTATTGTGAATAGTGCCACAATAAACATACATGTGCATGTGTCTTTATAGCAGCATGATTTATAGTCCTTTGGGTATATACCCAGTAATGGGATGGCTGGGTCAAATGGTATTTCTAGCTCTAGATCCCTGAGGAATCGCCACACTGACTTCCACAATGGTTGAACTAGTTTACAGTCCCACCAACAGTGTAAAAGTGTTCCTATTTCTCCACATCCTCTCCAGCACCTGTTGTTTCCTGACTTTTTAATGATTGCCATTCTAACTGGTGTGAGATGGTATCTCATTGTGGTTTTGATTTGTATTTCTCTGATGGCCAGTGATGGTGAGCATTTTTTCAGGTGTTTTTTGGCTGCATAAATGTCTTCTTTTGAGAAGTGTCTGTTCATGTCCTTCACCCACTTTTTGATGGGGTTGTTTGTTTTTTTCTTGTAAATTTGTTTGAGTCCATTGTAGATTCTGGATATTAGCCCTTTATCAGATGAGTAGGCTGCGAATATTTTCTCCCATTTTATAGGTTGCCTGTTCACTCTGATGGTAGTTTCTCTTGCTGTGCAGAAGCTCTTTAGTTTAATTAGATCCCATTTGTCAATTTTGTCTTTTGTTGCCATTGCTTTTGGTGTTTTAGACATGAAGTCCTTGCCCATGCCTATGTCCTGAATGTTAATGCCTAGGTTTTCTTCTAGGGTTTTTATGGTTTTAGGTCTATCGTTTAAGTCTTTAATCCATCTTGAATTGATTTTTGTATAAGGTGTAAGGAAGGGATCCAGTTTCAGCTTTCTACATATGGTTAGCCAGTTTTCCCAGCACCATTTATTAAATAGGGAATCCTTTCCCCATTGCTTCTGTTTCTCAGGTTTGTCAAAGATCAGATAGTTGTAGATATGCAGCATTATTTCTGAGGGCTCTGTTCTGTTCCATTTATCTATACCTCTGTTTTGGTACCAGTACCATGCTGTTTTGGTTACTGTAGCCTTGTAGTATAGTTTGAAGTCAGGTAGCGTGATGCCTCCAGCTTTGTTCTTTTGGCTTAGGATTGTCTTGGCAATGCGGGCTCTTTTTGGGTTCCATATGAACTTTAAAGTAGTTTTTTTCCAATTCTGTGAAGAAAGTCATTGGTAGCTTGATGGGGATGGCATTGAATCTATAAATTACCTTGGGCAGTATGGCCATTTTCACGATATTGATTCTTCCTACCCATGAGCATGGAATGTTCTTCCATTTCTTTGTATCCTCTTTTATTTCATTGAGCAGTGGTTTGTAGTTCTTCTTGAAGAGGTCCTTCACGTCCCTTGTAAGTTGGATTCCTAGGTATTTTATTCTCTTTGAAGCAATTGTGAATGGGAATTCACTCATGATTTGGCTCTCTGTCTGTTATTGGTGTATAAGAATGCTTGTGATTTTTGTACATTGATTTTGTATCCTGAGATTTGTTGAACTTGCTTATCAGCCTAAGGATATTTTGGGCTGAGACAATGGAGTTTTCTAGATATACAATCATGTCTTCTGGAAACAGGGACAATTTGACTCCCTCTTTTCCTAATTGAATAACCTTTATTTCCTTCCCCTGCCTAATTGCCCTGGCCAGAACTTCCATCACTATGTTGAATAGGAGTGGTGAGAGATGGCATCCCTGTCTTGTGCCAGTTTTCAAAGGGAATGCTTCCAGTTTTTGCCCATTCAGTATGATATTGGCTGTGGATTTGTCATAGATAGCTCTTATTATTTTGAAATACGTCCCATCAATACCTAATTTATTGAGAGTTTAAAGATGTTCTTTGAAATCAATGAGAACAAAGACAAAACATACCAGAATCTCTGGGACACATTCAAAGCAGTGTGTAGAGGGAAATTTATAGCACTAAATGCCCACAAGAGAAAGCAGAAAAGATCCAAAATTGACACCCTAACATCACAATTAAAAGAACTAGGAAAGCAAGAGCAAACACATTCAAAAACTAGCAGAAGGCAAGAAATAACTAAAATCGGAGCAGAACTGAAGGAAACAGAGACACACAAAACCCTTCAAAAAATTAATGAATCCAGGAGCTGGTTTTTTGAAAGGATCAACAAAATTGATAGACCGGTAGCAAGACTAATAAAGAAAAAAAGAGAAAAGAATCAAATAGACGCAATAAAAAATGATAAAGGGGATATCAACACTGATCCCACAGAAATACAAACACCTCTACGCAAATAAACTAGAAAATCTAAAAGAAATGGAAAAATTCCTTGACACATACACACTCCCAAGACTAAACCAGGAAGAAGTTGAATCTCTGAATAGACCAATAACAGGATCTGAAATTGTCACAATAATCAATAGCTTACCAACCAAAAAGAGTGCAGGACCGGATGAATTCACAGCCGAATTCTACCAGAGGCACAAGGAGGAACTGGTACCATTCCTTCTGAAACTATTCCAATCAATAGAGAAAGAGGGAATCCTCCCTAACTGGTTTTATGAGGCCAGGATCATCCTGATACCAAAGCCGGGCAGAGACACAACCAAAAAAGGGAATTTTAGACCAATATCCTTGATGAACATTGATGCAAAAATCTTCAATAAAATACTGGCAAACCGAATCCAGCAGCACATCAAAAAGCTTATCCACCATGATCGAGTGGGCTTCATCCCTGGGATGCAAGGCTGGTTCAATATACGCAAATCAATAAATGTAATCCAGCATATAAACAGAACCAAAGACAAAAACCACATGATTATCTCAATAGATGCAGAAAAGTCCTTAGTATTGATTTCTATCTTTATTGTGCTGTAGCCCTAGTGTGTGGTTGGTATGATTTTTTTTTAATTTGCTTAGTACTATTTTATGTCCAATTGTGTGGTCAACTTTGGAGTACATGCCATGCGTTAATGAGAAGAATGTATATTCTCTTGTTTTTGAGTGGGCAGTTCTGTAGATTCATATTAGGTCTATTCAGTCAAGTGTTGAGTTCAGGTCCTGAATATTTTTGTTAATTTTCTGCCTCAGTGATCTAATATTGTCTGTAGAGTGTTGAGTTCTCCTACTATTATTGTGTGGGAATCTAAGCCTCTTAGAACTTGCTTTATGAATCAGAGTGCTCCTGTGTTGGGTGCATATATATTTTGGATAGTTAGGTCTTCTTTTTAAATTGAACCGTTTACCATTATATAATGTTTTTCTTTATTTATTTATTTTTTTTTACCTTTGTTGGTTTAAAGTCCACTTTGTCTGAAATTAAGATTGCAACTCCTGCTTGTTTCTGTTTTCCATTTGCTTGATAGATATTTCCCCATCCATTTATTTTCAGACTATGGATGTCATTGCATGTGAGATGGGTCTCCTGAAGACAGTATACCATTGGGTCTTGCTTCTTTTCCAGCTTGCCCCTCTGTGTCTTTTAATTGGGACATTTACCTCATTTTCGTTCAAGGTCAGTATTGATATTTGCAGATTTGATCCTGTCATCTTGTTGTTAGCTCGTTATTTTGCAGACTTGTTTGTGTGGTTGCTTTATAGTGTCACCGATCTGTGTAGTTCAGTGTGTTTTTGTAGTGTTTGGTAATGGTCTTTTCTTTTCTTATGTAGTGGTCCTTTTAGGACTTCGTGTAAGGCAGATCTGGTGGTAAAAAATTTCCTTAGCATTTGCTTGTCTGATGAGGATTTTATTGTTCCTTCACTTGTGAAGCTTAGTTTGGCTAGACATAAAACTCTTGCTTGCAAATTTTCTTCTTGGGATGGGGGAGGGAAAGCATTAGGAGATATACCTAATGCTAAATGAAGAGTTAATGGGTGCAGCACACCAACATGGCACATGTATACATATGTAACAAACCTGCACATTGTGCACATGTACCCTAAAACTTAAAATATAATAATAATAAAATTAAAAAAAAAGAATGCTGAATATAGGTCCTCAATCTCTTTTGACATGTTGGGGTTTTTAGTAAAAGATATGCTGTTAGTCTGATGGGCTCCCCTTTATAGGTGACCTTCCCCTTCCCTTTAGCTGCATTTAATATTTTTTCTTTCATTTTTACTTTGAAGATTCTGATGATTATGTGTTTTGGGAATGGCCTTCTTGAGTATTATCTCACAGAGGTACTCCTCATTTCCTGGACTTGAATACTGACCTCTCTAGCAATGTTGGGAAAATTCTCATGGACAATATCCCTAATACACTTTCCAAGTTGCTTACTTTCTCCTCATCTTATCCAGGGATACCAATGGGTCATATATTTTGTCTCTTTACATAATTTCGTATTTCTCAGATGTTTTGTTCATTCTTTTTTCTTTATTTTTGTCTGACTGAATTATTTCAGAGAGCCAGTCTTCGAGCTCTGAGATTTTTTTCCCTCAGCTTGGTCAATTCTACTGTTAATACTGGTGCTTGCAGTATGCAATTCTTTTTTTTTTTTTTTTTTTTTTTGAGACAGAGTCTCACACTGTCACCCAGGCTGGAGTGCAGTGGTGCGATCTTGGCTCACTGCAAGCTCCACCTCCCAGGTAGCTGGGACTACAGGTGCCCGCCACCACGCCTGGCTAATTTTTTGTATTTTTAGTATAGATGGGGTTTCACCATGTTAGCTAGGATGGTCTTGATCTCCTGACCTCATGATCTGCTTGCCTTGGCCTCCCAAAGTGCTGAGATTGCAGGCGTGAACCACCGCGCCTGGCCTATGCAATTCTTATAGTGTGTTTTCAGCCCTATAAGATCAATTTGGTTGTTTTTTATTATAGCCATTTTGTCTATCAACTCCTGTTCTTTTTACTGTGATTTGTAGCTTCCTTCAATTGGGTTTCAATGTTCTCCTGAATTTCAGTGATCTTCATTTCTAACTATATTCTGAATTCTATTTCTGTCATTTCAGCCATTTTAGCCTCATAAAGAACCCTAGCTTGGGAACTAGTGTGGTAATTTGGATGAAAGAAGGCACTCTGACTTTTTGAGCTGCCAGAGTTCTTGTGTTAGTTCTTTGTCATTTGGGTGGGCTGATGTTCCTTCAATCTTTAAAGTTGCTGTTTTTTTGGACAGATTTTGTTCTGCTTTTTCCTTCTTTGATACCCATAGGGTTTGATTATGGTATAAGGTGGGTTTGGTTCACTGGCTTCAATTCTAGTCTGCTCCTGGTTCTTCGAGGAGCCCCCTCCAATTACTATGTCTTTACCTGCATTTCTTTTGTTGGGTGTTCTGGTCCACAGGTCTCCCTCAGGCAGAGATTGTACCTAGCCGCCAAAAGTATCCTTCCCAGAAGACCTAATCTGCGGTTCATGTGCTTTCTGGGGAAACATGGGGTTGCCCCTGTCTGCAGAGTTTAGGGAGAAGTGAGACCACTAGGTGGAAGCCCCAGTGGGTGTGTCCCATCTGGCTATGGGAGGCAGGGTTGAGTGTAGTTGCCCACCCTGTTGTCTAGGTGTTTCTAGGGCAACAGAACGCTGTGCCCCTTGGCAAATTCAGGCAGAAATAGGACCAATGGGCTGGAAGCTCTAGCAGGCATGGCTCACCGGGCTACCAGCGGCAAGTGTGGGTGAGGATGCCCACCCTGCTGTCTAGGTGCTTCCTGGAACATCAGGAGGTTGTGTTCATCAGCTAAGTTCCCATAGATGCAGGACCACTGGGCCAGAAGCCCTAGCAGGTGTTGCCTGCCTGGCCATCAGTGGCCAGATTTTGTGAGACTTATTTACTATCATGAGAACAGCACAGAAAAGACTTGCCCACATGATTCAATTACCTCCCATCCTGTCCCTCTCACAACAAGTGGGAATTCAAGATGAGATTTGGGTGGAGATGCAGCCAAACCATATCACATGCCCTGCCATCTCAGTGTTTCCTGGGACATCAGGAGGCGGTACCCTTCAGCCAAGTTTCCACAGAAGCTGGACCACTGGGTTGAAGCTCTAACCAGCATTTCCCGCCTGGCTATGAGTAGTAGGGCTTAGTGGGGTCACTGTCCCTGCCATCTGGGTGCTTCTTGAGACAACAGGAGGCTGCACATGCTGGTTGAGTTTACACAGAAGCAAAGCTGCTGAGCTGGAAGTTCTACCAAGAGTTACCTGGCTGCCAGTGGTGGAGGTGGGTGGGGTCTTGCATTCAGCTGTCTGGATGTTTCCTGGACAACAGGAAGCTGAGCCTTCTGGCTGAGTTCACGCAGAAGTGGGGCCACTGGTCCAGAAGCTCTAGTAAGTATTTCCCACTTGGCCACCAGTGGTGGGTGTGGATGGATTCATGTGCTCTACCATCTGGGTGTTTCTTGGGACAACAGAAAGCTGTGTCCTCTAGCTGAGCTCACACAGAAGTGGGGCTGCTGGGCTGCAAGTTTTAACAGATGTTGCTCACCTGGCTACCAGTAGTGGGGCATATGGGGTCACGTGTTCTGTCATCTGGGTATTTCCCAGAGAACAGAAAGCTGTGCCCTCCAGCTGAGTTTACAAAGAAGTGGGACAGCTGGGGCAGAAGCTCTAGTAAACATAGTCCTTTTGGCTATCAGTGGCAGAGGTGGGTAAGGTTATGTACTCTGCCCTCTGGGTGTTTCCTGGGACATCAGGAGGCTGTGCCCTCCAGCTGAATTCACCCAAAAGTGGGACCACTGGGCTGGAAGTTCTAGCAAGCATTGTCTACCTGGCTATGAGTGGTGGGGGTAGGTGGGGTAGTCAGCCAAATTTGGGCCAAAGCAGGACTGCTGGATCAGAAGCTGATGCTGGGTCTCAACTGGCAATGGTGGGTAGAACAATCTTTCTGCTCCCAGATACCATAACTGCAGCCTCTATTGGGGTTACGGGACCAGGGCTTGTCACCTCCATGGCCCAAGGCTTATAGATATCACTTGGACTTCAGAGTTGCTTCCACAGGGTGGCTCTCTAAGTCTAGAAGCACAGTTGGGGGAGGGGTGCATGGGAGGTGGGGATTCTCCTATTCCTAGTCTTGCAAAGGTTCTTGTGGAGAGTGTGAATCCCTTAGGAACTCTTACCCACCTTTTTCCCTGTTAGAGAGATTTTTCTGGCTCTGCTCTGAGCTGAGACAAGCTGGTGTCCAGCTTTTCTCCTCTCTACTTTTTGTGCTCTTTTCCTGCCTTGATGGATGCTGATGGGTCTTCCCAGAAGATCAACCTGCAGGGGCAGTGTTCGCTAGCCATTGTTTCCTCTCCATGAGAGCAGTACACATGAGCTGCTTCTAGTCTGCCATCTTGGCCCTGCCCTATGTCTTTTTTAAGGATCACACATATAAATTAGAATATGTGATATTTTTCTTTCTCTATCTGGGTTAATTTTTTTAGCCTAATCTTGTCTTCTGGGTTTATCCATGTTGTCACAAATGGCAGGATCCCTGTTTTAAAAGCTAAATAATACTTAGGGGGATTGCTGGCAAGATGGCCAAATAGGAACAACTCCAGTATGCAGCTCCCAGTGAGATTGATGTGTAAGGGGGGGGTGATTTCTGCATTTCTAGCTGAGGTACCAGGTTCATCTCATTGGGACTGGTTGGACAGTGGTTGCAGCCCATGGAGGGAAAGCCAAAGCAGGGTGGGGAGTCGCCTCACCTGGGAAGTGCAAAGCAGGGTGGGGAGTAACCTCACCTAGGAAGTGCAAGGGTTCAGGGAATTTTATCCCCTACCCAGTGAAAGCCATGAGGGACTGAGCCTGGGCAACTCTTCACTCCAGCCCAGATACTGTGCTTTTCCTGTGGTCTTCACAACCTGCTGACCAGGAGATTACCTCTGGTGCCTACCCCACCAGGGCCCTGTGTTTCAAGCACAAAACTGGGCAGCCATTTGTGCAGACACCAAACTAGCTGCGGGAGTTTTTTCCCCCCATATCCCAGTGGCGCCTGTAATGCCAATGAGACAGAACTGTTCACTCCTCTGGAAAGAGGGCTGAAGCCAGGATGACAAATAGTCTGGCTTGGATTGAGCCTGGTGGAGGGAGGGGCATCTGCCATTGCTGAGGCTTTAGTAGGTTGATTTCCCTTCACAGTGTAAACAAATCAGCTGGGAAGTTTGAACTTGTCAGAGCCCGCAGCAGCTCAACAAGGCTGCTGTGGCCAGACTGCCCGATTTCTCTTCTCTGGGCAGGGCATCTCTGAAAAAAAGGCAGCAGCCCCAGTCAGGGACTTATAGATAAAACCCCCATCTCCCTGGGACAGAGCACCTGGGGAAGGGGTGGCTATGGGTGCAGTTTCAGCAGACTAAAATGTCCCTGCCTGATGGCTCTGAAGAGAGCAGCAGACCTCCTAGCACTGTACTCGAGCTCTTCTAAGGGTCAGACTGCCTCCTCAAGTTGGCCCCTGACCCCCAGGCATCCTGACTGGGAGACATCTCCCAGTAGGGGCTGGCAGACACCTCATACAGGAGAGTTCTGGTTGGCATAAGTCAGGTGCCCCACTGGGATGAAGTTTCAGAGGAAAGAACAGGCAGCAATCTTTGCTATTCTGCAGCCTCCACTGGTGGCTGCAAAACTCCAAGAAAACAGGGTCTTGAGGGGACCTCCAGCAAACTCCAGCAGACTGGCAGCAGAGGGGCATGACTGTTAGAAGAAAAATTAACAAACACAAAGAAAGAACACATCCACTCAGAGACCCCATACAAAGGTCACCAACATCAAAGACAAAAGGTAGGTAAATCCACAAAGATGGGGAGAAACCAGCACAAAAAGTCTGAAAATTCCAGAAACCAGAACACATATTCTCCTCCAAGGGATTATAACTTCTTACTAGCAAGGGAACAAAATAGGATGGAGAATGAGTTTGATGAATTCACAGAATTAGGCTTCGGAAGGTGGGTAATAACAAACTCCTCTGAGCTAAAGGAGCATGTTCTAACCCAATGCAAGGAAGCTAAGAACCTTGAAAAAAGATTAGATGAATTGCTAATTAGAATAACCAGTTTAGAGAACAACATAAATGACCTGATGGAACTGAAAAACATAGCACAAGAACTTTGTGAAGCATACACAAGTATCAATAGTTGAATCAATCGAGTGGAAGAAAGGATATCAGAGATTGAAGATCAACTTAATGAAATAAAGCGAGCAGACAAGATTAGAGAAAAAGGAATGACAAGGAACAAACAAAGCCTCCAAGAAATATGGGACTATGTGAAAAGACCAAATCTACGTTTGATTTGTGTACATGAAAGTGATGGGGAGAATGGAACCAAGTTGGAAAACACTTTTCAGGATATTATCCAGGGGAACTTCCCCAACCTAGCAAGACAGGACAACATTCAAATTCAGGAAATGTAGAGGACAACACAAAGATACTCCTCGAGAAGAGAAACCCCAAGATACATAATCGTCAGATTCACCAAGGTTGAAATGAAGGAAAAAATGCCAAGGACAGCCAGAGAGAAAGGTCGGGTTACCTACAAAGGGAAGCCCATCAGACTAACATCAGATCTCTTGGCAGAAACACTACAAGCCAGAAGACAGTGGGGGACAATATTCAACATTCTTAAAGAAAAAAAAATTTAACCCAGAATTTCATATCCAGCCAACGTAAGCTTAATAAGTGAAGGAGAAATAAAATCCCTTACAGAGAAGCAAATGCTGAGAGATTTTGTCACGACCATACCTACCTTACCAGAGTCCCAGAAGGAAGCACTAAACATGGAAAGGAACAACCGGTACCAGCCACTCCAAAAACATGCCAAATTGTAAAGACCATCAATGCTATGAAGAAACTGCATCAACTGATGGGCAAAATAACTAACATCATAATGACAGGATCAAATTCACACATAACAATATTAAACGTAAATGGGCTAAATGCCCCCAATTAAAAGACACAGACTGGCAAATTGGATAAAAAGTCAAGACCCACTAGTGTGCTGTATTCAGGAGGCCCATCTCACATGTAAGGACATACATAGGCTCAAAATAAAGGGATGGAGGAATATTTACCAAGCAAATGGAAAACAAAAAAAGGCAGGAGTTGCAATTCCAATCTCTGATAAAATGGACTTTAAACCAACAAAGATCAAAAGAGACAAAAAAGGGCATTACATAATGGTAAAGGGATCAATGCAGCAAGAAGAGCTAACTATCTTAAATATATATGCACACAATACAGGAGCACCCAGATTCATGAAGCAAGTTCTTAGAGATTTACAAAGAAACTTAGACTCCCACACAATAATAATGGGAGACTTTAACACCCCATTGTAAATATTAGACAGATCAATGAGACAGATAATTAACAAGAATATTTAGGATTAAACTCAGCTCTGGACCAAGCAGTTGTAATAGACATCTATGGAACTCTCCACCCCAAATCAACAGAATATACATTCTTCTCAGTACCTCACTGCACTTATTCTAAAAATGACCTCATAATTGGAAGTAAAACACTCCTTAGCAAATGCAGAAGAATAGGAATCATAATAAACTGTCTCTCAGACCACAGTGCAATCATATTAGAACTCAGGATTAAGAAACTAACTCAAAACCACACAACTACATGGAAACTGCACAACCTGCTCCTGAATGACTACTGGGTAAATAATGAAATGAAGGCAGAAATAAAGAATTTCTTTGAAACGAATGAGAACAAAGACACAATGTACCAGAATCTCTGGGACACATGTAAAGCAGTACATAGAGGGAAATTTATAGCACTAGATGCCCACAAGAGAAAGCAGGAAAGATCTAAAATCAACATCCTAACCTCACAGTTAAAAGAACTGGAGAAGTAAGAGAAAACAAATTGAAAAGGTAGCAGAAGACAAGAAATAACTAACATCAGAGCAGAACTGAAGGAAATAGAGATACAAAAACTCCAAAAAATCAGTGAATCCAGGAGGTGGTTTTTAGAAAAGATCAACAAAATACACATGAAAAAAATGCTTACCATCACTGGCCATCAGAGAAATGCAAATCAAAACCACAATGAGATACCATCTCACACCAGTTAGAATGGCAATCATTAAAAAGTCAGGAAACAACAGGTGCTGGAGAGGATGTGGAGAAATAGGCACACTTTTACACTGTTGGTGGGACTGTAAACTAGTTCAACCATTGTGGAAGTCAGTGTGGCGATTCCTCAGGGATCTAGAACTAGAAATACCATTTGACCCAGCCATCCCATTACTGGGTATATACCCAAAGGACTATAAATCATGCTGCTATAAAGACACATGCACATGTATGTTTATTGCGGCACTATTCACAATAGCAAAGGCTTGGAACCAATCCAAATGTCCAACAATGATAGACTAGATTAAGAAAATGTGGCACATATACACCATGGAATACTATGCAGCCATAAAAAATGATAAGTTCATGTCCTTTGTAGGGACATGGATGAAATTGGAAATCATCATTCTCAGTAAACTATCGCAAGGACAAAAAAACAAACACCGCATGTTCTCACTCATAGGTGGGAATTGAACAATGAGAACACATGGACACAGGAAGGGGATCATCACACTCTGGGGACTGTTGTGGCATGGGGGGAGGGGGAGGGATAGCATTAGGAGATATACCTAATGCTAAATGACGAGTTAATGGGTGCAGCACACCAGCATGGCACATGTATACACATGTAACTAACCTGCACAATGTGCACATGTACCCTAAAACTTAAAGTATAATAATAATAAAATTTAAAAAAAAGAAAAAAAAAGAAAAAAATGAAACTTAGCTTTCTCTAATAAATATGTTAAAAGAAAAAAAAGAAAAGATCAACAAAATAGATAGACTGCTATCCAGTCTAATACAAAAGAAAAGAGAGAAGAATCAAACAGAAGCAATAAAAAATGATATAGAGAATATAACTACTGATTCCACAGAAATACAAACTACCATCAGAGAATACTGTAAACAGCTCTACACAAATAAACTAGAAAATCTAGATGAAATGGATATATTGCTGGACACACACACCCTTCCAAGCCTAAACCAGAAAGAAGTCAAATCCCTAAATAGGCCCATAAAGGTTCTGAAATTGAGGCAGTAATTAATAGCCTACCAACCAAAAAAAGTCCAGGATCAGATGGAATCACAGCCAAATTCTACCAGAGGCACAAAGAGGAGCTGATACTATTCCTTCTAAAACTATTCCAAACAACAGAGAGAGAATCCTCCCTAACTCATTTTATGAGACAAGCATCTTCCTGACACCGAAACCTGGCAGAGACACAATAAAAAAAGAAAATTTCAGGCCAATATCCCTGATGAACATTGATGCCAAAATCCTCAGTAAAATATTGGCAAACAAAATCCAGCAGCACATCAAAAAGCTTATCCACCACGATCAAGTTGGCTTCATCCCTGCAATAAAAGGCTTGTTCAACATATGCAAATTTTCATGCGCATCTGTGCAAAGAGACTGCCAAACAGGCTTTGTGTGAGCAATAAAGCTTTTAATCACCTGGGTGCAGGCGGGCTGAGTCCGAAAAGAGAGTCAGCGAAGGGAGATAGAGGTGGGGTGGTTTTATAAGATTTGGGTAGGTAAAGGAAAATTACAGTCAAAGGGGGTTTGTTCTCTGGCAGGCAGGAGTGGGGTCGCAAGGTGCTCAGTGGGGGAGTTTTATGAGCCAGGATGAGACAGGAAAAGGACTTTCACAAGGTAATGTCATCACTTAAGGCAAGAACCGGCTATTTTCACTTCTTTTGTGGTGGAATGTCATCAGTTAAGGCAAGGACCGGCCATTTACACTTCTTTTGTGGTGGAATGTCATCAGTTAAGGAGGGGCAGGGCATTTTCACTTCTTTTGTGATTCTTCAGTTACTTCAGGCCATCTGGGCATATCCGTGCAAGTCACAGGGGATGCGATGGCTTGGCTTGGGCTCAGAGGCCTGACTTTCCTGCCTTCTTATATTAATAAGAAAAATAAAACAAAACAGTGTTGAAGTGTTGGGTTGGCGAAAATTTTTGGGTGGTGGTATGGAGAGGGAGAATGGGCGATGTTTCTCAGGGCTGCTTCAAGCGGGATTAGGGGCAGCGTGGGAACCTAGAGTGGGAGAAATTAAGCTGAAGGGAGATCTTGTGGTAAGGGGTGGTATTGTGGGGTTGTTAGAAGAAACATTTGTCATATAGAATGATTGGTGATGGCCTGGATACGGTTTTGGATGAATTGAGAAACTAAACGGAAGATACAAGGTCCGAACAAAAGAAGGAGAAAAACGGGTATTAAAGGACTAAAAATTGGGAGGATCCAGGACATCCAATTAGAGAGTGCTCAAGGGGATTCAGCATAATTACTTGCTTGGTTGGCAAGTTTTTGGGCTCTATCCTTGAGTTTTTTTATGTTGTCATACACCAGGCCAGATTGATTTAGGTAAAAACAACACTCTTCATTTAAGAATATACAGAGTCCTTGTTTTTCAGCAGTGAGTAAGTCAAGGCCTCAGCGGTTTTGGAGGACAACTGCAGCTAAAGAGTCAACTTGGGCCTGGAGGACTGATAAAGCTTGTGATATGTCTGCGATGCTAGCAGAGAAGTCATTAGACAGGCTACAGAAGGTCGTGAGAGAGGTTGAAATGCCTGCTATTCCAGTACCGAGAGCAATAGTGGAGGCAGAAAGTCCTAAACCGACCAACAATGGAATTAGTGGAATAACTCTTTTTTGTTGTGTCAGTGTCATGAGGGGAACAGGGAGCTCCTCAGCCCCATTTGCAAATTGAATTTTGGGGGTAAGGAAAACTAGTGTGCATGTGCCTGTCCAATTAGCAGGTAGACACATGTAGGTAGAGGATCCACAGAGGAAGAAAAGACCTTGTGCAAGGCAAAACTGGAGATGCAAAGTAAAAAGGTGAGAAGGAGTGCTGAAAGGGGTGTCTTGTACCCAGACTCCTAGGGATGCAGCTAGGGCGGCAGCCGTCAGAGGTTGTAATGGGGACTGATGGGGTAACTGTGTGGAGGGGGAGGTTCGATTTTCATGGTGTATGAGAAAACGTTGAGTATCTATGAACAACCTTTCACTGTTATTTTCGGGGCTGGATATAAGTAAACAAGAAGAGGGCCTACGAGGAGAGTCTGATGAGCAAGGGGAAGGTAGCCAAGGATGGAGTGAAATACAGGGTAAATGTTTTCCTAAGCAATAATTACTGCTAACATTTTTAAGTTTGTCAGTATTGATAGAGGGCTTGTCTGTAATATGGAGCTGGAAGACTCCAGTTGTTTCAGTGATGTGTGTAGTTGGACTTTGGAGATGAAGAGTAAAGGAACATCAAGAAGGTGAAAAATTATCTAGGGGAATTCCAGTGGGTCTTTGCCAAGAGATACCTAAAGGAGCAGCCACAGGAATAGTAGTTTGTGTTGTGAGAGGTCCAAATATAGGGGGAGTAGAGTTAATATAAGGAGAAAGGTTTTTTTAAATAAGTGCGGAGGAGGGCGGCAGCTTGCTGATGTGAATTGTCTGGGGAAGTCTTGCTGGACCTGTCTAGAAAGTAAATGAGTTCTTCAGGAGGGTAAAGGTGAGGGCTGTTAAAGGAAGTTTGGAGGTGTAAGGAGACAGGAGACATTGCCCAGTCTGTCTGTAAGGCGGGGACAGCTGTGTAGGCACTGGAATAAAGGGAAATGCAAAGCCAGGAGTTGTTCACTAAGGAGGGATTAGAAGCAGCTAGGAGAGAATGGGTAAGGTTGATAGTGTCGTGGAGATAGCTGGGGAGAGGTAGAGGGTGGCATAAGAATGGGAATGTGAATGAGTGAGTATAAAAGTAAAGAATAGAACTTCATCAAGGTGGAAGTATTGGAGGGTGCCCTGCCAGCAAAGATCATCTATCCACTCTAAGAGGGAATTGAGAGTGGTGGTTTGGGGATAGCACCAAGAGATATCAGCTGTGATGGCTTGAAGAAACAGTGTAAACCAGCAGTGTAAACAAGAGTAGGACATTTATAAGTAGTTGAGAATGGAGAATAGGAGTATGACTAGACAGAAAATAGTAGGGATGACAAGTTTTTTGGGGCTCGGCCTAAGTGGTGGGGGTGACTTCGTAAAGCCCTATTGCAAAAAGTAGGGTAAGGACGAACAGACCTAATAGAATGAAGGGATGTATTAGGCTCGTAAGGGTTATTACTGTTCTTCAGAAATACGAGTGAGTTTAAGGGAAGTAGGGGAGAGTACTTGCGACTTCCAGGAGGAAGAGAAGGGATTAGGCTGGCTGTCCAATGGACACAGCTTTATTCTGGAACGGTGAACCCAGTGGGGAGGATCCTGCAGGTGGATGGCAGTCGGGGTACTATAGATGACTAAGTAGGGTCCAGTCCATTGAGGTTGTAGAGTTTGAGGGGTCAGATTCTTAACAAGAACTGATCGTCCAGCTAGGGTGTCTTCATATGGCTGGGGATCTGGAGTAGGCAAGAGAAGATTAGCAGCCTGGCGAATTTCCTGTCTAGCCTGTTGGAGGACTGGAAGATAGTCACCTACAGGGCTGGTGTCTGGGATGAGGTTGGGGCCAAGCAAGAAAGTGCGTCCATATAAAAGTTCAAATGGACTGTACCCTGTAGCATCTCGAGGGCAGGCTCTAATTCTGAGAAGGGCAAGAGGTAAAACTACTGTCCAATCCTTTTTAAGTTGGAGGCTGAGTTTGGTGAGGTGTGTCTTTAAAAGACCATTCGTCTGTTCTACCTTTCCTGAAGATTGAGGATGGTAAGGGATATGAAGGTTCCACTGAATACCAAGAGCCCAAGAAACTGCTTGGGTGATTTGACTAGTAAAGGCTGGTCTGTTATCAGACTGTATAGAGGTGGGAAGGCCAAACTGAGGAATTATGTCTGACAGAAGGGAAGAAATGACCACGGTGGCCTTCTCAGACCCTGTGGGAAAGGCCTCTATCCACCAGTGAAAGTGTCTACCCAGACTAAGAGATATTTTAGTTTTCTGACTCCAGGCATGTGAGTAAAGTCAATTTGCCAGTCCTGGGCAGGGGCAAATCCCCGAGCTTGATGTGTAGGAAAGGGAGGAGGCCTGAACAATCCCTGAGGGGTAGTAGAATAGCAGATGGAACACTGAGAAGTGATCTCCTTGAGGATAGATTTCCATGATGGAAAGGAAATGAGAGGTCCTAAGAGACGGGCTAGTGGCTTGTAACCCACATGGAAGAGGTTATGAAATGATGACAGAATAGAATGGGCCTGTGAGGCTGGAAGGAGATATTTTCCTTGGTCTAAGAACCATTTGCCTTGTGTGGGAAGAGATTGATAGGTGGAAGTTTCAGCGGGGGAGTAGGTGAGAGTGACCGATGTGGAGGAGAAAAACTGGCCGTGAGGGACAGAAGTTGTAGAGCTAGCTGCTTGTCTAGCCACCTTATCAGCATAAGCGTTGCTGTGAGAGACAGA
Source organism: Homo sapiens (assembly GCF_000001405.40). Taxonomy (NCBI): domain Eukaryota; kingdom Metazoa; phylum Chordata; class Mammalia; order Primates; family Hominidae; genus Homo; species Homo sapiens. The sequence continues at coordinate 64,653,688 of NC_000023.11, read as the reverse complement.
AGTTGGAAAGCTAGCTGCTTGTCTAGCCACTTTATCAGCATAAGCGTTGCCTAGAGCAATGGCATCTGACGCCTTTTGATTCCCCTTGCAGTGAATGACCCAGCTTCCTTTGTAAGTAAAGCGGCCTTGAGCAGAGTTTTTATTAAAGAGGCATTAATGATGGAGGACGCTTGTGTAGTGAGGAAACCTCTTTCAGCCCATAATGACCACATGGTGGTGCAGAATATGAAAGGCATATTTAGAATCAGTATAGATATTGATGCGTAGTCCTTTTGCAAGAGTGAGGGTTTGAGTTAAGGCAACTAGTTCGGCTTGCTGAGAGGTAGTGGAAGGGGGAAGAGCGGTAGCCTCAATGATAGATATGGAAGATACTATAACATAGCCTGCCTTTGCTGGTGAGTGGCGATTAGGCCTGGTGGAACTGCCATCAATAAACCAAGTGTGATCAGGGTGTGAAACAGGGAAGAAGGAAATGTGGGGAAATGGGGTGAACGTCAGGTGGATCAGAGAGATGCAGTCATGAGGGTCAGGTGTGGTATCCGGAATAATGTGGGAGGCTGGATTGAAGTCTGGGCCAGGAACAATGGTAATTGTGGGAGACTCAACAAAGAGTGAGTATAGCTGAAGGAGCCAGGGAGCAGAAAGTATATGTGTCAGGTGTGAGGAAGAAAATAGATTTTGGAAATTATGAGAGCTGTAGAGAGTGAGTTGAGCATAGTTTGTGATTTTGAGGGCCTCTAAAACTATTAGGGTGGCAGCAGCCACTGCACAGAGACATGATGGCCAGCCTAAAACAGTAAGGTCAAGTTGTTTGGACAAAAAGGCTAGAGGACGCGATCCTGGTCCTTGTGTAAGAATTCCGACTGCACAGCCCTGCACTTTGGCTGTGTGTAATGAAAAGGGTTGGGATGAATTAGGGAGAGCTAGAGTGGGGGCAGTCTCTAAAGCTGTCTTCAAGGAATGGAAAGAGGAGTGGGGAAAGGATTTAGGCTCTATGGGGTCCACTAGGTTTCCTTTTGTGAGTTTACATAATGGTTTTGTTAGGATGGCAAAACCAGGTATCCAAAGGTGAAAGTATCCAACCATGCCCAAGAAGGAAGGGAGTTGTTGTTTTGTAGAAGGGGTTGGGGTTTGAGAGATCAGTCGGACACGATCAGCAGGGAGAGCATGTGTGTTTTTATGAAGAATTATGCTAAGGTAGGTAAAGGAAGGAGAAGAAATTTGAGCTTGGAGGGGGATACTCGATATCCTTTGGAGAATAAATGCTGAAGGAGCAGAAGTGTGTCTTGTTGAGAAGATTCAAAGGAGGGGCCACGAAGAAGAAGGTCATCAATATATTGAATAAGGTGAGAAGTGGAGGGGTGGAAAGAAAGTAAATCATGAGAAAGAGCTTGGCTGAAGCAATGAGGGCTGTCCCTGAAACCTTGCCCAGGTAAGCTGCTGGGACTGATGGGTATCAGGGTCAGTCCAGGTGAAAGCAAAGAGAGACTGGGATGAGGGGTGCAGGGGAATAGTGAAAAAAGCATCTTTAAGATCAAGAATGGAATAGTGAGTTGTGGAGGAAGGTATTGAGGACAAAAGAGTGTACGGGTTGGGCACCACAGGGTGGATAGGCAAAACAATTTTGTTGATAAGGTGCAGATCCTGAACTAATCATAAGACTTGTCTGGTTTTTGGACAGGTAAAATGGGGGAATTGTAAGGAGAGTTTATAGGTTTTAGAAGCCCATGCTGTAGCAGGAGAGTGATAACAGGCTTTAATACTTTTAAAGCGTGCTGTGGGATGGGATATTGGCATCGAGCTGGGTAAGGGTGGTTAGGTTTTAATGGGATGGTAATGAGCATGTGATCGGTTGCCAGGGAAGGAGTAGAGATGTCCCATACTTGTGGGTTAAGGTTGGGGGATACGAGAGGAAGATGCAAAGGAGGCTTTGGGTTGGGGAGAAGGGTGGCAATGAGATGTGGCTGTAGTCCAGGAATAGTCAGGGAAGCAGATAATTTGGTTAAAATATCTCAGCCTAATAAGGGAACTGGGCAGGTGGGGATAACTAAAAAAGAGTGCATAAAAGAGTGTTGTCCAAGTTGGCACCAGAGTGGGGGAGTTTTCAGGGGTTTTGAAGCTTGGCCTTCAATACCCACAACAGTTATCGGGGCGAGGGAAACAGGCCCTTGAAAAGAAGGCAACATGGAGTGGGTAGCCCCCGTATCGATTAGACAGGGGATGGACTTACCCTCCAATGTGAGAGTTACCTGAAGCTCGGCATCTGTGATGGTCCAGGGGGCTTCCAAGGTGATCAGGCGCGTCAATCTTCAGTTGCTAAGCCAAGCAGATCTGGGAAGGAGTCAGTCAGAGAGCCCTGGGCTAGAGCTCTAGGGGCTCTAGGAGTGGCTACCAGGTGAGCTGGGCAGTCTGCCTTCCAGTGGGTCCTTGCACAGATGGGACATGGCTTGGGAGGAATCCCGGGCTACGGGCATTCCTTGGCCCAGTGGCCAGATTTCTGGCACTTGAAGCAAGATCCTGATGGAGGAAGTCTTGTAGGAATGCTTGACTGCTGCAGCTTAGGCGTGTGTGGCTTAGGCATTTTGAAGTTCTTTTTCTTTATTATTATTATTATACTTTAAGTTTTAGGGTACATGTGCACAATGTGCAGGTTTGTTACATATATATACATGTGCCATGTTGGTGTGCTGCACGCATTAACTCGTCATTTAGCATTAGGTATATCTCCTAATGCTATCCCTCCCCCCTACCCCCACCCCACAACAGACCCCGGTGTGTGATGTTCCCCTTCCTGTGTCCATGTGTTCTCATTGTTCAATTCCCACCTATGAGTGAGAACATGCAGTGTTTGGTTTTTTGTCCTTGTGATAGTTTGCTGAGAATGATGGTTTCCAGCTTCATCCATGTCCCTACAAAGGACATGAACTCATCATTTTTTATGGCTGCATAGTATTCCATGGTGTATATGTGCCACATTTTCTTAATCCAGTCTATCATTGTTGGACATTTGGGTTGGTTCCAAGTCTTTGCTATTGTGAATAATGTCACAACAAACATACGTGTGCATGTGTCTTTATAGCAGCATGATTTATAGTCATTTGGGTATATACCCAGGATTGGGATGGCTGGGTCAAATGGTATTTCTAATTCTAGATCCCTGAGGAATTGCCACACTGACTTCCACAATGGTTGAACTAGTTTACAGTCCCACCAACAGTGTAAAAGTGTTCCTATTTGTCCACATCCTCTCCAGCACCTGCTGTTTCCTGATTTTTAATGATCATCATTCTAACTGGTGTGAGATGGTATCTCATTGTGGTTTTGATTTGCATTTCTCTGATGCACAGTGATGGTGAGCATTTTTTCATGTGTTTTTTGGCTGCATAAATGTCTTCTTTTGAGAAGTGTCTGTTCATGTCCTTCGCCCACTTTTTGATGGGGTTGTTTGTTTTTTTCTTGTAAATTTGTTTGAGTTCTTTGTAGATTCTGGATATTAGCCCTTTGTCAGATGAGTAGGTTGAGAAAATTTTCTCCCATTTTGTAGGTTGCCTGTTCACTCTGATGGTAGTTTCTTTTGCTATGCAGAAGCTCTTTAGTTGAATTAGATCCCATTTGTCAATTTTGTCTTTTGTTGCCATTGCTTTTGGTGTTTTGGACATGAAGTCCTTGCCCATGCCTATGTCCTGAATAGTAATGCCTAGGTTTTCTTCTAGGGTTTTTATGGTTTTAGGTCTAACGTTTAAGTCTTTAATCCATCTTGAATTGATTTTTGTATAAGGTGTAAGGAAGGGACCCAGTTTCAGCTTTCTACATATGGCTAGCCAGTTTTCCCAGCACCATTTATTAAATAGGGAATCCTTTCCCCATTGCTTGTTTTTCTCAGGTTTGTCAAAGATCAGATAGTTGTAGATATGCGACATTATTTCTGAGGGCTCTGTTCTGTTCCATTGATCTATATCTCTGTTTTGGTACCAGTACCATGCTGTTTTGGTTACTGTAGCCTTGTAGTATAGTTTGAAGTCAGGTAGTGTGATGCCTCCAGCTTTGTTCTTTTGGCTTAAGATTGACTTGGCAATGCGGGCTCTTTTTTGGTTCCATATGAACTTTAAAGTAGTTTTTTCCAATTCTGTGAAGAAAGTCATTGGTAGCTTGATGGGGATGGCATTGAATCTGTAAATTACCTTGGGCAGTATGGCCATTTTCACGATATTGATTCTTCCTACCCATGAGCATGGAATGTTCTTCCATTTGTTTGTATGCTCTTTTATTTCGTTGAGCAGTGGTTTGTAGTTCTCCTTGAAGAGGTCCTTCACATCCCTTGTAAGTTGGATTCCTAGGTATTTTATTCTCTTTGAAGCAATTGTGAATGGGAGTTCACTCATGATTTGGCTCTCTGTTTGTCTGTTGTTGGTGTATAAGAATGCTTGTGATTTTTGTACATTGATTTTGTATCCTGAGACTTTGCTGAAGTTGCTTATCAGCTTAAGGAGATTTTGGGCTGAGACAATGGGGTTTTCTAGATATACATCTGCAAACAGGGACAAATTGACTTCGTCTTTTCCTCTTATCAGACATATGGTTCACAAATGTTTTCTCCCAATTCGTAGACTTCCTTTTCATTATATTGATTGCTTTCTTTGTTGGTTGGAAGTGTCTTAGTTTGAAGTAGTCTCCATTGTTTATTTTTCCTTTTGTTGTCTGTGCTTTTATTTGTGTATTAAAAAAATTCTTGCCAAAAAATTTTGTCAGAGCTGTTTCCTATTTTTTAGGAGTCTTACTATTTTAGATTTTATGTTTAGGCCTCTAATATATTTTGAATTGATTTTTGTATGAGGTGAAGTTAGGGCGAATTTTATTCTATTACTTTTTTGTAAGCAGTTTTTTCAAAACAATGTACTAGAAGGACTATTTTTTCTCCGTTGTGTATTCTTGATGTCACTATCAAAACTTAGTTTACCATATATGCTTGGATTTATTTCTAGGGGTTCTATTCTGTTTCATTTGTCAATGTGTCTGTTTTCATGACAGTAACATACCATTTTGATTACTATAGTTTTGTAGTATACTTCTAAGTCAGGTAGCATGATATTTCCAACTTCGTTTTTCTTTCTGTATTGCTTTGGCTATGCAGGGATTTTTATGGTTCCATAAGGATTGTAGAATTTACTTTTCTATTTTTGTGAAACATGCCATTGGAATTTTGGGCAAGACTGAATTGGATCTGTATATCACTTTGGAGAGTATGTACATTTGAACAATACTGATTTTTCCAATTCATGAACACAAGATATTTTTCCATTTATTTGTGTCTTCTTCAATTTATTTTATCAATATTATATAGTTTTCAGTACACAAATTGTTTACTTTCTTTGTTAAGTTTATTTTATTTTTTGTTGCTATAATAATGGAATGGTGTATTAGTCTGTTCTCACATTAGTATAACAAACTACCTGAGACTGAGTAGTTTATAAAGAAAAGAGGCTTAATTGCCTCACAGTTCTGCAGGCTATACAGGAGACATGGCTGAGGAGGCCTCAGGAAATTTACAATCATGGCAGAAGGTGAAGGGGAAGCAAGCACATTGCCACATGGTGACAACAGAGTGGTGGATGGGGAAGTACCACAGATATTTAAACTATCAGATATCATGAGAACTCACTCACTATCACCAGAACAGCAATAGAAAAATCCACCCCCATGATTTAATCACCTCTCACCAGGTCCCACACCCACCATTGGAAATTACAATTTGACATGAGATTTGGGTGGGGACACAGAGCAAAACCATATTATCCCACGCTTGGCCCCTCTCAAACATCATGTCCTCCTCACATTTCAAAACACAGTCATGCCTTCCTGACACTCCCCAAAGTATTAACTCATTCCAGCATTAACTCAAAAATTCATGTCCAAAGTCTCATCTGAGACAAGGCAAGTTCGTTCTGCCTATGAGCCTGTAAAATCAAAAACAAGTTAGTTACTTCCAACATACAATAAGGGTTCAGGCATTGGGTAAATATTCTCATTCCAAATGGCATAAATTGGCCAAAACAAAGAGGCTATAGGCCCTATGCAAGTCTAAAACCAAGCAGGGCAGTCACTAAATCTTAATGCTCCAGAATAATTTCCTTTGATTCCATGTCTCACATCCAGGCCACAATGATACGAGGGTTGAGCTCCCAAGGCCTTTGGCAGCTTTGGCCCTGTGTCTCTGCATGGTAAAGCCCCCGTGGCTGCTTTCTCAGGCTGGCGTTGAGTGCCTGCAGCTTTTCCAGGTTCATGGTGCAAGCTGTTGATGAATCTACCATTCTGGAGGCTGGAGAACGATGGCCCTCTCCTCACTGCTCCAACAGGCAGTGCCCCCATAGGTACTCTGAGTGGGGTCTCCAACCCCACATTTCCCCTCTGCACTTTGCTAGTAGAGGCTCTCCATTAAGGCTCTGTCTCTGCAGAAGACTTCTGCCTTGATATCCAGGCATTTCTATACATCATTTGAAATCTAGGTGGAGGCTCCCAAACCTCAAATCATGCCTTCTGTGCACCTACAGGCCCAACATCACATGGGTGTTGCCAAGCATTGGGGCTTATGCCCCCTGAAACAATGGCCCAAGCTGTACGTTGGTCCCTTTTAGCCATGGCTAAATCTGGAGTGGCTGGGACACAGGGTGTTATGTCCCAAGGCTGCACAGAACAGCAGGGCCCTGGGCCTGGCACATGAAACCATTCTTCCCCATAAACCCAGGCCTGTGAAAAGAGAGGCAGCTGCTAAGATCTCTAAAATACATTGGAGGCATTTTCACCATTGTCTTGGCTATTAGCATTTGTCTCCCCTTTACTTATGCAAATTTCTGCAGCCAGTTTGAATTTCTCCTTGGAAAATGTTTCTTCCCCACACATAGTCAGGCTGCAAATTTTCCAAACTTTTACACTATACTTACTCTTTAAGTTCCAGTTTTACATCATTTATTTGCCCATGCATGTGACGTAGGCTGTGAGAAGCAGCCAGGTTATAACTTGTATGATTTGTTGCTTAGAGTTTTTTTCCTGCCAGATACACTAATTCATTTCTTGCAAGTTCAAAGCTCCACAGATCTCTAGAAAAGGGGCACAATGCTGCCAGTCTCTTTGGTAAAGCATAGCAAGAGTGACCCTTACTCTAGTTCCCAATAAGTTTCTCATCTCCATCTGACACCACTTCTTCCTGGAATCCATTGCCCATATTACTATCAACATTTTGGTCAATAATTCAACAAGTATCTAGGAAGTTTAAAACTTTTCCCAATCTTCCTGTCTTCTTCTGAGCCCTCAAAACTGTTCCTACTTCTGCTTATTACCTAGTTCCAAAGCTGCTTCCACATTTTCAGGTATCTTTATAGAAATGCCTCACTTCTCTGACACCATTTTTTTTTGTATTTTTCTATTCTTACATTGCTATAAAGGACCAATGATACTGGGTAGTTTATAAAGAAAAGATGTTTAATTGACTCATAGTTCTGCAGGCTGTACAGGAGGCATGGCTTGGGAGGCCTCAGGAAACTTACAATAATAGCAGAAGATGAAGGGAAATCAAGCATGTAACATGGCAACAGAAAAGAGAGGGAGAGAGAGAGAGAAAAAAGGGGGAATTGCCACAGACTTTTAAATCATCATATCTTGTGAGAACTCACTGTCACCAGAACAGCAAGGGAAAAATCTATCCCCTTTGATCCAATCACCTGCTACCAGGTCCCCAAACATTGGAAACTATAATTCAATGTAACATTTCGGTGGGGACACAGAACCAAACCATATAAGATGGTTTTCTTGATTTTTTTAGACAACTCATTATTTTTTTTTTATAGAACACAATAAAAGTTTGCTAACTATATTCCTCGTAATGTACATTAGATCTCTGGACTTGTTGATCCTACATGTCTGCACTTTAGAATTTTTTCCCTTACATCTCCCCATTTCCTTCTTTACCAGCCCCTTGATAACCACTGTTTTATTCTCTATCTTTGTCTGTTTGTTGTTTTTCTTTTAAATTTTATCTGTGTGTGACATAATGAGATATTTTTTCTTCTCTTTCTGGTTTATTTTACTTAACATAATATCCTACAGACTTATCCATGTCTTGCAAGTGACAGGATTTTCTTCATATTTAAGGGTGAATAGTATTTTATTTTGTATATATACCTCATTGGGTTTATCAATTCATCCACCAACAACAGATGATTAGGTGTTTCCATATTTTGGCTATTGTGAATAATGCCACAGTAAACATGGGAGCGCAGATACTTCTCACAAAAGTTAATTACTTCAACTCCTGTAGAAATACAACCAGAAATATTGCTGGATTATATGATATTTCTATTTTAACATTTTTCAGGGGCCTCCATACTGTTTTCCGTAATGACTGCACCAATTTAAATTTCCACAAACAGTATAGTGGGGTTTCCTTTTCTCCACACCATTGCCAACATTTGTTATCTCTTGACTTTTCAATAATAGCCATTCTGTCAGGTGTGAAGTGATATTGCAATGTTTTTAACTTGCATGTAACTAGTGATTAGGGATGTTGAGCAACTTCTTATATAGCTGCTGAACGTTTTTATATTTTCTTTGAAAAAATAATGTCAGTTTAGGTCATTTGTCCTTGCTTTATTTGGGTTATTTGTTTTTCTGCTATTATATTGGAAGAGTTCTTTATAAATTTTGGCTATTAATCCCTTATCAGACAAGTGGTTTGCAAATGTTTTCCCAATGTATAGGTTGTCTTTTCATTTTATTGATTGTATCCTTTGCAGTGCAGTAGCATTTTAGTTTGATGTAGTACCATTTATTTATTTTTTCTTTTTTGCAGCCAGTGTAATATCAACAAACTCATTGTTATGACCAATGTTAGGGAGCATTTCTCCTATGTTTCTTTCTAGAAACTTTGTGATTTCAGGTATTGCCTTTATGCCTTTTATCAACTTTTATTTTGTTTTATTTTTGCATGTGGAAGTGTTGTTTTCTCAGCACAATTTATTGAAGAGGTCATTTTTTTCTCATTATATTCTTAGTGCCCTTCCCAAAAATTATTGGCTGTATTAAGTTTAGATTTATTTCTTAGCTTCATATTCTGTTTCATTTCTACATGTTTTTGTTTTTATGCCAGTACTACACTGTTTCAATTACTACAGCTTTGTAATATAATTTTAATCCAGGAAGCATACTCACTCCAACTTTTTTTTTTCTCCATATTACTTTGACTATTTGGGGTCTTTTGTGGTTCCATGTGAACGTTAGGATTTTTTTTTTCTGTTTCTGTGAAGAATTTTGCCAGAATTTTGGTGAGAATTGCATTGAATTTCTATATAGCTTTGGGTAGTATGGACACATTAACAATATTAATTCTTTCAATCCATGAGCATATAATATTTTTCATATTTTTCCACTTATTTGTTTCTTCTTTCATTTTTCAACATTTTATGTTTTCATTGTTTAAATCTCACCTCCTCAATAAAATTTATCCCTTTGTATTTTAAAATTTTGATGCTATTATATGTGGGATTTTTCTGATTATTTTTTCAGCTAAGTTGTCATTTCTATGTAGAAATGCTACTAATTTTTGTATGTTGATTTGCATCCTGCAACTTTACTGAATTTATTTACTAGTTCTAACTTTTTGGTGGAATTTTGGAAGATGCTGTAATTGAAGATAAAGGAAGTGGGGCTGCCAGCTTGGTGTTGCCAGGAAAAATGGCCCCAAGACCTGGACCAGACCCAAAACTAGGATGAGTAAAGAAACCTGGGACACCACATTTTTACCATGAACTTCTGGTATGCTACCTGTAGGAGTTTCCATCAGCCCCACAAAACTTTGAACTAGCAGGGAAGCTGTGTGAGGAACACAGAAAGGCATTGCCTGAACACATATGGAGCCCAAAAGACTTCAATGTGCTGAGCAAAACCAGCAAAATGAAACTCTGGAGGCCTAACTCTCAAGACTGTGTATCCTGCCCTAAGCAGCTACAGCTCCTACTATGTGACAAGTAGGGAGAAAGAGCCCATGCACACTCACATGTCCAAGATAGTCCCCACTGTCATTGACATAGGACTGAAATGCATCTGAATCTTGTACCCCCATAACTGTTGGTTACTTGCAAGGCTGCTTGCCTGGCTGTTTCCACATAGGAGTATTCACAGCACAGTCTCCATTGCCCTGCCTGAGTGGTTTTTTGGTATGCTGGGAGCAGTTTACCCCCACATTACAGCTAATGCTTGACTCTGAAGGGCAAGAGGACAAATCCAATGGCCTGGTCACAGTTCCCCAGTGGTCAAGCATACTGCCCAGGGGTATTGAAATAAGATTTGTCGACTGATTTTAAGTGAAGGAGGAGCTCTCACCTTCTGATAACAGAGAAGAGTGTGGCTCAGAAGAGTGTGGCTGTGTAAGAGCTGGGTGCCTTTCACTTTGCAGGGCTGAACTGGGAAGATTATGACCAGATAGCCAAGGTTTCTGCTACAAGGAGTCTCACAGTCTCGAATGTGTAAAAAGGCTCATCAGTCTTGGCATGGATGGCTTGGCAATAGCATAATGAGTCAGGCCTGTTGTCAGATGCTGGAGGAACACCTGCTGAGTCAGGAGTGTGGATGCTGAAGAGGTCCTATTGTAGACCAATGGGCTAAAAGCCCAAAGCTGCCACTTTTTCCTGAGTAGGCTCTGTGATGGAAGGAACATAATTCCAACCCTCCCTGATGTGTTGTCCAAACTGCCTGTGAGTTGCCTATAGACCCCAACCATGGTCAGTTCTTGCACCCACCTTAGAGAGCCTTGTTGTGGGCTCACTTAACCTAACTCCACCCAGCTCTGCCCTCTCCAGCCACCATGGAAGAAGAGCATGGAACAAAGTCTTGAGAGGGCTACTGACCACTCATAGCCAGGAACATTTCAGTACTTCTACAATCAGCAAGGCCCAAGTAAAAATCCCACTGCCATTACTGAAATTACTTCTCACATTCAAATGCCACCTACTGGCCAGAGAATCAAACTGCGCGGCCCTTCACAACTGCTGACATCATTGTGCAGAGCTCAGCTGGGTCATACTTAAAAATGTCAGGCCTGCAAAATGAACTGCACAATCCAATATAATTCCTGCTGACAGAAACACAAGGCAATGGGAAATAATATAAGCCTCCTAAGACCTATATCTTCCCATCTCTGTAGGAGACAGTGAGCCTAACCACACACAACACACCACTACTAAAATCTACACACAACTGTCATTTGAGAGACCACCACTACAACATTAAGTCTATCCATAACCAAGGAATTCATACAGAGCCTTGGCCTAATAAAAGCACATATAAGAAAACCTAAAAGATGGTACCTAAAATGGACAACAGTCACATTCTCAAGGGGGAAATAAAACAATTCCACCCTCAGAAAAGTAAATACAAAAATAAGAACTGAACTTTCTATAGGTAAGAAAAAACCGGTACAAGAAATCCTGCAACATGAAGAAACAGAGAGTTACGACATCCCCAAATTATCACACTAGTTCTCTAGCAATGAATCCTAAACAAAAATTTTGAAATGACAGATAAAGAATTCAAAAAATAGTGCATAAGGAAGTGCAATGACTTCAATAAATGAATAAATGGAGAGTAAGAAGGCTTAATAACAAAAGAAAATTTAACACCAATACAAATAAACAAGAAATAATAATTTAGGAGAGTTTTTTTTTACTGAGCAGAATTTCTGGAAATAGAATATTTACTGAAAAAATTTTAAAACACAGTTGAAAGCTTTAGCAACAGAATAAACCAAGCAGAAGAAAAAATTTTAGAGCTCGGAGACTGATCTTTTGAATTAACTCAGCTAGACAAAAAAGGAAAAGAAAAAATAATTTTAAAACCTGAATAAAGCCCTTGAGAAATATGAGATTATTTAAATTAACCAAACCTATGATATCTATACATCCCTGAGGGAGAATAAAAACTAAGAATATTGGAAAGCATATTTAAAGAAAAAATTTAGGGAAATTTTTCCATTTTTTCTAGAGACATAGACCTCAAGATACAAGAGATTCAGAGAACATCCAGAAGACACTATACAAGATGAGCATCACCAAAAAATAGAGTCATCAAACTTTCCAAGGTCGTCATGCAAGAACAAATGCTCAAAGGAGCTAGAGAGAAGTGCCAAATTACTTATAAAGCAAATTCTATCAGACTAACAGCAGATTTCTCAGTAGAAATGTTATAAGCCAGAAGAGATTGGGAGCCTATTTGTAGCCTCTTTGAAGAAAAAAGAGGCTAGGCATGGTGGCTCATGCCTGTAATCTTAGCATATTGGGAGGCCATGGTAGGAGGATCACTTGAACCTGGGAGTTAAGACCAGCCTGAGCAACACAGAAAGACCCCATCTCGATTGTCTTTTAAAAAAAGAAATAGAAACATTAGCCAAAAATTTTATATCCTGCCAAACTATGTTTCATAAATGAAGGAGAAATAAAGTATTTCCCAGACCACCAAACACTAAGGGAATTTGTCACCACCAAACTGATACTACAGGAACTGCTCAAAAGAATTCCAAACATGGAAACAAAAGGACAATATTTACTATCATAAAAAATATATGTAACTAGAAAGCTCACACGTTCTAGTGAGCAATTACACAATTGAGACTCTAAAGCAATTACCTAACAAAACTGTGACAGGAACAAGATCTCACAAATCAATATTAACCATGAACGTAAATGGCCTAAATGCTCCATTTAAAATATATAGACTAGTAATTTGGATTTAAAAAAATTCAACCTTCTCTTGCCTACAAAAGATCCACCATACGGATAAAGTTGCCCACAGACTCAAAGCAAAATGAAAAACAAAAGCAAGCGGCAGTGGCCATGCTTATATCAGATTAAACAGGTTCAAAAAGACAAAGAAGATAGGCAGAAAGTCAACCAAAAAACTCTTGACTTGAACTGGACTCTACACCAATGTCCTTAATAGACATGTATAGAACATTCTTCCCTACAATTGTTGAATGTTCATTTTTCTCAACTCTGCATAGAATATTCTGTAATATTGACCATATGTTTGTCCACAGAGTAAGTCTCTAACAATTAAAAAATAAAGCCAAATATTGTCTCAGAAAACAGTAAAATAAAAATAGAAATCAATACCAAAAGAAACTCTCAGAATGAAACAAGTACATAGAAACTAGACAAATTCCTCTTGAATGACTTTTGAGAAAACAATGAAATTAAGGTAGGAATCAAAAAAATTTTTTGAAACAAATAAATTACAAATACAATATACCAAGATGTCTGGGATATAGTGAAAGCAGTACTAAGAGGAAATTTTATAGTATTAAATGCTTACATCAAAAAGATAGAAAGATCTCACATTAACAACCTAACACTACACCTCAAAGAACTATAAAAGCAAGAACAAGTCAAAACAAAAGCTAACATAAAGGAAAAAATAAAAAAAATATAAGAACAGAACTAAATAAAATTAAGACCAAAAAAATGGATTAAAAACAATTAGATTTTTAGAGGATAAACAAAATCAATAGACTGTTAGCTAGTTTAACCAAGAAAAAAGAGTAAGAAAATTTTATAAAGCACAATTAGATACAATAAAGGTGACATGACAACAGATATCACATAAATACAAAAGATCATCAGAGATTACTGTAAACATCTCTGTGCACAAACTAGAAAACCCAGGGGAAATAGATAAATTTTTGGAAACATACAACCTCCCAAGACTGAATCAGGAAGAAATAGAAATCATGAACAAACCAATAAGTATTGAATGTGAATTGGTAATTTTAAAAAATCTTACAACATAAAATAAGCCCATGGCCAGATAAATTTACAGGCAAATTTTACCAGATATAAAGAAAAGCGAGTACCAATCTTACTAAAACTATTTCAAATAATCAAGGAGGAGACATTCCCCACTAATCCATTCTTCAAAACTGTATCAACCTGATACAAAAATCATGCAAGGACATCACAAAGAAAGGAAGCTACAGGATAATAGCTTTGATGAATGTGAACAAAAAATCCTAAACAAAATATTAGCAAACCATCCATCAGCACATCAAAAAGATAATTTATCATGATGAAGGGTAATTTATTCCAGGAATGAAAATACATTTGCACATTTGCAAATCAATGAAAGTGATTCACCACATAAAAAGAATTAGAAAGAAAAACATTATGAGCATCTAAAAAGATACACTAAAAGTATTTAATAAATTCCAACATTCCCTCATGATAAAAAACCCTTAATAAACTAGACATTGAAGGAACATGCCTCAAAAGACATTCACCACTCCTTTTCAACATGGAACTCAAAATCTCAAGCAAGAGAAAAAAATAAAAGTCATCCAAATTGAAAAAAAGAAAAAAGAAAAAAGAAAGTCAAATTAGCTCTGTTTGCTTATGGCATGATCTTATACCTAGAAAATTCTACAGACTTTTTCAAAACACTCCTAGACTGGATGACTGACCTCAATAAAGTTTTAGGACACACAATCAATGTAAAAAAAATAGAATTTTCATACACCAACAGTATACAGGCTGAGAAATAATGAAGAACTCAAACCTATTTATGAGAGCCACACAAAAGAATAAAATAGGTAGGAATATATTTAACCAAAGAGGTTGATATGGTTTGGCTGTGTCCCCACCAAAATCTCATCTTGAATTCCCATGTATTGTGGGAGGGATCCAGTGACAGGTAATTGAATCATAGGGACAGGTCTTTCCCATGCTGTTCTCATGATAGTGAATAACATCTCAGGAGACCTGATGGTTTTATAAGAAGGAGTTTCCCTGCACAAGCTCTTTTTACCTGCTGCCATTCATGTAAAATGTGACTTACCCCTCCTTGCATTCCACCATGATTATGAGGCCTCCCCAGCCATGCAGAAAAGTCCTTTTCACCCTTTTTTCCTTTATAAATTAACCAGTCTCAGGTAGGTCTTTATCAGCAGTGTAAAAAATGGACTAATACAGAGGTGAAAACTCCTACAAGGAGAACTACAAAACACTAATGAACGAAACCATAGATGACACAAACAAATGGAAAAACATTTCATGCTTATGGATTGAAAGAATCAATATAAAATGTCCATACTGCCCAAAGCAATCTACGGGTTCAACAAAATATCTATCAAAAAGACTAATGTCGTTTTTTACAGAATTAGAAGAAACAATCACAAAATTCATAAGAAACCAAAAAAGAGCCTGAATAGCCAAAGCAACCATAAGCAAAAAGAAAATAGTTGGAGTAATTACATTACCTGACTTCAAATAATACTAGAAAGCAACAGTGACTTAAATCGTATGGTGCTGGTCCAAAAATAGACACATAGATCAAGAACAGAGAACCCAGAAATAAAGTTGCATACCTACAACCAACTGATCTTTGACAAGGTTGACAAAACTAAACGGGAAAAACTCATATTTTATTAAATGGTGCTGGAAAAAATTTCTAGCCATATGAAGAAGAATAAAACTAGATCACTATCTCTCACCATATACAAAAGTTAACTCAAGGTGAATTAAAGACCTAAATCTAAGACTTAAAACTATAAAGTCCTAGAAGAAAACCTAGGAAATACTTTTTAGGATATTGGTCTAGCCAAAGAATTTATGTCCGTGACCCCAAAAGAAAATACAAAAGAAGCAAAAATAGACAAATGGAACTTAACCAAACTAAGAAGCTTCCGCACAGCAAAAAATAATAATCAACAGGGTAAATGGACAATGTAAAAAATGGGATAAAATATTTGCAAATTATGCCTCTGACAAAGGACTAATATCCAGAGTCTATGATGAACTTCAAAAACTCAACAAGAAGAAAACAAATCCCATTTTAAAATGGGAAAAGAACATGAACAGACTTTTTAAAAAATAAGACATACAAGTGGGCAAGAAACCTACTAAAAATACTCAACATCACTAATAGTTAGAAAAATGATATATCATCTTATATCAGAGAGAAAGGGTATTATTTAAAAATCAAAAAAGAACAGATGTTTGTGTCAAAGAAAAGATCACCTTTTGTTTCCCACACTGTTGGTGAGAATGTAAATTAATACAACATCTATGGGAAAATTATGGAGATGTCTCAAAGAACTAAACATAGAACTACCATTTCACCTAGCAGTGTCAGTACTGGACATCTATCCAAAAGAAAAAAAAATTATTACATAAAAAATACACCTGAACTCATGTTTATCACAATGTTATTCACAATAAGATAGTCATGTAATCAACCTAACTCTTCTTCAATGTATGATTGGATAAAAATAGTGTGGCATACACACAACATGAAATACAATGCAGCCATAAAAAAAACTGATTAAATCAGTGGGATGTGGAGCAAGATGAGTTAATAGAAGTTTTCACCGATCTTCCTCCCTGCAAGAAAAACTAATTCAGCAACTATTCACATAAAACAGCACATTTATTAAAACCAAAACTCAGATGAACAATCACAGTACCTAGTTTTAAATTTGTATCACTAAAAGAGGCACTAAAGAGGATAGAAAAGGCCATCTTGAATTGCTAATGCTATCCATCCCTCATCCCTTGACAGTGGCCATGTGGCAATCAGAGAGAATCTGTGTAATTTAGGGAGAGGAATCACAGTGGAACCATGCACTGGAACTCAGTGTTTTCCTGTCACAATAGAAAGCAACATGGGGCAGAAATCAACTGGTGCCCATGAAGGGAGCGTTTTAACCAGCCAGAGCCAGAGGGGAATCACCCATCCCACTAGTTGTAACCTGAATTCCAGAAAGCATTACAACTTTGGGCTATAGTGCTCTGGGGTTTAAAATAAACTTGAAAGGCAGTCTAGGCTACAAGGACTGAAATATCGGGGCAAGTCATGTTGCTTTGTTGGCCTCAGAGTGAGTGGACTTGGGGGACACACAACCCAGTGAAACACAAGCTGGAGTGGACAAGAGAGTGCTTACACCACTTTTCTTCCAACCTCAGACAACAAAGTTAACCATTATAGGAGAAACTCCTTCTGCCACCCTGCCACCTGAGGAGAAGAGAGGGAAGAGTAAAAAGAACATTTTCTTCCAACTTGGAAACCAGCTCAGCTATAGTAGGATAGAATATCATGCAGAGTCTTGAGGAACCCATTTCACACTCTAGCTCCTGGATCACATTTATAAACATGCCCTTCACCAGAATGGAACCTGTTGCAATGAATGAAAGGACTCAGTCCTGGCAAGATTCACCACCTGCTGACTACACAGACCTGAACAATCACAGGCAGTAGCCAGGTAGTGATTACCACAGACCTTGAGCAAAACTGCATAATGTGCTGGCTTCAGGCCTGACTCAACATATACACATTTGTTGACCACAGGAGTACCTGTGTAACCCCTCTCATAGCTCCAGATACCTAAGAACAGAAAGAGAGGCTCTGTTTCTTTGGGATAACATAAGGAAAGAGAACAAGAGCCCCTGCCTGGTAATCCAGAGAAATCTGGATTCTATCCAAGACCACCGAGTAGGTCTCTACAAGTCTGCAAGTGCCACATGATTACTGAGCTTGGGTTACTAACAAATGCAGATACGACTACAGTTACTGAAAACTTAGATCAAAACACCTGAGTTCCATCAAATATCTGAAAAGGCGTCATAAGAAGGCTGGGAAAAACCAATCTGAGACAGCAAAGGCTACAATGAATACCTAAACCTTCAATACTCAGAAACCAACACACATTCACAAGCATTTAGACTACCCGGGAAAACGTAACTTCACCAAACAAACTAAATAAATCACCAAGAACTAATCTTGGAGAGACGAAGATATGTAACATTTCAGATAGAGAACATAAAATAACTGTTTTGAGGAAACTAGAGGAAATTAAAGACAACACGGAGAAAGAATTCAGAATTCTGTCAGGTAGACTGAGGAGACTTAAATAATTATAAAGAACCAAACAGAAATTCTGGAGTTGATGAATGCAACTGACATACTGAAGAATACATCGGAGTCTCATAAAAGCATAATTTATCAAACAAAAAAATTAGAGAACTTGAAAACAAGTTACTTGAAAACAAACACAGTCTGAGAAGACAAAGTACAAACATATTTTAAAAATAAAGCACTCCCACAAAAGCTAAAAAATAGTCCCCAAAGGGAAAATCTAAGAGTTAGTGGCCTTATTGTGTCTCTGCCAGGCTTTAGTATCAGGATGATGCTGGCCTCATAAAATGAGTTAGTGAGGATTCCCTCTTTCTATTGATTGGAATAGTTTCAGAAGGAATGGTACCAGCTCCTCCTTGTATCTCTGGTAGAATTCGGCTGTGAATGCATCTTGTCCTGGACTTTTATTGGTTGGTAAGCTGTTAATTATTGCCTCAATTTCAGAGCCTGTTATTGGTGTATTCAGAGATTCAACCAAAGCCTGGCAGAGACACAACAAAAAAAGATAATTTTAGACCAATAACCCTGATGAACATCGATGCAAAAATCCTCAATAAAATACTGCAGAACTGAAACCAGCAGCACATCAAAAAGCTTATCCACCATGATCAAGTGGGCTTCATCCCTGGGATGCAAGGCTGGTTCAACATACGCAAATCAATAAATCTAATCTGACATGTAAACAGAACCAATGACAAAAACCACATGATTATCTCCATAGATGCAGAAAAGGCCTTTGACAAAATCCAACAACCCTTCATGCTAAAAACTCTCAATAAATTAGGTGTTGATGGGATGTAACTCAAAATAATATGAGCTACCTATGAAAAACCCACAGCCAATATCATACTGAATGGGCAAAAACTAGAAGCATTCCCTTTGAAAACTGGCACAACACAGGGATGCCCTCTCCCACCACTCCTATTCAACATAGTGTTGGAAGTTCTGGGCAGGGCAATCAGGGAGGAGAAAGAAATAAAGGGTATTCAACTAGGAAAAGAGGAAGTCAAATTGTCCCTGTTTGCAGATGACATGATTGAAAATATAGAAAACTCCATCATCTCAGCCCAAAATCTCCTTAAGCTGATAGGCAACTTCAGCAAAGTCTCAGGATACAAAATCAATGTGTAAAAATCACAAGCATTCTTCTACACCAATAACAGACAAACAGCCAAATCATGAGTGAACTCCTATTCACAACTGCTTCAAAGAGAATAAAATACCTAGGAATCCAACTTACAAAGGACATGAAAGACCTCTTCAAGGAGACCTACAAACCACTACTCAATGAAATAAATGACGATACAAACAAATGGAAGGTTATCCCATGCTCATGGGTAGGAAGAATCGATATCATGAAAATGGCCATACTGCCCAAAATAATTTATAGATTCAATGCCATCCCCATCAAGCTACCAATGAGTTTCATCACAGAATTGGAAAAAACTACTTCAAAGTTCATACAGAACCAAAAAGAGCCCGCATTGCCAAGGCAATCCTAAGCCAAAAGAACAAAGCTGGAAGCATCACGCTACCTGACTTCAAACTATACTACAAGGCTACAGTAACCAAAACAGCATGGTACTGTTACCAAAACAGAGATATAGACCAATGGAACAGAACAGAGCCCTCAGAAATAATACCACACATTTACAACAATCTGATCTTTGACAGACCTGACAAAAACAAGAAATGGGGAAAGGATTCCCTTTTTAATAAAGGTGCTGGGAAAACTGGCTAGCCATATGGAGAAAGCTGAAACTGGATCCCTTCCTTACATCTTATACAAAAATTAATTCAAGATGGATTAAAGACTTAAATGTTAGACCTAAAACCATAAAATCCCTAGAAGAAAACCTAGGCAATACCATTCAGGACATAGGCATGGGTAAGAACTTCATGTCTAAAACACCAAAAGCAATGGCAACAAAAGCCAAAATTGACAAATGGGATCTAATTAAACTAAAGAGTTTCTGCACATCAAAAGAAACTACCATCAGAGTGAACAGGCAACCTACAACATGGGAGAAAATTTTTGCAACCTACTCATCTGACAAAGGGCTAATATCCAGAATCTACAATGAACTCAAACAAATTTACAAGAAAAAAACAAACAACCCCATCAAAAAGTGGGCGAAGGACATGAGCAGACACTTCTCAAAAGTAGACATTTATGCAGCCAAAAAACATGAAAAAATGCTCACCAGCACTGTCCATCAGAGAAATGCAAATCAAAACCACAATGAGATACCATCTCACACCAGTTAGAGTGGCAATCATTAAAAAGTCAGGAAACAACAGGTGCTGGAGAGGATGTGGAGACATAGGAACACTTTCACACCGTTGGTGGGACTGTAAACTAGTTCAACCCTTGTGGAAGTCAGTGTGGCGATTCCTCAGAGATCTAGAACTAGAAATACCATTTGACGCAGCCATCCCATTACTGGGTATATACCCACAGGATTATAAATCATGCTGCTATAAAGACACATGCACACGTGTGTTTATTGTGGCACTATTCACAATAGCAAAGACTTGGAACCAAGCCAAATGTCCAACAATGATAGACTGGATTAAGAAAATGTGGCACATATACACCACGGAATACTATGAAGCCATAAAAAATGATGAGTTCATGTCCTTTGTAGGGACATGGATGAAATTGGAAATCATCATTCTCAGTAAACTATTGCAAGGACAAAAAACCAAACACCACATATTCTCACTCATAGGTGGGAATTGAACAATGAGAACACATGGACAAAGGAAGGGGAACATCACACTCTGGGGACTGTTGTAGGGTGGGGGGAGTGGAGAGGGATAGCATTAGGAGATATACCTAATGTTAAATGACGAGTTAATGGGTGCAGCACACCAGCATGGCATATGTATACATATATAACTAACCTGCACTTTGTGCACATGTACCCTAAAACTTAAAGCATAAGAAAAAAAATCTCATGTACCCTATAAATATAAACACCTACTAGGTACTCAAAAAATTATAAAAATAATTAAAAATTATAGAAATGTAGGAAATCATATTCTTTTCAGCAACATGGATAGAGCTGGAGGCCATTATCATGAGTAAAATAATTCAGAAACAGGAAATCAAATACTGTATGTTCTCATTTTTATGTGGGAGCTGAGCATTGGGTACACATGGACATAAGGATGGAAATAATCAACAGTAAAAGCTATGTATTAGTCAGCGTTCTCTTAGAGGGACAAAACTAATAGGATATATATATATCCTGTTAGCCCTATAGTTATGTATAGGATATATATATATCTTATTATTTCTATATATATAGATCTATATATGTAGAGAACTATATACAGTCATATATATACATATATAGTATACATATACATGACTATATGTCATATGTATATATATGTGTGTGTGTGTGTATATATATATATATATATAAGCAGGAAGCATCCAGCACGGGAGAAACTTATAGGATGGGGGGCTAGGCCCATCTCTGCATTTCACGTTTTTCTGCCTGCTTTACATTGGCTGGAAGCTGATTAGGTTGTGCCACCAGATTAAGAGTGGATATGCCTTCCCCAACCCACTGACTCAAACATTAATCTCTTTTGGCAACACCCAGACAGGAACACCCAGGATTAATACTTTGTATTCTTCAATCCAATGAAGTTGACACTCAGTATTAACCATCACAAGTACGCCGCTTGTCAACTTGAACCCATATATACCTCCTGAGATCATACATAATTTTTAAGTTAAGAAAATAATGAGGTCATAATTACGCTGAACATAATACAACTATGCTTCATACAACCGAAAACGAACCAATCCCCAACACCAATACTATTACATAAATAATTAAATGTTTATATGAAGTCAATAAATCTTATGTAACATGATAAAGGAAAAGAAAATAAAAGGAAGATATTTCCTTAGTACAACTGGTACATGCACAAACATGTTTTTAACAAAACAAGGAGGAAATACTCATGACAGTTATCGTCCTCATTTCTGCAGCTGGTGACATGGTTGTAGCTGGTATTGATGAAGACACGCCCTAATGGATCTCCTGTATTCCATGTGTGCTCTTCCTTACTTCCACTGTGGAGTAGCAGACTGATTTCATCTTGATCGTCCAGGTAATCACTCCAGCCAACACTATAAGTCCCTTCTTAGCCTTTTGACTTAAAGGTAGGAGGAGCTCAAAGTGTCCAGGTGGCAAACTTAACTTCCAGTTTAATGGAATCATTGTTGTGTCTCCTGGTGGCAGCATTCCTCCCTTTGGAACCAAGACCTCTAGGCCAGCAGAACGTAATGTTGCAGGAAGAGGAAGCAAAATTTTTGCTAGTGGATCACTAAGGGTGATGTTGAGTTGTGCCACTTTCACTTCCACCCCTTGATTTCAGGAACCTTGAATCCTGGCAATGGGAGAAAGTAACATATACTGAATGTTGATTCAGAGCATACAAGGCCTTCTGGAGAATTTTGCCCCAGCCCTGCAAAGTATTGTCACCTAGTTGGCATTGTAATTGTGACTTCAAAAGGCCATTCCATCATTCTACCAATCCAGCTGCTTCAGGGTGATGGGGAATATGGTAAGACCAGTGAATTCATGAGCATGAGCCCACTGCTGTACTTCTTTAGCCATAAAGTGAGTGCCTTGGTGAGAGGCAATGCTGTATGGAATATCATAACGGTGGATAAGGCATTCTGTGAGTCCACGGATGGTAGTCTTAGCAGAAGCATTGCAATCAGGATAGGCAAACCAATATCTGGAGTAAATGTCTATTCTAGTGAGGACAAACATCTGCCCTTTCCATGATGAAAGAGGTCCAATATAATCAACCTGCCACCACGTAGCTGGCTGATCACCCCAGGGAATGGTGCCATATCGAGGGCTTGGAGTTGGTTTCTGCTCCCGGAAAATTGACTGTAGCCAGATCAGCCTTGGTGAGTGGAAGCCCGTGTTTCTGAACCCATGTATAACCTCCACGCCTGCCCCCATGGCCACTTTTCTCATGGTCCCATTTGGCGATGACATGGTTGGCTGGGGAAAGAGGCTGAGTGATAGCCAAAGAATGGGTCATCCTATCCACTTGATTATTAAAATCCTCCTCTGCTGAGGCTATCTGTTGGTGCACACTCACAGGGGGTATAAATATCTTCATAGTTTTTGACCATTCAGAGAGGACCATCCACATACCTCTCCTCCAAATTTCTTTGTCACCAATTTTACAATCATGTTTCTTCCAAGTCCCTGCCCATCCAGCCAAACTGTTGGCTACAGCGCATGAGTCAGTATATAATCACACACCTGGCCATTTCTCCTTCCATGCAAAATACACAACCAGGTGCTCTTCTCAAAGTTCTGCCCATTAGGAAGATTCCCTTTCACCACTGTCCTTCAGAGATGTCCTGGAAAGGGGCTGTAGTGCTGCAGCTGTCCACTTTTGGGTGGTGCTTGCATATCGTGCAGAACTGTCTGTGAAACAGGCCTGAGTCTTCTCTTCATCTGTCAACAGATCATAGAAAACTCCCCGTGAGGCCATTGGTGCAGGCTGGATCGCAGGAGTGGAGACCATGGGCATTTGAGCCACTTCCTCATGTAACTTACTTGTGCCTCCAGGACCTGCTTGAGCTTGATCACATATATACCAGTTCATTTGATGATGGAATGCTTCTTTGCATGACCCACTTTATGGCTAGATGGGTCAGAAAGCACCCAGTTCATGATAGGCAGTTCAGGTCACATGGTGACTTGATGACCCACAGTCAAACATTCAGTTTCCACTAAAGCCCAGTAACAGGCTGAGAGCTGTCTTTCAGAAGGAGAGTAGTTATCTGCAGAAGATGGCAGGGTCTTGCTCCAAAATTCCAGAGTCCTCGTCTGTGATTCACCTATGGGAACCTGCCAAAGGTTCCAAGCAGCATCACTATCTGCCACTGACACTTCAAGCAGCTTTGGATATGCTGGGTCACATGGCTAAAGTGGCAGAGCAGCTTGCACAACAGCCTGGACATGTTGCAGAGCCTTCTCCTCTTCTGGATCCCACTCAAAACTGGCAGACTTTCAGGGCACTTAATAAATCAGCCCAAGCAACACACCCAAATGAGGAAAGTGTTGCTTCCAAAATCCAAATAGGCCCACTAGGCGTTGTGCTTCTTTCTTGGTTGTAGGAGGGGCCCAGTACAGCAACTTATCCTTTACCTTACAAGGAATATCTCAACAGGTCCCACACCACTGGACCCCTAGAAATTTTACTGAGGTAGAAGGTCCCTGAATTTTAGTCAGATTTATTTCCCGTCCTCTAGTACACAAATGTCTCCCCAATAAGTCCAGTGTGTTTGCTACTTCTTGCTCACTGGATCCAATCTGCATAATGTCATCAGTGTAATAGACCAATGTGATATCTTGTGGGAGCAAAAAGTGATCAAGGTCTCTCCAAATAAGATTACGACACAAAGCCAGAGTTAATATACCCCTGAGGTAGGACAGTAAAGGTATATTGTTAACCTTGCCAGCTGAAGGCAAATTACTTCTGGCAGGCTTTATGGACAGGAATGGAGAAAAAGGCATTTGTCAAGTCAATGGCTGCAATACCAGGTACCAGGAGACGTGCTAATTTGCTCAAGCAATGAACCCACATCTGATACAGCAACTGCAATTGGAGTCACCACTTGGTTAAGCTTACGATAATTCACTGTTATTCTCCAAGATCCATCTGTCTTCGGCACAGTCTAAATGGGAGAGTTGAATTGGGATGGGGTGGGAATCACAACCCCTGCATCTGTCAAGTCTTTGATGGTGGCAATAATCTCTGCAATCCCTCCAGGGATGTGATATTGTTTTTGATTTACTATTTTTCTAGGAAGAGGCAGTTCTAATGGCTTCCATTTGGCCTTTCCCACCATTATCGCTCTCACCCTACCAGTCAGGGAGCCAATGTGGGGATTCTGCCAGCTGCTAAATATGTCATGCCAATTATGCATTCTGGCACTGGGGAAGTGACCACAGGATGAGTCTGGGAACCCACTGGACCCACTGTAAGTCAGACCTGAGATAAAATGCCATTAATTACCTGACCTCCATAAGCCCCTATTTTAACCGGAGGACCACAATGACGTTTTGGGTCCCCTGGAATCAACATCAGTCAGAGTCAGTGTTTAGTAGTCCCTGAAATGTCTGATCATTTCACCTTTCCCAGTGCATGGTTACCCTGGTGGAAGGCCAGGTGTATCCTTGGGGAAGGATGGGAGAAAGATTCACTTCATAAATTGTCATTAATGTAGTAGGATCCTTCCACAAGGGGACCCTGCCTCCCCTTTATTCAAGGGGTTCTGGATCTGTAAATTGGCTCAGGTCAGGAAATTGATTTAGGGCCCATGATTGTCTGTTTTTATAATTTAAATTAGTCTTTCATCCATTCAACATAAGAGTTTTCTGTTTGTATAATATATGTAGGAATGTAGTAGGCTTTCTATCAATTTCACTTCTAGGAACATGGTAGTTAGCCAATTCCAGAGCTCTGCATGAGTCAGACTATTCTGTTTGCTGCTTTGCATCTGCTATATATTATGGCAGCTACACTCACCTTGCCTTTGACAGTTGTGTGCTGCCACTTGGCCCCTGCCATCTCGAGATCCAATTATTCCCATTGTATTTAAATTTTATAGTTGAGTGACTGTGGTTTCCATTGTTAGATCTGACACACAGAGAAGAACAATTACAGGGCTCTTCAAAAATGCAGATGCTGCCCTCACAAATCTATTTTGCAAGGCATTGGTTAAGGGTATATCTTCTGGACCTTCCAAGCTGGGATGAGTAGGACTAAAGTGACTAATCCACTCCACCAGCCCAATCTCCCTAAGCCTTTGGATCCCTTCCTCTACATTAAGCCAAAAGTGAGCAGCCATTTCCAGCTTGCTCACAGTGGGTCATCTTTTAATTCATATTTCAGCTAACCAAACAAATAAACTATTGGAACCTTTTTTAACTCCCTGAGCTGCAACATTAAATGCAGAATCCCTACTTAGTGGGCCCATTAAATGCAGAGTCCCTACTTAGTGGACCCAAATAAATAAATTCAGCCTGATCCAACTCTACGTTCCTTCCACCATTATCCCGTACCCATACCTGTCCTCATGATTTCTGTTTATATGAATTACAGAACTCAAACAGTTCTTTTTGAGTGTAGCACACCTCCTTATGGGTCACACTCTCAACCTCACCTCTAGGGGCCCACCAAGACTTTAGTCTATATGTCTAGAAGCAAACAGAGGTTTTGGGGGTGGCCCTTGAGGAGAATCAACATTATCTAGCCTGGCAACTGCCTCAGAAGTGGGCATCACTGTTGCCTCAGGCAGCACAGCATTTATCTCCTCAGACAAACGTGGAAAGGCTGATGGCAGCATGGGTCAGGGAGGGAATGTTGCCACTATCAGAGACAGGGAAACTCTTCCTTTTGGTAAAACAGCTTCATAAGAGTTTACTAACTCTGTGTCCCCAGCTTCATCAGGGTCCTCCAACACGTCCCCATTCCAAGTTTCAAGGTCCCATTCTTTTCCAATCAATGCCCTTACTTTAACAGTATACACCTGGCACAGCTGTCCATATACCTCTCATTGCAGGTCAGCCACTTGCTTGATAAGAGCTTATGTCTGTTTGTTTGTTTTTTTTCCCCACAATTTCAGTTCTTTTTCTACAGGAAATAAGACTCTCACTCAGGGCAATCTTAGCAGATTTGAGGCTCAGTATCTGCTTCTGAAGCCAGGAGACAGAATCCCTGAGTTCATCATTTTCTTTCATCACTTTGTCCACTCAACTTAGGAGCAACCAATCAGCTTCATTATGTTCCTTGGTTCTCCACATATGGTCAAAGGTATTATGCAGAGTCACTAAACTCCTTGCCTCACATAAGTGGTAAATCAGAAGTGTCAAATGCATTTATTTTACATAACTCTCCAAACAATTTATTCCAAGGACTATCAGTGTTCTCCATACTATTAGAAGCATCTTTGGATCTAATCACATTAGGCAGCCAACTCCAGAAACCCCCAAACTAATGAAAGAACCCTATCCTTAATATTCTGCTCCTCTATCCCTACTCCTGGTACCAAAGTCTGTATTAGTCAGGGCTCTCTTAGAGGGACATAACTAATTGGAAATACACACACACACACACACACACACACACACACACACACACACGGATTTATTAAGCATTAACTTACATGATCACAAGATCCACAATAGGCTGTCATCAAGCTGAGGAGTAAGATGAGCCAGTCTGAATCCCAAAACTGAAGAACATTGAGTCCAATGTTCAAGGGCAAGAAGCATCCAGCACGGGAGTAACATGTGGGCTGGGAGGTTTGGCCCATCTCTCCTTTTCACATTTTTCTGCCTGCTTTATAGTCACTGGAAGCTGGTTAGATTGTGCCCACCAGATTAGGGGTTGATCTGCCTTTCCCAGATCACTGACTCAAATGTTAATCTCTTTTGGCAACACTCACACAGACACACCCAGGATTATTACTTAGTATCAATCAATCCAATGAAGTTGTCACTCAGTATTAACCATCACACTCTACAAGGTGGGAGAGTGGGAGTGGAGTAAGGGTTAAAAAATTACCTATTGAATACAATGTTCACTATTTGGTTGATAGGTACACTGGAAGCCTAAATCTCACCATTGTGCAACACTCCCTTGTAACAAACCTGCACATATACCTCTGAATCTAAAAATAAAAACAAAAAATTGATTCTCTTGTAGGCAGCATATAGTTAGGTCTCTTTTTAGCTATTCAATCATTCTATGAGTTTTCATTGGAGAATTTAATTCATTTGTAGTCAAAGTAATTACTGATGAGCAATAAGTTATTATTGACATTTTGTTAATTGTTTTCTGACTTTTTAAAGATACTTTCTTCCCTTGTTTCTTGCTGTTTTGATTTGTGATTTGATGATTATTTTCTCTAATGGTATGTATGTTTTAATTTCTATTTTGTGTGTGTATCTACTAAAAGTTTTTGCTTTAGGCTATCATAAGGCTTATGTAAAACATCTTCTAGTTATGCAGATTTATTATAAGCTGAGAACAACTTAACTTTATTGGGATACAAAAGCTCTGCACTTCTACTCCTCCCATATTTTTTTGTTTTTGGTACAACAATTCATGTTTATATAATGTTTCAATTAACACATTATTTTGCCTGTAGTTATTTTTAACATTTTTGTCTTTTAACCTTTATTCTAGAGTTATAAGTGATTTACTTATCACCATTATAATCTTAGAGTATTCTGAATTTGACCATATACTCACTTTTACCAGTGCATTTTATAGTTTCATACACTTTTATGTCACTAATTAGCACTCTTTTTTCTGGTTGATGAACTTCTTGTGGCATTTCTTTTAAGGCCAGTCTAGTGGTAATGAACTCCTTTAAGCTTTTTTTTTTTTAATCTGGGAAAGTCTTAATCTCTTTTTTCATTTGCAAAGGATAGCTTTGCTAGATATTCTTGGTTGGCAGAGGTTTCATTCAGCAATTTGAATATACCATTTCCCTTTCTCCTGGCATGCAATGTTTCTCTTGGGAAATCTACTGATAATACCCTTATAAGTATGTCCTTACATGTGAGGAATATATTTTCTCTTGCTGCTTTCAAAATTTGCTCCTTGTCTTTTCTTTTTAACAGTTTGAATATGTCTTGATGGATTCTATGGGGTGATCTCAATGGAGACTGTGAGATTCATGTATCTGCATGTTCGTATCTCTTCAGAGATTTGAAAAGTTGGCAACTATTATTTATTTACATAAGCTTTCTCTATTTTATTCTTATAATGAAAACGCTAGCTTTCTCAATGGTGTCTATAAGTCCTGTGGATGTTCTTCATTCCTTTTTCTCCACTCACTGGATCCTTTTTGATGACCTTTTTTTATTCCTTCGGCAGATCTAACTGAGGCTTTATTTTGGGAAAAATACAAATAAATTTGTTGGGGGCATGGGCAAGTGGGGGTACTCCATGCAATAAACTGCCCACAAGGGTGGGCTGAGGGGTAAGGATGAGCCTCAGATGGATCTCCTGTTCCCTATGCTCCCCTGTACTGCAGCATCCCTCACAGGCTCTGGGGCAGCCACAGGAAGGGGAGGTTGGGAGGGGCTGCTACAGCCATTCACTTGGGCAGTGCATCAGAGGACTCGAACATTGGCTTCCCATCATAGGTCTTGATCTTCCTCACAACCATGGCCCTATAGGAGCTGGTACAGCTGAAGAAGCCAGAGGCCCTGCCAAAGCCACAGCTGGAGCCCAGGCCATTGTTAAAGCCAGAGCTTGTGAGGCCTTCATAAGCTGAGCTCAGACCACCTGAATAGCCACTTGTAGTCTTCATATGGATAATAATGTTCTGCATTCCAGACTCCAGGCAGCTCTATTCACCTTCCAGAAGCTTCCTGTATGTGGCAGTCTCAATGTCCGGGGCCTGATTGACTCTCATCAGTTCCTGATAATTATGCAGCTCCCATGCCATATCCTGCTTGGCCCACTGCAAGACAGCCTCCAGTTTCACCAGCTTGGTGTAGGCATTCTTAATGACCAGCTCTTCACACTGCTTTGCATCCACAATGGCAGCCTCCAAGGAAGCCCTCTGGCCTTTAAGACCCTCAATCTGTGCCTGGAGCCAGCTGATGTTCTGGTTCATTTTGGAGAACTCCATCTTTCTTCAACACAAATCATCCCTCTGCTTCCCAGCCAGTGTCTGCAGCTTCTCATACTTAATCTGGTACATGTTTTTAGCGTTGGCCCAGCTGTGGTTGACAATCTTCTCATACTGGGCACAGCCATTGGCCATGGTGCTGTCCATGTGCAAGGAGTGGCTGTTGTTCCTGAACAGAACCACAGATATGTTAAAGATATGGGACTGCAGCTTGCAGAGATCCTCTTTACATAGCTGCCTGAGAAAGCTGATCTCATCAGTTAGCCCTTCCAGGTGAGACTCCAGCTCTATCTTGCTCATGTAAGCTTCATTCACATTCTTCTTAAAGGGGACAAATTCATTTTCCATCTCTGCACACTTGTTGATCTCATCCTCATACACATTACTGAAGTCCTCCACCAGCCCATGCATATTGCCAAGCTCTGCCTCCAGCTTCAGCTTCTCTTGTTCCAACCTTTCCAGTTGCCTGCAAAGCTCTTGAATATGTTCATGTTGCTCCAATCTGTCTTCTGCTGCTGCTGCAAGAGGCTTCACTTCATCTTCAGCATCCTGTCCTGCTACTCCAGGAACCATACCTTGATGATGAAGGAGACAAACTTGTTGTTGAATGTCTTGATGGGCTCCTTCTACTGGGTTTTCATGGCCTTGATGTTGCGGTCCACATCCAACTTAAAGGGGCTCAGCAGGCTCTGGTTCACCATGACAGCTGTAATGCCTCCTATACCACTGGCCCCAGCATATCCTCCACCTAGAACCATGCCAGTAACCAGGCCACTACAGAAGCTGGTGTTGCTACAGACTCAGGAAAAGCTTGAAGAGCTGATGCAGGTACTGGGCCTGCTTATGTAGGAGTGGCTGTTGAAGGCCCAGGGGCCAGAGCTGGATGCTTTGTAGGAATTCTGGGTCACCCTGATGGACATGATAGAGTCAGGAGTGGAGCCAGGTGGGCCAAACCAAACAGAGATTTGAGAAGGAACCAAGAAGCTGCTTCTAGGTGGGCTTAAATGACCTATCTTTGAGTTCACAAATTCTTCTGTTTGATCAAGTCTGCTATTGATGCTCTCCATTGCATTTTTTATGCATTGTATTCTTCAGCTCCAGAATTTCTGTTTGTTTCTTTTTTAAATCATTTCTATCTCTTTATTGAACTTCTTGTTTTCTGTGCGTGTTTATTGTTTATCTGATGTTTGTCTATCTGGGCTCACTTATAGCTCACTGATCTTCCTTAAACAATTATTTTAAGTTCTTTGTCAGGAAAATCAAACATATCTATTTTTGGGGAGGTAGATTACTAGAAAACTATTGTGTTTCTTTGATGGTGCTATGTTTCCCTGATTTTTCATGTTTCTTATTGCCTTGCATTGCTGTCTGTGCATTTGATGGAGCAGTCACGTTTTCCATATATTACTGGCTTGTTCTGGGAGCAAAAGACATTCACCTACATGTGAGTGTGAAGGTGATGCTGGGGCGGAGTGTGGTGGTTTCAGCTTCAGTAGGAGCCAAGGGATGTTGTCTCCATGTAGCTAGGATCAATGTCAACAAATATTGAAGAGGTTCCTAGAGATTAACGCTGTGGGTGTCCTCAGTGACATTGAGAGCTATGGGGTTTTTCAACAGCAAAAGCTTCTGGGAGTGTTCTGTTCTCTTTTTTTCCCACAGGGGAAGACATAGCCAAGGGGATTCCTCTTGTCACCAGGTCTAATTCACAGTTTGCTTGCAGTGGTAATGGCACAGGTTTCTGATGAGTGGAATCCATAAAGTAGTCATAAGGAAGGAGAATCAGACTTCTACGTTTGTGACAACCCTCCCACTCACTCTGCCAGGCACCAAGCAGGTGGAAAATCTCCCTCCAAATGACAATTTTTACTCTGGAATAAGTGAAACTGAAGTAGTCAGCCAGCACAATGATCTCCAAGATAACACAGTTAAGGAGTTAGTTTAGAAATTTATCAGATAAATTTAACAAAGAGATTAAAGTAATTTCTTCTTAAATTTAGAGACTGGGCCTTCTGCTGTTGCCCAGGCTGAAATGCAGTGATGCAGTCACAGTTCACTGCAGCCTCAAACTCCTGGGCTTAAGCAATCCTCCTGCCTCAGCCTCCCAAAGTGATGGGATTATAGTCATGAGTAATCATGCCTGGCCTAAAGTAATTTTTAAAAAATCAAACAGAAATTTCAAAACTGATAAATACTTTTGCTAAACTGGAGAACTATTTACAGGTTCTCAACAGTGGAAATGTACGAAGAAGAGGAAAGAATCAATGAGCTTGAAGACCAGGTGTTTGAAAATGCACAATAATAGGTGAAGCAAAATGAATGAAGAGCACTACAAGATACATAAAAATCTCTGAAAAGATCAAAGCTAAAAATTATTGGTGTTCAAGAGGTAACTGAGCAAGAACAAGGAGTAGAAAGCTTATTCAAAGAGATAATAACAGAAAACTGTCCAAAACTTGAGAAATATATGAATATCCAGGTACAAGAAGTTCTTAAAATACCAAACATCGTCAGCTCAATAGGACTACTCCAATAATCAAAACAGCAAAGATCGAGGACAAAGAGAGGATCCTAAAAGCAGCAAGAGGAAAGAAGCAAATAACATTTAAAGGAGCTCCAATTCATCTGGCAATAAACTTCTCAGTGGAAACCATACAGGCCTGCAAAGAATTGAATTAATTTTTCAAAGTACTCAGAGAAAAAATTACCATGAAAGAGTATTGTAGTCCAGAAAACTATCAGTTAAATATGAAGGTATAAAGAGATAAAGTCTTTCCCAGACAAAGAAAATCTGAGATAATTCAACATCACCAGGTAAATCTTGCAAGAAATGCTAGAGGCAGTCTTACAAAGAAAAAAAAACATTCAAAAGAAAACTTTTCAAGGTATGAAACCCATTAGTAAAATTAAATACATGGACAAACCCAGAATACTCTATTACTGTATTTGTGATGTGCAAATCCACTTATAAGTCTAGCCCAAAAGACAAATGAAGCACAAAAGAAAAATCTATCAAAAATAATAATTGCTACAGCAACTTCAGAGATAAGTAATATAAGATAGGTAGATTAGGACAATTAAAAATCAACATGTGGAAGGGATGAAGTTAAAGTGTAGATTTTTTGTGTGTTCTTTGCCTTTGTTTCTATTTTTTCCGTGTGATCTAAGATTAGTTGTCATATCTTTTAAATAACTTGTATTTATAAGGTGCTTTTCTTGTAAGCTTCATGATACTCACAGTACAAAACTCTATAACAGATTCACTAAAAATAAAAAGCAACACTTTAAAACATACTACCAGAAATAATCACTTAACTGCAAAGTAAGACATAAATAAAGGATGAAAGTAAGAGAGGAGTCTCAAAACAACGAGAATACAAGCAACAAAATGGTAGTAGTAAGTCCTTTCTTATCAATAGTAACAATGAATGTGATGGTCTCCATTTTGCAATTAAAAGACACAGAGTGGTTGAGTGTACAAAGATACAAGATCCAACTACATCCTGCCTTCATGAAACCCACTTCACCTATAAACACATAAAATGAAGGTGAAGGAGTAGAAAAGATATTTTATACAACTAGAAATTAAAAAAAAAAAGGCCCAGGCACAGTAGCACACGCCTGTAATCCCAAGCTATTTGGGTGGCTGATGCAGGAGAATTGCTTGAACCTGGGAGGCAGACGTTGCAGTGAGCTGAGATTCAGCCTGGGTGACAAGAGCGAAACTCCATCTCCAAGAAAAAAAAAAAAAAAAAAAGAAAAAATAAACCAATAAAAGAGCAGTAGCAGCTATATTCATATCAGATAAAATATATTACAAATCAAACACTGTATAAAAAAACAAGTCACTATATAATGATAAAGGGGTCAATTCAGCAAGAACATAAATATTATAAATATCTATGCATCCAATATCAGAGTTCCCAAGTACATAAGCAAAGATTAATAGACCTAAAGAGAGATAGACTACAATACAATAATAGTAGGGACCTTTAATACCTCACTCTCCGTAATTGACAGATCATCAATACATAAAAGCAGACTTCATCCAGACAGAAAAGTAACAAAGAAACAGCGGAGTTAAACTACACATTAGATATAATAGGCTTAACTGACATTTACAAAACATTTCACTCAACTGCTGCAGAATACACATTATTTTCAGCAGCACATGGAACATTCTTCAGAATAGACCATATATTAGGCCACAAACAAGTCTGAACAATGTTTTAAATAAAAATCCTATCAAATATCTTTTCTGACCACAATGGAATAAAATTAGAAATCAATAACAAGAGAAACCTCAGAAAATACACAAACACATGTAAATTAAACAATATGCTCCTGAACAACTGAAGGGTCAATAAAGAAATTAAGAAGGAAATTTGATCATGGTGGATAAAGTTTTTGATGTGCTGCTGAATTTGGTTTGCCAGTATTTTATGAGGATTTTTGCAACAATGTTCATCAAGGATATTGGTCTAAAATTCTCTTTTTTGGTTGTGTCTCTGCCCGCCTTTGGTATCAGGATGATGCTGGCCTCGTAAAATCAGTTAGGGAGGACTCCCTCTTTTTCTATTGATTGGAATAGTTTCAGAAGGAATGGTACCAGTTCCTCCTTGTACCTCTGGTAGAATTCGGCTGTGAATCCATCTCATCCTGCACTCTTTTTGGTTGGTAAGGTATTGATTATTGCCACAATTTCAGATCCTGTTATTGGTCTATTCAGAAATTCAAATTCTTCCTGGTTTAGTCTTGGGAGAGTGTATGTGTGGAGGAATTTATCCATTTCTTCTAGATTTTCTAGTTTATTTGCGTAGAGGTGTTTGTAGTATTCTCTGATGGTAGTTTGTATTTCTGTGGGATTGGTGTTGATATCCCCTTTATCATTTTTTATTACATCTATTTGATTCTTCTCTCTTTTTTTCTTTATTAGTCTTGCTAGCGGTCTATCAATTTTGTTGATCCTTTCAAAAAACCAGCTCCTGGATTCATTAATTTTTTGAAGGGTTTTTTGTGTCTGTATTTCCTTCAGTTCTGCTCTGATTTTAGTTATTTCTTGCCTTCTGCTAGCTTTTGAATGTGTTTCATCCCTGGGATGCAAGGCTGGTTCAATATATGCAAATCAATAAATGTAATCCAGCATATAAACAGAACCAAAGACAAAAAAACACATGATTATCTCAATAGATGAAGAAAAGGCCTTTGAAAAAATTCAACAACACTTCATGCTAAAAACTCTCAATAAATTAGGTATTGATGGGACGTATCTCAAAATAATAAGAGCTATCTATGACAAACCCACAGACAATATCATACTGAATGAGCAAAAACTGGAAGCATTCCCTTTGAAAACTGGCACAACACAGGGATGCTCTCTCTCACCACTCCTATTCAACATAGTGTTGGAAGTTCTGGCCAGGGCAACCAGGCAGGAGAAGGAAATAAAGGGTATTCAATTAGGAAAAGAGGAAGTCAAATTGTCCCTGTTTGCAGACAACATGATTGTATATCTAGAAAACCCCATTGTCTCAGCCCAAAATCTCCTTAAGGTGATAAGCAACTTCAGCAAAGTCTCAGGATACAAAACCAATGTGCAAAAATCACAAGCATTCTTATATACCAACAACAGACAAACAGAGAGCCAAATCATGAGTGAACTCCCATTCACAATTGCTTCAAAGAGAATAAAATACCCAGGAATCCAACTTACAAGGGATGTGAAAGACCTCTTCAAGGAGAACTACAAACCACTGCTCAATGAAATAAAAGAGGATACAAACAAATGGAAGAACATTCCATGCTCATGGGTAGGAAGAATCAATATCGTGAAAATGGCCATACTGCCCAAGGTAATTTACAGATTCAATGCCATCCCCATCAAGCTACCAATGACTTTCTTCACAGAATTGGAAAAAAACTACTTTAAAGTTCATATGGAACCAAAAAAGAGCCCGCATCACCAAGTCAATCCTAAGCCAAAAGAACAAAGCTGGAGGCATCACACTACCTGACTTCAAACTATACTACAAGGCTACAGTAACCAAAACAGCATGGTACTGTTACCAAAACAGAGATATAGATCAGAGAATCTGATCAGAACAGATCAGAGGAACAGAACAGAGCCCTCAGAAATAATGCCACATATCTACAACTATCTGATCTTTGACAAACCTGAGAAAAACAAGCGATGGGGAAAGGATTCCCTATTTAATAAATGGTGCCGGGAAAACTGGCTAGCCAGATGTAGTAAGCTGAAACTGGATCCCTTCCTTACACCTTATACAAAAATCAATTCAAGATGGATTAAAGACTTAAATGTTAGACCTAAAACCATAAAATCCCTAGAAGAAAACCTAGGCAATACCATTCAGGACATAGGCTTGGGCAAGGACTTCATGTCTAAAACACCAAAAGCAATGGCAACAAAAGCCAAAATTGACAAATGGGATCTAATTAAACTAAAGAGCTTCTGCACAGCAAAAGAAACTACCATCGGAGTGAACAGGCAACCTATAAAATGGGAGAAAATTTTCACAACCTACTCATCTGACAAAGGGCTAATATCTAGAATCTACAATGAACTCAAACAAATTTACAAGAAAAAAACAAACAACCCCATCAAAAAGTGGGCGAAGGACATGAACAGACACTTCTCAAAAGAAGACATTTATGCAGCCAAAAAACACATGAAAAAATTCTTACCATCACTGGCCATCAGAGAAATGCAAATCAAAACCAAATTGAGATACCATCTCATACCAGTTAGAATGGCAATCATTAAAAAGTCAGGAAACAACAGGTGCTGGAGAGGATGTGGAGAAATAGGAACACTTTTACACTGTTGGTGGGACTGTAAACTAGTTCAACCATTGTGGAAGTCAGTGTGGTGATTCCTCAGGGATCTAGAACTAGAAATACCATTTGACCCAGCCATCCCATTACTGGGTATATACCCAAAGGACTATGAATCATGCTGCTATAAAGACACATGCACATGTATTTTTATTGTGGCATTATTCACAATAGCAAAGACTTGGAACCAAGCCAAATGTCCAACAATGATAGACTGGATTAAGAAAATGTGGCACATATACACCATGGAATACTATGCAGCCATATAAAATGATGAGTTCATGTCCTTTGTAGGGACATGGATGAAATTGGAAATCATCATTCCCAGTAAACTATCTCAAGAACAAAAAAACAAACACTGCATATTCTCACTCATGTGGGAATTGAACAATGAGAACACATGGACACAGGAAGGGGAACATCACACTCTGAGGACTGTTGTGGGGTGGGGGGAGGGAGGAGGGATAGCATTCGAGATATACCTAATGCTAGATGACGAGTTAGTGGGTGCAGCGCACCAGCATGGCACATGTATACATATGTAACTAACCTGCACATTGTGCACATGTACCCTAGAACTTAAAGTATAGTAATAATAAAAAAAAGAAGGAAACTTGAAAATTTCTTCAAACAAATGAGAACAGAAGTACAACATATGGAAATCAATGAGATGCAACAAAAGCAGTATTAAGAGGAAAGTTTACAGCAATGAATGACTATATAAAAAAAGTAGAAACTCTTCAAATAAATTCATACTGCACCTCAGGAACTAGAAAAGTAAGAACAAACCAAATCTCAAATTAGCAGGGAGAAAGAAATAATACAGATCTGAGCAGAAATAAATGAAATTGAGACTAAAAACACAATACAGGTGATTAACAAAACAAAAAGTTGGTTTTCTGAAAAGAAAAACAAAATCAGCAAACCTTCAGCTAGACTAAGAAAAAAAAGAGAAGACCCAAATAAATAAAATCAGAAATGAAAAAGTTGACCTAACAACTTAGACCTCTGAAGTACAAAAAAATCGTTAGAGACTACTATGAAAAACTAACTATACACTAACAAATTGGAAAACCAAAAAGAAACGGATACATTCCTGGATATATACAACCTACCAAAATCAAACCATGAAGAAATAGTAATCCTCAGTAAACCAGTAACAAGTAATGAGATCAAAGTCATAATAAAAAGTCTCTGATCAAAGAGAAGCCCAGTAATTGGTGGATTCACTGCTGAATTCTACCAAACATTTCAAGAAGAATTAATAAAAATCCTACTCAAACTCTTCAAAAAAAATTAAAGAAGAGGGAATACTTCCAAGCTCATTCTATGAGATCAGCATTAACCTGACACCAAAACCAGACACAGATGAAACAAGAAACAAAAACTACAGGGCATTATTTACTGATGAAAATAGATACAAAAATCCTCAATCAAATACTAGCAAACCAAATTCAACAACACAGTAAAAAGATCATTCACCATGGTCAAGTGAAATTCATCCCAGGGATACAAGGATGGTTCCTTATAAACAAATCAATAAACATGATGTATTACGTTAATAGAATTACGAACAAAAATTATATGATTATTTCAGTAGGTGCAAAAACTTGATTAAATTCAGGATTCCTTTATGATAAAAAACCCTAATCACGGGTATAGAAGGAACATACCTCAAAATAACGAAGGCTATATAAGACAAGCCCATGGCTAACACTGTACTAAATTGGGAAAAATTGGAAGCCTTTCCTCTAGGGACTGTAACAAAACAAGGATGCCCACTTTCAACAACAGTATTCAACATAGCACTGGAAGTCTTAGCCAGGGCAACTAAACAAAAAACAGAAATAAAGGACATCCAAATTGTGATGGAAGAAGTCAAATTAGCCTTGTTCACAGATGAGAAGATCTTTTTTTTTTTTTTTTTTTTTTTGAGACGGAGTCTTGCTCTGTTGCTCAGGCTGGAGTGCAGTGGCGCGATCTTTGCTCACTGCAAGCTCCGCCTCCCGGGTTCACGCCATTCTCCTGCCTCAGCCTTCCAAGTAGCTGGGACTACGGGCGCCAGCCACCATGCCCAGCTAATTTTCTGCACTCTTAGTAGAGATGGGGTTCCATCTTGTTAGCCAGGATGGTCTCGATCTCCTGACCTCGCGATCCACCTGCCTCGGCCTGCCAAAGTGCTGGGACCACAGGCGTGAGCCACCACACCCAGCCAGATGACAAGATCTTATATGTAGAAAAACCTAAGGGCTCCACCAACGTTAGAATTGATAAATGAATTCAGTAAAATTGCAGGATGAAAATAAACACAAAAATATTAGTAGCACTTATATACACCAATAGCAAATGATCTGAAAATCAAGAAAGCAATCTCATTTACAAAAAATTATAATATATAAAATACCTAGGAATCAATGTAACCAAAGAGCTGAAAGATCTATACAAGGAAAACTATAAGACTTTGATGAAAGAAATAGATGAGAACACAAAAATGGAAAAATATGCCATGCTTATAGATTGGGAGAATTAATATTGTTCAAATGACAATGCTACCCAAAGCAATTTACAGGTTAAATGTCATCCCAATCAAAATACCGATGATATTTTTCACAGATATAGGAAAAAAATTGAAAATTTATATGAAACCACAAGAATCTCTAAATACTCAAAGCAATCTTGAGGAAAAAATAACAAAGCTGTAGGCATCACCCTACCTGACTTCAAAATATACAACAACATTATAATAACCAAAACAGCATAGTGGTGGTGGCCTAAAAACAGACACACAGACCAATGGAATGGAATAGAGAACCCTGAAATAAATCCACACATTTACAGTTAACTTATTTTTGACAAAGGTGCCAAGAACATACACTGGGGAAAGGGTACTCTCTTCAATAAATAATGCTGGGAAAATTAGGTATGCACAGACAATGAAGGAAATTGGACCCTTATCTCATATCACATACAAAAATCAACTCAGAATGAACTTAAGACTAAAAGAAAATGCAGGGAAAAATGAAATGACATTGATCTGGGCAATGATTTGTTGGATTTGGCTCCAAAAGATTAGGCAAGAGAAGCACAAATAGTCAAATGCAATTACATCAAACTAAATAGCTTCTGCATAACAAAAGAAACAATGAACAAAATGAATAGACAACCTACAGATTAGGAGAAAATATTTGGAAGTAATACATTTTATAAGAGATGAATTTCCAAAATATATAAGGAACTCAAACAACTCAATAGCAAAAGAACAAATAACCCAATTTAGACCAGGCATGGTGACTCATGCCTGTAATTCCAGCACTTTGAGAGGCCGAGGAGGGCAAATCATTTGAGGTCAGGAGTTGGAGACCAGCCTGGCCAATACGGTGAAACCCCATCTCTCCTAAAACACAAAAATTAGCCAGGTGTGGTGGCATGCTCCTGTATTCCTAGCTACTTGGGAGGCTGAGGCAGGAGAATTGCTTGAACCCAGGAAGCGGAGGTTGCAGTGAGCTGAGATCGTGCCATTGCACTCCAGCCTGGGTGTCGCAGGGGCACTCTGTCTCAAAACTAAATAAGTAAATCAGTAAATAAATAAAATAAAAATGGACAGAGAACCTGAATAGACATTTCTCAAGACATACAAATGGCTAACAGATATATAAAACAATGCTCAACATCACTAATCATTAGGGAAATGCAAACTAAAACCACAATGAAATATCACCCCATACTTGTCAAAATGGCTAGTATCAAAAAGATGAAAAATAGCAGGGAATCCCTGTCTGCAGAGTGGCTTTAGCCTGTGAGCAGCGAGACCCAGGGACAGAGTCTCAGCCCTGCTGCTGCCGACACCGCCAAGAGACTGCTGAGCCCCTGTTCATAGGCCACCACTCACTTTCAGAAGGCCAAACTGGTCGAGCAGGCCATATGATGACATGGCAGCCTGCATGAAGTCTTGTAACTGAGTAAGGAGCTGAATTGTCCAATGAGGAGAGGAACCTTCTCTGAGCTGCTTATAAAAATGTTGTAGAAGCCCGTAGATTATCTTGGAGGATCTTCTCAAGTATTGAACAAAAGACGGAAGGTGCTGAGAATAAAAACAGTAGATAGTATGAGAATACAAAGAGAAAATTGAGATGAAGCTAGGAGATATCTTGCAATGATTTACTCCTTTTTTGGAAAAGTTCTTGATCCCCAGTGCTTCACAAGCAGAGAGCAAAGTCTTCTATTTGAAAATGAAAGGAGACTACTACGGTTACTTGTCTGAGGTTGCTGCTGGTGATCACAAGAAGGGGATTGTGGATCAGTCACAACAAGCATACCAAGAAGCTTTTGGAATCAGCAAAAAGGAAATGCAACGAGCACATCCTATCAGATTGGGGCTGGCCCTTAACTACTCTGTGTTTTATTATGAGATTCTGAACTCCCCCAGAGAAAGCCTGCTGTCTTGCAAAGACAGCTGCCAATGAAGCTATTGCTGAACTTGATACATTAAGTCATACAAAGATAGCACGCTAATAATGCAATTACTGATAGACAACTCGACATTGTGGACATCGGATGCCAAGGAGATGAAGCTGAAGCAATAGAAGTAGGGGAAAATAAGCTGACCTTCCAACTTTTGTCTGCCTCATTCTAAAATTTACACAGTAGAACATTTGTCATCCATGCTGTATCACAAATAGCTTTTGTTTATGATTTTTGACATGTTTATTTTACTTCTATTTGAATTTCTATATTTCTCATGTGTTTTTTATATTTAATGTTAGGAGATTAAAGCCAGTTAACATTTA
The DNA here is from genome assembly GCF_000001405.40 of Homo sapiens. NCBI lineage: Eukaryota > Metazoa > Chordata > Mammalia > Primates > Hominidae > Homo > Homo sapiens. Next base: position 64,612,396 of record NC_000023.11, on the reverse strand, counting down.
GGGAGTTATCTGTTTTCATCTTGAGGTGGCCAATATGGGGATGTGGAATTTTTATACAAGCTATAAATGTTTGGCATAGTACTTTTGCTACATTGTGGCTTCGCAAGGGTCGGTTTTAACACTTCCAAGTCTAAGCAAAGAAAACTGCCTACATATTGGTTTGTCTCAGTGGGGAATAAAAGGGATCATTGGTACCTTGGGTCCACTCACAAGTAATTGTGGGAACTTTAAGGTTTGGAGCCCTTACATCCTAAAAGATACTTTAGGAAATCTGTTACTGGCTTCTTATAGTTGGAGTATTCTAATGGTATCAGTGATTTGGAAACTATTGCCATTAAAGTAAATCACTTCCTCCCAGGCAGCAGTTTGGTATCTCTCCTTCTTGAGATCAGTGAAATCTCTATGAAAAGACTATATTCCAGCAGCCTCAATTGTGTGATAATTATTATCTTAATATGTGGTGTCCCCCACAGTCTTGTGAGATGAAGATATAGAGATTATTAATAGGCCACATTTGAGTTATTATTAATAGACCACATCTCAAGGCATCCTGCCTTGAACTCTAACTATCCTTATGCCTCCTGACCTTTGCTGTTGTGTGAATAATAAGATCTCAAACTGTTTAACAACACAGGATATGTTACCTCTGTGGTGCCAGTTCCTGGATTTCATTTTAATAGATTTTTGAACAGAACATACTCTCAAGGTAGTGAGACCATAATAGAATCTATTGCATAAATTCTGGAATCTGTAGGCCAAATTTTGATGTGTAACCTTCCACAGCTTCAGCTGGGCTTGGCAGATTTGAAATTCTCTGAAAATTTTCTGTAGCGTCATTTTCCTGCATGTTGCTATTTTGCTGACCCTCTTTGTAACAGCCCATGAGTTAAGTGCTGCATTTATATTGCAAGCTGTTCCTTTGATTTCTGAGATATGAGGCACTGAAGTAACATCTTGGACATTTCAAACATCAGACTCAGTTCAGTCAAACAGCATTACTGTAGAAGAACTTGTTTTGAATTTCATATACACGATAATGCCATAACTCTATCAAACAAATCATTTGAATTTTAGTTTTGACAAGCAAGACAGCTGTATGGAAAACTTGTTAATGTCCTTACTAAAGATTGTTGTGCTGAGATGGTTATACTAAAAGCCTAGATTTCACCACTACACAACTATCCATGTAACAAATCTGCACTTGTACTTTTTAAATCTATACAAATAAGAAATAATTTAAAAAATAAAAAGATTGTTGTGCTGATGTCACTGGCAAGAGGACTGCTTAAAGGCTTAAGATCATCCAATGCACCATCCTAGGGGTGCCACATTTTTGTTAATAGTTTATATTAAGACAGAATGTGTATTTTCATATTTTAAATATTCTCTAATGATGATAATAATAGCAAAAATAAAAAGAATGCAAGCTCCTCAACATATAAATCTTAGAGACCAAAGTAATAGCTATCCTCAAATGTGGTTACCCACCCTACTATCCATAGAAAAGCAACCATAGTGAATATTGCTGCAATAAACATACGTGTGCATGTGTCTTTATGGCAGCATAATTTATAATCCTTTGGGTATATACCCAGTAATGGGATGGCTCGGTCAAATGGTATTTCTAGTTCTAGATCCCTGAGGAATCGCCACACTGACTTCCACAGTGGTTGAACGAGTTTACAGTCCCACCAACAGTGTAAAAGTGTCCCTATTTCTCCACATCCTCTCCAGCACCTGTTGTTTTCTGACTTTTTAATGATCGCCATTCTAACTGGTGTGAGATGGTATCTCAGAAAATGTAGCACATATACACCGTGGAATACTATGCAGCCATAAAAAATGAAGTGTTCATGTCCTTTGTAGGGACATGGATGAAACTGGAAACCATCATTCTCAGCAAACTATCCCAAGGACAAAAAACCAAACACCGTATGTTCTCACTTATAGGTGGGAATTGAACAAAGAGAACACATGGACACAGGAAGGGGAACATCACACTCCGGGGACTGTTGTGGGGTAGGGAGAGGGGGGAGGGATAGCATTAGGAGATATACCTAATGGTAAATGACGAGTTAATGGGTGCAGCACACCAACATGGCACATGTATACATATGTAACAAACCTGCACATTGTGCACATGTACCCTAAAACTAAAAGTATAATAATAGTAAAATTAAAAAAGCAACCATAAAAAATGTGTATTAACTCTTAAATTTTTAATGAGAAAAAAAGACTTTTTAATAAAAGAGGACTAGAGTAAAAAGTAAATATTGTAGTATAGATGTCATTAACCAAAAGCAATGTGGCATAAAACAATTTTTGTTAGCCTAGAACTTTCAAAGAACCAAGATCTAGACTTTTACTGGGTTTTTTCTTTTTTTTTTTTTGAGATGGAATTTCACTCTTGTTGCCCAGGCTGGAGTGCAATGGCATGATCTCAGCTCACCTCAACTTCTGCCTCCTGGCTTCAAGCAATTCTTCTGCCTCAGCCTCCCAAGTAGCTGGGATTACAGGAATGCGCCACCACACCCGGCTAATTTTGTATTTTTAGTAGAGATGAGGTTTCTCCATGTTGGTCAGGCTGGTCTCGAACTCCTGACCTCAGGTGACCCACCCACCTCAGCCTCCCAAAGTGCTGGGATTACAGGTGTCCACCACCATGCCCGGATTTTATTTGCCTTTTAAAAATGAATTTGATTGTGTATATTTACTATGTACAACATGATGTTATAAAATACATATATAGTAAAATGGTTACTATAATGGAGCAAATGAATAAATCCATTATCTCACATAGTTACCCATTTTTCTCCCTGTGGCAAGAGAAACTCATAGCCTACTCATTTAGTGAAAATCTTGAATATAATGAACTAATTAATATTAACTATAGTCCTCATGTTGCACATTGCTGTCTAGTTGCATTGCCTAGTAATCTTCCCTTTCCTGAAACTGGTCCTTAAGTTGCACCTCATCCCTGATACCCCAACAGTTACTGGCAGTCATTTAGCAAAAATCCTAAATGCAATGAATTAGTAGTATTAACAACAGTCCTCATGTTGCTCATTGCTGACCTGTTGCAGTACCTAGCAACCCTCCCTTTCTTGAGACTGGTGCTTAAGTTACACCTCAGTCCTGATACCCCACCAGGTACTGGCAGCCTCCATTCTCCAAGGGTCAAACCCTGCCTCCATTCTCTGACCACTAATAGGAATACTGCTATATGTAGACTGGTCTCTCATCATGACTACCTGGACACCCTGCAGACATGCCACATATCTCTGATTGGATACTGAGAAAACAACTGCTTTGAAAGCTAGGCTTGAGACAATGGAACACTCTTACATACTCTGTCTATGATGAATGGCCTTTCTTTTCAGAACCATTCCTAGTAACCAAGCCACTGTCACCCAACCTTGGCATCATCCCACTCTGTTTCACCACAGTGAGTGGGTATCCACTACCACTGCCCAAGTTGCTCAGGTACCAGCATGTACATCTTTCCTTTGTGATTTGTCATATATTCTTAGAGCTCTTCAGTTATATACATTATCTCCTTTGTTCAGTCTCAGGTTCCATCATAATGCCTATTTGTGCGCTAAGGTCTGAGGTTCCTAGGCTTTCGTATTTCAGTAGTGTCATATTGAATCTATTAATAGTCTAATCATTTTGCTGTCCCAAATATCATTGCCTATTCATTTTTTTCCAGTTAGTGGGTAGATTTGAGCAGTTGCAATGGTGATTTCAAAAAATATGATTTTGATTTTGGAAGCAAAATAACTGTCTTAACCATCTGAATTTTTGCCAATCACATTTGGAGAGTTGGCCAATAAAATAGGTCTTTTTAAATTCCACAGAATAATTTTGCATGACTGTTTATGATCAAATTACAGATTACATAGGACATTTTTATTCCCAGTGGTCTATAAATAAAACATCACCTAAACTCGTTTAAATTTAGTAGGGACTAAACAGAGTAGATCATTTGGTGTATACCCAGCTATAAATTCTGATTTTATGCCACTTTGAAGCCTAAAACTTGTTGGTAACTGGATAACTTGTGAATCTTCATTTCTTGCAATAGGTAAATTATATCATCCATAAATAGGCTAATAATGCATGAAGCACTTGAGATTTTCAGTTATTTTCTTACAGAAATTGCCAGTGGTTTTCCTTTTCAAGCAAAATGGAGTGCAGAGAGTAGACAACTCATTTCTTTCTTAACTGCAAAATTAAAAAAAAAATTCTTTAATTTTATGTGGTTTCATTCCTTACTTAAAGCATTAACTAGCTGGAGGAAAATTTATCCAAATTGCTTTTTTTAAAAAAAGTTTTCAAAGTAATATTCATTTAAGGCAGACAAAAGCTTTTTCAGTGCCTGTTTGATGTTACTGTTGACATCGACAATTTGTACTATTTATAGTAGTGCACTCATTTAAAAATTCTCCTTCCACTACCTGCCAAGTGTCTATTTATGATAAATCTGCTTTAGTCTTTATGAATACATTCTAAAATTATATTAATCCATTCTTAGCTAATATGGACATAAACTATCTTGGAAAAAAATGATAAAGGACTGACTATAAGACCCATTCTTTTGAGGATCTGTTTCAGGTTTAAGCGAAATTATGATGTGTCTGTCTATGAGAATTGTGCCTTCTTCTAAAATGTCATTGAAACATTTTATCAAATGATTCTTAAAATAGTCCTTAAAATATTCTTAAAAAATTCTGCAGTCAACCCATCTAATCCTGCGTTTCAGGGATGGGATTTGAAACAGTGGTTGTCTGAAGAGGAACAGCTCCAGTCTGCAGGTCCCAGCGTGATCAATGCAGAAGACAGGTGATTTCTGCATTTCCAACTGAGGTACCTGGTTTATTCTCATTAGGACTGGTTGCACAGTGGGTGCAGCCCACAGAGAGTGAGGCGAAGCAGGGTGGGGCATCACCTCACCTGGGAAGCACAAGGGGTGAGGGGATTTCCCTTTCCTAGCCAAAGGAAGCCATGACAGACTACTTGTAAATACAGGACACTCGCACACAAATCCTGTGCTTTTTCCAAGGTCTCAGCAACCAGCAGACAAAGTGATTCTCTCCTATGCCTGACTCAGTGGCTCCCACACCCATGGAGCCTTGATCACTGCTAGCGCAGCAGTCTGAGATTGAACTGTGAGATGGCAGCTTGGCTGGGGGAGAGGGGTGCACTATTGCTGAGGCTTCAGTAGGTAAATAAAGCCTCCAGGAAACTCGAACTGAGCAGAGCACAGTGCAGCTCAACAAGGCCTATGGCCTCTAGACTCCACCTCTGTGGGCAGGGCATAGATGAACAAAAGGCAGCAGACAACTTCTGCAAACCTAAATGTCCCTGTCGGACAGCTCTGAAGAAAGCAGTGGTTCTCCCAGCATGGCGTTTGAGCTCTGAGAATGGACAGACTGCCTCCTCAAGTGGATCCCTGAACCCTGTGTGGACTAACTGGGAGACTCCACCCAGTAGGGGCTGAATGACACCTCATATAGGCGACTGCCCTTCTGGGACAAAGCTTCCAGAGGAAAGACCAGGCAGCAATATTTGCTGTTCTGCAATATTTGCTGTTCTGTAGCCTCTGCTGGTGGTACCCAGGAAAACAGGGTCAAAGTGGAACTCCAGAAAACTCCAACAGATCTGCAGCTGAGGGACCTGACTGTTAGAAGGAAAACTAACAAACAGAAAGGAATAGCATCAACATCAACAAAAAGGACATCCACACCAAAACCCCATCTGTAATTCACCATTATCAAAGACCAAAGGTAGATAAAACCACAAAGATGGGGAGAAACCAGAGCAGAAAAGCTGAAAATTCTAAAAATCAGACTAACTGTTTTCCTCAAAAGGATTGCAGCTCCTCTCCAGCAATGGAACAAAGCTGGATGGAGAATGACTTTGAAAAGTTGACAGAAGTAGGCCTCAGAAGGTCGGTAATAACAAACTCCTCCAACCTAAAGGAGCGTGTTCAAACCCATTGCAAGGGAGCTAAAAACCTTGAAAAAAGATTAAACAAATGGCTAACTAGTATAAACAGTGTAGAGAAGACCTTAAATGACCTGATGGAGCTGAAAACCATGGCATGAGAACTTTGTGAGGCATGCATAAGCTTCAATAGCTGATTCGATCAAGCGGAATAAAGGGTACCAGTGACTGAAGATCAAATTAATGAAATAAAGTGAGAAAACAAGGTTAGAGATAAAAGAGTAAAAAGAAATGAACAAAGTCTCCAAGAAATATGGGACTATGTGAAAAGACTAAATCTACATTTGATTGGTATGCCTGAAAGTGATAGGGAGAATGGAACCAAGTTGGAAAACACTCTTCGGTATATTATCCATGAGAACTTCCCCAACCTAGCAAGGTAGGCCAACATTCAAATTTAGGAAATACAGAGAACACCACAAAGATACTCCTTGAGAGGAGCAACCCCAAGACACATAATTGTCAGATTCTCCAAGGTTGAAATGAAGCAAAAAGTGTTAAGGGCAGCCAGAGAGAAAGGTCGAGTTACCCACAAAGGGAAGCCCATCAGACTAACAGCGGATATCTCTGCAAAATCTCTGCAAGCTGGAAGAGAGTGAGGGCCAATATTCAACATTCTTAAAGAAAAGAAGTTTCAACCCAGAATTTTATATTCAGCCAAACTAAGCTTCATAAGTGAAGGAGAAATAAAATCCTTTACAGACAAGCAAATTCTGAGAGATTTCGTCACCACCAGGCCTGCCTTACAAGAGCTCCTGAAGGAAGCACTAAACATGGAAAGAAACAACCAGTACCAGCCATTTCAAAAACAGGTCAAATTGTAAAGTCCATCGATGCTATGAAGAAACTGCACAATTAACTGGCACAATAACCAGCAAACCTCATAATGACAGGATCAAATTCACACATAACAATATTAACCTTAAATGTAAGTGGGCTAAATCCCACAATTAAAAGACACAGACAGGCAAATTGGATAAAGAGTCAAGACCCACCACTGTGCTGTATTCGGGAGACCCATCTCACATGCAAAGATGCACATAGGCTCAAAATAAAGGGATGCAGGAAGATGTATCAAGCAAATGGAAAGCAAAAAAAAAAAAAAAAAAAAAAAAAAAAGCAGGGGATGCAATCTTACTGTATGATAAAACAGACTTTAAACCAACCAAGAACAAAAGAGACAAAGAAGGCCATTACATAATGGTAAAGGGATCAATTCAACAAGAAGAGCTAACTATCCTAAATATATATGCACCCAATACAGGAGCACCCAGATTCATAAAGCAATACTTAGAGAAGTAAAAAGAGACTTAGACTCTCACACAATAATAATGAGAGATTTTAACACAACACTGTCAATATTAGACAGATCAATGAGACAGAAGGTTAACAAGGATATCCAAGACCTGAAATCAGCTCTGCAACAACCAGACCAATAGACATCTACAGATCTCTCCGCCCCAAATCAATGGAATGCACATTCTTCTCAGCACCACGTTGCACTTATTCTAAAATTGACCATGTAATTGGAAGTAAAGCACTCCTCAGAAAATGTAAAAGAACAGAAATCACAAAAACTGTCTCTGAGACCACAGTGCAATCAGATTAGAACTCAGGATTAAGAAACTCACTGAAAACTACACAACTACATGGAAACTGAACAACTTGCTCCTCAATGACTACTGGGTAAATAACGAAATGAAGGCAGAAATAAAGATGTACCTTAAAACAAATGAGAACAAAAACACAACGTACCAGAATCTCAGTGACACTTTTAAAGCAGTGTGTAGAGAGAAATTTATAGCAATAATACCCACAAGAGAAAGGAGGAAAGATCTAAAATCAGCACCCTAACATCACAATTAAAAGAACTAGAGAAGCAAGAGCAAACAAATTCAAAAGCTAGCAGAAGGCAAGAAATAACTAAGATCAGAGCAGAACTGAAAGAGATAGAGACACAAAAAAAACCTTCAAAAAATTAATGAATCTAGGAGCTGGTTTTTTGAAAAGATCAACAAAATTGATAGACTGCTAGCAAGACTTATAAAGAAGAAAAGAGGGAAGAATCAAACAGATGCACTAAAAAATGATAAAGGGGATATCACCACTGATCCCACAGAAATACACACTACCATCAGAGAATACTATAAACACATCTACCCAAAGAAACTAGAAAATCTAGAAGGAATGGATAAATTCCTGGACACATACACCCTCCCAAGACTAAACCAGGAAGAAGTCGAATCTCTGAATAGACCAATAAGAGGCTCTGAAATTGAGGCAATAATTCATAGCCTACCAACCAAAAAAAGTCCAGGACCAGATGGATTCACAGCCAAATTCTACCAGAGGTACATAGAGAAGCTGGTACCATTCCTTCTGAAACTATTCCAATCTATAGAAAAAGAGAAAATCCTCCCTAACACATTTTATGAGGCCAACATAAAACTGATAACAAAGACTGGCAGAGACACAACAAAAAAAGAAAATTTTAGACCAATATGCCTGATGAACATTGATGTGAATATCCTCAATAAAATACTGGCAAACTGAATCCAGCAGCACATCAAAAAGCTTATCCACCATTATCAAGTCAGCTTCATCCCTGGGATGCAAGTCTGGTTCAACATATGCAAATCGATAATCATAATGCATCACATGAACAGAATCAAAGACAAAAACCACATGATTATCTCAATAGATGCAGAAAAGGCCTTCAACAAAATTCAACAACGCTTCAAGCTAAAAACTCTCAATAAACCAGGTATTGATGGAACATATCTCAAAATAATAAGAGCTGTTTATGACAAACCCTCAGCCAATATCATACTGAATTGGCAAAAACTGGAAGCATTCCTTTTGAAAACTGGCATAAGACAGGGTTGCCCTCTCTCACCACTCCTATTCAACATATTGTTGGAATTTTGGGCCAGGACAGTCAGGCAAGATAAAGAAATAAATGGTATTCAATTAGGAAAAGAGGAACTCAAATTGTCCCTTTTTGCAGATGACATGATTGTATATTTAGAAACCCCATTATCTCAGCCCAAAACCGACTGAAGCTGATAAGCAATTTTAGCAGAGTCTCAGGATACAAAATCAATGTGCGAAAATCACAAGCATTCCCATACATTATTAATAGAAAAAGAGAGAGCCAAATCATGAGTGAACTCCCATTCACAATTGCTTCAAAGATAATAAAATACCTAGGAATCCAACTTACAAGAGATGTGAAGGACCTCTTCAAGGAGAACTACAAACCACTGCTCAATGAAATAAAAGAAGACACAAAGAAATAGAAGAACATTCCATGCTCGTGGACAGGAGAAATCAATATCGTGAAAATGGCCATACTGCCCAAGGTAATTTATAAATTCAATGCCATCCCCCCATCAAGCTACCAATGACTTTCTTCACAGAATTGGAAAAAACTACTTTAAAGTTCGTGTGGAACCAAAAAAGAGCCCGCATTGCCAAGACAATCCTAAGCGAAAAGAACATAGCTGGAGGCATCATGCTACCTGACTTCAAACTATACTACAAGGCTACAGTAACCAAAACAGCATGGTACTGGTACCAAAACAGAGAGGTCGACCAATGGAAAAGAACAGAGCCCTCCAAAATAATGCCATACATCTAGAACCATCTGATCTTTGACAAACCTGACAAAAACAATAAATGGGGAAAGGATTCCCTATTTAATAAATGGTGCTGGGAAAACTGGCTAGCCATATGTAGAAAGCTGAAACTGGATCCCTTCCTTACACCTTACACAAAAATTAACTCAAGATAGATTAAACACTTAAATGTTAGACCTAAAACCATAAAAACCCTAGAAGAAAACCTAGGCAATATCATTCAGGAGATAGACATGGGCAAGGATTTCATGACTAAAACACCAAAAGCAATGGCAACAAAAGCCAAAATAGACAAATGGGATGTAATTAAACTAAACAGCTTCTGCACAGCAAAAGAAACTACCATCAGAGTGAACAGGCAATACACAGAATGGGAGAAAATTTTTGCAATCTACCCATCTGACAAAAGGCTAATATCCAGAGTCTACCAAGAACTTAAACAAATTTACAAGATAAAAACAACCCCATCAAAATGTGGGCAAAGGAAATGAACAGAAACTTTTCAAAGGAAGACATCTATGCAGCCAACAGACATGTGAAAAAATGCTCATCATCACTGGCTATCAGAGAAAGGCACAAAACCACAATGAGATAGCATCTCATGCCAGTTAGAATGGCGATCATTAAAAAGTCAGGAAACAACAGGTGCTGGAGAGGATGTGGAGAAATAGGAATGCTTTTACATTGTTGGTGGGACTATAAACTGGTTCAACCATTGTAGAAGACAGTGTGGCAATTCCTGAAGGATCTAGAACTAGAAATGCCATTTGACCCAGCCATCCCATTACTGGGTATATACCCAAAGGATTATAAGCCATGCTACTATAAAGACACATGCATATGTATGTTTATTGTGGCCCTATTCACAATAATAGAGACTTGGAACCAAGCCAAATATCCATCAATGGAAGACTGGATTAAGAAAATGTGGCACATATACACCATGGAATATTATGCAGCCACAAAGAAGGCTGAGTTAATGTCCTTTTCAGGGACATGGATGAAGCTGGAAACCATCATTCTGAGCAAACTATCACAAGGACAGAAAACCAACCACCACATGTTCTCACTCATAGGTGGGAATTGAACAATGGGAACACTTGGACACGGGGCAGGGAACATCACATACTGGGGCCTGTCATGGGTTCAGGGGATGGGGTAGGGATAGCATTAGGAGAAATACCTAATGTAAATGATGAGTTAATGGGTGCAGCAAACCAACATGGCACATGCATACATATGTAACAAACCTGCACGTTGTGCACATGTACCCTAGAACTTAAAGTATAATTAATAAAAAGAAAGAAAGAAAGAAAATGTGGCATATATACACCATGGAATACTATGCAGCCATAAAAAAGGATGAGTTCCTGTCCTTTGCAGGGACATGGATGCAGCTGGAAACCATCATTCTCAGCAAACTATCACAAGGACAGAAAACCAAACACCGCATGTTCTCACTCATAGGTGGGAATTGAACAATGAGATCACTTGGACACAGGGCAGGGAACATCACACACTGGGGCCTTTCAGGGGGTGGGGGTGCAGGCGGAGGGATAGCATTAGGAGAAATACCTAATGTAAATGATGAGTTGATGGGTGCAGCACACCAAATGGCACACATATACCTATGTATCAAACCTGCAAGTTGTGCACATGTACCCTAGAACTTAAATAAAAAAAAAATAGTGGTACTACAAAATCTTTATGCATAATGTGGAGTTTAGAAATTTATCATTTTAAGATTACATTGCACAGTAGGGTGAGTATAGTTAACAGTAATGTATTGTATATGTCAAAATAGCTAGAGGAAAATATTTTGATGTTCTCACTAGAAATAAATGATAAATGTTTCAATGAAATATTTGCTAATTACCCTGATTTGATTATTACACATGTATACATGTGTTAGTGCATCACATTGTACCCCATAAGTATGTACAATGATGAAGTATTAATTAAAAATAAAGCTTTTAAAAATGTGGTTGTATTAATATTAGTAATTACATTCCTGTAGTACTTACAATCCACAAACAAAAATTCTGAAATATTGAATCATTTGATCCTCATAGCAGTCTTACATGGTAGTTCAGGTATGTTCACTGAACACCTGCTATATCCTTTGGTGATATAGCATTGAAATTCATTCATTTATGAAAAAAGAGTGTCTGACTCTTTTTCAAGTACTAGGGATTCAAGAATGAAAAGACACCCTGCCCTCATGGATCTTACAATCTAGGAAGGAGACAGGTAACAAGAAAATTGGAAACATATAAAATTAGGTAGTTATTATTACTATGAAGAAAAAGAAAAAAGGTTAATGACACAGATAGGGAGTTACCAGAGGTGTTAGTTTAAATAGGCTTGTCAGGGAAAGCCTTACTGAGGGAGACACTTAGCAGAGATCTTAATGAAGAGAGATCTGTCATTCATTCAACAAACACGATGTCTACCATACACCAAACACTGACATACACACTGGTGACTCAATCACTACCCTCAACAAGTTCTTAGTATAGTAGGGAAGATAAATGAATAAGCAAATTCAATAATGCAATATGGTATATACTGTAGAAGTGTTTTTGAAATATTGTAAGACTCTAGATAAGAGAATAATTAATTCCACTTGGGATAAAAACAGAAAGAGCTTCTCAGGAAGCACTTCAGAAAAATGGTATTTAAACCTAACCTTAAAGAATGAGTAAGAGATTGCCAGGTGGATAGAGGTGGAAGAGGGAAAGGCATTCCAAACAGCTAGAACAGTACAGTCAAAGACGTAATGTTGTGAAAAGTGTTGACCAAGTCTTCAGCAGCATCTCTTACATGCACCATAACTTGCTAGGTGTTATTTATGATAACCAGTGAGATATTAAAGCATTCCATAATTTGTATAGACACTTGAAAGCCAAGAGGATCAAGTATCTTAAAGGATAGAAGTAGATCTCATTCAGCTATAATCAGGAAACTAAAAATAGGGTAAAAATTAATTTATGTTAAATCTATTTGAAGTACAATAGTAGGCTTATCATTTAAAAGTGGTGTCAATCCTTTTTGTAAAGTGACAAATCTTTTAGATATGATAATATGAGCATATATTATTTTAATTTATATTCATGCTTTACAAGTCTGGGTTTGGCAGTGTGGGACTTGGAAACGAGGACTGAAGGGCCTCTGCCATATATTTATATTCACATTCAATACCCAAAGAGGCTTGATAAATGTTGGTTGACTGAAAGAATCCCAAATCAGATGGATCAGATTTCAAGATCCATCATTTGAAACCAGAAGAATCCTCTGAATTAACCTAGCTACTGGTTTTCAAAGGCTTTTTAGGGGGTGAATCCACAAAATCCTTTCCTTAAAAGGAAGCCTTATATGAATCTTGATGTGTAAAACAGATAAAACAGAGCTATTCTTAAGCAACAGGGAAACCTTTCTCACTCAGTCCAAGCTACCTCTCTGGAACTCCATTTATAGATAGAGAAACTGAAATTCAGAGAGACAAATGCCTTATTCACCCATTCACATATTCACTCATCTGTCAAATACCTATTGCATGATGGCTATGTGTCTAGCACTGTGTATTATGTGCTAGGGATACAAAAGTGAAGAAAAAGAGATAGGAGCCAGAACACATGTGGTCTTAGCTAAGAGCAGACTGACTTCTTATGTTGGGGCATAAAGGAAGGCAGAGAGTATGGCTAAGGAGGCAATAGCAAGGTGTGGTGGGAGGGAGAGAAGAGTTTGCTTTACATGGCTTATATTTCCTCAATGAAGTATGAGGCAAGATCATCAGCTGAAAGGGAGGTGGGGAGAAGAATTTGCAGGAAGTTTTAGTAAATGGAAAGTTACATAATCTCAGGGAAGAGAAAAGTCAGCCTACTAAAAAACATTCCAAAACTGCCAGGCAAAAGTAGGAGTCAAGCTTAAAACTCCTGACTTTTTGACCAAATGTCAGTGAAGATCAGAAAGGAGAGACTACTTCTACCTAGCTTTATACCACCCTCATACTTGGACAACAGGCAGTCCTATTTTCCTCCTGTCAAGAACTCAGTAAAAGCCTAGTGCATGAGACATCCATCTTTTAGGTCATAATGCCTGATTCAAATTTAGTATGATTATTACCTATAAGAAATAGTCATGAATTAGCGTATAAGATTCTTAGATGCCTTAATTTTACTCTCCCATAAATTTCTCCCTAGTATAGTATAGAAAGATTACTGCCTTGGGATCCATGAGTAATGGGTTTGAATTCCAGTTTTGACATTGGATAGGTGTATAAAATTACTTTTTCCTTTCTAGATCGTAATTTCTTTATCTGTAAAATGGGAGATAAGGAGAGGAAGTTTATTTTTTCATTTTTTATTTCTTTTTTATTATTATTATACTTTAAGTTCTAGGGTACATGTGCACAACGTGCAGGATTGTTACATATGTATACATGTGCCATGTTGGTGTGCTGTACCCATTAACTCATCATTTACATTAGGTATATCTCCTAATGCTATCCCTCCCCATCCCCCCACCCCACAACAGACCCCGGTGTGTGATGTTCACCTTCCTGTGTCCATGTGTTCTCATTATTCAATTCCCACCTATGAGGGAGAACATGCGGTGTTTGGTTTTCTGTCCTTGCAACAGTTTGCTGAGAATGATTTACAAAGGACATGAACTCATCATTTTTTATGGCTGCATAGTATTCCATGGTGTATATGTGCCACATTTTCTTAATCCAGTCTATCATGGTTGGACATTTGGCTTGGATCCAAGTCTTTGCTATTTTGAATAGTGCCACAATAAACATAAGTGTGCGTGTGTCTTTATAGCAGCATGATTTATAATCCTTTGGGTATATACCCGGTAATGGGATGGCTGGGTCAAATGGTAATTCTAGTTCTAGATCCTCGAGGAATCGCCACACTGACTTCCACAATGGTTGAACTAGTTTACAGTCCCACCAACAGTGTAAAAGTGTTCCTATTTCTCCACATCCTCTCCAGCACCTGTTGTTTCCTGATGTTTTAATGATCACCATTCTAACTGGTTTGAGATGGTATCTCATTGTGGTTTTGATTTGCATTTCTCTGATGATCAGTGATGATGAGCACTTTTTTCATGTGTCTTTTGGCTGCATAAATGTCTTCTTTTGAGAAGTGTCTGTTCATATCCTTTACCCACTTTTTGATGCAGTTGTTTTTTTCTTGTCAATTTGTTTGAGTTCATTGTAGATTCTGGATATTAGACCTTTGTCAGATGAGTAGATTGCAAAAATTTTCTCCCATTCTGTAGGTGGCTGTTCACTCTGATGGTAGTTTCTTTTGCTGTGCAGAAGCTCTTTAGTTTAATTAGATCCCATTTGTCAATTTTGGCTTTTGTTGCCATTGCTTTTGGTGTTCCAGTCATGAAGTCCTTGCCCATGCCTATGTCCTGAATGGTATTGCCTAGGTTTTCTTCTAGGGTTTTTACGGTTTTAGGTCTAACATTTAAGTCTTTAATCCAT
This sequence comes from Homo sapiens, assembly GCF_000001405.40. Lineage (NCBI taxonomy): Eukaryota > Metazoa > Chordata > Mammalia > Primates > Hominidae > Homo > Homo sapiens. Next base: position 64,597,252 of record NC_000023.11, on the reverse strand, counting down.
CTTGAATTAATTTTTGTATAAGGTGTAAGGAAGGGATCCAGTTTCAGCTTTCTACATATGGCTAGCCAGTTTTCCCAGCACCATTTATTAAATAGGGAATCCTTTCCCCATTTCTCGTTTTTGGCAGGTTTGTCAAAGACCAGACAGTTGTAGATGTGTGGTATTATTTCTGAGGGCTCTGTTCTGTTCCATTGGTCTATATCTCTGTTTTGGTACCAGTACCATGCTGTTTTGGTTACTGTAGCCTTGTAGTATAGTTTGAAGTCAGGTAGTGTGATGCCTCCAGCTTTGTTCTTTTTTCTTAGGATTGACTTGGCAATGTGGGCTCTTTTTTAGTTCCATATGAACTTTAAAGTAATTTTTTTTTCCAATTCTGTGAAGAAAGTCATTGGTAGCTTGATGGGCATGGCATTGAATCTATAAATTACCTTGTACAGTGTGGCCATTTTCACGATATTTATTCTTCCTACCCATGAGCATGGAATGTTCTTCCATTTGTTTGTGTCCTGTTTTATTTTGTTGAGCAGTGTTTTGTAGTTCAAGGAGAGGAAGTTTAGATAGAAATCTGTGCTGACTAATTTTTCCTTGTTTACCCAGGGCTTTCATGGTTTTAACACTGAGAGTCCAACATCCTGGAAACCCCCTAAGTCCCACACAAACTGAATGGTTGGTCACCTTAACTAGATCAGCCTTTTTCAAAATACTACTTGACACTAATAGATTTTTTTTTTTTTTTTTTGTAGAAAAGGGAGTTCTAGGATGAAAGAAACCTGGAAAATTGTACCTATACATGACTCTTTTCTGAAGAATTTTGAGTATCATAAATCTCAGGCAAGGAAACTAGTACATAGTATTTTCCAATCTTATTCAACCACATGACTCTCTTCCCCCAGAGTATCTTAGAAGACTACCATTCCATGGATAATACATTGAATAATACTGAATTAGATGGTAAGATTGCTTACAGTTGATAAACAAATGCTTAATTATCTGAGAGTAGCAAGGTATGAGGACTTCCACAGGAACTTGTCAGCTATATGGGCAATTTGGAGATTGGTCAACTTTTGAAATGTACTGGGGGAGATTGGTCAACTTTTGAAATGTACTGGGGGAGATTGGTCTAGTTCAAAGAATGTATTGTTTGACCACAGAGTTCTTTGGAATCATAGAATTCAGGCTATCTAAAGTTTGATTCTATCAGAAGACTGGGGAAAACAATATACCAAGATAGTAAGTCTGGGTGGTAGGATTATGGTAATTTTTTAATGTTTTTAATATTTTCCAAATTTTATAATAGAAAAAATGAATTACTTTTATTTGCACCCAAAGGAGGTATTTTAATAATTTTTGATTTTTCAAATTTACACAGTTTTTTTAGAGCCCCACTAAAGTCATTAGAACTAACTTCTCTGGCTTGATTTACCTGGTATCTATTGAGAGTACAGTGGTTAAAAACACAGGCTTTGGAGTCAGATCTGAGTATGAATCTCAGCTGTGCTTCAGACAAATTAGCCTCTCAGAATTATGAGTTTTCATCTATAAAATTGTGGCTGTAGTACTCTCTACCTCACAGGTTGCTTCAAAGATTAAGAGAGATAATAAGGCCAGGCATGACAGCTCATGCCTGTGCTCCCAGCACTTTGGGAGAGTGAGGTAGGATGATCACTTGAGCCCAGGAGTTCAAGACCAGCCTGGGCAACATTGTGAGACTTTACCTCTACTAAAAATAAAAAAAAAAAAGATAGCCAGGCACGTTAGTGCACACTGGCAGTCCCAGCTACTTGGGAGACTGATGTGGGAGGATCACTTGAGCCCAGGAGATGAAGGCTGCAGTGTGCTGTGATCATACCATTACACTCCAGCCTGGGAAACAGAACAAGATCCTGTCTCAAAAAAAAAAAAAGGAATAACACGAAATATTTATTTAGTCCTGGCTTTAATACTGCTGTGTGACTGAATAGCTGTGTGGCTTTGGGCAGGACACTTTCCTTCTCCAAGACTTTGTAAAATGATGTGATATGGTAGGGAAAATGTTGCTTTGGTAGTCAGAAGACTAGAGTACTAGCTCTACCACTAACTGTATGATTGTAGGCAAACCACTACTTCTTTTTATGCCTCAGTTTAAAGTGGAGAATGGAAAAATGATTGGGATGATTTCTAAGATTATTTATGGCTCTTAACAGCCTAGGAGGAACCAAAGTGTGTTGCTAGCTATCCCCACCTCTGTTTGTATCAAACAATCTGTATTGAGCACCCACTGTGCACATATTCATGCATTTGGTAACCATATATTAAGCATTAAATAAACATTGCCACCCTTTATAGATGGAGATATTCAATCATCTGCAATACTTGTCTTAAACATTCTTGAGTGTTCTTAGGGACTTGTGTGCTTACCAACGTTTTTGCTATTACAAACAAAGTTGAATACCAGGTACTCACTCTCCTTATTCTTCCTTTACCTTATTACTTCTAACCTTCACATTGTTTTTGTCACCTCAGGCCCCTAAGCCTGTGCCCTGAGTGGGCTTCTCTTTTACTGCCTGTACAATGAAGGGAGATAGAGTCAAAGGTCTCTGAGGACTTTTCCAGATCACTGGCCCTGGGAAATGGCCTCTGAGGCCTTCTGCTGGATGTAACCATTGCCTAACAGAATAAACCGAAGTGAATCATCACTGAAGGCAAGAATGGAACCTTGATGTCCTGGTTCAGCTCAGAACACTCTCCAATCTCTCTGGACACTAAAACCAGGCCAGAGGTTGCACAGTCTATTATTTCCTACTATAAACATGGCTGATCATACCTGGGCCCACATGATGGGACCTTTTCTGGAGCCAAAATGGTCCTCTACTCCTCAGATTCTACCCTCACCTGGCTACAAATAATCTGAAATTCATAATTCGACTGATTCCTTTGGGGTGAGGCATTGTCCTTCCAAAAATATATATATTTCCCAGCAGTGACTACCATTACCTCCTCTCCTTATTTAATAGGTGAAAAGGGAGAGACTGCTTGAGAGCTCTGAGAATCCTGGGGCAGTGAGGAGGGTTGGATAAGGAAGCTATAGTATTTCCTGGAAAGACCTTAGTTAGAAATCAGAACACCTAGACTGTCTTTGCCTCTTAAGCACTCTGAGATACTAGACAAATCATTCCGCTGGACCTACTTCCTTAATTGTGAAATATGAATAATACCTGTTTGGCCCAACTTCTCTGAAGTTTAAGGAGGATCAAAAGAGAAAAGTTCAAGTGAAAATAATTTGTCAACTAAGTGCCCCTAAAGCACATGAGGAATTCTTTTGACAGATGCCCCAAGTCTAATTGCCTGGGACTTGGCCGACTGTAACAGCTCTTCCAGCACCATGGTCTGGGAGTTATGCAAATACAGTCTCTGGTCAGAGATGAATTTGGAAAGTAGAGACAACTTGGGAAATAAGCCAGACAATTAAGGAATCTAGGTTTATTGCCCCTTAATAGAAAATTGGGCCTGAAGCTTTTGGGGACTGTGTTTACTTGTAGCTACATATAGTTTTTTCTTTTCCTTTTTGTTCTTTAAAAGGGGAAATTTTGCTTACATCCTCTTTAAGAGGCTGCATCTGAAAAATCATCATGATGTGTTTTTGCAAACTTTCCTACTGTCTCTACTCTTCTCCCTGTTAAACTCTTGTTGGAGGAAAGGGAACACATGGAGATTAAGGGCTCTCTCTCTCTCTCTCTCCAGTATTGACCATAAATATTCACCTTCTTGAGAAGGAAAGGGGATTTAGCATGCAAGCTGTTTTCTGTGTGCTAGTAGAAACTTTAAGAATGCAAAGAGCTGAAGAAACTTAATCTTCAGTCACTGAATTCAATTCAGATTTCATTTCCAATTTAGCAAATTGATTCTCTCCAACTGCAAACACCAAATGAAGCTTGTGGGCACTGCAATTTCTCATCGGGGTTGTCTCAGCAATAGTAGTTTTCATTGATTCTACCACTTCTCTCTGGGGGAGTGTCTTCTACTTTATAGACCTTAAACATTTCATTCTGCCTATCCTCCTTTAAAGCAATGTTCTTTCAAATTAATCTTTTAAACCACTGGAAAGTTATGGATAGCCAGCAATTATTGTTCCTTTTACTCGGGCTGGAGTCAGGCCTCAAGTATTCAGTTGTCATTGCTAGCCAATAGTTCTCCAATGAGGACTTATTGATAATAGATTACATCAAGAATTCACTAGGTGTTCCGGACTGGAAAATTGCCCTCTGAAGTGTAGAGTCTTTTGTTATTTACAAAGCATTTTCATACCCATATCTCATTTGATTCTCATAACAGCTTCACATGTCAGAGTAGTTATTCTGGCTTCTGTTCTACAAATGAGAAAATTGAGGTGAAGCCAAGTTAAGTAACTAACCCCAGGTCACACACAGCCAGTAGGTGAGATAGTCAGGACTTAATCTGACATTCTTTTAAGTCTACCTTGCTGTCAGCAAACTGGTGAGACAGGGTAGATACTATAAAGGCCCACTGAACTGAGAGCCAAGATTTCTGGGTTACAGTCCTTATCTGATCACCCAATTTGCTCTGTGATTTTGAAAAGTCACTTCCTATCCCTAGGGCTCAAGTCCTCTGTCCTGTAAAGTGAGAGTAATGGCTAAGATCTTAGACTTTAATTTCAGACAAACGAGTTCAAATCCTAGCTTGGTCAGTTACTAATTGTGTGATCTTTGGCTAATTGATTTACCTCTTTAAATCTGTTTTCTCATCTGTGAAACTGTATAGTAGTACACATTTTGTAGGTTGTAGGAGATCTGTCAGGGTGGTGGCAGAAATTATAGAAAAAAGATGCAAACCTTCTTGGAAGGCCAGGAGATTTTACAAAAGCTTCCAAAGAGGATTTGGCTGAAGCCAGCCAGATTCTCTTATCCAGAGCCTGAAAGCAAAGGTTAGATAACAAGAGGATGTAAATAAATTGATCTAGATAAGTTAGTTTACTTAGGCCTCGGAAACTGGCCTTTAATTATCCCTGCGCAAGACGTGGGGCAGGGCACGACCATGCCACCATGTTAGTTACCCACAAGTGTGTTGACTCAAAGCCTTTGTCATTAAATCTGTACTAAATAAATGCCTGCAGTGCCAGCTTGTCATGGCTGTGGCCACTGTGACTCTTTATGGCACCCTCTTCGATGTCTGTGAGCAGCCCGGTCCCCTACCATGCAGCCAGGGAAAAAAACCTGTGTCTGTGTACATTTTTTCATCCATTGTTCAGCCAGGGTCTCTGGGTCAGGCCTGGAAGTAGGTTTGTTGTAAGGATTCAATGAAATACTGCATGTAATGCTCCTTAATGCAGTGCCCAGGTTGCAATAAGCCCTTAAAAAATCTTATCTGCTATTATTATAATTATAGTTATTATACTAGATGTGACTTACAAGGGTGTATCCACTTCTGAAATTTTCTAAGTCCAAGAGATTGTACACTTCTAAAAAGAGGACATTAGAAGAGTTAAATACACTGATCAGCATAAGACATTATTACTATTGCCAAGGTATTTGCAGATTTTTACAGAACACTAAGACCTCTACCCCCCAGGATTTAGAACTTGGTAGAGACTAGCAGTCATGTGAGCCTAATCAATTAATTGCCATAAAACACCCACAGATTCCATATTGAGTGCTGTAGTCAGTTCATTGCTGTTCTCCTGGTATCCACTGGATTCCAATAAAGACCATCTCCTTGACCAAACTTTAGCTAGGCTCCTCTGAGTCCTCTTTTTGACTAGGCTTTGTCCTTGGGCCTTATCTTTGGCACATCTAGTCCAGTGGTAGCAAGAATCCTTCTAAGCCAGTACAGAGAGAATATCTCACCCTTAATATCTGATCGCCCTGGCCTGCCTTCAGCAAGAATTCTGTTAAATCAGTTTAGCAAGAAACACCCAACCCTTGATGTGACTTTTTAGTAACTTTCCATCCACTTGCTCCAACCCAACAAGCAGAATGAGGTTCTGCTTGTTGGCTATAAATCTCCACTTGTCCCTGCTGCATTTGGAGTTGAGCCTGATCTCTCCCATATTATGATAGTCTCAACATCTACTAACAATGTTCCTAAAGTTTTTCTTACCATTTTAACTGTTGTAATAATTTTTTCCTTAGCAATTCTGGCTATCTCCAATGCACTCATAGCGTGTACTATACAATGTAGCACTTTATCAAACCCTGTCTTATATCCTCTGATTGTCTTTTGCATGTAAGTCCAAAGCCATTGCTTTGTTCATTGTTCAACTAAGATTAGAATCCTGGACCCAGAGGCCTCACTTCATTAGCAGAGGTGCCAATGAAAGGCCCGTCATTATTTCTTGATTGAGGGTAGAAAGGGGTAGGGAGTAAAAGAGGTCTCATTCTTTAAAGCACCTCAGTACAATAGGCATCCAGTGATCCATCCAGCTTGGCTAAGCACTGTTCCTTACATTTGGATACAGAAAAATATAAAGGAGGAAAGTATCTTAGCATAAAAATGTTTCAAGCCAGGATCAATTAATGCCAACAACTTGAAGGCATATCAAGCCTACCTGAGTCTTTTCTGTTTTCTTCTGAGTAGAGAGGGAGGTGGTGGTGGGGCAGCCAGTTGGGAAGGAAGAGAGGGGATCACTGAACTATTTTCAGTTCAAATTAAGAGGCAGGACAGGGGCGGTGGCTCACGCCTGTAATCCCAACACTTTGGGAGGCCGAGGTGAGTAGATCACCCGAGGTCAGGGGTTTTGAGGCTAACCTGGCAAACACAGTGAAACCCCATCTCTACTCAAAATAAAAAATTAGCTAGGCATAGTGGCGCACGCCTGTGGTCCCAGCTACTGAGGAGGCTGAGGCAGGAGAATCACTTGAATCCAAGGGGCGGAGGTTGCAGTGAGCTGATCACACCATTGCACTCCAGCCTGGGTGACAAAAGCGAAACTCCATCTCAAAAAAAAAAAAAAAGTTTAGAGGCATACACAGTTGCAAATAAGCCTAGCTTGCTGGCACCTCTACTAGAAGTGGGTCTCAGACTAGTCCTTCTACAAACAACACTAAGATAATGACAAGAGTGTGTCTTGTTCAAGCAAGAGATTGCTACAAAAAAATACTAAATAGTTTCCCATCTCTGTGGGTGGAAAGTAAACTGGACTGGAAATTGAAAAAAACTGAAATCTAGCTCCAGCGCTGTAGCTCACACATTATGACTCCTCCCTGGACCTGCTTCCTTACCTGTAAAAGGAAGGGTAATTTTGCTGTCCAGTCTGCCTATACCTTGTGGCCAATCCCATCAAAGCCCATGCATAAAATCTTCTGGAGAAACAGTATAAATTCTGGGGACCATTGCAGGATTCATAGCGCTGAAGTTTGGTTCTGTCTTCCAAATTCTCTTTCTTCAATTTTTAGCATTTTACTTCACTTGTCTCCTGAAATTCATGTCACACTGTGTGCACGAATGAGTGAACCAAGTCACTTCTCAGGCACACCATTTCTCCATCTCCGTAAGTGAGAAGCAGATAGTGGTTCATGGAATCAGCAAAGCTAGATTGCCACACAGGAATCTGAAGCTTGCATGAAGGAAGCTATAGGATGAGGACATCCTCACCCTGGGAGACCAGCAGTTCAGACCAGAAAGGGCTCATCTTACAGACATTGCAGCAAGGTCTATATGAGTTCAAAGTGTTGAAGGGATGAATTCAAGGAGCTGGGAAAGAGGGAAATAACTGAGGCCCTGTGGATGAACGTGGAACATCACAGGGGAGCAAGTCCAGGATAAGACGAAAGAGCAAAAGATTCAGGTTTCAGCTGACAGTGGGCAAGTCAGTGATCTTTCTTGGGTTTGATTTCTATCTGTAAAATGAAAATTCACAATATGTACTCTGCTTTGTCTCTGGGATGAGCAGGTTTATTTTGAGGAGCAAAGTTAATAATATGTCAAAGAGCTTCATAAACTATAAAAGCATATATAATGAAAAGTTTTAAAATATTACTGATAATGGTAGGAGCAGGGGCATGGGACCATGGAATAACAAGAGACAACTGGAATATAATGGAGTGAACATATCAAAGTAGAGATGCCAGATAAAATACAACAGACATTACAGGAAATTAAATTTAAATTGCATGCCAAATTAAATTTAAATTTCAGATAAACAATGAATACTTTTGTAGTGTGCTCCAAACATTACACGGGACACATATATAGTAAAACAAATGTGTGGTTTATCTAAATTTAAATTGTAATTGAGCATCTGCACTCTTCTTTACTAAATTTAGCAACCCTATACCAAGTCCTACCCCATCACTTTACTTTGGATAACTTACCTCATTCCCTACGGCCTCAACTAACCCCAGCAACCTCCCAAGCTGACTCTAAGGATCAAAGAAGGTAAAGGATGTAAAAGTGAAGCATTACACAAGTGCAAGGTATTATTTTTATTCCACTCTGAGACACTTTCTGCTTCTCTTACTGAGAAAATTCCAGCTATAATCAAACATTTTATCTGTCTCTTAAATCACTCAGTATACACAGTAGGAAAAGTGAAAGATTACTGTAATAGGCTGAATAATATTCCCCCATATATAAGTCCATGTCCTAATCTTTGAGACCTGTGAATGTTACCTTATATGGCAAAGGAAATTTTCAGATGTGATTAAATTAAGGATCTTTTGATGGGGTGACCATCCTGGACCATCTGGATGGGCCCAACATAATGACAATGGTCCTTATAAAAAGAAGGCAGGAGGATTCAGAGCCAAAGGAATGAGTGATGTGATTACAGAAGCAGATATTAGAGCAATGCACATGAAGACGGAGGAAAGGATCACAAACCAATGAATACAGGCAGCCACTAGAAGCTGAAATAGGCAAGAAAACGGATTCTCCCCTCCCCTACCTCAACCCCAGAGCCTTCGGAGAGACCAGTCCTGGTGACACACCTTGACTTTAGTGCAATGAAACTAATTTTGGACTTCTGACCTCCAGAAATGTCAGATAATACATTTGTATTATTTTAAGCCAGTACATTTGTAGTAATTTTTTACAGCAGCAATAGGAAACAGAGACACTTACCTTGCAACTGCTTCTAAGTTGGATCAGATCTAGCCCAAGATGGAAAGGCACAGAACAGAAATCAGTGGTTTTCAGTCCTAGCTGCACATTACATCAAACAGAAATCTTTTTTAAAAAAATTTAATATCTGTGCCCAGATGTAGCTGGTCTGAGGTAGGTCCCCATCTGTACTTTTTCCAAGTTCCCAGGTGATTCTAATGTGCAGTCAGAAGTAACCACTGTCATAGATAGAGCTGGAAATGAGCATAACTATCTATTTCATCATCCTATTTTGACAGGAGGATAAACTGAGGCCTATGGGGTGAAGTAACTTGCCCAAGATCACACAGAAAACTGATAGCCAAGCCTACAACAAGAAAGTGTCTAATCAGCATGTGTGAGCATCCCTGAAAAAAATCACTAAACTGGCAATAAGCAAGCAAATCAACATGAAGGGAGGTGAATGGGATGGGCATTTTTTTTTCCCTTAAATTCAGTATTTGTGGTAGCCTTTCTTATTCTTCCACAGATCTGATCTATACTAAAGCAGTAATCACCTCTGTGTCCCTGAGGTCTCTAATTCAGGCTTCATTGGTTCAAGGACCAGAAGAAACTATTCATGAGTAAATTATGAATAATTCTCCCTACCTGATTGATCCTGGAGGAAGTTATTAATTTGCAACTGTAAACTTAAACACTTGTAATTTAAACCATTCAGATTACTTTGGGGAGGTTTTGCATGTTTGCCCCTTTGAAAAATATTTTGGATTAATTATATCTCAGAGGTCAGGCCATCTATTAGCAGCAGCAGGTTTCGGCCCTTAGGAAAAGAGCAATAAATCCTTTTCTATTTCCTTTAAAATTTACAACCTGCAGTCTTTTTCTAGAAACCCTACTTTCTCCTGTGAAGTGCAGGTGCAGTCCCCATTGATCTCTAGCTGTCTTTAAAGTTCTCCAATAAATATTGTTCTGAAAAAGAAATATGTATCTATATATGCATGCATACGTGTGCATGTATTTCATGCTGACAGTAAAAGTCCCACAGTTGGCCGAGGATGGCTCACACCTGTAATCACAACACTTTGGGAGGCTGAGACGAGCAGATCATTTGAGGTCAGGAGTTTGAGACCAGCCTGGCCAACATGGCGAAGCCCCGTCTCTACTAAAAATACAAAAATTAGCCAGGCGTGGTGGCATGTGTCTGTATTCTCAGCTACTCGGGAGGATGAGGCAAGAGAATCGCTTGAACCCAGGAGGCGGAGTTTGCAGTGAGTTGAGATCACACCATTGCACTCCAATCTAGGTGACAGAGTGAGACTCCGTCTCAAAAAAAAAAAAAAAAAAAAAAGAAAAGAAAAGCCCCACAGTTATAAGAGTGAGCTGAATCCCCAGACTCCCTCATCTATCTTGTAGGAAGCCAGGGTCTAAATGGGAGATTAAATGGCTAATTCTGGAGTAAATATTAACTAGCACGAGTGAAATACTGCCTTCTTATAAGTTTCCCTCAGCATATAAACATGGGATACACTTTTTAATGCGTTAAGAAACCTTAAGACCACCTTGGAACTGATGAGAACGTTCCCACTGTAGACATAGTTTCCCCCACTCATCAGCTAAATTATATTGTTTGCAAGTGAAGCCCTTCCCCTTTATGAGAAAGCAATGACAGCAGCCACAGTGTACTGTTAATAAAAACCAGGCAGACGAGACTCTTGTCCATCTTAAGAGGAACATTTTTTATTAGAAAACAGAAAATCGGCTGGGCGCGGTGGCTCACGCCTGTAATCCCAGCACTTTGGGAGGCCGAGGCAGGCAGATCATGAGGTCAGGAGATCGAGACCATCCTGGCTAACACGGTGAAACCCCGTCTCTACTAAAAATACAAAAAATTAGCTGGGCGTGGTGGCAGGCGCCTGTAGTCCCAGCTGAGGCAGGAGAATGGCGTGAACCCTGGAGGCGGAGCTTGCAGTGAGCCGAGATTTGCGCCATCGCACTCCAGCCTGGGCAACAGAGCGAGACTCCGTCTGAAAAAAAAAAAAAAAAAAAGAAAAGAAAACAGAAAATCACCTCTAAGATCCAGGGCTGGGTTTGAGCTTTGTTTTCCCGTTTGCTTGGTGCTTCCCTCAACAATGAGGTTCAGGATAGAACAAGGAGTCCTGGAGTAGTGTGCCTGGGGTGTGTGGACCAGAGGCTGGTCCATATGAAATTATGCCAACCAATAGGGAAGGAGGGGGCAAAACAATGGGAAGGAGGGTTGTAATAAAGTGGAATCAAAATCTTCAAGCTTACTGAACACTTGAAGAATACAAGGGCTTTTATGCTTGTAGAGCATTGGAACTTCCCACACTCAGAAAATATTCACTTAGAACCAGTAAAAGATTGGTTATTGATAGGCAGTTGTGGGGAGGTGGTCACCTTGAAGTAATCTTGTCCTAAGAGATGGTGCAGAAAGTGAGATTTGGGGGATATCGCTCAATTATTCTATGGCAGCCCCATAATAGGTTGTGAAGAGTAGAATAAGCCCTTCAGGGCTCATGTTTAGCCTTTGCTCTTTGAGAGGCTCTGCAGTTCTCTATATCACACATGCCTGGGCTTTCTGATCCTGAATCTTACTCATAATGGGCAGCCTGATGATCTGGTTTACTGTGGAATCAGAGATGACAGAGATGTGGGCCCTGTCCTGCAAGGAGCTCTGCCCAATTGGGAAGATGACTGACAAACAACCAAGTACAATCCTGCTATAAGCAGGCAAGTCTGCAAATATACATCAGAGATTGTGAGTGGGCAGCTCTATCTGAGACAGTGAAGATGTGTTTCCCAAAGAACAGGCGTAACTTTCAATGGAAAGAAAATACTGAATTTAGAAATCAGAATTAGTAAAGATAGAGGCAGAACTACTCTAAAACACAAATTCGGGAGAGACAGTGAAGGATGGTTTCTGTCTAGAGCTGAATTTTGAAGAATTACTATTTAGGAATTTTCAAGGTGGACAAGAAAGTGAGGAACATTCAAACAAAGGGAACAAAATATATAAAGTACAATACAAAACGCCATAATGATTTTAGGCATCTACAAATAACTTGCTATTCCTAGCACAATGCTTATAGTTTTCAAAGTATTTTTGTAGAAAATGCATTCATATGGCTCAAAAGTCAAAATCATAAACAATGACATGCAATTGAGAAATCTTGTTCCTACCTCTGTCCCTGTCCACATAGTACTAGTATCATCCTTGAAGCCCCCAAGGATTGCCTCTTTTATTAATGTCCGTTATATCCCTCCAGTGTTCTTACATGAAAACACAGGAAATTTTAAATCTGTATTCTCACACCTGCTCCCCTCCACAAAAGGTAGCATAGCACATACGGTTTTGCACCTCACTTTTTTTCTACCAAACAATATGTTCTGGAAATCTTTCCATTATTAGTTTATAGAGAACTTCTTCAAATTTTTTGGTTGGCTTTATAGTATGCCATTGTCTCTGTATCATAATGTAACCTGTACACTATTGATAGACCTGATAGACAGTTAGTTTATGTCTAATGTTTTCCCATCATTTCTAAATTTCTTCAACAACCCAGTTACTATTATTATACCATATTATAAGTGAAAAATCTGAGATTCAGAGAGAACAAATGAAATGCTGATGGTCTCAACTGCTTATTAGTAGTAACAAACCTAAATTGGTTCATTTGGAGACTGAATAGGAAACCCTATGCTTCTTGCTGACACCACCCTTGAGTTAGATATGTTTACTGGCTCATAAAACCGCCAGAGCATATTGAACTGAGTGGAAGTAAGTACAAATAAAATGTCTTTAATAAAATGTCCTGCTTGTAATCCCAGCACTTTGGGAGGCTGAGGCGCATGAGTCGCTTGAGCCCAGGAGTTCAAGACCAGGCTGGGTAACATGGCAAAACCCTGTCCCTACAAAAAAATAGAAAAAAAATTAGCTGGTCATGAGGATGGATGCCTGTAGACCCAGCTACTTGTGAGGCTGAGGTGAGAGGATCACCTGAGCCCACAAGGCTGCAGTGAGCAGTGATCATGCAACTGTGCTCTGGCCTGTAAAAGGAGTGAGACCCTGGGTAAGAGAGTGCAACCCTGTCTTAAAAAAAAAAAATCCTGATGCCATGTAAGAATTCCCGACCCCTGTGGCAGCTGTAGTGGCATGGAGAAGCTACCAAACTAAGAGGGCTACTTGTTAAAAAAAATACTAGGTCTACTAGTTACCAACAAATGTGAGGACAATGTGAACTAGATATTTTTAAAGTTCAATAGAAACTAAAGTTCCACATCCTCATATGAGGTGGTTTTATCAGCTCCAAATTTCAAGAACAATGGCTATATAATTTCTCTAAACCTCTAAAAGTGTCTGTAGCAGCCATGAGGGAATCCAGGGCAGAGCTATTTTTGAGAAATGGCAGCTATTTGTGGAGTATTATCTGAGTGGTACCAGCAGGTATCCATCCCCAAAGCAATCTTATTTTTACTCCTTGCCATTGTTCCTCAAATGCCACCAGTGAATATTTAAACCTTGGAGAGAAATACCTCACACCATCATAGAAAGTTACAACAACTTAGAGTAAGGCCATGAAGAAGTGGGACAGGGGACTGCCTTTTAGTGGGAGGCCAAAGCAAATTTTATCAGTATTTCCTGAGTATATAAGTGCCAGGCACTCTGCTTCTCCCCACTGTAGGGAATGCAAAGATGAATAAGATACTATCTCCACCCTAGTCTAGTAGAGACAGGTAAAAAAGTGTGTCTACTAGAAAGGTGACTCTGACAAATATTGTAATAGAAGTTTGGGAGTTGTGAGAAGGGAGAGAACTTCACTCTGGCTTCTTGGAAGAGCTGGAATTGGATCAGAAATTTCAAGAAAAAGCACTGTTGTATGCCAGATGCTGTTTCAAGGAAATGTAGTACCATTTATTTAGCACTTATTGTGTGCCAGATGCTATGCTAAGTGTTTTGCGTGCATTTATTTAATCCTCACAACAACCTTATTTTACAAATGAGAAAACTGAGTCTCAAAGATAAAGTAATTTACCCAAGGTGAACCAGTTGCTAAATAGAAAGAGGCCAGATTTAAATCCACTTTTTCTGATTCCAGATCTCAATTGCTTCCTTTTTATTTTGTTTTATTTTTATTTTTTCAAGACAGGGTCTAATTCTGTTACCCAGGCTGGAGCTCAATAGTGCCATCACGGCTCACTGCAGCCATGACCTCCTGGGCTCTGGTGATCCTCCCACCTCAGCCTCCCGAATAGCTGAAACTACAGGCACACATCACCACATGCAGTTATTTTGTATTTTTTGTAGAGAAAAAGGTCCCACTATGTTGCCCAGGCTGGTCTTGAATTCCTGAGTTCAAGCAATCCTCTCATCTTAGCCCCACAAAGTGCCAGGATTACAGGCTTGAACCATGGCAACTGACCCTTAAATGCTTCTTAATCACTGTGTTCTACTGACTCTTGAGACAACAGACAGAGGTAATGGAAGTTCCAAGCAAAAGGAATAAGGGTGGCAGAGTAAGAGAAATGAGGATACATTCTGGAAGAGGTGGGATCTGTGAGGGAAAATAGGATGGGAAAATAGGAAGTACTTCTTGGTACTTCCGCCTACCAAGTGGGACAGGCTCTGCAGGTGTCTAAATGAGCACCTCTGCTCTGCTTTGTGGGTTAGAGGAGGGATCTTTCTTCACTTCAGAAGTGACCCTGGAAGGGGAGTTCAGCCAGCCAGTCGGGCAGTTTATAGTAGAACCTCAGGGGACACCAGTAGGCAGTGGAGACATTATCATATATATTTAAAATATGTATGTGCCAGGCACAATGCTACATGTATGGTCTCCTTTAGTCCTCAGCCATCCTGCAAAGCAGGGGTTAGACCTGTTTTACACTAGGCCACACATGGCTGTGGTCCAGGTCCCCCTAGGCCTGCTGGCCCTTTCCAATACTTTTGGATACTCCAAGCCCTCAGATCTAGGGACTTGAGTAGTGAAGACACTATACAGAGGACATGTTGGGCTGGAGGAAATCTGATACTGAGCTCCCTGATGCCTCCATGGGTATTAATTTTTCTGGCGAAGGCCATCCTAGGCCCAAAGAAATGCAAAGCCTCCAGGGTAGCCTTGGGGTTGGGGACTGGGGAGTACTGCTTGCAAGAGTCCCAGGACATCCAGGCTATTTGAGCACAGGGAAGACAAACAGGAATGAGGAGGGCAGGGAGAGAGCCCCAAGGTGGGCTCAGAAGCACAAAAATGTTGTCCAATCAAGAAAAATGAGTTTTAAAGTGCTTTGAAGGGAGAAGGGTCAGACAAGCCTTCTCGAAGTCCTGTCCCTGTCACAATTCTCAAAATCTTTTCTTCCCCAACACATCCTCAAAGGGAGGGGGAAGCAAAGGCAATACTTTTCAGCATGGGGTCTCTGCTGTCTGGTACAGGGTAGGTGCTCAATAATAAGCAAATAAATGATATTTTATTTATCTCAAGCTGAGACCAATCAGGAACACACCTTAGTGGGTAAAGGGAATCTGATGAGTAACTGCTTCTCCTAGACAGGGAGTCCCATACTTCCCCAATAGCTCAGGTGAAGGTGGACTGTGGGAGCATTCCAAACCCCTGCCTGACAAACACTTACATTTGAAAGCAAAATTATGAGGCAAAGGGTCTTGGGGTCTGACTTCCCAAGGTAGACCTAGGTTGCTGGGTTCAAGACTATCCCGAAGCACTTTCCTCTGAGATATAACAAGACTTTTGTAATTCATAGAAAACATTTGATTCCTCATAGCTCCATCCCAACATGATATAAGTAGCAGGCTATTGAGGAAGCAGGTTTTGAGAAGCAAAGTGCCTGACCTAAAGTCACACAGTTGGGATGGGGTGGAATTGGAGTTCCAACATTGGTCATCTGACCCTCCATTTACCATGCCAACTACCTTGAATTCCCCTGGCACCAATACATGAACCCAGTGGAAAGAAGACATCTCCCTCCCCTGCCACAGTCTTAGCTCCCCTCTGCTACTCACCTCAACCCCAGGATTAGCTTCTGGAGATGTGATCATAGCCTCATCGGAGTGCCAAGGTGCATCCTCTGGAGACTGTCCCTGATCTAGCCGAGCCTGGAAGGTGGTACAACAGTAATGAAGATTATGTATCCCACAGCAGAAAGTAGTATTGGGCTTATCACCTCCCTCTGGGCACTGGAAGCCTCCATGCCATAACCAGGTACTATCCATCCAGAACTCACCTTGAGCCATGGCACCTCTGGGCATAGCCAGCAGCAGGACACTGGCCTGGAATAGCAGCCTCAAACCAGACCGCCGAGCCTTACCCATAACAAGTGGCCTAGACACCCTCCCACACACATGGCTCTGATCGCCCAGCACTGCTCAGCCACCCATTAGCCACAGCTTGTCTTGCTTGGAAGCCCAGGGCAGGTCTCAGGTGGCTCCTGTTAGGGACAGATGGCCCCAAAAAGCTTCTTAGTACTGCAGACACTTTCCCCAAACCTCTCCGCACTGTCCACCCTTCCCCCAAGCCACTTTACATTTCTAACCCCTTATCAAGGCACCACAGTGAAGCCAGCAGACTTCACTTATCAGACCTTGCTGCAATAAGCAAACCCCAATTACAAACCATCCAGACCACACAGGGGGAGGTCATGGGAAACATAAACAAACTTTACCTACACCCTTCTGTAAGTTCCTGCTACCATAAATGTCACAAGGTGATATGTGGCAAAATTAGCCAGCAAACAAGCCCGTAATGCGGCCATACCAAAGAACTGCCCCAAACTCCCCTCCCCAATACAAACCCCTCATTTTGTAAGCTCAGGGCTGTCTCCTCTGAGTGTGGTGGAGCATCCTGGCAGGTTCAATAAACTTACTCGCCTGGCTTTGGGTCTACTCTTCCTTTCTCTCGGCTGACCTTATAGCTCCTTCGTGAGAAGCCTGAACTACTCATCCTGCTCTCCACTCTTGCCCTGCCCCCATCCGTGCCCCAGCCACCTGCTGCCTCTAGCTAGCAGCTGAGAGACTGGGTTTCTACCCACTTCCCTCCCCTTCTCCTATTTCCCTTTACTGGCTGCCTCTTTTTATTCACACCAGTGCAGTCCAGAGGGGTGTACATGTGTTCACATGGGAATTGCTGGGTGCTCAATTGTTAATATTAAAGCTGAAAATATTTTATCATAAGATCTATAACCTTATAATATTATTGAAATTCACTTTCAAATCCTATACAATGGGAAATTGCAGAAGATAACCTCTTGAGTCTTTTCCAGCTCAAATGTTATATGTTTTGGGGATTTATTTCACAGGGAAATGCACAGTAACAACAATCTCGATCTGTTCTTTCAGTAACCCTTAATTTCTGCCCTTCTCTTTCCTGACTCACTATGGCAGGCCCTCTCCCCACAGACTGCCAAGCGCCTATCTGTCTCTGCTAGGGTTACTTCTGGGCTCTTTATAACCCTCCCCACAACCACACACACATATATACCTACACCCTAATCCATACACAGTTCCTTATAATAAACATTAATATCTGTTAAGTGTTTTCTAGGTCATAGCACTGTACTATCTCACTGTTACAATTGACCCCAGTTTTCTTTAATTTTGCCAGGATCCAGTTGATTCTTTCTTTAGGGTCTAGATGTGCTTATTTTGATCTTTGATTAAAAAATTAGTTCTTAACATTTTTTTCTCCAACTATACAGTTCCCATAATATTCAACTGTGTGGTATTTGCAGTTTACAAAGCATCTTCCCATCTGTTATCTCTTGCATTCCTTACAAGCCCATGAGGTAAGTGATCTTCCACTTCACAGATGAGAAAACTGAGACTTGGTAAGAATTGTAGTCTGCCCAGACTCACACAGACAGAAGTGACAGGGCCAGGACTCATCCAGGACTGTCTGATAAATTAGAACAGAATAGAAAGTTCAGAAGTTGATTCAAATACACATGGGAATTCAAATATACATGGTAAAGGTGGTTTTTCAAATCAGTAGAGAAAAAAATTGCAGTAAATGGCATTGGGACAATTGAGTAGTCATCTGGAAAAAAACAGAGCTATATACCTCTCTAATTCATGTCATACATCAAAATAATTTCCCTATGGATCAATAACTTAAGTGTAAAACAAGTTATTATTATAAGATAAAATATTAAATACATTTTTAATAATCAATCTAACAATGACATAGAACCCAGAAATCACACACAAAAAAAAGGATAAATTTGACTCTATAAAATTCAAATTTTCTGCATGGCAACAGAAAGCAAAATGCAACAATAAATATTTGCAACTTTCTTATCACAAATGGCTAATTTTCTGTTTAAAAAGCTCCTAAAAGTCGGCCTAGGGCAGTGACTCATGCCTGTAATCCCAGAACTTTGGGAGGCTGAGTTGGGCAGATGGCTTGAGCCCAGGAATTCAAGACCAGCCTGAGCAACATGGTGAAACCCTGTCTCTACCAAAAAAAAAAAAAAAAAAAAAAAAAAAAAAAAATAGCCAGACATGATTCATGGGCCTGTGGTCCCAGCTAGCTACTCAGGAGGCTGAAGTGAGAGGATAGCTTGAGATCAGGAGGTGGAGGTTGCAGTGAGCAGAGATTGCACCACTACACTCCAGCCTGGTTGACAGAGCTAGATCCTGTCTCAAAAAACAAAAGCTCCTACAAGTCATAGGAATAAGACCAAAAACTCAGAGACAAAAAAATTGGCAAAATATATTAATAGAACAGTTTATACAAAAGGAAACACAAGTGTCTTTTAAATATATAAAAGATGCTTATAGTCTCATCATAATAAGAGGAAAGCAAAATCAAACTGTGCTATATCATTTTTCACCTATCATATTGGCATAAATGAAAATGTTTGTAAGCACTGTATTAGCAAGGATATAAAGAAACAGTCATTCTTATGCATGGCCAGTGAGAATATAAATCAAGAACAACCTCTACAGTGGGCATTTTGTCTATATCAAGATTTTTAATGTGCATATCCCTTGACCCAGCAATTCCACTTGTGGGAATTTATCTCACAGATATACTTGCATATTATGGATATACAAGGAGATTCAATGAAGTGTAGTTTATAAACAATCTAAATGTCTATCAGGGGTCTCTTTAAATAAATTACAGTACATCTATCTGTATGTCAGAGTACTATGCAGCCATTGACAAGTATGAACTCTATTTGCTCTTGCAGAATAATGTAAGTTTAAAATGCAAGATGCAAAGCAGCATGTTATAGGTATGCTATCATTTGTGTGGAAATTTAAGAAACCATAATAGTGATTTTTTCCAGGAAGGTGAATTTGGCGTGACTTAGGTACAGGGGAGGGAGGGAATCTTTCTATTCACTATATATATTTTTATAGCTTGAATTTATGTTATTAGTGTTTTTTACCAATTCAAAATATGAACTTAAAAAATATAGATCTTACCAGAAGACTGTAAGTATTCTTCCCTCCACACCATGGTGCGGCTCACAATTCTCATTTCACTCACTCCTGGCCCACTGACTGAATTACTTGAATATGACACACAAACACACACACATAAAGTTTAATACTACTTATCACTTATAATTCTCTTGAAGAGAAAAACATAATGTATGTGGAATGCCTGGCAAAGGGTAGGCATTTGATACCTAATATCTAGTATTGCCTAAGAACATGTGATGCATATGTTATTGATGCAGGATTTTTCTCAGCCACTTTGCCAACCAGGGACCTCCATGGATGGCAATGCCCCCATGCCTGGGGGTTTGCTTGTCCTCAGGCCTGCCCCTGGAGGCACACTGTTTACTTGGCCTGCCTGTGTTATAGATTGTACCCACATTCTGCAGTTTGTGAGCTCTTGTTCCACATCCAAGAAGAATGAAGTTACACCGACAATCAGAAGGGTGAAGATGGGCAGAGAAGAATTTTCTTGAGCCACAGAACAGCTCTCAGCAGAGAGGGGACACGGGGGGTGGTCCCCCATCCCCGTAATCGGGTAATTTTTCTCTCAGTGTGGCTGGGTCTGAGGCTTTTTTATGGACTCAGAATGGGGAGTGCACACTGATTGGTTTGTGAGTATTCAGAAATGGTTAAGGTAAAGACACCACTCAAAGGTGGACATGACAGTGTAGAAAACCAACTAGGAAAGGGAAGGGAAATGTAAAATAGATGAGGAGTGGGAATCAATCAGAGGAAAGCATGTCAAAAGGGGAGACATGTTCTCAATCCGGTTCGTGGATTTGACTTCTAGCTTGGCTTTCAGGCTTTAAACTGTTTTCTGCCTGGAGATGGGGTTTCACTGGGGACTCACCCATCTGCCTAGGCATTTGGCTGCCTCCTGCTGCTATTATTATGAATCCCACTGATCCAGATCTATACTCTGCATCCCTTCTGTATTTTCTCTTTAGCTCTCACCAGATTGAAATATTCATATTGATGATCAAAATTTGAGTGTTGAGATGTCTCTCATTGCCAGGAAGGCACATTTCTGGGTAGTCCTGTCAAAGTTACTGATTTATGGCTGTTGTTGCTTGTAGAATCTTTGGAGTATTATGAATTTAGTTTTTTATGAAGTAAAACAACTACATATGTGGATTATAACAAAAAGAACATTTGTATGTTAGAACGAAAAAACTATTCTATTGAGGAGTCAATTAAAAACATGAAGAAAATGAAATGTAGGTTTTCTTAAGAGACTCATAGTCAGGAAGTAGGCAAATAATGAAACTTTTGCTCATTAGTTGATACAGTTTCTTCCTGGTCTCGATGGTCTTTACATTTTGGCATGATTTTGCAGTGGCTGGTACCGGTTGTTCCTTTCCATGTTTAGTGCTTCCTTCAGGAGCTCTTTTAGGGCAGGCCTGGTGGTGACAAAATCTCTCAGTATTTGCTTGTCTGTAAAGGATTTTATTTCTCCTTCACTTATGAAGCTTAGTTTGGCTGGGTATGAAATTCTGGGTTGAAATTTCTTTTCTTTAAGAATGTTGAATATTGGCCCCCACTCTCTTCTGGCTTGCAGAGTTTCTGCCGAGAGATCGGCTGTTAGTCTGATGGGCTTCCCTTTGTGGGTAACCCAACCTTTCTCTATGGCTGTCCCTAACATTTTTTCCTTCATTTCAACTTTGGTGAATCTGACAATTATGTGTCTTGGAGTTGCTCTTCTCGAGGAGCATCTTTGTGGTGTTCTCTGTATTTCCTGAATCTGAATGTTGGCCTGCCTTGCTAGATTGGGGAAGTTCTCCTGGATAATATCCTGCAGAGTGTTTTCCAACTTGCTTCCATTCTCCCCGTCACTTTCAGGTACACCAATCAGATGTAGATTTGGTCTTTTCACAGAGTCCTATATTTCTTGGAGGCTTTGTTCATTTCTTTCTGTTCTTTTTTCTCTAAACTTTCCTTCTTGCTTCATTTCATTCATTTCATCTTCCATGACTGATACCCTTTCTTCCAGTTGATCGCATCGGCTCCTGAGGCTTCTGCATTGTTCACATAGTTCTCGAATCTTGGCCTTCAGCTCCATCAGCTCCTTTAAGCACTTCTCTGTATTGGTTATTCTAGTTATACATTCGTCTAAATTTTTTTCAAAGTATTCAACTTCTTAGCCTTTGGTATGAATTCCCTCCTGTAGCTCTGAGTGGTTTGATCCTCTGAAGCCTTCTTCTCTCAGCTCATCAAAGTCATCCTCCATCCAGCTTTGTTCCGTTGCTGGTGAGGAACTGCATTCCTTTGGAGGAGAGGCGCTCTGCTTTTTAGAGTTTCCAGTTTTTCTCCTCTGGTTTTTTCCCCATGTTTGTGGTTTTATCTACTTTTGGTCTTTGATGATGGTGATGTACAGATGGGTTTCTGGTGTGGATGTCCTTTCTGTTTGTTAGTTTTCCTTTTAACAGACAGGACCCTCAGCTGTAGGTCTGTTGGAGTTTGCTAGAGGTCCACTTCAGACCCTGTTTGCCTGAGTATCAGCAGCGGTGTCTGCAGAACCGTGGATTTTTGTGAACCATGAATGCTGCTGTCTGAACGTTCCTGTGGAAGTTTTTTCTCAGAGGAGTACCTGGACATGTGAGGTGTCAGTCTGCCCCTACTAGGGGGTGCTAATGAGCAAAATAACCAGCTAACATCATAATGACAGGATCAAATTCACACATAACAATATTAACTTTAAATGTAAATGGACTAAATGCTCCAATTAAAAGACACAGGCTGGCAAATTGGATAAAGAGTCAAGACCCATAAGTGTGCTGTATTCAGGAAACCCATCTCATGTGCAGAGACACACATAGGCTCAAAATAAAAGGATGGAGGAAGATCTACCAAGCACATGGAAAACAAAAAAAAAGGCAGGGGTTGCAATCCTAGTCTCTGATAAAACAGACTTTAAACCAACAAAGATCAAAAGAGACAAAGAAGGCCATTACATAATGGTAAAGGGATCAATTCAACAAGAAGAGCGAACTATCCTAAATATATATCCACCCAATACAGGAGCACCCAGATTCATAAAGCAAGTCCTGAATGACCTACAAAGAGACTTAGACTCCCACACAATAATAATGGGAGATTTTAACACCCCACTGTCAACATTAGACAGATCAATGAGACAGAAAGTTAACAAGGATACCCATGAATTGAACTGAGCTCTGCACCACGTGGACCTAATAGACATCTACAGAACTCTCCACCCCAAATCAACAGAATATACATTATTTTCAGCACCACACCACACCTGTTCCAAAATTGACCACATAGTTGGAACTAAAGCTCTCCTCAGCAAATGCAAAAGAACAGAAATTATAACAAACTATCTCTCAGACCACAGTGCAATCAAACTAGAACTCAGGATTAAGAAACTCAGTCAAAACTGCTCAACTACATGGAAACTGAACAACCCACTTCTGAATGACTAGTGGGTACATAACGAAATGAAGGCAGAAATAAAGATGTTCTTTGAAACCAATGAGAACAAAGACACAACATACTAGAATCTCTGGGACACATTCAAAGCATTGTGTCAAGGGAAATTAATAGCACTAAAGGCCCACAAGAGAAAGCAAGAAAGATCCAAAATTGACACCCTAACATCACAATTAAAAGAACTAGAAAAGCAAGAGCAAACACATTCAAAAGCTAGCAGAAGGCAAGAAATAACTAAAATCAGAGCAGAACTGAAGGAAATAGAGACACAAAAAACCCTTCAAAAAATTAGTGAATCCAGGAGCTAGTTTTTTGAAAGGATCAACAAAATTGATGGACCGCTAGCCAGACTAATAAAGAAAAAAAGAGAGAATAATCAAATAGACACAAGAAAAAATGATAAAGGAGATATCACCACCGATTCCACAGAAATACAAACTACCATCAGAGAATACTACAAACACCTCTACACAAATAAACTAGAAAATCTAGAAGAAATGGATAAATTCCTCCACACATACACTCTCCCAAGACTAAACCAGGAAGAATTTGAATCTCTGAATAGACCAATAACAGGATCTGAAATTGTGACAATAATCAATAGCTTACCAACCAAAAAGAGTCCGGGACCAGATGGATTCACAGCCGTATTCTACCAGAGGTACAAGGAGGAACTGGTACCATTACTTCTGAAACTATTCCAACCAATAGAAAAAGAAGGAATCTTCCCTAACTCATTTTATGAGGCCAGCATCATCCTGATAACAAAGCCGGGCAGAGACACAACCAAAAAAGAGAATTTTTGACCAATATCCTTGATGAACATTGATGCAAAAATCCTCAATAAAATACAGGCAAACCGAATCCAGCAGCACATCAAAAAGCTTATCTACCATGATCAAGTGGGCTTCATCCCCGGGATACAAGCCTGGTTCAATATACGCAAATCAATAAATGTAATCCAGCATATAAACAGAACCAAAGACAAAAACCACATGATTATCTCAATAGATGCAGAAAAGGCCTTTGGCAAAATTCAACAACCCTTCATGCTAAAAACTCTCAATAAATTAGGTATTGATGGGACGTATTTCAAAATAATAAGAGCTATCTATGACAAACCCACAGCCAATATCATACTGAATGGGCAAAAACTGGAAGCATTCCCTTTGAAAACTGGCACAAGACAGGGATGCCCTCTCTCACCACTCCTATTCAACATAGTGTTGGAAGTTCTGGCCAGGGCAATCAGGCAGGAGAAGGAAATAAAGGGTATTCAATTAGGAAAAGAGGAAGTCAAATTGTCTCTGTTTGCAGACGACATGATTGTATATCTAGCAAACCCCATTGTCTCAGCCCAAAATCTCCTTAAGCTGATAGGCAACTTCAGCAAAGTCTCACGATACAAAATCAATGTACAAAAATCAGAAACATTCTTATACACCAATAACAGACAAACAGAGAGCCAAATCATGAGTGAATTCCCATTCACAATTGCTTCAAAGACAATAAAATACCTAGGAATCCAACTTATAAGGGACGTGAAGGACTCTTTATGGAGAACTACAAACCACTGCTCAATGAAATAAAAGAGGATACAAAGAAATGGAAGAACATTCCATGCTCATGGGTAGGAAGAATCAATATCATGAAAATGGCCATACTGCCCAAGGTAATTTATAGATTCAATGCCATCCCCATCAAGCTGCCAATTGGAAAAAACTACTTTAAAGTTCAGAATTGGAAAAAACTACTTTAAAGTTCATATGGAACCAAAAAAGAGCCCATATCACCAAGTCAATCCTAAGCCAAAAGAACAAAGCTGGAGACATCACGCTACCTGACTTCAAACTATACTACAAGGCTACAGTAACCAAAACAGCATGGTACTGGTACCAAAACAGAGATATAGATCAATGGAACAAAACAGAGCCCTCAGAAATAACGCCGCATATCTACAACTATCTGATCTTTAACAAACCTGAGAAAAACAAGCAATGGGGAAAGGATTCCCTATTTAATAAATGGTGCTGGGAAAACTGGCTAGCCATATGTAGAAAGCTGAAACTGGGATCCCTTCCTTACACCTTATACAAAAATTAATCCAAGATGGATTAAAGACTTAAACGTTAGACCTAAAACCATAAAAACCCTAGAAGAAAACCTAGGCGATACCATTCAGGACATAGGCATGGGCAAGTACTTCATGTCTAAAACACCAAAAGCAATGGCAACAAAAGCCAAAATTGACAAATGGGATCTAATTAAACTAAAGAGCTTCTGCACAGCAAAAGAAACTACCATCAGAGTGAACAGGCAATCTACAAAGTGGGAGAAAATTTTCGCAACCTACTCATCGGACAAAGGGTGGGAATTGAACAATGAGAACACATGGACACAGGAAGGGGAACATCACACTCTGGGGCCTGTTGTGGGGTGGGGGGAGGAGGGAGGTATAGCATTAGGAGATATACCTAATGCTAAGTGACGAGTTAATGGGTGCAGCACATGAGCATGGCACATGTATACATATGTAACTAACCCGCACATTGTGCACATGTACCCTAAAACTTAAAGTATAATAATAATAATAAAATTAAAAAAAACAAAAAACAAATAATGAAACTTAAAAACAATGGACAAGGCTAGAATTAAATAACAGGTACACTATAGGTGTTTTAAAACATATTTTTTCAGTCTTTTTTTTACTACAGATAAATTTTACCAGGAGTAATTTATTTGTAAAATAAATTATAATATTTTATTTGGCCTGATTATTTGTATAAAATGTTTTACAGAAATAGTATTAATAACATTGTTAAGCTATGGGGTGTAGGTCATAGTGTCTGATGTTGCCTTATTAGGTTAGTTTCTAGCTGTTTGTGGCAATAGTGAGCAGTTTTAAGAGATGAATACATAGCTCAAACGGAGGAGTAGGACATGATTGCTGTCTCATTTGAATGTCTCTCTGGGCCCGATAATCTGAAAGGACTTGCATTCCTCAGACAAGAGTTCTTTTCTTTTCTCAGTTCCTTTCAGCAACTAAGGTTAGCACCACACAGAAACAGAGCCTCTTTAATGTAATTACCTCCCTCAGAGCAGCAGAAAGAGCCCAGACATGGGAGTCAAAATACCTGGCAAGTTCTTTCCCCTCCCTGGTGTCAGGAGCCCAGTCGGCCCAGGTTTCTGTGTGAGAGGACCTACTGAAATATCCCACTCTGCTGGCTGCTGGGTGCTTGCACGATAGTAGCCATCATTTACTGAATGCCTACTTTTTGCAAGGTACTCCACATACATTGAACTTTTTGTCCACAAAATAATTGCATGAGATTAGTAGTATTGGCCCCATTTTATAAGTGAGACAATAGTCTCAGAGAGGCAAAAATAACTTGTCTGAGGTTACACATCTAGCTCATAGCACCACAAATATTAAGTCAGATCTGCCTATCTCCATCATAAAAATTCTGTTCCTGTATACCTCAATTCTTGAACCTCACTCTATAGGCATTCTTTGGGATTGGAGTATTTCCTGAGCCCTGCCAACTCTAGCTCCCATATGCAAGATTATATCTTCTTCCTGAAGAGACCTAGTCAGCAAGCTCTTTCCCAACTCCTTCCATGGCTATCCTGTCTTCTGCTTCTTTGGAGAAATTCAGAAGCCTCTGGGAAAGATGCTCAGTCTCTTCACCTCCCTGAGATCCATTCTTCATTGGTTAAATAGATTTAGACATACACATGCTCTGCCCACCACATGGGATCTTGTGAGGATCCTTGACAAAATTTAGGGGAAATTTTTTTCCAAAATTTTGGAAATGGTTGTTTTTCTGGCTCTTCATACTTCCTCTCTCCTCCAGCTGGGAAAATGTAGTGCTCTGTACTTGTCCTCCCTCTGGTGGCCTGGCAGCAGCATAGCTTTAGCTAGTACTATTGAGAGCTGGGTCTTAATTTGTGGTACAGTAAAGGGATCAGTAGAATACAGGAGTTTGTACTCTACATGCACAAAGAGGTCTGCAATCCTTTGAAAGTCAATACTTTCCTTAGCAATTGCTAAATACTGACTGAGGTAATGACAAACAGAGAGCCAAATCATGAGTGAATTCACATTCACATTCACAATTGCTACAAAGGAATAAAATACCTAGGAATCCAACTAGCAATGGATATGAAGAACTTCTTCAAGGAGAATTACAAACCACTGCTCAAGGAAGTAAGAAAGGACACAAGCAAATGGAAAAACAGTCCATGCTCGTGGATAGGAAGAAACAATATCGTGAAAATGGCCATACTGTCCAAAGTAATTTATAGATTCAATGCTATCCTCATCAAGCTACCATTGAATTTTTTCACAAAATTAGAAAAAAAAAACTACTATAAATTTCATATGGAACCAAAAAAGAGCCCACATAGCCAAGGCAATCCTAAGCAAGAAGAAAAAAGCTGGGAGGCATCATGCTATCTGGCTTCAAACTATACTACAAAGCTACAGTAACCAAAACAGCATGGCACTGGTACCAAAACAGATATATAGACCAATGGAACTGAACAGAGGGCTCAGAAATAAGACCACATATCTACAACCATCTGATCTTTGACAAACCTGACAAAAAACAAGCAATGGAGAAAGAATTCCCTATTTAATAAATGGTGCTGGGAAAACTGGCTAGCCATATGCAGAAAACTGAAACTGGATCCCTTCCTTACACTTTATACAAAAATTAACTCAAGATGGATTAAAGATTTAAACATAAGGTCCAAAACCATGAAAACCCTAGAAGAAAACCTAGGCAATACCATTCAGAACATAGGCATGGCAAATACTTCATGGCTAAAACACAAAAAGCAGTGGGAACAAAAGCCAAAATTGACAAATGGGACCTAATTAAACTAAAGAGCTTCTGTACAGCAAAGAAAAAAAAAAAACTATCAGAGTGAACTGGGAGAAAATTTTTGCAATCTATCCATCTGACAAAGGGCTAATATCCAGAATCTACAAAGAACTTAAACAAATTTACAAGAATAAAACATCAAAAAGTGAGTGAAGGATATGAACAGACACTTCTCAAAAGAAGACATTTATGCAGCCAACAAACATATGAAAGAAAGCTCATCATCACTGATCATTAGAGAAATGCAAATCGAAGCCACAATGAGATACCATCTCACACCAGTCAGAATGGCGATTATTAAAAAATCAGGAATCAACAGGTGCTGGAGAGGATGTGGAGAAATAGGAACACTTTTACACTGTTGGTGGGACTGTAAACTAGTTCAATCATTGTGGAAGACAGTGTGGCAATTCCTCAAAGATCTAGAACTAGAAATACCATTTGGCCCAGCAATCCTATTACTGGGTATATACCAAAAAGATTATGAATCATTCTACTATAAAGACACATGCACACATATGTTTACTGTGGCATTGTTCACAATAGCAAAGACTTTGAACCAACCCAAATGCCCATCAATGATAGACTGGATAAAGAAAATGTGGCACTTATACACCATGGAATGCTATGCAGCCATAAAAAAGGATGAGTTTATGTCCTTTGCAGGGACATGGATGAAGCTGGAAACCATCATTCTCAGCAAACTAACACAAGAACAGAAAACCAAGCACTACATGTTCTCACTCATAAGTGAGAGTTGAGCAATGAGAACACATGAACACAGGAAGGGGGACATTACACACCTAGGCCTGTTGGGTTGTGGGGGGCTAGGGGAGGGATAGCATTAGGAGAAATACCTAATTTAGATGATGGGTTGATGGGTGTATACCTATGTAACAAACCTGTACGTTCTGCACATATACCACAGAACTATAATAATAAAAAAAGGGAAAAAGATCACGCTTCTGTAAAAAGCCCTTTGCAATGGCAGTTCCAACTTGGGCAAATAATGATTTCTTATGCAAATCTAATGAAAACAAAAGAGACCATCCCCAAGGACTTCTGAAAAAATCTATTTTTTTTTTTCATATAACCCAGCTGCATTATGCAAAATATGCCTTTGGAACAGAATATTCGGAGACCACTTTTAAGAAATGTGGAGCATCATATTTCAATGGTTTTGCCTTTACAGGGAACACCATGCTCCCAGACCTATTTCTGGGTTAATTGGGCCCTTCAAATAGCTTAAGACTCACTTAGCAGCTGAAATGAAATGGCTTCAGAGGCCACAGAATATTCACTGGCCCGAACCATCATTTTCAGTATATGTGTGTCTCATCTCCTCCCAGCTCTTTCTACTGATCCTCCAATAGTTGCCTAGACAAATGCCTACATGAAATAGGATCCAGTTGCCACTACAGATTCAATTTAAAGCCTTCTGTGATTATCTTCCAACCTGTGCTGGACAATTCAGGAACAACAGGAATATGAATTTGAACCACAAAAATTGTTGGTATCTGACGGCTATTGACCTATACAAATGACACTTTCTTGTGGTTCAGCCTAATATTTGGGAGGTAAAACATCTTGAAAAGGAGCAGCAGATGTTTACACTTTTACCTTGTTGTTGATTTTAACAGACCCTTTATTCATAAAATATTTTATGTGAAAGCCATATCTGAAAAACAGATAAAATAAATGGCTTTTAGCAGAACAAGGTGTCAAGCCTGGAAGCCTGGAGTCCTGTCTGCTTGGCTCCCTATCTCTTCCCAGGAAGTGTCTGAGGCATCCCTAACAAATCCTATGGCTTCCTGGAATACAATTTGCAAATCACTGCATTGGAGAATAATGCAAAACCTTAGTATGTAATTCAGACTCCATATGCAGGTTTTCAAAGAAGAAGGAAGTCACTGAGGACTCAGGTTTTAGGAGGAAACTTCCTGAAGGAAGTGAGATTCGAGCATATTTTGAAGGACGGAGGACAGTTTAGATCACTTGAACAGGTAGGATGTTCCAGGTAGGAGAACAGCATAAGCAAAGGCACAAAGGCAAGAATGAATATGGACAAATATGCCATGGTGAAGGGGTGGCATTGATGGGAAGGATGTATTCTATTGTATTGACTAAGTATGAAGGTAGTGTGGTGGATTTTTTCTTTTCCTTTCTCTCTCTCTCTCTTTCTCTCCTTTTTTTTTTTTTTTTTTTTTTTTTTCTTTTGAGACGGAGTCTTACTCTGTCACCCGGGCTGGAATGCAGTGGTGAAGTGGCAAGATCTCGGTTCACTGCAGCCTTTGCCTTTGGGTTCAAGTGATTCTCCTTCCTTAGCCTCCTGAGTAGCTAAGATTACAGGCGCCTGGCACCAAGCCTAGCTAATTTTTGTATTTTTAGTAGAGACGAGGTTTCACCACATTGGCCAGACTGGTCTCGAACTCCTGAGCTCAAGAGATCTTGATTTATTTTCCTTTCACAAGTGTTTAGCTCAATGCTGGCCACAGAATATTGTCAGCTGTTATTAAGAAAGGAGCTGTTATTAAGAAGGACCTAGTGTATAGGGTACCAGGTCCTTCACCTATGCTTCAACCAAGGGAATTCTGTTTTTTGTTTGTGTGTTTATTTATGTATTAGGTTTCCATGAGAAACCTTGTTTGAAAAAAAGATTCTGCTTTTATGAAAAAATTTGAAAATCAGTGGTATAATAGAAGGAGCACAGGCTTTGTAGTTCAAAAGATGTAGGTTGAAATCCCAAGTTGGTAGCCTTTGTGTCTTTAGGCAACTAACTTCACCTCTTTGAACTCTAGTTTCCAAATCTTGGAAATGGGAATACTAACAGATACTTTACAGGATGGTTGTGAATAATATAAGTAAGGTAGATACTACACAGTAAGAGTGCAATAAATGATAACCTATTGCTTTAATGCTGGAGTCGAATGACACTCCAAGCACTGACCTACAAGTTAGAAGATCTGGCTGATGGTCCCAGTTTTTAGTGTTGATTCCTTCTTTTCTTTATCTTCCACCTGAGAAAGGCTTACCATCAGCTGTATCTTCAAAATATAACCCAAATCTAATCCTTTCTTTTTTTTTATTATACTTTAAGTTTTAGGGTACATGTGCACAACATGTAGGTTTGTTACACATGTATACATGTGCCATGTTGGTGTGCTGCACCCATTAACTCAACATTTAGCATTAGGCATATCTCCTAATGCTATCCCTCCCCACTCCTCCCACCCCACAACAGGCCCCAGAGTGTGATGTTCCCCTTCCTGTGTCCATGTGTTCTCATTGTTCAATTCCCACCTATGAGTGAGAACATGTGGTGTTTGGTTTTTTGTCCTTGCAATAGTTTGCTGAGAATGATGGTTTCCAGCTTCATCCATGTCTCTACAGAGGACATGAACTCATCATTTTTTATGGCTTCATAGTATTCCATGGTGTATATGTGCCACATTTTCTTAATCCAGTCTATCATTGTTGGACATTTGGGTTGGTTCCAAGTCTTTGCTATTGTGAATAGTGCCGCAATAAACATACGTGTGCATGTGTCTTTATAGCAGCATGATTTATAATCCTTTGAGTATATACCCAGTAATGGGATGGCTGGGTCAAATGGTAATTCTAGTTCTAGATCCTTGAGGAATCACCACACTGACTTCCACAATGGTGGAACTAGTTTACAGTCTCACCAACAGCATAAAAGTGTTCCTATTTCTCCACATCCTCTCCAGCACCTGTTGTTTCCTGACTTTTTAATGATCACCATTCTAACTGATGTGAGATGGTATCTCATTGTGGTTTTCATTTGCATTTCTCTGATGGCCAGTGATGGTGAGCATTTTTTCATGCGTCTTTAGGCTGCATAAATGTCTTCTTTTGAGAAGTGTCTGTTCATATCCTTCACCCACTTGTTGATGGGGTTGCTTTTTTTCTTGGAAATTTGTTTGAGTTCATTGTAGATTCTGGATATTAGACCTTTGTCAGATGAGTAGATTGCAAAAATTTTCTCCCATTCTGTAGGTTGCCTGTTCACTCTGATGGTAGTTTCCTTTGCTGTGCAGAAGCTCCTTAGTTTAATTAGATCCCATTTGTCAATTTTGGCTTTTATTGTCATTGCTTTTGGTGTTTTAGTCATGAAGTCCTTGCCCATGCCTATGTCCTGAATGGTATTACCTAGGTTTTCTTCTAGGGTTTTTATGCTTTTAGGTCTAAGATTTAAGTCTTTAATTCATCTTGAATTAATTTTTGTATAAGGTGTAAGGAAGTGATCCAGTTTCAGCTTTCTACATATGGCTAGCCAGTTTTCCCGGCACCATTTATTAAATAGGGAATCCTTTCCCCATTGCTTGTTTTTGTCAGGTTTGTCAAAGATCAGATAGTTGTAGATATGCAGCATTATTTCTGAGGGCTCTATTATGTTCCATTGGTCTATATCTGTGTTTTGGTACCACTACCATGCTGTTTCGGTTACTGTAGCCTTGTAGTATAGTTTGAAGTCAGGTAGTGTGATGCCTCCAGCTTTGTTCTTTTGGCTTAGTATTGACTTGGCAATGAGGGCTCTTTTTTGGTTCCATATGAACTTTACAGTGGTTTTTTCCAATTCTGTGAAGAAGGTCATTGGCAGCTTGATGGGGATGGCATTGAATCTATAAATTACCTTGGGCAGTACGGCCATTTTCATGATATTGATTCTTCCTACCCATGAGCATGGAATGTTCTTCCATTTGTTTCTATCCTCTTTTATTTCCTTGAGCAGTGGTTTGCAGTTCTCCTTGAAGAGGTCCTTTACATCCCTTATAAGTTGCATTCCTAGGTATTTTATTCTCTTTGAAGCAATGGTGAATGGAAGTTCACTCATGATTTGGCTCTCTGTTTGTCTGTTATTGTCGTATAAGAATGCTTGGGATTTTTGTGCATTGATTTTGTATCCTGAGACTTTGCTGAAGTTGCTTATCAGCTTAAGGAGATTTTGGGCTGAGATGATTAGGAAAAGAGGAAATCTAATCCTTTCTAATCACCTCTACTAACTCCACCCTGGTCCAAGCCACTATAATCTTTCATCTGGACACTTGCAGTAGCCTCCTTATTTGTTTACTTGTTTCCCTTCTTGTCCCCTTAAAGTCCATTCTGCACCAGCAGCCAAGTTTTTTTTGTTTTGTTTTGTTTTTTTAAATAAGGTAGGTCACAATCCTTTCCTACTCAAAATCTTCAAGTGGCTTCTCATTATACTTGGAACAAAATCAAACTTTTTACTAAAGTCTAAAAAGGCCCTACAGGATCTAGCCCTTCCTTGCCTTTTCAGCTTTATCTTCTGCTCCCAGCCACTTTCCCTCAGCCTCACTAACTTTCTTGTTGTTCTTCAAACACCAAACTTATTTAAGGACCCAAAACATTTTCTCTAGAGATTTTCTAAAATAGCTACTACCACTTTTCCCTTGCATCACTCTATATTATATCCTGATAATTCATCGTAAGTATCACCAACTAACATATTTATTTGAAATGCAGTCAGGGACCTTGTTTATTTTGTTCAGCTGATGTAAAACCCCAATGCCTAGTACAGTGCTTGACACATAAAAGAAACCTCAGCACCTGAATCTGTCTTGACCCCTTGGATGTGGATCCTTGAGACTCACTTTCTTCAGGCTTTTCCAACACTGGTTTCCACATAGTTCTTGGCTCTACTTGTTTCCTTGATTAAGTACTCTCCATTGTCTCAGTGAGAAATTATTCTAGCCCCAAGATCTGCACAGTCTCAGTCTCCCTGACGATGAAGGTCAGTATAGGTCTACCTGGTGATGAAGGTCAGTGTAAGTCTACCTGGTGTATAACCTATGAAATAAGTTTACCTCCCAATATACCTCCTCCTTACTTCTAAGAAGGCATTGTGGGCCAGGCGCGGTGGCTCATGCCTGTAATCCCAGCACTTTGGGAGGCCGAGGCAGGTAGATCACGAGGTCAGGAGATCGAGACCATCCTGGCTAATATGGTGAAACCTCGTCTCTACTAAAAATACAAAAATTAGCCAGACGTAGTGGCGGGTGCCTGTAGTCCCAGCTACTAGGGAGACTGAGGCAGGAAAATGGCGTGAACCTGGGAGGCGGAGCTTGCAGTGAGCCGAGATCGCGCCACTGCACTCCAGCCTGGGGGACAGAGCGAGACTCCTTCTCAAAAAAAAAAAAAGGCATTGTGTGACTGGAATGTGAGGGCCTTTTGGATGACAGCTGCTGTTTGCTAAATCATTAGAAGCATCTCATTTTTTTCTTAGGCCTCTACAGTAGCCATACTCATATGCACTTGGTCAAACTGTCTATTCATTTCCCCATACCCTCAAAACTTTATATTATTAATATTTTAACTTTTTAACAAACTGCTGGTATAAAATGGTTTCTCATAATTATTTTAATTTGCATTTCCTTGATTATACTAATGAGGTTCCATAATCATGTATAATTTTATCAGGTTGTAGGCCACATTATAATTCTTTTTCTGTGAATTGTCTAGGTTGGGATTTCAACATACTTTTCTGTGAATTGTCCTTTGCCTGTTTTTCTCTTGAGTCATTTGTCTCTTTTTATGATTTGTAGAGGCCGGTGATTTATTTTGGATGCAAATATTTTGTCTATTATTTATATCGCAAATATTTTCTCCTAGCCTGTGATTTGTCTTTTACGTTATTTATAATTATTTTCTGCACAAAAATTTTATGTGGAATGTGGTCAAATTTACCAATATTTTTCTTAACTTTTTTGTGTCCTCTTTAAAAGGGCATTCCATACTCTAAACCCATGAGCATATGTGCCTATACATTTTTCAAATACTTTTTTTATAATTTTGGTTTTGGTGGCTAAACTTTTAATATAACTGGGATGTATTTTATGAAAAGTGTATGATAGAGAACAAAGAGTTAATTTTTCCCCCAATTAATGCCCAGTTGTCCACAGATATTTATTAAATTGTTTGTTTTCAATTTATTTGATATGTCACCTTTATGATGTACTAAATTTTCATATATACATTAGTCTGTTTCTGGATTCTTTATTCTTATTCTTGGTCCATTTATATATTTGTCTGCACTTTTCTTATCAATACCACACTGTTTTCATCACTATGGCCTTATTATCTATCTTGATATCTTACAGAGAGAGTACTTTATCTTTGTCCTTTATAAAAATTATTCTGGCTATTCTTGCATATTTAATATACCATATATATTTTAGACTAAGTCTGTCAAATTTCATTTTAGAAATCTTGTTAGGATTTGCACTGAATTTATAAATTAATTTGGGGGGATTAACATTTTTATGATTTTGTATATTATAAATAAGAGTAATATGCCTCACCATGTTTTTGTTCTTCTTTAAAGTCTTTCAATAAATTTTTATCCTTTTTTCCATGAAGGTCATGTCCATCTTTGGTTAAATTTACTTCTAGATACTTGATAAATTTTATTGCCATTTTAATGGTAATTTTTTAAAAATATTACATTTTCAGGCTGTTTATTGCTGGTATATAGAAATGCAGTGGATTTTTATATATTGATCATATACCCAACACCACTGCTCAATTTTTTATTATAATTTTTACATAGATTATTTGAAGTTTTTTATTTGAGTTTAATGGTAGACAAATATATTTTTTATGAAAAATGAGTTTTATTTATTCTTTTCCAATTAATAGTACTTTTTCTCTCTCTCTCTCTCGTGTGTGTGTGTGTGTGTGTGTGTGTGTGTGTGTGTGTGTGTGTCTTACTGTACCAGCTAAAACCTTTTGAACAGCATTGAGTAGTAGTGGTGGTAGTAGAAGGTATTTACTAGTAATGGGCCTCCTTGTCTTCTTCCTGACTTTGAAAGAAATACTTCTAATGTTTCACTTTTAAGTGTGATGTCTGCTGTACACTTTTTGTAGAAACTTTTTATCAGACTAAGGTAGCTCTGGACCAGTTACAGTTGCTCACATCTGTAATCCCAACACTTTGGGAAGCCGAGGTTAGTGGATTGCTTGAGTCCAGGAAATCAAGGCCAGCCTGGGAAGCATAGTGAGACCCCATTTCTAAATAAAAAAAAAAAAATTAGCCAAGTATGGTGACACATGCCAGTGGTCTTAGCTACTTGAGAGGGTGAGGTGGGAGGATCACTTGAGCCTGGGATATTCAGGCTGCAGTGAGCCATGATTGCAACATCGTACTCTAGTCTGGGTGTCAATGCAAGATCCTGCCTCAAAAAATAAATAAAAAATAAAATAAATTTAAAAAAGAAAGGTAGCTCTCATCTGTGGTGGAGATTGCTAATTGTCTATTCAATATCCAGTCTCCCCTTCTCTCTGACTAAAAGAACTCTGATTTTGTTAGGGGTAGAAATGTTCGCAGACTTTAAGGAGTCAACACTTCCCTACCTCCTTGCAGATAAGGATGGTCATGCAACACAGTACTGGACAATAAATGTAACCAAAAGTTATTTGGTGGCACTTTGTGGCAAGCTCTTAAAATATGGGTGTGTCTTAGTCCATTCGTTTTCCTAATAAAGGAATGCCTGAGGCTGGATAATTTAAAAAGAGAAGAGGTTAATTTGGCTTACATTTCTGCAGGCTGTATAAGAAGCAAGGTGCCAGCGTTTGGGAGGGCCTTAGGCTGCTTCCATTCATGAAGGAAGGGGAAAGGGAGATGGTGCGTGCAGAGATAATATGATGAGAAAGGAGGCAAGACAGAGTGTAGGAGGTGTCAGGCTCTTTTTAACAATCAGCTAGGGAGTGGGTAATACAGGGAGAAATCACTCATTACTACCAGGATCACACTAATCCATTCATGAGGAATCTGCCACAATGACCAGATACCTCCCACCACGCCCCACTTTGAATACTGGGGATCAAATTTTAACAAGAGGCAAAAAAACATATCTAAACCATAGCAGCTTGTGTGTATGTTTTCAGAAATATGAAAGAAGCTCAGATAACACATATAATTTTCCCTTTGTAATTGATCCTTCTTCCTCACTGAAATGTGTAAGTAATGACTGGAGTGTCAGCAGCCATACTGTGCTCCACCATGAGAGAAAAGCCAAAAGAATCGGAAACCTTATTCTGACATCCTTGGAGCCACTGTTCCTGCCCTGGACTGCCCATCTCTGTACTTCTTGTTATGATGAGAGAGAAAAAAATGACCCTATCTTATTTAATCCATTGTTATTTGGATTTATGGTTGTTGTTGATACATTTGGACAGCTTTATTAAGGTATAATTGATATCTAGTAAAGTGCACATGTATAAAGTGTACCATTAGATAACTTCAGATATATGCATAAAGCCACAAAACCAACATCACAATCAAGAACATGAACAAATCCACCACTCCCAAACATTTTTTCATGTCCCTTTGCAATCCCTCCCACCCATTCCCAGGAAATCATTGACATATTTTCTATCAGCATAAATTAGTTTGAATTATCTAGAGATTCATATAATGGAACCATAAAGTATATATTCTTATTTATCTGGATTTTTCACTCAACATAATTATGTTGTTAATCATGCAGCTGTTTAGTGTCAATGGTTCATTTCTTTATATTGCTAAGTAATATTCAAGTTTATGGATATACCAAGATGTGTTTATTTATTAAGTCATTAAGGGACATTTAGGTCATTTCCAGTTTTTTGTTATTAAAAATAAAGCTTCTGGCCGGGCACAGTGGTTCATGCCTGTAATCCCAGCACTTTGGGAGGCTGAGGCAGGCGGATAACCTGAGGTCAGGAGTTCAAGACCAGCCTGGCCAACATGGTGAAACCCCGTCTCTACTAAAAATACAAAAATTAGCCAGTCATGGTAGTGGGCGCCTGTAATCCCAGCTACTGGGGAGGCTGAGGCAGGAAAATTGCTTGAACCCAGGAGGTGGAGGCTGCAGTGAGCTGAGATCATGCCACTGCACTCCAGCCTAGGTGATAGAGCGAGACTCCATCTCAAAAATAAATAAATAAATAAATAAATAAATAAATAAATAAATAAAGCTTCTATGAACATTCATGTACAAGTTTTGTGTGGATGTATGTTTTCCCTTCTCTTGGGTAAATACCTAGAATTTGAAAGGACAGATCATGTGGTATGTATATGTTTAACTTTTTTAGAAAATGCCAACTGTTTTCTTTTCCTCAGTGAAATCCATGAATATTGTGAGAAAACTCTTCAGAGGGATATGAAGGAAATACCTTAAAGAATAGGGATTAACTACTTAATATTTTCTGATTTAAAACTGCTTGCTAGGCTGGGCTTGGTGGCTCACGCCTGTAATTCCAGCACTTTTGGAGGCCAAGGTGGACAAAACGCTTGAGTTCAGGAGAGACCGCCCCAGGCAACGTGGCAAAACTTTGTCCCTACAAAAAATACCAAAAAGAAAAAAGAAAAAAAGCCAGGTGTTGTGGTGTGTGACTACAGTCCCATCTACTCTGGAGGCTGAGGTAGGAGGATCACTTGAGCCTGGAAGGTTGAGGCTGTAGTGACCTGAGATCGCACCACTGCACTCCAGCCTGGGTGATAGAGTAAGACCCTGTCTGAAAACAAACAAACAAACAAACAAACCGATAGCCTAAAATTTATACTTTCATATTTTATGGTAGGTAAATTATTCAAAATTCATTAAAATATTGAGTGTTTAAGTGTCACTGAAGAAATAGTGTTATGATGGTCACATTTTGGCTACCTGTGTTCATAATGTTTTATTATTTGAGCTTATTTTGCTACTGATTTGTACCTTGTGTTCAGTTATTTTGGAAGATATTTTGTCAGCATTCTCTAGAATGAATTCTGAGGAGAAATTGACTTACAAGTTTGTCACAAATGTCATCTAAAATATATGATTATCTCTGCACCAGTTGTATCTTATTAGTTGATCTTATCACTGGAAACTGAAAACTTCGATGAACAAAATTAATATTGAAATAAGAAATTGTTTTATATTGTGTCAAGTATAAAATGGTAGCACTAACTCAGATTAGGCAAAAACACCTATTATATGGTGTAGATTATTTTAGCCTTGGAGGCCTGGTGGTACAGTTAAGAAAGTAATCACTATACATATTTAAACATCTTAAAATGGCCTTTTCTCTAATGCATATTCTTTTTGAAGACTTTACTAAACTTACATTTAAAAGGGAAAACCAAAAACAGGAAAGTTTTTAAAATGTGTTATCTGCCCTATGCTGTATAAACGCAGCATGCTGGTTATGAAGACCCATCAAGGTTCCACTTATGAGAAGGAGACATTTGTAAGCGGAGCAAGGGGCCCCACAGATTGGCTTGCTACGTATACACTCCTTTGTGCATTCAGTCTGTTATCACAGAGGGATCCCATGATTGGGATCCCTCCAGTATGGGTCAGTGCACCTAAGACAGGCCACTTAACTCCATTGAAATACCTCACCCCAATTTCAGGGTCCTCTCTCCTGAGCCTAGATATGCCAGGGTCCTGTTGCAATGTAAATGGCTTCAAAGTGATCTCTATGGATAAATGCTGATATTGGATATAGAACCGAACAATTTGCTCAACTTGTTCATTTTTTTCTATTTTATTTTTGTAATTTATATTGCACACAGCATTGGAAGTCACCATTTTGGACATGTATTTTTATAAACCAGGTAATTTATTATCATCATGGAATTTGGACTAGGTTTGTTTCATTTGTTAGCTGTTTTTAGACAAAAAGGAAATGACTGCCTCCTCTCTGTTCAAGTATGAATCTCAAGTACAGATTCCGGATAACAGGCAGGGTTCTATTAGAATAGGAACACACTCTGGAATCACTGGTTGCACACATTGAATCAGCCTTGAGCCTAGAGATGAAAACAGAGCTCTGCTCTTATCTTTGACACATGAAACTCAGAGCCCCAGTGCTGAAAAGAACTGGGGCCCTCTGCAGGGCTCCTTGATGATACCCAAGGTTCATATTTGAAACACTGAATGGGATACTGATTTAATAAGGATTTAATGCTGTGTAAGTCATGATAATAATGTGTGAGTGTATCTGGTTGATTTTTAATGTAACTCCTCTGGTATTCCATACTGTTAGTAAATACAGGTGTGACCTTTAAGGTTGCATATCTCAAAAGTAATATTGCCTAATGTTTTACAATAAAATACATTATGTGTGTTTTGATTGATGAAAATAGACTACATTTTAAAAGGGAAAAATAAAAAGAAACTGCCAAGCTGTTTTCCAATGTGGTTTTATCATTTTTCATTCAGGCCACCAATTCCTCCACATCTCTGCCAACGGTGGTATCCCCTTGTGGTTTTATTTATTTAATTTTGTTTTTTGAGACAGGATCTCACTCTGTCACCAGACTGAAGTGCAGTGGTGCAATCACGACCCACTGCAGCTTCAACCTCCTGGTCTCAAGTACTCCTCTTCACCTCCCAAAGTGTTGGAATTACAGGTGGGAACCACCACATCCAGCCTACATTGTGGTTTAAATTTGCACTTCTCTAATTACTAATAATGATAAACATCTTTTTATGTGCTTATTTGCCACCCATGTTAGCCTCTTTGGTAACATGTCTGTGCAAATAATTTGTCCATTTTGTTATTGGGTTATTTTCATAGCATTAAGACTTGAAAATTCCTTATATGTATAATTTGGATACAGATTGTTTATCAAAATCTGCTATGCAAATATTTTCTCAACATCTTTGGCTTGTCTTTTCATTCTCCCAGAAATACATTTTGAAAACAGAATATTTTAATTTTAATGAAGTCCAATTTATCTTTTTTTTAATGGATCCTGCTTTTGGTGACATATCTAAGACTTGCCTAAACCATCTCAGGCTGTCATAACAAGGTAACACAGATTGGATAGCTTAAAAAACATTTATTTTCTCAATCTGGAGGCTGGAAGTCCAAGATCAAGGTGCCAACCGTTTGGCACCTGGTGAATTTTCTATTCCTGGTTTGAAAATGACCACTTTCTCACTGTGTTTTCCACATGGACTTTCCTTTGTGAGTGGAAAGAGAGATAGATCCCTGGTGTCTGGTGTCTCTTACTCTTCTTATAAGGACGTCAGTACTACCGTATTGGATTAGGGCCACATGTTTATGTCCTCATTTAATCATAATTGGCCCTTCTCCAAATACAGTCAGATTGGGGGTTAGGACTTCTACATATGAAGTTTGGTGAGGACACATTCAGTCCATGACATCAAGAAACAAAGATTTTCTCCTAGAAAACTTAGGGTTGGGGATTTTACAGCTAGGTCTATGAGCCATTTTGAGTTAATTATTGCATATAGTGCAAGGTATGGATCAAAGTTTCTTTTTTTGCATATGTATCCATATGTAGTAAGTATTAAGCCAACCAAGCATTCCTTTGTTTTTCTTTTGAAAATTTTTATTTTAGGTTCAGGGGGTACATGTGCAGGTTGGTTACACTGGTAGATTGCGTGTCAGTGGGGTTTGCTGTACAAATGATTTTATCACCCAATTAGTAAGTATGGTACTCAATAGATAGTTTTTCAACTCTCACCCTCCTCCCATTCTCCCCACCTCAGCCTCTAGCTCCATCCGTGCTGCTGCAAAGGACATGGTTTCTTTTTTTTTTTATGGCTTTGTAGTATTCCATGGTGTATATATATCACATTTTCTCCTCCTCCTCCTCCTTCTTCTTTTTCTTCTTTCTTCTTCTTTTTTAAGACAGTGTCTCACTCTGTCACCCAAGATGAAGTGCAGTGGCGCAATCTCAGCTCACAGCAAGCTCAGCCTCCCGAGTAGCTGAGATCGCAAGCAAGTGCCACCATGTCCAGCTGATTTTTTATTTTTATTTTTGTATTTTTAATAGAGACAGCGTTTCGCCATGTTGCCAAGGTTGGTTTCAAACTCTTGAGCTCAAGTGATTCGCCCTCCTCAGCCTCCCAAAGTCCTGGGATTACAGGTGTGAACCACCACGCCTGTCTTTGTGCCATATTTTCTTTAACCAGTCCACAACCGATGGACATCTAGTTGGATTTTTGTCTTTGATATTGTGCATAGGACTGTGATAAACATATCCATGTGTGTGTCTTTTTGGTAGAAGTATTTATATTCCTTTGGGTATATATCCAGTTATGGCATTGCTGGGTTGAATGGTAGCTCTGTCTTAAGTTGTTTGAGAAATCTCCAAACTGCTTCCCACAGTGGCTGAAATAATTTACATTCCCACCAGCAGTGTATAAGTGTTCCCTTTTCTTCACAGCCTCATCATTTGTTATTTTTTGAGACAGAGTCTCACTCTGTCACCCAGGTTGGGGTGCAGTGGTGCAATCTCGGCTCACTGCAACCTCCACCTCCTGGGTTCAAGTGATTTTCATGCCTCAGCCCCCAGAGTAGCCGAAAATATAAGGCGTGCACCACCACACCTGACTCATTTTTTTGTATTGTTAATAGAGACAGGGTTTCACCATGTTGGCCAGGCTGGTCTTGAACTCCTGACCTCAAATGATCCGCCTGCCTTGGCCTCCCAATGTGCTGGGATTACAGGCATGAGGCACCGCACCCAGCCTATCTTTTAACTTTTTAAATAGCCATTCTTACTGGCATGAGATAGTATCTCATTGTGGTTTTGATTTGCAAGTCTCTAATGATTAATGATGTTGAGCATTTTTCCATATGCTTGTTGGATGTGTTTATGTCTTCTTTTCAGAAGTATTTGTTCAACCCAGCATTCTTACTTGACCATAATATATTTTTTATATTGTTGAATTTGATTTAATGAAATTTAGTTTAGAATATCGGCATCTATGCTTATGAGGGATATTTGTAGTTTTCATTTCTTGTACTGTGTCTGTTTGTTTTGGTATTAGAGTAATGCTTGTCTCATAGAATGAGTTGTGAAATATTCTCTCCCCTTCAATTTTCAGGAAGAGTTGCTATAGAATAGGTATTCATTCTTTTTCCTTTTTTTTTTATTTCTCGAGACAGAGTCTCACTCTGTCACCCAGGCCGGGGTGCAGTGGTGCCATCACAGCTCACAGTGGTCTCAAACTCCTGACTCAAGGAATCCTCCCACCACAGCCTCCCAAGTAGCTGGGATGGGTGTGCACTGCCACACCCAGCAATTTTTTTAAAAGAAACTTTTCAGCAGAGACAAAGTTTCATGATTCTTCCCAGGCTGGTCTCAAACTCATGAGCTCAAGTAATCATCCCACTTCAGCCTCCCAAAGTGCTGAGATTACAGGCCTGTGACATCATGTCCAATGGTATTATTTCTTAAATTTTTGGATGAATTAGCCAGTAAAATTATATGGACTTAGTGCTTTATTTGTGGGAAGGTTATGAACTGAAAGTTCATTTTTTTTTAAGAGGCAGAGTCTCACTATGTTGCCCAAGCTGGTCTTGAATTCCTGAGCTCAAGTGATTCTCCCACCTTGGCCTCTCAAATTATGGGGATGATAGACATGAGCTACTGTGCTTGATTGAAAGTTCAATTTTTAAAAGAGATTTAGGCTATACAAGTTATCTGTCTCTTATTAAGTGAGCTTCAGTAGTTTGCCTTTCAAGTAATTTGTTAATTTTTTATAACTTGTCAAATTTATCAACATAAAGTTGTACATAATGTTCCCTTTTTAACTTTTTATCATCTATAAAATGTGTATTGATGTCACCTCTCCCATTCTCAATACCACCAATTTGCGTCTTCTCTCTTTTTTGCCGATTAGTCTTGTAAGAAATTTATCAATGTTATTGCTCTTTTCAAAGAACTAACTTTGATTTAATTGACTTATAAAATCATTTTTCTGTTCTCTACTTTATTGACTTCCAGTCTAACCTTCCTTATTTCCTTTCATTTGCTTATTCTAAGTTTAATTTGCTTTTTTGCTCATTTCTTTTTTTTTACTTTAAGTCTCGGGATACCTGTGCAGAACATGCAGGTTTGTTACACAGGTATATTTGTGCCTTGGTGGTTTGCTGCACCTATCAACCCAACATCTATGTGTTAAGCCCTGTGTGCATTAGCTATTTGTCCTAATGCTCTCCCTCCTGTTGCCCCCACCAACAGGCCCTGGTGTGTGTTTTTCCCCTCCCTGTGTCCACGTGTTCTCATTGTTCAACACCCACTTGTGAGTGAGAATATGTGGTGTTTGGTTTTCTGTTCCTGTGATAGTTTGTTGAGGATGATGGCTTCCAACTTTATTCATGTCCCTGAAAAGGACATGATCTCATTCCTTTTCATGGCTGCATGGTATTCCATGGTGTATATGTACCACATTTTCTCTATTCAGTCGATCATTGATGGGCATTTGGGTTGGTTTCATTTCTTTGCTATTGTAGATAGTGCTGTAATAAACATATGTGTGCATGTGTCTATATAGTAGAATGGTTTATATTTCTTTGAGTATATACCCAGTAATGGGATGGCTGGGTCAAATGGCATTTTCGGTTCTAGATCCTTGAGGAATCACCACACTGTCTTCCACAATGGTTGAACTAATTTACATTCCCACCAACAGTGTAAAAGCATTCTTATTTCTCCACATCCTTGCCAGCATCTGTTTTTTCTTGACTTTTTAATAATCACCATTCTGACTGTCATGAGATTTTATCTCATTGTGGTTTTGATTTGCATTTCTCTAATGAACAGTGATGTTAAGCTTTTTTCATGTGTTTTTTGGCCACATGAATGTCTTCCTTTGAGAAGTGTCTCTTCATATCCTTTGCCCACTTTTTGATGGAGTTGTTTGTGATTTTCTTGTAAATTTGTTTAAGTTCCTTGTAGAGTCTGGATACTAGACCTTTGTCAGATGGGTAGATTGAAAAATTTTCCTCTAGTCTGTGGTTTGCCTGTTCACTCTGATGATAGTTTCTTTTGCTGTGCAGAAGCTGTTTAGTTTAATTAGATCCCATTTGTCAATTCTGGCTTTTGTTGCAATTGCTTTTGATGTTTCCATAATAAAATCTTTGCCCATGCCTATGTCCTGAATGGTAATGCCTAGGTTTTCTTCTAGGGTTTTTTATGGTTTTGGACTTTACATTTATTTAAGTCTTTAATCCATCTTAAGTTAATTTTTGTATAGGGTGTAAAGAAGGAGTCCAGTTTTAGTTTTCTGCAAATAGCTCACCAGTTTTCCCAGCACCACTTATTAAATAGGGAATTATTTC
Organism: Homo sapiens; assembly: GCF_000001405.40. Taxonomy (NCBI): domain Eukaryota; kingdom Metazoa; phylum Chordata; class Mammalia; order Primates; family Hominidae; genus Homo; species Homo sapiens. The sequence continues at coordinate 64,552,309 of NC_000023.11, read as the reverse complement.
CCCATTGCTTGTTTCTGTCAGGTTTATTGAAGATCAGATGATGGCTGTAAATGTGTAATGCCTAGCTTTTTTTTTAGCTTTATTTATTTATATTTTTTTTGTAGAGACGGGTTCTTGCTGTGCTAAGCAGGCTGGTCTTTAATTCTTGGCCTCAAGTGATCCTCCTGCCTTGGTGCCAAAAAGTGATGGGATTACTGTAGTGAGACACTGCACACAACCTATTTCAGCTTTTTTGAGGAACTGCCAGACTATTTTCCATTTGGGTTGGGAACCAACCCAAATGTCCAACAATGATAGACTGGATTAAGAAAATGTGGCACATATACACCATGGAATACTATGCAGCCATAAAAAAGGATGAGTTCATGTCCTTTGTAGGGACATGGGTGAAGCTGGAAACGATCATTCTCAGCAAACTATCGCAAGGACAAAAAACCAAACACCGCATGTTCTCACTCATAGGTGGGAATTGAACAATGAGAACACATGGACCCAGGAAGGCAAACATCACACACCGGGGCCTGTTGTGGGGTGGGGGGAGGTGGGAGGGATAGCATTAGGAGATATACCTAATGTTAAATGACGAGTTAATGGGTGCAGCACACCAACATGGCACATGTATACATATGTAACAAACCTGCATGTTGTGCACATGTACCCTAAAACTTAAAAGTACAAAAATAAATAAATAAATAAATAAATAAATAAATAAATAAATTTCCACTATCAACGTGAGTGTCTCAATTTCTCTACATCTTCACCAATACTTGTTATCCTCTGACATTTTTCTTACAGTCATCCTCACGGGCGAACAGTGGTATTTTCTCATGATTTTGATTTGCATTTTCTTATTGACTAATGAGGTTGAGCATCCATTCATATGTTTATTGGTTATTTTATATCTTCTTTGTTAAAATATCTATTCAGACCTTTTTCTCATTTTTAAATTGGGTTATTTGTCTTTTCATTAAGTTTAAGTGTTCTCTTTTTTCTTTTCTTTTCTTTTTCTTTTCCTTTTTAGGGACAAGGTCTCACTCTTTTGTTCAGATTGGAGTGCAGTGGCACAATCGTAGCTCACTGCAACCTCAAACTACTGGGCTCAAGTGACCCTTCCATCTCAGGCTTTCACATAGATAGAACTATAGGCACAAACCACCACATCTGGCTAGTTTTTTAAAAGCTTTTGTAGAGATGGGGTCGTGCTATGTTACCCTGGCTTGTCTCGAACTCAAGGGCACAAGAAATCCACCTGCCTCGGCCTCCCAAAGTACTGAGATTACAAACATGAACCACTGCTCAGTGTATAAGGGTTATTTATACTTTTTTGCAGTTTTCGATGTACAAGTCTTCTTACATACTCTTTTGATAAACAGAATTTGGGGATTTTGCTACTCTGTTATTTTATGATCATTTATGTGTGTGTGACTTGTTGAAAACTCACTTTTTACCTAAAAGTCATAAAGACATTTTCCTATATTATCTTCTAAAATGTTACAGTTTTCTTTCATATTTGACTCCTTAATCCAACTGAAATAAAATTGTATGTGATGTGAATTAGGATTACAATTATCTTTTCCCCAAATTGATAATCAATTTCTCAGTACCATTTACTGACTCTTTTCCTCAAGATCCTTATGCAAGCTATGTAATTAATAAGCTTTCATTATGTGCATTGGTCATTTTATGGGGCCTTTGTACTGTTGCACTAGTGTATTTCTGTATCCCTACACTAAAATCACACTGTCTTAATTTCTATAGAATTATGGTAAATGTTGACATTTGGTATGGCAAAAACCCTAACTTTTTGTCTTCTTTGGAAATATCTTGGCTGTACTTGGTAGTTTTCTTTTTCATAAAAATTTTAGAATCAGCTTGCCAAATGTCATAAATATGCTGTTGAAATTCTATTGAAATTGCACTGAATGCATACATTAATATTGGAAGCCATGGCATCTCTATGAAATAGTTTTTTTCTTTCCATGAGGATGTTACATGTCTCCCTACATTTAGCTCTTCTTTAATGTCTGTCTTTTTTTTTTTTTTTTTTTTTTGAGACAGGGTCTTGCTCTGTTGCCCAAGCTGAAGTGCACTGGCATAATCATGACTCACCGCAGCCTCAACCTCCCAGGCTCAAGTAATCCTCCCACCTCAACCTTCTGAGTAGCTGAGATGGCAGGAACATGCCACAATGCCTGGCTAATTTTAAATTATTTTGTAGAGGTGAGATATTGCTATCTTGCCCAGGCTGGTCTCGAACTCCTGTCCTCAAGTGATCCTCCTGCCTTGTCCTCCCAAAATACTGGGATTATAGGCATGAGCCACTGTGCACAGCCTTTAATGTCTTTCAATAAAATTTTTCTCATGCCTGGATCAGGCAGCCAAGATGGCCGAATAGGAACAGCTCCAGTCTACAGCTCCCAGTGGGAGAGATGCAGAAGACAGGTGATTTCTGCATTTCCATCTGAGGTACCGGGTTCATCTCACTAGGGAGTGCCAGAGAGTGGGTGCAGGACAGTAGGTGCAGCGCACCATGCACGAGCCGAAGCAGGGTGAGGCATTGCCTCACTCGGGAAGTGCAAGGGGTCAGGGAGTTCCCTTTCCTAGTCAAAGAAAGGGGTGACAGATGGCACCTGCAAAATCCATCACTCCCACCCTAATACTGCACTTTTTCAATGGGCTTAAAAAGTGGAACACCAGGAGATTAAATCCCCCACCTGCCTTGGAGGGTCCTATGCCCACGGAGTCTCGCTGATTGCTAGCACAGCAGTCTGAGATCAAACTGCAAGGCGGCAATGAGGCTGGGGGAGGGGCGCCCACTATAGCCCATGCTTGCTTTGGTAAACAAAGCAGCCAGGAAGCTCGAACTGGGTGGAGCCCACCACAGCTCAAGGAGGCCACCCTGCCTCCTTAGGCTCCACCTCTGGGGGCAGGGCACAGACAAACAAAAAGACAGCAATAAACTCTGCAGACTTAAATGTCCCTCTCTGACAGCTTTGAAGAGAGCAGTGGTTCTCCCAGCATGCAGCTGGAGATCTGAGAACAAGCAGACGCCCTACACAAGTGGGTCCCTGACCCCTGACCCCCGAATAGCCTAACTGGGAGGAACCCCCAAGTAGGGGCAGACTGACACCTCACACGGGCGGGTACTCCTCTGAGACAAAAATTCCAGAGGAACGATCAGACAGCAGCATTCGCGGTTTACGAATATCCCTTGTTCTGCAGCCAGTGCTGCTGATAACCAGGCAAACAGGGTCTGAGTGGACCTCTAGCAAACTCCAACAGACCTGCAGCTGAGGGTCCTGTCTGTTAGAAGGAAAACTAACAAACAGAAAGGACATCCACACCAAGAACCCATCTGTATGTCACCATCATCAAAGACAAAAAGTAGATAAAACCACAAAGATGTGGAAAAAACCAGAGCAGAAAAACTGGAAACTCTAAAAAGCAGAGTGCCTCTCCTCCTCCAAAGGAATGCAGTTCCTCACCAGCAACGGAACAAAGCTGGATGGAGAATGACTTTGACGAGTTGAGAGAAGAAGGTTTCAGAGGACCAAACTACTCCGAGCTACAGGAGGAAATTCAAACCAAAGGAAAAGAAGTTGAAAACTTTGAAAAAAATTTAGACAAATGTATAACTAGAATAACCAATACAGAGAAGTGCTTAAAGGAGCTGATGGAGCTGAAAGCCAAGGCTCAAGAACTACGTGAAGAATGCAGAAGCCTCAGGAGCCGATGTGATCAACTGGAAGAAAAGGTATCAGTGATGGAAGATGAAATGAATGAAACGAAACGAGAAGGGAAGTTTAGAGAAAAAAGAGTAAAAAGAAATGAACAAAGCCTCCAAGAAATATGGGACTCTGTGAAAAGACCAAATCTATGTCTGGTTGGTGTACCTGAAAGTGAAGGGGAGAATGGAAGCAAGTTGGAAAACACTCTGCAGGATATTATCCAGGAGAACTTCCCCAATCTAGCAAGGCAGGCAAACATTCAGATTCAGGAAATACAGAGAATGCCACAAAGATACTCCTCAAGAAGAGTAACTCCAGGACATATAATTGTGAGATTCACCACAGTTGAAATGAAGGAAAAAATGTTAAGGGCAGTCAGAGAGAAAAGTCGGGTTACGCACAAAGGGAAGCCCATCAGACTAACAGTGGATCTCTCAGCAGAGACTCTACAAGCCAGAAAAGAAATTTCAACCCAGAATTTCATATCCAGCCAAACTAAGCTTCATAAGTGAAGGAGAAATAAAATCCTTTACAGACAAGTAAATGCTGAGAGATTTTGTCACCACCAGGCCCACCCTAAAAGAGCTCCCGAAGGAAGCACTAAACATGGAAAGGAACAAACAGTACCAGCCGCTGCAAAATCATGCCAAATTGTAAAGACCATCAAGTCTAGGAAGAAACTGCATCAACTAACGAACAAAATAACCAGCTAACATCATAATGACAGGATCAAATTCACACATAACAATATTAACTTTAAATGTAAATGGACTAAATGCTCCAATTAAAAGACACAGACTGGCAAATTGGATAAAGAGTCAAGACCCATAAATGTGCTGTATTCAGGAAACCCATCTCATGTGCAGAGACACACATAGGCTCAAAATAAAAGGATGGAGGAAGATCTACCAAGCACATGGAAAACAAAAAAAGGCAGGGGTTGCAATCCTAATCTCTGATAAAACAGACTTTAAACCAACAAAGATCAAAAGAGACAAAGAAGGCCATTACATAATGGTAAAGGGATCAATTCAACAAGAAGAGCGAACTATCCTAAATATATATCCACCCAATACAGGAGCACCCAGATTCATAAAGCAAGTCCTGAGTGACCTACAAAGAGACTTAGACTCCCACACAATAAAAATGGGAGACTTTAACACCCCACTATCAACACTGGACAGATCAACGAGACAGAAAGTAAACAAGGATATCCAGGAATTGCACTCAGGTCTGCACCTAGCGGACCTAATAGACATGTACAGAACTCTCCACCCCAAAACAACAGAATATACATTATTTTCAGCACCACACCACACCTATTCCAAAATTGACCACAGAGTTGGAAGTAAAGCACTCCTCGGCAAATGTAAAAGAACAGAAATAATGACACACTGTCTCTCAGACCACAGTGCAATCAAACTAGAACTCAGGATTAAGAATCTCACTCAAAACCGCTCAACTACATGGAAACTGAACAACCTGCTCCTGAATGACTACTGGGTACATAACAAAATGAAGGCAGAAATAAAGATGTTCTTTGAAACCAATGAGAACAAAGGCACAACATACCAGAATCTCTGGGACACATTCAAAGCATTGTGTCAAGGGAAATTAATAGCACTAAAGGCCAACAAGAGAAAGCAGAAAAGATCCAAAATTGACACCCTAACATCACAATTAAAAGAACTAGAAAAGCAAGAGCAAGCACATTCAAAAGCTAGCAGAAGGCAAGAAATAACTAAAATCAGAGCAGAACTGAAGGAAATAGAGACAAAAAAAAAAACCCTTCAAAAAATTAAAGAATCCAGGAGCTGGTTTTTTGAAAGGATCAACAAAATTGATAGACTGCTCGCAAGACTGATAAAGAAGAAAAGAGAGAAGAATCAAATAGATGCAATAAAAAATGATAAAGGGGATATCACCACTGATCCCACAGAAATACAAACTACCATCAGAGAATACTACAAACACCTCTACGCAAATAAACTAGAAAGTCTAGAAGAAATGGATAAATTCCTCGACACATACACCCTCCCAAGACTAAACCAGGAAGAAGTTGAATCTCTGAATAGACCAATAACAGGATCTGAAATTGTGGCAATAATCAATAGCTTACCAATCAAAAAAGTCCAGGACCAGATGCATTCACAGCCGACTTCTACCAGAGGTACAAGGAGGAACTTGTACCATTCCTTCTGAAACTATTCCAATCAATAGAAAAAGAAGGAATCCTCCCTAACTCATTTTATGAGGCCAGCATCATCCTGATCCCAAAGCCGGGCAGAGACACAACCAAAAAAGAGAATTTTAGACCAATATCCTTGATGAACATTGATGCAAAAATCCTAAATAGAATACTGGCAAACTGAGTCCAGCAGCACATCAAAAAGCTTATCCACCATGATCAAGTGGGCTTCATCCCTGGGTTGCAAGGCTGGTTCAATATACACAAATCAATAACTTTAATCCAGCATATAAACAGAACCAAAGACAAAAAACACATGATTATCTCAATAGATGCAGAAAAGGCCTTTGACAAAATTCAATAACCCCTCATGCTAAAAACTCTCAATAAATTAGGTACTGATAGGACGTATCTCAAAATAATAAGAGCTATCTATGACAAACCCACAGCCAATATCATAGTGAATGGGCAACAACTGGAAGCATTCCCTTTGAAAACTGGCACAAGACAGGGATGCCCTCTCTCACCACTCCTATTCAACATAGTGTTGGAAGTTCTGGCCAGGGCAATCAGGCAGGAGAAGGAAATAAATGGTATTCAATTAGGAAAAGAGGAAGTCAAATTGTCCCTGTTTGTAGATGACATGATTGTATATCTAGAAAACCCCATTGTTTCAGCCCAAAATCTCCTTAAGCTGATAAGCAAATTCAGCAAAGTCTCAGGATACAAAATCAATGTGCAAAAATCACAAACATTTTTATACACCAATAACAGACAAACAGAGAGTCAAATCATGACTGAACTCCCATTCACAATTTAATTCTCTTTGAAGAGAATAAAATACCTAGGAATCCAACTTACAAGGGATGTGAAAGACCTCTTCAAGGAGAACTACAAACCACTGCTCAATGAAATAAAAGAGGATACAAATGGAAGAACATTCCATGCTCATGGGTAGGAAGAATCAATATCGTGAAAATGGCCATACCACTCAAGGTAATTTATAGATTTAATGCCATCCCCATCAAGCTACCAATGACTTTCTTCACAGAATTGGAAAAAACTACTTTAAAGTTCATATGGAACCAAAAAAGAGCCCGCATCGCCAAGTCAATCCTAAGCCAAAGGAACAAAGCTGGAGACATCATGTTACCTGACTTCAAACTATACTACAAGGCTACAGTAACCAAAACAGCATGGTACTGGTACCAAAACAGAGATATAGATAAATGGAACAGAACAGAGTCCTCAGAAATAATGCCACATATCTACAACTATCTGATCTTTGACAAACCTGAGAAACACAAGCAATGGGGAAAGGATTCCCTATTTAATAAATGGTGCTGGGAAAACTGGCTAGCCATATGTAGAAAGCTGAAACTGGATCCCTTCCTTACACCTTATACAAAAATTAATTCAACATCGATTAAAGACTTAAATGATAGACCTAAAACCATAAAAACCCTAGAAGAAAACCTAGGCATTACCATTCCGGACATAGGCATGGGCAAGGACTTCATGTCTAAAACACCAAAAGCAATGGCAACAAAAGCCAAAATTGACAAATGGGATCTAATTTAACTAAAGAGCTTCTGCACAGCAAAAGAAACTACCATCAGATTGTACAGGCAACCTACAGAATGGGAGAAAATTTTTGCAACCTACACATCTGACAAAGGGCTAATATCCAGAATCTACAATGAACTCCAACAAATTTACAAGAAAAAAACAAACAACCCCATGAAAAAGTGGACGAAAGACATGAACAGACATTTCTCAAAAGAAGACATTTATGCAGCCAAAAAACACATGAAAAAATGCTCACCTTCACTGGCCATCAGAGAAATGCAAATCAAAACCTCAATGAGATACCATCTCACACCATTTAGAATGGCAGTCATTAACAAGTCAGGAAACAGCAGGTGTTGGAGAGGATGTGGAGAAATAGGAACACTTTTACACTGTTGGTGGGACTGTAAACTAGTTCAACCGTTGTGGAAGTCAATGTGGTGATTCCTCAGGGATCTAGAACTAGAAATACCATTTGACCCAGCCATTCCAGTACTGGGTATATACCCAAAAGACTATAAATCATGCTGCTATAAAGACACATGCACACGTATGTTTATTGCGGCATGATTCACAATAGCAAAGACTTGGAACCAAGCCAAATGTCCAACAATGATAGACTGGATTAAGAAAATGTGGCACATATACACCATGGAATACTATGCAGCCATAAAAAATGATGAGTTCATATCCTTTGTAGGGACATGGATGAAATTGGAAATCATCATTCTCAGTAAACTATTGCAAGGACAAATAAAAACACCACATGTTCTCACTCATAGGTGGGAATTGAACAATGAGAACACATGGACACAGGAAGGGGAACATCACACTCTGGGGACTGTTGTGGGGTGGGAGGAGGGGGGAGGGATAGCATTAGGAGATATACCTAATGTTAAATGACGAGTTAATGGGTGCATCACACCAGCATGGCACATGTATACATATGTAACTAACCTGCACATTGTGCACATGTACCCTAAAACTAAAAGTACAATAATAATAAAATTAAAAAAAAGAAATTAAAAAAAATTTTCTCATGCCATACACAAACATCGTATACATCTTTTGTTAAATTTATTCCTACTACCTTTGCATTTATTACCACATTTGTAAATTATCTTTTAAAAATTATGTTTTCAGTTTTGCACTGAGATTGAGAAGTGTGTTACAGTTTAGGCATTAATTTTCCCCCCTTCCATCTTGTTACAAAATAACTTACTGATTATAATAATTTGTCAATAATTTGGGGCATTTTCTACATGGACATTTATCTCTGTGTCTATAATAACAGTTTTGTTTATTTCTTGCTTTTCTCTGATAGTAATGTGAACACTTTTAAGATTTCACCATTGGCCTTTTGGCGGTTTATTTGGGAGGCAAAGGCTGGAGGATTGCTTGAGCCCAGGAGTAAGAGACCAGCCTGGGCAATGATGTGACACTCCCATCTCTACAAAAAATAAAGGAATTAGCTGGGTGTGTTGCATACCTGTGATTCCAGCTATGAGGGAGGCTGAGGCAGAGGATCACTTCACCCCAGGAGGTTGATGCTGCAGTGAGCTGTCTTTACTGCTGCAATCCATCCTGGGCAACAGAGCAAGACCCTGTCTAATGAATTAATTAAAAATAGAAATAAAAATATTTCACCATTAAGTAATGATATTGCTTGTAGGGTTTTTTAATGGTTATTCTCTATTAGCTCAAGGAAGTTCCGTTCTATTTCTAGTTTGCTAAGGTTTTTTTTTTTTTTTTTTTTTTTGACTGTGTCTTGCTCCCAGGTGGGAGTACAGTGGCACAATCTCAGCTCACTGAAACATCTGCCTCCCAAGCTCAAGCCATCCTCCCACCTCAGCATCCCAAGTAGCTGGGACTACAGACATGCAACCACCAAACCTGGCCACATTTTTTGTATTTTTTATAGAGACAGCGTTTCACCATGTTGCCCAGACTGGTCTTGAACTCTTGAATTCAAGCGATCTGCCCACCTTGACCTCCCAAAATGCTAGGATTACAGGCATGATCCACTGAGTCTGGCCTGCTACTTTTTTTTTTTTTTTAGTCACCATGAAAGAATGTTGAATTTTATTATATGCTTTCTCTGTATCTCTTAGAGCGATCACATAGTTTATCCCTCGGCTTTGATCTGCTAATGTGAAATACATTACCAGATTTTTCAAAGTAACACTATTCCTGCATTCCTGGGCTAAACCCACTTTGATCTTTTCTTTTGTCATATATTGCTGGATTGTTGCATTCATATTCAAAAGTTAAATGATCCGTGGGTTTTCCTTTGTCATTTAGTTATTGTTTGGTTTTTGTACCAAGTTTAAGCTAGTCTCATAAAAACAGCTGGGAGCCAGGCATGATAGCTTATGCCTGTAATCCCAGCACTTTGGGAGGCCCAAGGCAGGAGGATCCATTGAGCCCAGGAGTTTGAGACCAGCCAAGGCAACATGGTGAAACCTCGTCTGTACAGAAAATAAAAATAAAAAAAATTAGCCAGGCGTGGTGGCAGGTGCCTGAAGTACCAGCTAGTTGGGAGGTTGATGTGGGAAGATCACTTCAGCTTGGGAGTACTAGGCTACAGAGAGCATGATCACACCACTGCACTCCAGTCTAGGTGACAGAGCGAGGCCTTTTCTTAAAAAAAAAAAAAGTTGGAAATTATTCCCTCTTTTCCTGTATTCTAGAAGAGTATTTATAAGGTTGGAATTACCAGTTTTTCAAATTGCCTTTAAACTATCTCTGCCTAATGTCTATTAAGGATGTTTTTTCCACTACCAGATCATTTTAAAAATTATTGAATAATTAGTCAAGGTTTTAATTTCTCTTTGAATCACTTTTGGCAAGTTCTGTCTTTATAGAAAAAAATGTTTATATTGTTTATAGTGTCCTCTTAGTATCTTTATAACCTCTGCAGACCTTGTAGGCATGTACCTTTTCTTATTTTTAATACTGTGCTTTCTCTCTCCTGCTCTTTTTATTTTTTCTTTTAAGACAGGGTCTGGCTCTGTCACCCAGGCTGGAGTGGCTGAAGTGCAGTAGTGAGATCATGGCTCACTGCATCCTCAAACTCCCAGGCTAAACTGATCCTCCCATCTCAGCCTCTCGAGCAGCTGGTACTATCAGCATGTGCTGCCACAACCTGCTAAATTTTTTAAATTTTTTGTTGTTGTTGTTTTGGAGACAGAGTCTCGCTCCATCGCCCAGGCTGGAGTGCAATGGCGCAATCTTGGCTCACTGCAACCTCCACCTCCTGGGCTCAAGTGATTCTACTGCCTCAGCCTCCAGAGTACCTGGGATTACAGGCGTCTGTCACCACGCCTGGCTAATTTTTGTATTTTTAGTAGAGACGGGGTTTCACCATGTTGGCCAGGCTTGACTTGAACTCCTGACCTCAGGTAATCCACCTGCCTCGGCCTCCCAAAGTGCTGGGATTACAGGCATGAGCCACCGCACAAGGCCAATTTTTAAACTTTTTGTAGAGACAGGATCTCTCCATGTTGCCCAGTCTGATATCTAACTCCTGGGCTCAAGCAATCCTCCCACCTCAAACTCCCAGAATGTTGAGATCTTAGGCATGCATCATCCTGCCAAGCCATGTTTTGTTGTCATTGTTGTTGTTTTGCTTTTTCATTGAGAATACTTGCCAGGGGTTTACTAACATTTTCAGCGCATCATCTTTTGGCTCAGTTAATATTCTTTGACATATATTTATTTTCTATTTCACTTGTGATTACTGACATTTTTCTTTCTTTCTTTCTTTCTTTCTTTCTTTCTTTCTTTCTTTCTTTCTTTAATTTTTATTTATTTTCAGACAGTGTCTTACTCTTTTGCCCAGGCTGGAGTGCAGTGGCACAATCACAGCTCACTGCAGCCTTGACCTCCCTGGGCTTAGGCAATCCTCCTACCTCAGCCTCCCAAGTAGCTGAGACTAAATTGGGCTCCAACACACCTGGCTGATTTTCGTATTTTTTGTAGAGACAGAGTTTTGCCATGTTCCCCAGGCTGGTCTCAGACTTCTGGGCTGAAGCAATCTGCCCGCCTAAGCCTTCCAATATGCTGGGATTACAGGCATGAGCCACCACTCATTCTTTTTATTTTCCTTGCTTTAATTCCACTGGTCTTTTTTGATTTAATAAGATATGCTCAACATCTTAATTTTCAGCCTTCCTTACTTTCTAATATAAATATTTAAAGCTGTGTTATTAGATACATGTAAAATTGTTGTACCTTCAAAGTAAATTAAATCTATTACAATTATGTAGTGGCTTTATTTCTAGTAATGCTTTTTGCCTTGGTCTATTTGGTTTGCCATTAATATAGCTACACCAGCTTTCTGTCAGTTAGTATTTACCTAGTACTTTTTTCTCCACTGTTTTTCCTACAGCCAGTCTCTCTATATTACTATGTTTAAATATGTCCTTTGTAACAGAATATAGATAGATTTTTTCCATTTTGAACAAACTGTCTTTTACATGGATAATTTAGTACACTTGTTATTACTGATATATTTGAATTTATTTTTACCATCTTATTTTGGAATTTCTCTTTAACCCACTTTTTCTACCTTTCCCTTTTCTTTTTTTTATTTTATTATTATTATACTTTAAATTTTAGGGTACATGTGCACAATGTGCAGGTTAGTTACAAATGTATACATGTGCCGTGCTGGTGTGCTGCACCCATTAACTCGTCATTTAACATTAGGTATATCTCTTAATGCTATCTCTCCCCCCTCCTTCCACCCCACAACAGTCCCCAGAGTGTGATGTTCCCCTTCTTGTGTCCATGTGTTCTCATTGTTCAATTCCCACCTATGAGTGAGAACATGCTGTGTTTGGTTTATTGCCCTTGCGATAGTTTACTGAGAATGATGATTTCCAATTTCATCCATGTCCCTACAAAGGACATGATCTCATCATTTTTTATGGCTGCATAGTATTCCATGGTGTATATGTGCCACATTTTCTTAATCCAGTCTATCAGTGTTGGACATTTGGGTTGGTTCCAAGTCTTTGCTATTGTGAATAGTGCCGCAATAAACATACGTGTGCATGTGTCTTTATAGCAGCATGATTTATAGTCCTTTGGGTATGTACCCAGTAATGGAATGGCTGGGTCAAATGGTATTTCTAGTTCTAGATCCCTGAGGAATCACCACACTGGCTTCCACAATGGTTGAACTAGTTTACAGTCCCACCAACAGCGTAAAAGTGTTTCTATTTCTCCGCATCCTCTCCAGCACCTGTTGTTTCCTGACTTTTAATGATTGCCATTCTAACTGGTATGAGATGGTATCTCATTGTGGTTTTGATTTGCATTTCTCTGATGGCCAGTGATGGTGAGCATTTTTTCATGTGTTTTTTGACTGCATAAATGTCTTCTTTTGAGAAATGTCTATTCATGTCCTTTGCCCACTTTTTGATGGGGTTGTTTGTTTTTTTCTTGTAAATTTGTTGGAGTTCATTGTAGATTCTGGATATTAGCCCTTTGTCAGATGAGTAGGTTCTGAAAATTTTCTTAAAGCCAAAATTGACAAATGGGATCTAATTAAACTAAAGAGCTTCTGCACAGCAAAAGAAACTACCATCAGAGTGAACAGGCAACCTAAAAAATGGGAGAAAATTTTCCTTTTTCATTTATATTACCCGTTTTCTTTTTTCTCTTTACTACTTTGGAAGCACACTCTTTTTTGTTTGTTTGTTTGTTTGTTTTTGCTTTTAGCAATCACTTTATCTAGAACATTTAACATGTATGCTTAACAAAGTTAAAAAAAAATCAACATTTGGTGGGACTGTAAACTAGTTCAACCATTGTGGAAGTCAGTGTGGCGATTCCTCAGGGATCTAGAACTAGAAATTCCATTTGACCCAGCCATCTCATTACTGGGTATATACCCAAAGGACTGTAAATCATGCTGCTATAAAGACACATGCACACATATGTTTATTGCAGCACTATTCACAGTAGCAAAGACTTGGAACCAAGCCAAATATCCATACGATAGACTGGATTAAGAAAATGTGGCACATATACACCATGGAATACTATGCAGCCATAAAAAATGTTGAGTTCATGTCCTTTGTAGGGACATGGATGAAACTGGAAATCATCATTCTCAGTAAACTGTCGCAAGTACAAAAAACCAAACACCGCATGTTCTCACTTATAGGTGGGAATTGAACAATGAGAACACATGGACACAGGAAGGGGAACATCACACTCTGGGGACTGTTGTGGGGTGGGGGAAGGGGGGAGGGATAACATTAGGAGATATACCTAACGCTAAATGATGAGTTAATGGGTGCAGTACACCAACATGGCACATGTATACATATGTAACTAACCTGCACATTGTGCACATGTACCCTAAAACTTAAAGTATAATAATAATAATAATAATAATAATAATAATAAAAACATTCATATACTCATCCAGAAAAATACAGAAGCCACAGAAAATCTTAGCTCTATTTACTGCATACCAATATATATGCTTTTCTTCTTAGTATTTTAGTTATCTTTTTTAACCCCACAAATTAGACATTATTATCAATATTTCATTCAGTCAGTAGTTAAACATCTGCTCACATATTTACATTCTTATTTTACCCATCCTTCTTTCTTGCATCTCAGGCTTTCCATCTGGGGTATCTTTCTGACTCAAATGTATCCTTTAGAATTTCCTGTAGCAAAAGTCTCTTTATGACAGACCATCTCAGTTTTCTTTTTGGCTTGGTTTGGTTTGGTTAAAAATGGCTTTATTTTTCCTTCATTCTTTAAAGACAGTTTACCAGGTATAGAATTCCTAATTGACAATTATTCTTTTTCAACACATTGGTAATATAAATTTATTTTTTCTCATTTTCATTGTTATGAGAAGTAAATTGTCAATCTAATTATTATTCCTGAGTAAGTAATCCATCTTTTTTGGTTCTTTTTAATGATTTTTTTTTCTTTGTCTTTGGGGTTCTACAGTTTCACCATAATGGTTCTAGGGTGAGACATCTTAGAATGTTTGCTTAGGATCAATTAGGCTATCTGAATTCAACTACAGCTGCATTTCCTCAATTCAAAAAATATTTCTATTGTCTTTTTATGGAAATCCAATTAGATGTATATTACAACATCTCACTCTACTTTCTTTGTCTCTCATTTATATTTTCCATCTCTGTGCTATCTATGTTGTATCCTAGGCTATTTCTTCAAATCTGTTCAGTGGTTCATTTCTTTTGTATATGTCCATTGAATTTTCTTTTTAATTTCCATTATTATATTATTTCTTTGAAAATCATTTTTATATATGTATGTATATATATATATATAAAAATATGAATGATTTTTGTATCTTCTGTGTGTGTATATATACAAAAGGACAAAGCGGGGAAGGGGAAGACCAGCTAAGGCATATTTGGCTTCAAACCACCAGTCCCTTAAGTGGAGATCCCACATGAATCATCCTCGAATTCTGACTGATTTTTAAGCTTCCCTCACTAGTTCTAAATGGCTGCCCCTTTTAACCTCTTTGTCTCTTTGTCACAGTTCATCTTTTGAGGACAAGATCAAAATCTACATTTGCATAAGGTGGTCTTATCCTTCTGGACATTATTTTTTTCTCTCTCTCTAAAACCTGAGTAAGTCTTTTCATCATTTTACCCATCCTAAAAGCTCCAGATTCTTCCTCTATTTCTGTACAAATGTAGTTTCCAGAGCCAAGATACAACAGGTATAGGCTCTGTTGTATAGATAAAACAGGTATAGATAAAAATAGTTCTTTGGCCATTGAATTTGTAGTCAGTTTAATTTCCACTCCATTTCAGCCCATGGAGATGACTCATACCCTATAGAGCTCAGGCTCTGCTCTCTCTTTGTCTGTTTAGGGTGTGTGTGTGTGTATGTTAGTCATGGGAGAACCCCATCCATTCCTTTCAGGCTGCTGACATACATGATCAAGGCCAAGTACTTCCTCTTTTCCCCAGAACCCAAGAAGATCAGGATAAAGAGGCAGAGATAATGCGGAACAGTGGCCATGGGGTTATAGGCTCTTTTGGAAGTCCACCCAAAGGTGCGCCATTCAATAGCTCAGCCAGTAGATCAGAGGGCTATAGACTGCACAGAAGTCCACACACAGAAATGAGGACAATTTTAATGTGAGCCATCCCTGGTAAAATAAATAAATCCCTGGTCCTGCCAGGAACGGATTTCTGTTTGCTCCTGGCAGCTTCAAAGATTTCATTTTGTCCTTGCCCAGGTCTGATTTTATTTTCCTCTAGAATGGAACTTGTGGGAGCATAGTCCTGATGCCCTCTGTTTGAGAGTATAGTAATAATACTGATGATAATGATAACTAGTATTCATCTTACATTCACTCTACATCAGATGCCATGCTATGTGCTTCACAGGCACCATATCATTTCACCTTCACAAGAGGCTCATGAGAGAAGCATGACTCTTGGCTCCTGTATGACAAGAAAGGAACAGAAGCCCAGAAAGGCTAAACAACTTGCCTAAGGTCACAGAGCCTTATATTCCACCACAGGCATGACATATTACAGGTCAAGTGATCTTTTCCTCTCCAACACACTGTTTCTATGTGTATATACCTCTCTGAATTTGTCCATGTAGATACCTGCCTTCCTGTTTCTCATTTCCAGTCAGTTCTTTACTGATAGCATCACCACAACCTCAACTCCTGGTCTTTCTCTGGGGAAGTGCCAGCCTGCCCATGGGAACAAGCAGGGCCCTTTCTGATTGATATCACTTCTGTCAAAGAGCATGGGTCCCTAGACAATCAGTGCAGGTAGGTGCCTCCTTCTGGATCTCTTCCTACCCTGACTGCATGTCTTGTCTCAGACCAATGTCAAGGAATTTTTCCTAGGCCCAGTCAAAATCTCAGAGCTCATGGCCCAGCCTTGTGTCCTTCCAGCTTCCTCTCCCCCAGTCTGGCTCAACCATCATGTCCACTTTCTCCAGCCCATAATAATTGTTGAGTGGGTTTAGCTCCCATACCAAGTGATTAGTAGACTTAGTTATTGGCTAATATTACCATGATCACTGTTACTGCTCCTTATCAGAGCCCACCTGCTTAGACCCCAGCCTGTACCCCACATGCGGCCTGGCCCTAAGACCCTGGCAGACCCTTCCCTCAACCCCAAAATACACAAATGCCTTCATCCTACTTCTCATGCCCTGATCTTCGCAGATTTTGACACCTTTACACAGCTCTTCATCTTTCTTCATCCTTGACACTTGGGAAGGTTCTCCCAGCTCCATCCAGGTTCTATTCCCCTACACTGCTCTTCTGATTATACCACTTTCTGCTGCTTCAGTAAAACAGTTCATCTAGTCTGATGCGGTTCCTAGGCTCTGACCCCGCTGCTAGTTGGTGTCTTCTGCCCCATCTCCTGACCCATATAGTCTCTCTACTTGCCTTGCTTTCCACCTCTGGTTTTATCTTTGGTCTTTGTCTCTTTCACCCTCTCTTGTCTTTGGCTTTCCCTTTGATCTTTGGACCTGACACATGATACTACAACTCCAACACAGGCCTTGTCTCTTCTCCACATAGAATGTGCTTTCAATTTATGCATTTTATTTGTCTCAAGCTATAGGAGCAACAATGTTGCAAGGAACACAGGGCCTGGCCCATAAAATAATGATAATATATAACAGATATTTATATTGTGTTTACAATGTGTCAAGTATGATTCAGTGAGCCTTCTATGTAATGATTCTTTTAATTTTCACAACAACCTCATAATCTGTAGGTACTATAATTATCCTGTAGGTACTATCATTATACAAAGAGAAAAGACTACGTTCCTTTTCCAAGGTCACATACCACAGTAGCGTAAGTCAAACCTAGCAGTTTACTCTTAATCGCTGTTCTATCCTGTCTCTCTGAGGGCTTATTAGTCACACAAAATATTTTTGTTTTGTGAACAAAGCTGTCTTATCTAACCTCAACTCTCAGGGCCATACCTTGGTGTCAGATGATAAGGCCAGCATTTCTGCCTGGTCTGCTCCAGCCCGTGCAAAAGGGATTCAGTCATTTTCTCTGGCTGATATGTGGCATTGGCAAAGTGATGATTTCTGATAAGTGATGAAGAGAGGAGGAGCTGCTCACAGTCATATCAAAATAGGAATTAGAAACATGTTAGAGTGTTCTTGGGCCTTTCTCACTTACTATATTATTTGAGCTTCACAGCTCTTCTGGTTCCACACAATTCCTAGAAACCCATACCTTGATGTAGACTGCCATATTAAATGCTCCCACTAGGTCAGACAGGGGATGGGGGAACACATATAAGAGAAGTTATGGAATTGGAATCAGGGGGACCTTGTGACAGATTGGAGGGGAGGTGACAGAAGCTGAAGGGCAGGGTTGTGGAAAGTTTAAAATAAGTTTCAGATTCTGAACTTGTGTTTCTAGGTGATGCCATTTACCTACATAAGTTGAAGGAGCAGGTTTGATGAGGTAAGTTTGAATAGGTTGAGTGGAAGTTATTGTATCCAAGTGGAAATGTTTAGGTAACAGCTGCACATAGGTCTAGAATTCAGGAAAGGACTGGCAACAAAGATCTGGGAGCCAACAGCATATAAGTATCAAGTGAAACCATTTTCATTTCAATCAGTTGCTTGAATATGTATTCAACAATAACTCCATCTCAAATATTTACTGAGTCCTGTATGAGCTAAGCCCTTAGCAAGGCATTGGAGATCAGTGCTGAATATGACATAGTTTCCTGTTTTTTGACTAATAGGAGGGACGTGTAATAAATCTAAAGCCAAGACATTATGAAAAGAGCAAAAATGTAATCAGGTATATTTTATGACAGTAACATGGAGAAATTGATGATTGTCTATAACTCTGGGTGTCATGGGAAGCATCATTGTGGAGAAACCATGGCAGCAGGATATTGAGCAATGCATTCAAGTTTTCCAGAGGATTAAGGGGGTGGGAGCAAAAGTTTATATGGAGGCAGTAGTGTGTGCAAAGGTGAGAAATGATGTGGTATATTTTGGAAATAGTATCCAATTTGGTATTGCTGGAGCATAAAATGTGAGGGAGTGCCAAGGAGGTCTAGATAGAGATGAGGTTGGAGAGGCAGGCAAGATCCATATCTTGAAATAACTTGATAGCTGCATCATGTGGGTTCGATGTACCTTAGGTGTTAAGTGGCCATCAGAAGGTTTTAAGCAAGAAGAGATTTAAACAGATGCCAATTTTAAACAGGCTACTTTGGAATCAACATGTAGGTTGGTTACGTAGAAAGTGAGGCTAGAAAAGGGAGAACAGTTAGTAGGCTCTTGCCAAGGTAGTAGAGGATAAGGGCTTGCAGCAAGGAAGTGGCAGCAACAATGAGATGGTGCAATGAAAAGAAAGAGGTAATAGGAGAGATACAGGGGAGGAATAGTTAGGATGTCACTGGGTTGGATGATGAGTGACAGGAATGAGAGATTCCCAAGTTTCTGACTCAATTGAGTGGGTGAATGGTGAGGATGAGTAGCAGGTTTGTTTGCTTCCTCGGTGAGGGAGGGAGAGAAGATGAATTTAGTTTTGAACAAACCTGGTTTGAGGGGCTCGATGGATATTCAGATGAAGATGTGAACTAGGTAAATGGATATATGGAAGTAGGTGTTTGTGTGTGTATATAAATAAATTTCTCAAGAGAACTATTTAGCAGAAGATAGAGGCTTGTAAATCATAAGTAATTTATGGCAAAAGTTTTAAATGCTGGGGAGGAGGTCATGATGGTTAATTTTATGCGTCAACTCTGAAGGTATTTTTGGATGAGGCTGACATTTAAATCATTGAACCTTGACTAAAGCAGGTTGCTGTCTATGTGAATGGACCTTACACAAGTAGTTGAAAGCCTAAATAGAATAAAAGACCAGCCTCCCTAAGCAAAAGAAAATTCCCCAGAATAATGCCATTAGAATTCATCTGCACCATCAGCCTTCTTGGGTTTCCTGGCTGCCCAGTCTTTGGACTGAAACTGCACTATAAACTTTCCTGGGTCTTGGACCTGCCAGCCCACAATACATATTTTGGACTTGCTAGCCTCCATAATCATATGAGCCAATTCCTTATAATAAATCTATTTATCTATTATCTAGATGAATCTCTCTCTCTCTCTCTCTCTCTCTCTCTCTCTCTCTCTCCCTCTTATTCGTTCTGTTTACCTGGAGATCCCTAGCTAATAAAGAGATATAAAGCCAAAAGAAAAGAGAGCTAAGAATAACACCTAAGCCCTTCTTTTTAGAAGTGACAAGCTAATCCTAAAATTCATATGGAAATGCAAGGGACCCACAATAGCCAAAATAATATTTAAAAAGAGGAGCAAACTGTAAAGGCTTATGTGTCCTGATTTCAAAACTTACCACAAAGCTGTAGTAATGAAAACGGTGTTGTACTGGCATAAATAAAGACATATAGATTGATGGAACAGAAAAGAGAGTTAAACCCATACAATTGTCTTCAATTTCTTTTTGAAAGGATATCAAGACATTAAATGGAGAAAGAAATCTTTGCAACAAATTGTGTTGAGACAATTAGATACCCATATCTAAAAGAATGGAGTTGAAAAAATACCTCACACCACACAGGAAAATTAACTCAAAATGAATCACAGACCTAAATGTAAGTGCTAACACCATAAAACTCTTAGAAAAAAAAACATAAATCATTGAAATCTTAGATTAGAAAAAAAATCCTTATATATGATACCATAAGCACAAGCAACATCAGACAAAAAATAGATAAATAGGCCTTTACCAAGACTGTAAACTTTTGTGCATCAAATGGCATTCCAAGAAAAAGAAAAGACAAGCCACAAAATGGGAGATAATTTTACCAAATAATGCATCTGATAGGGAACTTGTTTCCAGGATATATAAGGAATATTTTCAGCTCAACAATAAAAAAGAAAATGTCTCAGTCTCTTTGGGCTGCAACAACAAAATACCCTAAGCTATGTAGCTTAGAAACAACAAAAATGTATTTATTTCTTGGCTAGGAAGCCCAAGATCAAGATGTCAGCAGATCCAGTGTCTTATGAGGGTCTACTTTGGGGTTCATAGATGCCAGCTTCTAGTTGTGTCCTCACATGGTAGAATGGACTTACTACCTCTCTGGGGTCTCTTTATAAGGGCACTAATACCAGTCATGAAGACTCCACCCTTCTGACCTAATCGTCACAAAAAGGCCTCACCTCCTAATATTATCACCTTGGAGGTTGGGATTTCAATATATGAATTTGGGGAGGACACAAACATTTGGACTGTAGCAACAAATAATTAAATTTTAAAATGAGCAGATGATTTGAATAGTCACTTCTCCAAGGAAGATATACAAATAGTCAATAAATAAGAACAAACACTCAAGCTTGTCAGTAACTAGGAAAATGCAAATCAAAACTGCAATGAGATACCACTTCATGCATATTAGTATGGCTGTAATAACAAAAAGTCACACAATAGCAGTAAGTGTTGGAGAGGATGTAGAGAAATTGGAGTGTTCATATTTTGTCACTGAGCTACTTTTGCTGGTGGAAAACAATATGACAATTTTCAAAAAGTTAAATATAAAGTTATTATTTGATCCATCAACTCCACTCCTATATATATACCCCAGAAAAAGGAAAACATATGTCTACACAAAAGCTTATATATGAATGTTCATATCAGCATTAATAGTAGCCAAAAGGTGAAAACAACCCAATGTCCCTAAACTGGTGAATTGACAACAAAATGTGTTAAAGTGTTTGTATAACTACACAATGTAATATTATTTAGCCATGAAAGGAATGGAGTACTGATTTGTTTTATTTCTGATTTTAGTAATTTGAGTCTTTCTCATGTCTATTCTCTCCTCTCTCTTTCTCTCTCTCTCTCTCTCTCTCTCTCTCACACACACACATACACACACACACATCAGTCTAAGTAAAGATTTGTCAATTTTATTTTTTCAAATAACCAAACTTTGGCCTTGTTGATTTTCTGTATTGCTTTTCTCTTCTCCATTTTATTAATTTCTACTCTATTCTGGTTTTTTAAGGTAGAAACTTAGGTTACTGATTTGAGACTTTCCTTATTTTTTTATTTCAATGGTTTTAGGGTAACAAGTAGTATTTGGTTACATGGATAAGTTATTTAGTTGTGATTTCTGAGATTTCAGTGCACCCACCACCCATGCAGTGTACACTGCACCAATGTAGTTCTACTTTTAGTTCCTTAAAACTATCCATCATCTCCCTTCCACCCTTCCCCCTCAAGTCCCCAGAGTTCATTGTATCATTCTTCACCCTTTGCATCCTCATAGCTTAGCTCTCACTTATGAGTGAGAACACATGATGTTTGGTTTTCCATTCCCGAGTTACTTCACAAAGAATAATGGTCTTTCATTGGTTGTTGGGCACTCGTGCTGGTTCCATATTTTTTCAATTGCAAATTGTTCTGCTATAAATATGTGCGTGCAAGTGTCTTTTTCATATAATAACTTCTTTTACTCTGGGTAGATACCCAGTGGTGGGATTGCTGGATCAAATGGTAGTTCTACTTTTAGTTTCTTAAATCATCTCCATACTGTTTCCCATAGTGATTGTACTAGTTTACATTCCCACCAGTAATGTAAAAATGTTTCTTTTTCACCACATCCATGCATGTATCTGTGAATAGAGTAGTTTTTCTTTTTCCTTTCCAATCTGGATGTGTTTTGTTTCATTTGCTTCCCTAATTGCCCTGGCTAGAATCCCCACTACAATAAACAGCAATGGTGAGAACAGACATCTCTGTCTTGTTCCTGATGTTTGCATTCAGTCTTTCACCATTAAGTATGATGTTAGCTGTCAGGTTATATAGATGTCTTCTCACAGGTAGAGAAAATTCCCTTCTATCTATAATGTGTGAGTGTTTTTATTATGAGAGGGAGTTGGATTTTATAAAATGTATTTATATATCTCTTGATATATTTCAAAGTGGAGCCTATACAGTTTCTTGATGATACTGTGTGAATGAGAGGAGTAAAAAATGACTCAAAGGTATTTTGTCTGAGAAATTGGAAGGATGATGTTGCCATTTAATAAAATGAAGAGTGAGGGACAAGGATTAAGAGAAAGAACAAGAGATCAGTTTTGTATATGTTAAGTTTGGGATAAGCATTAGATATTTACATAGAGATATTGAGTAGGCAATTGGACATATGACTCTCAATTTCAGGAAAGTCATCAGGGTTCAATATGTACATTTGAAGTTCATCAGTGTACAGGTGGTATTTAAAATCATAACCTAGGAAGTGAGTGTAGATAGAGAAGCAAAAAGTTCATGATCACTTCTCTAGTGGCCCAATAGCCCTCACTGCCAAGGCCCTAAGATTTCTGAAGTCTGAGCTTTATTCCTGAATTCAGTGGAGATTCACTAGAGACCACTGTGGGGGAAAAGGAAAAGGCCCTACCTTGTCTTCAACCAAAGAAGCTCCTCCATCATATTGAGCTTACTTGACTGATGCAAGTTTAGAGATTGCTGCCCTAGATTATGTTCTTTACAAGAGCAATATGTTTAGCTGGGTTTGGGCCTTGCCTTTAAGACTTTTAGGTGGATTTGAGTTTATGAAAAATTTTTGCACTTGACCTTTTCTGGGGCCAGGACCCAGTAATCCTGGAGATTCAACCATGTATGTGTCTCCTCTGCAGTCACTAGATAAACCTTGAGCTCCTGGTGAAAATGCAGGACAACAGTATGTTCTAGGTAGGAGATTTTTTGATAAAGGAAAGCTTCCAACACACTTAGTGGGCTTGAACATTTGTACAATGGTTCTTGCTACCTGGAATGTGTACCTCTTTCTAGCTTAACTTCTGGAAGGCCTGGAGCTGCCTGAGATTGCAGAAGTTTGACCTCAAATGCATAGTGAGGTAGGAAAAGAAGGGAAAGGACAGCAGGATAAAGGTGAGAACACAAACGGGAAGGCCCTTACAGCAAGTCTGGGAAGAAAAATAGAGACATATGTTGGCTGCTACACCACTACCCTCTTCAGCCCACCATAGTCTCAGCAAGGTTGTAATGTATTCCTCTTTTTGCCTCCATGGATAGTACCAAGATTCCAGTGAAGAGGAATTTCAGGGTTTACTGTAGATTTTCATTGATGTACTTCCATATGGACTAGAAGGATCTCTGGATTTGAAAGAAGGGCATTCCGATTTCTATTTCTTTTCTATCTGCTCACATGCTCTGGCCACAGGCTAAAATACATGGCACAATGAAGTTTTCAGAAAAGCTTTTTCTTGACTGAGTATATTGAATACTTTTTAGTCAACATGGACACTGGCAGGGTGAGCTGAAGAGCTCACAACAATGTGGATGGCAAAATGTTTAAAGGCCAGCCATGTGCAGAGCTCTATGATAGACACTGTGGTAAGTACAAGCATAAAAAAGACATGACCCTAGTTTCCAAATAGCACAGAACCAAGTGAAAGTTAACAGATACCTGAATCACTTTAACACAGAGGAGATGGGGCATGTATAATAAGACAAATATATATGCTGTGGGAGAAAGAGCAAGCTAGGCTCATTTCTAGTTGAGAAATCAGATTGCCTCCTAAAGGAAGTAGCATTTTAATCAAGCTGTGAAATCTTTATCATTATCATTATTGTCAGTATTATTGCTAGTATTATTGCTACACCAGAGGAGATCAGAACTCTGCTCCCTAAAGTCCCACCCCACAGGAAAATATAGTCAGACCTGGGCAAGGACAAAATGAATCTATGAAGCTGCCAGGAACAGGCAGGATCTGTTCCTGGCAGTACCAGGGATTTATTTCTTTGGCCAGGGTTGGCTCACATTAAAATTGGCGACATTCCTCTGTGTAGACTTCTAAAATAGTCTATGACCCCGTGGCCACTGCCCCATGTTCTCTTTGCCTTTTTATCCTGGCCCTCTTACATAAAGAGGAGATACTTGGCCTTGAACATATATGTCAGGAGCCTGAGAGGTATCAGTTGGGTTCTTCCATGGCCAAAACACATATATACCACAAAGAGGGAGCAAGGCATAAGGTGTATAAGGAAGGAGTTATCCCTGTGGGCTGAAGTGAAGTGGAAATTAAACCAATTACAAATCCAATGGCCAAAGTGTTAGTTTTAACCAACCATAGCTCTTGTGCCTTGGCTCTGGAAATCACATTTGTACAGAAATAGAAAAAGGATCTAGAGCTTTTAGGATGAGTCAAGTGATGAGAAAACCTTCCCTGGCTTTGGAGAGAAAAAATCATATCCAGAAGGAATAGAACCACCTTACACAAATGCAGATTTTGTCCTGGTCCTCAAAAGATGAACCGTGGCAGCAAGAGAGGTTAAAGGAGACAGCCATTTACAACTAGTAAGGGAGGCTTAAAAATCAATGATCACTTTGAAAGGCCAAGGCTGGAGAATCACCTGAGGCTAGGAGTTCAAGATTAGCCTGGGAACCATAACAAGGCCTTGTCTCTTAAAAAAAAAAATTCAGGTTTAATTCAGGAATAATTTATCATCGGAAATCCTCACTTAAGGAGCTGGAGTTTTGGCCTTGGCTGGTCTTTCCCCTACTTTATTCTTCAGTTTAGCAATGCCCTGCATTTCCTCTCCCATTAATTTTTTAGCTTTCTCTTTTGTATTTACTTATTAAGTTTTATTTTAAGTTAAGATGTTCATGTGCAGGTTTGTTAACTTAGGTAAACTTCTGGCATGAGGGTTTGTTGTACAGATTATTTCATCACCCAAGTGTTAGGCATAATACCCATTAGTTATTTTCCCTGATCCTCTCTCTCATCTCAGCCTCCACCCTCAAGTAGGCCAAATGTGTGTTGTTTCCCTCTGTGTCCATGTGTTCTCATCATTTAGCTCCCACTTATAAGTGAGAAATGTGGTATTTGGTTTTCTGTTCCTGCATTAGGTTACTAAGGATAATGGCCTCCAGCTCCATACATGTCCCTGCAAAGGACATAATCTTGTTCTTTTTTATGGCTGCATAGTATTCCATTGTGTATATGTACCACATTTTCAATTTCAATCTATCACTGGTGGCCATTTAAGTTGGTTCTATATCTTTGCTATTGTGAGCAGTGCTGCAATGAACATAGGCATGCATGTATCTTCATAATAGAACAATCTGTATTCCTTTGGTTTGGTATATACCCAGTAATGGGATTGCTGGGTCAAATGGTACTTCTGCCTTTGGTCTTTGAGGAATCGCCACACTGTCTTCCACGATGGTTGAACTAATTTACACTCCCATCAACAGGGTTTAAGCATTCATTTTTCTCCAAAACCTCACCAGCATCTGTTATGCTTTGCCTTTATAGTAATAGCCGTTCTGACTAGTGTGAGATAGCATCTCATTGTGGTTTTGAGTTGCATTTCTCTAATGATCAGGGGTGTTGAGCTTTTTTCATATGATTGGTGGCCACATGTGTGTCTTCTTTTGAAAAGTGTCTGTTCATGTCCACTGACCACTTTTTAATGGGGTTGTTTGGGTTTCTTTTTTATGTGTGTAAATTTGCTTAAGTTCCTTATAGATGCTAGATATTGGACCTTTGTCAAATGTAGAGTTTGCAAAAATTTTCTCTCATTCTGTAGGTCATCTGTTTACTCTGTTGATACTATCTTTTGCTGTGTTGAAGCTCTTTAGTTGAATTAGATCCCATTTGTTAATTTTTGCTTTTGTTGAAATTGATTTTGGCATCTTTGTCATGAAATCTTTGCCTGTGCCTATATGCTGAATGGTATTACCTAAGTTGACTTTTAGGGTTTTTATGGTTTGGTGTTTTACATTTAAGTCTTTAATCTGTCTTGAGTTAATTTTTGAATATGGTATAAAAAAGGGGTCCAGTTTCAATCTTCTGCATATGGCTAACCAGTTATCTCAGCACCATTTATTGAATAAGTAATCCTTTCCACATTGCTTGTTTTTGTCAGGTTTGTCAAAGATCAGATAGCTGTTGGAGTGTGGTCTTACTTCTGGGCTCTCTATTCTCTTCCTCTAATCTACATGTCTGTTTTTGCCCCTGTACCATGCTCTGTTTGTTTCTGTAGCTCTGTAGTATAGTTTGAAGTCAGGTAACAAAATGCCTCCAGCTTTGTTCTTTTTGCTTAGGATTGCCTTGGCTATTCAGGATCTTTCTTGGTTCCATATGAATTTTACAATAGTTTTTTTCTAGTTCTCTGAATAATCTTAATAGTAGCTCAACAGGAATAGCATTTAATCTGTAAACTGATTTGGGCAGTATGGGTATTTTAACGATATTAATTCTTCCTATTCACGAGCATGGAATGCTTTTTTCCATTTGTTTGTATGATCTCTAATTTCTTAGGGCAGTGATTTCTTTGAGTAGTTCTCCTTTTAGAGTTCTTTCACCTCCCCAGTTAGCTGTATTCCCAGGTATTTTATTATTTTTGTGGTAATTGTGAATAGGAGTTCATTCCTAGTTTGGTTCTCAGCTTGACTGCTGTTGGTATATAGGAATACTAGTGATTTTTTCACATTGATTTTGTTTTCTGAGACTGCTGAAGTTGATTATCAGCTTAACAAGCTTTTGAGCTGAGACTATGGGGTTTTGTAGATACAGGATTATGGATTATGTCATCTGCAAATAGGGATAGTTTGACTTCCTCTCTTCCTACTTGGATGGGCTTTATTTCTTTCTCTTGCCTGATTGCCCTGGCCAGGACTTCAAATACTATGTTGAATAGGAGTGGTGAGAGAGATCATCTTTGTCTTGTACGGACTTTTAAGGGGAATGCTTTTAACTTTTGCCCTTTCAGTATTATGTTGGCTGTGGGTTTGCCATATATAACTCTTATTATTTTAAGGAATGTTCCTTCAACACCTAGTTTATTGAGAGTTTTCTTTTAACATGAATGGACATTGAATTTTTATTGAAAGCCTTTTCTGCATCTATTGGGATAATCATGTGCTTTTTGTCTTTAGTTCTGTTTATGTGATGAATCACATTTCTTGATTTGTGTATGTTTAACCAACCTTGCATAAGGTTGATAACCATGAGAAAGTTTACTTGCTTGTGGTGGATAAGCTTTTTGATGTGCTGCTGGATTTGATTTGCCAGTATTTTCTTGAGAATTTTTACATTGATGTTCATCAAGGATATTGGCCTGAAGTTTTTGTTTTTGTTGTTGTATCTCTGCCAGGTATCAGGATGATGCTGGTCTCATAGAATGAGTTAGGAAGAAGTCTCTCCTTCCAAATTTTTGGAGTAGTTTCAGTAGGAATGGTAGCAGCTCTTTTTTGTAAATCTGGTAGAATTCAACTGTGAGTCTGTCTGGTCTTGGATTTTTTTTGGTTTGTAAGCTATTTATTACTGCCTCAATTTCAGAGCTCATTATTGTTCTGTTCAGGGATTCAGTTTCTTCCTGTTTTTGTCTTAGGAGTATGTATGTATCCAGGAATTTATCAATTTCTCCTTGATTTTGTAGTTTATGTGTATAGAGGTGTTCATAGTATACTTTGATGATTGATGGTATTTCTTTGAAAATTTATTATTGTTTTTCCCCACATTCTTGCTGTCATTTTGTTCTCACCCATTAATCCAGGCTATTTTATAGTTACCTGCACTCTCTTGACTCAAAATCCTTTGCTTTCATGTTTCCCAAATTCACTGATTCACAGGCCGTGATGTATATAAGATTATCTCAGAAGTTATTTCTTTTTTTTAGTATTATACTTTAAGTTTTAGGGTACATGTGCACAACATGCAGGTTAGTTACATATGTATACATGTGCAATGTTGGTGGGCTGCACCCATTAACTCATCGTCATTTAACATTAGGTATATCTCCTAATGCTATCCCTCCCCCCTTCCCCCACCCGACAACAGGCCCAAGTGTGTGATGTTCCCCTTCCTGTGTCCATGTGTTTACATTGTTCAATTCCCACCTATGAGTGAGAACATGCGGTGTTTGGTTTTTTTGTCCTTGTGAAAGTTTGCTGAGAATGATGGTTCCCAGCTTCATCCATGTCCCTACAAAGGACATGAACTCATCATTTTTTATGGCTGCATAGTATTCCGACAGAATGGGAGAAAATTTTTGCAATCTACTCATCTGACAAAGGGCCAATATCCAGAATCTACAATGAACTCAAACAAATTTACAAGAAAAAAAAAACCCATCAAAAAGTGGGCAAAAGATATGAACAGACACTTCTCAAAAGAAGACATTTATGCAGCCAAAAGACACATGAGAAAATGCTCATCATCACTGGCCATCAGAGAAATGCAAATCAAAACCACAATGAGATACCATCTCACACCAGTTAGAATGGCGATCATTAAAAAGTCAGGAAACAACAGGTGCTTGAGAGGATGTGGAGAAATAGGAACACTTTTACACTGTTGGTGGGACTGTAAACTAGTTCAACCCTTGTGGAAGTCAGTGTGGCGATTCCTCAGGGATCTAGAACTAGATATACCATTTGACCCAGCAATCCCATTACTGGGTATATACCCAAAGGTTTATAAATCATGCTGCTATAAAGACACATACACACATATGTTTATTGTGGCACTATTCACAATAGCAAAGACTTGGAACCAACCCAAATATCCAACAATGATAGACTGGATTAAGAAGTTATTTCTTAAGCTGGGTGGTTAGTATATGAGTTTCTAATATTCTAATATCTATGTACTTTTATGTGGTAAAAATTATTTTTATATAAGAAAACAAATGGAGTTTGTTAAACATGCAGATTCCCCAGATCCATTTTCCCAAAGGTTCTGATTCAATAGGTGATTCTGGTACTGGTGATCCACAGTCCACACTTGAAGAGACAATACTCTTGTGGGTTGGCCTAAGTAGTTTCCTTGGGTGCCACATTTTTGAGAAAGCCCATCTGGAAACTGCATATATTGCATAGGCAGGTGCTGATTATGTCAGAAAAAGCCAAATGTCCCCAAGATAAAGATAAGATTATTGGTTCAGATATCTGTAACTAACATATCTGCACTGATGATCAAAGATCTGTCAGTGCATGCCTTTTTTTTTCACTCCTCATAATAGTCCTGTTGTTTGCCATGAGAAAAACATTGTGAAGGTGCTGAACTGGGAGAAGATTATAAAATTAAAATGTTGCAATGGGAGGTTTTCCCTTTTTTTACTTGATCAATATATTCTCATTTTGTTATGTTTCAGATGTAAAATTACCTGCTTCTATTATCCAAGTAAGGCCAATGCTGTTTTTTTTAATTCTATGATTCAGATTTACCTTGACTCTTGGACCTCAAGGAGGATCCAACTATTAAGCATGTGTTTCAGAGAGAATGGGGTAAATGAATGGAAGGAGGTGGGAGGTCACAGAGGCTGTAGCAAGACACAGCAAATCTTGTTAGTTAACATCTTATGAGGCAAGTTGATATCTGACAAATTCAATTGGACTTGCATGAAAAGGTGTTCCAGAAATCCTAAGCAGATGACAGATTTCAAACACTTCAAATCAAATTTTGCCTAGAAAGTTGTCTATTATCAATGTGAGGATGCTTGCTCACAAGAAAATGTGTAGATCCTGTCTATAGACAGTCCACACTCATTTTAGGGTGAGGAGACAGGACATGGGAAGAAGAGAATATGGAAGAATAATATATTGAAATATTGTAAACTAGGAAAATAAAATGTTTTAGAGCTTTTAAAAGGTATTGAAAAAAAGGGGGGCACTTTGGAGAAGTGGAGAAGGCCTACATGGAAGGATCAGCAAAGCAAATTTCTAAGTTTTGTTAGAATACAGACATGTTTCAGATACTATTTTTCAAGAGAAAAGGAAAACTACATGCATGGAGGGTTCTAACCTCTCAAGGATGTGGAAATCTTAATACCACAGTTAACCTTTTGTTAGGAGAATTCTTCCAATTGAGTTTGCAGATCACATGTACACCCTCTGGACAGTGCTCTTGGATGGCCTGATATACTTAGAGAAGCAGAAACCATGAAGTTCTAGTGATTTTCTTTTTCTTTTTTCTGTTTTCTTTTTTTTTTTTTCCTGATTACCTCCTTGCCTCATTTCCCAAGTTACACTACATATCTGTCATGGTCTACAGCTGATAACAATGTAGATTTGGAGGGTGAAATAAGATTATAAACAGCTTCAGTAGATCAATTTGTTCTGGAAATTAATTTTAGTATGTTTTGATATGTTTATATTCTCTGATAGCTTGCTGGAGCCATTGAATACATGACACAACTGACACTTCATTTTGGAGTAGTCTGGGAGTTGTATATAACTTAGGGTGCCAGTTCAGCTACTGTAAAAAAAAAATATAGTGGCTTATGAGTGAAAGTTTTATCTCATGTAAATTTCTGAGAAAATGTAGTCCAGGGCTGACGTGTTGGCCCCATGGTATTGGAGATCATGTTGTTGTATCGTCTTCAACATGCTTTCGCACGTCATGGTTTAAGAAGGCTGCTCTAGCTCCTGCTTACACATCTTACACATCAGCTTTCCAGACTGTATTAGTCCATGTTCACACTGCTATAAATACCCGAGACTGGGTAATTTATAAAGAAAAGAGGTTTAATTGACTCACAATTCTACATGGCTGGGGAGGCATCAGGAAAGTTACAATCATGGTGGAAGGCAAAGAAGAAGCAAGGAGCTTCCTTACATGGTGGCAGGAGAGAAATGTGAGGAGCGAAGGGGGAAGGGGAAAAGCCCCTTATAAAACCATCAGATCTTGAGATAACTCACTCGCTATCATGAGAACTGCATGGGGGAAACCGCTACCATGACCCAACCATCTCCCACCGGGTCTCTTTCTCAACACCTGGGGATTACAATTCAAGATGGGATTTGAGTGGGGACACAAAGCCTAACCATATCACAGACATTAGGAAGAGGGAAAGTATAAGGAGTGGGCATATTCATCCTTTTAAAAATGCATCATAGAAGTTATACCCATCACTTTTACTCATATCCCCTTGGCTATAATTTAGTTGTGTAGCCACATTTAGCTACAGAGAGGTTGGGAGTGGCTGGATCAACTATGTGCAAACTAAAACTAAGTGATTCCATTAATAAGGAGAAAGCGGGATAATAAATATTGGATGACACATAGAAGTCTCTTCCATAGGAATAGCAAGCTCCAGTAACTACGTGGGCCAGGCAGGTAACCTGAAGGTAAAATAGGCCAAGGGTAATACTGGAGGGAATGGTGAAGACTGTGGAAAATTAGACAGTGCATGTCTTGTCTGAAGGGGGCAGCCTATATTCAGCCCAGACAATTGTTGCCATTTGAAAATTGGGCCCATGATCTTTCAGTTTTTCATGGGAAGCCAGGGATCTCTAAAACACCGTAAAAACACCTATGAAATGAATTTGGCTTTCTGACTACCTATTTTTCACCCCTGGGATAATCACTCATTAACTTGATCAGCACAATAAAACCTTGGGAGCTGAGCAACACAAATGAACAAACAATCTTTCTACCCCCTTGATACACATGTGGCCCATGGACCTTTTGCTGGGAGCTTGTTAAAAATGAAGAATTTCAACCCCTTCCCCCCAGGACCTATTGACTCAAAACCTGCTTTTCCACAAGATCCCCAGATGATTTGATTCCAGTGCATATTAAAAGTTTGAGAAGCACTGGCAAGGGGTGGCAAACTTTTTCTCTAAAGGGCCAAATAGTAAATATGTTAGGCTTTGTGAGTCATATAGTCTCTGTCACAACTATTTAATTCTACTGTTGAAGCTTAAAAGCAGTCATGGAATAATTTTCACATGTCACAAAATATGCTTCTTTTGACGTTTTTCCAGCCATTAAAAAAATTAAAATCATTCAGTATGATATTGGCTGTGGGTTTGTCATAGACAGCTCTTATTATTTTGAAATACATCCCATCAGTACCTAATTTATTGAGAGTTTTTAGCATGAAGGGTTGTTGAATTTTGTCAAAGGCTTTTTCTGCATCTATTGAGATAATCATGTGGTTTTTGTCTTTGGCTCTGTTTATATGCTGGATTACATTTATTGATTTGTGTATATTGAACCAGCCTTGCATCCCAGGGATGAAGCCCACTTGATCATGGTGGATAAGCTTTTTGATGTGCCGCTGGATTCAGTTTGCCAGTATTTTATTGAGGATTTTTGCATCAATGTTCATCAAGGATATTGGTCTAAAATTCTCTTTTTTGGTTGTGTCTCTGTCCGGCTTTGGTATCAGAATGATGCTGGCCTCATAAAATGAGTTAGGGAGGATTCCCTCTTTTTCTATTGATTGGAATAGTTTCAGAAGGAATGGTATCAGTTCCTCCTTGTACCTCTGGTAGAATTCGGCTGTGAATCCATCTGGTCCTGGACTCCTTTTGGTTGGTAAACTATTGATTATTGCCACAATTTCAGCTCCTGTTATTGGTCTATTCAGAGATTCAACTTCTTCCTGGTTTAGTCTTGGGAGAGTGGATGTGTCGAGGAATGTATCCATTTCTTCTAGATTTTCTAGTTTATTTGCATAGAGGTGTTTGTAGTATTCTCTGATGGTAGTTTGTATTTCTGTGGGATCGGTGGTGATATCCCCTTTATCATTTTTTATTGTGTCTATTTGATTCTTCTCTCTTTTTTTCTTTATTAGTCTTGCTAGCGGTCTATCAATTTTGTTGATCCTTTCAAAAACCCAGCTCCTGGATTCATTGATTTTTTGAAGGGTTTTTTGTGTCTCTATTTCCTTCAGTTCTGCTCTGATTTTAGTTATTTCTTGCCTTCTGCTAGCTTTTGAATGTGTTTGCTCTTGCTTTTCTAGTTCTTTTAATTGTGATGTTAGGGTGTCAATTTTGGATCTTTCCTGCTTTCTCTTGTGGGCATTTAGTGCTATAAATTTCCCTCTACACACTGCTTTGAATGTGTCCCAGAGATTCTGGTATGTTGTGTCTTTGTTCTCATTGGTTTCAAAGAACATCTTTATTTCTGCCTTCATTTCGGTATGTACCCAGTAGACATTCAGGAGCAGGTTGTTCAGTTTCCATGTAGTTGAGCGGCTTTGAGTGAGATTCTTAATCCTGAGTTCTAGTTTGATTGCACTGTAGTGTGAGAGACAGTTTGTTATAATTTCTGTTCTTTTACATTTGCTGAGGAGAGCTTTACTTCCAAGTATGTGGTCAATTTTTGAATAGGTGTGGTGTGGTGCTGAAAAAAATGTATATTCTGTTGATTTGGGGTGGAGAGTTCTGTAGATGTCTATTAGGTTCGCTTGTTGCAGAGCTGAGTTCAATTCCTGGGTAACCTTGTTGACTTTCTGTCTCGTTGATCTGTCTAATGTTGACAGTGGGGTGTTAAAGTCTCCCATTATTAATGTGTGGGAGTCTAAGTCTCTTTGTAGGTCACTCAGGACTTGCTTTATGAATCTTGGCGCTCCTGTATTGGGTGCATATATATTTGGGATAGTTAGCTCCTCTTGTTGAATTGATCCCTTTACCATTATGTAATGGCCTTCTTTGTCTCTTTTGATCTTTGTTGGTTTAAAGTCTGTTTTATCAGAGACTAGGATTGCAACCCCTGCCTTTTTTTTGTTTTCCATTTGCTTGGTAGATCTTCCTCCATCCTTTTATTTTGAGCCTATGTGTGTCTCTGCACATGAGATGGGTTTCCTGAATACAGCACACTGATGGGTCTTGACTCTTTATCCAACTTGCCAGTCTGTGTCTTTTAATTGGAGAATTTAGTCCATTTACATTTAAAGTTAATATTGTTATGTGTGAATTTGATCCTGTCATTATGATGTTAGCTGGTTATTTTGCTCGTTAGTTGATGCAGTTTCTTCCTAGTCTCGATGGTCTTTACATTTTGGCATGATTTTGCAGTGGCTGGTACCGGTTGTTCCTTTCCATGTTTAGTGCTTCCTTCAGGAGCTCTTTTAGGGCAGTCCTGGTGGTGACAAAATCTCTCAGCATTTGCTTGTCTGTAAAGTATTTTATTTCTCCTTCACTTATGAAGCTTAGTTTGGCTGGATATGAAATTCTGGGTTGAAAATTCTTTTCTTTAAGAATGTTGAGTATTGGCCCCCACTCTCTTCTGACTTGTAGAGTTTCTGCCAAGAGATCCGCTGTTAGTCTGATGGGCTTCCCTTTGAGGGTAACCCGACCTTTGTCTGTGACTGCCCTTAACATTTTTTCCTTCATTTCAACTTTGGTGAATCTGACAATTATGTGTCTTGGAGTTGCTCTTCTCGAGGAGTATCTTTGTGGCGTTCTCTGTATTTCCTGAATCTGAACGTCAGCCTGCCTTGCTAGATTGTGGAAGTTCTCAGTCAATATCATACTGAATGGGCAAAAACTGGAAGCATTCCCTTTGAAATCTGGCACAAGACAGGGATGCCCTCTCTCACCACTCCTATTCAACATAGTGTTGGAAGTTCTGACCAGGGCAATTAGGCAGGAGAAGGAAATAAAGGGTATTCAATTAGGAAAAGAGGAAGTCAAATTGTCCCTGTTTGCAGACGACATGATTGTTTATCTAGAAAACCCCATCGTCTCAGCCCAAAATCTCCTTAAGCTGATAAGCAACTTCAGCAAAGTCTCAGGATACAAAATCAATGTACAAAAATCACAAGCATTCCTATACACAAACAACAGACAAACAGAGAGCCAAATCATGAGTGAACTCCCATTCACAATTGCTTCAAAGAGAATAAAATACCTAGGAATCCAACTTACAAGGGATGTGAAGGACCTCTTGAAGGAGAACTACAAACCACTGCTCAAGGAAATAAAAGAGGATACAAACAAATGGAAGAACATTCCATGCTCATGGGTAGGAAGAATCAATATCGTGAAAATGGCCATACTGCCCAAGGTAATTTACAGATTCAATGCCATCCCCATCAAGCTACCAATGACTTTCTTCACAGAATTGGAAAAAACTACTTTAAAGTTCATATGGAACCAAAAAAGAGCCCACATCGCCAAGTCAATCCTAAGCCAAAAGAACAAAGCTGGAGGCATCACACTACCTGACTTCAAACTATACTACAAGGCTACAGTAACCAAAACAGCATGGTACTGGTACCAAAACAGAGATATAGATCAATGGAACAGAACAGAGCCCTCAGAAATAATGCCACATATCTACAACTATCTGATCTTTGACAAACCTGAGAAACACAAGCAATGGGGAAAGGATTCCCTATTTAATAAATGGTGCTGGGAAAACTGGCTAGCCATATGTAGAAAGCTGAAACTGGATCCCTTCCTTACACCTTATACAAAAATTAATTCAACATCGATTAAAGACTTAAATGATAGACCTAAAACCATAAAAACCCTAGAAGAAAACCTAGGCATTACCATTCAGGACATAGGCGTGGGCAAGGACTTCATGTCCGAAACACCAAAAGCAATGGCAACCAAAGCCAAAATTGACAAATGGGATCTAATTAAACTAAAGAGCTTCTGCATAGCAAAAGAAACTACCATCAGAGTGAACAGGCAACCTACAACATGGGAGAAAATTTTCGCAACCTACTCATCTGACA
The DNA here is from genome assembly GCF_000001405.40 of Homo sapiens. Classification (NCBI taxonomy): domain Eukaryota; kingdom Metazoa; phylum Chordata; class Mammalia; order Primates; family Hominidae; genus Homo; species Homo sapiens. Next base: position 64,516,321 of record NC_000023.11, on the reverse strand, counting down.
AAGGGCTAATATCCAGAATCTACAATGAACTCAAACAAATTTACAAGAAAAAAACAAACAACCCCATCGAAAAGTGGGCGAGGGGCATGAACAGACACTTCTCAAAAGAAGACATTTATGCAGCCAAAAAACACATGAAAAAATGCTCATCATCAGTGGCCATCAGAGAAATGCAAATCAAAACCACAATGAGATACCATCTCACACCAGTTAGAATGGCAGTCATTAAAAAGTCAGGAAACAATAGTTGCTGGAGAGGATGTGGAGAAATAGGAACACTTTTACACTGTTGGTGGGACTGTAAACTAGTTCAACCATTGTGGAAGTCAGTGTGGCGATTTCTCAGGGATCTAGAACTAGAAATACCATTTGACCCAGCCATCCCATTACTGGGTATATACCCAAAGGACTATAAATCATGCTGCTATAAAGACACATGCACACGTATGTTTATTGAGGCATGATTCACAATAGCAAAGACTTGGAATCAACCCAAATGTCCAACAATGATAGACTGGATTAAGAAAATGTGGCACATATACACCATGGAATACTATGCAGCCATAAAAAATGATGAGTTCATGTCCTTTGTAGGGACATGGATGAAATTGGAAACCATCATTCTCAGTAAACTATCCCAAGAACAAAAAACCAAACACCGCATATTCTCACTCATAGGTGGGAATTGAACAATGAGATCACATGGACACAGGAAGGGGAATATCACACTCTGGGGACTGTGGTGGGGAGGGGGGAGGGGGGAGGGATAGCATTGGGAGATATACCTAATGCTAGATGACGATTTAGTGGGTGCAGCGCACCAGCATGGCACATGTATACATATGTAACTAACCTGCACTATGTGCACATGTACCCTAAAACTTAAAGTATAATTAAAAAAAAAAAATTGAAATCATTCTCAACTTGAGAGCCATACATAGACAGTCATGGACTCAGATTTGTCCCAAGACCCGTAGTTTGCCAACCTGTGGGTTAGAATACGAAGGAACAGAAAAGCCTGTGAATACTTAAATATTAATTTTTTGTCCCTGTCACATTAATTCCCTAATGTTGTCATTACTTTAAACAGATCATCCTTCACCACAGTATTTTTGGTGTCCACCTTGCTTCTTTCTTGCAACACACCATCATAACTCTACAACCTAGTCAGAATCTAGAGGAGCCAGAATTTAGAGATACTTTCCCCTCCATAGCTTATGGTCTAGAGCAAGAGCTTTAGGCTAGCTGGGAGGACTGGCAAAACAAATACCATTACCAAGCCTTTGCCAGCAAGCACCAGGCAGCAGAGAGTGTCATCCAAGGGGAGAAACTTATGTTGCTCTGCTGGCACTATGTTCAGGCCACCTGATACTGTGGCAAACGTGATGACCTATTCCCAGAATAGGTCTTAGAGATGTGAATCTTAGAAATCATAAGCCAGATTGCCTTCAGAGAAAGAATGAGATATTTCACTGGAATCCCAAGTCCTTGAAACTGGCCAGAGGTTCCTGCATATCCTTGTGGGCCATATGCAGAGTCACTCCAGGCAAATATATATTATTACTAGCTAGAAACTTTGGCGCCAAATACTTGTGTGATTTTCTTCCATGATAAATGAAACTAGACCAAGTATAAGCCCATGGACCTAATTTTGGCTCCATAACTTATGGTCTAGAACAAGAGTTTTCAACATTGACTACACATTGAAATTGCCTGAGGAGATTTTGAAAATGCTAATGCCTGGATCCCAAGCTCAGAGATTGTGTTGTAATTGCTCTGAGCTGTGGTCTGAGCAATGGGATTTTACAAAGCTTCTCAGGTTAGGAGCAGCCAATGTTAAGAACCAGTGATCCTTAATTCTTATGATCTGTAGGAACTTTCTGGGAATTTTGTCAAAATGACAATTCTGATTCTGTAAATATGGAGCACGGCCTCACATTCTGCATTTCTAACAAGTTGTCAGGTGATATCAATGTTGTTGTTGTACAGACAACATTTTGAGAAGCAAGGATTTAGGCCCAGAATTTCTTATCCAGCAGGTCTGAGAATAAGCATAATGACAATAAACTAGGAAGGAAAGTTACTGCTGTACATCTGGGAAGTCAAATTTCTTTCTGATAACAAAGGACTAATGTGGTAACAGGAAGCATTTTTACTGCTAAGTTAAAGAAGTTGTAGTAAAGGGAGAAGTCTTCTTCTCTCAACTCGTCAAAGTCATTCTCCATTCAGCTTTGTTCCGTTGCTGGTGAGGAGCTGTGCTCCTTTGGAGGAGGAGATGTGTTCTGATTTTTAGAGTTTCCAGATCTTCTGCTGTTTTTTCCCCATCTTTGTGATTTTGTCTACCTTTGGTCTTTGATGATGGTGACATACAGATGGGGTTTTTGTGTGGATGTCCTTTCTGTTTGTTAGTTTTCCTTCTAACGGTCAGGACCCTCCCCTGCAGGTCTGTTGGAGTTTGCTGGAGGTCCACTCCAGACCCTGTTTGCCTGGGTATCAGCAGCAGAGGCTGCAGAACAGAGGATATTGGTGAACAGCAAACGTTGCTGCCTGATCGTTCCTCTGGAAGTTTTGTCTCAGAGGAGTACCCAGCCACGTGAGGTGTCAGTCTGTCCCTACTGGGGAGTGCCTCCCAGTTAGGCTATTCAGGGTTCGGGGACCCACTTGAGGAGGCAGTCTGTCCGTTCTCAGATCTCAAGCTGCATGCTGGCAGAACCACTACTCTCTTCAAAGCTGTCAGACAGGGACAATTAAGTCTGCAGAGGATTCTGCAGCCTTTTGCTTGGCTATGCCCTGCCCCCAGAGGTGGAGTCTACAGAGGCAGTCAGGCCTCCTAGGGCTGTGGTGGACTTCACCCAGTTCGAGCTTCCTGGCCACTCTGCTTACCTATTCAAGCCTCAGCAATGGCAGGTTCTCCTCCCCAATCCTCACTGCCACCCTGCAGTTTGATCTCAGACTACTGTGCTACAAATGAGTGAGCTCCCTGGGAGTAGGACCCTCCGAGCCATGCATGGGATATAATCTCCTGGTGTGCCATTTGCTAAGACCATTGGAAAAGCACAGTATTGGGGTGGGAGTTACCCGATTTGCCAGGTGCCATCTGTCACCCCCTTTCTTTGACTAGGTAAGGGAATTCCCTGACCCCTTGTGCTTCCAGGGTGAGGCGATGCCTCACTCTGCTTTGGCTCATGCTCAGTGTGCTGCACCCACTGTCCCGTACCCACTTTCCAACACTCCCCAGTGAGATGAACCCATTACCTCAGTTGGAAATGCAGAAATCACCCATCTTCTCCGTCACTCAGGCTGGGAGCTGTAGACTGGAGTTGTTCCTATTTGGCCATCTTGGCTCCGTGATTATCTCAATAGATGCAGAAAAGGCCTTTGACAAAATTCAACAACTCTTCATACTAAATCTCTCAATAAATTAGGTATTGCTGGGACATATCTCAAAATAATAAGAGCTATCTATGACAAACCCACAGCCAATATCATACTGAATGGGCAAAAACTGGAAGCATTCCCTTTGAAATCTGGCACAAGACAGGGATGCCCTCTCTCACCACTCCTATTCAACATAGTGTTGGAAGTTCTGGCCAGGGCAATCAGGCAGGAGAAGGAAATCAAGGGTATTCAATTAGGAAAAGAGGAAGTCAAATTGTCCCTGTTTGCAGATGACATGATTGTATATCTAGAAAACCCCATTGTCTCAGCCCAAAATCTCCTTAAGCTTATAAGCAACTTCAGCAAAGTCTCAGGATACAAAATCAATGTGCAAAAACCACAAGCATTCGTATACACCAATAACAGACAAACAGAGAGCCAAATCATGAGTGAACTCCCATTCACAATTTATTCAAAGGGAATAAAATACCTAGGAATCCAACTTACAAGGGATGTGAAAGACCTCTTCAAGGAGAACTACAAACCACTGCTCAATGAAATAAAAGAGGATATATACAAATGGAAGAGCACTCCACGCTCATGGGTAGGAAGAATCAATATCAAGAAAATGGCCATACTGCCCAAGGTAATTTATAGATTCAATGCCATCCCCATCAAGCTATCAATGACTTTCTTCACAGAATTGGAAAAAAACTACTTTAAAGTTCATATGGAACCAAAAAAGAGCCCACATTGCCAAGACAATCCTAAGCCAAAAGAATAAAACTGGAGGCATCACGCTACCTGACTTCAAACTATACCACAAGGCTACAGTAACCAAAACAGCATGGTACTGCTACCAAAACAGAGGTATAGATAAATGGAACAGAACAGAGCCCTCCAAAATAATGCTGCATATCTACAACCATATCATCTTTGACAAACCTGACAAAAACAAGCAATGGGGAAAGGATTCCCTATTTAATAAATGGTGCTGAGAAAATTGGCTAGCCATATGTAGAAAGCTGAAACTGGATCCCTTCCTTACACCTTATACAAAAATTAATCCAAGTTAGATTAAAGACTTAAATGTTAGATCTAAAACCATAAAAACCCTAAAAGAAAACCTAGGCGATACCATTCAGGACATAGGCATGGGCAAGGACTTCATGTCTAAAACACCAAAAGCAATGGCAACAAAAGCCAAAATTGACAAATGGGATCTAATTAAACTAAAGAGCTTCTGCACAGCAAAAGAAACTACCATCAGAGTGAACAGGCAACCTACAGAATGGGAGAAAATTTTTGCAATCTCCTCAGCTGACAAAGGGCTAATATCCAGAATCTACAATGAACTCCAACAAATTTACAAGAAAAAAACAAACAACCTCATCAAAAAGTGGGTAAGGGATATGAACAGACACTTCTCAAAAGAAGATATTTATGCAGCCAACAGACACATGAAAAAATGCTCATCATCACTGGCCATCAGGGAAATGCAAATCAAAACCAGAATGAGATGTCATCTCACACCAGTTAGAATGATGATCATTAAAAAGTCAGGAAACAACAGGTGCTGGAGAGGATGTGGAGAAATAGGAGCACTTTCGCACTGTTGGTAGGACTGTAAACTAGTTCAACCATTGTGGAAGACAGTGTGGCGATTCCTCAAGGATCTAGAACTAGAATTACCATTTGACCCAGCCATCCCATTACTGGGTATATACCCAAAGGATTATAAATCATGCTGCTATAAAGACACATGCACACGTATGTTTATTGTGGCACTATTCACAATAGCAAAGACTTGGATCCAAGCCAAATGTCCAACAATGATAGACTGGATTAAGAAAATGTGGCACATATACACCATGGAATACTATGCAGCCATAAAAAATGATGAGTTCATGTCCTTTGTAGGGACATGGATGAAGCTGAAAACCATCATTCTCATCAAACTATTGCAAGGACAAAAAGCCAAACACCACATATTCTCACTCGTAGGTGGGAATTGAACAACGAGAACACATGGACACAGGAAGGGGAACATCACACACCGGGGTCTGTTGTGGGGTGGGGGTAGTGGGGAGGGATAGCATTAAGAGATACACCTAATGTTAAATGACGAGTTAATGGGTGCATCACACCAACATGGCACATGTATACATATGTAACTAACCTGCACATTGTGCACGTGTACCCTAAAACTTAAAGTATAATTAAAAAAAAAAGAAAAAGTAGAAAATTGGTACATTTTGTATTACTGGAACTGAATTCTTGGGACTATACTGATGCTATTATCTGGTATAATATAATTGAGCACAATTAAAGATGGAAAATAAGAAGATGACTTCCTGGCATTTTTTGTAGCATAGCTTTGGAATTAGCTTAATTGAAGCAATGTCCTTATGCATTTAAGTAGACTCTAAGGAGAGTTTCAGAGAGACATTCATTGAAGACCTTGAGGGGCTGATCTAATGATCTAATCATCTTATTGGTCCCAGGTACAGTGCCAACAACTAGAGAGATAGGTTTAATGGTGGTACAGCAGGACTTTTCTGGTACTCTGCTGATTGTTTCCCATGAAGAAGACAAAAGCAACCCTGGTTGACTACAAGCCCTACAGTTAGGCTCATTTTATTTAGCTAGAGGAAGAAGAAAATGTAGAGAACTGTCTGTAACACATGCTAACTACAGAAAGTGGTCAAGATTTCCACTATCACTACTACTACTGTGGAGGAATTGCTAAGGGTTTGTGGGTGGGGGACAGAAAGAAAGGTACAATTAGTAGGGGTAAGAGATGTTAATACGTCTTTTCTTACTGATAATATGCATCTTCATGGTGCACTCTCATTTAGATAACTCTCTATTTTTCACTTCCATATAGCTAATGTGGTAAGCCCAGTAGGATCAGTGGGCTCCATAGGAAAGAAGCTATGAAGGGGGAAGCTTAGACTGGTTATACTGCAGTCATAGGGAGAAGATAAGTGTCGAGAAGCTACTCGAACAAGCCTTAGTCTACATCAGTAGTTTATAAAGTGTGGGCCCTGGACCAACAGCATCAACACCACTGGGGACATTCTGGAAATATTCCACGCATTTGATATACTTTTGATTATCTTACCAGATGTGGGACTACTAGAAGTCTTGAAAGTGTAGAGTGTTGCTTTGCTTTTGTTTATCAAGTACCTAGGTGCTATGAAACTCCCATATATAAGAACCTAGGAAGCCCTACATCTGGCACTGACTGAGTTTGCAGATGCTTCAGGCTTGGGTAATCAGATTGTATGTCTATTGCAAAATTGACACATATGGGCTGACTTCAGTAAGTTATAGTCTATTTCATTGCTTCCTTGCCCACCCACATGATTCATCTCAATTAAGCTGTCTTTAATGTTGGGTGCTTAAAAAACAAAAGAGTGAGACAGAGAATGAGAGAGAAGAGATCCATTTACCATGTATGTGGAAAAAATGAAAAAGATTAAAATGGTGTGAATTGTCTAGGGATCTGAGCATTCTTCAACTCAGGATAAATGGCCTGTGGCAGACTCAGTATTAATGTCTCCTCTTGGACCGTCTCTCACCTGTAGGCCTTTACATGACCTGTTCTAAAGAAAACTTGCCAGATGCTGTGGTTCATGCCTGTAATCCCAGCCCTTTGGGAGGCTGAAGCAGGAGGATTCCTTGAGGCCAGGAGTTCAAGATCAGCCTGGGAAATACGGCAAGACTCCATCTCTAAAATAAATAAGTAAATAAATAAAAATTAGCAGGGTGTGGTGACATGCCCCTGTAGTTCCAGCTACTTGGGAGACAGAGGTGCAAGGATTGCTTGAGCCCAGGAATTCAAGGATGCAGTGAGCTGTGATCACACCACTGCACTCTATTCTAAGCAACAGAAGGAGACACTGTCTCAAAAAAAAAAAAAATCTAATAAAGAAAACTAGGCAACTGAGATTGAGTTTAAAGGCACCATTCTAATCTGTTGTGTTGCCAGGACTCAGGCATTTTAAAGTGCCTCAACTTCATTTCTTGTTCGTCAGAGTAAAATTAGCCTCTTTTTGATCTCTCTCTAACAAAGCAGAGATATCAGGGAATGTCTCTACTGAATTGCTTTCCCTGTATTTTCATAGTTTCTGCTCCTTTATACAAAGGGTCAGATCGTAATGGAAGATGACATTTAGAGCAGTGGAACTTTGAAGCCATGTTACCACAGGCGAAGAAGGGCTTTACTTAATATTTGAAATGTTGAAATCTGGTTAGAAGTGCTCTTTTTTCTTCTTTGTTTTTTTTATTGTATTTTAAGTTTTAGGGTACATGTGCACAACGTGCAGGTTTGTTACATATGTATACATGTGCCATGTTGGTGTACTGTACCCATTAACTCATCATTTACATTAGGTATGTCTCCTAATGCTTTCCCTCTCCCCTCCCCCCACTTTGTTCAATTCCCACCTATGATTGAGAACATGTGGTATTTGGTTTTCTGTCCTTGCAATAGTTTGCTGAGAATGATGGTTTCCAGCTTCATCCATGTCCCTACAAAGGACATAAACTCATCCTTTTTTATGGCTGCATAGTATTCCATGGTGTATATGTGCCACATTTTCTTAATCCACTCTATCACTGATGGCCACTTGGGTTGGTTCCAAGTCTTTGCTATTGTGAAAAGTGCCGCAATAAACCTACGTATGTATGTGTCTTTACAGCAGCATGATTTATAATCCTTTGGGTATATACCCAGTAATGGGATGGCTGGGTCAAAGGGTGTTTCTAGTTTCAGATCCTTGAGGAATCGCCACACTGTCTCCCACAATGGTTGAACTAGATTACAGTCCCACCAACAGTGTAAAAGTGTTCCTATTTCTCCACACCCTCTCCAGCACCTGTTGTTTCCTGACTTTTTAATGATCGCCATTGTAACTGGTGTGAGATGGTATCTGACTGTGGTTTTGATTTGCATTTCTCTGATGGCCAGTGATGATGAGCATTTTTTCATGTGTCTTTTGGTTGCATAAGTCTCTTCTTTTGAGAAGTGTCTGTTCATATCCTTTGTCCACTTTTTGATAGGGTTGTTTGATTTTCTCTTGTAAATTTGGTTAAGTTCTTGGTAAACTTTGGATATTAGCCCTTTGTCATATGAGTAGATTGCAAAAATTTTTCCCCATTCTGTAGGTTTCCTCTTAACTCTGATGGTAGTTTCTTTTGCTATGCAGAAGCTCTTTAGTTTAATTAGATCCCATTTGTCAATTTTGGCTTTTGTTGCCATTGCTTTTGGTGTTTTAGACATGAAGTCCTTGCCCAAGCCTATGTCTTCAATGGTATCGCCTAGGTTTTCTTCTAGGGTTTTTATGGTTTTAGGTCTAACATTTAAGTCTTTAATCCATCTTGAATTAATTTTTGTATAAGGTGTAAGGAAGGGTCCGGTTTCAGCTTTTTACATACAACTAGCCAATTTTCCCAGTACCATTTATTAAATACGGAATCCTTTCCCCATTTCTTGTTTTTGACAGGTTTATCAAAGATCAGATGCTTGTAGATGTGTGGTATTATTTCAGGGGGCTCTCTTTTGTTCCATTGGTCTATATCTCTGTTTTGGTAGCAGTACCATGCTGTTTTGGTTACTGTAGCCTTGTAGTATAGTTTGAAGTCAGGTAGCGTGATGCCTCCAGTTTTGTTCTTTTGGCTTAGGATTGTCTTGGCAATGCGGGCTCTGTTTTGGTTCCATATGAACTTTAAAGTAGTTTTTTCCAATTCTGTGAAGAAAGTCATTGGTAGCTTGATGGGGATGTCATTGAATCTATAAATTACCTTGGGCAGTATGGTCATTTTCACGATATTGATTCTTCCCACCCATGAGCATGGAATGTTCTTCCAGTTGTTTGTATCCTCTTTTATTTCATGGAGCAGTGGTTTGTAGCTCTCCTTGAAGAGGTCCTTCATGTCCCTTGTAAGTTGGATTCCTAGGTATTTTATTCTCTTTGGAGCAATTGTGAATGGGAGTTCACTCATGATTTGGCTCTCTGTTTGTCTGTTATTGGTGTATAAGAGTGCTTGTGATTTTTACACATGGATTTTGTATCCTGAAACTTTGCTGAAGTTGCTTATCAGCTTAAGGAGATTTTGGGCTGAGACGATGGGGTTTTCTAGAGGTACAATCATGTCATCTGCAAACAGGGACAATTTGACTTCCTCTTTTCCTAATTGAATACGCTTTATTTCTTTCTCCTACCTGATTGCCCTGGCCAGAACTTCCAACAATATGTTGAGTAGGAGTGGTGAGAGAGGGCATCCCTGTCTTGTGCCAGTTTTCAAAGGGAATGCTTCCAGTTTTTGCCCATTCAGTATCATATTGGCTGTGGGTTTGTCATAAATAGCTCTTAGCATTTTGATATACTTTCCATCAATACTTAATTTATTGAGAGTTTTTAGCATGAAGGGCTGTTGAATTTTGTCGAGGGCCTTTTCTGCATCTATTGAGATAATCATGTGGTTTTTGTCTTTGGTTCTATTTATATGCTGGATTATGTTTATTGATTTGTGTATATTGAACCAGTCTTGCATCCCAGGGATGAAGCCAACTTGATCATGGTGGATACGCTTTTTGATGTGTTGCTGGATTCAGTTTGTGGACTTCTTAACAATAGTCATTCAGACTGGTGTGAGATGGTATTTCATTGTGGTTTTAATTTGCATTTCTCTAATGATTAGTGATGTTGAGCACTATTTCATATGCTTGTTGGCTGCATGTATGACTTCTTTGGAAATGTGTCTGTTCATGTCCTTTGCCCATTTTTAACGAGTGTTTTTGATTCTTGCTTGTAAATTTAAGTTTCTTATGAATTATGGATCCAATTTTTGTTGGATGCATAGTTTGAAAATTTTTTCTCCCTTTCTGTAGGTTGTTTACTTTGTTGATAGTTTCTTTTGCTGCAGGAGCTCTTTAGGTTAATTAGGTACCATTTGCTCATGTTTCATTTTGTGCAATTGCTTTTGCTATCTTCATCATGAAATCTTTGTCAGTTTCCATATTCAGAATGGTATTGCCTAAGTTTTTTATAGTTTTAGATTTTACATTCATTTCTTTAACCTATCTTCAGTTGATTTTTGTATGTAGGATAGGAAGGAATCCAGTTTTAATCTTCTGCATATGGCTAGCCAGTTATTCCAGCACCATTTATTAAATAGTGAGTGTTTTCCCTAGTTCTTGTTTTTGTCAACTTTGTCAAAGATCAGATGGAGGCAGGTGTAGGGCCTTACTTCTGGGCTCCCTATTCTGTTCCATTGGTCTATGTGTCTGTTTTGGTACCAGTGCCATGTATTTTTGGTTACTGTTGTCTTATAATGTAGTTGAAAGTCAGGTAGCATGACGCCTTTAGCTTTGTTCTTTTTGCTTAAATTTGCCTTGGGTATTTAGGCTGTTTGAGGTTTCATATGAATTTTTTTAAGATAGTTTTTTTTCTAATTCTGTGAAGCATGTCATTAGTAGGTCAGTGGGAATAGCATTAAATCTGTAAGTTGCTTTGAGCAGTGTGGCCATGGTTATCACATTGATTCTATTTATCTATAAACATGTAATAATTTTTACTTGTTTGTGCCATCTCTGATTTCTTTGAGCAGTGTTTTGTAATTCTTATTGTACAGAACATTCACTTTCCTGGTTAGCTGTATTTCTAAGTATTTTGTTCTTTTCGTGGTAGATATGAGTTGGATTATGATCCTGATTTGGCTGTCATCTTGCATGCTGTTAGTGTGTAGAAATGCTACTGCGTTTTGTACATTGATTTTGTATCCTGAAACTTTGCTGAAGTTGTTTATTAGGTGAAGGAGCTTTTGGGCAGAGACTGTGCAATTTTTTACATATAGAATCATGTCATCTACCAATAGGGAGAGTTTAACTTCCTCTCTTCTTATTTGGATGCCTTTTATTTATTTCTCCTTCCTGATTGCTCTGGCTAGGAATTCCAGTACCCTGTTGAATAAGTGTGGTTAGAATAGCCATCCTTGTCTTGTTCTGGTTCCAAAGGGGAATGCTTTTGGCTTTTCTTTTTTTCATTTAGTTGATGTTGCCTGTGGGTTTGCCATGGATAGCTCTGATTTCAAGGTATGATCCTTCAATGCCAATTTCTTGAGAATTTTTAACATGAAGAAATGTTGAGTTTTATCACAAACTTTTTTTACATCTATTGAGATGATTATGTGGTTTCTGTTTTTAGCTCTGTTTATATGATGAATAAAATTTATTTATTTGCATATGCTGAACCAACCTTGCATCCCAGGGGTAAAATAGACTATGGCATCGTGGATTAGCTTTTTGATGTGCTGCTGGATTAAATCATCTATGTTCATCAAGCATACTGGCCTGAGTTTTTCTCTTTTCATTGTGTCTCTACCAGGTTTTGGTATTAAGATGATGCGGGCCTCCTAGAATGAGTTGGGGAGGAATCTCTCCTCCTCAATTTTTTGGAATAGTTTCAGTTGTAATTGTAATAGCTCTTTATAGAGATGGCAGAATTTAGTTGTGAATCTGTCTTATCCTGGGCTTTTTTTTCATTGGTAGGCTTTTTAATACCGACCAATTTTTGAACTCCTTATTGGTATATTCCGGGATTCAACTTACTAGTTCAAACTTGGGAGGTTGTGTGTTTCCAGGAATTTGTATGTTTCTAGGAAAACATAGGAGGTTTTCTATTTTGTGTGTATAGATGTGTCTGTAGCAGTCTCTAAGGTTTGTTTGCTGTATTTCTGTGGGGTGAGAGGTTAACTCCCCTTTGTTATTTTTGATTATGTTTATTTGGATTTTCTCTCTCTCTTTTTCTTTATTAGTCTAGCTAGTGGTATATCAATCTTATTTATTCTTTCAATACAGCAGATCCTAGATTTGTTGACCTTTTGTATGGTTTTCACATCTCAATTTCCCTCAGTTCAACACTGATTTTGTTTTATTCTCATTTTCTGCTAGCTTTGGGGTCCGTTTGTTCTTCTTTCAGTAGTTCCTCTGGGTGTGATGTTAGGTTGTTAATTTGAGATTTTTCTATCTTTTTGATGTGGGATTTTAGTGCTATAAACTTGCCACTTAACAGTGCTTTAGCTGTGTCTCAGAGATTCTGGTATGTGGTATATTTGTTTTCAGTGTTAAAGAATTTCTTAGCTTCTGCCTTAATTTCATTGCTTACCAAAAATCATTCAGGAGCAAGTTACTTTATTTCCATGTGAATGTATGATTCTGAGTGATTTTCTTAGTATTGGTTTCTATTGTTATTGGGCTGTGGTCTGAGATTGCGTTTGGTACGATTTTGGTTTTTTGAATTTGCTGATAATTGTTTTATGGCTGATTTTGTGTTCAATTTTAAAGTATGTGCCATGTGCAGATGGGAATGTATATTCTGTTTTTTGGGAGTGAAAAATCCTGTAGATGTCTGTTAAGCCCGTTTGGTCAAGTGCCAAGCTCAGGCCCCAAATATCTTTGTTAAATTTTTGCCTCAGTGGTCTGTCTAAAACAGTTAGTAGGGCACTGAAGACTCTCACTATTATTGTATGGGTATCTAAGTTTTCTCATAGGTCTCTAAAAACTTACTTTATAAATCTAGGTGCTCCTGTGTTGGGTGCATATGTACTTAGGATGGTTAGGTCTTTTTGTTGAATTGAACCGTTTATCATTATGTAATTCCTTTCTCTCTCTCTCTTTTTTTTTTTTAATTATTGTTAGTTTAGAAGGAGGAGCCAAGAAGGCTGAAGAGGAACAGCTCTGGTCTATGGCTCCCAGCCTGAGTGACGCAGAAGACGGGTGATTTCTGCAGTTCCATCTGAGGTACTGGGTTCATCTCACTAGGGAGTGCCAGACAGTGGGCGCAGGTCAGTGGCTGTGCGCACCGTGTGCCAGCCAAAGCAGGGCAAGGCATTGCCTCACTTGGGAAGTGCAAGGGAACAGGGAGTTCCCTTTCCTAGTCAAAGAAAGGGGTGACAGATGGCACCTGGAAAATCGGGTCACTCCCACCCGAATACTGCCCTTTTCTGACGGGCTTAAAAATCGGCGCACCAGATTATATCCCGCAACTGGCTTGGAGGGTCATACACCCACGGAGTCTCGCTCATTGCTAGCACAGCAGTCTGAGATCAAACTGCAAGGTGGCAGCGAGGCTGGGGGAGGGGCGCCCGCCATTACCCAGGCTTGCTTAGGTAAACAAAGCAGGCAGGAAGCTCGAACTGGGTGGAGCCCACCACAGCTCAAGGAGGCCTGCCTGCCTCTGTAGGCTCCACCTCTGGGGGCGGTCACAGACAAACAAAAAGACAGCAGTAACCTCTGCAGACTTAAATGTCCCTGTCTGACAGCATTGAAGAGAGCAGTGGCTCTCCCAGCACACAGCTGGAGATCTGAGAACGGGCAGACTGCCTCCTCAAGTGGGTCCCTGACCCCTGACCCCTGAGCAGCCTCACTGGGAGGCACCCCCCAGCAGGGGCAGACTGACACCTCACATGGCCCGTTACTCCAACAGAGCTGCAGCTGAGGGTCCTGATGGTTAGAAGGAAAACTAACAAACAGAAAGAACGTCCACACCAAAAACCCATCTGTACATCACCATCATCAAAGATCAAAAGTAGATAAACCACAAAGATGGGGAAAAAACAGAGCAGAAAAACTGGAAACTCTGAAAAGCAGAGCACCTCTCCTCCTCCAAAGGAACACAGTTCCTCACCAGCAACGGAACAAAGCTGTACGGAGAATGACTTTGACGAGCTGAGAGAAATATTCAGACGATCAAATTACTCCGAGCTACGGGAGGACATTCAAACCAAAGGCAAATAAGTTGAAAACTTGGAAAAAAATTCAGAAGAATGTATAACTAGAATAACCAATATAGGGAAGTGCTTAAAGGAGCTGATGGAGCTGAACACCAAGGCTCGAGAACTACGTGAAGAATGCAGAAGCCTCAGGAGCCGATGCGATCAACTGGAAGAAAGGGTATTAGTGATGGAAGATGAAATGAATGAAATAAAGCGAGAAGGGAAGTTTAGAGAAAAAAGAATAAAAAGAAATGAGCAAAGCCTCCAAGAAATATGGGACTATGTGAAAAGACCAAATCTACACCTAATTGGTTTACCTGAAAGTGACGGGGAGAATGGACCCAAGTTGGAAAACACTCTGCAGGACATTATTCAAGAGAACTTCCCCAATCTAGCAAGGCAGGCCAACATTCAAATTCTGGAAATACAGAGAACGCCACAAAGATACTCCTCGAGAAGAGCAACACCAAGACACATAATTGTCAGATTCACCAAAGTTGAAATGAAGGAAAAAATGTTAAGGGCAGCCAGAGAGTAAGGTCGGGTTACCCTCAAATGGAAGCCCATGAGACTAACAGCGGATCTCTTGGCAGACACTCTACAAGACAGAAGAGAGTGGGGGCCAATATTCAACACTCTTAAAGAAAAGAATTTTCAACCCAGAATTTCATATCCAGCCAAAGTAAGCTTCATAAGTGAAGGAGAAATAAAATACTTTACAGACAAGCAAATGCTGAGAGATTTTGTCACCACTAGGACTGCCCTAAAAGAGCTCCTGAAGGAAGCACTAAACATGGAAAGGAAAAACCGGTACCAGCCGCTGCAAAATCATACCAAAATGTAAAGACCATGGAGACTAGGAAGAAACTGCATCAACTAACGAGCAAAATAACCAGCTAATATCATAATGATAAGATCAAATCCAGACATAACAATATTAACTTTAAATGTAAATGGACTAAATGCTCCAATTAAAAGACACAGACTGGCAAGTTGGATAAAGAGTCAAGACCCATCAGTGTGCTGTATTCAGGAAACCCATCTCATGTGCAGAGACACACATAGGCTCAAAATAAAAGGATGGAGGAAGATCTACCAAGCAAATGGAAAACAAAAAAAGGCAGGGGTTGCAATCCTAGTCTCTGATAAAACAGACCTTAAGCCAACAAAGATCAAAAGAGACAAAGAAGGCCATTACATAATGGTAAAGGGATCAATTCAATAAGAAGAGCTAACTGTCCTAAATATATATGCACCCAATACAGGAGCACCCAGATTCATAAAGCAAGTCCTGAGTGACCTACAAAGAGACTTAGACTCCCACACATTAATAATGGGAGACTTTAACACCCCACTGTCAACATTAGACAGATCAACGAGACAGAAAGTCCACAAGGATACCCAGGAATTGAACTCAGCTCTGAACCAAGTGGACCTAATAGACATGTACAGAACTCTCCACCCCAAACCAACAGAATATACATTTTTTTCAGCACCACACCACACCTATTCAAAAATTGACCGCATAGTTGGAACTAAAGCTCTCCTCAGCAAATGTAAAAGAACAGAAATTATAACAAACTGTCTCTCACACTACAGTGCAATCAAACTAGAACTCAGGATTAAGAATCTCACTCAAAACCGCTCAACTACATGGAAACTGAACAACCTGCTCCTGAATGACTACTGGGTACACAACGAAATGAAGGCAGAAATAAAGATGTTCTTTGAAACCAATGAGAACAAAGACACAACATACCAGAATCTCTGGGACACATTCAAAACAGTGAGTAGAGGGAAATTTATAGCACTAAATGCCCACTAGAGAAAGCAGGAAAGAGGCAAAATTGACACCCTAACTTCACAATTAAAAGAACTAGAAAAGCAAGAGCAAACACATTCAAAAGCTAGCAGAAGGCAAGAAATAACTAAAATCAGAGCAGAACTGAAGGAAATAGAGACACAAAAACCCTTCAGAAAATTAATGAATCCAGGAGCTGGTTTTTTTGAAAGGATCAACAACATTGATGGACCACTAGCAAGACTAATAAAGAAAAAAAGAGAGAAGAATCAAATAGACACAATAAAAAATGATAAAGGGGATATCACCACCAATCCCACAGAAATAGAAACTACCATCAGAGAATACTACAAACACCTCTATGCAAATAAACTAGAAAATCTAGAAGAAATGGATAAAATCCTGAACACACACACTTTCCCAAGACTAAACCAGGAAGAAGTTGAATCTCTGAATAGACCAATAACAAGCTCTGAAATTGTGGCAATAATCAATAGCTTACCAACCAAAAAGAGTCCAGGACCAGATGGATTCACAGCCGAATTCTAGCAGAGGTACAAGGAGGAACTGGTACCATTCGTTCTGAAACTGCTGCAATCAATAAAAAAGAGGGAATCCTCCCTAACTCATTTAATGAGGCCAGCATCATCCTGATACCAAAGCTGGGCAGAGACACAACCAAAAAAGAGTATTTTAGACCAATATCCCTGATGAACATTGATGCAAAAATCCTCTATAAAATACTGGCAAACGGAATCCAGCAGCACATCAAAAAGCTTATCCACCATGATCAAGTGGGCTTCATCCCTGGGATGCAAGGCTGGTTCAACATACGCAAATCAACAAATGTAATCCAGCATATAAACAGAACCAAAGACAAACACTACATGATTATCTCAATAGATGCAGAAAAGGCCTTTGACAAAATTCAACAATGCTTCATGCTAAAAACTCTCAATAAATTAGGTATTGATGTGACGTATCTCAAAATAATAAGAGCTATTTAGGACAAACCCACAGCCAATATCATACTGAATGGGCAAAAACTGGAAGCATTCCCTTTGAAAACTGGCACAAGACAGGGATGCCCTCTCTCACCACTCCTATTCAACGTAGTGTTGGAAGTTCTGGTCAGGGCAATCAGGCAGGAGAAGGAAATAAAGCGTATTCAATTAGGAAAAGAGGGAGTCAAATTGTCCCTGTTTGCAGACGACATGATTGTATATCTAGAAAACCCCATTGTCTCAGCCCAAAATCTTCTTAAACTGATAAGCAACTTCAGCAAAGTCTCAGGATACAAAATCAATGTACAAAAATCACAAGCATTCTTATACACCAACAACACACAAACAGAGAGGCAAATAATGAGTGAACTCCCATTCACAATTGCTTCAAAGAGAATAAAATACCTAGGAATCCAACTTACAAGGGATGTGAAGGACTTCTTCAAGGAGAACTACAAACCACTTCTCAAGGAAACAAAAGAGGATACAAACAAATGGAAGAACATTCCATGCTCATAGGTAGGAAGAATCAATGTCATGAAAATGGCCATACTGTCCAAGGTAATTTACAGATTCAATGCCATCCCCATCAAGCTACCAATGACTTTCTTCACAGAATTGGAAAAAACTACCTTAAAGTTCTTATGGAACGAAAATAGAGCCTGCATCGCCAAGTCAATCCTAAGCCAAAAGAACAAAGCTGGAGGCATCACACTACCTGACTTCAAACTATACTACAAGGCTACAATAACCAAAACAGCATGGTACTGGTACCAAAACAGAGATGTAGATCAATGGAACAGAACAGAGCCCTCAGAAATAACGCTGCATATCTACAACTGTCTGATCTTTGACAAACCTGAGAAAAACAAGCAATGGGGAAAGGATTCCCTATTTAATAAATGGTGCTGGGAAAACTGGCTAGCCATATGTAGAAAGCTGAAACTGGATTCCTTCCTTACACCTTATACAAAAATCAATTCAAGATGGATTAAAGACTTCAATTATAGACCTAAAACCATAAAAACCCTAGAAGAAAACCTAGGCATTACCATTCAGGACATAGGCATGGGCAAGGACTTCATGTCTAAAACGCCAAAAACAATGGCAACAAAAGCCAAAATTGACAAATGGGATCTAATTAAACTAAAGAGCTTCTGCACAGCAAAAGAAACTACCATCAGAGTGAACAGGCAACCTACAAAATGGGAGAAAATTTTCACAACCTGCTCATCTGACAAAGGGCTAATATCCAGAATCTACAATGAACTCAAACAAATTTACAAGGAGAAAACAAACAACCCCATCAAAAAGTGGGTGAAGGACATGAACAGACACTTCTCAAAAGAAGACATTTATGTAGCCAAAAAGCACATGAAAAAATGCTCACCATCACTGGCCATCACAGAAATGCAAATCAAAACCACAATGAGATACCATCTCATACCAGTTAGAATGGCAACCACTAAAAAGTCAGGAAAGAACAGGTGCTGGAGAGGATGTGGAGAAATAGGCACACTTTTACACTGTTGGTGGGACTGTAAACTAGTTCAACCATTGTGGAATTCAGTGTGGTGATTCCTCAGGGATCTAGAACTAGAAATACCATTTGACCCAGCCATCCCATTACTGGGTATATACCCAAAGGACTATATATCATGCTGCTCTAAAGACACATGCACACGTATGTTTATTGTGGCATTATTCACAATAGCAAAGAGTTGGAACCAACCTAAGTGTCCAACAATGATAGACTGGATTAAGAAAATGTGGCACATATACACCATGGAATACTATGCAGCCATAAAAAATGATGAGTTCATGTCCTTTGTAGGGACATGGATGAAATTGGAAATCATCATTCTCAGTAAACTATCGCAAGAACAAAAAACCAAACAGTGCATATTTTCACTCATAGGTGGGAATTGAACAATGAGAACACATGGACACAGGACGGGGAACATCACACTCTGGGGACTGTTGTGGGGTGGGGGGAGGAGGGAGGGATAGCATTCGGAGATATAACTAATGCTAGATGACGAGTTAGTGGGTGCAGCGCACCAGCATGGCACATGTATACATATGTAACTAACCTGCACAATGTGCACATGTACCCTAAAACTTAAAGTATAATAATAATAAAAAAAATAAAAATAAATAAATAAATAAATAAAAATTTTTGTTGGTTTAAAGTCTGTTTTATTTGAAATTAGAATAGAAGCCCATTTCTTCTGTTTTCTGTTTGCTTGGTGTATTTTTCTCCATCTTCTTACTTGAGACCTATGGTTGTCACTGTATGTGAGAAGAGTCTCTCGAAGAGAGTGAACAGTTGGGTCTTGCTTCTTTATCCAACTTCACACTCTGCCTTTTAATTTGAGGTATTTATCCCATTTATATTCAAGGTTAATATTATGTCTAGATTTTTTCCTGTCAGCGTGTTGATAGCTGGTCATTTTGCAGACTTGATGGTGTGATGGCTTTTTAGTTTCAATTGTCTATATAGTTAAGTGTGTTTTTATGTTGGCCAGCAGTAGTCTTGCTTTCTATATTTAGCACTTCCTTAAAAACCACCTATAAGGTAAGTCTGGTGATAATAAGTTTTCTTAGTATTTGTTTTTCTGAAAAGGATTTCATTTCTCTCTTGTTTATGAAGCATAGTTTTCCTAGATATAAAATTATTGGTGGAATTCTTTTCTTTGGGTATGCTTTATATAGATACCCAACCTGTTCTCGCTTGCAGGTTTTCTGTTGAAAATTCTGCTGTTAGCCTGTTAGGGTTCCCTTTTTTAGGTGGCCTCCTCTCTAGCTGCCTTTAACATTTTTTCTTCCATTTCGACTTTGGAGAATCTCATGCATATTTTTCTTGGGGATGGCCATCTTGTATAGTATCTTGATGGCATTCTCTGCATTTCCTGAATTTGAATGTTAGCCTCTCAAGTGAGTTTGAGGAAATTTTCATGGATGACATCTTCACTTATGTTTTCCATGTTGCTTGTTTTCTCTCTTTCTCTTTTAGGGATGCCAATGAGTCATAGATTTGGTATGTTTACATAATCCCATGTTGCTCAGAAGAGTTTTTTTCCCTTCATTTTTTAAAATTTTTGCTTACTGAGTTATTTCAGAGAACTAACCTTTGAGCTCTGAGATGCTTTCCTCAGTTGAGTTGATTCGGCTGTTAATACTTGCAATTGTATTATACAATTCTTGAAGGGAGTTTTTCTTAGCTATCATACAGTTTAGTTTTTTTAATGGCCATTTTATTATTCATCTCCTGTATTATTTTATTCTATTTCTTAAATTTCTTTGGTTTGTTTAAATTTTCCCCTGAATCTCCTTGACTTTTTTTTCTATCCATATTCTAAATTATATTTTTGTTATTTCAGCCATTTCAGCCTGGTTAAAATTCATTGCTGGGGAAGTATAGACTTGTTTGGATGTGAGAAGACATCTGGCTGTTTGAGTTGCCAGAGTTCTTGTGTTCTTTATTTCTCATCTGTGTAAGCTGATGTTCCTTCTATCTTTGAAGTTGTTTTCCTTTGGATGGCTTTTTTATTATTTTTCTTTGTTGATGCCCTTGAAGGTTTGATTGTTGTATAAGGTAGGTTCACTCAACTGTGTTTATTTCTGAAAGATTCTAGGGGACCAAAACTCAGCTCAGCACTCCTGGTCTGCATACTCTTACTCTGTGTGCCTGATACTGGGACCCTGGCTTTGTTCTCTGGGGCCTCAAAGTTAGGAACCTGCAGCACTGGAGGTGCTGATGTGTTCCTGGCCCACTGGCCACAACATTTCAATGGGTAGTGCCAACCTATGTGCTTCTTTTGGGCTGTGGAAGCAGGATCCATGCTCACTTACATATGCCAGGATCCATGGCAGCAAAGTGGGGTAAACATATGTCAAGAGGTGAGGGGGAGCAGTGGGAGTGAGACTGTGGTTTTCTTGTGTGTGCTTACTCCAGTGGCAGGGCTTAGGTGGGGATGGGGTTTAGGGTCCATCACTACTTTCTAATTTCAGAACTTGTTCATCATTCCCAAAAGAAACCTCTTTAGTAGTCATTCCCCATCCACTACATCCCTACCCTCAGCCCTTGGTGAAAACTAATATATTTTCTATTTCTATTAATTGGCCCATTCCAGGGATTTTATATAAATCAAAATCTATGACGTGATATTTTGTAACTGGATTATTTCACATAGTATGCCTTCAAAGTTCATCATGTTGTAGCAAGTATCTGTACAAATATTGTCTCCCTGTTGTTTTTCATTCCATTTTCTAGTGGTGTCTTTTGGAACACAAACATTTATAATTTCAATGAAGTCCAATTCATCTATTTCCTTTTATTGATTGTGCTAAACCAGAGTCTGTACTGGAGAGGGAAAAACTATAAAAAGAAATTATTGAGTCAGTTGATAAAATTGAAATACAAATGGTAGGTTAAATACAAGAATTAGGGTCAGACAAGGTAGCTCACACCTGAAAGCCCAGCACCTTGGGAGGCCAAGGTAGGAGGATCACTTGAGCCTAGGATTTTAAGACCAGCCTGGGCAAAATAGTGAGATCCCACCTCTCAGAAAAATAAAAGAATTAGCCAGGCATGGTGGCGTACACTTTGGATGCTAAGTGTGGGAGAATCACTCGGCCTGAGAGGTCAAGGCTGCAGTGAATTATGATCATGCCACTTACTACAAACTGAAAAGCTTTCAGTTTTTCCCCATTCAGTATGCTACTAGCCATGGGTCCATTGTATATGGCTTTTATTATGTTGAGATGTATTTATTCAATAACCAGTTTTTTAAGGGTTTTTATCATGAAGGGATGTTGAATTTTATCAAATGCTATTTCAGCATCAGTTAAAATAATCATAAGGTTTTTGTCATTTTTACATTTATTAAGCCATACTTGCATCTCAGGGAAAAATCTCACTTGATCATAATGGATGATCTTTTTAATGTGTTGCTGGATTTGGTTTACTAGTATTTTGTTGGAAATTTCTGCATCGCTATTCATCAGTGATATTGGCCTGTAGTTTGTTTGTTTTTTTAATGTGTCTTCAGTTTTGGTGTCAGGGTAATTAATACTGGCCTCATAGAATGAGTTTAGAAGTATTCCCTTTTCCACTATTCTTCAGAATAGTTTGAGTAGAATTGGTATTATTTCTTCTTTAACTATTTGGTAGAATGCAGCAGTGAAACCATCAGATCTCAGGCTTTTCTTCACTGAGAAAGTATTTATTATGGCTTTAATTTTTTTATTTGTTATTGGTCTGCTTAGGTTTCTAATTTCTCCATGGTTCAATCCTTGTAGGTGGTGTGTGTTTGGGAATTTGTCTATTTTTTTTAGATTTTTCAATTTATTGGCATATTGTTGCACATAGTAGCCACTAATGATCCCTTCAATTTCTGCAGTATCAGTCATAATGTCTCCTTTTGAATCTCTGCTATTATTTATTTGGGTCTTCTCCCTTTTTTCCTTAGTCTCCTTAAATGTTTGTCAATTTTGTTGTTCTTTTCAAAAAAACAACTTTTTGTTTTATCTTTTATGTTGTTTTCTCCATTTCAAATTATTTTATTTCTGCCCTCATACTTATTTTTTTCTTTTAATAATTTTGTGTTTGGTTTGCTCTTGCTTTTCTAATTTTTAGAGATGCAATGTTAAAGTTGTGTATTTGAAGTTTTTTTTTCTTTTTTTGTGTAGGCACTTACAGCTATATACTTTCCTCTTATTACTGCTTTTGCTGTATCCCATAGGTTTTGATGTTTCCATTATACTTTGTCTCAAGAAATTTTTCAATTTTCCTTATAATGTCTTCATTGTCCCACTGGTCATTCAAAAGCATATTGTTTAGATTCCATATGTTTTTTAGTTTCTAAATTTCTTCTTGTTATTGATTTATCATTTTATTCCATTGTGGTCAGAGAAAATGCTTATATTTAAATTTTTTGAATGTTTTATGCCTTGTTTTGTCACCTAACATATTGTTTGTCCCTAAGAATGATCTATGTTCTGAGCAGAAGAATGTGTATTTTAGAGCTATTAGATGAAATGTTCTATAAATATCTGTTAAGTCCATTTGCTGTGTAGTGCAGATTAAGTCTGATGTTTCTTTGTTGAGTTTCTGTCTGGGAGATGTGCCCAATGCTGACACTGAGTTTGTAATATCTACAGCTTTTATTTTATTGAGATATATTTCTTTCTTTAGCTTTAATGATATTTGCTATATATATCTGGGTGCTCCAGTGTTGGGTGCATAAAGATTTACAACCATTATATCCTGTTGTTGGATTGATCCCTTTAGCATTATATAATAACCTTCTTTATCTTTTACAGTTTTTTCCTTGCAATCTATTTTCTCTGATATCAAAATAGCTACTCTTGCCCTTGTTTTGGTTTTCATTGGCATGAAGTATCTTTTTCTACCTCTTTATTTTTAGTCTATGCATATCTTTGCAAGTAAAGTGTGTTTCTTGTAGGCAATAGAGCATAAGGGCTTGTTCTTTCATGCATTAAGCCACTCTATGTCTTTTGATTGGGGAGTTTAGTCCATTCACATTCAATGTTATTAATGATAAGTAGGAACTTACTGCTGCCATTTTGTTAGTTTCCTGAATGTTTTGTGGTATTATCTTCCTTCTTTCCTTCCTTCCTGTCTTCTTTTCAGTGAAGATAAATTTTCTCTGGTGGTATGATTTAATTTCTTGCTTTTTATTTTTATTTTTGTATCTATTGTATGTTTTTTGATTTGAGGTTACTCTGAAACTTGCAATTCCTATCTTACAACTCATTATTTCAAACTGATGACAACTTAACACTAATTGCATAAAGAAACAAATAAAAAAACATGCAAAAAACACTAATAAAAACTCTACACTTCAACTTTATCCTCTCACTTTTTAACTTCTTGTTGCAAAGTGTTGTAGTCATTTTTTTTTGTTGGTTCATCATTTAGTCTTTCTACTTAAGATGTTAGTATTTATACACCACAATTACAGTGTTATAATATTCTGTGTGCTGACTATTACTAGTGAGTTCTGTATCTTCAGATAATTTATTCTTGCTCATTGAAATCCTTTGCTTTCAGATTGAAGAACGTTTTTCAGCATTTGTTTTTAGGACAAATCTGGTGCTGATGTAATCCCTCAGCTTTTGTTTGTCTGAAAAAGTCTTTATTTCTCCTTTGGGGTTGAAGAATGTTTTCACCAGATATCTTCTTCTAGGGCAAAAGTTTTTTTTTGTTGTTTTTGTTTTTTCTTCAGCTCTTTAAATATGCTATGACACACTCTCCTGGACTGTAAGGTTTCCACTGAAAAGTCTGCTGCCAGATGTGTTGAATCTCTATTGTATGCTATTTGTTTTTTTTTTTTTCCTCTTGCTGGTTTTATAATCCTTTCTTTTTTGTTGCTGGTATCCCAAGATTTTTTTTTTATTATACTTTAAATTTTAGGGTACATGTACACAACGTGCAGGTTAGTTACATATGTATACATGTGCCATGTTGGTGTGCTGCACCCATCAACTCACCATTTAACATTATATCTCCTAATGCTTGTGATGGGAGGGTCTGTCATAAAGGTCTCTGACATTCCCTGTAGATATTTTCTTGGAGATTAACATTTAGCTTCTTGTTATTGATGCAAATTTCTACAGCTAACTTGAATTTCTCCCCAGAAAATTGGTTTTTCTTTTCTATCTATCTCATCATCAGGCTGCAAATTTTCCAAACTATTACACTCTGCTTCCTTTTGAATGCTTTGCCACTTAGAACTTTCTTCCACCAGATACCCTAAATCACCTTTCTCAAGTTCAAAGTTCCACAGATCTCTAGGGCTGGGGCAAAATGCTGTCAGTCTCTACTAAAGCATCACAACAGTCACCTGTGCTCGTTGCCAACAAGTTCCTCATCTCCATCTGAGACCACCTCAGCCAGGAATTTATTGTCCATATCACTATCAGCATTTTGGTCAAAGTCATTCAACAAGTCTCTAGGAAGTTTTAAACTTTGCCACATATTTCTGTCTTCTTCTGAGCCTTCCAAACTGCTTCAACCTCTGCCTGTGACCCAGTTAAAAAGTCACTTCCACATTTTTGCGTAGCCTAACATCAGCGTCCTGCTCCCTCAGTTCCAATTTACTATATTAATTCATTCTCATGCTGCTATAAAGAGCTGCCCACAACTGGGTAAGTTATAAAGAAAAGAAGTTTAATTGACTCACAGTTTTGCAGGGCTGGGAAGGACTCAGGAAACTTACAATCATGGTGGAAGTGAAAGCAAACATGTCCTCCTTCACATTGTGGCAGGAAAGAGAAGTGCCAAGCAAAGGGGGAAAAGTCTCTTATAAAACCATCAGATCTCAAGAAAACTCACTCACTATCATGAGAATAGCATGAGGTAACTTCCCCCATGATTTAATTACCTTCCACCAGGTCCCTCCTATGACAAGTGGAGATGATGGGAATAAAATTTAAGATAAGATTTTGGTAAGGACACAGCCAAACCATATCAGATATGATCCCAAAAATTCACCTTTAATGTGATTTTTAAAGGCTGCAGGATTCCTATCTATCTATCTATCTATCTATCTATCTATCTAATCTATCTATCTATCTATCTGTCTATCTATATCTAGCTATCCATTACTTTATCTATTTATCCACACGTACATAGATAAAAAGTATAATTTTTCTATATTTTTGTTTTTAATTATTATTTGCAGAGATTTTTTTCCAGGAATCAATTTTGAGGCTTTGGATTTAGCTTGGAAGAAATAAAAAATTTACACTTTCTAGTATAAGAGATGAGGGAGTGAGAGGAAACATTTTTTGAAGTAGCATTTCTGTAAAATTAAAATTTACTTTTTAAAATCTATTTAAAGTTTGGCTTGGAAAATGCCATCTCTGACTATACAGTCTTGTATTGCAAAGAAGACCAGTGGCTGGAGTGCCTCTTGTGAGTGTGAGTGTATACAAAGGCACCTGAAACCAAATCTGTTGTCATGTTAGTAACTGTTTCAAAAACTGAATGCAATAATTGAATGGATTTTTTTCTAGTTTGAAATTTAGTCTGCCTTTTTGCCATTTCTAATATTTTATTCAACAAGTTGTTAAGCTCTGACTGTACTTGAAGATATGACAACCAATCAGCTTGATACTTAAGGAAAGCAATTCAACAAGAAGAGCTAACTATCCTAAATTTATATACACCCA
Source organism: Homo sapiens (assembly GCF_000001405.40). NCBI lineage: Eukaryota > Metazoa > Chordata > Mammalia > Primates > Hominidae > Homo > Homo sapiens. Next base: position 64,490,155 of record NC_000023.11, on the reverse strand, counting down.
ATACAAGAACACCCAGATTCATAAAGCAGGTTCTTAGACACCTACAAAGAGACTTAGACTCCCAAACAATAATAATGGGGGACTTTAACACCCAAATGACAATACTAGACAGATCATCAAGATGGAAAATTAACAAAGATATTCAGGACCTGAACTCAGCTCTGGATAAAGGGGACCTGATAGATATCTATAGAACTCTCCACACCCCTATCTCAAAAAAAAAAAAAAAGAATATACACTCTTCTCATTGTCACATGGCAGTTACTCTAAAATTGCTCATATAATAAGAAGAAAAACACTCCTAAATAAATGCAAAATAACTGAAATTATAACAGTCTCTCACACCACCGTGCAATCAAACTACAACACAAGACTAAAAAATTCACCCAATACTACACAAATACATAGAAATTGAACAACCCACTCCTGAATAACTCCTGGGTAAATAAGGAAATTAAGGAAGAAATCAAGAAGTTCTTCAGAACTACTGAAAACAAAGAGATAATGTACCAGAATCTCTGGAATGCATCTAAAGCAGTGTTAAGAGGAAAATTTACAGCCCTAAATGCCCACATTAAAAACCTATAAAGATCTAAAATTAACAATCTAACATCACAACTAAAAGAACTAGAAAGCCAAGAGCAAACAAACCCCAAAGTTAGCAGAAGACAAGAAATAACCAAGATCAGATAGGAACTGAAGGAGATAGAGACATAAATATCCCTGCAAAAAAACAACCAATACAGGAGCTAGTATTTTGAAAAAAAATTCATAAAATAGATAGACAGCTAGCTATGCTAATAAAGAAGAAAAAAGAGAAGAATCAAATAGACACAATCAGAAATGATAAGGGGAATATTATCACTGACTCCACAGAAATACATAAACAATCATCAGAAAATACTATAAACACTTCTATGCACATAAGCCAGAAAATCCAGGAAGAAATTAATAAATTACTGGATACATATACCCTCCCAAGACTGAATCATGAAGAAACTGAATTCCTGAATAAATCAATAACAAGTTCTGAAACTGAAGTGGTAATAAATAGCCTAACAAACAAACAAACAAAAAAATGCAGGACCAGACGGATTTACAGCTGAGTCCTACAAGATGTACAAAGAAGAGATGGTAACATTTCTACTGAAACTATTCCAAGCAATTGAAAAGGAGGGACTCCTCCCTAAATCACTTTATGAGGCCAGCATTATCCTGATACCAAAACTTAGCAGATACAAAAAAAAAAAAAAAAACTTCAGGCCAATATCCCTGATGAACATTGGCACAAAAATCTTCAATAAAATACTGGAAAACCAAGTCCAGCATCACATCAAAAAACATGTCAACCACGATAAACTTGGCTTAATTCCCAACATGCAAAATTGGTTCAACATATGCAAATCAATTAATGTAATTCATGACATAAACAGAACTAAAGACAAAAACCACATGATTACCTCAATAGATGCAGAAAAGACCATTGATAAAATTCAACATCCCTTCATGTGAAAAAAAAAAACTCTCAATAAACTAGGTTGTGAAGAAACATATCTCAAAATAATAAAAGCCATATGTGACAATTCCACAGCCAATATTATACTGAATGGGCAAAAGTTGGAAGCATGCCCCTTGAAAACCAGCACAAGACAAGACTGTCCTCTACCACCACTCCTATTCAACAGTATTTGAATTTCTGGCCAGGGCAATCAGGCAAGAGAAAGAAATAAAGGATATTCAAATAAAAAGGAAGAAAGTCAAATTATCTTTATTTGCATATGACATAATTCTATATCTAGAAAATCCCATAGTCTTAGCCCAAAAACTTCTTAAGCTGACAAAAAACTTCAGCAAAGTCTCAAGATAAAAATCAATGTGCAAAAATTACAAGAATTTCTAAACATCAACAGCAAACAATCAAGCAGAGAGCCAAATCATGAATGAACTCCCATCCACAATTGCTACAAAGAGAATAAAATACCTATGAATACAGCTAACAAGAAAATGAAGGACCTCTTCAAGGAGAATTAGAAACCATTGCTCAAGGAAATCAGAGAGGACACAAAGAAATGGAAAAACATTTCATGCTCATGGATAAAAAGTATCAGTATTATAAAAATGGCCATACTGCCCAAAGTAATTTATAAATTCAATGCTATTCCCACTAAACTACCACTGATATTCTTCATAGAATTAGAGAAAACTATTTCAAAATTCATATGGAACCAAAAAAGAGCACGAATAACCAGGACAGTCCTAAGCAAACAGAACACAGCTAGAGGCATCACACTACCCGACTTCTAACTATACTACAAGGCTACAGTAAGCAAAACAGCATGGTACTGGTACAAAAACAGATACATAGATTAATAGAACAGAACAGAAAAATAAGAAATAAAACTGCACACCTACAACCATCTGATCTTTGACAAACCTGACAAAAACAAGCTATTGGGAAAAGATATTCTATTTAATAAATGGGGCTAGAAGAAATGACTAGCCAAATGTAGAAAATTGAAACTGGGCTCCTTCTTTACATCTTATACAAAAATTAACTCATGATAGATGAAAGACTTAAATGTAAAACCCGAAACTATAAAAAGCCAAAAAGAGAATCTGGGCAATACCATTCAGGACATAAACATGGGTAAATATTTCATGATGTAAATGTCAAAATCAATTGCAACAGAAATGAAAATCGACAGATAGAATCTAATTAAATTAAAGAGCTCTGCACAGCAAAAGAAACTATCATCAAAGTGAACAGACCACCTACAGAATAGGAGAAAAAATTTGCAACCTATCCATCTGACAAAGATCTAATATCCGGAATCTACAAGGAACTTAAACAAATCTACTAGAAAAAAACAAACAACCCCACTAAAAAGTGGGCAAAGAAAATGAACAGACACTTTTCAATAAAAGGCATACATGCAGCCAAAAAACATATAAAACAAGTTAAGCATCACCAATTATTAGAGAAATGCAACTCAAAAGCACAATGAGATACCATCTCACACCAGTCAGAATGGCAATTATTAAATGTCAAAAAACAACAGATGCTGGCCAGGTTGCAGAGAAAAAAATGCTCTTAAACTATTGGTGGAAGTGTAAATTAGTTCAACCGTTGTGAAAGACAGTGTGGTGATTCCTCAAAGACCTAGAGTCAGAAATACAATGGACTCAGCAATCCCATTACTGAATATATACCCAAAGGAATATAGGTTATTCTATTACAAACATACATGCATGTGTGTGTTCATTGAAGCCCTATTCACAATAGCAAAGACATGGAATTCACCCAAATGCCCATCAATGTTAGAATGAATTTTAAAAATATGGTATATATACAGCATAGAATACAACACAGCAATAAAAAGGAATGAGATTAGGTCATTTGTGTGGACATATATGGAGCTGGAAGCTGTTATTCTCTGCAAACTAACATGGGAACAGAAAACCAAACACCATACGTTTTCACTTATGAGTGGGAACTGAATGATAACACACAGATATATGGGAAAAGAACACACACTGGGGCCTGTCAGGAGGAAGTGGGGAGAGGAAGAACATCAAAAAGAATAGCTAATTGATGCTGAACTTAATACCTAGGTGATGGATTCATCTATGCAGCAAACTACCATTGCACACGTTTACCTATAAAACAAACCTTCACATCCTGCACATGTACCCCAGGACTTCAAATAAAACTTTAAAAAAATAGTTAGTACACAGAAAAACACAGCATATTATAACACTAAACCAGTGGTGTGTAAACTGCCTTTATCCTAAGTAAAAAGATTAAATCCTAAGTAAAAAGATTAAATGATGAGCCAATCAAAAATAATAACTACAACAAGTTTTCAAAACATAGTAGTATAATTAAATATAAATAGAAAAAACAAAAAGGTAAAAAGCTGGGGGAGAAAGTTAAGGCACTGAGTTTTTTTTTAATTATACTTTAACTTGTAGGGTACATGTGCACAACATGCAGGTTTGTTACACATGCATACATGTGCCATGTTGGTGTGCTGCACCCATTAACTCGTCATTTATATTAGGTATATCTCCTAATGCTATCCCTCTTCCCTCCCCTCACCCCATGACAGGCCCCAGTGTGTGACGTTCCCCACCCTGTGTCCAAGTGTTCTCATTGATCAACTCCCACCTATGAGTGAGAATATGCTGTGTTTGGTTTTCTGTCCTTGCAATAGTGTGCTCAGAATGACGGTCTCTGGCTTCATCCATGTCCCTACAAAGGACATGAACTCATCCTTTTTTATGGAGGCATAATATTCCATGGTGCATATGTGCCACATTTTCTTAATCCAGTCTATCATTGATGGACATTTGGGTTGGTTACAGGTCTTTGCTATTGTGAATAGTGCTGAAATAAACATACGTGTGCATGTGTCTTTATAGAAGCATGATTTATAATCCTTTGGGTATATGCCCAGTAATGGGATTGCTGGGTCAAATGGTATTTCTAGTTCTACAACCCTGAGGAATCACCACACTGTTTTCCACAATGGTTGAACTAGTTTACAGTCCCACCAACAGTGTAAAAGTGTTCCTATTTCTCCACACCCTCTCCAGCACCTGTTGTTTCCTGACTTTATAAGGATCACAATTGTAACTGGTGTGAGATGGTATCACATTGTGGTTTTGATTTGCATTTCTCTGATGGCCAGTGATGATGAGCATTTTTTCATGTGTTTTTTGGCGGCATAAATGTCTTCCTTTGAGAAGTGTCTGTTCATATCGTTCACCCACTTTCTGATGGGGTTGTTTGTTTTTTTCTTGTAAATTTCTTTAAGTTCTTTGTAGATTCTGGATATTAGCCCTTTTTCAGATGAGTAGATTGCAAAAATTTTCTCCCATTCTGTAGGTTGCCTATTCACTCTGATGACAGTTTATTTTGCTGTGCAGAAGCCTTTTAGTTTAATTAGGTCCCATTCATCAATTTTGGCTTTTGTTGTCATTCATTGCTCTTGGTGTTTTAGTAATGAAGACCTTGCCCATGCCTATGTCCTGAATGGTATTGCCTAGGTTTTCTTCTAGGGCTTTTATGGTTATAGGTCTAAGAGTTAAGTCTTTAATCCATCTTGAATTAATTTTTGTATAAGGTGTAAGGAAGGGATCCAGTTTCAGCATTCTACATATGGCTAGCCAGATTACCCAGGACCATTTATTAAATAGGGAATCCTTTCCCCATTTCTTGTTTGTGTCTGGTTTGTCAAAGATCAGATTGTTGTAGATGGGTGGTATTATTTCCAGGGGCTCTATTCTGTTCCATTGGTCTATATCTCTGTTTTGGTACCAGTAGCAAGCTGTTTTGGTTACTGTAAAGGCATTGAGTTTTTATTAGTTTTCTTTTTGCTTGTTTTTACAAACAGTTTTGTTGTTATCAGGTTGAAACAATGGATTATAATAAAGTATTTGCAATCCTCAGGGTAACCTCAAACAAAAAACATACAATGTACACCAAAATAAAAAGCAAGGAATTGTATCATATTACCAGAGAAAATTATATTCAATAAAAAAGACAGGAAGGAAAGAAATAAGAAAACAAAACCACATCACAATCAGAAAACTAATAAAAAATGGCAGGAGTAAGTTTTATCAATAATCACATTGAGAGGGTGGAGCCAAGATGGCCGAATAGGAACAGCTCCAGCCTACAGCTCCCAGCCTGAGCGATGCCGAAGAAGGGTGATTTCTGCATTTCCAACTGAGGTACCAGGTTCATCTCACTGGGCAGTGCTGGACAGTGGGTGCAGGACAGTGGGTGCAGCGCACCATGCATGAGCCGAAGCAGGGCGAGGCATCACCTCACCCGAGAAGCACAAGTGGTCAGGGTATTCACTTTCCTAGTCAAAGAAAGGGGTGACAGATGGCACCTGGAAAATTGGGTCACTCCCACCCAAATACTGAGCTTTTCCAACAGGCTTAACAAATGGCACACCACGAGATTATATCCTGCACCTGGCTTGGAGGGTCCTAAGCCCACACAGCCTCGCTCATTGCTAGCACAGCAGTCTGAGATCAAACTGCAAGACAGCAGAGAGGCTGGGGGAGGGGCCCCCACAATTGCCAAGGCTTGAGTAGGTAAACAAAGCAACCAGGAAGCTCGAATTGGGTGGAGCCCACTACAGCTCAAGGAGGCCTGCCTGCCTCTGTAGGCTACAGCTCTGGGGGCAGCGCACAGACAAACAAAAGGGAGCAGTAACCTCTGCAGACTTAAATGTCCCTGTCTGACAGCTTTGAAGAGATTAGTGGTTCTCCCAGCAGGCAGCTTGAGATCTGAGAATGGGCAGACTGCCTCCTCAAGTGGGTACCTGACCCCCAAGTAGCCTAACTGGGAGTCACCCCCAAGTAGGGGTGGACTGACACCTCACACAGCTGGGTACTCCTCTGACACAAAAATTCCAGAAGAACGGTCAGGCAGCAGCATTTGCGATTCACCAATATCTGCTGTTCTGCAGCCACCGCTGCTGATACCCAGGCAAACAGGGTCTGGAGTGGAACTCCAGCAAACTCCAACAGACCTGCAGCTGAGGGTCCTGACTGTTAGAAGGAAAACTAACAAACATAAAGGACATCTACACCAAAAACTCATCCGTACGTCACCATCATCAGAGACGAAAGGTAGATGAAACCAAAAAGATGGGGAAAAAAGACAGTAGAAAAACCAGAAACTCTAAAAATCAGAGCACCTCTCCTCCTACAAAGGAACAGAGCTCCTCAACAGCAATGGAAAAAACATGGACGGAGAATGACTTTGACGAGTTGAGAGAAGAAAGCTTCAGAAGATCAAACTACTCTGAGCTAAAGGAGGAAGTTCGAACCAATGGCAAAGAAGTTAAAAACCTTGAAAAAAAATTAGACAAATGGCTAACTAGAACAACCAATGCAGAGAAGTCCTTAAAGGACCTGATGGAGCTGAAAACCATGGCACGAGAACTACATGATGAATGCAGAAGCCTCAGTAGCAGATGCGATCAACTGCAAGAAAGGTTATCAGTGATGGAAGATGAAATGAATGAAATGAAACGAGAAGAGAAGTTTAGAGAAAAAAGAATAAAAAGAAATGAACAAAGCCTCCAAGAAATATGGGACTATGTGAAAAGACTAAATCTATGTCTGATTGGTGTACCTGAAAGTGACGGGGAGAATGGAACCAAGTTGGAAAATACTCTGTAAGATACTATCCAGGAGAACTTCACCAATCTAGCAAGGCAGGCCAACATTCAAATTCAGGAAATACGGAGAACACAACAAAGATACTCCTGGAGAAGAGCAACTCCAAGACACATAATTGTCAGATTCACCAAAGTTGAAATGAAGGAAAAAATGTTAAGGGCAGCCAGAGAGAAAGGTCGGTTTACCCACAAAGGGAAGCCCATCAGACTAACAGCTGATCTCTTGGCAGAAACTCTACAAGCCAGAAGAGAGTGGGGGCCAATACTCAACATTCTTAAAGAAAAGAATTTTCAACCCAGAATTTCATATCCAGCCAAACTAAGCTTCATAAGAGAGGGAGAAATAAAATCCTTTACAGACAAGCAAATGCTGAGATATTTTGTCACCACCAGGCCTGCCCTAAAAGAGCTCCTGAAGGAAGCACTAAACATGGAAAGGAGCAACCATTAACAGCCACTGCAAAAACATGCCAAATTGTAAAGACTGTCAAGGCTAGGAAGAAACTGCATCAACTAATGAGCTAAATAACCAGCTAACATCATAATGACAGGATCAAATTCACACATAACAATATTAACCTTAAATGTAAATGGACTAAATACTCCAATTAAAAGACACAGACTGGCAAATTGGATAAAGAGTCAAGACCCATCAGTGTGCTGTATTCAGGAAACCCATCTCATGTGCAGAGACACACATAGGCTCAAAATAAAGGGATGGAGGAAGATCTACCAAGAAAACTGAAAACAAAAAGAGGCAGGGATTGCAATCCTAGTCTTGGATAAAGCATACCTTAAACCAAAAAAGATCAAAAGAGACAAAGAAGGCCATTACATAATGGTAAAGGGATCAACTCAAAAAGAAGAGCTAACCAACCTAAATATATATGCACCCAATACAGGAGGACCCAGATTCATAAAGCAAGTCCTTAGTGACCTACAAAGAGACTTAGATTCCCACACAATAATAATTGGAGACTGTAAGAGCCCACTATCAACATTAGACAGATCAACGAGACAGAAAGTTAACAAGGATATCCAGGAATCAAACACAGCTCTGCGCTAAGCAGACCTAATAGATATCTACAGAATTCTCCACCCAAATCAACAAAATATACATTATTTTCAGCACCACACCACATCTATTCCAAAATTGACCACATAGTTGGAAGTAAAGCACTCTTCAGCAAATGGAAAAGAAGAGAAATTATAACAAACTATCTCTCAGACCACAGTGCAATCCAACTAGAACTGAGGACTAAGAAACTCACTCAAAACCGCTCAACTACATGGAAACTGAACAACCTCCTCCTGAATGACTACTGGGTACATAGTGAAATGAAGGCAGAAATAAAGATGTTCTTTGAAACCAATGAGAACAAAGACACAACATACCAGAATCTCTGGGACTCATTCAAAGCAGTGCGTAGAGGGAAATTTATAGCACTAAATGTCCACAAGAGAAAGCAGGAAAGATCTAAAATTGACACCCTAACATCACAATTAAAAGAACTAGAGAAGCAAGAGCAAACACATTCAAAAGCTAGCAGAAGGCAAGAAATAACTAAGATCAGAGAAAAACTGAAGGAAATAGAGACACAAAAAAAGCCTTCAAAGAATCAATAAATCCAGGAGCTCGTTTTTTGAAAAGATAAACGAAATTGATAGACCGGTAACAAGACTAATAAAGAATAAAAGAGAGAAGAATCAAATAGATGCAATAAAAAATGATAAAGGAGATAACACCATTGATTCCACAGAAATACAAACTACCATCAGAGAACACTATAAACACCTCTATGCAAATAAACTAGAAAATCTAGAAGAAATGGATAAATTCCTTGATACATACACCCTCCCAAAACTAAACCAAGAAGTTGAATCTCTGAATAGACCAATAGCAAGCTCTGAAATTGAGGCAATAATTAATACCTTACCAACCAAAAAAAGTCCAGGACCAGATGGATACACAGCCAAATTCTCACAGAGCTAAAAGGAGGAGCTGGTACCATTCCTTCTGAAACTATTCCAATCAACACAAAAAGAGGGAATCCTCCCTAACTCATTTTATGAGGCCAGCATCAACCTGATACCAAAGCCTGGCAGAGACACAACCAAAAAAGAGAATTTTGGACCAATATCCCTGATGAACATTGATGCAAAAATCCTCAATAAAATACTGGCAAACCAAATCCAGCAGCACATCAAAAAGCTTATCCACCACGATCACGTGGGCTCCATCCCTGAGATGCAAGGCTGGTTCAACATAGGCAAATCAATAAATGTAATCCAGCATATAAACAGAACCAAAGACAAAAACCACATGATTATCTCAATAGATGCAGAAAAGGCCTTTGACAAAATTCAACAGCCCTTCATGCTAAAAACTCTCAATAAATTAGGTATCGATGGGACGTATCTCACAATAATAAGAGCTATCTATGACAAACCCACAGCCAATATCATACTGAATGGACAAAAACTGAAAGCATTCCCTTTGAAAACTGGCATAAGACAGGGATGCCCTCTCTCACCACTCCTATTCAACATAGTGTTGGAAGTTCTGGCCAGGGCAATCAGGCAGGAGAAAGAAGTAAAGGACATTCAATTAGGAAAAGAGGAAGGCAGATTGTCCCCGTTTCCAGATGACATGACTGTATATCTAGAAAAGCCCATTGTCTCAGACCAAAATCACCTTAAGCTTACAAGCAACTTCAGTAAAGTCTCAGGATACAAAATCAATGTGCAAAAATCACAAGCATTCTTATACACTAATAACAGACAAACAGAGAGGCAAATCATGAGTGAACTCCCATTCACAATTGCTACTAAGAGAATAAAATACCTAGGAATCCAACTTACAATGGATGTGAAGGACCTCTTCAAGGAGAACTACAAACCACTGCTCCATGAAATAAATGAGGATACAAACAAATGGAAGAACATTCCATGCTCATGGGTAGGAAGAATCAATATCGTGAAAATGGCCATACCTCCCAAGGTAATTTATAGATTCAATGCCATCCCCATCAAGTTACCAATGACTTTCTTCACAGAATTGGAAAAAACTACTTTAAAGTTCATATGGAACCAAAAAACAGCTGGCATTGCCAAGTCAATCCTAAGCCAAAAGAACAAAGCTGGAGGCATCATGCTACCTGACTTCAAACTATACTACAGGCCACAGTAACCAAAACAGCATAGTACTGGTACCAAAACAGAGATATAGAGCAATGGAGTGGAACAGAGCCCTCAGAAATAATGCCACTTATCTACAACTATCTGATCTTTGACAAACCTGACAAAAACAAGCAATGGGGAAAGGATTCCCTATTTAATAAATGGTGCTGGGAAAACTGGTTAACTATATGTAGAAAGCTAAAACTGGATCCCTTCCTTACACCTCTTACAAAAATTAATTCAAGATGGATTAAAGACTTAAATGATAGACCTAAAACCATAAAAACCCTAGAAGAAAACCTCGGCAATACCATTCAGGATATAGGCATGCACAAGAACTTCATGTCTAAAACACCAAAAGCAATGACAACAAAAGCCAAAATTGACAAATGGGATCTAATTAAACTAAAGAGCTTCTGCACAGCAAAGAAACTACCATCAGAGTGAACAGGCAACCTACAGAATGGGAGAAAAATTTTGCAACCTACTCATCTGATATAGGGCTAATATCCAGAATCTACAATGAACACAAACAAATTTACAAGAAACAAACAAACAACCTCATCAAAAAGTGGGCAAAGGATATGAACAGACACTTCTCCAAAGAAGACATTTATGCAGCCAAAAAACACATGAAAAAATGCTCATCATCACTGGCCATCAGAGAAATGCAAATCAAAACTACAATGAGATACCATCTCACACCAGTTACAATTGTGATCCTTAAAAAGTCAGGAAACAACAGGTGCTGGAGAGGATGTGGAGAAATAGGAACTCTTTTACACTGTTGTAGGGACTGTAAACTAGCTCAATCATTGTGGAAGTCAGTGTGGCGATTCCTCAGGGATCTAGAACTAGAAATACCATTTGACCCAGCCATCCCATTACTGGGTATATACCCAAAGGATTATGAATCATGCTGCTATAAAGACACATGCACACGTATGTTTATTGTGGCAGTATTCACAATAGCAAAGACTTGGAACGAACCCAAATGTCCAACAACGATAGACTGGATTAAGAAAATGTGGCACATATACACCACGGAATACTATGCAACCATTAAAAAGGATGAATTCATGTCCTTTGTAGGGTCATAGATGATGCTAGAAACCATCATTCTCAGCAAACAATCGCAAGGACAGAAAACCAAACACTGCATGTTCTCACTCACAGGTGGGAATTGAACAATGAGAACACATGGACACAAGAAGGGGAACATCACACACCAGGGACTGTTGTGGGGTGGGGGGAGGGGGAGGGATAGCATTAGGTGATATACCTAATGCTAAATGACAAGTTAATGGGTGCAGCACACCAACATGGCACATGTATACATATTTAACAAACCTGCACGTTGTGCACATGTACCCTGAAACTTAAGGTATAATAATAATAAAATAAAATAAAATAAAATAATAGCATTGAATATAAATGGACTAAACTCTCCAAACAAAAGACATAAACTGTCTAAATGGATGAAAAAATCAAGACTCATTGATCTGTTGACTACAAGAAAGACATTTCACCTGTAAACACACACATAGACTGAAAATTTAAAAATAGAAAAAGACATCCCATGTTGATGGAAACCAAAAAAAAAAAAAAGAAAGAAAAAGATCGCTGTACTTAGACAGAATAGATTTCAACATAAAAACTATAAGAAGAGGTATCAATGTAGGAGGCAGTTCCAAAATGTCTAAATAGGGACAGCTCTGGTATGCAGCTCTCAGCGTGATCAACGCAGAAAATGGGTGATTTCTGCATTTCCAACTGAGGTACCTGGTTCATCTCACTGGGACTGGTTGGACAGTGGGTGTAGCCCACGAAGGGTGAGCCAAAGCAGGGTAGGGTGTCTCCGCACCTGGGAAGTGAAAGGGGTCTGAAGATTTCATTTTCCCAGCCAAGGGAAGCTGAGACAGACTGTCTGGAAAAATGGGAAACTCCCACCCAAATATGGTGATTTTCCCACAGTCTTAACAACTGGCAGACCAGAGGATTCTCTCCTTTGCCTGACTCAGTGGGTCCCACACCCACAGAGACTTGCTCACTGCTAGTGCAGCAGTCTGAGTTTGACCTGCAAGACTGCGGCCTCGTGGGGGGAAGGGCGTCTGCCATTGCTGAGGCTTGAATAGGTAAACAAAGCTTCCGGGAAGCTCAAACTGGGCAGAGCACAATGCAACTCAGCAAAGTCTACTGCCTCTATAGACTCCACCTCGATGGGCAGGGCATAGCTGAACAAAAGGCAGCAGGAACTTCTGCAGACTTAAACGTCCCTGTCTGACAGCTCTGAAGAGAGCAGTGGTTCTCCCAGCATGGTGTTTAAGTGCTGAGAATGGACGGAGTGCCTCCTCAGGTGGGTCCCTGACCCCCATGCAACCTAACTGGGAGACACCTGCCAGTAGGGGCCGACAGACACCTCATACTGGTGGGTGACCCTCCAGGACAAAGCCACCAGAGGAAGAATCAGGCAGCAATATTTGCTGTTCTGCAGCCTCCTCTGGTAATACACAGGCAAACAGCATCTGGAGTGGACCTCCAGCAAACTCTCACAGATCTGCAGTTGAGGGAACTGACTGTTAGAAGGAACACTAACAAACAGAAAGGAATAGCATCAACATCAACAAAAAGGACATCCACATGAAAACAACATCTGTAGGTCACCATCAAAGACCAAAAGTAGATAAAACCACAAAGATGGGAAGAAACCAGAGCAGAAAACCTGACAGTTCTAAAAATCAGAGCGCCTCTTCTCCTCCAAAGGATTGCAGCTCCTCACCAGCAATGGAACAAAGCTGGATGGAGAATGACCTTGACAAGTTGATAGAAGTAGGCTTCAGAAGGTTGGTAATAACAAACTTCTGAGCTAAAGGAGCATGTTCTAACCCATCACAAGGAAGCTAAAACCTTGAAAAAGGGTTAGATGAATGGCTAACTGGGATACACAATGTAGAGAACACCTTAAATGACCTGATGGAGCTGAAAACCATGGCATGAGGACTTTGTGACACATGCACAAGCTTCAATAGCTGATTCAATCAAGTGGAAGAAAGGATATCAGTGATTGAATATCAAATTAATGAAACAAGGTGAGAACACAAGATTAGAGAAAAAACAATAAAAAGAAATGAACAAAGCCTCCAAGAAATATGAGACTATGTGAAAAGACAAAATATATGTTTGATTGGTGTACCTGAAAGTGAGGAGAGAATGGAACCAAGTTGGAAAACACACTTCAGGATATTATCCAAGAAAACTTCCCCAACCTAGCAAGGCAGGCAAACATTCAAATTCAGGAAATACAGAGAACATAACAAAGTTGCTCATCGAGAAGAGCAACACAAAGACACATAATCATCACCTTCACCAAGGATGAAATGAAGGAAATAATGTCAAGGGTAGTCAGAGAGAAAGGTCAGGTGACCCACAAAGGGAAGCCCATCAGACTAACAGTGGATCTCTTTGCAGAAACACTACAAGCCAGAAGAGAGTGGGGGCCAATATTCAACATTCTTAGAGAAAAGAATTTTCAACCCAGAATTGCATATCCAGCCAAACTAAGCTTCATAAGTGAAAGGGAAATAAAATCCTTTACAGGCAAGCAAATGCTGAGAGATTTTGTCCCCACCAGGCCTGCCCTACAAGAGCTCCTGAAGGAAGCACTAACATGGAAAGGAACAACTGGTACCAGTCACTGCAAAAACATGCCAATTTTAAAGACCATCGAGGCTAGGAAGAAACTGCATCAACTAAAGAGCAAAATAATGAGCTAACATCATAATGACAGGACAAAATTCACACATAAGAGTATTAACCTTAAATGTAAATGGGCTAAATGCCCCAATTAAAAGTCACAGACTGGCAAATTGGATAAAGAGTCAAGACCCATGAGTGTGCTGTATTCAGGAAACCCATCTCACTTGCAGAGACACACATAGGCTCAAAATAAAGGGATGGAGGAAGATCTACCAAGCAAATGGAGAGAAAAAAAAAAAAGCAGGGGTTGCAATCCTAGTCTCTGATAAAACAGAACAAACAAAGATCAAAAGAGACAAAGAAGGCCATTACATAATGGTAAAGGGATCAATTCAACAAGAAGGGCTAACTATCCTAAATATTTATGCACCCAATACAGGAGCACCCAGATTCATAAAGCAAGTCCTTAGAGACCTACAAAGAGACTTAGACTTGTAGACAATAATGATGGGAGACTTTAACTCCCCACTGTCAATATTAGACAGGGCAACGAGAGAGAAGGTTAACAAACATATCCAGGACTTGAACTCAGCTCTGCACTAAGCAGACCTAACCATCTACAGAACTCTCCACCCCAAATCAACAGATTATGCATTCTTCTCAGCACCACATCACACTTATTCTAAAATTGACTATGTAATTGGAAGTAAAGCACTCCTCAGCAAATGTAAAAGAACAGAAATCACGACAAACTGATGTTCAGACCACAGTGCAATCAAATTAGAACTCAGGATTAAGAAACTCACTCAAAACCACACAACTACATGGAAACTGAACAACCTGCTGCTGAATGACTACTGGGTAAATAATGAAATGAAGGCAGAGAAAAAGATGTTCTTTGAAGCCAAGGAGAACAAAGACACAACATACCTGAATCTCTGGGACACATTCAAAGCAGTGTGTAGAGGGAAATTTATAGCACTAAATGCCCACAAGAGAAAGCAGGAAAGATCTAAAATTGACACCCTAACATCACAATTAAAAGAACTAGAGAAGCAAGAGCAAACGCATTCAAAAGTTAGCAGAAGGCAAGAAATAACTAAGATCAGAACAGAACTGAAGAAGATAGAGACACAAAAAAATCCCTCAAAAAAATCAATGAATCCAGGAGCTGTTTCTTTGAAAAGATCAACAAAATTGATAGACCAGTAGCAAGATTAATAAAGGATAAAAAAGAGAAGAATCAAATAGACTCAATAAAAAATAGTAAAGAGGATATCACCATCAATCCCACAATAAACTAGAAAATCTAGTAGAAATGGATAAATTCCTGGACACATACACCCTCCCAAGAATAAACCAGGAAGAAGTTGAATCTCTGAATAGACCAATAACTGGCTCTGAAATTGAGGTAATAATTAATAGCCTAACAACCAAAAATAGTCCAGGACCAGATGGATTCACAGCCGAATTCTACCGGAGGTGCAAAGAGGAGCTGGTACCATTCCTTCTGAAACTATTCCAATCAATAGAAAAAGAGGGAATCCTCCCTAACTCATTTTATGAGGCCAGCAACATTACCTATTGTAAACGTGCTACAACAAACATAAGAGTGCAGATATCTCTTCAATATACTAATTTTCACAACATTTGTCAGGGTAAAAATGTCTTAAACAATACCCCACAAGCACAAGTAAACTAAACAAAAAATGGACAAATTGGATCACACCAAGTTATAAAGCTTCTGCATAGTAAGGAATACAGTCAACAAAGTGAATAGACACTTGACAGAATGAGAGAAAATATTTGCAAACTACCCATTTGACAAGGTATTCATAACCAGAATATATAAGGAGCTTAAATGGCTCTATTGGAAAAAAAATGTAATAATCTTATCAAAAAATGGCTTAAAGATTTGAATAGACCTTTCTTAAAAGAAGGCATGTAAATGGTAAATAGACATATGAAAATGTGCTCAACGTCATTGATCATCAGAGTAATGCAAATCGAAGTACAATGAGATACCAT
This sequence comes from Homo sapiens, assembly GCF_000001405.40. Lineage (NCBI taxonomy): Eukaryota > Metazoa > Chordata > Mammalia > Primates > Hominidae > Homo > Homo sapiens. The sequence continues at coordinate 64,474,049 of NC_000023.11, read as the reverse complement.
TTTACACCAGTTAAAATGGCTTATATTCAAAAGACAGGCAATAACATGCTGGCGATAACGTAAAAAAGGAGAACCCTTGTACCCTACTGGTGGAAATATCAATTAATACAATCACTCTGGAGAACAGTTTGGAGGCTCTTCAAAACACTAAATACTGAGTTACCATATGATCCAGCAATTCCACTGCCTGGTATATGCCCAAAAGAAAGGAAATTATTATATTGAAGAGATATCTGCACTCTTATGTTTGTTGTAGCACTGTTTACAATAGGTAATATTTCGAAGCAAGCTAAGTGTTCATCAACTGATTAATGGATAAGGAAAATATGTTATGTGTACACAATGGAGCACTATTTAGCCATAAAAAGAATGGAATTCATTTATTTGCAACAGCATGGATGGAACTGGAGATCATTTTGTTAAGTGAAATAATCCAGGCCCAGAAAGACAAACATCACATGTTCTTACTTATTTGTGGGACCTAAGGCTCAAAACCACTGAACTAATGGACATAGATAATAGAAGGATGGTTACCAGAGTCTCAGAAATATAGTGGGAGGCCAAAGGGGGGAAGGCAGGGATAGTTAATGGGTACAAAAAATAGTTAAAAAAATAAATAAGACCTACTATTTGATAGCACAACTAGGTGACTGTAGGCAATAATAGTTGTACATTTTAAAATAAAGAGTGTAATTGAATTGTTTGTAACTCAATGGACAAATACTTGAAAGGATGGATACCCCATTTTCTGTGATGTGCTTATTTCACATTGCATGCCTATACCAAAATATCTCATATACCTCATAAATTTATACACCTACTATGTACTCACAATTAAAAATAAATAAATAAAAGGAAAATATGGTACATATATACCATGGAATACTATACAGCCACGAAAAAAATGAGATCATGTCTGACATGGTTTGGCTGTGTTCTCACCCAAATTTCATCTTGAATTGTGGTTTCCATAATCCCCATGTGTCCTGGGAGAAACCTGATGGGAGGTAATTGAATCATGGGAGCGGTAATCCCCCGCTACCGTTCTTGTGATAGTGAGTTCATATGAGGTCTGATTGTTTTATAAGGGGCTTTTGCACCTTTGCTCAGCATTCATTTTCCTTCCTGCTACCATGTGAAGAAGGATGTGTTCACTCTCCCTGCCCCAATGATTGTAAGTTTCCTGAGGCCTTCCCTTCCATGCTGAACTGTGACTTAATTAAACCTCTTTCCTTTATAAACTATCCAGTCTTGGGTATGTCTTTATGAGCAGTGTGAGAACAAATTAATACAATGTCTTTTGCAGCAACATGGATGGAGCTAGAAGTTATTGTCCTAAGTGAACGATAATGCAGGGACATAAAACCAAATACTGCATGTTCTCATTTATAAGTGGTAGCTAAACTTTGAATACACATGGATACATGTGTACTTGAAGGTGGAAGGTGGGAGGATGGAGAGCCTTGAAAAACTACCAGGCACTATGGTTATTATCTGAGTGATGAAATAATGTGTACACCAACTGTTACACTCAACTTACCTATATAAAAAACCTGCACGTGTACCCCTTAACCTAAAAGTAAAAAAAAAAAAAAAACAAGAGAAAGCGATGATGGTTGTACAATTTCATACATATACTAAAAACGATCAATCTTTTACTTTAAGAGGGTAAATTTGATGATATGTAAATTATATTTCTATAGAAAAATTATATGAATGTTCAAATCAGTCCTGAAAAGCTGTATATTGTAGAATTCCATTTATACAAAATTTCCAGAATAAACAAATCTATAACGGCAAAAAGTTAATTAGTGATTGCCAAGTTCTGGGCTTGTGGAGAAAGTCTCAGGGAGACATAGTGAGTACTTGATACAGTGTTTCATTTTGGGTTGATGAACATATTCTCAAATTGATTGTGGTCACAGAACTCTGTGAGTATACAAAAAAAGTATCGAATGTTACACCTTAAAAAGGTGAACTTTATGGTATGTGAATTATATATCAATAAAATGTTATTTCAAAAACCATTTCTCTTAGTTTATCCAATTTGGTATATAATTATTCATAGTGGTCTGTTATGACCCTTTGTATTTCTGTGGTATCAATTGTAACGTGTCCTCTTTCATTTATAATTTTATTTACAACCTACCAGGCTTGAATCATGAAGAAATAGGCAATCTGTACAGAACAATAATGAGTAAAGAGATTGAATCTGTTCAAATACCTCCCAAAAAAGAAAAGCCCAGGACCAAGTGGCTTTATTGGTGAATTCTACCAAATATTTAAAGAAGAATTAATACCCATACTTCTCAAACTCTTCCAAAAACCTGAAGAGGAGGGAACGCTTCCAAACCTTTTTTACTAGGCCAGTATTACCCTGAAACCAAAGCCAGGCAAGAACATTATGAAGCAACCCTACTTCTGGGTATATATCCAAAGGAATTGAAATTAAGATGTTGAAGAGATGTCTACACTCCCATGTTTACTGCAGGATCAACCTAAGTGTCCATCAACAGATGAATGGATTTTTAAAATATGGTATATATACACAATGGAATACTATCCAAATTTAATAAAGAATGAAATCCTGCTATCTGTAACAGCATGAATGAACCTGGAGGATATTATGTTGGGTAAAATAAATCAGACACGGGAATAAATAAATAAGTAAATAAAATAATAAATAAATAAATAAAATAAATCAGACAAATATTGTATAATCTCACTTACATGTGGAATCTAAAAAAGTTGAATTCATAGAAGCAGACAGTAGAGTGGTGGTTGGCAGGAGGTGGATATGGTGGGGGTGTGGTGAAATGGGGAGATGTTAGTCAAAGTATATAATATTTCAGTTACATGGAAAGAATACATTCTGGAGATCTATCACACAGCAAACTGACTATAGTTAAAAATAACATGGTATACTTGAAAATTGCTGAGATAATAGATCTTAAATGTTCTCACCAAAAAAAATAAGTATGTGAGTTGATGAATATGTTAATTACCTTGATTTACTCATTTCACTATATATACAAACACATATATATCACATAACATCACATTGTATACCATAAATATACATATTTTTGTCAATTATATCTTAATAAAGCTGGAAAAAAAGCTGGAAAAAAATAAAAATAAAATAAAGTAAAAGCACATACATACACACGCAAATAGAGGCAGAATAGATCACTCTGCCAGGTTGAACATAGTCCATTTTGAAGTGCCAAAATACTTTAATTGTCCAGGAGTGAGTTGGAGGCTTTCTGCCAAGACCTGGATGCCACGCTTAGTGGTAGAGAATCCTAAAGGAAGTCTCAGGAAAATGGAAACCTGAGGGGCCCAAGAGAACAGCTAGGAGCTTTCCCCATTCAGAATGACCTAAATCCACCCACATTACACACCTACATGGATGCTCAAGTCCTGGGAAGATAAGGACGCAGTATATTACTTTGTTAAGAGTTGAGCCTACTTTAATGAGTCCTGGATTTGAAGCTGAGTAGCCTGTGGCTTCCAGCTGACCCTGGGATCTGGAAAGCCACATACACTTTTCTGCATATTTGTCATACTTACAATAGCTTTCATTAGAATCTTTGTGCTTCTTGCCCCAGAACTTAACCCTCAAGCTGCCCTGCTTCTTTATTCTGTCTCTCATTATATCTCTCTCCCTTCTCACTCTGTCTTTTCTAACAATAAAAACCAATGTTAAAAAAATCCCACATGATTAAAACATCAACAAATATAAACAGGTATAAAGCAAAAAGTCTGATTCCCACCCCTGCTTTGTCTGCTTCTTTTCTTCCCCACACTCCACTTGCACAATTAGCCACTTCTATTAATTTTTTTCTATGACCTTGCAGATATATTTTATTTATGGAAATATAACCAAATATAACAAATATAAATATATGTTGTTATTCTTTCTCTTTCTTAAACAAAAAATAGCATATTGTTTGTCCTCTGTTTTCCCTTAATAATTTGTCTTGGTGATCTTTCATAATTACAGAGAATGTCTTCATATTTTTTCTGTAGTTTCATAATATTTATTTGTATGATCATACTAATTATAGTATAGTATGTATATATAGTATTTAACCAAATTTTTGTTGATGAACAAAGGTTTTCAGTCTTTTGCTATTAGAAGCAGTCTTTTTTCAGTCTTTTGCTATTAGAAGCAAATTTTACATTCATTACAATGGATAACTTCATACATGCATCATTTCACACTTGTGAAAATGTATCTGTAAAATAAATTTCCCAAAATGGCATTACTGGATCAAATGATAATGTATATGTAAGGCCTTCTGAATCCTCCCTTTTGATTTCTCAGCCCTAACTCTACCACTTATCTGCCAGCCTAGAATTTTGTCTTGGTTAATCATGCCCTCATGCTTAGTTATAGTCATGCCTACCAACCATTCTTCTACCTCTCCAGTTGCTCCTTTGTCTAAATCCAGATTTTGTCAAATTCGTGAGGCTTGCTGGACTCCAGTTCTATTTAATTCACACCTGTAAAACTATTATCTAAGTGTTTATGTATTAGGAGATAGAGGAAACTTTCAATCTATCAGTACACAAATAAGCAAACTTGTTCTGGTTCAGATCCTCTGCTATCTCAGACCCATTGGCCCACCTAAAACATAGTGCTGGTTGAGAATTGCAGCCATCAGTGTAATATCCAAATCATGATCACTCAAGTTGGGTAGGCTTACTGGCTGTCTTTGAGAAATACTAGTTAATTTTGAAGGGAATATCTGTGGCATAATAGGAAAAAAGCATGATCTTTACAGGCAATCCTGAGTTTGGGCTGTAGCTCCACCACACCGGGAAGGTAACCTTGAAAGACTCACAGCATCTATAGACCTTAAACTTTAGACCATCTGAAAAGTGGGGATCATAATATCTACCTTCCATAGATGGTAAATATTAGGTGTGCTTGTATATGTAAAGTGCTTAGTACTGTATTTGGCACATAGTTGGTGCTCAGTAAATGCAGGTCAGTCTTTCAAGGTTTGGGGATTTCCTTTGATCACTAGGTGTATAGCAGTTGGATCCAGAGGCTAGAAGAGCACGTATTGTAACTTCCACTTACATTAAAAATCCTCATTCTCAGATGACACTCCCTTTGCAGAAAGGAATCATAGGTTCTGAAAAAAAAAAAAACTAGCAATTTGATTGAACTTAATGTTGTTGACAGTGACTACAGCTGCTTCCTAAGCTGAGTAGACTAATACTCTTCCTCCTGCACTTTGTCTTTCAGAAATACTGCCAGCAGACCCTATACTCCTTAAAAGAGCTGCCAAGTAATTGTGTTAATTGAATTAATGTTTTAATATAAATCTATACAGGTTTTTACAAAGGAATACACATGCACCTAAGTGAACTTAGATCATTTGGTTTTATAGAATTCTTGATCTTCATTAGGGCAGGAAAGCATGAATTTTGGCTCTGACACTTGGGGAAGAAGTCACCAGGACATTAACATAGCTGGATGACTCACAGCTTAAGGATGGGGATCTTTTTAAAATTTTTATTTATTTTTTTTATTTTTAGAGACAGGGCATCACTCCATCACCCAGGCTGCATTGCAGTGGCATGATCATGGCTCACTGCAGCTCAAACTCCCACGCTCAAGCTATCCTTCCACCTCAGCCTCCAGAGTAGCTGGAACAATAGGTGAATGACACTACACCCAGCTACTTTTCAATTTTTTTTGTAGAGATGGGGGTCTCACTATGTTGCCCAGGTTGGTCTCAAACTCCTGGGCTCAAGCAATCTTCCCACCTCAGCCTTCCAAAGTGTTGGGATTACAGGCATGAGCCACCATGCTTGGCCAAGGATGGGGATCTTGAATTGGTCACAGATCTTGGCAATGCCTTAGCTTCTACTCATGAAATAATATTGCCTGCTGATACATGTGCCTCCTCTGCTGTAGGTCTACATTAAATAGTTGATTCTGTACTGGTATGACATCTCCAGGAGAATTCGTTCAGTTTTAGGTCTTGCAATTCAATGAGGTAGACAATGTGAGGCATGTCCAGAGGGGAGTGAGCAGGTTGGGGAGAGGGCTCTAAGCCAAGCTCCATGAAGGCTAATTGAAGAAACCAGGAGTATGTGGTCTGCAGAAGAAAAGACTCAGGGGGACAAGGTCTCTGTCTTTGAACCATTGATGTGCTCTCACATGACAGAGGGTGCAGTCTATATAACTCAAGGGCCAGAGCTATAGGACTCATAGTTAGAAACAGGGATATTGAGTTCTCACCACAAGGAAGAATTTGCAGGGCTGACCATGAATGGAATGAGTGACCTTGTTGATGAGTTAGGGGACATCTGATCACTGCACATCTGTAAGAAGTGGTAGAACAGCCAGTTAGATGAAATGCCATAGATGAATTCAAGCTTTAGGTTGGGAGCAGTTAGCCACAAGTACTGTTTCCAAGCCACTGGTCCTTAACTCACTGAGGCAGATTTTTACTTATTCAAGCTTGTTCCCTCTCTCACCCTTTTCAAGGTAAAACGTGTTCAATCTCAAATCTTTTGCTCCTCAAATTTCTGTTCCTCATTCCTAGGATTCATAGTAGAGCACTTACCGGTCTGAAGTCTAGTTTAGGCTTGGAAACCTTGAGCCACAGACTTTTAAGGTCCCTGACAACACAAAGCCAAGCAAATTGGAGGACCATAGATATGTTGTCTGACCCTTTCATTTTACAGTTAGATTAAATGGAAGCTTAGAGAGAAAAGCAACACCTTCCAGTTAGGCTTAGGTATCCCCTAAGACTCATACCTTTTAATACAGTTTCTTTATTGACCCTTCCTGATTTCTCACAGAAAAGCGCTTCTCAACTTTTAATGTGCATATAAATCACCTAGGAATTCTGTTAAAATTCAGTTTCTGGTTCAGTAGATCTGAAGCAGGGTCTAAGATTTTATAGCCTTAACATCAATGCTGCTGGTTTTCTTTGCCCACATTTTAAAAAGCAAGTCTCATAATGTTTTGCAGCCATGGATGCACATTAGAAACATCTGGGAAGCTTTTTAAAAAATTGATACGGTGTCCCAGCCCCTGAAACCCTGATTGACTTGATCTTCTTTGGAGTGTGAGTGTTAGCATTTTTGGTTTTTTAAGCTCCCCAGATGTTTCCAATGTACACTTATGGTTGAGAATCATTGCTCTTGCTTCTTACTCTAGAGCAGCACTGTCCAATTGAACTTTCTCTGATGATGAAAACTTTCGTTAATTTGCATTATCCAATACAGTTGCCACTCATGTGGCTGTTAAGGACTAGAAATATGACTATCAGCCTGGCACAGTGGCTCACACTTGTAATCCCAGCACTTTGAGAGGCCAAGGTGAGAGGATTGTTTAAGCCAAGGAGTTCATGACCAGCCTTAGTAACATAGTGAGAACCCCATCTCTACAAAAAAAATTAAAAATTAGCCAGGCATGGTAATGTACACCTGTAGTTCCCACTACTCAGGAGGCTGATGAGGGAGGATTACTTGAGCCCAAGAGGTTAAGGCTGCAGAGATTGGTAGTTGCTCTACTGCACTCCAGCCTGGGTGACAGAGTAAGACCTTGTCTCAAAACAGCAACAACAACAACAACAAAAGCCAGAAATGTGGCTAGTGAAATAGAGAAACACAATTTCTAATTTATTTAAATTTGAATTGCCACATGTAGCTAACAGCTATTGTATTAGACAGTACATCTCTAGACTTTAAAAAATAGCCTTCCTCTAACTCAAGTATCTTGTCCTTACATTGTTTCCATACACTGTCCCTACTCATTTATGCCTTTCATAAAGCATATGTTAGCTTCTTATATCTCAAAGCTATTGTGAGTAGACTGGTTAGCAGCTGGCCAGAAATACTTGGGACCACAAAAACAATGGGTATATCAACTAGGATTCTTCTGGTTGCATATAAAATGAGATCCTGTCCAAACCAATTTAAGAAATAAAATGATTTCACATAACTGAGAAGTCCAGGGATAGTGTTAGATTCAGGTGAGGCTTTATCTGGTAGCTCAACATTGTCTAAAAGCACTTGGTTTCTTTTCTTCTCTCCACCCTACTTGCCATGATGCTGGCTTCAAACTAAGGTTGAATCCCAAGATGGCTGACAATATCTACAAGGGCTACCTGATTCAATTTTTACAAAATTTTCTACAAAAAAAAGAAAGCATCGTCATTTCAGTGCTCCCTTTATATTCCTGAGATTCATTCTGATTTGACCAGCTTGAATCACATAACCACACATTAATCTCTGTGTATGGGGGATACAATTTATTGATTGCTCAACCCCCTAGAGTTATGGATAAGCTAACCTCCTTGAATCCACATCACATAGATCCCCAAAAGAAATCAGGAAGGGGAGGTGACCAAGATGGTCGATTAAAAGCAGGTAAAACACCGAAAGGGGCAAGTAAACACAGTACCATCAATCAAACATCCCATCCAGGTACTCCCACTAGGAACAATCAAGAAAACAACTTAACCCACACAGAATGGAGAAAAGCAAGGCAGGATGATGGCCCATTTAGGAGTGACACAGAGCCAAGAGAACTTCCCCTGCCCAGGGAAGTGGTGAATGGATGTGGGAACCTGGAAATCCATGCTTCTCCCATGGATTTTTGTAACCCTTGGGTCAGGAGATCACCTCATGAACCCAAGGCCTTCAGTCTGACACACAGAGCTATGTGGAGCCTTGGCAGAGCAGCTGCTCAGGCACACACAGAGACCCAGGAACCTTAAATACTCAGACTTTCTGGGCTTTCTGGCTAAAGCAGCTTCAACTCCATTAAAGCAGGAGGTTAGACTCTCATACATACTCCTAGGAAAGAGACTAAATCCAGGGGGGCTGAGCAGCAAGAGTCTTCAGGCTTCACTTCCATGGCGCCTCTCAGGACAAGACCCACTGGCTTGGAATTACAGCTGGACACCAGTAGTAGCGTTACACCTCTCTGAGATGGGCCTCCCAAGGGGAGGTTTGGTTTGCTATTTTTCCTGTCTGGGCAACTTAGCTGTTCCAGCCTTTTAGTTTTGGAGAGTCCAAGCCAATCGAAGGCAGAAGAAATCCCAGCACAGCTGCTTTACAAAAATGTGGCCAGAATGCTTTTTAAAGTGGGTTCGTGATCCCGTTTCTTCTCACTGGGTGGGACCTCCCAACTAGGGTCTCCAGCCACATCTGCCAGTGTTCTCTGGCAAACAGAGTTTTGAAACCTCCCTGAGATGAAGCTCTCAGAGAGAGGGGTAAGCCACCATCTTTGCTGTTTGGGTGACTTAGCCATTCCAGCTTTCAGGCTTTGGAGAGTCCAAGCCAAACAAGGGTGGAGGTTGCCCCCATGAACAACACAGCTGCTCTGTGAAAACTTGGTCAGACTGCTTCTTAAAGCAAGTCTCCAATTCTTTTCATCTTTACTGGGCAAGACCTCCAAACTGGTGTCTCCAGCCACCCCTGTCAGTGTTCTCCAGCCCACATAGCTCTGAAACCTCCCTGGATCAGAGCTCCCAGAGGGAGGGGAAAGCTGTCATCTTTGCTGTTTGGACAATTTAGCCATTCCAGCCTTTGGGCTTTGGAGAGTTCACGCTGACTGGGGCCAGGAAGAGTACTCCAGCACAGCACAGCTGCACAGCTGTCCTACAAAAACATGGCCAGAATGCTTTTTTAAGTGGGTCTTCAATCCCATTCCTCATCACTTGTGCAGCCTCCCAACCAGAAACTCCAGCTACCCCAACCAGTGTTCTCCAGCTGACAGAGGTTTCAGACCTCTCTCGGACAGAGCTCCCAGAGAGAGGGGCAAGCCACTATTTTTGCTGTTTGTATGACCTAGCCATTCCAGCCTTTGGGATTTGGCTTGTCTGAGGCGACAAGGAGATGAAGCATACCTTCAGCACAGCACAGCTGCTCTATGAAAATGTGGCCAGTCTGCTTTTTAAAGCAGGACCCAAACCCCATTTCTCCTCACTGGGTGAGACCTTCCAACCAGGAGCCACCTCCTACAGGTGCATTTGAGCCAGCAACAGGTCCATACTTTCCTGGGATGGAGCTCCCAGGGGGAGGAGTAGGCTGCCATCATTGCTGTTTCACACTCTTCACTGATGATACCTCCAGGTACTGGAAAATCCAAGATGACTAGGAACCTCCAGCATACTGCAGCAGCATTATCGGAAAGTGGCCAGACTGTTATGTGGATGTACGTTCCCATATCTTCTCACTGGGCAGACTTTCCAGGCCTGGGCCTCTACCCGGCCCCCACTAGAGCTATTGAACCAGTAGTAGCAGCTCTGCAACTCTCTGGACAGAGCATCCAGGAGTAACTGAAAGCCTCTCTGCTACTGCCTCTGCAGTGGAATTCTCCTTGCTTCCCTCAGACTAACGAAGGTGCCAAGAACTTAAATGCCTTATCCACATCTCTAATAAGCTGCAATCGGCCCAAGGAGAGGAGGACAGTCCATCTCCTATGGGTCCCATACACACTCCAGTGCTCATAACCAGAAAAAGAACCCCTGGCTTGGGCCCACAGTACAGAGTCTCCATCCTGGGCTGATTGCCATGAGCAATTGATGGCCTGCATCTCTCCAGGGTAGAACACCCAGGAGACAAGCAACATGGTGGCACAGCAAGCCAGCAGATATGGATCCCAGAGGGTTTGGTGCTGGAGTGTCTGTAGTGGACCACAGCCAGGGACAGCTATCCCATTAGGCTCTACTTGCTACCATAAGAGACATTAGCCCTAGCAGACCTGTTGGACCTGATCTCTCAGGGTGACCTGATATCTCAGGGTGTTCTTGCACATCAGACAAGGCTGGTTTTACCTGAGCACTCCTTCATTTGCTGGCCTCTCCCAGGGTCTCAGAAAATGACCAATCACTCCTGCTTACAGGACACAGAGAAGGTACCCAGATCTGTGCTGGCCAGCACACTGTCCTAAGCCAACACCACCTCAAGTGCAACAGTGCACACAGTGTCCAACGGGGACCCCCTGCACCCCCCCCACCCAAGCTGCCTTGCCTCTGCCGCTGTGGTGAACATCCACAGGGAAACAGGCATCCTTGCATTTGCTAGCACTCTGCAGCAGCTGCCACATCTCAGTCTTCACAACACAGTAAATTTTAAACCTCAAGGAGCTAGAGAACAAAGTCAGGGCCCAATAAAAGACCCCCAGAGTTAGAGCATGCAATCATGGAATTGGGAGCTGAGCATTGGTCCCCTAAAAATCTCCCAGAAATGAAGACTGTTGGCTGAATCCACCTAACTCCACAATCAAACCCTGAAGGTCGTTGAATAAGATAAAAGAAAAAGAAACATCAAAAGCTCAGTAACCTCAAATATTAAAGTTAGATAAGCCCACAAAAATGAGGAAGAATCAGCACGAGAACACTGAAACCACAAAAAGCCAGAGTGGCTTCTTTCCTCCAAGTGACCACATCACCTCTCTAGCAAGGGTTTGGAATCAGGCTGATGCTGAGATGGCTGAAATGACAGAAGTAGAAATCAGAAGAAGGATAGGTATGAAATTCATTGAGCTAGAGGAGTATGTTATAACCTAATGCAAGGAAGCTAAAAATCATGATTAAACACTGCAGGAGTTAATAGACAAAATAGCCAGTACAGAGAAGAATGTAACTGACCTGACAGAGCTAAAAAACACACTACAAATATTTCATAAAGCAATCATAACTATTAATGGTAGAGTAGGACAAGCAGAGGAAAGAATCTAAGTGCTTGAAGACTGCCTTTCCAAAATAAAACAGACAGATAAGAATAGAGAAAAAAATACAAATAAATAAACAAAAGCTCCACAAAATATGGGATTATGTAAAGAGATGGAATCCATGACAGATTGGTGTACCTGAAAGAGATGAAAAGATTGGAACCAACTTGAAAAGCATTTCAAGATATTATTCATGATAATTTATCCAACCTAGCTACAGAGGCCAACATTCAAATTCAGGAAATGCAGAGAACCCCAGTAAGACACTTCATAAGAAGATCATCCCCAGGACACATAATTAGCAGATTCTCCATGGTTGAAATGGAACAAAAAATGTTAAAGGCAACTAGAGAGAAAGGTCAGATCATCTAAAAGACAAATTAGACTAACAGCATATGTCTCAGTGGAAATTCTGCAAGCCAGAAGAGATTGGTGGCAAATATTAGACATTTTTAAAGAAAAAAAATCCAACCCAGAATTTCATAACTGAGGAAACTAAGCTTCAAAAGTGAAGGGGGAATAAAAGATTATTTTCAGACAAACAAATGCTGAGGGAATTCCTTAACGCCAGACCTGCCTTACAGGAGCTCCTGAAGTAAGCACTCAATATGAAAATAAAAAACCATTACCAGCCACTAAAAAAACACACCAAAGTAAACAGACAAGTGACACTATAAAGTAACCACATAAACAAGTTTGCAAAATAACCAGCTAAAATCATGATGACAGGAACAAATCTACACATATAAATAATAGCCTTAAATTTAAGTGAGCTAAATGCCCCAATTAAAAGACACAGAGTGGCAAGCTGAATAGAGAACCAAGACCCATTGGTATGCTGTCTTCAAGAGACCCATCTCTCATGCAAAATAAAGGGATAGAGAAAAATCTACCATGCAAATGGAAAGCAGAAAAAAAGCAGAGATTGCAATCCTAGTCTCTGAAAAACAAACAAAAAAAAAACTTTAATCCAACAAAGAACAAAAAAAACAAAGACGAGCACTACATAATGGTAAAGGGTTCAATTCAACAAGACCTAACTATTCTAAATGTACATGCACCCATCAACGGAGCACCCAGATTTATAAAGTAAGTTTTTAGAAGCCTTCAAAGAGACTTAGACTCCCACACAATAATGGTGAGAGTTGTTAACATCCCAATGACAACATAAGACAGATCATTGAGACATAAAATTAACAAAGATATTCAGGACCTGAAGTCAGCACTGGATCAAATTACCCTGATAAATATCTACAGTACTCTTCACCCAAAACAACAGAATATACGTTCTTCTCATTGTCACATGGCAGATACTCTAAAATCAATCACATAATTGGAAGTAAAACACCACTTAGCAAATTCAAAGGAACTGAAATTGTAACAGTCTCTCAGACCAGAGCACAATCAAATTACAATGAAAGACTTAAAAATTTACCCAAAACCATACAATTAAATAGAAGTGTAATATCCTGCTCCTGAATGACTTTTGGGTAGATCATGAAATTGACAGAAATCAAGAAGTTCTTTGAAACTAAAGAGAACAAAGATAAAACATACCAGAATCTCTTAGACACAGCTAAGGCAGTGTTAAGAGAGAAATTCATAGCGCTACATGCTCACATCAAAAAGCTAGAAAGAGCTCAAGTTAACAATCTAACATCACAACTGAAAGAACTAGGGAACCAAGAGCAAACTAACCCCAAATCTAGCAGAAGACAAGAAAAAAACAAAATCAGAGCTGAACTGAAGGAGCCTGAGACACAAAAAAAAGATTCAAAAAATTAATGAATCCAGGAGCTGTTTTTAAAAAAATAATAGTAATAAAACAAAGAGACTGCTAGCTAGAAAAATAAAAAAATAGAGAAGATTTCAATGAACATAATCAGAAATGACAAGGAAGATATTACCACAGAGCCCTTAGAAATACAAACAACCATTGGAGAATATTATGAACACCTCCATGCACACAAATTAGAAAATCTGGAAAAAAATGATAAATTTCTGGACACATACACCCTCTCAAGACTGAACCAGAAAGAAATTAAATACCTGAACAGAACAATAATGAGCTCTGAAATTAAGGCAGTAACACATAGCTTACAAACAAACAAACAAACAAGCCCAGGACCAGACAGACTCACAGCTGAATTGTACCAGATTTACAAAAAAAGAGCGGTGCAATTCCTACTGAAATTACTCCAAAAAAATGAGGAAGATGGACTTCTCCCTAACTCATTCTCTGAGGCCAGCACCATCCTGATACCAAAACCTGACAGAGATACAATAAAAAAAGAAAACTTCAGGCCAGTATCTTTGATGAACATTGATGTAAAAATTCTCAACAAATACTAGCAAACTGAATCTAGCACCACACCAAAAAGTCTATCCACCATGACCAAGTAGGCTTCATCCCCAGGATGCAAGTTTGGTTTAACATACACAAATCAAGAAATATGATTCATCACATAAACACAACTAAAGACAAAAAACACGTGACTATCTCAATAGATGCAGAAAATTCTTCCAATAAAATTAAACATCCATTCATATTAAAAGAAAAAAAAAACTATTTTCAAAATAATAAGAGCCATATGTGACAAACCCAAAGAATGAGCAAAAGCTGAAAGCATTCCCCTTGAAAATCAACACATGACAAGGATGCCCTGTCTCACTGCTTACATTCAACACAGTATTGGAAGTCCTGGTTACAGCAATCATGCAAAAGAAAAAAAAATAAAGGGCATCCAAATTGGAAGAGAGAAAGTCAAACTATCCCTGTTTGCAGATGACAAAATCCTATACCGAGAAAACTTTATAGTCTCAGCCCAAAAGCTTCTTAAGCTGATAAACAAGTATAGCAAAGTCTCAGGATACAAAATCAATGTGCAAAAATTACTAGCATTCCTACACACCATCAACAATCAAGTCAAGAGCCAAATCAGGAATGAACTTCCATTCACAATTGCCACAAAAAGAATCAAATACCTAGAAATTCAGCTAACTAGAGAAGTGAAAGATCCCTACAAGGGGAAGTAAAAATCAATACTCAAAGAAATCAAAGTTGACACAAACAAATGAAAAAAAAATTCCAAGCTCATAGGTAGAAATAAATCATATTGTTAAAAAGGCCATACTGCCCAAAGTAATTTACACATTCAATGCTTTATTTCTAATAAACTATCATTGCAATTCTTCACAGAACTAGAAAAAAATCTTAAAATGTATATGGAGTCGAAAAAGATCCCAAATAGCCAAGACAATCCTAAGCAAAAAGAACAAAGCTGGAGGCATCATGCCACCTGACTTCAAACTATACTACAGGGTAGTATAACCAAAGCAGCATGGTACTGGGACTAAAACAGGCATGTAGACCAATGGAACAGAATAGAGAACCAGAAATAAGATAGCACAACTACAACTACCTGATCTTCAAAAAACCTGACAAAAACAGGGAATGGGAAAATAATTTCATATTAATAAATGGTGCTAGGATAACTGGCTAGCAATATGCAGAAGATTGAAACTGGACCCCTTCCTTACACCATATACAAAAAATAACTCAAGATGGATTAAAGACTTAAGTGTAAGACCCAAAACTAAAAAAAAAGCCTTTAAGACAACCTAGGTAATACAATCCTGGACATAGGCACAGGCAAAGATTTCATAACAAAGACACAAAAAGCAATTAAAACAAAAGGAAAAATTGAGAAATGGAATTTAATTAAACAAATTAGCTTCTGCACAACAAAAGAAACTATCAACAGAGTAAACAGACAACCTACAGAAAGTGAACAAATATTTGCAAACTACACATCCAACAAAGATCTAATATTCAGCATTTATAAGGATCTTAAATAAATTTACAGGAACAAAAAAAAAAAACAAAAAACTCCATTGAAAAGTGGGCAATGGACATGAAGAGACACTTTTCAAAAGAAGACATACAGAAGGCCAAAAAGCGTATGAAAAAAAAAGCTCAACGTCACTGATCATTAGAGAAATGCTGCTCAAAACCACAATGAGATACTATCTCACACCAGTCAGAATGGCTATTATTAAAAGCCAAAAAAAATACAGATGCTGTCAATGTTTTGAAGAAAAAGGAATGCTTATCCACTGTTGCTGTTAGTGTAAACCAGTTCAGCCATTGTGGGAGACAGTGTGGTGATTCCTCAAAGACCTAAAGACAGAAATACCATTTGAGCCAGCAATCTCACTACTGGGTATATACCTAAAGAAATATAAATCATTCTATTATAAAGACACATTCAGGCGTATGTTCATTGCAACAGTATTTACAATAGCAAAGGCATGGAATCCACACAAATACCTATCAATATTAGACTGGATAAAGAAAATGTGGTGCATATACACCATGGAATACTATGCAGTCATATAAAAGAATGAGATCATGTTCTTTGCAAGGACATAGTTGCAGCTAGAGGCCATTATTCTTAGCAACCTAACACAGAAACAGAAAACCAAATACCAAATGTTCTCACATATAAGTGGAAGCTAAATAATGAGAACACACGGATGCATAGAGGGGAACAACACACACTAGTGCCTATTAGAGAGTGGAGGGTGGGAGGAGGTAGAGGATCACGAAAGATAACTAATGGGTACTAGGCTTAATACTTCAGTGATTAAATAACCTGTACAACAAGCCCCCATCACCAAAGTTTACCTGTGTAACAAACCTGCACATGTACCCCTGAACTTATAATAAAAGTTTTAAAAAATCACATTGTACCCTATAAATATATGCAAGGAAAATGGTGGGTCTAAAAAAAATAGAAATCTGGAATTGTTGGGAAAGGGGTTGTTAATTGTTTCACAATGGGTGTTTAAAAGGTAAACAATAAGTGTCCATTACAATAAGCTATCTTTTACAGAGCTTGTCCTATATTCAAGAGACCAAAGACAGATTGATAGCAAGACCCATACGGAAGACAGATATGTGAGATACAAGGAAATTCAGCAGATATTTGGCATTTGGGACATCTCTCAGCAGGTAGCAGAACCCCAGCTATCAACTTGGGGCTTCAAGATGGACTCCAGTAGCTAAGAGTAAATGACAAGAACAAGCCTTGACCCTTGTTCGTGAGAGCAGGGAATTTTAGGCAGATTTCCAAGGCAATGGGGAAAAAAAGTAATACAGGAAGTGAATGACTGACTAAAACCAAGATTTAAGGTAGGGGCAGTGTCTGGATAACAAATTGGAAGCCAGTGAATAGTATTGTGATTCAAGATTTAAGTAAGGTTCCCAGCAAATGACACTTGATGAGTAATCTTATGAGCCATGCTTTCACTTCCCTTGTCTCTAGTCAGTGATAGTTCCAAAGGCCAGTGTGGTCTTCGACCTATAGGCAGAGGTCATGTGGCTCTAGATGTGAGAGATGAGGAGGCCAGTAAGAGCCTGATGCTATCCAGGACTCTTCCTTCCTTCCTCCAACTCACGGAAATCTGAGGCTGTGAATAAGATAACAGGGAAGAAGGGAAGGGAGGCTAGTCAAAATTATTTTGGTCGCCAGTGACAGAAACTCAATTCTAACTGGCCTAAGCAAACAAAAAACAAACAAACAAACAAACAAAAAACTGTATTAATTCAGATACCTAAATAGACCAAGGAAGTTTGGATTCAGAAGTTCAATTACATCTTTAGAACCTGGCCTCTCTCTTCATAATTCACGTTCACCCTCAGTCATCTCCAGCTCCACCCTCAGCAACTTCAGGCTTTTATCACACATTCATCTACAATATACCATTGTGGTAAAGAGCACAAGCTCTGGAGTCCCACTGCTGGAGTTTGAATCCTGGTTCTGCCACTTACTCTGTATGACTTTGAATGTTACTTGAATCTGTATCCTCTATAAAATCTGGATAATACTACTATCTACCTCACCAAGTTTTTGTGATGATGAAACAAGTTAATATACATAAAGGATTTAGAACAATAATAAATATTCAACAAGTACTTGCTGTTACTATCTTAATTTGAACATCCATTAATTCCAATGGAAATAAAACATACTGTTACCAATAGTCCCAGCAAAATTCCGAGAGTTGGTTCAGTTTTGGTCATTTTCCATCCCTGAACATTCACTGTGAGATCTCGTTGGCCAGAGTTGTATCACGTACCAGCCCACTGGAGTCAGGAGGAGGAAGTGTATTAGCCCATCTGACCCACATGGACTTACAATGAAAGGGGATGTTCCCCAAAAGGAAATTGAGGAGGCTGTTACCAAAAGGCAAAAAAAAAAAGCTACTGGGAATGTAAAAACAAACACTCATAACAAAGATGCTCATACTAAGGTCCTTCTTGGCTGAGAGAGGAAAGATCTGCAAGGATAATGGTCATTTTCAAGTAAGCCCTGAAATACTCCTTGTTCCCTCTTCTTACTCTAAAGAAATAATAGCATAAATACAGTGGTGGCAGTGATGATGACAATAACAAAGATGACAGTGATGGGGCAAAACGTACTAGACAGCTGACATTACAAGAAAGCAACGGAGGCTTGGGAGATTTTAAACTAGAAATGTGCATGGAATGTTTTTTTTATAAATAGCAAGCAATTGTTCCAGATTTCATGGATGATGGGTCATTTGACAAAAAAAAAAAAAATACAGATGTTTTTGGTCACAATAATTTGTCTCCAGTTTTGAGAATGAGGTAGCAGCCTTTTGAGACATCTAAAATCAGACTTCTACTCAGGTTCAGAAAAATCAAAGAGCCTGAAAAATATATTCTATATATTTCAACATCCACAAGTATTCCTGCATGGACTTTTCTGTTGTTTCATTGCATTAACTGGAGAAAAAGATTAGAGTTTTTTAAAAAAAAAAAAAAAAAAAAAAAGTGAGGCCAGTATGCTTACTGCTTGCTTTTATAAATGCACACTATTTATCTCTCTCAGGTGCTTGTTAATTTTTATTATTTGTCTAAAGAGCCAGACATCTCTCTCCCTGACCCTAGTTAGCCTTTCTCACTCACTCTAGCCCCCATCAATGCAAATTACTTTTCAGCCAGCTGTCATAGACAACCTGTTTTTTGTCCAAATGTTTTTTGCCATTTTTTGTGCCATTGCTTAAACTATCCCCTCTATACCCAAAATTCTCTTCTGTTTGCTGCTTCTCACCTTTGACAGTTCTGCTCATCCCCATAACCACAACTCAAATTCCATTTCCTTCAAAATATTCCACAGATTACTTCATTCTGGATTAATTTTTCTCACCTGTGGCCTCCAATTGAACATTCTTTGGCTCTTGTCATGGCAGCTACCACATTGTACCTCAAGAGAGCTACTCATGGGTAGATTTGGCTGCCTGACTGATTTATAAAGTCTCTCTTTCAAAAACAAGATAGAGACTCTATCTCCACCTGTGATGGTTAATATTGAGTGTCAACTTCATTTGATTGAAGTATACAAAGTATTGATCTTAGGTGTGTGTCTGAGGGTGTTGCCAAAAAAGATTATCATTTGAGTCAGTGAGCTGGGAAAGGCAGACCCCACTTAATCTGAGTGGGCACAATCTAATCAGCTGCCAGCACAGCTAGAATATAAGCAGGCACCAAGTTCTTCAGTTTTGGAATGTGGACTGGCTGTCCTTGCTCCTCAGCCTGCAGACAGCCTATTGTTGGACCTTGTGATTGTGTGAGTTAACACTTAATAAATTCCCCTTTAAATATGCGTATATGCCATCATTTCTGTCTCTATAGAGAAACCTGAATAAAACAGATTTTTGTACCAGGAGTGGTTCTGGATGAACAGAATATTAATGATGGAGTTATTTTGCAGGTTTTGGGGTTTCTGGAGTTGGCTGCTTGATATGATTAGATGCAAAAGTGCTAAGGACTCTACTTTTAATAGTATAGAGAGCACTGATAGTCCTTTGTGTAAGCTGTTTAGAGAGTAATACAAAAAATGCATTTGACACTTATGATTAATTGCTCATGGGAGGCAAGGAGTTTAGTGACTCTATACATAATAACTTTGACCATATTTGGAGAACCAATGGACATAATGAAGCTGGTTGGTTGCTCCTAAGTTCAGTGGACAAAGTGATGAAAGAAAATGAACTCAGAGACTCTATCTCCCGGCTTCAGAAGCAGATACTGAGCCTCAAATCTACTAAGATTGCCCTGAGTGAGTCTTACCTCCTGTAGAGAAAGAGCTGAAATCGTAAAAAAACAGACACAGCTCTTATCATGCCAGTGGCTGACCTGCAATGAAAGATGTATGCACAGCCTCGCCAGGTTTCTACTGTTAAAGTGAGGGCATTGACTGAAAAAGAGTGGGAAATTGCAACTTGGAATGAGGACTTGTGGGATGACCCTGATGAACCTGGGGACACTGAGTTTGTAAACTCTGATGAACCTTTTTTGCCAGAAGATACAGCTCCCCATCTGCAGTAATGGCAATATCTCCTCCCCTACACATGCTGCCATCAGCCTTTCCACCTTTGTCTTAGGAGATAAACCCTGCACTGCCTGAGGCAACAGTGGTGGCCTCCCCTGAGGCAGTTGCCAGGCAAGGTAATATTGATTCTCCTCAGGAGCCACCTCCAACACCCCTCTTTGCTTCTAGACCTATAACTAGATTCGAGTCCTGGTGGGCCCCTAGTGGTAAGGTTGACAGTGTAATCCATGAGGAGGTGTACTACATGCAAAAAGAACTGCTTGAGTTTTCTAATTTATAGAAACAGAAATCTGGAGAACAGGCATGGGAATGGATATTAATGGTTTGAGAAAATTGTGGAAGGAACATGGAGTTGGATCACGCTGAATTTATTGATTTGGGCCCACTAAGTAGGGACGCTGCATTTAATGTTTCAGCTCGGGAAGCTAAGAAGGTTCTAATAGTTTCTTTGGTTGGTCTGCCGAAATATGGATTAAAAGGTGGCCCACTGTGAGCGAGCTGGAAATGCCTGATCTCCCTTGGTTTAATGTAGAGAAGGATCAAAAGGCTTAGGGAGGTTGGGATGGTGGAGTGGATTAGTCACTTTAGACCTACTCATCCCAGTTGGGAGGGTCCAGAAGACATACCTTTGACCAATACCTTGTGAAATAGATTTGTGAGGGCAGCACCTGCATCTTTGAAGAGCCCTGTAATTGCTCTTCTCCGTATCTCAGATCTAATGGTGGAAACTGCAGTCGCTAAACCATAAAATTGAAATACAATGGGAATAATTAAATCCCAGGGTGGCAGGGGCCAAGTGGTGGCACCCAACTGTCAAAAATGAGCTGGGCATAGCTACCATAATGGATAGCAGAGGCAAACCAGCAATCAGAATAGTCTGA
The DNA here is from genome assembly GCF_000001405.40 of Homo sapiens. Lineage (NCBI taxonomy): Eukaryota > Metazoa > Chordata > Mammalia > Primates > Hominidae > Homo > Homo sapiens. The sequence continues at coordinate 64,453,032 of NC_000023.11, read as the reverse complement.
CTTGTGTAGAGCTCTGGCATAGGCTAATTAATCACGGTGTGCCTAGAAGTGAAATTCATAGGAAGCCTAATACATTTCTACTTAATTCATGCAAGCAGAAAACTTCTAGGTCAAATGTACAAAGGACTAATTTAAATTATAAAATCAGAGAATCATGGCCCCTCAATTTCCAGACTTGAGCCAGTTTATAGACACAGAACTTCTTGAATAAAGGACAGGCCGTGTTCCCTTGAGAAAGGACCCCACTACATTACTGACAATTTATGCAGTAAATCTTTCTCCCATTCTTCTCCAAGGAGACCTCTGGATTTTCACCAGGGTAACTGCATTGAGGAAAAGGAAATGATCAAACATTTTGGGGACTACTGGAAACTGGCTCTGAGCTGATGTTGATTCCAAGGAACCCAAAGCGTCATTTTGGTCTGCCAGTTAAATTAGGGGCTAATGGAGGTCAAGTAATTAATGGAGTTTTTGCTCAGGTCCAACTTACAGTGGGTCCAGTGGGTCCCCCAACTTATGCTTTGGTTATTTCCCCAGTGCTGGAATGTATAATTGGCATAGACATACTTAGCAGCTGGCAGAACCTCCACATTGGCTCTCTGACTGGTAGGGTGAGGGCTATTATGGTGGGAAAGGCCAAACAGAGGCCATTAGAGCTTCCTCTACCTAGAAAATAGTAAATCAAAAACTATATCGCATCCCTGGAGCGATTACAGAGATGAGTGCCACCATCAAGGACTTGAAAGACACAGGAGTGGTGATTCCCACCACATCCACATTCAACTCACCCATTTGACCTGTGCAGAAGACAGATGGATCTTGGAGAATGACGGATTATTGTAAGCTTAACCAAGTAATGACTCAAGTTGCAGCTGTGCTAACAGATTTGATTTCATTGCTTCAGCAAATTAATGCATCTCCTGGTACCTGGTATGCAGTCATTGAATTGGCAAATGCCTTTTTCTCCATTCCTGTATATAAGGCCCACCAGAAGCAATTTGTCTTCAGTTGGCAAGGCCAGCAATATACCTTTCCTGTCCTACCTCAGAAATATATCAACTCCCCAGCTTTGCATCGTAATCTTATTCAACAAGAACTTGATTGCATTTTGCTTCCACAAGATGTTACACTGGTCCATTACATTGATGACATTATGCTGATTGGATCAAGTGAGCAAGAAGTAGCAAACACACTGGACTTATTGGTGAGACATTTGCATGCCAGAGGATGGGAAATGAATCCGACTGAAATTCAGGGACCTTCTACCTCAGTAAAATTTCTAGGGGCCAGTGGTGTGGGGCCTGTTGAGATAGTCCTTCTAAGGTGCAGTATAAGTTGATGTATTTGGCTTCTCCTACAATGAAGAAAGAGGCATAACACCTAGTGGGCCTATTTGGACTTTGGAGACAACAGATTCCACATTTCAGTGTATTAGTCTGGCCCATTATTGAGTGACCAAAAAGGCTGCCAGTTTTGAGTGGGGTCCAGAACAGGAGAAAGCTCTGCAACAGGTCCAGGCTGCTGTGCAAGCTGCTCTGCAACTTAGGCCATATGACCCAGAAGATTCAATGGTTCTTGAGGTGTCAGTGGCAGACAGGGATGCTGTTTGGAGCCTTTGGCAAGCCCCTTAGGTGACTCACAGTGGAAGCCTCTAGGATTTTGGACCAAGGCCTTGCCATCTTCTGCAGATAACTACCCTCCTTTTGAGAAACAGCTATTGGCCTGTTACTGGGCTTTGATGGTAACTGAATGTTTGAGTATGAGTCATCAAGTCGCCATTGTCATCAAGTCAGCATTGTCATTGTCTTTATTTGAAGATTATATATGATCTCAGGAGATGTGTATGGGTTCAATTTGACCAGGAGTGCACTTGTGATGGTTAATATTGAGTGTCAACTTGATTGAATTGAACGATACAAAGTATTGATCCTGGGTGTGTCTGTGAGGGTGTTGCCAAGAAAAATTAACATTTGACTCCATGAGCTGGGAAAAGCAGACCCACCCTTAATCTGGGTGGGTACAATCTAATCAGCTGCTAGCATTGCTAGAATATTAGCAGGCAGAAAAATGTAAAAAGAGAAACTGGCCTAGCCTCCCAACCTACATCACTCTCTCATGCTGGATACTCCTGTCTTTGAACATCAGACTCCAAGTTCTTCAGTTTTGAAACTCAGACTGACTCTCCTTTCTCCTCTGTCTGCAGATGGCCTCTTGTGGGGCCTTGTTATGTGTAAGTTAATACTTACTAAACTCCTCTTCATATATATTTATATATATATATATATATATATATATATATATGTATGTGTATATATATATATGTATATATATATTCCATTACTTCTTTCTCTGTAAAGAACCCTGAGTAATATACCATCCATCTCACTTTCTCAGCATAGTCTAACATAACATCTGCTGCACAGTAGGCCCTTGTAAATCTTTGTTTATTTTTTTACTCATTCATTCTTTCAACAAATATTTATTGGGTACCTATTATGTGGCAGGCACTGTGCTAGTTACTGGGGTACAGCAGTAACTATAACACTCAAACACCCATATTTATATGTACTTACACTCTATTATTGGATGATTTGGTTTGGCTGTCTCCCCACCCAAATCTAATCTCAAATCATTATCTCCATAATCCCCACATATAAAGTGTGGATCTTGGTCAGAGCTGATTGAATAATGGGGGCAGTTTCCCTCATGTTGTTCTCATGATAGTGAGTGAATTCTCACAAGATCTGATGGTTTCGTAAGTTTTTGACATTTCCTCCTATACACTCTTCTCTCTCAGGCCACCATGTGAAGAAGGTATTTGCTACCCATTCACATTCTACCATTATTGTAAGTTTTCTGTGGCATCCGCAGCCATATGAAAGAGACAATTAGACCTATTTTCTTTATAAATTACCCAGTTTTGGGCATTTCTTTATAGCAGTGTAAAAATGGACTAATACAGTAAATTGGTGCCACAGAGAGTGGGGTACTGCCATTAAGATACTTGAAAATGTGGAAGTGACTTTGGAACTAGTAAAAGGAAAGGTTGGAACGGTTTTGGAGGCTAAGAAGAGTACAGAAAGATATGAGAAAATTTGGAGCTTCCTAGAGACTTATTGAATTGTTTTGACCAAAAATGCTGATAGTGATGTTGACAATGAAGTCCAGGCAGAAGAAGTCTCAGATTGAGATGAGAAACTTGTTGGGAATTAGAGCAAAGATCACTCTTGCTGTGCTTTACCAAAGAGACTGAAAGCATTTTGTTCGGCCCTGGAGATCTGTGGAACTTTGAACTTGAGAGAGATGATTTAGGGTATCTGGTGGAAGAAATTTCTAAGCAGCAAAGTGTTCTAGAGATAACCTGGGTGCTTTCAAAGGTGTTTAGTCACATGTATTCACAAAGAGATGGTTTGAAATTGAAACATGTTTAAAAGGGAAGCAGAGCACACAAGTTTGGAAACTTTGCAGCCTGATGATGTGATAAGGAAAATAAAAAACATTTTCTGGAGTGAAATTCAAGCCAGCTGCAGAAATTTGCATAAATAATCAGAAACTGAATGTTCCTCATTAATATGAGGAATGTTAATATCCAAGATAATGGGGAAAATGTCTCCAGGGCATGTCAGAGAACTTCATGCAACCCCTCCTGCCACAGACCCAGAGGCCTAGGAGGGAAGAATGTTTTAATGGGCTGGACACAGGGTCCCATGGCTGCTCTGTGCAGCCTAGGGACTTGGCATCTCACATCCCAGCTGTGGCTAAAATGGGCCAATGTACAGCTCAGGCCATTGCTTCAGGGTGTGCAAGTCCCAAACAGTGATGACTTCCATGTGGTGTTGGACCTGCAGATGCACAGAAGTCAAGTTGAGGTTTGGGAACCTCTGCCTACATTCCAGAGGATGTATAGAAATGCCTGGATGTCCAGGCAGAGGTTTGCTGCAGGGATAGAGCCCTCATGGAGAACCTCTGCTAGGGCAGTGCAGAAGGGAAATGTGGAGTTGGAGCCCCCACACAGAGTCCCCACTGGGGCACTGCTTAGTGGAGCAGTGAGAAGAGGACCACCATCTTCCAGAAGCCAGAATGGTAGATCCACCCACAGCTTGCACCATGCACCTGGGAAACCCAAAGACACTCAATGTCAGCTCATAAAAGAAGCTTGGAGAGGGACTGTATCCTGCAAAACCATGGGGGTGGTGCTGCCCAATTCCATGGGAGCCCACCTCTTGCATCAGCATGACTTGGATGTAAGACATAAGGTCAAAGGGGATCATTTTGGAGCTTTAAGATTTATTGACTGCCCACAGATTTTGGACCTGCCTGGGGCCTAAAGCCCCTTTGTTTTGGCTAATGACTCTCATTTGAAACAGGAGAATTTACCCAGTGCCTGTAGCTCCATCGTATCTAGGAAGTAACTAACTTGCTTTTGATTTTACAGGCTCCTAGGTGGAAGGGACTTGCTTTGTCTCAGATGAGACTTTGGACTTGGACTTTTGAGTTAATGCTGAAATAAGATAACAGTTTGGGGGACTGTCAGGAAGGCATGATTGGTTTTGAAATGTAAAATGGATGTGAAATTTGGGAGGCACCAGGGGCAGGATCATATGGTTTGGCTCAGTGTTTCCACCTAAATCTCATCTCAAATTGTAATCCTTATAATCCCCACATGTGGAGGGCAGAATCTGGTCAGAGCTGAATGGATTATGGGGGCAGTTTCCCCCATGCTGCTCTCATGATAGTGAGTCCTCACAAGGTCTGATAGCTTTATAAGTCTTTGACATTTTTTCCTCCACACACTCTTTCTCTCTGGCCACCATGTGAAGAAGTTACTCGCTTCCCATTCACATTCCACCATGATTGTAAGTTTTCTGAGGCCTCCCCAGCCATGCAGAACTGTGAGTCAATTAAACCTCTTTCCTTTATGAATTACCCTGTCTCGAGTATTGCTTTATAGCAATGTAAAAACAGACTAATACATGGGATACAGATAATAAACAAATAAATATAGCATAGGTAAGGTAGTGACAAATACTATAAAAATTAAGCAGTGTAAGAGGCATAAAATTACAGGGGTAAAGTTTGTGTTAGGAGAGTACGGGAAGGCCTCTCATAAAAGATGACATTTGAGTAGAAATCTACCATAAGAAAGAGAATTATATATAAGGATACCTGGAGAAAATGTGTCTTAAGTTGTGGATTCAGCAAGTGCAAATGACATGAGGTAAGACCATGCATAGGGGCCAGTGTAGCTGAAGCAGAATAAGTGAGAAAACCAGTGTCAAAGACAAGGTCAGGGTAGTGCAGAGTCAAATCTCTTAGACTCTGTTGACAACAACTGAGTTAAAAATAAATTTAAAAGATGAGGATAGAAAACAGATGAAGTAGAAGCGGCAGGGCTTGTTGAAAGAATACTAAGCCTATGGCCAGTTTAGACTCCACGGCTCACCTCAGACACAGGGCTTTCACCTTCTAGGTTTAGCTACTCACTCTTTGCTCACTGATCTTCGGACAACCACCCCATTTCCCAGGTGCTTAGTGCCTGTGTCCCAGGTAGAGCCAAGTGTATGGACTACACTAGGCACACCCATAATTCAAACCTAAAGAAGGATCTGAAAGCTGCTTGAGGCAGGAAACTCATAGAGTTTTCTAAACTGAAACAGAGATTCAGAGCAGATTTCTAGAATTGAGAGGTTGTTTGGCTTGCTCTTTGTTGAATCAATTACACTCTGGGTTATCCTCTTGGTTTGCCCAAAGAAGGGAATTCTCCCTCCTCAAATAGGTTCAATATCTGAAGAAAAGTGCATCTCTGTCTCTCTTCTCAGGCCATGCCAGAAGTAGAATAAGACCCTGTTTTTGTGGAGGGTGTTCAGTGGAGATGGACAAAGAGAGATGGACTAGAGTCTTACATAGTCCTGGGGTGCTGCACCAAAGGAAATAGTGAGGAAGAGAAGGAGGAAAGAGCCAGATCACAAGCAGCAATGTGACTATTTTTGTTACCAGCATTTGGTATTGAAACTTATTTAGTCAAAGGACATTGAACAGCCGATCCACAAGATGGATGGAACCCCATTAGATATAAGATCCCCCTCTCATAAACTCAGTTCCAGAAACTATCTTGAAAAAAAAAAAGACAGAGCTTAAGCTCTATATTACTCCTGGCCCCTTGGAAGTGGCAATTGGCAATACAGCTGCTTCACCCTCTGGCTAGCTGAAACCTGGATGAGAGGTGGGGGGCTATGTAGAGGAAATATTTATGAAAGCAGACTTGGCTTCAGGATGCACATGGTGTGGGATACAGCTCATTAAGAGAAATGTCAAACAGCTTATGGTTAAGAGGATAAAACAAAGGTGGAAAACTAGTAATTAGTGCCCTAATGACCCGAGGTCATGTATGTTTTGCCAGCATGGTGTTTTAAAAAATATTAGCCTGATGACTTTTACATGGGGTATAAACTCTGGAGTCCATACCACTCCCTATCATCATACCTGCTTTCTGAGAGCCAGTATGTGCAACGGCTAAGAATACTGGGGCTCTGGTGTCAGATCTCCTGCTTACATAGCCTGCACCTGTCACTTACTATCTGTCCTTCAATTTCCTTATCTGTAATATGGGGAAGATAATAGTGCCAACTTATAGTTGTGAGGATTTAAAGAGTTAATATAATAAGCTCTCCATGGCTGCTATTTTATTTGTCTGACTCCTGAAAGCATTTGAGTTTCCAACCTCTGTTATAAAGGGGAGTAATCTAGAGTAGGTGACAAAAACATTTCACAAAGGAAATGTTTGACCTAGGCCTTTAAAAATAGGGCAGAGGGACAGGCTCGAGCAAAGTCACGGATGCATCAACCCTCATGCTATGTTTTCAGGGCAGAAAGTAGTTTTGAGAGCTAAGGCAGAATTGTGTTTTGTTTGTTTGTTTGAGACAGAGTTTTGCTCTTGTTGCCCAGGCTGGAGTGCAATGGCACGATCTCAGCTCACTGCAACGTCCACCTCCCAGATTCAAGCAATTCTCCTTCCTCAGCCTCCTGAGTAGCTGGGATTACAGGCATGCACCACCATGCCCGGCTAATTTTGTATTTTTAGTAGAGACGGGGTTTCTCCATGTTGGTCAGGCTGGTCTCGACCTCCTGACCTCAGGTGATCTGCCCACTTCGGCCTCCCAAAGTGCTGGCAATACAGGCATGAGCCACTGCACCCAGCCCCAAGGCAGAATTGTTTTCTTAAGGAATGGCAGAAGTGGATCTGAAAAGAAAGCAAAAGATGGACTGCAAAGAATTTGCTATGTTCTGCCCAGCTGTTTCATATAGTTATTTGAAATCTCGCTGCTTATACTATAAAAATGTTGGGGCAAAACATCATTTATTTCATCACCAAGTGATAACCACATATTTACTTTCTCCTTTCTGGGTAATAAGATTAATGTAATTGATCATATCCCACCATTTTCTTGCTTATGGGGAAGCTGAGAACCTAGGGTAAAACTCAACAAGCTCTACAATCTTCATTTTATATTTTTTCTTTCCCTTGATCCTCATTTTCTGTTTGTCTTCCATTATTGTGTGTTGTGACTTTATTATTTACTATAATATTGTATGAGATATTTTATAAGTTGTCATTTGTTTGTTGGAAAGGCAGAGTATGAATACATAAATAAAATATACATGATTTGAGCTTTCTCTTTTAAACCATAAAAAAGTTTAAAAGCAGAGTGACATGACTTGGACAACACTTTAGAAACACAATTCTGACTAACTGTATTGTGAAAAATGAACTAGGGAGGAGTGAGATTGAAAGTGGAGAGATCAGTCAAGAGATTGTTTCAATTGTACAGCTGGGAGAAGATGAGGACCTGACTCCACATAGTAGAGGGATGGAGAGGAGAGGGTAGAAATAGAAGAAATTAGAGACAAGGTAGAATTGATATGATGTAGTGATTGAATATGGGGAGAGAGGAGAAAAAGGATGCAACTAAGTAGATGATAGTTAAAGTAGGAAGAATTCTAAGATGACCCCCATAACCTTTGTTCCTTGGTATTGCTCCCATAATTACGTGACGTTACATTGCTAAAGGGATTTTGCAGATATTGCTAATGTTACTTATCAGTTGACCATAAGAAAGAAGATTATTCAGGTGGGCCTAACCTAATCATATGAGCCCTTCAAAAGCAGATCCAGAAGGAAGCAAAAGAAGAAGCCAGAGATGTTCAAAGTGAGTTAAATTTAAAATGAGGAAGATTTTTCATTTCTGATGTGGGGGAGGCCATATGAAAGTGCCTGAGAATGGCCTCTAGGATCTGATAGTGACCTTCAGCAGCTGACGCTAGCAATGAAATAGGTACCTCAGTCTTATAACCATAAGAAATTGAATTCTGCCAGTAATCTGAATGATTTTGAAAGTGGATTCTTCCTCAGAGCCTTCAGATTGGAGGCCAGCCTGGTTGACATCTTGATTTGAGCATTGTAAAACTTTAAGCAAAGAACTCAGCTAAACCCATCTAGATTTCTGACATACAGAACTGCAAGTTAATAAATGAGTTTTGTTTTAAACTACTAAATTTGGACAGGTGCTGTGGCTCACACCTGTGATCTCAGCACTTGGGAGGCTGAGGCAGGAAGGTCATTTAAGCTAAGGAGTTTGAAATGAGTTTCACCAACATAGCAAAACCTCCTCACTACTAATTTTTTTCTTTTAAAAAATTAGCTTGGCATGGTGGCATGTGCCTGTTGCCCTAGCTACTCCAGAGGCTGAGGTGGGAGGATTACTTGAGACTAGAAGGTTGAGGCTGCAGGCAGCTATGATGGCACCACTGCACTGCATCCTGGGTGACAGAGCAAGACCCTGTCTCCAACAAACAAACAAACAAACAAACAAACAAACAAAACTGCTAAGATGGTAGGTAATTTGTTTTACACATCAATAGAAATTAATGCAGTAGTTGAGCAGAAACCTTTGGAACCCACATCACATCCTTTTGAGCTACCTCTGAGTCTACCTGCAGCTGTGGTGGACAGCTCTGACTCACCTGAAGCTACTAATATCCTACCTCAAGAGCACAATAAACATCTTTCTGCATTCTTCCCCACTGCCTTTTCTGATGCTGTAGAGCTTGCTCAAAAGTAGCTTAGAAATGGAGAGAAAATTAATGGTCCCAGAGGCAACATTCAATTAGTAGAGAAAGGGAACTGATAGGATAAAGTGTATCTTCTAGCCTCTGAATGATGTTCAGGAAGACAACTCTTTTCTTAATTTTTTATTTCAATAGGTGTTTGGAAAACAGGAGATGTTTGGTTACATGAATAAGTTCTTTAATGGTGATTTCTGAGATTTTGGTGACCTATCACCCAAGCAGTATACACTGTACCCAATTAATGATCTTTTATCTCTAACCCCCTTTCCACACTTTCCTCCAAGTCTGCAAAGTCCATTGTATCATTCTTATGCCTTTGCACCCTCATAGCTTATCTACCACTTATGAGTGAGAATATATGATGTTTGGTTTTCCATTCCAGAGTTACTCAAATTAGAACAATGGTCACCAATTCCATCCAGGAATTCTTTATCTACTTGTCGATTGAAGGGTGTTTGGTCTGGTTCTATATTTTTGCAATTGCAAATTGTGCTGCTATAAACATGTGTGTGCAAATATCTTTTCGGTATAATGACTTATTTTCCTCTAAGTAGATATCCAGTAGTGAGATTGCTAACTCAAATGGTAGATCTACTTTTAGTTCTTAGGAAATCACCACACTGTTTTCCATAGGGTTGTAATAGTTTACATTCCCACCAGCGTATTGAAGTCCTTCACTGTTATTGTATTGCTGTCCATCTCATTTCTTAGGTCTAGTAATAATTCTTTTATATATTAGGAAGCTCGAGTGTTAGGTGTATATATATTTAGAATTGTGATTTTTTCCTGTTGGACAAGTCTTTTTATCATTATATAATGTCCATCTTTGTCTTTTTAAAGGGCTGTTGCTTTAAAGTTTCTTTTGTCTCACATAAAATTAGCTATGCCTGCTCACACTTGGTTTCCATTTGCATGAAATATCTTTTTCTGCCCCTTTACCTTAAGTCTATATGAGTCCTTATGTGTTAGGTGAATATCTTGAAGACAGCAGATTCTTGGTTGGTGAATTCTTATCTAGTCTGTCATTTTGTACCTTTTCAGTGGAGCATTTAGGTCATTTACATTCAACGTTAGTATTGAGATATGAGGTACTCTTCTATTCTTCTACTCATTGTGTTATTTGTTGCCTGAATACCTTGTTGTTGTTGTTTTTATTGTATTATTGTTTTGTAGGTGTTGTAAGATTTGTGTTTTAAGAATGTTCTATTCTTGGGTATTTCAAAGATTTATTTTAAAATTTACATCTGCTTTTAGCAGTTCTTGTAGTGCTGGCTTTGTAGTGGCAAATTCTCGCAGCATTTGTTTGTCTGAAAAATGACTGTATCTTTCCTTCATTTATGAAGCTTAGTTTTACTGGATACAAAATTCTTGGCTGACAATTGTTTTGTTTAAGGAGACTAAAGAGAGGGCTCCAATCCCTTCTAGCTTGTAGGATTTCTGCTGAGAAATCTGCTGTTAATCTGATATGTTTTCTTTTACAGGTTACCTGATGTTTTGCCTCACAGCTTTTAAGATTCTTTCTTTCATCTTGACTTTAGATAACCTGATGAATAGGTGCCTAGGTGATGACCTTTTTGTGATGAATTTCCCAGGTGTTTTTTCAGCTCTTGTATTTGGATATCTGTATCTCTAGCAAGACCAGGAAAGTTTTCCTTGATTACTTCCTCAAATATGTTTTCCAAACTTTTAGATTTCTCTTCTTCCTAAGGAAAACTAATTGTTCTTAGATTTGGTCATTTAACATAATCCCAAACTTCTTGGAGGCTTTGTTCATTTATTTTAATTATTTTTTTCTTTTTTCTTTGTTGGATTTGGTTAATTCAGAAGCCTTTTCTTTGAGCTCTGAATTTCTTTCTTCTGCTTGTTTGATTCTATTTCTGAGACTTTCCAGTGCATTTTGCATTTCTTTAAGTGCGTCCCTCATTTCCAGAAGTTGTTACTGCTTTTTGTTTATGCCATCTATATGTTTTTAACCTGCTATCTCTCTCTGTCTCTCTCTATATATATATAGAGAGAAAGTGAGACATATGCTATCTCTCTGTCTCTCTCTGTACATATATATACATATATGTATATATTTGTATATCTATCTGTAGATATATATCATATACATGTACATATATGTATATCTATCTGTAGATCTATATATCATATACATGTACATATATGTATATATATGTACAGAGAGAGAAAGATATAAATCTCTCTATGTATATATATATATATATATAGATATCTCTGTATGTACTTTGATATACATATATATCAGTTACTCTGCTGAGCACAAGGGTCCTGAGGGAATAAGACCCAGGAAAAGCAAATTTTGATAGGATGTGAAGGTAATGGAAATAACGCATAAAAAGATATTTTATGCAAATGGAAACTAAAAGTGAGCAGGAGTATAGAGATAGATAGATAGATAGATAGATAGATAGATAGATAGATAGATAGACAGACAGACAGATGATAGATGGATAGATAGACAGATGATAGATAGATAGATAGATAGATAGATAATAGAGAAATTCTCACTCTACAACCCAGGCTGGAGTGCAATGGCACAATCACAGCTGACTGCAGCCTTGAATCCTGAGTTTAAGCATCATTTTGCCTCAGCCTCCAAAGTAGCTGGGACTACAGGTATGTGTCATCATGCCTGGCTAATTTTTATTTTAATTAATTAACTTATTTTTTTGAGATGGAGTCTCACTCTGTCACCCAAGCTGCAGTGCAGTGGCACAATCTCAGCTCACTGTAACTTCCACATCCTGGGTACAAGCAATTCTCCTGTTTCAGCCTCTTGAGTAACTGGGACTACAGGTGCACCACCATGCCTGGCTAATTTTTTTATTTTTAGTATAGACAAGGTTCATCATGTTGGTCAGGCTGGTCCCAAACTCCTGACCTCAAGTAATATGCCTGCCTCAGCTTCTCGAAGTGCTGAGATTATAGGTGTGAGCCACTGAGCCCAGCCCAGCTAATTTTAAAATTATTTTTTGTAAAGATGGAGTATCCCTATGTTGTCTGGGCTGGTCTTGAACTCCTGGGCTCAAGCAATTCTTCCACTTCAGCCTCTGAATGTGCTTGGATTAGGATCCTAAAAAATATTAATTCATTGATTCATTCAACAAATATCTACTGGTCATTTATTATGTGATTGTGGAGAGGTGAAATAGTGAATGAGGCAAACTAATTTCAACTCTTCTCATGCTATCAGCCTGATAGAGAAGGATGACCAATGACCAAGTTCTTTGAATATCTGAAAGACAAGTGCAGGGTGCTTAGGAGCATATCCTGGATGGACCTAACCTAGTATGAATATTCTTTGAGGGTTTTCTAGAGAAAGCAACTTTTCTAATGAAATCTGAAGGCTGAGAAAGCATCATCAAGAGACACCAGAGGGCAGATGTAAAGGAGGGAGAGAAAGAGGGGTTCAGGCAGAGGGAAACATATGCGCAAAGCTCCCTAAGGTATGACTAAAGTGTACAGGAAAGGACTGTAGTAAAAAGTAAAGTTGAATAGGTAGATAGAACCTAACGTTGCCAGGCTTTTGTAGGCTATGGTGGGGTTTTCTGTTTTTATTCTAAGGGTAAGTGGAAGCCCCGAAGTGTTTTAGGTAAGAGAGTGCCATCAGATTTGCATGTTAAAAACATCATTCTAGCTACTTTGTGGAGAATAGGCTGGTGGTGGGATAAATAGCCTGAAGGAGGAGACACTAGCTGGAAGGTGAAATTAGGAATGAGATGAGGGTGACATATATTAGTGTAGTGCAGGTGGCAATGAAAAGAAAGTGGACAGACTTTCGAGAGACTTAGGAAATATAATAAACAGCACTTGGTGACTGACGATGAGTGGTGGTAGGTTTGAAAGAGAAGGAGTAGTTAAAGATGATCGCCAAGTGCCTGTCTTAAGCATTTGGGAAGATGGTGGTGAATTTCTGAAGAGAAGAAATACTGAAATCATATAGATCTTATTGTAGTCACTTCTATCCCCTACTGTCTTTCCATTACCCTCATATCCTATCCAAATTTGGTTTTCCTGGGTATCATTTCCTCAGGACCTTTGTGCTCAGCAGAGTAACTGACTAGAGCTAAGTAATATTAATTAGTGCCAATGAGTTAATATGCCACCCCTTATAGAACTGACCTTGGCATTTTGCCAATAGTCTTTTGCAGAGGATGCTTTTATTAAAAGAGGCAGTGTGGAAAATTGAAAACTGATTTGCAGATAAGAAGGTTTTTTTTTCCCATCAAAGGGTGAAGTAATCTATATCCCTCTGGTAAGTAACAGTAGGCCAAACCCAAAAGGACCCAAGACTCGGATACCGCTTCTAACCTCTTTTTTTTTTTTTTTTTTTTTTTTTTAGTACATCTCTGATTTGGCCCAAATGTCAGGAAGACTGGGACTCAGTGGAAAAGCCCACGTCTATCCCATTCTATCCCATTCTATCCCAGCTGATGGTATGCTGGAACTCACCTATGCTAGTGGGAGATAATTGGTAAATTTTCAGGAATTTCATGACTAATTGGCATCATCTTGTAGCTTGAAATTGGCCGCAGTAGAAGAATTTACATCACAAAAACTGGTAAATGCTACAAATTAGGGCTTCTGTCCTTTAGACAATTTGTTGTTAAACATTTATTAGCACACCACTGATTTCAGTCCTGCTGAAATGACTCTGTTGTCTGGGGTATATACCCTGGCTCTCGGTCAGTCGAGAAGGAATTCAGGACACAGACACACATGAGGAGTGGGTTTAGAGCAGAAGGGTTTAATAGAAAAATAAAAGAGAGAGAAAAAGCTACCTCATGTTGAGAAAGCCCAAAAGAGAACGTCAGAGTGGAAAAAAGAACTCGCTGGTGTGAATGCGCTGAGTTTTATAGTCCAGTTTGAGGAGGTGGTGTCTGATTTACATGGGGCTCATAGATTGGTTCGATCAGTTATGATGTCTACATAGTGGGTGGGGAAGGCTGGTTGCCCCACCCTAATCTTATTATGCAAATGAGCATTCCAGTTGATTGGCACCATCTTGTCTGCTTCTTACTGTACACGTCGCTAACAAAGAGAAGGGAAGATGGAGGCGCCATCTTGAACATGATTGGCACAACTTCTGGTATCTATGTCTGTAGCTCAATTTTACAGGCTGCTCTTTGTTAAAAAGGAAAATAACTTGGGGCTGCTTTTCATTAAAAAGAAAAGCCTTACCAAGGATTCCCATACCCTTACTATCTGCCTAAGTAATTTATTCTTAGCTCCTATATCACTGCCACAGACTAACCATGTGGCTTCTCTGTCTGCACTCACATCTTTGTTAACTTCATCCATTCTTGTGATTTTAAATACCATATATATTCTGAAAGCTCCCAAATTGATATCTCCAATCCAGACATATCTTCTGGATGCAAAACCTATATAGCAGACTTGTATAACCAACTGCCTATTTAAAATTTTTTATTTTCATTTGGATGTCTAATAGTCATCTTAAACTTAGCATGACTTAAACTGACCTCCCAATCTAAAATCCCCTCATGCTCCCCACCACAAAATTTCCCCTGCTTTCTTGTCCATTTTAGCAAATGAAAAATTCCTCCAGTTGTTAAGGTCTGAAACCCTGGTGTTATTGAAACTGCCTTTGCAAAAATATGACAGTAAGAGAAATCTGACATAGCTGACTCCATCTTGTGTCTAGCCTCACAAGTTGGCTGTCTTTGCTCATTCCTGGGTGTGGGCCAAGCTAACTTTGGGATAAATTTAGTTTATAGTTTAAATGATAAAAACCTTTCGCAAAAACTAAACTGTTTAAAACTAGTGAAAGGACACCAAGTTAGGAGAGTGAGGGAAACCTGAATTTTAAATAATTGCCAGTCATTATTCTGGAGGTCATAAGATTTTCAACTTCCTCAATTACTCTTGAAGGTAACATCACTATTATAGAACCCAAGAACTGCCTTTTGAGATGTCTTTTCAGATTTTTGCATTTTTGACAACTGGATGCCTTCACCACCAGGACGCACCAACTAGTCCTGTGGCCTCCACCCAGGAGCTGACTCAGCATAAGATATAGGTAAGGCACTCCTTAACTCCAACATTTAAAATTGTAAAACTTCCCCCACTCTGCTCCAGTACTCCCTGTTTACCTTTTCTGTTTCTTTTTTTTTCTTTCTTTCTTTCTTGGAACTCATCATCATCTGACACATTGTGTATTTCATTTATTTTGTGTACTATCTATCTCCCAGGTTAAAATGTAAGTTCCATTGAGAGAAGAGACAAAGAGACCCCCCATATTGTTTTATAGTATTTTATACTCAGTACCTATTTTAAGAAGAAACAAGGAAGCGAAACCAAAGGCAGGCAGCCTGGCACCAGGCACCAGACCCAAATTCAGGCCTGGGCCTGCCTGACCTAACCTGGTAGTTAAAATTCAACCAATGACCTAGCAACCAATGTTATCCATAGATTCCAGACATTGTATGGAAGGACATTGTGAAACTTCCCATTCTGTTCTGTTTCACTCTGATTACTGGTGCATGCAGCCCCTGTCACTTACCCCCTAGATTGCTCAATCGATTATGGCCCTTTCATGTAAAATCTTTAGCGTTGTGAGCCCTTAAAAGGGACAGAAATTGTGCACTCAAGAAGCTCAGATTTTGAGACGTTAGTCTGCGGATGCTTCCAGCTGATTAAAGCTACTTCCTTTACTACCTCAGTGTCTGTGGTGTTTTGTCCGTGGCTCATCCTGCTACACCATGACAGCAGGGTTTGTTTTTTTTCTCCTATTTTGCTTACTATTGTGTTGTCAGTGCTTGCAACAGTGCTTGAAACATAGTCAACACTCAGTAAATATTTGAAAGAATAAATAAATACATTTTCTAATATCACTTACTACATAATACTGTAATTTATCTCTTCACACTAAGTATATAATAGGCACTCAATGAATATTTGTTGAATTAATAAATAATAAAAGTCTTTTATGAACCCTAAAGCACTCATACAATGCTTTATCTTATGAAACCTGAAAATTTGAAACAGGTCTCAGTTAATTTAGAAAGTTTATTTTGCCAAGATGAGGATGCTTGTCCATGACACAGCCTCAGGAAGTCCTGATAACATGCACCCAAGGTGGTCAGAGCACAGGTTGGTTTTATACATTTTAGGGAGACATGAGACATCAGTCAATATATGTAAAATGAACATTGGTCTATCCAGAAAGGTGAGACAACTTGAAGTAAAAGTGGGGCAACTCAAAGCAGAGAGGGGGCTTCCAAGTCACAGGTAGATGAGAGAAAATAGTTTCATTATTGTGAGTTTCTAATTAGCCTTTCCAAGGAGACAATCAGATATGCAGTCATCTCAATGAGCAGAGAGATGACTTTTAATAGAATGGGAGGCAGTTTTGCCCTAAGCAGTTCCCAGCTTAAATTTTCCTTTTAGCTCAGTGATTTTGGGGGCCCAAGATATTTTTCTTTCACATTTTCCCCCTTTTCTTTTGAAAAATCTTTTAGAGAAAGCATATTAAAAGAAAATGAGTCTTTGGTCTCCAGTTTCATCTGATCTCTTATGGCTAGGATGTTTTATTCCTAGAAAGGTAGGCCCCAAGTTATTAGGAAAGCTCATTTTTAGAAGGTTTTGAAGTCTCATGTCCTGTGAAAAGAAAATAGGGGTAAAAAAGGGAGGAAAACAACAACAAACAAAAGAACAATCCTGGAAAATCGATATAGGCCACATAGTCTGAAGTTCATACATCAGTAGCCAGATATGAAAGTCACTTATGTATGTATATAGGACTATTATTTTCTTCTGAAGTTAAGTTTTCTAGCTTCAGTATTCATGGCTTTATGAAAGCACAGCTTAGTTTTCAGTAATTTCAAATTAGGAAAAATGGGGAAAAAGGAAAAAAATAAAAGCATTATTTTGCAGTTTTATAGTCAAGAAAAATTAGAATTTGGTTCAAACTGTAGAAAATAATAAAAATTAAAAAAATTAGGCAAGGCTAGACTCTAACAACAAGTGTACTACAGTTTTTGAAACAGAACTTTTCTCTCTTCAGTTTTCCATTTTAACTAAAGACAAATTATGGTAGGACTGGTTAGCTTTATTATACTTGGCCTAATTATTTGTATACAGTGCAGCAAGAATAATTATTTTTTACATAGACTTGGGTTGACTTTGATGAAACTTTGTTCCATAGAAGGAATCTCAGATGAAACTTTTTTTTTTTTTATTTCTTTAAGAAGAAATACGGACTTTAATGAAGAGTTTTCCTTTTGGTATAAGTGAGACCATGGAAACATCCAAACAACAACAAAAGGAGGGCAGGATGAAAACAGTGAACTCTCCATTAACCACAAGGCCAAAAGAGCGGGGTCTGTTTGCTGTGGTGTGGCCACTCCAGGCCTAGGCTGTTCCAGGCCTGTAGAAGGTACTCATTAATTGTAGGTTTGCATTTATCATCCGTGAAACTGACAGGCATTCAGGCAAACTTCTGCCTCTCAGCCTCGCAGTAAGAGGCCCAAGGTTTTCTAGTCCTAGCTGGAAATCAATTTCATCTGCCTCAGGTCTCTGGTATAAAAGATAATGCTGCCGGTCCCAGTTACCTCACAGGCCTGGGTGAGGAAAATGCCAAGAGCTGTAAAAGGGCTCAGAAAAGTCAAAAAGGTGATGTATAAATGTAATAATTGATTATCATTTTGTGCTCAAGAATAAGCCATGGAAAACAAAATTAGAAAAGTAAGTCTACAGCCCTAAAATATATGCATATAAAATTTTAAAAGAATGCAGTTCCAACTCTACAGATAGTATTTGGGGATTGTCTACTGCTTTAGAGTCTCAATGCCCCTTTTCCTACCTCCACAAAATCCACCTGGGAGCATTAACTGTACAAGAGGCCCAAATTCAGTCACCCCCACCCCCCTCCCAGAAAGGGAAGCAGGGCAGAGGCTCCAGGAGGGAGGGCTACACTTTGGCTGTAGAGTACAATAGGCATGCAACATGGGAGGGTGGGCCTTATGAAATGTATATACACACGCCTTGGGGTGAGGGCACCCCCCCCCCGGCCAGGAGGCACTGAGCAAGGGAGGGATCCATCTCCTCCCTGGCCAGGAGAGGGCCCTGGGGCAATCTCTAAGGGTTACATATCCCCAGGGAGAGGAGACAGCTGCCACTCCTGCCTCTGTTCTCCCAACCCAAACTGGAGAGGGTGCTGAGCAAGGAGAAGACAGGTCCCAGAAACCAAGAAGGTGTTGGCATCCCTGTCATTGAACTCAAGGTCCCAAAAACTCTTTGCATAAAATATCTTCAGACCTAAGAGATGGTCAAAGGCACAAAGTTTAAACATGGGGGTGGGGGTGTTGAGAGGGGTCTGGAGTACCCTGAAACCCAGAGGTGTGATTCGTTCCCCCTTGCCCAGAAGGGTGACTGTTCCACTGGGCCTATCACCACAGGACATTTTCCATGACAAGCACTCACCTTCTTGGGGAAGGGACATCAGGTTGGCACAGAAAAGGCCCAGGTAAGGGGCCACTCTGTACATTAATACTTTGATGATTGATTAATGCTTGGGGAGAAGCAGTATTCTCCCCCAAGTTTCTGACTCAAACCCTCTCACTCAGCTGGATATGAAACCCAGTGTCCACACTACTCCCAGCTCTGACACAAAGCCATGCCCACAGAACACTCCCAACTGAGGTCCTGAGAGTTAGGGAATAGGGTGGAAAGGGGTTGGAGGGCATCTTCTGGAAGAGAGCGCTGGGGCAGATCACAGTTTCTGCTCCACAGGTTGCTGTAGACACAATTCACTGCCAGCAGAGGTGATGGGCAAGTGATTGTCCATGTGGTAGCTGATGAGGTGACTGACACTCTCAAAGCGGTGATCCTTTGTCCGAACTACACCCTCAGGGTCCACCAGTAGCAGATGCTTGGACTCCCCACTCTGCAAGCCAGTGAGCACATACTGGCCAGGTGTGGTCATGCTCTCCTGCACCAGGAAGTCCCCATTGAACTGCAGCAGTGCCTCAGCCCCCTGCTAGCTCAGCTTCCCTTGGAACCAGGGTCCCCTCAGAGCTGCTTAGCCATGGACACCAACTGGGGAAGAGGAGGCATGTGAAGAGTGTCTTCAAAGGGCTTCATGTCAAACAGGTCTCAGGGTGTGCTGCCATTGATGGCAGGATTGGGGGTCCCAGCACCACCCCCTGCTTGCCGGGCCTTGTCTAGGTTCTGCACGTTGACATTGGAGGGATCATCAAAGAGCTCTCTGCCTGGACAGGGTGGTGGAGGTGGCATCTATTTGCAAACTTCTGGATCTCCCCCAACAGACTGTCCTACAGGCAGTGTAGATCCCAAGTGGCTGGGGGTCTGGGCACTGGGTGGAGTGGGTCGAGCAGCCCCTGGAGTGGCTCCTTCCCGAAGCCTCATGTATACCACATGCCAAAGAGGGGATTCCTTCCCAGGAAGTCATTATAGTGCTGATGGCCAGGCGGCTCTTCCTCCTCCTCATCCCAAGCTAAGCCATCAAAGCCAGTCATCCTGTCATGGGGGGTGACCAGTTTGGGTGGTTTTCTGAGGTATTGTTTAAAGTGCAACTTGAAGGCCTGGCCAGTGGTGCTGATGACATCCTGAGCAAGCCCTTCAGGACACTCCAGAATGTGGCATGCTTTCTGACTCACAGGGTCTTTGGCAACGTTGGCGACATACTTGGCTGTGTCCGGATCCCCACTGGATGCAAGTGAGATAGATTGCATATGGTGGTTAGTGATAATCTGTTTGCAGTCTGCAACCATGACGTTGAGGCTGCTGGTGGAGATGGTGAGAGTGATTGTCATTGCAGCAAATTTCAGGTTACTCCTTCCCAAGATAGAGCTGAGTGGATGGTTACAGGGCTTTCTCCTCCTTGTCACCCCCTTGGCACCTGGCACAGCCTCACACACAAAACTGATGGCCTCCCTGGTGACCTGAGTCCAGGTGTTGAAGTCCAGGGCACTCATTGACTGCAGGACCTCCACACAGCCCATGTACCAAACCAAGTAGGAAACCCCAGGTCTCGTGACTTTGTCATTGGGATGCAGCTAGCCCCACATGGGCTTATTGACAAAGCTCCCATGGCGGGTCCACTCCTCACCCCCCAGCTGGCCCCCTTCCACCTGAGTCCTGCACCCACCACCTCCACTCAGCTTGTTCATGTCCTGGAGGAGGGGTAGGGGAATGAGTCTGGCATGGTTGCCCCTACAATGCCCTCCCCATCATTGGCTGCCCTTCCTGGCTCCCCATTAGGCCCCAGGTGTCCCCCGGCCCAATTGGCCAGCCTCAGGTTGCTCATCCAGGGGAAGAAGGAGCACAGGGTAGTGGGACTATGGTTCCCAGGCAGAGGGGGCAGGATGGGCCCCAGGGATGAGGCTGATGGGGAAGGCAGCTCCTCTGGTGGGGTGGACCCTGAAGGCCCCTCCTCCAGCGATGACAGAGACTCATTCCACAGTGGATTGCACTTGGACTTGGGGGGCAGGAGATTCATAGCTGAGGTAAGAGAGGGGCTGCTGCTCAGCCTGGCCCCTCTGTCAGTTTGGGCAAGGAGGCCAGGCAGGGGGTATGCCCAAGCCCTTAGCCTGATCGGACCTCTGTGGCCCAGGAGTCACAGAAGTCCTGGGGAATGAGAGGGACAGGTGGTTTCTGCTCCCCAGCTCACACCCAGACAGTTTTGGGCCCCATCCCCACCCAATGTGGAGCCTCTTCCTCAGATAAAACTTTTTAAGCTGAGCCCAGCCATGGATTTGTATCATCAAATACCTATAAGTTGGGTAAGTTTCCTCTCCTCTTGAGGTTCCAAGATAAACCTGGGGCTCCTGGACCTGTCAGAAAGTGGCATTCTTTAACTACCACAGGTCAGAAACCCTGTACAAGGGTTGTGTAGACAAAGGTATGAGGGCAGTTTTGATTCCTTAAAGTAAAGCACACTATTCCAGTCAAAGCCCTGGTAAAATAATCAGCTTCTCCAATTGTGTCCTGTTGCAAATGAAAACAGATTCTTTATGCAAATAATTGTATTGTCATAAGTTAAGAATACTTAAAAATAGTTTCCAAATCCTGGAGAAATCAGGTAGAGAGAAAAAAATATGCTCCAAATTTTGTTCAGCGGAACATACTAAATTGTTAAAAGCTGTCAATAGCTTTAAAGAAAAGTTTCGAGACTAAAAAACCAAACAAAGGATCAGCAACATTTTTAGTGAAAAGTCAAAAAGATTAGTCCAGTCCATGCCATTAATTCCTGTTTTGCTTGATAGTCATTAAAGTTTTAGCTCTCCATGAGTCCTGAAACTGTTTATTCTCATGTCACAGTCTCCAAAGTTATCAGAAACCTGCATTCAAGAGCACTTGTTAAGAACTTTATAGCTAATTATAAAACTACCTTCTAAAGAAGACCAAAACAACATGACAATTGTCTATGGATAACAAAAATTTTAGGGCAGCCATACTCAAAGACACAATTGACAATGAAATGTGTTATTTCTGTGGCACACAATAATTTTAACATAACAATTATTATTATTACCGATAATGAACACTAAATCATATCAGAATTACAGGAGTTTCCCATAATTTTGGAAAACATACCAATAACATATTTATACAAATACACCCCAAAGAAAACCAAACACAATTTCATATTTGACAATGCTTCCTGTATATTTTTTGTACCAAATAAGTCAAATTATGTCATTTTTGAACTTTAGGGAACATAATATCTTGAAGAATTAATCAGGTCCAAAAATACATAATCTATCATTTCATTTTGGAAACCTTGTCAAATATAAAAGGTTTAAAACACTTGATATTACAAAATAGAATCACATGTCATTGTAAAATATGTCATTCTCAATGAATCACCAAAGTGATAACTCAAGGGTTTCAAAAAAAAAGGCAAAAAACATTATCTGTTGTGAGAGGAGACTTGATTTTCAAAATAACTCCTAATAACAGCATGAAGCCGATTAAATTTGTTTCTCAAAATTTTATAAACAATCTATAAAATTTTAATTTTTGACCATCAGATATAACCTCCATAAGCCTTTATAACCTTTATTAAGGAGTTGGTTAATGCTTCAAGAAAACCTTGTTAATTTGACACAGGGGCCCATATGCTGGTTTTGCATCATTGTGTCTCTGACATTAATGATTAATTTATAGTGAAACTGAATTTATTTTATCTTTCAAAATCAGCCCTTACAATCTTCCATGTCCAACTTTTCCATGATAGTCTCTGGGTCTTGAGTTGACATAGCTTGAATTTTTGGCCTGTATCTCAGGAATACAGTTTATTTTGGTTGGCATCTTCTACAGGGCCTGAAGATGAGACTTTAATTGCTCTCAGTGTTTAAGATCTAGCAAGACTTGGTGCACTTTTTACACCCAGGAGTCAAAGCCCTGTAACTCAATGTCACAAGGACATTAAAAGCACATAAAGGAAGATACATGAATGTAATAACATTAATTAAAAAAATTAAATCTCAGTTTTTTCCTAAGCAAACCAAATGTAATAATAATGGCATAGAAATTATTTTGATAAAACTTACAATATATTAGTCCAGTTACCAAAAGGCAAAATAAAAGACCTTCTGCAGTGCACAGAATATTACGTTGGAAGAAAACATTTCCTTTAGACCTTTAAGAAAATGTACCTTTTAAAAGGGGAGTGAGAGAAAGCTGAAAAACAGTGAGATGCAATGAAAGTTGAACTTTTGGTTAAAAGAAATTAAAATATCTTATAATTTATAAAGAGTAAATCAACCCCTTAAGAAAATTTCATTGTTCTAACAAATGATTTAGTGTATGTGTTTTTTTTTTTTTTTACATCAAGCCCAATCTCTAGAAAGAGCATTATAATTTTTCTTTAATTATATACAACTTGATCATATAAAAGGGTTTTTTTTTTTTTTTTAAATCCTCTTTTGTGACTTACACAGACCACTCATGACATGCTGGAACTTTCTGGTTCATCCTGAATATCACTCTTTCTAAAACAACTAGTCATTTTATTTTAGGTCTAAATTTACCATACAAGATTCTTTCTCATATAAAATTATTTCTCATTAAGCTTTCTTCCATAAAAAACCTCTCTATTTTTATAACTTTCTTTACATCTCTTATTTCCTGCTTCCTTTTCCTTGTTTTATATATAATCTTTAAATAAGGTTCAAATTACACAAAAGTTTTCATCATTTTAAAAAGTACACACTTTTTTAGCAAGAATGTTTTCCTATAATATATTTTTATTGGAAAATACCCAAATAATGAAATATCTATTATTTAATTTAATATAACTGTATATTCTAAGTTATGACAAGTTTGTCTACAAGTATTTATCCCATTATGTTTACTCATTTTATTTTAATTGTTTACATAGATTATTTAGGAAAACTGTGATAGTCATCATTTAAAGTTATTGAACAACAATTGCAAAATTATAACTGAGACAGAGAAAAATATTTGACCTAACTGACTCCATCTTGCTTTTAACCTCCAAGCTGTCCTTGTTCATTCCTGGGCATAGGCTGAACTAACTTTGGGAGGAACTTAGTTTATAGTTTAGCTTTGAAATGAATATGATAACAGTCCTTTCTGAAAACAAACCTTATTGCCAGGGAACTAGACTGCCTAAAGCCACAGGATTAGAAGCTATGATAATCTTACTAAATTCAAGATGCAGCTATTTTCATTAAACCAATATCAATCTTATAAACCAATATCAGTCTTATTTATTAAAACTACACAAGAAAATATTATTCTGTTTAGGGTTGGGTTTATAGTTTTGCAATCCCTATGCCAAATTTTGACAACTTACAGTATTTGGCAGGAATAAGTATGAAATCGCTTGATTAATAAATGCAAATAAAATGTATGCTGGCAATTCTTAAGACATTTCTAATATTACTTTACCAATAATTTTAAAGCTAGCTTATTTAATAAAAACTTTAAGTTACATAAACTTGAAAAAGTATTTGACTAGTCTTTTCTTTTTTCCTGACAAAGTATTTGATTCAAGTGCTTTTATTTTCTTAAGCCAATTAATTAGAGCTCTTTATATATTTTCAGTAGTGAAACATTTTGTACACAACACACAAATACATAGATGTATTAGGCATGCTAATAGAAGTACATCTTATAGATTTTCAAAACCTCCTCTTTTTTTTCCTGTCTTAAACTTGCAAACTCTTGATAACTTGTTTCCTTACCCTGGCAGTTGTCAGCTTCACAGCCCTAAATCTGCATATTAAAGGAAACAATTCTGGTGAAAATCAGATAGCAAAATTTACATTATAAGGTACAAAGAGACTGTCTGGTGAGCTAGAGGGAAATTGAAAGGGATTTAATTGCCAATTGAACATAAAATTATAGTAGTCTATTATAAAGGCCTTCAAATATATACACAAACATATACATACACACATACTACACACACAAAGATTCTATAGCTTTTACTTCAGCCATGAGATAAATACAAATTCACCAGCTTGTAAAAAAAAAAAAAAAAGTTAGATCCAAACAGTGGTTTTTATTTCAGTGGAAAATAACGGCAGATTTAAAGCAGGCAGAAAAGAAAAATATAGAAAATTGGGACCTACAAACTCTATAGTCTGCAGGTCAACCTTGGGACTCTTTTACTTTAATGTAAATATGCACAAAAACCATATTACTTCCATTTTACTCTGGTAAGTAGAGGTTCCATAAAACTTACAGAGTGCTCAAAACGGGGTCATTCTCCTTATTTTCTCTTCATTCTTAGATTATTCATTTCCTACTTTTTTTTTTTTTCTTAAAAGGAGAAACTGAGCTGTGGCCTAGGGGTTTTGTGTTGTGGATCAATATGTGCTGCTTGTGGGCAGGACTCCACAGTTGGTCACAACTGAGTCAATTCCACCCTCTTACGTGTCTCAGTTTCACTCCAGAGGTCTATAACCTCTGAGAGGGCTCAAAATGCCAGATGATCAGCCCTTATATGTGTT
Organism: Homo sapiens; assembly: GCF_000001405.40. Taxonomy (NCBI): domain Eukaryota; kingdom Metazoa; phylum Chordata; class Mammalia; order Primates; family Hominidae; genus Homo; species Homo sapiens. Next base: position 64,427,914 of record NC_000023.11, on the reverse strand, counting down.
TCCTGGATGAGACATTTTTAAAATTATTTTTCTTGGGGATTTCTCTACAGGGTCACTGCATGTCATGCAGGTCAACCCCCTAGAAACTCCTACAAGGCTCCTGATCACCCAGGGGTGCCTTTCAGCTTGGAGGAGCAAATGCCCTTTCTCTTTGGAGCTGAGGAAATCTCAGCCTGTCATTAACATATGAAAACAACAGTTCAGTTCCTCATGCAAATGTGCACAGACAAATTGAATTAAGATTAATTCTGGGAGAAAAATCAATAGAGAAGACCCTTTAGAATGCATCTCTGAACAAGAATTAGGATCCTTAAACAACAACTTCCTAGGAAAGAAAAGAAAGAAAAAAGAAAAAAAAAAAAAAAAACCAGCCAAGACAACTTCCTGTAAACTGTGCTCAGTCACCCATAACTTTGTAGCTCTTGTGTGCCACCATACATACCAAGGTCAAATCCTCTCACAATGCAAAAGCCAAAAAGGTCAGGTCATGCAATACAGGAAAACAGAGGTTTAGGCCTAAAAATAATCTGAATTCTTTAAAGGAGTTCAAGTCATTAGAAGCCCTTTCTAGATTTTTTGGTACTGCAGATGGCAAATGGGGAAGGAGGTATAGGGTGAAAGAAAAGTAAATGAAAATAACAATTATGGAATTTTTTAAAGACAAGAAGCAAACACAGAAACCAAACACATGGTTTCCATTTTCTCCTTTTTTTTTTTTTTTTCCTTTTGCACCTGTGAGGAATTTTAGCCAAACTAGAGAGGACTTGTTACACACAATTTGGAATTCTCACTCGGATTTGACCAAGTCAGGCAGAGTAGGTCAAATCTGTTGGGAGAAACACTGGAACAAACAACAACAAAGCCCAGCAATATGATCATTGAGGAGTGCTCTAATGGTAAAGAGAAATTAATATCAACTGGTTGTTAATCTTAACTTTAGCCAAGACAAACCCCAATTCAGTTACTTACCTAGGGATGGGTCTCAGGGTGAAGACTGCTCTCTACCACCTTAGAAGCAGAAAAAGAACCCTTATCTTCCCTGTTGGAAGTGAGCTCAAACTCCATAAAGGAGTTATCTGCCTTCCATTGTCATGGAAGCAGGAAAAACTTGCCTTTCTTGTGTTGGAAGCAAGTAACACTCCAAAAAGGAAGTGGAGTTGTACTGCAAAATAAACTTTAGATCTTGACCAAATCTGGGGAGAACAGGGATTCTCTGGAGGGTGTTCTCTCAGACCTCAGCAAAATTTCCTATTGATTTGAGCCATAAAGTTAGCTCATGCTGGTACCAAGCACCGATAGGAGATTTGTCAAATGTCAGGGGCATCTCCACTCAGAATCCCTTCATGGTAACCAAATGAGAACCTGAAAATTTGAGACAGGGCTCAGTTAATTTAGAAAGCTTATTTTATCAAGGTTGAGGATGCCTGCCCTTGACAAAGCCTCCAAAGGAGGCAATCAGATATGCATTTGTCTCAGTGAGCAGAGGGATGACTTTAAATATAATGGGAGTCAGGTTTGCCCTAAGCAGTTCCCAGCTTGAATTTTCCTTTTAGCTTAGTGATTTTGGGTGCCGAAGATACTTTCCTTTCACAAACTTTTTTTTTTTTTTTTTGAGACAGGGTCTCTCTCTGTCACTCAGCTGGAGTGCAATGGCACAATTAGCCCACTATAACCTCAAACTCCTGTGCTCAAGGGATTCTCCTGCCTCACCCTCCTGAGTAACTGAGACTACAGGTGTGTGCCACCATACCCGGCTCATTTTAAATTTTCTTTTGTAGAGATGGGGGTCTCAATATGTTGCTCAAGCTGGTCTCAAACTCCTAGGCTCAAGCCATCCTTCTGCCTTAGTCTCCCAAATTGTTGAGATTGCAGGCATGAGCCACCACACCCAACTAAACCATGCTTTATCATTAACAAATGGCCATTCTCTTTCCTTCTAGACCACAAGGATGAGGCTGTTTGCTGCTGCTCCTAAGAGCTGCTCCAACACTTTACACAAAAGGCAGCACTTCTTTCTACCCCTCCCCTGTCACCTTAATATCAATTAAAGCCTTTGCTGTAATTGGAGCTTTAAATCCAAGGTTTCTAGATTCTGTTGTCAACCACACGGGTGTTCAGTCTGCCTCCTTCCTCCTACCTGATACTGTAAACCAAAAATGAAATTTTAAGCCGTGCCCCACTCATCTGAATTTCCCCCTCCTCTTCGCTAAGGGTATTTCAGAGTTAACCTGAAAATCTAGTTCAGGCCATGATGGAAGAGGGGGTTGGACATGCCTCATTATACCCCTCCAGTATTAACATTAACACAGACCTTAAGTATGATTAAAAAAAATTACAATCTGTTTTCCCTGGAGTCTGCTATCTGAAGGCTTCATCTGTATGATAAATCATTGGTCTCCATAACCCCTTATCTTCCCCAGACATTCCTATATACTGATAATAACTCTTTCAGCCAATTGCCAATCAGAATATGTTTAAATCTATCTATGACCGGGAATCCTCTGCTTCAAGTTATCCTGCCCTTCCAGATCAAACCAATGTAAATCTTACATGTATTAATTATTGCCTCATGTCTCCCTAAATTGTATAAAAGCAAGCTGTACCCCAACCACGTTGGACACATGTTGTCAGTTCCTCCTGAGGCTGTATAATGGGTGCATCCTTAACCTTGACAAAATAAACTTTCTTAGCTGACTGAGACCTGACTCCAATATTTTGGATTTACAATACCTACAGCATTTTTACATTTTCCAAAGCACGTTGTTTCCATTCATTCATTTTATCCCCATACCAACCCTGCAGGGACCAACATTTTCACATTCTAGGTGAAGAACCAGAGGCCAGGAGAGGTGACGTGGCTAGGATTCAGATTTCAAGCCTTTTCACTCAGCTGTAAATGCCATTGTAGACAACTTGACGTGAAAACAAATATATAAAGAAGTGAATATGCAACTTGTAGAACTCCTAATTAGCAAACAATATGTATCTTTACTGGGGTAATGTGCAAGTATTAGCAGCAGTGAATCCATATGGGTCTGCAGCAACCTCAATTATTGCCTCCTCAGAAGAAATAATTCAACCGAGGGGTATTAAACCCAAATGTCCAACAATGATAGACTGGATTAAGAAAATGTGGCACATATACACCATGGAATACTATGCAGCCATAAAAAATGATGAGTTCATGTCCTTTGTAGGGACATGGATGAAATTGGAAATCATCATTCTCAGTAAACTATCACAAGAACAAAAACCCAAACACCGCATATTCTCACTCATAGGTGGGAATTGAACAATGAGATCACATGGACACAGGAAGGGGAATATCACACTCTGGGGACTGTTGTGGGGTGGGGGGAGGGGGGAGGGATAGCATCGGGAGATATACCTAATGCTAGATGACGAGTTAGTGGGTGCAGCGCACCAGCATGGCACATGTATACATATGTAACTAACCTGCACAATGTGCACATGTACCCTAAAACTTAAAGTATAATAAAAAAAAAAGAAAAAAAAAGAAAATAACCCTGACTAAAAAAAAAAAAAAAAAAAGACAGAAGAAGAGACAAAGGCAAGTTTTATAGCAGGAGTGAAAGTTTATTGAAATGTTTTAGGGCAGGAATAAAAGGAAGTGAAGTACACTTGAAAGAGGGCCGAGTGGGTGATCTGAGAGATCAAGTGCGCAGTTTGACCTTTGACTTGGGGCTTTATATGTTGGCATGCTTCCGGAGGGTTTTGTTTCTTCTTCCCTAATTCTTCCCATGAAGTGGGCTGTCCACATACACAGTAGCCTGCCAGCACTTGGGAGGGGTCACGTGCAGTGGATTTACTAAAGTTGTATGCATGCTCACTTGCAGCATTTTTCCCATACAAGTCCACTGTTCCTAGAAGAAGTTCATCTGCCATTTTGCCTCTTAGTGCACATGCTTGAGCCCACTCACACAACTCCTGAGATGTTATTGAAAAGCTGCTTATTACCAAGTTCAGATGTTCTTATCTATTGGGAGACTGCCTTTTCCTGGTGCTGGCTGTGATCAATTATTATTTTAGAGAGATAGTTATCAACCTCCTGACCATCACCTGATGGTTGCCTGACATTCTTGGTTGGAAAAAGGGGCAGTCTCCTGCCCTGCTTTTGAGATATCTGTTTTATGTTATTTTCCTGTCTGACGATAATAGCTCCATCTGGACTCACCAACCACTCCTGTGGCCCCACCCAGAAGCAACTCTGTGCAAGAGGACAGCTTTGTCTCCCTATGATTTAATCTCCAACCTAACCAATCAGCACTCCCCATACCATAGCCCCCTGCCAACTAAACTGTATTTGAAAAATCCCTAACATCTCAGCCTTTGATGAGATTAATTTGAGTAATTACCCCATCTCCTGTGTGGTATGGCTGACTTCACATAAATTAAACTTCCTTTACAGCAATTCCATGGTCTTTGTTTGTGCAGCAAGTAGAAAGAACTCATCTGATGGTTACAGACATGGACTTGAGATCGTTAAAGAATGAAGGGAGGAGCAGAGACAGGGAGTCAGAAAGAATTCTGAGAACACCATGGGAGAAACTGAGATGCATATCCTGAAAACAGAGGAGTTCGATGTGAATAGACTGTAGAATGCTATAGAGAAAAAGTGGGTACCAAGGCGGCAGAGGAAGGTAAGAGTAGCTTCTGAAGGGACCTGAGTTCCATTATGGGCACCGAAAACACCATGGGCTAATGGTGGATGGAGAGAGGAGATGGGTCCTCTCAGTGAGACTCAAGCTTTTCTTTTCTGGCCTTTATCCCTCCTATTACAGCCTTCTCTGATATCTTCTGGACATAGGAGAGCCGCAGTGGTTTCTCTTCACATTCAGTTCAAGCTTATTTGTACAAGAAACATTCAGTCTCCAGGGAAAGACTTCACCATAGAAACAGGCTAGGGCCATTTCCTGGCCCAGCAGTGAAGTGCTTCCTTCTTGCTGGAAAAGGCAGAATTTCTGCTGGGTGGCCACCACCTGGGCTCCTTTCCCTTTCCCAGCCTACCAGTTGTGAGCCTCAGTCAGCCTTAGGTCCAATTAAGTTTCTTGTTCAATGGGGCATATGGTTGCTTTAGCTTGTCCTCTAATGATTTGGCTGGGCCCCTCCAATGAACTGGCAAGGTCCCTTTTCTTCAGTGGTTCTATTTTTGTCTCTTTATTTGGGAGATCCAGGCTTCAAATACTAGTGTAGAAGGCTCAATTATCTTAAGAATTCATCTTCCTCTCTCTCCAGCTCACCTCCCTCTCCATTCAGGGATCTGTGTCATGCCATACTGATGCTCTGTCCAAGATGAGGACTCTAGTGAAGGAAATTTCACATTAAATTATTTCTCTGGCTCATTGTCCCACCACTTTTTTGAGCTCTTAGCAGCGCCAGAGCAAAACAACCTTAGGGGTTTAGTTAACTAGGAGCTCAATATGAGTCAGCGGTGTGATGTGGCTGCCAAAAAAATTAATACGATTTAATCAGAAAACAGGGCCCAGAAGGAAAGTGGCAAGAGCTTTATGCTGCTTTGCTGCTCCACCCTGGGAGGCAGTGCCTGCTGCTTCACTGCCATGATTAAGGATGCTACAGATGGAAAGAAAAAAGGGCACTGTCCTGGGAGACTGCAATGACACTGGCCTCCTGTTGGTTTCTCACCAGACCAAGAATGTTCCTGCCTTAAAGGGCTTTGAATAGGCCATTCTCTATGCCTAAAACACTTCCTGCAGTTTTTGACATGGCTCGTTCCCTTACTTCCTTAGGCCTGTGTACAGATATATTTTCTCCAGAGAGGCTGCCTCAAACCCTCTATTTAAAATAGTTCCTCCCATCATTGTCTATCTTCTCTGACACTTCATTATCTTTATAGCACTTACAATCTTCTGATTCAAATTATCTGTCATCATAGGGTTTTGTGTGCTTTGTCCACTGTTGTGTCTATAACAATACCTGACAAATATTAGAGCTGGCTGGAAATTTACCTAGGAAGCCTCTTTTTAGGCTTTCTTGACATTTTCACTAATTACTTAGCCAATGCCTGGATTGGTATGTATTGGATAAATTGATGAATGTATTGGCAATGACGTTGCATGGGGGTTTAAACATTGGATGGGGGTTTGCCTAGACCCACACCACCCAGTACGGTAGTTACTAGACACATGTGACTATTGAGCACTTGAAATGAGGCTTGTCTGAATTGTGATGTATTGCAAATGTAAAATATACAACAGATTTTGAAGCTTTGGCAGAAACACATGTAAAATATTTCTGTAATCATGTTTTTATTGATTATATATTTAAATAATAATTTGAATGTACTAGGTTAAATAAAATATATTCCTAAATTTACGATCACCTGCTTCTTTTTTCTTTTTAAATGTGTCCACTAGAAAACTTAGAATTACATATGTAACCAGCATCATATCTGTATTAAGTAGCACTGCTTTGGAAATTTTGACCACCTCCGTGTTTAAACTGTCACCTTTACAAGCTTGTGAGGTGTGTGTGTGTGTGTGTGTGCGTGCGTGCATGTGTGTGTGGTAGAGGTAGCTCTTTGTAATTTACACAGAAGAGGGTTCTTCATAATCACTGCTACTAGGGACTGGTGACAGCAGGGTCAAATAAGCACTATGATTTATTACTCTACCTCATCTTTCTCATTTGTGCCATTTGTCATCCAAGCTTGTCACAGAGCTGGTAGCCACAAGCCAGAATAAATGGCTACATTTTTTTAACCTTCTTTCTTGCTGCCCACCCATGTTTCCCCTGATGGTGACATTAATGAACACATAAATGGTGCAAAGGTGAGCTACAAATTGGAAGAAGAAAATCTAGCCACAAGCACTCCGAACCATCCACACCCTGCAAAATCCACCACTTCAGAAAATATATCTCTGCCTGATAAATAATTTTATACCTGTAACCAACTCCCACAGCAGATCTGTATGCTGGGTTATCCCAAGAAGGCAATAGAAAAGTAAGAGACTTTTTCTAATTATCCTCTAGGAAATTAGAAAGTCGGGAACTAAAGCTCACTTGTGGGTGAAAAGTTAAACAAGAATGAAGAACAGTCATCCAAGAAATGATGGGAAAAAAGTGATTAAGAGGAAAACAAATGACCCAGAAAGTTGGTGCTCTAGGAGTTCAAATAAGGGATAGGTCTAAGGGCTAAGACAGTCAGAGAAAGCTTTTTGGTGGGGGTAGTACTTGAGCTATTCCTTGAAGAATGTGTGTGATGTTTCAAGATCCACGATTTCCAGAGCTTGAAGGACCCTACATGACATAGTGCACTTCTCATTGTACAGATAAGAAAACTGAGGCCCAGAGAGAAATAAAATCACAGGAAAATGTTGAGATTAGAACTAAGATTATTTTCATGTTTCTCAACTTCAAACTATACCACAGGGCTACTGTAAGCAAAAGAGCATGATACTGCGACAAATACAAATAGACCAGTGGAACAGAATAGAGAGCCCAGAAATAAGGCCACACACTTATGACCATCTGATCTTTTATGAAATCAATGAAAACAATAAATTCAATATTCAATATTATTCAATAAATAATGCCAGGATAACTGGCTAGCCATATGCAGCAGATAAAAACTGGACCATTTCTTCTGCCATATTCAAAAATTAACTCAAGATAGATGAAAGACTTAAATGTAGAACCCAAAAGTATAAAAACCCTGGAAGACAACCTAGGCAATACCATTCTGAACATAGAAACTGGCAAAGGTTGCATGACAAAGACACCAAAAGCAATCACAACAAAAGCAAAAATTGACAAATATCTCATTAGACTTAAGAGATTCTGCACAGTAAAATAAACTATTAACAGAGTAAAGAGACAACCTACAGAATGGGAGAAAAATTTAGTGAACTATGCATCTGATAAAGGTCTAATATCCAGCATCTACAAGGAACTTAAACAAATTTACAATAAAAAATACCAAACAATTCCATTGAAAAGTGGGTAATAGACATGAACATACACTTTTCAAAAGAAGACAAACATGTGACTGACAAGCACATGAAAAAAATCTCAATACCACTGATCATTAGAGAAATGCAACTCAAAACCACAATGAGATACCATCTCACACCAGTCAGAATGGCTATTACAAAAAATTCAAAATAACAGATGCTGGCTAGGTTGTGGAGAAAAAGGAATGCTTATACACTGCTGGTGGGAGTGTAAATTAGTTCAGTCATTGTGGAAAGCAGCATGGCAATTCTTTAAATAGGTAAAAACAGAACTGCCATTATTCCCAGCCATTCTATTACTGGGCATATACCCAAAGGAATATAAATAATTCCACCATAATACATATGCATGTGTATGTTCATTGCAACACTATTTACAATAGCAAAGACATGTAATCAACCCAAACACCCATCAGTGGCAGATTGGGTAGAGAAGATGTGGTACGTATACACCATGGAATACTATGCAGCCATAAAAAGAATTCAATCCTGTTTTTTGCAGGAACATGGTTAGAGCTAGAGGACATTATCCTTAGCAAACTAACACAGAAACAGAAAATTAAATACCGCATGTTTTCACTTATAAGTGGGAGCTAAGTGATGAGAGCACATGTACACACAGAGGGGAACAACACACTGGGGCCTATCAGGGAGTGGAAGGTGAGAGGAGGGGGAGTATCAGAAAAAATAACTATTTGGGGGTTTGCCAAGATGGCTAACTAAAAGCAGCTAGTGTGCACAGCTCTCACAGAGAGGAATGCAAGGGGCGAGTAGATACAGTAACGTTAACTGAAACATCCAGGTGCATGCACTGGGACTAATCAAGAGAACAACTCAGCCGGGAGTGGTGGCTCACAGCTGTAATCCCAGCACTTTGGGAGGCTGAGGCAGGTGGATCACCAGGTCAGTTCGAGACCAGCCTGGCCAAGATGGTGAAACCCCATCTCTACTAAAAATACAAAAATTAGCCAGGCATGGTGGCAGGCCTGTAATCTCAGCTACTCAGAGGCTGAGGCAGGAGAATCACTTGAACCCGGGAGGTGGAGGTTGCAGTGAGCCGAGATCGCACCACTGCACTCTAGCCTGGGCAACAGAGCAAGACTCCATCTCAAAAAACAAACAAACAAACAACAAAAAGAAAGAAAGAAAAAACAGAAAAGAAAAGAAAAGAAAAGAAAAGAAAAGAAAAGAAAAGAAAAGAAAAGAAAAGAAAAGAAAAAGAAAACAACTCGACCCACAGGGAATGGAGAAAAGCAAGGCAAAATGACAGCCTACCCAGGAGTGACATAGAGCCAGGAGAACCTCTCCCATTCAGAAAAGCAGTGAGTAAATGTGCAACCCCAGAAACCTATGCTTCTCCCATGGATCTTTGCAACCCTAGGCTCAGGAGATCTCCTTGGAACCCACTCCATTAGGGCCTTCAGTCTGATATACTCAGCTACATGGAGTGTCAGCAGGGCAGCCACTCAAGCACACATAGAGACCTGGGAGCCTTAGATACCCAGGGTTTCTGGGCTTCTCAGCAAAAGTAGCGGCAACTCTAGTAAAGTGGGAAGTTAAACCCCTGTACATGCCTCTAGGAAAGGGGTTGAAACCAGGGGGCTGGGTAGCAACAGTTTTCAGGTCCCACTTTCATGGCACCTCACAGGATAAGACCCACTGGCTTGGAATCCCAGCCAGCCACTGGTATGAGTGTTGCAACTCCCTGAAACAGAGCTCCTGGGGGAGAGGTGGGCCACGATCTTTGCTGTTTGGGCTACTTAGCCATTTCAGCCTTAGGACTTTGGAGAGTCCAAGCCACCTGGGGACAGAACCAGTTCCCCAGCACACCACAGCTGCTCTATGAAAACGTGACCAGACTGCTTGTTACAGCGTGTCCCCAATCCTGTTCCTTATCACTGGGTGGGACCTCCCAACCAAGGTCTCCAGCCATCTCCGCTAGTGCTCTCTGGCTTGCAGAAATTTCAAACCTCCCTGGGATGAAGCTTCCAGTGGGAGGGACAGGACACCATCATTACTGTTTGGGTAACTTAGCCATTCCAGCCTTAAGACTTTGAAGAGTCCAAGTGAACTGGGGCTAACACAGACACCCAGCACAGCACAGCTGCTCTATGAAAATGTGGCCAGACTGCTTTTTAAAGTTCCCCATCTTGTTCCTCATCACTGGGTGGGACCTCCCAACCAAAGTCTCCAGCTACACCCACTGGTGTTCTCTGGCTGACAGAGGTTTCAAACCTCCCTGGAATGAAGCTCCAAGAGGAAGGAGTGGGCTGCCATCTTTGCTGTTTGGGTGACTTAGCTGTTTCAGTCTTTGGACTTTGGAGAGTCCAAGGTGTCTGAGGGCTGGAGCAGAGTCCCAGCACAGCACAGCTCCTCTATGAAAACGTGGCCAGACTGCTTTTTAAAGCAGGTTCCTGATCTCATTCCTCCACACTGGGTGAGACCTCCCAACCGAGTTCTCCAGCTACACCTGCTAGTGTTCTCTAGCCAGGAGAGGTTTCCAATCATCCTGGGATAGAGCTCCCAGAAGAAGGGGTGGGCCACAGTCTTTGCTGTTTGGGTGACTTAGCTGTTCCAGCCTTTGAGCTTTGGAGTCTCTGATATGACCAGGGGCTGAAGCAGACCCCTAGCATAGCACAGCTACCCTACAGAAATGTAGCCAGACTGGTTTTTTAAAGCGGGTCCCAGATCCCTTTCTTTCTCATTGGGTAGGACCTTTCAAATGGGGTCTCCAGCCACCTCCTAGAAGTGTGTTCAAGCCAGCAGCAGATGCATACCTCACTGGGACTGAGCTTGCAGAGGGAGGGGCAGGCTGTCATCTTTAATATTTTACAGCCTTCACTGTTGATACCTCTAGATACTGGAAAATCCGAGGTAACTAGGAAGTGGAGTGGGCCACTAGCATATCACAGCAGCCCTATGGAAAATTGGCCAGACTGTTACATGGGTGCCCATTTCTATAACTCCTCATTAGGCAGGTCCTCCAGGCCTGGGCCTCCAACCAGTCCCCACCAGAGCTGTTGAGCCAATAGCAGCTCTGCAACTTCCTGGACAGAGTCTCCAGGGGCAACTGAAAGCCTTTCTGCCACCACCTATGCAGTGGAATTGCCCTTGCTATCCTTGGACTAATGAAGGTGCGGAGACCCTAAGTCCACACCTGCAATAAGCTGTAGTTGAGCCAAGGAGAGAAGGCCAGTCCATCTCCCACAGGTCCCACCCACCCCCACTACTTGTCACCAGACAGGAAACCCACAGTTTGGGCACAGAACACAGACCCTTTATCCTGGGCTGATTGCACTGAGTGATGACTGACCTGCATCTTTCTGGGGTGGTGTCTCCAGGATACAAGCAAAAGACCCTTAGCTACAACCACTACTAAGTTCCCTTCCTCTGCTGTCTCCAAGTTTGGGAAGGAACATAAGCACTGATATCACCCCAGAGCTACAGTGGGCAGCCCAGGAGTGCCATGCTCCTATCTACAGCCAGCATTCAAGAGGGAGAGGAATCCACACTTTCAGAGCATTCAGAAGGAACATGGCTGTAACTGTGAGGAAACATAGGGAAATCACACAACTGAGCAAGAGCCTATCAACTGACTAATACACCTAAGTGCTACCTATCAGATTATACCCCAAAGCTTCAACACCAGAAATACCTTGCTAACATACCCCCCACTGAAACCAAGGACAAGAAATCAGCTTCAAATAAAGATGCTTCACAAAGAATCAGCCCTGGGAAAACATCCAGAAAAGAAGTCTATTGACTGTAATTAATCAACACTACAATTAAATGAACACACACACACACACACAAACACACACACACAGAAATGAGAAAGAACTCCAGTAACTCAAATGGAAAGAGTGTTGTATGTCCTCCAAACAATTGCACCAGTTCTCCAAGAAGAATTCTTAACCAGACTGAGCTTGCTGAAATAACAGAACTATAATTCAGAATACGGATAAGAACAAAGATTATCCAGGTTCAGGAGAATGGAAAAATGCAATCCAAGGAAACTGAAAACCACAATAAAACGTTATAGGAGATGAAGGACAAAGTAGCCAGTATAAAAAAGTACCTAATGGATCTGACAGTGCTGAGTAACACAATAGGAGAGTTTCACAATGCAATCACAAGTATTAACAACAGAATAAACCAAGCTGAGAGAAGAATCTCAGAACTTGAAGACTAGCTCTCTAAAAGAAGACAGTTAGACAAAAATTTTTTTTTAAAGGAAGGAAAAAAAACTTCAAGAAGTATAGGATTATGTAAAGAGGCCAAATCTGTGAATCATTAGCATCCCTGAAAGGGAGGGGAAGAAAGCAAACAACTTGAAAACATATCTCAAAATACCATCTGTGAAAACTTCCTCAACCTTGTGAAAGAGGCCAATAGTCAAATTCAGAAAATACAGAGAACTCCTGAAACATTCTACACAAGAAGGTCATCACCAAGACACAGAATCCTCAGATTTTTCAAGATCAAAATGAAAAAAAGAATGTTAAAGGAAGCTAGAGAGAAAGGGAAGGTTACCTACAAAGAAAACCCCATCAGGCTAACAGTGGACTTCTGAGATGAAACACTCCAATTCAGAAGAGATGGGGGGCCTATATTCAATATTCTTAAAGCCAGCATAATAACCAGGTAACAACACAATGACAGGGTCAAATCCATACTTATCAATACTAACCTTGAATGTCAACAGGATAAATGCCACCACAAAGTGGCAAGCTGGATAAAAAAAGCAAGACCCAAAGGTATGCTGTCTTTAAGAGATCCATCACACATGTAATGACGCCCATAAGCCCAAAATAAAAAGATGGAGGAAAATCTACGAAGCAAATGGAAAACAGAAAAAAGCAAGAGTTGCAATCCTAATTTCAGACAAAACAGACTTTAAAACAACAAAGATCAAACACAGAAGCAGCCAGATTCATAAAGCAAGTGTTTAGAGACCTGTAAAGAAAAACAGACTCCCACACAATAATAGTGGGATACTTCAACATTCCACTGCCAATATTAGATAGATCATTGAGGCAGAAAATTAATAAAGATAATCTGGACCAGAACTCAAACGTATTAGTCCATTCTTGCACTGCTATAAAGACACACCGGAGACTGGGTAATTTATAAAGAAAAAGGCTTTAATTGACTCAGAGTTCCAACTGGCTGGGGAGGCCTCAGGAAACTTATAATCATGGCAAAGATGAAGGGGAAGCAAGGCACATCTTCACATGGTCAGAGCAGGAGGAAGAGAGAAAGCAAACGGGGACATGCTGCACACTTTCAAATTACCAGATCTTGTGAGAACTCTATCATGAGAACAGCAAGGGGGAAGTCCACTCTCCATGATTCAATCACGTTCCACTAGGCCCCTCCTGCAAAACTGGGAAATACAATCCAACATGAAATTTGTGTGGGAACACAGAGCCAAATCATATCATTCTGCCCCTGGCCCCTCCCAAATCTCATGTCCTTCTCATATTTCAAAACACAATCATGCCTTCCCAACAGTCCCCCAAGGTCTTAACTCATTCCAGCATTAACTCAAAAGTCCAAGTCCAAAGTCCCATCTGAGACAAGGCAAGTCCCTTGTGCTTATGGGCCTGTAAAATAAAAAAACAAGTTAGTTACTTCCATGATACAATGAAGGTACAGGCATTGGGTAAATGTTCCTATTTCAAAAGAGAGGAATTGGCCAAAACAAAGGGACTACAGACCCCATGCAAATTTGAAACTCAGCAGGGCAATCATTACATCTCAAAGTTCCAAAATAAAGTCCTTTGACTCCATGTCTCACATCCTGGCCACGCTGATGCAAGGGGTGCGCTTCCAAGGCCTTGGGCATCAACGTTAGACCAAATGAATCTGATAGACCTCTACAGAACTCTCCAATTAAAAACAGCAAAATACACACTCTTCTCATTGCCACATGGCACATAATCTAAAATTGACCACCTAATTAGACATAAAGCAATCCTCAGCAAATGCAAAAGAACCTAAACCATACCAAACACTCTCTCAGACCACAGAACAATCAAAATAGAAGTCAAGACTAAGATATTGCTAAAAACCATGCAATTATATACAAATTAAACAAGTTCCAGAATGGCTCTTGGGTAAATAATGAATGAGGAAGAAATCAAGAAGTTTTTTGAAACTAATGAAAACAAAGATACAACATACTAGAATCTCTGGGACACAGCTAAGGTAGTATTAAAAGGAACATTCAAAGCACTAAATGTCCACAACAAAAAGTTAGAAAGATCTCAAATTAACAACCTAACATCACAACTAAAAGAACTAGAGAAGCAAGAATGAATCAACCCCAAAGCTAACAGAAGACAAGAAATAACCTAAATCAGAAATTAACTGAAGGAAATTGAAACACACACAAAAAATTCCAAAGATCAATAAATTCAGTTTTTAAAAAAGTAACAAAATATATAGGCCACTAGCTAGACTAATAAGGAATAAAAGAGAGAAGAGCCAAATAAACACAATTAGAAATGACAAGGGGAATGCTATCACTGACCCCATAGAAATAAAAGTAACCATCAGAATCTATGATGAGCTCTTCTATGCACACAAACTAGAAAACCTAGACGAGATGGATACATTCCTGGACACACACACACACGCCCTTCCAAGACGGAACCAGGAAGAGATGGGTTTCCTGAAGAGACTGAAAATGAGCCCCACAATTGAATCAGTAATTTATCAGTAATAAATAGCCTACCAACCAAAAAAAAGCCCAGGACCTGATGAATTCACAGTCATATTCTACCAGATGTACAAAGAAGAGATGACACCATTCGCACTGAAACTATGCCAAAAAATTGAGGTTACACTCCTCTCCAACTCATTCTATGAGGCCAGCATCATCCTGATACCAAAAACTGGCAGAGACACAATAAAAAAAACAAAAAAATAAAAAATAAATAAAAAATAAACTTAAGGCCAATATCCCTGATGAACATCAGTGCAAAAATCCTGAACAAAATACTTGCAAATCGAATCCAGTGGCACATCACAAAGCTAATCCACCATAATCAAGTAGACTTTATCCCTGAGATGCAAGGTTGGATCAACATATGCAGGTCAATAAATGTGATTCATCACATAAACAGAGCTAGAGGCAAAACCCCATGATTATCTCAACAGGTGCAGAAAAGCCTGTCAATAAAATTCAACACCCTTTCAGGTTAAAAAATGTCAATACACCAGGTATTGAAGTAACGTATCTCAAAATAATAAAAGTCATCAAGGACACACCGACAGCCAATATCACACTGAATGGGCAAAAACTGGAAGCATTGCCCCTGGAAAATCAGCACAATATAAAGATGCCCTCTTTCACCATTCCTATTCAACTTTGTATTGGAAGTTCTAGCCAGAGCAATCAGGCAAGAGAAAGAAATAAAAGGCATCCAAATAAGAAGAGAAGTCAAACCATCCCTGCTTGCAGATGACATGATTCCATGTCTAGAAAACCCCATAGTCTTGTCCCAAAAGCTCCTTCAGCTGATGAACAACTTCAGCAAAGTTTCCGGATGCAAAATCAATGTACAAAAATCATTAGCATTCCTACACATCCACAATAGTCCAGCCAAGAGCCAAATCAGGAAGGAAATTCCATTCACAGTAGCCACAAAAAGAATAAAATATTTAGAAATACAGCTAACCAGGGAGGTAAAAGCGAACCCAGAAATAAAGCTGCACACCTATTACCATCTGATCGAAGCTGAAAAAAAGAAGCTATGAGGAAAAGACTCACGACTCAATAAATGGTGCTGGGTTACATATCTAGCCAAATGCAGAAGGTAGAAACTGAACCCCTTCCTTCAACATATACAAAAATCAACACAAGATGGATTAAAGATTTAAATGAAAAACCTCAAACTTTGAAATCCCTGGAAGACAACCTATGCATCCTGGACATAGGAATGGACAATGATTTCATGACGAAGACATCCAAAGCAATCACATAAAAAAGCAAAAAAATGACAAATGGGATGTAATTAACAGCATCTGCACAGCAAGAGAAACTATCAAAGAGTAAACAGACAACCTACAGAATGAAAGCAAATATTTACAAATTATGCATTCAACAAAGGTCTAATATCCAGTTTCTGTAAGGAACTTAAATAAATTTACAAGAGAAAAACAAGCAACCACATTAAAAAGTGGGCAAACAACAAGGACAGACACTTTTCAAAAGACACACATGTGGCCAACAACCATATATATAAAAAAGCTCAACATCACTGATCGTTACAGAATGATTTGCAAGTCAAAACCACAATGAGATACCATCTCACACCAGTCAGAATGGCTATTACTAAAAAGCCAAAAAATATAACAGATGCTGGTGAGTTTGTGGAGAAAAGGGAACACTTATACGCTGCTGATGGGAGTGTAAATTAGTTCAACCATTGTGGAAAGCAGTATGGTGATTCCTCAAAGAGCTAAAAGTGGAAGTACCATTTGACTCAGCAATCCCATTATTGGTTATATACCCAGAGGAATTTAAATCATCCTACCATACAGACACATGTATGAGAATCTTTATTGCAACACTATTTACAATAACAAAGACATGGAATCAACCTAAATGCCTGTTAATGACAGACTGGTTAAAGAAAACGTGGTACATATATACCGTGGAATACCGTGCATTCATAGGAAAGAAGAGTATGTCATTGCAGGAACATGGATGGAGCTGAAGGCTATTAGTCTTAGCAAACTAATGCAGGAACAGAAAACCAAATACTGCATGTTCTCACTTATAAGTGGGAGCTAAATGATGAGAACTCATGAACACAAAGAAGGGAACAACGGACCCTGGATTCTACTTGAGGGTAGAGGGTGGGAGGAGGGAGAGGAGCAGAAAATGTAACTATTGTGTACTGGGCTTAATACATGTGTGATGAAAGAATCTGTACAACAAACCCTTATGACACGAGTTCACCTATGTAACAAACCTTGACATGTACCCCCAAACCTAAAATAAGAGTTAAAAATAGTAAATATTGGGTACTAGGCTTAGTACTCAGATGACAAAATAATCTGTACAACAAATCCCCATGACCTCGAATTTATCTATATAACAAACCTGCACATGTACCCCTGAACCTAAAATAAGTTAAAACTTTTTTAAAAAAACAAAAGAACTAAGGATTTTGGGTTCCCAGTCGACTGCTCTGTTCACCAGGTGTTGAGAAGTGGGGTGATATGGTTTAGATCTGTGTCCGCAGAAAAACTCATGTGGAATTGATAATCCCCAGTGTTGGATGTGGGCCCTGGTGAGATGTGATTGGATCATGGGGGTGGATTTCTCATTAATGTTTTAGCACCATCCCCCTTGGTATTGTCCTCATGATAGTGAGTGAGTTTTCATAAGATCTGGTCACATAAAAGTGTGTGGCACCTCTCCCAATATTCTCACTTGTTCTTGCTCTGGTCTTGTGAAGTGCCTGTTTCCCCTTGGCCTTTCACCATGATTGTAAGTTTCCGGTTGCTTCCACAGAAGCTGAGCAGATGCCAGAATCATGCCTCCTGTGCACCCTATGGAGCCATGAATGAATTTAACTTCTTTCCTTTATCAATTACCCAGTCTCAGGTACTTCTTTTTTTTTCTTTTCTTTTTTTTTTATACTTTAAGTTCTAGGGTACATGGGCACAACATGCAGGTTTGATACATAGGTATACACGTGCCATGTTGGTTTGCTGCACCCATCAACTCATCATTTACATTGGGTATTTCTCCTAATGCTATCCCTCCCCCAGCTCCCCAGCCCCCGACAGGCCCCGGTGTGTGATGTTCCCCACCCTGTGTCCAAGTGTTCTCATTGTTCAATTCCCACCTATGAGTGAGAACATGCGGTGTTTCGTTTTCTGTCTTTGTGATAGTTTGCTGAGAATGATGGTTTCCAGCTTCATCCATGTCCCTGCAAAGGACATGAACTCATCCTTTTTTATGGCTGCATAGTATTCCATGGTGTATATGTGCCACATTTTCTTAATCCAATATATCACTGATGGACATTTGGGCTGGTTCCAAGTCTTTGCTATTGTGAATAGTGCCACAATAAACATACATGTGCATGTGTCTTTATAGCAGCATGATTTATAATCCTTTGGGTATATACCCAGTAATGGAGTTGCTGGGTCAAATGGTATTTCTAGTTCTAGATCCTTGAGGAATTATCACACTGTCTTCCACAATGGTTGAACTAATTTACACTCCCACCAACAGTGTAAAAGCTTTCCTATTTTTCCTCATCCTCTCCAGCATCTGTTGTTTCCTGACTTTTTAATGATCACGATTCTAACTGGTGTGAGATGGTATCTCATTGCGGTTTTGATTTGCATTTCTCTGATGACCAGTGATGATGAGCATTTTTTTCATGTGTCAGTTGGCTGCATAAATGTCTTCTTTTGAGAAGTGTCTGTTCATATCCTTCACCCACTTGTTGATGGGGTTGTTTGTTTTTTTCTTGTAAATTTGTTTGAGTTCTTTGTAGATTCTGAATATTACCTCTTGGTCAGATGGGTAGATTGCAAAAATTTTCTCCCATTCTGTAGGTTTTACTGTTCACTCTGATGGTAGTTTCTTTTGCCATGCAGAAGCTGTTTAATTAGATCCCATTTGTCTATGTTGGCTTTTGTTGCCATTGCTTTCGGTGTTTTAGTCATGAAGTCCTTGCTCATGCCTATGTCCTGAATGGTATTGCCTAGGTTTTCTTCTAGGGTTTTTATGGCTTTAGGTCTAACATTTAAGTCTTTAATCCATCTTGAATTGATTTTTGTATAAGGTGTAAGGAAGGGATCCAATTTCAGATTTGTACATATGGCTAGCCAGTTTTCCCAGCACCATTTATTAAATAGGGAATCCTTTCCCTATTGCTTGTTGTTGTCAGGGTTGTCAAAGATCAGATGGCTGTAGATGTGTGGTGTTATTTCTGAGGTCTCTGTTCTGTTCCATTGGTCTATATCTCTGTTTTGGTACTAGTACCATGCTGTTTTGGTTACTATAGCCTTGTATTATAGTTTGAAGTCTGGTAGCGTGATGCCTCCAGCTTTGTTCTTTTGGCTTAGGATTGTCTTGGCAATGAGGGCTCTTTTTTGTTTCCATATGAACTTTAAAGTAGTTTTTTCCAATTCTGTGGAGAAAGTCATTGGTATCTTGATGGGGATTGCATTGAATCTATAAATTACCTTGGGCAGTAAGGCCATTTTCACTATATTGATTCTTCCTACCCATGAGCATGGAATGCTCTTCCATTTGTTTGTGTCCTCTTTTATTTCGTTGAGCAGTGGTTTGTAGTTCTCCTTGAAGGGGTCCTTCACATCCCTTGTAAATTGGATTCCTAGGTATTTTATTCTCTTTGAAGCAATTATGAATGTGAGTTCACTCATGATTTTTCTCTCTGCCTGCTATTGTTGTATAGGAATGCTTGTGATTTTTGCACGTTGATTTTGTATCCTGAGTCTCGGGTATTTCTCTATAGCAATGCAAGAACAGACTAATACAGAAAATTGCACCAGGAGTGGGGCATTGCTATAAAAATACCTGAAAATGTGGAAGCAGCTTTAGAATTGGTTAAGAGACCAAGAGTTTGGAGGGCTCAGAAGAAAACAGAAAGATGAGGGAAAGTTTAGAACTTCCTAGAGATTGGCCAAATGATTTTGAGCAAAATGCTGATAGACATATGTATGATAAAGTCCAGGTTGATGAGGTCTCAGATGAAAATAAGGAACTTATTTGGAACTGGAGCAAAGGTCACTTTTTTTGCCTAAGAAATGAACTTGGCTGTACTGTTTTCCTGTCCTAGGGATCTGTGGAACTTTGAACTTTACAGTGACAATTTAGGGTATCTTGTAGAAAAAATTCTAGCCAGCAAAGTGTTCAAGATGTGTCCTGGTTACTTCTAACATCCTATCATCATATATGTGAGTGAAGAAATGATCTAAAGTTGGAACTTATATATAAAGGTGAAGCAGAGTGTAAAGCAGATCGAAAAATTTGCAGCCTGGCCACGTGGAAGAAAAGAAAAGCCAATTCTCATGGAAGTAATTGAAGCAGGCTACAGAAATTTGCATAAGTAAAAAGGAGCCAAGTGCTAATAGCCAATACAATGGGGAAAAGGCCTCAAAGACATTTCAGAGACCTTTGCAGCAGTCCCTCTCATCACAGGCCCAGAGGCCTAGGAGAACTGCATGATTTTGTATGCCAGGCCCGCAGCCCCCAATGCTCTTACATAGCCTTAGGATGCTGCTTTCTGCATCCTGGCCACTCCTGCTCCAGCTGTGGCTCAAAAATGCCCAGGCACAGCTCAGGGCTGCAGCTTTGGAGGGTGTGCAAGCCATAAGGCTTGGTGGCTTCCACATGATGTTAAGCCTTCTGCTGCACAGAGTGAAAGAGTTAGTGCTTGGAAGCCTTTGCCTAGATTTCAGAAGATGTACGAAAAAGCCTAGGTGTCCAGGCAGAAGATTCCTGCAGGATTGGAACCCCCACAGAGAACCTCTACTAGGGCAATGCAGAGGGGATATGTGGCACTGGAGCCCCCACACAGAGTACCCACTGTGGCTTTGCCTAGTGGAGCTGTGAGAGGAGGGCCACCATCTTCCAGCCCCAGAATGGTTGGTACATTATCAACTTGCACTCTGCACCTTTAAAAGCCACAGGCACTCAACACCAGCGCATGAAAGCATCTGTGGAGGCTTAACCCTACAAAACCACAAGGGTGGAGCTGCTCAAGGCCTTGGGAGCCCACTTCTCACACCAGTATGCCCTGGATTTGGGACTTAGAGTCAAAGAATATTACTTTGGAAGTTTAAGATTTAATGACTGCCCTACTGGGTTTCAAACTTGCGTAGGGCCTGTAGACCCTTTCTTTTGGCCAATTTCTCCCTTTTGGAATAAGAATATTTACCCAATTCTTATACCCCCATTGACCTTGTAAGTAAATAACTTGTTTTTGATTTTACAGGCTCATAGGTGGAAGGGACTTCCCTTGTCTCAGATGAGACTTTGGACTTTGAGTTAATGCTGGAATGAGTTAAGACTTTGGGGGACATTTGGGAAGGCATAATTGTATTTCACAATGTGAGAAGGATATAAGATTTGGGGGCCAGGAGTGGAATGATATCATTTGAATCTGTGTCTCTACCAAATCTAATGTCAAATTGTAATCCTCAATGTTGGATGTGTGGCCTGGTGGGAGGTGATTGGATGATGGGGTTGGATTTCTCCTGAATGTTTGATCACCATCTCTCTCAATACTGTCCTCAAAATAGTCAGTGAGTTCTTGTGTGATATGGTCATTTAAAAGTGTGTTGCACCTCTCCTCTCAATCTTTTTTGCTCCTGCTTCAACCATGTGAAGTGTCTGCTACCCCTTTGCCTTCTGTCATGATTGTAAGTTTTCTTAGTTCTCTCCAAAAGCCAAGCAGGTGTCAGCATCGTGCTTCCTCTACAGCCTGTGGAACCGTGAGCCAATTAATCCTCTTTTTCTCATAAATTACCCAGTCTCATATATTTCTTTATAGAAGTGCAAGAATAGACTAATACAGAAAGGTTGGTATTCTAGGTGCACACAATTGTTAAATAATGGACCAGATCCCAAACCGTTGAAGGAACTACTCTAACCCATATCTCTTCCCAACACACACACACACACACACACACACACACACACACACCTCCAAACCTGGTCTGGAATCTTCTATTTTCCTGAAGAACATATTAATTTAGTAGGTGAAACACATAACACTGAATTCAAATTACAGGTCAAACACCAACTATTTTTTATTTAGTTATAAATGGGCCACATGTTGCTCAATGGCCTCTCTGACATAACCTGCCATCTCAAAAGCTTCGAGGTTGAGAGGCCCTCCTTCTGTTCCTTTCTGTCCAATCACCACAAGCCTTACAGACTCGATCTGAACTACCGTCACTGCCCGGCTGCCCTGACTCTGGCCTTTGGTGCGCAGGTACATGGTGTTGTTGCCTTCAGTGTACAGATTGTCTCAAATCAACAAGCATTTGGTCCCTGCAAGGGTGACTCCTTGGAGAAACAATTTCTCTCTCCCCTCTCTTGCCAGTAAAATCTGAATTTCTTCCTGGGTCAACTGGAACAAGTTACCTTCAGAGTAAGATGCTAATAACCAGGGTGGGGAATTGGTGATAATTACTGCATCATAACATGTACCAGTCAGTAGGAAGAGAGTGAGGCATTCCTGCCAGACCTCTTCACTGACATCCTGTATACACTGCATGATTCAGGTAAGCTGTCTCTAGCAAGTTGGTCTTCAAAGGAAACTAGTTAGCACTTGGCTCAAGAAGTCTGATCAGCTGAGACTGAAATAAACTAAAAATACAGTCTCTTTCTTATGGCCTTTCCCCAGAAGCAAGGTAGAGGAGGTCTTGGTGACTTGAATAAAGTTGTGTCTCAGCTGCCATCTGCTGTGATTTATCAAGCTACCTCAAGAATAGGAGTGAGGTCACAAAGGTTCTGTGACTTTTTAAGGAGTCATAATCAACTATATCATTGGTGATTTCTGGCAGTAGCTTTCTGAGGCTGTATCTATAGCTATAAAGACAGTGGGTGCAAAGTATACTTACTTACTCCCCTGGTGTACTGTGGGAAAAATACCAACTCCCAATAGTAGGAAAGACCTTAGTAGAACATAAGTGGGAAATAATTGAGTTGAAGGCTTAGATGTGAAATAGGACAGGTGAGATTTACTGCAGTAATTAGTATCTCATATGTTGGTTAATCTTACTGAGACCCGAGCTATAGGTACAAAATCAAAAAGCCCACAGGACTGTCAGTTCACAACTTCTTTTGAGATGATCACAACAGCTTCCTACTTGGTTTCCTTGCCTCCAGACTTCTTCCCTTTAGTTTACCCTCTGGCCTACATTAGCTGTTAGTCCAAAGTCATTCATTTAGTTATTTATCAAACATTTACTCTTTGCCAAGAACTTGTCTAGGCAGTAGGGTACAGTAGTGAACAGAACAGAGACAAACTGCTGCCCTCATGGAGGTGACATTCTACAGGGAAGAAACAAATAATAGATGCTACTAGTATCTCTTTCACTGAAAATATTTTCATTAGCCTAGCAGTTTTTTCTTCCAGATTTTCTCTCTTATTTCCAGGCTTTCTCTATTCCTATGGGGGTACATTCTGACTTGCGGCTCTTCTGTAACCTTTGGCAAGTCAGTGTGAGTGCATCAGTTTACCCTGAAATGACACCAACTTGCCTTAAAAAGGGAATATTATGAGAAATCACTAATATTAATGGTGGGAAAAATATGAGCTACAGATAAAAATATTTGTTGTTTTTATTCAACAAATATTTATTGAGTACCTACTATGTGTTAGGACTATTCTAGACTTTGGAAATCCAACAGTGAACAAAAATCCCTGCCCTCACAGAGATGACATAATAGAGAGGGAGGTAATAAATGACAAATACACCTATAATATATCAGGTAGTATTGACAACTATGAAGGAAAAAAGTTAGGAGTGTAGAGAATGTTGGAGAAGAAGTAGTGATAGTTTTATTTTATATATGGTGTTCAGGTAGGTAAGGATTCTCTGATACAGAGACATTTCTTTTTTTTATTTTATTTTATTTTATTATTATTATACTTTAAGTTTTAGGGTACATGTGCACAATGTGCAGGTTAGTTACATATGTATACATGTGCCATGCTGGTGTGCTGCACCCATTAACTCGTCATTGAGCATTAGGTATATCTCCTAATGCTATCCCTCCCCCCTCCCCCCACCCCACAACAGGCCCCAGAGTGTGATGTTCCCCTTCCTGTGTCCATGTGTTCTCATTGTTCAATTCCCACCTATGAGTGAGAACATGTGGTGTTTGGTTTTCTGTCCTTGCAATAGTTTACTGAGAATGATGATTTCCAATTTCATCCATGTCCCTACAAAGGACATGAACTCATCAATTTTTATGGCTGCATAGTATTCCATGGTGTATATGTGCCACATTTTCTTAATCCAGTCTATCATTGTTGGACATTTGGCTTGGTTCCAAGTCTTTGCTATTGTGAATAGTGCCGCGATAAATATATGTGTGCATGTGTCTTTATAGCAGCATGATTTATAGTCTTTTGGGTATATACCCAGTAATGGGATGGCTGGGTCAAATGGCATTTCTAGTTCTAGATCCCTGAAGAATTGTCACACTGACTTCCACAATGGTTGAACTAGTTTACAGTCCCACCAACAGTGTAAAAGTGTTCCTATTTCTCCACATCCTCTCCAGCACCTGTTGTTTCCTGACTTTTTAATGATTGCCATTCTAACTGGTGTGAGATGGTATCTCACTGTGGTTTTGATTTGCATTTCTCTGATGGCCAGTGATGGTGAGCATTTTTTCATGTGTTTTTTGGCTGCATAAATGTCTTCTTTTGAGAAGTGTCTGTTCATGTCCTTTGCTCACTTTTCGATGGGGTTGTTTGTTTTTTTCTTGTAAATTTGCTGGAGTTCATTGTAGATTCTGGATATTAGCCCTTTGTCCGATGAGTAGGTTGTGAAAATTTTCCCCAATTTGTAGGTTGCCTGTTCACTCTGATGGTAGTATCTTCTGCTGTGCAGAAGCTCTTTAGTTTAATTAGATCCCATTTGTCAATTTTGGCTTTTGTTGCCATTGCTTTTGGTGTTTTAGACATGAAGTCCTTGCCAATTCCTATGTCCTGAATGGTAATGCCTGGGATTTCTTCTAGGGTTTTTATGGTTTTAGGTCTAATGTTTAAGTATTTAATCCATCTTGAATTAATTTTTGTATAAGATGTAAGGAAGGGATCCAGTTTCAGCTTTCTACATATGGCTAGCCAGTTTTCCCAGTACCATTTATTAAATAAGGAATCCTTTCCCCATTGCTTGTTTTTGTCAGGTTTGTCAAAGATCAGATAGTTGTAGATATGCGGCGTTATTTCTGAGGGCTCTGTTCTGTTCCATTGGTCTATATCTCTGTTTTGGTACCAGTACCATGCTGTTTTGGTTACTGTAGCCTTGTAGTACAGTTTGAAGTCAGGTAGCGTGATGCCTCCAGCTTTGTTCTTTTGGCTTAGGATTGACTTGGCGATGCGGGCTCTTCTTTAGTTCCATATGAACTTTAAAGTAGTTTTTTCCAATTCTGTGAAGAAAGTCATTGGTAGATTGATGGGGATGGCATTGAATGTATAAATTACCTTGGGCAGTATGGTCATTTTCACGATATTGATTCTTCCTACCCATGAGCATGGAATGTTCTTCCATTTGTTTGTATCCTCTTCTTTTATTTCGTTGAGCAGTTGTTTGTAGTTCTCCTTGAAGAGGTCCTTCACATCCCTTGTAAGTTGGATTCCTAGGTATTTTATTCTCTTCGAAGCAATTGTGAATGGGAGTTCACTCATGATTTGGTTCTCTGTTTGTCTGTTATTGGTGTATAAGAATGCTTGTGATTTTTGTACATTGATTTTGTATCCTGAGACTTTGCTGAAGTTGCTTATCAGCTTAAGGAGATTTTGGGCTGAGACAATGGGGTTTTCTAGATATACAATCATGTCATCTGCAAACAGGGACAATTTGACTCCCTCTTTTCCTAATTGAATACCCTTCATTTCCTTCTCCTGCCTAATTGCCCTGGCCAGAACTTCCAACACTATGTTGAATAGGAGTGGTGAGAGAGGGCATCCCTGTCTTGTGCCAGTTTTTAAAGGGAATGCTTCCAGTTTTTGCCCATTCAGTATGATATTGGCTGTGGGTTTGTCATAGATAGCTCTTATTATTTTGAGATATGTCCCATCAATACCTAATTTATTGAGAGTTTTTAGCATGAAGGGTTGTTGAATTTTGTCAAAGGCCTTTTCTGCATCTATTGAGATAATCATGTGGTTTTTGTCTTTGGTTCTGCTTATATGCTGGATTACATTTATTGATTTGCATATATTGAACCAGCCTTGCATCCCAGGGATGAAGCCCACTTGATCATGGTGGATAAGCTTTTTGATGTGCTGCTGGATTTTGTTTGCCAGTATTTTATTGAGGATTTTTGCATCAATGTTCATCAAGGATATTCGTCTAAAATTCTCTTTTTTTGTTGTGTCTCTGCCAGGCTTTGGTATCAGGATGATGCTGGCCTCATAAAATGAGTTAGGGAGGATTCCCTCTTTTTCTATTGATTGGAATAGTTTCAGAAGGAATGGTACCAGTTCCTCCTTATACCTCTAGTGGAATTCGGCTGTGAATCCATCTGGTCCTGGACTCTTTTTGGTTGGTAAGCAGTTGATTATTGCCACAATTTCAGATCCTGTTATTGGTCTATTCAGAGATTCAACTTCTTCCTGGTATAGTCTTGGGAGGGTGTATGTGTCGAGGAATTTATCCATTTCTTCTAGATTTTCTAGTTTATTTGCGTAGAGGTGTTTGTAGTATTCTCTGATGGTAGTTTGTATTTCTGTGGGATCGGTGGTGATATCCCCTTTATCATTTTTTATTGCATCTATTTGATTCTTCTCTCTTTTCTTCTTTATTAGTCTTGCTAGCGGTCTATCAATTTTGTTGATCTTTTCAAAAAAGTAGCTCCTGGATTCATTAATTTTTTGAAGCGTTTTTTCTGTCTCTATTTCCTTCAGTTCTGCTCTGATTTTAGTTATTTCTTGCCTTCTACTTAACTTTTGAATGTGTCCGCTCTTTCTTTTCTAGTTCTTTTAGTTGTGATGTTAGAGTGTCAATTTTGGATCTTTCCTGCTTCTCTTGTGGGCATTTAGTGCTATAAATTTCCCTCTATACACTGCTTTGAATGTGTCCCAGAGATTCTGGTATGCTATGTCTTTGTTCTCGTTGGTTTCGAAGAACATCTTTATTTCTGCCTTCATTTCGTTATGTACCCAGTAGTCATTCAGGAGCAGGTTGTTCAGTTTCCATGTAGTTGAGCGGTTTTGAGTGAGTTTCTTAATCCTAAGTTTTAGTTTGATTGCACTGTGGTCTGAGAGACAGTGTGTTATAATTTCTGTTCT
Organism: Homo sapiens; assembly: GCF_000001405.40. Taxonomy (NCBI): domain Eukaryota; kingdom Metazoa; phylum Chordata; class Mammalia; order Primates; family Hominidae; genus Homo; species Homo sapiens. The sequence continues at coordinate 64,400,886 of NC_000023.11, read as the reverse complement.
TTTACATTTGCTGAGGAGAGCTTTACTTCCAACTATGTGGTCAATTTTGGAATAGGTGTGGTGTGGTGCTGAAAAAATGTATATTCTGTTGATTTGGGGTGGAGAATTCTGTAGATGTGTATTAGGTCCGCTTGGTGCAGAGCTGAGTTCAATTCCTGGATATCCTTGTTAACTTTCTGTCTCGTTGATCTCTCTAATGTTGACAGTGGGGTGTTAAAGTCTCGCATTATTATTATGTGGGAGTCTAAGTCTCTTTGTAGGTCACTCAGGACTTGCTTTATGCATCTGGGTGCTCCTGTATTGGGTGCATATATATTTAGGATAGTTAGCTCTTCTTGTTGAATTGATCCCTTTACCATTATGTAATGGCCTTCTTTGTCTCTTTTGATCTTTGTTGGTTTAAAGTCTGTTTGATCAGAGACTAGGATTGCAACCCCTGCCTTTTTTTGTTTTCCATTTGCTTGGTAGATCTTCCTCCATCCTTTTATTTTGAGCCTATGTGTGTCAATACAGAGACATTTCATCAGAGACCTGACAGAGATGAGGGAGTAAACATATAAATATCTGGGGGAAGAGCATTCTAGGCAAAGGAAATAACAAACATAAAGTCCCTGAGGCAGAAGAATGCCTGGTATATTTAAGAAACAGCAAGGAAATCAATATGACTTGAGGAGACAGAAAAAAGAGTGATAGAAGATTGATATAATAAGAGTTGTACTGGGCTTAGATATTATGTAGGGATTTATACACTATGGTTAATGTTTGGCTTTTACTCTAAAATGGAGAGCCGGTAGACAGTTTTAAATCAAGGAATCATATCATTCTAGATTTTAGATTCTAGTCCCATAGAAGATGCTATGTAGATTATAGGTTCTAGGGGGACCAAGGCCAAAACATGCAGACCAGCTGGAGGCTGTGGCAGCAATCCAGGTAAGAGGTAACAGAGGCTTGAGGCCAGGCACAGTGGCTCATTCCTATAGTCCCAGCACTTTGTGAGGTGGAGCTGGGAGGATTGCTGGAGTCCAGGAGTTGGAAACCAGCCTAGGCAACATAGAAAGACATTGTGTCCACTAAAAAAAATTAAAAAGAAAAAAATTTAGCCAGGCACGGTGGTACACCTGTAGTTCCATCTACTTGGCAGGCTGAGACAGGAGGATCACTTGGGCCTGGGAGTTGGAGGCTGCAGTGAGCTATGATCACACCACTGCACTCCAACCTCGTTGACAGAGACATTGTCTTAAAAAATAAAAAATAAAATAAAATAAAACAGAGGCTTGGGCCAGGATACAGCAGTGAGAAGTGATTGAATTTGGAGACAATTTTGAAGGAAGAACTCATGGGATTTGATGATGAATCAGGTGTGGGATATGAGAGAAAATGATGCCTCCAAGACTTTTGTCCTGAATGACTGTGCTATGTTTTAATGTTTGTGTCTCCTCCAAAATTGGTATTGAACCTTAATCCCAATGCAACAGTATTAAGAATTAATTATTAAGGGGCATTTAAAAGGTAATTAGGCCATGAGGGCTGTATTCTTACAGATGGGATCAGTGCCTTATAAAAGGGCTGGATGGAACTAGCCATGTGAGTATCTCCTGCTATGTGAGGATACAGCATTCATCACTCCAGATGGCATTTAAGATGTCATCTTGGAAGCAAAGAGAGAGCACTTCTCACCAGACACTGAACCTACTGGCACCTTGATCTTGGTTTTCCAGCCTTCAGAACTGTGATAATTACATTTCTGTTCTGTACAAATTATCCAGTCTAGAGTATTTAGTTTTGGCAGCACAAATGCACTAGGATAAACTTGGAAGGATAAAATTGCAATTTCCTGAGATGATAATACTGTGTAAAGAGCAGGCTTGAGGATTCAGGTGGAAATCAAAAATTCTGTTTTGGATGTAATAAGTTTGAGAGGTCTCTAAGATATCTGAGCAGACATGTCAGTAGGCTGCTGAATATTATGTAAGCTTTGAGTTCAGAGGACAGATAAAGATTAGAGATAAAATTTTGGGAGCTGTCCACAAATAGATGCTATTTAAAGCCATGGCACTGGATGACAGCACCCATGGAATAAGTGTAAATAAAGAAGAGGACCGGCCGGGCGCGGTGGCTCACGCCTGTAATCCCAGCACTTTGGGAGGCCGAGGCGGGCGGATCACGAGGTCAGGAGATCGAGACCATCCCGGCTAAAACGGTGAAACCCCGTCTCTACTAAAAATACAAAAAATTAGCCGGGCGTAGTGGCGGGCGCCTGTAGTCCCAGCTACTTGGGAGGCTGAGGCAGGAGAATGGCGTGAACCCGGGAGGCGGAGCTTGCAGTGAGCCGAGATCCCGCCACTGCACTCCAGCCTGGGCGACAGAGCGAGACTCCGTCTCAAAAAAAAAAAAAAAAAAAAAAAAAAAAAAAGAGGACCAACCTCTGAGCACTGGCAGCATTACAACATGTAGAGATAGGTAAAGTGAAGCGAAACAGCAAAAGAGATTGGGAATGAGAAGTCAGTGATGTAGGAGAGAGAGTGGTATCCCTATCCCTGGAGCCAAGTGAACAAAATGTATCAAGGAGAAGGGAGTGATCAAATACTGCTGAGAGGACAAAAAGAGATCTGAGGATGACCAATGGATTTTGCAATGGGGAGAATATTGGTAACTTTGACAAGAACAGTTTGGTGGAGTGGTGGAAGAAATGCCTGATTAGAGAGGTTTCAAGTGAGAATAGGATAGGAATAGAAGAGAATGGATTTAGATAAATCTTTTGAAGAGTTCTGCTGTAAAGTATAAGAGGAATGGGGGGATGGCAGGTTGGGGACAGAAATGTGCATCCAAAAAGATATTTTTTAAGATTGGAAATACTATGGAATGCTTTCATGCTGATGGCAGTGATCCAGTAAAGTGGGAACATTTAGTAATAAAGGCAAGGAAACAATTGAGCAGGCTAAAGAGAATGAAATTGAGTGGACAAGTGGAAGGGTTGCCTTAGGAAAGCTCAGGAAGAGTTCGTTAATTGAAGACAGATTATACGGGCTCACATGCAGGGCATCAAGCAAATTTGGTTTTGGGATGATGTGGAAGTTCCCTTCTCATAGCTTCTATTTTTATCAGCAAACTAGGAAGAAGGTAAGCATTTGAGAGAGAAAACAGAAATATTTGATAATAAAGTTGAGGAAAGGAAGGAACCTATCAATATTCATTGTGTCTTTACAATGTTCCTGGAACCTCATATACATTACATTTTGAATTCCCACAAGGACTTTAAGAGAATAGGTTTACAGCTGAGAAAACTAAGGCACAGAGAGTTTGTGTAATTTGCCCAGGGCCATGTATTATTAGCATATTGCTAAACCAAAATTTGAACCTTGTCTGACTAGAGTCCACACACTCTTTCCACTATCCTAAACAGCATGGAAACAAGGTTTTGAGTCTGAGTAACTGGGTATATGGTGGTGCAATTAGTAGGGATAGGAAAAACTTGAGAAAGAGCAAGTGATAGAGGTGGGAAAATGCAAGGGGGTTGTGAGACAGTGTGAAAGATGAGTTTGTTTTGGGCCATGATGCCTTTAATGTGCTAGCAGGAACATGCAAGTAGAACTGTCAGAGGGCAATTGGAAGTTCTAAATTTGAACTCAGGAAAAAGGTCATGGTACTTGAGATATGAAGTTGGGTGTCCCCTACTGAGGGTTCATTAGCCCCTTTTCACACTGCTATAAATAAATAACCGAGACTGGGTAATTTATAAAGAAAAGAAGTTTAATTGGCTCACCGTTCTGCAGGCTGTACAGGAAGCATAGTGGCTTCTGGTTCTGGGGAGGCCTCAGGAAACTTCCAGTCATGGTGGAAGGCAAATGGGGAGTGAGGCACTTCACATGGCCAGAGCAGGAGGAAAATGGGCAGGGAAAGGTGCCACACACTTCTAAGCCATCAGATCTCGTGAGAACTCACTCACTATGGCAACGACAATACCAAGGAGGCTAGTGTTAAACCATTCAGAAGAAACCACCCCCATGATCCAATCACCTCCTACCAGGCCCCACTTCCAACGTAAGGGATTACAATTAAACATGAGATTTGGTGGGGACACAGATCCAAGCCATATCCAGGAGTAAGGGTTTAACTTGTGGAAGAGATCAAGATAACCAAAAGAAAGAAAATAGAAGAGGAATGAGGATAGAAGCCAGGAAAATGGCTTAAAAAAAAGAGAAAGTTGCTGGGAAGGAGTCAGAGAAGGAACAGTTGGGGATGCAGGCAGTGAGTTTGTTTATAATAAAGGTCAAGGGAAGAAAGAATGTCAAAAAGGAATATGAATCAATAGTTTTAAATGCTGTAAAACAAATAGAAAACGAGCACTGAGAAGAGCTGTTGGAATCAGCAGCTGGAATTTAGGATGATGTGAAAGAGCCAATTGAGTGGAGTGGTAGGGAGGAGTGAGTTTGTTATGGAGAAGTGAAGGTGATGATAAGTAGACTATTCTTTTGAGATATTTGGCAGTGAAAGGGCTGAACATGATGGAACGATGGTACAAGGGAGAATAGGGTCATGGATCGAGGGAAGGGCCTTCAGGCTAGGGAAGAAGGCAGAATATGATAAACGAGTAATTTTGCTAGCAAATGTTATAAGAACTCAAAGAAGAACAAAATTATTTTGTAGGGGCAGTGAGATTGCAAACCATAACACTGCAATAGTAGAGCTAGAAATTACCCTGAGATAGTGGCCAATACCCTCATTGTAACCTTGGTCAACTTAAGACCCAGAGAGGTGGCATGATTTCCCCAAGGTCACATAGCAAGTTAGTGGCAGACCTGAGAGGAGTAGAATCCAGATTTCCCAACTCTCAGATTGTTCTTTTTTCCACCACAAATCTGACTTGGAGCACACCACTGAGGGTCTGCACCTATTTACCCCTCATCTGATAGCTGGTCCAGTGGGCCCTTTCTTGGTCCTCTTCCCATATCTACGATGGCAAAAGTGATGAGGATACTGTAGTATTCCAGATTTTAACTAGGTTGATGGCAGCAGACACATAAAGGAGAGATAGAGAGGAGGATATACCTTTCCATATTTCAAAAAATATTCTCTGGTGACTTGCCCAAGGTCTCACAGCTAGGAAGCTCTTCAGAAACCCAATTGCCAGCATGGGGCAGCCTGTGTTACTGCTGCAGGATGCTATCATTGTAATATTAGAGTAAAGGAGTGATATCTGTGTTCAGAGCCCTTATAGCATCAAGAAGGGTGAGAAGGGTGGCAGTACTCGAATCTGGGACTTAAAGACTCGGCCAAACGTTGAACCTGAACCAGAATAATCAATTTCCCGAAGAAAAGGGCACTTGCCAGGAAGCAAGATGGCGGGAACGGCTACGGTCAAAGTGTCGCGATAGGAGCTTTCGCCGAGGATCAGGTGACGAGAGTTTGAGCCAGGACCGGGAGGGCGGGGGTAGAAACCCGGGTTGAGGCAGGAGGCGGCTAGACCGGTGGCGGCGGCATCTGGAGTAGCACTGAGATCTTCCGGTGGCGGGAACTGCAGTCATGGATCATATTACGGTACCCAAGGTAAGGAGAAGAGTTAAGCGAGGCTGACAGCCGCGAGCTTCCTCTTGGTGCTCACCTGGGAGCCCAGACACACCTCCTCAGCCTTCTCAGCCTTCTTTGACGCGTCTTTCCTGTGGGGGGTCCCGGGTTCTCTTTCTGGGTCCACACCCCCTTTCAACCAAACACCTCTTCTTAGGATCTGCTTGCGGGCGTCAGCGGCCGGGAAAGAGGTGGTCTGCACCACTGTCCCCTTACGCGACGCCGCCCCCGCTCCTGGTGCACGCCTGTTCTGGCCCTCTGACTCCAGCTCCTCCCTAGCCTTGACCTCACACTCACCCTTATCTCAGCTTTTTATACTAGCTGCACTTGTAACCGCCATTCGCGAATACCCCACATTGCTCTGCCTCCTGCGGAGTTACTTCCTTTATCGAGCGTTTCTTCACCATCCTCTTGGCTCCTCCAGCCACTAACCTTCCCCAGGGATTGCCCAGAACCCCACTCTCGCTCCAGCTCCACGGCATGCCTGTGAGGGTTTGTGGGGGCCACAGCATCTCTTCAGCCAAAGCTGGGCAATGGAAAAGGAAGAGGAGTGGGGCAGAGTGGATCTGGCTCTGCTCAGCCGGTAGGAGAAACCCAAGAGGTTTATCTAGCCAGTTGTCACCTGTTTTTAGCCAGTCCCGAGTTAGAGTTACTTCTGCTACTTTTTCCTCTCATCTTTCCAGATCCTACTCCCTCCCTTCCCAACGCCAGCCCCTTTCTGTTTCAAATCCACTTCCCTCCTTTCTCCTGTCTGGGGCTGGGGAACAGTGAAAAATTCACAACTAGTCTGTGGTTATTTTTTCCTGTTGATCATAACACACGTGGTCCAGGCTAATTGAAGTCCTGGTAAAAAATCCAGCGTGTTTTTAATGGAAAGAGCATGGATTTTGAAGCCAGAAGACTTGAATTAAAGTGCTGCCCACTGCACCCCCACCAACTACTTAGCTAATGACTTTGGACAAATTATTTAACCTCTCTGAGCCTTAGCTTTCCTCACCTACTGATAGGGTTTTTCTCTGTGTCCCCACCCAAATCTCCTCTTGTAGCTTCCGTAATTCTCACGTGTTGTGGGAGGGACCCGGTGGGAGACGGTTGAATCATGGGGGCAGGGCTTTCCTGTGCTGTTCTTGTGATAGTGAATGGGTCTCATGAGATCTGATGGTTTTAAAAACGGGAGTTTCTTTGCACAGGCTCTCTCTTTGCCTGCTGCCATGCATGTAAGATGTGACTTGCTCCTCCTTGCCTTCCTCCATAATTGTGAGGTCTCCCCAGCCATGTGGAACTGTTAAGTCCAATAAACCTCTTTGGTAAATTGCCCAGTCTTGGGTATGTCATCAGCAGCGTGAAAACAGACTGATACACCTACCAAATGAGGATAATGAAATTTGCCCGGCTCACTTCACAAGATGGTTGTGGGATTAAATAAGAGGATGTGTGTGAAAGAGTTTTTGTAACTAGTAATGTTTTGCCCACTTTTTAGCATAAAACTTTGATGCTGCCTGATGGGCAAAGCACAAACTCCAACCTTTAACCTTTTTTTCTGACTCCCTCCTCTTCAGGGCCTTTCTCTGTGGAGGATAACCACATCCCGTGTAAAAGCCAGCCAGCCTTGCCTTTTTCTGTGTCCCTTTGTTTCCGGATCATGTCATTTGTACGGGTCCTCTGACATGGTATAAGAAGGTGGTACCATTAAAGGAAAGGAACTTCTGTTGTCCAGACTCCCTCTTCTCCCAACCCACCTAAGCTTGGGCCACGTTACTTGTCTAGTTCAAAATCAGCTCACTCGAATACTCCTTTTTTCTCTCTTTTGACAACTGGGGAAGATGGGGAGGCAGAACTGCTCCTGTCCTTGAGTGTTAAAATATTAAAATTCCCCTGTTAGGGATTGAAGCTATAAACTGGGCTGGCTCTATGGAAATTGGAAGGGAGAAGAAACCATTAACGGGCCCATATGAAAATTATAATAGCAGCTAATACGTATAGAATATTTAACTATGTGACAGGCACTGTGTTCAATATTTTACCTGAAATATGCCTTGAATCCTTACAATAACCTATTAGGAGATACTATTATTATTCCCATGTTACAGATGAGGAAACTGAGATCCATAGATGTGGAATGCTTGCCTAATAAACAAAGATAGGAGTGCTCAGACTGGTGCTGGGATAGGGTTCGTGCTCAAGAAAACTTAAACTTGCATCATGGTCAGACTCCATTTGTACTGCATGGATAGTGTGATTAGTCTTGAAATATAAATAAAAACTCCAAATGAAGACTTGATTCTTTAAGCAGAATTAGTATTTGTTTTGGTGCCTGGCAGGGCTGTGAGTGCCCACAGGTGGTATGCTGCTGTGAGTCTGTTTTTTTCTCAGTTTCTAGAAAGGATTAGGGTTGCATTAATGGCTCGGGATTAAAATGGCCTCCCTTTTGTTAACTCACTGTTTCCATAAAAGAGAGAGACATCTGCCTTGTCCATCTCAGGTCAAAGGGATAACTTTGAGTTTGTCAGTCATTAGTTGTGTATGTCAAGTACAAAAGTGACTTTTATTTTTGGCTCTTGCTTGAGTCTTTTTCTTTACTCAGGAAGACTTTAAAAAATTATTGAAGTACAGTACACATAAAGAAAAGTGTATAGATTGGAAGTATTCATTGTGCTATAAACTTAAAAACTGGACACACCTGTGCAACCGCTACTGAGATTAAAAAAAACAAAAACAAAAAACAAACAAACAAACAAAAAAAAGAACATTACTAGAAGTCCACTTCATGCCCCCTTCCAGTCAATACCCCTCCCAAGGGTAAACTACTATACTGACCTCTAACAGGATACATTCATTTTACTCTTTTGTTGTACTTAATATAAATGGATTAATACATTCTCTTTTGTGTTTGACTTCTTTTGCTCAACATTGTTTGAAAGATTTATCCATATTATTTCTTGAAGTTATAGATCATTCTCATTGCTATATTATGTTTTGTTAACATGCCACATGTGATTTATCCATTCTTCTGTTGATGGGGAATTTCCAGTTTCTGCCTTTTGCCAATAGTACATTTTGACAGATTTAAATATACATTTTTGTTGGTATATGCCATCGGAGTGGAATTTCTGGGCCGTAGAATATGCATATGTTCATCTAGACACTACCAATTTTACATTCCCACGACCTATGTATGAGAACAGATCTATCTAAGATATAGCTTAGGGTTCAACAACCATTTTTGGAGCGTCTCAGACCTGCCCTAAAGTTTGGTGACTCTCCTATCTGAATCAGAATTTGTTCTATGTATTTTTCCCTACCCTCATTACATCTGTGTCAGTTGGCACCCAGAATTCTTAATTACTTTTCTTTCCTGGAATGGAACCTTAATAATAAGGCTTTATGCAATTAACATTTATTGAGCTTCAACTGGTTTGACAATTTGCTGTGGTTTAAGAGTGCATACTTTGGAGCCAGGCTGTCTGAAATAAAATCTCAACTCTGCTACTTAACTAGCTTTGTGATTTTGGCAAATATATAATCTCTTTTGCCTCAGTTTCTTCATCTATAAGATGGTGTTGAAAATAGTACCTATCTCACAGGGTTGTTATAAGAATTAAATAAGTTAGTATCTGTAAAGTGCTTAGAACAATGTCTGGCACATGGTAGATGCTTAATTTAGCTACCAGTCACTATCATCATCGTTATTAATTATTATATGCAGAATATCACATTGGGAGTCAAGGATACATAACTGGATATGGATATGGCAACTGCCCTCTGGGATCTCTTAAGTAAGGTGATGAGATGCCAAGCACAAGGTCCAAAAATGAAAGAGACTGAAAAATATGTCTATTCTGTCTTGTGATCTGATGGGAGCAGCCTGACAGGCAGGGAGAAGCTCTTCCAAGTTTACAGCCTCTTAGACCTCAATAACTACTCTAGAGAATAGTGTTATGTGTTTAATTCATGAATCTCTTTAATCAAGGACAAGGATAATTTAGTCAAAAATCTGTTTTCTGGACTCTCCTTCACATAAATAATTGCTAGCTCATTAAGGAATGTTTTAACACAAAAAAAGTAATTTCTACATTTGTGTGGGTAGAAAAAAAAGACAGTGAAAGATTTTATAGATTGTAAAGGACTTTGAATGTTACACTGAGGAATTTGAACTTGTAAATAGCCAAGGAGCTACTAAAGCTTTATAAGTCTAGAAATGGAAAAGTTAGAAAGGACCTTTTAAAAGATTATCTAAATGAGGAATGGGGATGAAGTTTCTTTTTGGAATGATGGAAATGTTCTAAAATTACATTGTGATGATGGTTGTACAACTCCAAATTTACTAAAACTAATTGAATTGTATACTTAAAAGAGTGAATTTGTCTGGGCCTGGTTGGCTCAAGCCTGTAATCCCAACATTTTGGGAGCCCCAGATGGGAGGATCACTTGAGCCCAGGAGTTTGAGACCAGCCTGGGTGACATAGTGAAACCTCATCTGTACAAAAAATTAAAAAAAATTAGCTGGGTGTGGTGGCTTGCACCTGTGGTCTCAGCTACTCGAGAGGCTGGGGGGGCGGTGGGGATGGCTTGAATCTGGGAGGTCGAGGCTGCAGTGAGCTCTGATAGTGCCACTTCACTCTGGCCTAGGCGACAGAGTGACATCCTGTTTCAAAAAAAAAGGGTGAATTTTATGGTATGTAAATTATAGTTCAATAAAGCTGCTAATAACGAAGTTAATTAATAAATAAAGATCATCTAGTGATGGTCCAAGCCTCTCATTTCACAGATGTGAAAACTGAGTCCAGAGAGCTAGAGTTTTTTATCCAAGGTCAAACATCTAGCAAGTAGCAGAGGTAGCATTGTCTTTTAATTGTTTAGTATGCATAGCTTGTTCAGACTATAATAAACTGTGGAGTTATCACAGAAACGACATCCAAAATAATTGGAGTGCCAGATGGGTACAGAATGCTATCCTGGATAGTAATAATAAAAAATAATAACACTTTGTAGTATGTTAATAACACTTTGTAACACTTTGTAGTACCACACAGGAGATTACAATTTGTATGAAGCTTTCTTAAAAGCAGATAATTTTTGCCTTTACTTCCAGGAAACTAAGGCCAAATGTTCAGTCATGTTAACTACATTAGCCCTTGTACTTAGCATAATTGCTTCCTCCCAGTCTTCATGGCTTTGGTTTTCATTCTAATAACCTATTTGTAGATCTGTCTTTTATTATAAACAACCTGAAATGCATTTAGACAAGAAGCAGGGTCAAAATAAAGAAACATAAAACTGGGTAAAGAAGTGTTTTTCATTATGAAGGAAATGAGATTTCCAGAGGTGAGAATTGTGCTCCCCTTCCAGTTCCCAAAATTGCAACTCCAGTTGGCTTCACTGTGATCCTTCCAGTCTAGGAAATAGTGTGATATAATGGAAAAAGCATGGACAAAGCTGGCTTTGAATTCAATCTATATTATTTATTAGCTCTGAGTTCTTGGGCAATCACTTAAACACTCTGAGTCTGTTGGGACTATGATGAAGATTAAGATAAGGTATGATGAGGGCCTGGCACATTATAAGTGCTCTATAACTGTGTGTTTTTTCCTCTCTCCATCAGAGCCAAACAATAGTAGAGGCTTTAGTATACATTAGTCATGGGAGGTGTCAAAGATCAGCCTGTCTCAGGGAGATTTGCCTGAGCATCCAGAAAGGCTCTTGGTACTACATTGCAAGGAAAGAGGCTACCTAGAAAGCCCTGGTGGCAGTGGTCTGGCATTTTAGACACTGTTTTATAGGCATTGGAATAATTTTCCTCACCACCAAAACCCACTCCTTCAACCTCATTTTGTACTTGGGAAACCCCAACTAAGCAGTTACTCCTAGAAACCACTGGGATTTGTTTTAGGGTTGTGTCTTTTTAGATATCATTTTCTGGTTTTTGTGGTAAAATACTTAAGTGCTTTAGAGAGACGTTTTGCTAAGTACTAAAGACATTTTCATCATTTGAGACACCAATACTAGACAGAGAGTTAGGAGACCTGAATTCTGGCCCCACTTCTGATACTGACATGCTATGTGACCTTAGACTGTCTTTTTACCTCTCTAGGCTTCACTTTCTTCATCAGTAAAATAATATTTAACCTTTATAGAGCAATTGCTATGTGCCAGGTACTATTCTAAGTGCTTTATGTAAGTATTACATATTTATATGCTAATTTAACCCTTGCAACAATACTATTATCTTCATTTTAAATATAAAGAAAGCATCCAGAAAGCTTAAGCAACTTGCCCAGAGCTGGAAATACGAAGCCAAACAGTCTGTGACCCAAGTTTGTGCTCTTTACCCATGTACTATAGTGCTTCAATAAAATGAGCTGAGTGGATATACTAGCATTTCCTAAACTATGTTCCTGATGAACACTAGTCCCACAAGATAATTTGTTTTAAAAAAATGATTCTAAGGTAAAATATATTAACACCACAAACACTGTGGAGATTCATAGTGAACGTTCACCTATTAAAGGCTCCGAGAAGCCCTGCAATAAACCTGCTTATGTTTGTTTCACCCAGTGTTCCCCTATGCTGACCACAGAACTGTGTGTGTGCATGTGTGTACATGCCTATTAACATCTGTGGAACTAGGATTCATAGAACATGCCTTAAGAAATGCTGGTATCAATCTGGAAGGTTCCTTCTAACTCTTGAGTGCTTTCAGCATTTAAAAATGATAGATGTGGGGACTGCAAGATGCAGGATTCCTTTCCAAGTCTGAAATTTGCTTTAGTTGGAGGCACATGGAGAAGTAGGGTGTGGAGAGGCATAAGTTCAAGGCTAGTCTGGATTGTATTTTTAACACTTAACCTTCAATGACCTTGTACATCTTGACACAAAAGTATTCCACCATTCCCCTTCCTTCCTCCTGTTACATATTTTCTCGCTTATTACTTTAAAGAAGAGACCTAAATTAGAGAGGCTTGTCATAAAAGCCTGCCGTTTTTAATACATACAGGGCACAGCAGTTGTTTTCATGATGAATGCTCTCTGCTGTTGGGGGCAATGACACAAGGGGCAGGACTTGCTTGGGACATGGATGTGACTGATGAATATCATTACACTGGTTGGTATTCTAGAGCCAGGTGTCACTTCTTTTATTTATTATTGCAGTGCATCTAACTTGTTACCAATAATTGTGGCAAATCAGGACAGTAGATGGATTCAGAGACCTCTGAAGTACACCTGATTTCCTCTCTTCCTCCCTTCCTAGAAAGAAAATGAGAAAAACAAACAGATAAACGTGGATTATGGTTCACAGCTTCTCCAAGAGCAAAGTTCTTATAAATGTCAGAGTGCTCTATCTACAGCTCAGGAGTGGAGAAATAACAAAACAATTGGGTGGCCTGCCTGGGAATTAAAATCTGTACCGTACCTAGTGGTGGTCAGCCTCTTTTCTCTCCTTTTCTCTCTTTTTTCATCTTTCTCTGTCTCCTTCTCTTTACTCTGCCTCTCTTCTCCTTTTTCTTCTCTCTCCTCCTCCCTCCTTTCCTCTCTCCTCCCTTCTTTTTTACCTTCCCTCTTGCATCCCTTTCTCTCCCCTTCCTTTTTGTCTTTTCCTTCTCTCTCCCCCCAATCTCTCTCTCTCATTCTCTCTTCCCCTCACCCCCAACCCCACACACATATTCTGTGAGACCTCAGTTTCTGCCAGGTAAAAGCACTACCGGTAGTGCTTTATAACACTGTATCAGAAACAGATGGGGCCCTGGTGCCTTTGAGTAGAAAGAGGGGAGGGTCTGAGTAACTGCAAGTCTCCTAGAAGGTCCTACCTGCTAATAGGCACAGGATTCCTGCCTTTGGGAGACATACTATAGAGGAAGTTCAGCCTGGATATCAATAATTTTCCCCTCCCTTCAGGCTTCCTCAAAGACTGTTCTTTAAGTGTCACACAGCACTCTTTGTACTTGCATAATGTAGCCGTTTGGTAGGTAGTGCCCTGGGCCTTAGCAGGAATTTCTTCTGAGTGGCCAGTTTTTCCTCTTGTTGAGCATCTCCTACCATTCAGGACTGCATAAGGATCTCTGGGACAGTCAGGAGAAAGCTAAAGATGCTTTGTTTTTTTCAATTCCTACTACTCATCCCTTGACCATTTCTTTCCCCTGAAGTGTGACTTCTTTTCCTGAGTGTGAGTGAGTGAGGCCCTGTGCAATTGACACTGATGTTTTTCTTTTAATCTAATCACAATACACTTTGTCTAGCAGGGGCAAGCCTAGTTTCTTTCTTTTCTTTTTTGAGACAAGGCCTTGCTCTGTCGCCTGGGCTGGAGTGCAGTGGCATGAACTTGGCTCACTGCAGCCTCAACTTCCCAGGCTTAAGCGATCCTTCCCACCACAGCCTTCTGAGTGGCTGGGACCACAGGAGCATGGCCCCACACATGGCTAATTTTTTTAGCATTTTTTTTTTTTGTAGATATGAGGTCTCACTATGTTGCCCAGGCTGGTCTTGAACTCCTGGGCCCAAGCAATCCTCCTACTTGGGCCTCCCAAAGTTCTGGAATTACAGGTGAAAGCCACTGTACCTGGCGCTTTTTGACTTTTAGTTGGCTGAAATGATGACATGCTTTCACCAAACTATTTCTATCATGTTTACATATCCTTCTGCATTGAGATTAGCACAATGCCTCCCTGCAGCTTCCCCATCAGGTAAGGAAATGGTTTATACCCATGGTTCTCTTGCTGTAGTTCTTTGCAGCTTTTCCCATAAGTATTTTCCGTGGTGGTAGGGGGAGTGTTCTACTTATTCTGTGCCTGAAGATTCCTGTGAGTTGTTTTTCCCCTCTCATCCCCATGTGGGTTTTTGGTTTTAAAGTGCCCCCTGAATTCTGAGAGTTCTTTTTCATTTATCTTACACTGGTCCCTCTGGCTTTTCACTTAACTGTTTAATCCTTCTCTGGCCTTGTCCCACCTTGCTCCCTCCTTTCTATAGCTGGCCCCTTGTAGCTGACTTCACTTGCATCTGCTTCTCCAGCCACCCTTTAGCCACCTTCTATATTATCAAAAGACAAAATTACAAGAAAATTTAGTTATAGATCTAATTCATGAATTGGGGAACCTCCATTCTACAAAATAGAATGAGCGTTCCCACTGGGCATTAACAGAACAGTGTATTTTGTAAGGTGGGAACCGGAAAACAGAATAGAATAAAAATAATCAGTTAACATGAGGTTACTTCAGGTTACTTTTTTTTTTTGTCAGGGTGAAAGCAGAGAAGACTTCCTTATTAAGCTGATTCAGGTAGATTGGAGTCTCCTGTTTTCAGGAAAAACTGGTCCGTTTGGGGATCTGTATGTTTCTTTAAAGTTTCAGTTTGATTATGAGACATTTAACTTGAGTGACTCCCTATTGGTTTGGTCTGGCCTCTTGGGACCAAGTGCAGGAGCTCTGTCCAAAACAATGGTCTCTGATGTGATTAGGATCTTTGTCCCCACCAAGTCTCAAGTTGAATTGTAGTCCCCAATGTTGAAGACGGGGCCTAGTGAGAGGTAATTGGATCATGGGGATGGACTTCTCATGAATGGTTTAGCACCATCCTTCTGGTGCTGTCCTCATGATAGTGAGTGAATTATGAGATCTGGTTGTTTAAAAGTATGTGGCACCTCACCGCCTACCCTTGCTCTTGCTCTGCCATGTGAGATGCCTGCTCTCCCTTCACCTTCCACCATGGTTATAAGCTTCCTGAGGCCTCCCAAGAAGCTGTGCAGATACCACCACCATTCTTCCTTTAAAGCCTTCAAAACTGTGAGCCAATTAAACCTTTTGTCTTTATAAATTACCCAGTCCCAGATATTCCTTTATAGCAATGCAAGAACAGCCTAATACAGAAAATTGATACCGAGGAGTGGGGCATTACTATAAAGATACCTGCAAACCTGGAAGCAGCTTTGGAACTGGGTCATGGGCAGAGGTTGGAAGAGTTTGGAGGGCTCAGAGGAAGACAGGAAGATGAGGGAAAGTTTGGACCTTCCTAGAGACTGGTTAAATGGTTGTGAACAAAATGCTGATAGTGATATGGACAATGAAGTCCAGGCTGATGAGGTCTCAGGTGGAAACAAAGAACTTACTGGGAACTAGAGCAATAGTCACATGTGTTATGCCTTAGCAAAGAACTTGGCTGGATTGTGTCCATGCCCTAGGGATCTGTGGAAGTTTGAGCTTGAGAATGATGATTTAGTGTATCTGGCATGAAAAAAATTCTAATCAGCAAAGTGTTCAAGAATGGCATGGCTGCTTCTAACTGCCTATGCTCAGATGCACGAGCAATGAAATGTCCTAAGGTTGGAACTTATATTTCAGGGTATAAAAATTTGGAAAATTTGAAGCCTGGCTATGTGGTAGAAAAGAAAAGCACATTTTCAGAAGAAGAATTCAAATGGGTTCCTGAGCAACCACTTGCTGGATAAATTTGCATAACTAAAAATGAGGCAAATAGTGATAGCCAAGACAATGGGAAAAAGACCTCAAAGGCATTTCAGAGACCTTAATGGCAGCCCCTCCCATCACAGACCCAGAGACTTAGGAGGAAGAATAGTTTTGTGGGTCAGGCCGAAGGCCCTGCAGCCCTGGGCATCCTTAAGACACTGGTTCTCAAATCTGGGCTACTCTGGCTCCAGCCTTGGCACAAAGGGGCCCAGATATAGCTTGGATTCTAGCTCCAAAGGGTTCAAGCCATAAGCCTTGGTGGCTTCCACATGGTGTTAAGCTTGCAGGGGCACAGATTGCAAAAGAGGAAGCTTGGGGGCCTCTGCCTATATTTCAGAGGATGTATGAAAATGCCTGGGTACCCAGGCAGAAGCCTGCTACAGGGGCAGAGCCCTCACAGAGAACCTCTACTAGGGCAGTATAGAGGAGAAATGTAGGGTTGGAGCCTACACACAGAGTCTCCACCAGGGCACTACCTAGTGGAGCAGTGAGAAGGAGGCCACCACCCTCTAGACCACAGAATGGGAGATCCACTGGTAGTTTGCACCCTGCACCTGAAAAACCTGGAGGCATTCACCTACAACCTGTGAGAGCAGCTGCAGGTTCTGAACAATGCAAAACCACAGGGGCAGAGATGCAGAAGGCCTTCAGAGTCCACCCCTCACAGCAGTGTGCCCTGGATGTGGGACATGGAGTCAAAGGATATTATTTACTTAGGAGTTTTAAGTTTTAATGACTGCTCTGCTGGGTTTTGTACTTGCATGGGGCCTATAACTCCTTTCTTTTGGCTGATTTTTCCCTTTTGGAATGGAAATGTTTACCCAATGCTTATAACCCCATTGTATCTTGGAAGTAGCTAACTTGTTTTTGATTTTACAGGCTAGAAAGTAGAAGGAACCTACCTTGTTTCAGATGAGACTTTGGACTTTTGAGTTAATGCTGGGATGAGTTAAGATTTTCTGGGGATGATTGGGAAGGCATGATTGTATTTTCCAATGTGAGTAGGACATGAGATTTGGGGGACCAGGAGCAGAATGATATGGTTTGGTTCTGTCCCTACCAAACCTCATGTTGAATTATAATCTTTGGTGTTGGAGGTGGGAACTGGTAGGAGGTGATTGGATGATGGGGGTGCATCTCTCATGAGTGGTTTAGTACCATCCTTCTAGTGCTGTTCTCATGATATTGTGTGAGTTCTCATGAAATCTGGTCATTTGAAAGTGTGTGGCTTCTTCCCCCCATTTTACTTCTTCTCTCGCAGTGTGAGTGCCTGCTCCCTCTTCACCTTCCACCATGATTGTGAGTTTCCTGAGGCCTCCCTAGTAGCTGAGTACATGCCAACATCATGCTTACTGTACAGCCTGCAGAACCATGAACCAAATTATATAATATATAATAAATTATGTATGTATAATAATATACATAATTTCTGATTTTGGTTTTATATATCATATATATAATTTTTGGTTTTGGAATTCTATATAATTATAAATTATATCATATATATAATACTGTCTCCAATAATTTTGTTAAAATATATCTGTAGCTATATCTATCTATATATCTAATCTGTATTTATATGCCTCCAGCAAGGATGGCTCTATGCTGGAAATGAATGCCTTCCTAGCTTGTACATGAAAATAAGACTTCTTGGGATTGGAAAACAGTTTTAAGAATGACTTTGCAGGACAGAATCCTAGGGGCAGGTGATCAAAAGAGATCTTTTTTCTTTGAAGAATAACTGCACTGTGTTGTAGTAAGGACTCAAATGAAATATGACATGTAAAGCTCAATACTTGGTGTATAGTAACTTCTCTATTTTGTTATTATAGTTGTTGTTGTTGTTTCTGTATTTAAGGGTGAAGCTTGGAACCTACCCCTGGAAAATAAGAGGATGAATGGGATGAATGTGTTCTCATCCTTGGCTGCATACTAGAATCACCTGGGGAACTTTTTCACTCTTGAGATCATTTATGTTAGAATATCTAGGGGTGGGACCAAATAATCAGTATTTCTTAAACTTCTCCAATTCCAATATTCAGCTAAGAGGGAGAGCCATTGGCCTAAATTTGTTGTTGTTTTTAAAAATAATTCTGTATCTCAAAATAATAAGAGCTATCTATGACAAACCCACAGCCAATATCATACTGAATGGGCAAAAACTGGAAGCATTCCCTTTGAAAACTGGCATGAGACAGGGATGCCCTCTCTCACCACTCCTATTCAACATAGTGTTGGAAGTTCTGACCAGAGCAATCAGGCAGGAGAAGGAAAGAAAGGGTATTCAATTAGGGAAATAGGAAGTCAAATTGTCCCTGTTTGCAGATGACATGATTGTATATCTAGAAAACCCCATCATATCAGCCCAAAATCTCCTTAGGCTGATAGGCAACTTCAGCAAAGTCTCAGGATACAAAATCAATGTGCAAAAACCACAAGCATTCTTATACACCAATAACAGACAAATAGAGAGCCAAATCATGAGTGAACTCCCATTCACAATTGCTTCAAAGAGAATAAAATACCTAGGAATCCAACTTACAAGGGACGTGAAGGACCTCTTCAAGGAGAACTACAAGCCACTGCTCAACGAAATAAAAGAGGATACAAACAAATGGAAGAACATTCCATGCTCACGGGCAGGAGGAATCAATATCGTGAAAATGGCTATACTGCCCAAGGTAATTTATAGATTCAATGCCATCCCCATCAATCTACCAATGACTTTCTTCACAGAATTGGAAAAACTACTGTAAAGTTCATATGGAACCAAAAAAGAGCCCACATTGCCAAGTCAATCCTAAACCAAAAGAACAAAGCTGGAGGCATCACACTACCTGACTTCAAACTATACTACAAGGCTACAATAACCAAAACAGCATGGTACTGCTACCAAAACAGAGATATAGACCAATGGAACAGAACAGAGCCCTCAGAACTAATGCCGCATATCTACAACCATCTGATCTTTGACAAACCTGACAAAAACAAGAAATGGGGAAACAATTCCCTATTTAATAAATAGTGCTTGGAAAACTGGCTAGCCATATGTAGAAAGCTGAAACTGGATCCCTTCCTTACACCTTATACAAAAATTAATTCAAGATGGATTAAAGACTTAAATGTTAGACCTAAAACCATAAAAACCCTAGAAGAAAACCTAGGCAATACCATTCAGGACATAGGCATGGGCAAGGACTTCATGTCTAAAACACCAAAAGCAGTGGCAACAAAGCCAAAATTGACAAATGAGATCTAATTGAACTAAAGAGCTTCTGCACAGCAAAAGAAACTACCATCAGAGAGAACAGGCAACCTACAGAATGGGAGAAAATTTTTGCAATCTACCCATCTGACAAAAGGCTAATATCCAGAATCTACAATGAACTCCAACAAATTTACAAGAAAAAAAAAAAAAAAACAACCCCATCGAAAAGTAGGCGAAGGATATGCACAGACACTTCTCAAAAAAAGACATTTATGCAGCCAAAAGACACATGAAAAAATGCTCATCATCACTGGCCATCAGAGAAATGCACATTGTTTTAAACCACAATGAGATACCACCTCATACCAGTTAGAATGGTGATCATTAAAAAGTAAGGAAACAACAGGTGCTGGAGAGGATGTGGAGAAATAGGAACACTTTTACACTGTTGGTGGGACTGTAAACTAATTCAACCATTGTGGAATTCAGTGTGGCGATTCCTCAGGGATCTAGAACTAGAAATGCCATTTGACCCAGCCATCCCATTACTGGGTATATGCCCAAAGGATTATAAGTCATGCTGCTATAAAGACACATGTGCACATATGTTTATTGCGGCACTATTCACAATAGCAAAGACTTGGAACCAAGCCAAATGTCCAACAATGATAGACTTGATTAAGAAAATGTGGCACATATACACCATGGAATACTACGCAGCCCTAAAAAATGATGAGTTCATGTCCTTTGTAGGGTCATGGATGAAGCTGGAAACCATCATTCTCAGCAAACTATCACAAGGACAAAAAACCAAACACCGCATGTTGTCACTGATAGGTGGGAATTGAACAATGAGAACACATGGACACAGCAAGGGGAACATCACAAACCAGGGCCTGTTGTAGGGTGGAAGGAGGGGGGAGGGATAGCATTAGGAGATATACCTAATGTTAAATGATGAGTTACTGGGTGTAGCACACCAACATGGCACATGTATACATATGTAACTAACCTGCACATTGTGCACATGTACCCTAAAACTTAAAGTATAATATGAAAAAATAATTCCAGATCAATGGATTTTTCCATGTCCTTAATTTTTCTCAAATAAAAATTTTATTTAGATGAAGTTTGGATTAATTCAGTGGTTCTCAACAATGGCTACACAATGGAATCACCCATGGAGCTTAAAATATTTAAATGCCTCACCTCAGGCCAATTAAGTTAACCTTTGAGGGTGGAGCCCGAATATGTTTTGTTAAATCTCCCCTGGCATATAGCCCAGGTAGTACCACTGGTTTAACTGAAAGAAGGTTTGTGTTGTGAGGCTAAGTCACTGCAGAGTTTAATTGCTACAGCCATAACATAATTATTTAATGGAAATCTGAAACGTGTGAGCATTTCTGGGTAACACTATTCTGGAATAATCATCTCTTGTGGTTTACAAAGTGAAGTCAGACACATATTCATTTGGTGTTTGTAATAACCTCAGTGGCAGGCATAGTTGGGAAACTGGCACAGTGCAGTGAAGTCAGTTCCCTGGTTTAACTGAAAGGAGGTTTGTGTTTGTGAGGCTAAGCCACTGATGTTATCTGTAGGTTTTTTGTAGATGTTATTTATCAAGCTGAGGAAATGCCCCTCTGTTCCTAGTTTGCTGAGAGGTTTTTATCATTATTGGGGATTGGATTTTGTCAAATGCTTTTCTTCATCTAGTGGTATGACACTGATTTTTTTTTCCTTTTTAGCTTGTTGATGTAATGGATTACATTAATTGATTGTTAAATGATGAACCAACATTACATACCTGGAATAAAACCCACTTGGTTGTAGTGTATAATTATTTTTATACATTGTTGGATTCAATTTACTAATTTTTATGGTATGAATTGTGTCCCCCAAAAAGTTCATATGTTGAAGTCCTAACCTCAGAATATGACTTTTTTTGAGATGGGGACTTTACAAAGGTAATCAAGTTAAAATGATGTCATTAGGGTGAGCCCTAACCCAATGTGACTGGGTTATAAGGAGAAATTTGGACACAGGCATGCATATTGGGTAGCTGATGTGAAAAGACAGAGGGAGAAGATGTCTATAAGCCTAGAGGAGAGGACTGGGTTAGATCCTTCCCTCACATCTTTGAGAAGGAATCGGTTCTGCTGACACCTTGATTTTGGTTGTCTGAACTTCAGAACTGTGAGGTAATAAATTTCTGTTGCTTAAGCTGCCCAGTTTCTGGTACTTTGTTATGGCAGCCCTAGCAAACTAATACACCAATATTTTGTTGAGGATATTTGCATCTATGTTCATGAAAAATATTAGTCTGTACTTTTCCTTTCTAGTAATGTATTTTCTGGTTTTGGAATTAGGGTAATGCTAGCCTTATAGAATGAGTTAGGAAGTATTCTGTCTGCTTCCATTTTGAAGAGATGGTAGATAATTGCTATAATTTTTTTGTTAATTGTTTGGTGGAATTCACCAGTGAAACCATCTGGACCTAAACCTTTCTGTTTTAGAAGATTGCTAATTTTGGATTTTGTTTCTCTAATAGATATGGCCCAATCAGATGATCTGTTTCTCCTTGTATGAGTTTTGGTAGACTGTGTCTTTTGATGTATTGGTCCATTTCACCTAGATTATCAAATTTGTGGACATACAGTTATTCATAATATTGTTTCATTATCCTTTTAATGTACATGGGATCAGTAGTGATGGCCCCTCTTTCATTTCTGGTGTTATTTGTGTCTTCACTCTCTTTCTTAGGTAGCCTGGCTAGCATCTTATCAATTTCTTGATCTTTTCAAAGAGCCAGCTTTGGGTTTTGTTGATTTTCTCTATTGATTTCCTGTTATCAATTTCATTGATTTCTACTCTATAATATTTCAGAAGTTTACTTTGGATTAAATTTGCTCTTGTATTTTTTAGTTTTCTAAGGTAAAAGCTTAGATTATTGACCTTAGATTTTTCTTTGTTCTAATATATGCATTCAATGCTATAGATGTTCTTCTAAGCACTGCTTTTGCTATATCCTTCAAATTTTAAGAGGTATTTTCTTTTAGTTTGAAATGTTTTAAAAACATTTTTCTTGCAACTTGTTTGATCCATGTGCTATTTAGAACTGTGTTGTTACATTCAAGTGTCAGGCTGGTCACAGTGGCTCATGCCTGAGACCCTAGCATTTTGGGAGGCCAAGGCAGGAGGATCGTTTGAGGCGGGGAGTTTGAGACCAGCCTGGGAAACATAGTAAGAACTTTTCTCTACAAAAAGTTAAAAAATTATGTTGGCATGGTGATTTATGCCTGTAATCCCAGCTACTTGGGAGGTTGAGATGGGAGAATCACTGGAGTCCAGGAGGTTGAGGCTGCAATGAGCCATGATCATATTAAAAAATATGTTCTTAGAGAACTGACCCCTCTATTTTTATGTATTTCTTCTTGTTTTAGTCTGTTCAGGCTGCTATAACAAAAATACTATAGATTTAGTGTATTAGTTTTTTCTTGCATTGCTGTAAGGAACTACCTGAAACTGCATAATTTATGAAGAAAAGAAGTTTAATTGACTCACAGATCCACAGGCTGTACAAGAAACATGGCTGGGAAGGACTCAGGAAATTTACAGTCATGGCAGAAGGTGAAGGGGAAGCAAGCACATCTTCACATGGCAGAGTAAGAGAGAGACAGAGCAAAAGGGGAAGTGCTACACACTTTTAAACAATGAGATCTCGTGATAATTCACTGTCATGAGAACAGCAAGGGGGAAGTCTGCCCCATGATCCAATTACCCTCACCAAGCCCTTCTTCAAACATTGGGGATTACAGTTCGACATGATATTTGGGTGGGGACATAGAGCCAGACCATATCATTCCACCCTGGCCCGTCCCAAATCTTATGTCCTTCTCACATTTCAAAACAGTCATGCCTTTTTAACAGTTCCCCAGAGTCTTAACTCATTCTAGCATTAATTCAAAAGTTCAAGTCCAAAGTCTCATCTGAGACAAGACACATCCCTTGTGCTTATGAGCCTGTAAAATAAAAAACAAGTTAGTTACTTCCAGATACAATAGAGGTACAGGCATTGGGTAAATATTCCCATTCCAAAGGGGATATATTGGCCAAAACAAAGAGGCACCATGCAAGTTTGAAACCCAGCAGCGTAGTCATTAAATATTAAAGCTCCAAAATAATCTCCTTTGACTGTATGTCTCACATCCAGGCCACAGTGATGCAAGGGGTGGGCTCAGAAGACCTTGGGCATTTTGCCTTTTGGCTCTGCAGGGTACAGCCCTCTTGGCTGCTTTCACAGACTGGTGTAGAGTGCTTGCTGTGGGTGGATCTTTTCCAGGTGCACAGTGCAAGCTGTGGGTGGATCTACCATTCTGGGGTCTGGAGGATGGTGGCCCTCTTCTCACAGCTCCACTAGGCAGTGCCCCAGTGGAAACTCTTTGTGAGGGCTCCAATCCCACATTTCCCTTCCACACTACCCTAGTAGAGGTTCTTCATGAAGGCTCTAGCTCTGTAGCAGACTTCTGCCTGGACATCCAGGCATCTCCCTACATCCTCTGAAATCTAGGTGGAGGCTCCTAGGCCTCAACTCTTGCCCTTTGAGCACCTGCAGGCTTAACACCATGTGGAAGCTGCCAAGGCTTGTAGCTTGCACTCTCTGGAGCAGCATCCTGAGACGTATCTGGGGTTCTTTTAGCCATGGCTGGAGCTGGAGTGGCTGGGACACAGCAGTGTCCCGAGGCTGTGTATGGCAGCAGGGCCCTGGGCCCAGACCACAAAACCTTGATTCACTCCTGGGCCTCCGGGCCTGTGATGGGAGGGGCTGCTGTGAAGGTCTCTGAAATGCCTTTGAGGTATTTTCTCCATTGTTTTGGCTATTAACATCTGGCTCTTCCTTACTTATGCAAATTTCTGCATCCAGTTTGAATTCCTCCCCTGAAAATGGGTTTTCTCTTCTACCACATGACCAGGCTGCAAGTTTTCTAAACTTTTATGCTGTGCTTCTCTTTTAAATATAAGTTAGAGTTTCAGATTATCTCTTTGCTCACATATATGAGCGTATGCTGTTAGAGGCAGCCAGGGCACATCTTGAACACTTTGCTGCTTAGAAATTTATTCCGCCACATACCCTCAATCATCACTCTCAAGTTCAGAGTTCCACAGATCCCTAGAGCAGGGGCACAATGCCACTAATCTCTTTGCTAAAGCATAGCAAGAGTGACTTTTACTCCAGTTCCCAATAGGTTCCTCATCTCCATCTGAGACCACCTCAGCCTGGACTTTATTGTCCATATCACTATCAACATTTTGGTCACGACCATTCAACAACTCTAGGAAGTTCCAAACTTTTATCTTCCTGTCTTCTTGTGAGCCATCCAAACTTTTCCACCCAAAGCCTATTACCCAGTTTCAAAGCTGCTTCCACATTTTCAGGTATCTTTTTAGCAATGTTCTTCTTTTCTGGTACCAATTTTCTGTATTAGTCTGTTCTTGCATTGCTATAAGAACTACCTGGGACTGGGTAATTTATGAAGAAAAGAGGTTTAATTGACTCACAGCTCTGCAGGCTGTACAAGAAGCATGGCTGGAGAAGCCTCAGGAAACTTACAATAATGGTGGAAGCAAAGGGGAAGTAGGCACATCTTCACATGGTGGAACAGGAAAGAGTGAAGGGGAAGTGCTACACACTTTTAAACAACCAGATCGTGTGAGAACTCACTCACTATCATGAGAACAGCAAGGGGGAAGTCCACCCTCATGATCCAGTCACCTCCCACCAGGCCTGTCCTCCACCACTGAGGATTACAATTCAACATGAGATTTGGGTGGGGACACAGAGCCAAACCATATCGCTCAGTGAGACAATAGAATTTATTGCTCACAGTTCTGGAGGATGTGAAGTCCAAGATAAGATGCATGCAGATTTGGTATCTGGAGAGGGCCTACTTCCTGGTTCATAGACAGTGGTCTTTTTGCTGCCTCCTCACATGGCAGAAGGGGCAAACAGCTCCTTTAAGCCTCTTTCATAAGAGCACTAATCCCATTTATGAGCAGAGAACCCTCATGAGCTAATCACCACCTAAATACCCCACCTGTTAATACTATTGCATTGGCAGGGGTTAGATTTCAACATATGAATTTTTGAGGGACACCAGCATTCAGACCATTCCACCTCTCTTCATTCCTGATAACTTTCCTTGCTCTGAAGTCTTTTATGTCTTATATTAATATATGTACTTCAACTTATTTTGATTAGTGTAAGCATGGTATATCTTTCTCCATCCCTTTACTTTTTTTTTTTTCTATTGAGACAGTCTCTCTCTGTCACCCAGGGTGGAGTGCAGTAGTGTGCTCTCAGCTCACTGCAGTCTCTGCCTCCCAAGCTCAGGCAATCCTCCCACCTCCTCAGTCTCCTGAGTAGCGGGGACTACAGGCACCCACCAGCATGCCTGGCTAAGTTTTGTAGAGATGGGGTTTTGCTGTGTTTCCCAGGCTGGTCTCAAACTCCTGGGCTCAAATGATTCTCCTGCCTTGGCCTCCCAAAAGTGCTGGGATTACAAGTGTGAGCCACCACAGCTGGCCCTTCCTTCACTTTTTTTTTTTTTTTTTTTTGCTTAAAACAATAGAAATTTATTCCCTCACCATTCAGGAGCCCAGAAGTCTGAAATTCACATGTTGGCAGGGTTGCCCTCTCTCTGGAGGCTTTAAGGGAGAATCCTTCCTTATTGCATCTTCCAATTTCTGGTAGCTGTCAGCATTCCTGGTGGCTATATCCATCGCTCCAATCTCTGCCTCCATTTCACATATCCTTCTCTGTGTGCCGTCTCCTCTCTGTCTGTTATAAGGACACTTATCACTGGATTTGCAGCCCACCTTGGCAGTCCTGGATGATTTCATCTTAGATCTTTAACTTACTTATATCTGCAAAGACCCCTTTTCCAAATAGGGTAACATTCACAGGGTCCAGGTATTAGAAAGAAGACCTGTCTTTCAGGAGGCTGCCATTCAACCTACTATAGGTGTTCAGCAACCTTTTTCACTTCTCTTTAACTACTTTTATTCCACTCTTGGCTGAGTACAATCCTTATTCTGTTTCCTAAATACTGATGGTACTTCCTTGCCTGATTTGTGAGCACTAACTCTGTTAGTCCTTTAGGATAAAGAGCGTGCTTAGACATCTTTAATTCTATAACATTTGACACAGTGCCTGGCATATAGTAGATTCTCAATGAATGTTTGTTAAATGGATGGTTGTCGGGAGGGATCATGCCTTGTTTATTTCATTTTCCCTTAAAATGCCTAACTCCATAGTCTGAAAATAGTAGATACTACAGAATCTTGAATTAAAGAAAGAATACCTTTGAATATTCAGTTCTAGGTGTCTCCCAGGGGAATCTTTCTGAAACTTGGACCTCTGGTTGCCCTAGTGCTCTGCTCATGCACCTGTTTTGGCATTTACCACAGGATGTCTTTTGTTATGTTGCATTGAGTTGGGTTCATGTTTGCATTCTTCAACAAATTATAAACTCCTGGGAGTTTATAATTTATAATGTCTCATACATTCTACTTTTATTTCCCATGGGATGGTTTAGCACAGAATCTGGTACATAGTAGGCATTCAAAAAAGAATTACTGAATTAAATCTAGCTTTAGTTGTTTGTATTTTTGCTGTTGTCTGGCTCTGTGGTAGAGTGAACATCAAGATATCTGGCTGAAAGAAAACTTCCTGAGTCCATTTGGCTTTTTTTCTTTGAGCCCAGTGCTGTACCATCTTACTACAAGATCAGTATTCTTCAGATACAGTTACTTTGGCAGGAAGTTCCCATTATTACTGCCTTGTCTCTTCTAATCTGTCCCTGCCCAAAGAGAATGTGGTGTGCTTAGATTGGGGTATCTTGGCATCTTCCCCTAGCCTCCATGCTTTGACTACATTTTTGTTACCTTTCCTCTTTTAGAGGGTGGGCCATAGGGGTGGGAGGTTTTTTCAGTTCCCTTCCTCTCCCCAACCACACACGGTTAATAAGTCTGTGGCAGTATAGTATAATGGTGTATTAGTTCATTCTCACACTGCTATAAAGAAATAACTGAAGATTGGGTAGTTTCTAAAGAAAAGAGGTTTAATTGACTCATAGTTCTGCAAGCTGTATGAGTAGTATGGCTGAAGAGGCCTCAGGAAATTTTCAGTCATGGCAGAAGGTGAAGGGGAAGCAGGTTTATTTTCAAATGGCTGGAGCAGGAGAGAGGGAGAGAGAGGGATGTGCTACACACTTTTAAACAACCAGATCTCATGAGAACTCACTATCATGAGAACAGCCAGGGGGAAATCTGCCCTCGTGATCTAATCACCTCCCACTGGGCCCCTCCTTTAACATTGGGGATTACAATTCAACATAGGATTTGGGAAAGGACACAAATCCAAACCATATCAAATGGTTAAGAGTTTGGGTTCTTGCTTCTCACTGCCTGCCTTTACCTCACCACTTAACCACCCATGTGGTCTTCGATAAGTTAATTTACCTCTCTGAGACCCAATTTCCACATATATGAAATGGAATTAACAATATCACCTATCTTAAATAGTTATTATGAGGATTAAATGAGATAACATGTAGAGTATAGCACAGTGTTTATCATCTCTCTTTGTTCCCACTTTTGGCTTGGACATACTTCCTAGATTGGTGTTATTGGGGTCTGTGGATTGATTGGCCCAGCCCTGTCAGAGTTATTTGTCTGACAATGAAGTACTCTTTTC
The DNA here is from genome assembly GCF_000001405.40 of Homo sapiens. Lineage (NCBI taxonomy): Eukaryota > Metazoa > Chordata > Mammalia > Primates > Hominidae > Homo > Homo sapiens. The sequence goes on along the minus strand of NC_000023.11, from coordinate 64,372,907 downwards.
CTTTAAGTGCATACATATGAATTTTAATTTGTCATTAAAAAATATTACAGAAATTGCACTCTTGGCCATTTATCCCAGAGAAATGAAAACCTATTTTCATGCAGAAACTTGTGTACTATGTTCATAGCAGCTTTATTCATAATAGCCCCAAACTGGAAACTACCCATATGTCCCTTCAGTGAGTAAATGGTTAGATAACTTATGATATATCCATACAGTTGCAATACTGTTAATCAATGAAAAGAGGTAAACTATTGATATAGGCAAACACCTGGATGAATCTTAAGAGAATTATGCTGGGTGAATAAGGCCAATCTCAAAAGGTTACATACTGAATGGTTCTGTTTATATAATATTCTTTAAGAATTAATTGTAGAGATGAAGAACAGATTAGTGTTTGCCAAGGGCTCGATGGAGAAGGGATGGGTGTGACTCTAAAGAAATAGCAGAAGGGAGTTTTGTGGTATGTATGTATGTATCATGATTGTGCTGATAGTTACACAAAGCTATACGTGTGATATAATTGCATATAGCCATACACACACACAATTTATAACTGTTACCTGGTATACATGTATAACTACATATATAATGGGTATAATCCAAATAAGATCTGTGGATTGTACCAATATCATTTTCCTGGTTTTGATGACATAATATAGTTATTGTAAGATGTTAAATTTTGAGAGACTGGGCAAAAGGTCCTTGGGAACTTCCTGTAATTTTTTTTTTTTTGCAATTTCCTATGAATCTATAATTATTTAATAATAAAAAAGTTTAAAAAATCTTAACATTAAGGATTACCCCAAATCCTGTCATTCTAAATTTAGGCTACCGTTTTCATTCCATTATGTTCTCATCTATGTTCTCATCAATGTAGGTATGTAGGTATGCATACCTACATTGTTTAACATATTTATAATATTTTTACTTAACTTTTAAATTTATTATGTTAAATATTTTTATACAGTTCTGGAAAAATTTTTAATGGCACCAAATTTCAGATCTAGTTAATTTTTGTACACTTAATATGTGAAAGGCACCTACCTAGGAACCATAGTATTATTTATCTACTTAATAGTCCATTTTAATATAATGTTCTTAAATTTACCTAATCCTTTCCCCTATTATTGGACATACAGGTATTTCTAGTTTTCTCCTATTATTGGCAGAATCTCAGGGAATATTCTCATGTGTATAAATTTGATTTTCTGAGGATAAACTTCTAAGTGTAGGGATATTGGGTCAAAAGATACTGGTTCATACTTATATGTTCTTGACAGTTTTTCCATATTGCTTTCTAAAAGTGATATAGCATTGCAATCAGCTATGTATAAAGATACATTTCTGAGGATAAACTTCTAACAGTAGGGTATTGGGTCAAAGGATACTGGTTTATACTTATATGTTCTTGACAGTTTTTCCATATTGCTTTCTAAACGTGATATAGCATTGCAATCAGCACTGTATAAGCATACCAGTTTTACCACAACCATGCTAGTATTTGATGTTTTTCAAATTTAATACGTATAAAATAGTAGCTCCATGTCATTTAAAATTAGCATTTCTGTCATTACTAGTGAAATTTAACTCATCACATTTTTATTTTCTCTTATGTGAATTATCTGTTCATGTTCTTTGGCTACTTCATCTGTTGAGCTTGTAATGCTTTTCTTATAAATGTAAATAAGCTATTTATACTTTACAAGATTAATAAGGAGAACATTTTTGATACTGATTGATTTGTTAATTGATTGAGCTAGGGACTTGCTGTCTCACTTAGGCTGGTGTGGAGTGTCATGGTGCAATCGCAGCCTCAAACTCCTGAGTTCAAGTGATCCTTCTGATTCAGCCTCCCAAGTAGCTGGGATTACAGGCATGCACCACCATGTCTGGCTAATTATTTTTATTGTTTTTTGTAGAGACGAGTTCTTGCTATGTTGCCCAGGATAGTGTTGAACTCCTGGGCTCAAGCAATCCTCCCACCTTGGCTTCCCAAAGTGCTGGGATTACAGGTTTGATCCACCATACCTGGTCTGTCTTGGATATTGAGGATCCCTAATTAGAGCACATTTAGAGTTACAGTCATGCATCACTTTACCATGGGGATATGTTCTGAGAAGTGCCTCACTAGGCAATTTTGTCATTGTGTGAACAACATAGAGTGTACTTACACAAACCTACTACACACCTAGGCTATGTGGTATATAGCCTATTGCTCCCACCACCATTGTATTTGTGGTACGTTGTTGACTGAAATGTTGTTATGTGGTGCATGACTATATAAGAGAAAGTATCAAGGCCTCAGTAGATAAATGAATATCCTTTTCTTAAATGCCTTCAGGGAAAAAGGTGATACCATTTTTGTGTTATCCCTTTTAGCTATATGTAATTTGCCTACATAATTTGTCACACTGGCAGACTTTGGGCTAATGACTCATGGATGTCAACAAGAGAACATGTGAATGAAAAGATCATTGGGCTAGGGATTTTATGTTCACAAGCATCTCGCCTTTCCTTTTTTTTTTTATAAATGAAAATTTTCATTTTGTAAATGAAAATTATGACATCTAAGGGTATGAATATACATGTTAGAAGCAGGGGTTCTGAACCACTCATTCACCTATGAGTTAAAGAGGCCAACATCATACAACACCATTTAAATATCTAAGATTATTTCTCATGTTTCTGAAAAGGAAAGATGGCTTTTTAGTTTGTTTTGTTCTATTTTTCTAACCTCAGGTGTATTGCATTGAGTTCATAATGTGCTCCTCAATTCTTGGTACTTATCATCATTGGTCCATGAAAAGCTACCTCTTGTTTTTATTTAATTACTTAGCCCATTTTTTTCCCATTCCACTCCCCCATCTCAGGCAAGCATTCTAATATGATTAATGTGATTTGTATTAGAATGCATCTTTCAAAACATGATAGTTGTTTTATACACATGAAATTTTAGTTTATATAGTGATGCCTTCTGTATATCATTCTCTTACTTTTTTCCCTGTCATATTTATATTGCTGTATGTACATCTAACCCATTGCTTCTAATAGCTGCATAATATCCCATCACATTTGACCTGAACAGGCCTGTTCTTGCATTTCAATAAAGAAATACCTGAGACTGGATAATTTTTTTTTAAAATTATACTTTAAGTTCTAGGGTACATGTGGACAATGTGCAGGTTTGTTACATAGGTATACATGTGCCATGTTGGTTTGCTGCACCCATCAACTCATCATTTACATTAGGTATTTCTCCTAATGCTATCGCTTCCCCTGCCCCCTCCTCCATGATAGGCCCCCATGTGTGATGCTCACTGCACTGTGTCCAAGTGTTCTCATTGTTCAATTCCCACCTGTGAGTGAGAACATGCAGTGTTTGGTTTTCTGTCCTTGTGATAGTTTGCTGAGAATGATGGTTTCCAGCTTCATCCATGTCCCTGCAAAGGACATGAACTCAGCCGTTTTTATGGCTGCATAGTATTCCATGGTGTATATGTGCCACATTTTCTTAATCCCGTCTATCATTGATGGACATCTGGGTTGGTTCCAAGCTTTTGCTATTGTGAATAGTGCCGCAATAAACACACATGTGCATGTGTCTTTATAGTAGCATGATTTATAATCCTTTGGGTATATAGCCAGTAATGGGATTGCTGGGTCAAATGGTATTTCTAGTTCTAGATCCTTGAGGAATTGCCACACTGTCTTCCACAGTGGTTGAACTAGTTTACACTCCCATCAACAGTGTAAAGGCATTCCTATTTCTCCACATCCTCTACAGCATCTGTGGTTTCCTGACTTTTTAATGATAACCATTCTAACTGGTGTGAGATGGTATCTCATTGTGGTTTAAAACGATTTGCATTTCTTTGATGACCAGTGATGATGAGCAATTTTTCATGTGTCTTTAGACTGCATAAATGTCTTCTTTTGAGAAGTGTCTGTTCATATCCTTCACCAACTTTTTGATGGGGTTGTTTGACTTTTTCTTGTAATTTTGTTTAAATTATTTGTAGATTCTGGATATTAGCCCTTTGTCAGATGGGTAGATTGCAAAAATTTTCTCCAATTCTGTAGGTTGCCTGTTCACTCTGATGGTAGTTTCTTTTGCATTGCAGAAGCTCTTTAGTTTAATTAGATTCCATTTGTATATTTTGGCTTTCATTGCCATTGCTTTTGGTGATTTAGTCCTGAAGTCCTTGCCCATGCCTATGTCCTGAATGGTATTGCCTAGGTTTTCTTCTAGGGTTTTTATGGCTTTAGGTCTAACATTTAAGTCTTTAATCCATCTTGAATTAATTTTTGTATAAGGTGTAAGGAAGGGATCCAGTTTCAGCTTTCTACATATGGCTAGCCAGTTTTCCCAGAACCATTTATTAAATAGGGAATTATTTCCCCATTTCTTGTTTTTGTCAGGTTTGTCAAAGATCAGATGGTTCTAGATGTGTGGTGTTATTCCTGAGGCCTCTGTTCTGTTCCATTAGTCTGTCTCTCTGTTTTGGTACCAGTACCATGCTGTTTTGGTTACTATAGCCTTGAAGTATAGTTTGAAGTCAGGTAGTGTGACCCCTCCAGCTTTGTTCTTTCTGCTTACGATTGTCTTGGCAATGCGGGCTCTTTTTTGATTCCGTATGAACTTTACAGTAGTTTTTTTTCCAATTCTGTGAAGAAAGTAATTGGTATCTTGATGGGGATGGCATTGAATGTATAAATTACCTTGGGCAGTATGGCCATTTTCACGATATTGATTCTTCCTACCCATGAGCATGGAATGTTCTTCCATTTGTTTGTGTCCTCTTTTATTTTGTTGAGCAGTAGTTTGTAGTTGTCAATGAAGAGGTCCTTCACATCCCTTGTAAGTTTGATTCCTAAGTATTTTATTCTCTTTGTAGCATTTATGAATGTGAGTTCACTCATGATTTGGCTCTCTGTCTGTTATTGATGTATAGGAATGCTTGTGATTTTTGCACATTGATTTTGTATCCTGAGACCTTGCTGAAGTTGCCTATCAGCTTAATGAGATTTTGGGCTGAGACAATGGGGTTTTCTAGATATACAATCATGTCATCTGCAAACAGGGACAATTTGACTTCCTCTTTTCCTAATTGAATACCCTTTATTTCTTTCTCTTGCCTGATTGCCCTGGCCAGAACTTCCAATACTATGTTGAATAGGAGTGGTGAGAGAGGGCATCCCTGTGTTGTGCCAGTTTTCAAAGGGAATGCTTCCAGTTTTTGCCCATTCAGTATGATATTGGCTGTGGGTTTGTCATAAATAGCTCTTATTATTTTGAGATACGTTCCATCAATACCTAATTTATTGGGAGTTTTTAGCATGAAGGGCTGTTGAATTTTGTCAAAGGCCTTTTCTGCATCTATTGAGATAATCATGTGGTTTTTGTCGTTGGTTCTGTTTATGTGATGGATTAAGTTTATTGATTTGCATATGTTGAACCAGCCTTGCATCCCAGGGATGAAGCCAAATTGATCATGGTGGATAAGGTTTTTGATGTGCTGCTGAATACGGTTTGCCAGTATTTTATTGAGGATTTTGGCATCGATGTTCATCAGGGATATTGGTCTAAAATTCTCTTTTTTTGTTGTGTCTCTGCCCGGCTTTGTTATCAGGATGATGCTGGCCTCATAAAATGAGTTAGGGAGGATTCCCTCTTTTTCTATTGATTTGAATAGTTTCAGAAAGGATGGTGCCAGCTCCTCTTTTTACCTCTGGTAGAATTCGGCTATGAATCTGTCTGGTCCTGGACTTTTTTTTGGTTGATAGGCTATTAATTATTGCCTCAATTTCAGAGCTTGTTATTGGTCTATTCAGAGATTCAACTTCTTCCTAGTTTAGTCTTGGGAGGGTGTATGTGCCCAGGAATTTTTCCATTTCTTCTAGATTTTCTAGTTTATTTGTGTAGAGGTGTTTATAGTATTCTCTGATGGTAGTTAGTTTCTATTTCTGTGGGATCGATGGTGATATCACCTTTATCATTTTTTATTGCATCTATTTGATTCTTCTCTCTTCTTCTTTATTAGTCTTGCTAGTGGTCTATCAATTTTGTTGATCTTTTCAAAAACCCAGCTCCTGGATTCATTGATTTTTTTGAAGTTTTTTTTGTCTCTATCTCCTTCGGTTCTGCTCTGATCTTAATTATTTCTTGCCTTCTGCTAGCTTTTGAATGTGTTTGCTCTTGCTTCTCTAGTTCTTTTAATTGTGATGTTAGGGTGTCAAATTTAGATCCGTCCTGCTTTCTCTTGTGGGCATTTAGTGCTGTACATTTCCCTCTACACACTGCTTTAAATGTGTCCCAGAGATTCTGTTACATTGTGTGTTTGTTCTCATTGGTTTCAAAGAACATCTTTATTTCTGCCTTCATTTTGTTATATACCCAGTAGTCATTCAGGAGCAGGTTGTTCAGCTTCCATGTAGTTGAGTGGTTTTGAGTGAGTTTCTTAACCCTGAGTTCTAATTTGATTGCACTGTGGTCTGAGAGACAGTTTGTTGTGATTTCTGTTCTTTTATATTTTCTGAGGAGTGCTTTACTTCCAACTATGTGGTCAATTTTGGAATAAGTGCGATGTAGTGCTGAGAAGAATGTATATTCTGTTGATTTGGGGTGGATAGTGCTGTAGATGTCTGTTAGGTCTGCTTGGTGCCAACCTGAGTTCAAGTCCTGGATATCCTTTTTAACCTTCTGTCTCGTTGATCTGTCTGATAGTGACAGTAGGGTGTTAAAGTCTCCCATCATTATTGTGTGCGAGTCTAAGTGTCTTTGTTGTTCTCTAAGTACTTGCTTTATGAATCTGGGTGTTCCCGTATTGGGTGCATATATATTTAAGATAGTTCTTCTTGTTGAATTTATCCCTTTACCATTATGTAATGGCCTTCTTTGTCTCTTTTGATCTTTGTTGGTTTAAAGTCTGTTTTATCAGAGACTAGGATTGTAACCCCTGCTTTTTTTTGCTTTCCATTTTCTTGGTAGATCTTCCTCCATCCCTTTATTTTGAGCCTATGTGTGTCTCTGCATGTGAGATGGCTCTCCTGAATACAGCACACTGATGGGTCTTGGACTCTATCCAATTTGCCAGTCTGTGTCTTTTAATTGGGGTGTTTAGCCCATTTACATTTAAGGTTAATATTGTTATGTGTGAATTTGATCCTGTCATTATGATGTTAGCTGGTCATTTTGCTTGGTAGTTGATGCAGTTTCTTCCTAGCCTCGATGATCTTTACAATTTAGCCTGTTTTTGCAGTGGCTGGTAATGGTTGTTCCTTTCCATGTTTAGTGCTTCCTTCAGGAGCCCTTGTAAGGCAAGCCTGGTGGTGACAAAATCTCTCAACATTTGCTTGTCTGTAAAGGATTTTATTTCTCCTTCACTTATGAAGCTTAGTTTGGCTGGACATGAAATTCTGGGTTGAAAATTCTTTTCTTTAAGAATGTTGAATATTGCCCCCTACTCTCTTCTGGCTTGTAGAATTTCTGCTGAGAGATCCGCTGTTAGTCTGGTGGGCTTCCCTTTGTGTGTAACATGACCTTTCTCTCTGGCTGCCCTTAACATTTTTTCCTTCATGTAGAGCTTGGTGAATCTGACAATTATGTGTCTTGGTGGTGTTCTTCTCGAGGAGTATCTTTGTTGTGTTCTCTGTGTTTCCTGAATTTGAATGTTGGCCTCCCTTGCTAGGTTGGGGACTTTCCCTTGGATAGTATCCTGAAAAGTGTTTTCCAACTTGGTTCCATTCTCCCCGTCACTTTCAGGCACACCAATCAAATGTAGATTTGGTCTTTTCACATAATCCCATATTTCTTGGAGGCTTTTTCTTTCTTTTTACTCTTTTGTCTCTAAACTTCTCTTCTCACTTTATTTCATCAATTTGGTTTTCAGTCACTGATACCCTTTCTTCCACTTGATCGAATCGGCTATTGAAGCTTGTGCATGCATCATGAAGTTCTCGTGCCATGGTTTTCAGCTCCATCGGGTCATTTAAGGTCTTCTCTACACTGTTTATTCTAGTTAGCCATTCGTCTAATCTTTTTTCAAGGTTTTTAGCTTTCTTGCGATGGGTTCGAACATCCTTCTTTAGCTCGTAGAAGTTTATTACTGACCTTCTGATGCCTACTTCTGTCAGCTTGTGAAAGCCATTCTTCATCTAGCTTTGTTCCGTTGCTGGTGAGGAGCTGCAGTCCTTTGGAGGAGAAGAGGCGCTCTGGTTTTTAGAATTTTTAGCTTTTCTGCTCTGGTTTCTCCCCATCTTTGTGGTTTTATCTACCTTTGGTCTTTGATGCTGGTTACGTACAGATGGGATTTTGGTGTGGACGTCCTTTTTGTTGATGATGATGCTATTCCTTTCTGTTTGTTACTTTTCCTTCTAATAGTCAGGTCCCTCAGCTGCAGGTCTGTTGGAGTTTGCTGGCGGTCCACTCCAGACCCTGTTTGCCTGGGTATCACCAGTGGAGGCTGCAGAACAGCAAATATTGCAGAGCAGCAAATATTGCTGCCTGATCCTTCTTCTGTAAGCTTCATTCCAGAGGGGCACCCGCCTGTATGAGGTATCATTCGGCCCCTACTGGGAGGTGTCTCCCAGTTAGGCTACACAGTGGTCAGGAACCCACTTGAAGATGCATTCCGTCCTTTCTCAGAGCTCAAACACCATGCTGGGAGAACCACTGCTCTCTTCAGAGCTGTCAGACAGGGACATTTAAGTCTGCAGCAGTTTCTGCTGCCTTTTGTTCAGCTATGCCCTGCCCCAGAGTTGGGCTCTAGAGAGGCAGCAGGCCTTGCAGAGTTGCAGTGGGCTCTGCCCAGTTCGAGCTTCCTGGCAGCTTTGTTTACCTACTCAAGCCTCAGCAATGGTGGACACCCCTCCCCCTGCCAGGCTGCTGCCTTGCAGGTCAATCTCAGACTGCTGTGCTAGCAGTGAGCAAGGCTCCGTGGGCGTGGGACCCACTGAGCTAGGCACGGGATATAATCTCCTGGTGTGCCATTTGCTTATACTGTTGGAAAAGCACAGTATTTGGGAGGGAGTGTCCCGATTTTCCAGGTACAGTCCGTCACGTCTTCCCTTGGCTAGGAAATGGAAATCTCCCACCCCTTGCACTTCCTGGTTTAGGCGATGCCCCACCCTGCTTCAGCTTGCCCTCCATGGCCTGCACCCACTGTCCAACCAGTCCCAATTAGATGAACCAGGTACCTCAGTTGGAAATGCAGAAATCACTATCTTTTGCGTCGGTCACGCTGGGAGCTGCAGACTGTAGCTGTTCCTATTCGGCCATATTAGAAAAGAAGAGACTGAGTAATTTTTAAAGAAAAGAAGTTTAATTGGCTCACAGTTCTGCAGTCTGAGCAGAAACCATAACACAGGCATCTGCCTCTGGGTAGGCCTCAGACAGCTTACAATCATGGCATAAATTGTAGGTGAGAAGCAGGCATCTCACATGTTTGGAGCAGGACCAAGAGAGTGCAAAGTGCCACACACCTTTAGACAACCAGATCTCACAAGAATTCAGTCATTATCATGAGGACAGCATGAAAGGATGGGGCTAAATCATTCATGAGGAATTCACCCCCATGATCCAGTCACTTCCCACCAGGCCCCACCACCAACATTGGGCATTATATTTCAACATGAGATTTGGGTGGGGACAAGTATCCAAACTGTATTACCTGACTATTCTCAAAGTGATGGACATTTGCTGAGTCATAGGAAATACATTTTTTTTTATTAAGTAGTGCCAGATTGCCCTTCCGAATGGTCCCCACGTATCTGTAACCCCCTGGTTGTAGTGGATGAGGATTCCTATATGCCTTGAACCCTACCAACACTTGGCATCTTCTAGCTGTCTAGTTTTTGCAAATCTTGTAGTCTTAAAGCAATATCTTATTTTAATTTAACTTTATTTTATTCCCAATGTTTTGAGCTTCTCTTCATGGTTATATGCTTCTGGGATTGCCTCTTATGCAACTTGCCTGTTCTTATGCTTCATATATTTTTCTTTTGGGGCCTCTTTTTCTTATTGAGTTGCAAAAGTCCCTTGTATATTCTAGATAATAATTCCTTGTTAGTTTTAGGAGTGGCACATATGTTCTCCTATTCTCTTATTAATTTTTAAAAAGTCTTTCCCTGTTCATAGATCCAAGGTACTCTGCATTTTTTCAGTAACTTTATATTTTATGTAAGAGTTACATATAGATATATCTAGAGTCTAGTTTTGTATATGGTGTTAGGTAAGGATATGGCCTTAGCTTACTGCATGTACTAATACTGTTTCCCCAACACATCTAGCAAATACTCTTTTGTCTGTCAATTTGTAGTGCCATGTTTATGCTCTATTAGACTCCCATTTTTTACATCAATCTGATTTTGAGCTCTGGTCCTTTTCCATTGGTTTATTTTTCTGTTTTTTTTTTTTTTTTTTTTTTTTTTTTTTTCTGCAATAGTACTAGAGGTTTTTTGTTGTTGTTGTTGTTGATTTTTTTCCCCCACAGCTTTGAGTATGTTTTAATACCTAGTAGAGCAAATCTTTCCCCTTTACTTTTTTTTGAGGTTGATTTAGCAATTTGTGGGGTTTTGTTCTTCTATGTAAATTTAGAATAAGTTTATTAGAAAATCCACTTTGAAATATGATTGAAATTGTATTGAATTTATAGATTGAGGGATAATTGCCATCTTTATTATATTAAGTTGGCCTATCCAAGAGCATAGACATTATTTCTTTAGATTATATTCTATATCCTTCATTAGACTTTTAAAGTTTTCTCTGTAAAGGTCTTGTGTATACTTGGTTAATTAAGCTAATTTCTAGATTCTATATAATTTTTGTTGCCATCGTGAATGTTATTTTTTTAATTATGTTTTTTAAGTGATCGTTGCTGATATAGGAAAATGTTATTGACTTTTGTGGTTGATATTATATTTGGTATCCTTGCTGAACTCTTTTATATTAGTTCTGAGAGTTTGGTTGATTCTTTTCTTTCATTTTTTTCTAGTTGAATGATTACCTTCTGTAAGTGGTGCCAAATATAGAACTTCCCTTCTGATCCTTGCATTTCTTAATTCCACGCCCCCTTTCCTCATAGTATTTAGCCAGGATATTTAAAACAATAGCAGTAATAGTTAGAGTCAAGTTTGTCGTGTTCATGATTTTAAATTAATGCAGTTAGTTTCTTCATTATTCATAACATACTTTGTAGGTTTTTTGTATATAATTTTTACCAAGTTAAGATCGTTTACTTTTATTCCTTGTTTACTAAGGATTATCATTATAAATAGAATTAAGCTATATTAAATACTTCTTTTTCTGTATCAATTGAGATAAAGCATATGATTTTTCTTTTTAGTCTTGGTGATGTATTACGTTGACATTTTCTGATGTTGAACTCCCCATGCTTTCTTGTGATAAACTGCACTTGATCAAAATGTATTTTTTAAAATATACTGTTGATTCATTAACATTATTTAGCATTTTTTGTGTCTACATTTCATAAATGAAGTAGCCCTAAACTTTCTTACTTTATAATTGTCTTTATTTGATTTTAGAATCAAGATTAAATTGCCCTCATAAAATGGACTGAGTAACTTTATTCTTTTTCCAGTGACTGGAATCAATTGGATAAGGTAGTAATTAATTATATTTTGGAAGTTTAGTAGAATAAACCTATAACATCATCTGGGCCTGAGGGTTTTGTTAGGGAAAATCTTTGACTACCATTGCCATTTTATTTTTTTCTTGATATTTAAAAACAGTTCTTATAAGTTTTCCAATTTATTAGCATATTGTTGTTCATAATAGTGATAGTTTTAATTTTTTATATTTTCCCTTTTTCATTCTGTATTTTGTTTATTTGCATCTTTTCTCTTTTTTAGCAAAGATCTATCCTATTAACCTTTTGAAATAATTAAATTCTGGTTTGTTAATCTTTTCTGTTCAGGCTATGTGTGTGTATCTGTGGAGGAGGATTCTCTGGTTTTAAATTTCTGTGCTTTATCATCTTATTTCTCTGTTCTTTTGCTTATTTCCATTACATTGACTGTTCAACTAGTATGTTGTTAACCTTTCTCATTTCATGGTAAACTTACTTACTACTATACATTTACTTCTTAGTTCTTGTTTAACTCTGTCCTTCAAATTTTTATTTGTTGTGTTTTTATTATCGTTCACTTTTAAATATTTCTTAGTTTCCTTTCCTTTTTCTTTTTAACCCAAGGTTAATTTAGTAATAAGCTATTGTGTTTTCAAACATACGCTACATTTTGGCTATTATTTTGTTATTAATTTCTAGTGCTATTGCATTGTGGTTGGAGAACCTAAACTGTATGATATTGAACGTTTGGAATTTATTGATGTTTCATTTACAGCTGTAATCATGGTCTCTTTTTGGGAATTTTTTTTTGTTGTCTTGAATGTTCTATTTGTTGGATATAGAGTCCTACTCTGTATATAATAGCTTGAGTTTTTCAGTTGTAATGTGTAAGTGTTCCGTATCTTCATTTGATTTTTTTTTTTTTTTTTGGTCTGCTTGACCTATTAGTTCCTAAGAAGAGTATTAAAATATCCATGTGCACTTGTTCCTTTTCTCTTTGCAGTTCTGCTAGTTGCTTGATATAGTTCGAGACTGTATTATACAATATGTTTATATTTATGATGGCTATATCTTCTTGTCCTGTTGATTTTTGTCACGTAAATTCTATTTAGTCAGATATTGAGACTGCTACCTCAGCTTTATTTTGGTTCATATTTGCCTGGCATATCTTATTATTTTCAGTTTGTGACTCTAAAGTATATCTCTTCTAGTCTGAATATTGTTGAATCTTTTGTTTTAGTCTGTGTCTTTCTTTTAATTGGTAAGTTTAATTCTTGTACATTTATTGCAATTACTTCTATATTGGGATTTAATTCTGGCATTTCTTTTTATGTGTTTTATTTATGGTACTCCTTTTTTTTGTTTTGTTTTTCTCTTTTTCTGTTTTTTTTTTTTTTCTATTCTTGCCCTGTAACGTAAGATCTATCTTCATGTTATTTACCCTTACTGATTTTTTTACACATACAATAACTGCACCTTCTTCCAACAAGATAAGTACCTCAGCAGGCTCTCAGGTTCTATATATTTTCCAGTTATACGTACCTCATCTTGTAAACTTTGTCTAGAATTTTTATCTTTTCTAGAATACGGGTTTTCCTCTCACTTTCATAGTTTTTCCCGCACTGATTTCAGAAAAGGTAATACAGATCATAGTAGTTTGCCACCTTGGCAGGAACTGGAAAGACTCGAGTTTTGTAGCAAATTAACAGCGTTTATCTTGCTTTGAATGGCCCCACTTCAATCATAGGTGGTGAGTTGGTAACTTATTCAGTATTTTTTCCTCCAATAACAGGTAGAAAACGTGAAATTGGTGGATCGTTATGTGAGTAAGAAACCAGCTAATGGGATTCTTTATCTTACTGCAACCCACCTGATCTATGTGGAGGCTTCAGGTGCAGCCCGGAAAGAAACATGGGTATGTTCATGAGAAGAAGTATCAAAGAGTCTTAAAGAGTTGTGCATACATGCTCTCTATATGGTAGTTTCTTGAAATTTCAAGTGTAATTTTTAAATTGCTGTAAAACCTTTTCTTCAGAGGACCTATTCTAATAATCTTTTTATGGTCTGAATTGTATTACTCCTCTTTTTTCAAGTTATTGGCTCTGGTCATCATAGTCATTTTATTCTACATGGGAATATTCCTGGGGTTTAGCTAAATTATTTTTAGGTAGAATAGTTTCTGCTAATTTTCTGAACTATGTTTGTAAGCATCTTGAAGTAATTTAAAGCCTTGCTGCCCATAAAATATAGTTCAAGAACCAGCAGCATCTGTAGCGTATGGGAACTTGATAAAAATGCAAAATCTCAAGCCTAAGATTTTGAATTTCTAAAAAGGGCTCAGGTTATGCTGATGCTAAGGCCTCATGGACTTTACCTTGGGCAACACTAATTTAGACCATCTCTCTGTCCTAAGACAGGATTTTACCTGGGTATATATATATGTGTGTGTGTGTGTGTGTGTGTGTGTGTGTGTGTGCATGCACGGGCATGTGTATGTGTTTCTTTTTATACCTGTAAGTAATGTTTTCTAATTAATTCAGCACCCCAACATTACTTTATGCCTTACCCATCCTAAAGATCATAATTTAATCTTAACTTAATCATTAGTTAGATTTATGCTTAGACCTCTCCATTTATAAGAAGTACAACATGCTTCTTTTATACCGCATAGCTTAGTGATTAAAGCTTTAGAGCCAGTCTGCTCAGGTTGAAATCCCAGCTTCAACATTTACTACTTTTGTAACCTTGGGCAAGTTGTTTAACTTTTCTGTGTCTCGCTTCCTTCTTCTGTAAAATACAGATAAAATAATACCTTGAATTAGTTTTAAAAAGTCAAGATACAAGAATTATAAAGTGAATGTTTATAAGTGCTTACAACAATGCCTGGAACATGGTAAATACTATCATATAAGTATAAAATGAATTGAGTATGCACATGAAAGAAGTATCTTAATACTTCCTTTTAAAACTGAACTTTCCCCATGTGAGATTGTATTTTGCTCCTTTTGCTGTGATAAGAATGTCAAAAGAGGAATGAGAACTGGGCTAGACTAAGCTCTGATGCTAACTGGCTATGTAACCTTAGGCAAGTGATTCTTACTCCTTGGGCTTGTTTCTTCATCTGTAAAATGAGGTGGTTAGATTATATAATTAGTAAGGATTCTTGTAATTCTAACAGTTTAGGAACCAGTTCTTTAGTACTGTGCCGTAAGCCTATCTCCTATCTACCTGCATTTATAGACAGTACAGATGTCTCCAGATTTGTTCCTTTTGGGTATTATTTCAAACCCAGTGGACTGTATCTGGAAGGGAGCACTTACACTTATTTCTGCATGTCAAAGGAGGCTTATTTACCCAATTAGGGAAGTTCTTCCCAGCCTTAGTCTGCCTACCTTCCCTGGACCCTTCCCAGTTTCACCACAATTGTTTGCCTGGGCCCTGATCTCAATTATCAGTATCGTACTACCAAAACACACATCTCTCATGTTGACTGGAAGATCTTTGATTTTCTTGAGGTTGAATATATTAATTCATATTACATTTTGTGATGCCTCCAGAACTGCCATTGCAGGACTTGAGTGTGACAAAACAGTTAAGATAGAACTTAATTATACCTGTGATCCCAGCAGTTTGGGAGGCTAAGGAAGAAGGATCGCTTGAAGCCAGGAGTTTGAGACCAGCTTGGGCAACAAAGCAATACCTAGTCTCTACAAAAGTTAAAAAAATTAGCCAGGCATGGTAGCACACAACTGTATTCCTAGCTTACTCAGGAGGCTGAGGCAAGATGATCTCCTTTGAACCCAGGAGGTTGAGGCTGCAGTGAGTCATGATTAAGCCACTGCACTCTAGCCTAGGCAACAGAGCGAGACCCTGCCTTAAAAAAAATAGAAAATTTATCCTAGGAATATCTGAATCATTTCCACACTTGCTCCATTCTTAGATGGTGGATATGATTGAAAGACTTCATTGAAGAGATGACTTTTCCAAAGAAATTAGGGACTGGGGCATTGAGGTGATGGGAGAGCAGAAAAGGCACTATTGATTGGAAGACCATTCCAGGCACAGGACAGGGAGTCTAGAGAATGGAAAGAGCACATCCAGGCTCCATAGTTGCAGAAACATAAGACAGGGATAGGAGGAGAACATCAAAGATCAAAATGCAAAACCATGATTATATGGCTTTTTGAATCAATTAAGAGAGAATTATATTATTTGGACACATTTTGTTTCATCAGTTCCCTTTCCATGCATTTCTTTTTTTGCTGGCATCAGCATGAACAGAAGTAATCATCCTACATTCTTTGCTTTACTGTCACTAGAGTTTAAAATGTAGAGGAATAGTTCCTCCCTAACATTTCTAGTTAAATCCTTATTCCAGAACTTAATCCTGGACTTAAGTTTAGACTGCTATGGTTCAAATTCTGTTTGTGCCACTTCTTGGCTATATGATATCTGATGAGGAATTCACTTCTCAGAGCTTTGTTTTTTTTTCATTCCTGAAATAGGATGATTACACGTCAAATGGCTCTTCTTAAATAGCTAATGGTCATGGACTACTTTGTTTATGATAAGGCACAATACCTGCTATTAATAATTATCTTAATTAGTAATTTGATATAAGAAAAAAAATTCCTGTTTTCCTCTGTAACAATTATTCTGATTGTGAACTCTATCACAGCATGCTAAAAGTCATCTATTCTGAGCTGATCTACCAAAATTGTCCCACAAACTTGGTAATCTCGTATCCTTAAGGAGAGAGAAGTTTTCTAACACTGCAGTCTGCTTCTTGTTGCTTTACCACTATTATGCTTTAGTTCTATTTGAGAGAACCCCAGTTGTGTCTTACAAAGAATGGTTGTAGGCTGTAGATGTAGCCTACAGATCTGGTCATGCTGTTACCATTACGGAGAGTCAGGAATACTGATAGTGATAGAGATATTGCACATCTGTATGTTTACGCTGGTTCTTTTATGTTTTTCAGATTGCACTCCATCACATTGCCACTGTGGAGAAGTTACCCATCACTAGCCTGGGTTGTCCCCTGACCCTCCGCTGCAAGAATTTCCGGGTGGCCCACTTTGTTTTAGATTCTGACCTTGTGTGCCATGAGGTTTATATTTCACTGCTCAAGCTTTCTCAGCCAGGTAGTTATGATAGTATTTTTATCTAAAACCATTTTAATATTTTTCCAAAATGGCATAATGGAAAGATCAGGGCTATGGAGTCAGAGGAGGGTTTGGATCTGGGCTGTACCACTTATTAGCTCCATTATATTTGGGCAAGTTATATAACCTCTGAACTCATTTTCTTTACCTGTAAAAGTAAGGAGAGTAAAAGCTCTTCAAGGGGATTGTTTTGAGCCTTGAATACCTTCATGTATTAGTATATAGTAGATGTTTAATAGATATTTTCTTCTCTCTCCTTCCCTCCTTTAAAGTATCAACTTGTGAATGTTTTCTCAGTTCAGGAAGGAAGACTGCTTTGGAAGAAAATTTGTTTCCTGCTGTCCTGCAGACTTTTTGTTTGGCCCACGATTTCCACCCCTACTTTTAATTCCAACTAGAAGACTAAGGCAGTTCATCAAAGTCCTCATTAATGTAGGACTTAATGCTTCCTCCAGCATCACCCTTTCATTCCCCAGCCCCCACCCCTAGGCAATTAACCAGCTTCCTCTGATTTTAGTCTTTGATTTTAATCATGCTCTTACATTTTCTCTCCCATTTTTCCCCTTTTCCCTCAGAGTAATTCCTCAATATTTGCTGATTTTTATTGATAAAGTTACCTGCTGGATGGCCTAGCATTTTACAAGTCTCTGATAGGCTCCATTAATCTCTGGAGAAGTTGTTGCCATATAAATTGGTCAAATGAGTTATTTGATTGGATGCTGTATCTCGTGAAGGGAGGAAGCAGGACTGACAGAGAAAAGAGAGGAAGGGGCCATTTATAAGTCAGAAGTTGCTGTTGGTCTGACAAGTACAATGCAAAAACATTGTTAAAGATGTGCAACATGTTACAATAAGCAGTACTATTAGGACATGGGAGCCCAGTTAAAAACTTTTGGTAAGGACTCTTTTCTTAACATGTGAAACCCTGAAGCCTCAGTTCAGTCAATTATCCAGCATTCTTTTTTTATAGGAAGCCAGGCAGAAAGATCCCACTTCGTATTGATAACACAAAAAATTAAAACATTTTTTCAAAGAACCCAAACAATATTCCAGTTTTTATTCCTTACATAAAGGCAAACTTGCACACACCACAGTCCTTTTCTGGGGCTGTTTGACAAACATTCCCTTAGGAAAAGGAAATCTAGCCTTTATTTGCATTGTTTGATGATTTTTAGGTTTCATTCATCATTTTGTTTTCCATGCCTATCTCTCTTCTCCAGCATTACCTGAAGATCTTTATGCTTTTTCTTATAATCCCAAATCCTCAAAAGAGATGAGGGAAAGTGGATGGAAACTGATTGACCCAATATCAGACTTTGGGCGTATGGGAATACCCAACAGAAACTGGACCATAACAGATGCCAACAGAAACTATGAGGTAATTTTGTCCTTGTTGTTTGCCTTTTGGTGCATTTAATTAAGATGGTAGAATATCAGGAAACAAGATTTTGAAAAAAGAGAGAAATGACTCATAATCTCTCTCTCCTTTCCATTCAACATTCAGCCATTCAACAGACATTTATTGAGTACCTACAGTGCAATAGGCACTGAGTAAGAGATCTCATGGCCTAAAGCATAGGGTGTTATGGGAGCATAGGTGCAGGGCATGAAAATCAGCCTAAGGAAGCCAGAAACAACCTGATGCTTTGCAGAGTAGCCTTGTGAAGGCTAATTTATTTTAACATTTTTTATTTTTAATTATTATGGATATATAATAGTTGTACATATTTATAGGGTACATGTGATATTTTTATACAGGCATACAATATGTAATGATCAGATCAGGGTAATTGGGGTATCCATCACCACAAGTATTTATCATTTATTTGTGTTAGGAACATTCCAATTCCATTTTCAGTTATTTTATTATTGTTATCTGTAGTCGTCCTGTTTTGCTACTGAATACTAGATCTTATTCCTTCTATCTAACTGTATTTTTGTACCCGTTGAGGATCCTCTTTTTATCCCCCCCACTCCACTACCCTTACCAACCTTTGGTAACCATCATTCTACTCTCTGTCTCCATGAGTTCATTTTTTTTTTTTTTTTGCTCCTACAACATGTGAATGAGATTATGCAATATTTGTCTTTCTATGCTTTGTTCATTTCACTTAATATAATGTCCCCCAGTTCCATCCATGTTGTTGCAAATGACAGGATTACATTTTTTTGTGACTGAGTTATATTCTATTGTGCATATGTACCACAGTTTTCTTTTCTTTCTTTTTGAGACAAGGCCTCACTCTGTTGCCCAAGGTAGAGTGTAGTGGCATGACCATAGCTCAGTGTAGCCTCAATCTCTTGGGCTCAAGTGGTCCTCCCATCTCAGCCTCCCATGTAGCTGGGACCATAAGCACCCACACCCATGCCTGGCGAATTTGTTTCATTTTTTGTAGAGATGGGATTCTTGAACTCCTGGGCTCAAGCGATCCTCCCTCCTTGGCCTCTCAAAGTGCTGGGATTATAGGTGTGAACCACCACCCCTGGCCAATAGTGGCTGTACTAATTTACATTCCTACCAATTGTGTATGAAGATTTCATTTTCTCCATATCCTCACCAGTATCCATTATTGCCTTTTTGATAAAAGCCATTTTAACAGGTGAAATGATATCTCATTGTGGTTTTGGTTTGCATCTTTCTGATGATTATTGATGTTGAGCATTTTTTCATATACTTGTTGGTCATTTGTGTGTCCTCTTTTGAGAAATGTCTATTCAGATACTTTCTCCATATTTAATTGGATTATTTGTTTTCATTCTATTGAGTTTCTTGGGCTCCTTATATTTTCTGGTTATTAATCCCTTGTCAGATGGGTAATCTGCAAATATTTTCTCCTATTCTGTGGGTTGTCTTTTCACTTTGTTGGTTGTTTCCTTTGCCATGGAGATTTTTGGCTCAGTGTTAACCCATTTGCCTATTTTTGCTTTAGTTGGCTGCATATGCTTTTGAGGTCTTACTCGAGAAGTCTTTGCCCAGACCAATATCCTAAAGTGTTTCTTTGCATATGGACATCCAGTTTTCCCAGAACCATTTATTGAAGAGACTTATTTCCCCCAAATATGTGTCCTTGGTGCCTTTGTTGAAAATGACTGAACTGTAAATGTCTGGATTATTTCTCCTAATTTATGCAGGGGGAGAAGGAAGGAGGTCAGGAAGTGAAGCCATATCATAAAGCGCTTCGTGACCAAATTAAGGAATTTGAACTTTATCATGAAGACAGTTGTGAGCCACAAGAGTATTTACGCTTGAAAGGAACATATATATATATATTTGTGTTTTAGAAGGATAACTGTTATTAGTGTGGAGAATTCGTTTGCTGGAGCTAAGAATGCAGAAGAATGATATGTGAAGTTATGAGAACCTGAACTAAGGCAATGGCTGTAGATGGAAAGGAGATGGTTTTAAAAGATATTTAGGTGGTAGAATTGAAAGCAACTGGTGACAGATCAAATGTGGCTAGAAAAGTGAAGGAATTTAATATGCATCCCAGCTTTCCTGGTTTTGGCTTTGATGACCAATGAGTAGTGGTGATGTTAACAAAGATAAGGACCACAAGAAGAGGGGCAGATGGTGTCTTCAATTTTACACTTGACTTCAAGGTGATTAAACAGATATCAAGTATTTGATTTCAAGCATTTGGGTTTGGATCTCAAGAAAGAGCTCTGGGCCAAATATGGACATCTGGGAATGTGTTGAAGGTCCCAAAGACCGTTCCTCAGGTTTTGTGATTTACTAGGAAAATTCATAGGACTCGGTGTATAGTCATACTTATGACTGTGATTTATTACCGTGAAAGGATCCAAAGCAAAAATCAGCAAAGGGAAAAGGTTCAGGGGACAAAGTCAACAAAACCAGGAACAAGCTTCCAGAGTCCTCTCTCAGCAGAGTGACGTAGGACACACTGAATTCCTCCAGCAGAAATTGTGACAACACTTATGAAATGTTGTCTGCCAGGATGCTCATTAGAGGCAAAGTGCTCAGGGATTCTATTGGAGCCTGCCCACATAGGCACGTTCTGCTTAGTGTATGCCAGAATTCCAGAAGTCCAGAAGGAAGGCAGGTGTTCAGGATAAGCCACATTGTTTGTACAAACAGTTTTAAGCACAATGCAAGTAGGCCTTTCTAAGGGTAGTCTGATGGTTAATATTGTCAATTTGATTGGATTGAAGTATGCAAAGTATTGTTTCTGGGTGTGTCTGTGAGGCTGTTACTAGAGGGGAGATTAACCTTTGAGTCAGTGGACTGGGAGAGGCAGACCCACCCTTAATCTGGGTGGGCACCATTCCCTCAGCTGCCAGTGCAGCTAGAAAAAGCAGGCAGAAGAAGGTGGAATGAGCAGACTTGCTGAATCTTCCAGTCTTCATCTTTCTCCCATGCTAAATGCTTCCTGCCCTCGAACATCAGACTTCAAGTACTTCAGCTTTTGGATTCTTGGACTTACACTAGTGGTTTGCCAGGGGCTCTCGGGCCTTCAGCCACAAACTGAAGGCTGCTCTGTTGGCTTCCCTACTTTAGAGGTTTTGGGACTCGGAATGATCCACTACTGGCTTTCTTGCTCCTCAACTTGCAGACGGCCTACTGTGGGACTTTACCTTTTGATTGTATGAGTCAATTCTCCTTAATAAACTCCCTTTCCTATATACATATATCCTATTAGTTCTGTCCCTCTAGAGAACTCTAACACAGGTAGCAATCAGGCCTGCTAGGATAATTTTTCTGCAGAGAGAGTCATTGGTGTTTAAGTGATATTCCTGAATCGTTCATCTTTAACAGTGTTTTTACTATCATAATAAGACTGTTATTGCATTGACTTTCTGGTAACATAGCTTTGAATGTCTACTAGGTATGGGGATTGATGAGCTGTGACTTCGCAGGGTCATCTGTGAGGTGGCTTGTTAGGGTCATGCTTGAGAGGAATAAGTAGAGATTGGGGGTGAAATCTGTCCACCTCAAATGTGTGTCTGAGTCTCCCAAAGAAGGTCTGAAATACTCTTGTTGGTCTTTTTGATGTGTATAACCTTCTAAGCTGAATGGGGAGCTCCATTTATTTTTCTTTGTATGACTGTCTTCTCCAAAGTTTAAGTCCAGGTAAGGGGGTGGGTAGAAAACATTTTCAAATGGTCTGCATTCTGGGGACATTGACTTTAATGAGTTACATAGAGCATTCTTAATCTTATCTACCTTTAACTTTTTTTATTTTTGCCTGTTCAGTTTATATTTGTTTCATCTGTTGTTAAATGTTTGGGGGTGTTCTTTAGTTAGGGGAGTGATTAGAATTAATTTTGCAATGTCAGGTCTGTGGTGTTATAATATTTTGTCACTGTCTCTTTGGAAATATGTATTTTGGTAACCACTAAAAGCTGATAAACTTGAGAAAATATGTCAGTCTTTTCATAGAGTAAGTCACACCTAAAATGTCAACACCTCCAACCCCCAGACTAGTGGTTTAAAGGCCGTCCAGATATGAACACTAGGAACCTAGTATGCAGTTTATATATATACATTTTTCACTTGCTAGCAACAGGCTGGAATTAGCAATCACTCAAGCATTAGCTAGCTGGTATTTAATCATCTATTCCTCAGAAATAGAAATGAAAATATCCTTGGTATAAAAGCTTTTCCAAGTGTGCTATTATTTTCTAGAAAGGAAGGGATTGAGACATATAAGAACAAAATGTACTTTTAGAATTAGAAAAACAAAAATCATAGACAGAAACACACATAAAACCCCATGTTGAAATTCCTACGTGTGCATATCAGAGCAAAAACAATAACTGTAAACAAGTGAATTAATATGAACGGACACAAATATGAAGCAGACAGGTAGAGGAGGAGGAAATATGATGTACTCTTTCATAAACTACATACTAGGTTCCTAGTATTCATATCTGGACGGCCTTTAAAACACTAGTCTTGGGGTGGAGGTGTTGACATTTTAGGTGTGACTTACTCTATGAAAAGACTGACATATTTTCTCAAGTTTATCAGCTTTTAGTGGTTACCAAAATACGTATTTCCAAAGAGACAGTTATATATAAATGTATAAATATATATTTATATATATTGTGCTTATTTTCTTTTAGATATGCAGCACCTACCCTCCTGAAATAGTGGTTCCTAAATCTGTTACCTTGGGAACGGTGGTTGGAAGTTCAAAGTTCAGAAGTAAAGAACGTGTCCCTGTGCTCTCCTACCTCTACAAAGAGAACAATGTAAGTTAAGCAGATTTCTCTAATGATAATTAAACATGGCTCTGGAAGACCTGTTTTAAGTTTCATGCTGCCACTTAGTAGCTGTGTGACCTCAGGCAAGTTACTTAACTTCTCTGGACTTTCATACTTCTGAAGGTTTTTGAGAGGATCTCAGTAGGAATAATATGTACAATGTACTTTGTAAATTGTAAAATGTTATGCAGATGTTAAGTGTCATTTTAGTATGTTTATTTCTTTTTCTTTTTTTCCTTTTCTGTGGGATCCAGCTTTGTGGAAAGTTGTGAAATGACAGAAAATTAGTTGTATACAGGATTTTTTGGGGGCTGTGGCCTCCCAGTAGAATACAGATATCCTTGATACTTTCTTAGTGCTTTTCATATAATTTCAGGTAGTAGTAAGAAAGCACTTGACTCCTCTGTGTTTCAATCCCCTTACTTATGTAGGAAGTGATAATATTTATCACCTCTTGTAATCACTCTGAGATCTGGGGTTAGACAAATAGGCAAGTTGTCAGGTGGGCAACCGTTCAAGTGCTAAGGAGTATAGTAATGCAATTGGGTGTCATATTATTGAAGTGAGTTGACCCCTTAAAAGCCACATCAAAGTGTAACGAATTTCATGAACTAATCATTACCAGACATTCATGTTAAATAGTTACGTTGTTTTTGTGTTAAAGTGGCTTGAAACAAACCACCCTTCTGATTTGGCATTAACTTCTGAAACTAGTGAACCCTGTTTTCTTAAGACGCTGTAGATCTTTGCTCTATCTTGAATTCTGCTGCCTCCGCAAGCTTATGGTTTATGTGGGCAATATTACTGGGACTGTAAAAAGTGAGGCGGTTTCAGAAAAATAGCCCATTATATATCGAGAATAGAATTTCACTAAGGAAATACTCATGATGTGATTTTTTTTGTAGTCTGATTTACCAAGACTGGGTTGGAAATTAGAGCCACATGCCCAGGGTAGGCAGGAGGTTAAGCCCAATGTCAGTGGAGAATGACTTTAGAGTCACATTTCTCTTTGCTTTGGACACTATCTTAAGTTGGCTCATCCTCTCCCTCTACTCATGGAACCTGGCAAGGGTCAAGAAAGATTTTTGACCATTTGTGAATATAATCACTCAACTGACACACCTTTTCCTTACAGGCTGCCATTTGCCGCTGTAGCCAGCCTCTCTCTGGATTTTACACTCGCTGTGTAGATGATGAGCTCTTGTTGGAGGCCATTAGCCAAACAAACCCAGGGAGCCAGTTTATGTATGTTGTAGACACAAGACCAAAGGTATCTATTTCTCAGTGATTTCTTTGATATTTCTGCCTCTTGCATTCTACCTCCTCATATATTGAGACATGCAGTGTTATTGGGAAAGTTAGGTTTGTGTATGTGTGTTTATTATGTCAGACATTGTGTAAAATCATTTCAGGAAGCCATTTGGGGCTCCTTTTATAAGGTTGCCACTGTCAAGTGAGGTTATGAGAGGGTATTTCAAGCAACCTGTCTTTCCCACCTCAGTGTGACGTCCTGCATAGAAGGCTCCTTAACATCCCTCATCTTTTTTACCAAGTCTGTTCCTTAACCAGAATTTTCAGTATTCCCATTCTGTGGTCTAGATTTACTGTTAGAGAAAGAGCTTCAACTTAGACATTGGAAACTTACTACAACCAACATGTTTTTTTTTTTTCTATAAATGTGTTAGGCCACAGTAATTTAATAATACTTTGGTTCTCCCAAAGCACCAGGGTTCACAAATTTTACTGCTATGCAATTAACAAAAAATCTTTAGCTCATATGGCAGTAATTCTTTTTTAGCATCTAGTACTGTTAGCTGATTAAATTTTTGCCGGTTTAGTACAGTGCAGTTTAAATCTTCGTCCCAGAGAATTAAAAAGACCAAGTTCATAAATTTGCCGTGGATTTTGGCAGTGGACATGGATAGACCTAGTCAAATCCTTTGATCTTTCCAATAATCTAATGCTGCATGATTTGTTGCAATGTGTTTTCTCAGGCTTTGTCTCTTTCAAATATGAACATTGCTGAACAGAGTGTCCTCATGTTAACCTAAGTATCAGCTTAAACTCCTCTCTGCATTAATTCCTTAACCTTCAAAGTTTTGTGTGGCTCTATATGGGCTGTAGAAGAACTCATTGTGTCCCACAAAAGAAGTAAAGGATAGATTCCATATTCTTAAATGTTGTCCTTTTTACAAACAGCCCCAGAAAGAAATAATTTTGCTTATAATTTGGTATGTAAAGTGTGACTGACTAAGAGGTTTCATTGCTGATTCTAGTCATTACTAAATTGGTGATTTTCATCTAAGCCTAAGCCAGATGGTTGTGACTTAAGAGTTGAGCAGTTGGATGTACATGAAACCAGATAGTTGCCTTAGACAGCTTTCTGCCCCATCTTTGTGATCCCTCAGTGGCTATTCTCCAGAGCTACCTAGGACTGACTGAGCTCAGGAGAGAAAATAATTTCCCTTTCTGTTCAGGCCCATCCTTCAGTTTCTCAGAAGCTTGCTGTCTTGTTTCAGCCATAACTGCATCTGAAATTCTGCAATTGAAAAGAGTTTAATCGAGTCTGTATCTTTAAAAATTAAATAATCTTAAAATAGTAAAGAGAAATACACCAAGCTTTTGAAGAAACAAAAGAGTTGGTGCCTTTTGTTCAAATCTAACACCAAAAAGCCCCCTTTTTTTTAACAGGTTCCATTTTCCTCTCTCCAATTTGAGCAAATTAAGACAGGCCTAGAAATATCTGGCATTCCCTCTCTTCTGGATGGCTAGATCCGTACTTTTAGTAGGAACTATATTATACTGACAAAATTTTGTTCTAGGAGTCAGTCAAACCTGAGGTCAAATCCTGCTTTCAGCCTTTATCCATATCATCTTGGGCAAATTGGTTCATCTCTCTGAGCCTGTTTTCTTATGGGGATAATATAGCACCCATTTTGAGAGGCTGTAATGAGGATTAAGTGAGATAATGTACATAAAGGATTTAGCACAGTGTCAGGCATATAATAGGAGCTCAATAAATATTACATTACAATAAATATTACATCTGACATTCTGCAATTGGAAAGAGTTTAATCGCGTCTGTATCTTTAAAGATTAAATAATCTTAAAATAGTAAAGAGAACTACACCAAGCTTTTGAAGAAACAAAAGGGTTGGTGCATTTTGTTCAAATCCAACACCAAAAAGCCCCTTTTAACAGGTTCCATTTTTGTCTCTCCATTTTCCTCTCAGTTTGCCACCTGAACATTAAATAGGTATCTGTTACTCAGATCTGCCAGACATATTTTTAAAGAGTGAATACTGGTATGAGGTAGCTAGTTATCTGCATTAGGTGGCCTACCCAGGCCTGGGTAGTGACTACTGTAATTATTATTATTATTATTATTTTTGCTGAAGCATCACTCATAACAAACATCCTTGCTACTAGGTGACTATTGCTTATGCTTCCACGGGTGTTCCTTTGACATTTGTCATTAATTTAATGAAAGCTCAGTAACACTATCAATGTGATAAAAGATCAAAATTACCATCACATTTCCCCTTTTAACAGATGTCTTGCATTGTAAACAGAATATGTTTAGCACACTGACTTTTTTCCCTCTGCATGTTCTAACTTGAATAGTTTGTGTCTTGAGGTTTTTGTATTCTTTTAATACAAAAATTATACCCTGTCCACATACATGCTCCTCCTGCCTTCTGAAATGCACAATATTGGGAGATGAGAAAATAGGCCCAGAAAACAGAAAATCACTTAATTAGTAAGATGGTCATTATCGTAGACAGTATCTTGGCTGCCTTCTGGTTATTATATTCATATTTCCACAAGTCTCATTTACTCCCTACCCCACCCAGCATTCTTCATATGACCTAGAGATTTTCTGATTACCACAAACTGAACATAGTGTTAAAACAGTTGGTGATGTCTCCATTTCAATTTTGTCAGTGAGTAAAAGTCATTTATCTCATGCAGTCACATTTTAGACATTTTTCTAGAATAGCTATTTAATTGGGCTGTATGTGGTGGCTTATGCCTGTAATCCCAGCACTTTGGGAAGCCAAGGCAAGAGGATTACATGAGTCCAAGAGTTCAAGGCCAGTGTGGGGAACAGCGAGACTGTCTTTACAAAAAACATTTTTTGTAAAAAAAATTAGCCAGGCATGGTGGTACGTGCCTGTAGTCTTAGCTGTTCAGGAGGCTGAGGCAGAAGGATTGCCTGAGCCCAGGAGTTCAAGGCTGCATTGAACCTTGTGATTGTGCTGCTGCACTCCAGCCTTAATGACAGAGTGAGACACTGTCTCTTAAATAAATAAATAAAATTAATTCATCCTGAAGTTCTTAGGCTTCTTTCTAGAGCTTCTCAGTTGTAAATATTTTTGAACTTTTGCATGTTTCTCAGTATAAAACCCTTTCAGCTGAGAAAACATTTGTGGTAGGCAGCTCAAAATTATTATTTCAGTTTTTTAGATCAGATATCCTCATAGCTGCCATAACTTTTCTCTCTTAAGAAAGGTTTTCATAATGAAACAAAACACTGTATCTCCCTATTTTTCCCCTATATGAGTCTGTTACTAAAAGTACCTGATGTAAAAACTAGTGAAATTCTCTCCATTCCAGAATGTATCTCATCTGATTTAACTTCTTTTTAATTGGGTAGGATTTTAAACGGTTCAGAATGAGGCATTGAGATTGATGAACTCCATTCTTTCATCATCTGGCCTATCTGCTCTATTATGTCCTCTGCTATTGCAGTTGAATGCCATGGCCAACCGAGCAGCTGGGAAGGGGTATGAAAATGAAGACAACTATGCCAACATTCGCTTCAGATTCATGGGCATTGAGAACATCCATGTAATGCGGAGCAGTCTGCAGAAACTCTTGGAAGGTACAGGGATTTCACCTTGGCTAGGCAAGCGGCCATAGCTTTGCGTTATCATGTAAGCAGAAAGCATGCCTGATTTGGGGTGGAATATAAAAGCAAGCAGGTGAGCAGAGTCAATAAGTGGTTAGGTGTTTAACTATTGTACAAATCTAGCTTAAATAGTACTGAATTATAGCAGTGTTGATCTGGAAAAGGGACTAAGATGTGCAGTTTCATAATTCAATAAAGTTCATCTGGGTCTAGTTGGTATGAAAATTATTTCTCTCTGTGGAAATACAGAGGTTGATTTTCAGGGATAGGCAAACCAGCATAAGTATTAAATAAATTTGGGATTCATTTTATCATCCTTAAGGTAAGAAATTATCTTCTTTAATTTGGTATAAGGATTCAGTCTGATTTCATCACTGTGCTGATGAAGTTGAATTTAGACCTCAAAAGAATAAAGTTGATATCAGACAGTTTTGGTGATCTGTTATCGACTACAAAATGATTAGGGTCAGAAAGGGGGCAAGGTGGGATTGGGGCCTTACAAGACTCTTGGGTGTAGAGCATTTCTCCTAAAACCACTACCCAGGATTCCATGATGTTCTATGTCAACTCAGGCAGAGATAGTGAAAACCTGCCTTCTTTAGTGAACTCCCCATTCTTCCTCTTCTTTCTTCAACTTTGTACTTGCGTAGTCTGCCATGACCTCTCCTTTACATCACCCTTGCCAGATCTCATCTGCTCAGTCTGCATCCCTTTTAAAATATTAATATCCCTCTTCCTTAGGTCTCTTACTCCTTTCTTTTTTGCCCCAGAATATTTTATGGAAGAGGACTTTGTTTTACAGATTTTTAAGGCAAAAGATTTCCCTCTGCTGGATAATTATTGCAAAGTGCATAAAAATTAACTGGTATTTTTTTTTTCAACCTGTTGACAGAACAGGGCTACAGGGAGTAGATGGGGGTGTGGGAGTAGAGACAGATGCTGAGGGCCTTCAGAGTTAGCATAAGTGGGTGGGATTAGGATAGGGATCAAATATGTTTTCTAATCAGAGGAGGTGTGTTTTCCTGTAGATGCTAATTCAGTCTTCTGGCTCTCTTCTTGAGAGATTTCTAAGGGCTTGAGAGTGGGTTCTACAGCATGATAAAGCAGAGGCCCAGGCGAGGAGATCTGGTAGGCTTTAGACCTAGTTCTGTCCCTGACTCACTGTGTGGTTTCTAACTAATCATTTAACCTTTCTGCCTCAGCTTCCTCACTTACGATATGGAGATCCACTTTCTCCCCTTAATGAATAAACTGAGTTGATTGTGAATTTCAATCTCTGCTTCCTTTTCTACCTTAGTTTGTGAATTGAAAACTCCAACAATGAGTGAATTTCTTAGCGGCCTGGAGAGCTCAGGGTGGTTAAGACACATTAAAGCTATTATGGATGCTGGAATTTTCATTACAAAGGTAATAATCAGGACTTTTAAAATTTGCACTGACTTTAATTATGGGATATATTGAAGTAGTAGTGTGCCATGGTGGAAAGAATATTGAAAAGAAATCTAGTTTCTAGATTCAGCTCTGCCACTAATTCACTGTGTGCCCTTGGGCAAGTCTCTTTTCTTCTCTGGGTCTCAGTGTCTCCATCTTTAAACAAGGTGGTTGAACTATAATCTAATGATGTAACTTTTAGGTGGCCACAGAATTCTTTGGGAATATGATTAACCCTCTCCCCCACTGGAAAAATGAACATATGATGATACATACAGAAAATGAACCTCAATTTCAGGGGGTCCACAGACCCCTGGACTTCACATTAAAAACTCTTAGGTGATCTCTAATTGATAATTGATAATAATTGATCTCTAGCTCAGTTATTCTGTGATATATTTTTGTGTTGATTCTAAGGTATTAAGTACAAGGGTGGGTGTGAAATAAATGCAGAGCTTATGTATCTATGAGTTTTCAGAACTCTGAGTACAAAGACCTATTTTTTTAAACTTCTTTGTATAGATCTGCCTCCAAATGCAGTCTAGGCAGGCTTTGTCACCCTGTATTTATGCTGACTCATTTATTTTCTGATCTCTAGGACCCTAGGCTCTGTAGCCTTTGTTAAGTGGTTTGTTTTCTTACAAAAACAAAAACAAAATTCAGTGTATATTTTCTCATTTTGACGTTTTGTTTTTATGTATTTCTACATGAGTACTCTACCTCTTCATCCCACCCCCATTATTTGGTAAAAGCAAAGGAGATAATGACTTTTCATACATCTGCTATAATTTTCTCAGTTGAAGGCAATGTTATATATAACTTCTGGCTTAAAAGGTTTGAAGATTGTATATAATGAACTGCCTTAAATATCCAAGCCCTAATGCTTTTTGCTTTCCTAATCCTGTTGCCTGCACTTTTCATTGTTATTGATGTTCACTATGTGACCCTGTCAGTTGTTTCAAGCCCACTATTCTAACTATTCTTTGTTCTGTTCCTTTTTCATAGATTCTACATCCATATATCTATAGTCCCTTTCTGAAACCAAATTTATTAGACCAAAGAGAGTGAGGATGGATAAGAGGGAGATTTGATAGACAGTACAGCCTTATAAATATTGGTTGAATTAAAATGAATGAACCAAAAAGATAGGCTTGGATTGCACAGTGTTTCTGTGTTCCCTATCTCTGTTACCACCTATCCAATATCCCAAGCGTGAGAACTTCAGTCAGCCTTGAACTCTACCTCTTCTCCTCCATCTGGCTATTGCCAAGTCCCATGTGTTCTGCTTCAAAAGTGTTTCTCAAATCTGTCCTTTCTTCCCAGTCTCCACTGCTATTTCTCTAGTTAAGATAGCCACAATCCATTGTTCACAGTGTAATAACCTCTTAACTGCTTTACTTGTCTCTAGTAGTTACTCTTTAGTTCGGGAACCAAATTGCTACTAAAGTTATTTTTCTTGAACATGTCTGATCATGTCACTTTAAACTCAAAATCCTCCATTGGTTATCAATTCTATTGCCAATAAGACCCCATAAGCTTGACATTCAGAGTCTTTCACAATGTCGCCCCAGCTTGGCTGTAGTGGACCTCTTGCTGTTCTCTAACATACTATGTTACTTCTTTTTCTCTCTCTTTTTTAAATGTTTATTTTATTTACCTATTTTCTCATTACAAAAGCAATACATGTACATTATCAAAGAAGTAAACATTTCAGAAATATATAACATAAAATGTAAACATTCCCCATAGTTTGTACCACAGTGCATACACATCACTGATAGTAGTTTAATGTTTATGTCCTTCAGTCAGCACTGTCCATTTGAACTTTTTGTGATGATGGAAATATTCTGTATCTGTACTGTCTAATACAGTACCACTACATGTGGAAATTGAGCACTTGAAATGTGGCTAGTGAGACTGAGGAACTGAATTTATGATTTTATTTAGTTTTAACAAATTCAAATTTAAGTAGCTATAGGTGGCTGGTTACTACCATATTGGACAGTGCTGCTGTAGAATTTTTCAACATATAGAGTTACACATATTAATACTTTGTGAAAATGAGCTCATACTGTGCATACTCTTTTTTTTTTTTTTTTTTTTTTTTGAGACAGAGTTTTGCTCTTGTTGCCCAGGCTGGAGTGCAGTGGCACGATCTCGGTTCACTGCAACCTCCGCCTACCGGATTCAAGGGATTCTTCTGCCTCAGCCTCCTGAGTAGCTGAGATTATAGGAGCATGCCACCACGCCTGACTAATTTTTGTATTTTTAGCAGAGACGGGGTTTTGCCATGTTGGCCAGGCTGGTCTCGAACTCCTGACCTCAGGTGATCCACCAGCCTTGGCCTCCCAAAGTGCTGGGATTACAGGCGTAAGCTACCACGCCCGGCCCATACTGTTCTTTAATTGACCTTTTATACTTATACTATTTAATGAGCATTTCTTAAGACAGTTCAGTCAGTACTACGTCATTCTTTTCAGCAACTATGTTATATTCAATTGTGGTAACTTAGTTGTTTCTAATTTTTCGCTAATGCAGATATTGCTGCACCAAATATTCTTAAACATATATCTTTATAGAAGTGGATTTTCTGTGTCAAAGAGTATGAATATTTCAGATTTTAATAGATGTGGCCAAATTGCCCTCCAAGTAGGTAATACCAGTTTCCATTCCTACCAACAGTGCCTATTTCTCCATTTTGGCAGCAATGGTTATCATCAATCTTTTTGATCTTTGCCAATGTGATAGGTGATAGATTTTGTATCATGTTTTAATTTGTATTTCTTTAATCATTAGTGAAATCCAGTATCATTTTCTGTCCACCAGTGACTTTTGACTCTGTTTGGAGCCCTAAACAAAGAACATGGTTGCTGCCGTCATGTTCTGCTACTACCTGAGGTGTCTGCTTAATTGAGAAGTCAAAAAGGTTGAAAAACTTTTTTCCAGATCTCTTTAACTCCTTTTTTACCTGAAACCTGACTACCTTTCTAGGAATACGATTTTTTCTTGTACCCCTATTACAAAGATTACTCATTGTCCCACATCATATGAACCACATGGCCCAGGGCAGTTTCACTATTCTCCTTGCTCCTTACAAAAGCCTCCCCCTCCTTTCAGATCTATTTCATTTAGCTATACCATCCTCTATACCTTCTAGTTACTCTTCCCCCTCCATTAAGGATGTTGGGAACAGCCTTGCCGTCTTCTTTTCCATCCTGGTTCTTCCCGTCATCTGAAGAGATTTGAGTGTCAATGTACAACTTATCAAACATTCTACACTTACAGTTCTTTGGACTTTTTATAATTCCAGCTTTCACATCCTTAATCCAGCTAGCATAGTTCTTCTATCTCATGGAAACCTCTGTACTTTTAACTCCTCTTTTTCCAAACTTCTTTTTTCTTCCCTATATACCAAGACCGGGTGGTGTAGCACTTCATCCATTCCACCTTGTCTCTTATCCTTCCACTCTACCTGCCCTGCTAGCCACGGTCATTCTCTGCTCTTACACCCTGACCTCTAAGCATTGCTGCAAATAGATGTATCCCATAGATATGTTAGTTGGTACCATCACAGGTTTATGCCTTATAGTCTTAGCTGAGCTGAACAGTTATTTTATGTGTTTTTGGTTGGCTCCCAGTCCTGTTTCACCAAGCAGATATTCCTTGTACCTTGCTTTCAAACTGGCTACACCATGGTAACTCCCCTCTCTGTAAGCTCATATTGAAACATGTCCTTCATGGAAAAATGTATATAATACCTCTTCTCACTATTATCCTTACCGACTTCTTTGCTATCTCGGTGGACATAGTGCCCCATCTTCTGTGTAAGGATACTCACTCTACCTATATTTGAAATTCCATCTCTTCCTACTTTAAGGAACCAACTCTGTCAGTTAAACCCTCTTTGTCTTACATTTTCAACCTATTCTTTTCAACTGGCTTCTTCTCTCAGTAGTATGCTCAAATATTTTCTCATTCCTAAAGAAAAAGTACTTTTTCAATCTTCTAGTTATTGCCCTCTTTCCTCTTGGTTGGCGCCTTCTGAAAAGTAGTTAGTCTTTCCTATTAGTACTTCATCTCCCTTCACCTTTCAGCCCACTGTGATCCAATTTTCATATAATTACTATTGCTCTTCCAGAGGTCTTATGACCTTTGACTTGTCATATCTAAGAGTCACTTGTTAGTCTTCACTCTATTTTGACCTCTCTGTTGTGTTTGGCACAGTTCACTCCTTTTCACTTTGAACCCTTTTTGTAGTCCTGACTTTTATCCAACTATTCCCTCCTGGCTCTCTTTTTACCTTTTGGGCTTTTTTGAACAGGCTGACTCCTATAATAATCCTCCTTCCTCTGCTTGCCCTTTAAGGGTCACTGCTTTTTAAGGTCTTTTCTTTTGTCACATTTGGTCTCTGCCTGGGCAGCATCAACTATGCACACAGTGTATACTACTATCTCTATTCAGATAGTGGTGAAATCTATACTCTGGTTCAGATCTTTCCCTCTCCTGAACTTCAAACCCACATATCCAGTTGTCTCACTGGACTTTCCATTAGATGTTCCCGAACTACCTCAAACTCACCATGGCCAAAACATAAATCTTCTTACATACCACCACTACTACCTAAAACTTGCTTTTGTGTTCATT
This sequence comes from Homo sapiens, assembly GCF_000001405.40. Classification (NCBI taxonomy): domain Eukaryota; kingdom Metazoa; phylum Chordata; class Mammalia; order Primates; family Hominidae; genus Homo; species Homo sapiens. The sequence continues at coordinate 64,338,942 of NC_000023.11, read as the reverse complement.
ATTTAGTCTAATGGCACTACCATCCACCTGGTTGCTAAACCACACATTTCAGAGTTATCTTTAACTTTTCCTTTTCTTTCATCCCATGACTAGTCTCTCACTCTGTCCTGTTAAAATGTTCATAATTAAAATCCTTCTTCTGTTTTTCAGCTCCACTGCTACTACCTTACCTCAGGCCTATATGGACTTCCACGATTTTAGTAGCTTCCTAACTGGTCTTCCTGTATCCAAACTCATGTCTTCTCAATCCATTCTCCTTACTGCCACCACAGTGATCTTTCAAAGATGTACATCTGATCATGGCACTCCTCTGCTTCCAACTCCCTATTGCCATCAGATAAAATGTATACTTGATTGGTCTGACCCTTGTCCTCCTAGCTGGCTCTATCTCTCCTTATTCTCTCACTTCCAGCTTAGCCTGAGTCATTAATTGTTCTTCCTCTATGTCATGCCTCCTTGCAATGTACACGCTGTTACATCATTCCCCAGCCTGGAATGTCCTTTCCTCCTGGTCCATCTGGTAAATTCTTATTCATCTTTCCAGACCCACCTTAGTTGTCTCCTCCTTGCTGGTTATCTTTTGTGCCTTTGTTATACCTGGCATGGATTTTCCCCTTTTATTTTTCATTGGTTTGCAGTCATGCATTTAAGTGTTTGTCTCTTTTGTATTCCCAATGCACATCATAGTGCCTCTTGTACAGTCACTCAGTAATTATTGGCTAGGTGTGTGGATGAATGAATGGGTGAATTAATGTCCTTCTTCACCTAAGGAAACCCAGCTCTTTCTTCAAGGGTCAAGCTTCCCTGGCTCCTGCAAAAGAATATTGTTACTACACATTACTGTATATTACCAGTAGTTTTTCCATTGTATTTTAATTATTTATTTATTTTCGGTCACCCTGACTAGTTTGTGGGTTCCTTGAAAGCAGAAACTGAGTCTTTGTATTTCTAATACCTGGCACATAGAGGCACAAAATTGTTAGAATGAATAAATGAGTGGTCAATATGTACCATTGCCAAAATTTCCCAGGTTAAATAACTGCCCAGATCTTTACATCATTCTGATTGTGTTTATACAATCACTTGTTAAAGCGACCTAAGACAGGCAAGCACCTCCATCTTAAGTTGAAAGCATTTGTGTTAGTAACACTAAAACAGCTAGAGGAGATTGTTGTCAGATCTGGGACTAGAATGCAGAGCTGTCTGTGTTTTTGAGTGTGAATTCTTCCTCCAGTTCACCTATTCCTCTGAGAATTGATCCTTGGTTTCTTCAGAAGTTTAGTGAATTTAGAACTCCCCTCATCTTTCTTTTTGCCCTGCATTATGGGTTAGTTTTGATATTCTTTTCCTATGTGGTAAGCTCTCCTTCTCTTGAACTCCATTGTTTTCCTTTTCATTCCCCATAGAGGATGTTAATGTTATGAGAAAAAATTAATGTAGCCCATAAGACCAGGTTCTCTGTGCTTTAGGGACAGTATTTGGCAACTCTTTAATCCAACAAGCTGTGCAAAGGTTGCTTGTGGTACTTTTTTGCCTCTTGTCTTCACAGGCAGTGAAGGTAGAAAAGGCCAGTGTCTTAGTCCATTGTTCTGATGGATGGGACCGCACAGCACAAGTCTGCTCAGTGGCTAGCATCCTCCTAGATCCATTTTATAGGACATTCAAAGGACTCATGGTAAGAGAGCACGCTACTATATTTTACTTTGTGTAAGAGACAGATTGCGACAAAATAAAAAATAACTGTCAAACAATATTTTTTTTGCCAGAGTTAGCTCTAAGTCTACAAAAATAGCTTTTCCAATTTAGCTTCTTTTCATTAAATTTAGGTGTGTACTATCTGTATACTTTCTTTTGTATGTTCAACATACTTCTTACCTATCAGAAGGTAAGTTATATGTAGCAGACTACTGTACAGAGTAGGAAAAGCTCAAAAAGTTTGCAGAGCTTAATGGATGACTGTCAAATAGACTGTCCAAGGGGCTCATCATCTTTAACATGTCAGCTGTTTGAATGTCAGACTTATGATTGTTTTCTAATGCTGAATCTAAAGCCTCTTAGTTGATCTTTCTAAGAAACAGAACTCACCATAGTGGTTTATTCTCATTTCTTTGGAAAGCTTTTTTTTGTTTTGTTTTGTTTTTTTGTTTTGAAGTAGTCTTACTCTGTCACCCAGGCTGGAGTGCAGTGGTGCGATATTGGCTCACTGCAACCTCCACCTCCTGGGTTCAAGTGATTCTTGTGCCATAGCCTCCCAAGTAGCTGGGATTACAGATGTGCACCACCATGCTTGGCTAATTTTTGTATTTTTAGTAGTGACTGGGTTTACCACATTGGCCAGTCTGGTCTCAAACTCCTGGCCTCATGTGATCTGCCCTCCTCGGCCTCCCAAAATGCTGGGATTACAGGTGTAAGCCACCATGCCTGGCTAGAATTTTTTTTTTTTTTTTAATGGTTAAAAATGGTTTTGTTACTGGTATAAAGCTAAGAGCTGCCTTTGGATTTCTGTTTTTCAAAGTGTGAATTTAATATCGTGCTTATCAGGATTGCATTTAGTTATGGCTCAGTGGCTTGTCACACATGTGAAAGCCAAAGGAAATTTGACTCTGGATATGTCTGAGAGCATCTGAAATTTGAAGGCACCCTGTATAGGCTTATGAATGAAATCTAAGTTACTTACTTATTTATCATTTAGGAAATTAACTATTTTATGATCAGTTCAACTATTTCAGCAAAGTGTTTTGACATTCTTGTGTGTATGGTTAATTCATTTTATGATTTTCCTAATGCAAACACTTTCTTTTCTATAAAATGAAGATCTTGATAGAGAAGGAATGGATATCCATGGGCCACAAGTTTTCCCAAAGGTAAAAATATACTCATTTTGAAGGAAGGGGCTGAGGATAGTTCATTAGGGTGAAGTATATCAAAACCTCAGTATGTACATGTAAAGGAAGGAAGAGGAAGTTGAACATGGCATAAATCTCTTTTCATCAAGAAACAAGTATTCTAGATACTATGCTAGGGCACTAAGGTGACAAAAGTAACCAGAATATTATCCCTGTTTTCAAGGAGTACAAGTAATTATATCAAATTGTTAAATATTTCAAGGAAGAACAAGGCATCACAGGCTACAGAAGGAAAAGTGCTTAACATTGCACGAAGAGGTCAGGGTAGGCTTCCAGGAGTACACAGCATTTGAGGATGAATTTTTGGAAATGAATAGAAATTTAACAGGAAGAACAAGGGAATGATGAGGTCATTCAGAGGGACTAATATCAAGACAATGCACCTTTTAACCTTTTGTAAGATAAAAGGGGCAGATTTGTTCTTTTTTAAGGGATGAGGACAAGGGCTTATATTTATCTGTTGTCTGCTATAAACCAAACTGCCTCACTAAGGCTTTACCTGTGTTATCAGAACAATCGATAAATATTTGTCAAATGCCTAACAATGTGCTGTATATTATATCAGACACTAAGCTGATTCCAAAGGCAAATAAAATTTGAGATTTGGCCGGGTGCAGTGGCTCATACCTGTGATCCTAGCACTTTGGGAGGCCAAGGCGGGCAAATCGCCTGAGGTCAGGAGTTCGAGACCAGCCTGGCCAATATGGTGAAACCCCTTCTCTACTAAAAATACAGAAATTAGCCAGACATGGTGGCGGGTGCCTATAATCCTGACTCCTTGGGAGGCAGAGGTAGGAGAATCACTTGAACCCGGGAGGCGGAGGTTGCAGTGAGCTGAGGCCATGCCATTGCACTCCAGCCTGGGTGACAAGACTGAAACTCCATCTCAAAAAAAAAAAAAATTGAGTTTTACCCCAAGGAGATTATAATTCAGGTCTTATTTTCCCCCATTGATATGCATTAATTTAATTTCATTTGGTTGCCACTCTCTAGCCATTTGGGTCCATTTATTTATTCTTCCTTCACCCACAAACATTGGACCAGTCATTATGTTAGGTATTGAGAAGACAGAGCTGAATCAGATATAGTTCCTATCTCATCTTTGAAAGAAAAGAAAAATCAGTGATGACGGTGTAGTATGATAAGTGCTTAAGACAGAGGAAAACATAAACAAAGGACGTTTATCCATTCTGGGGCAAAGAAGGCTTCCTGTAATAGGTGACATTTTAACTGAGATTTAAAGTATGAGTAGATGTTATTTAGAAAGGGAGAAAGCATTCTAGCCCTGATGTGTTTGAAACCATAAAGGCATTAAACAGGATTACGTGTTTGAGGAGCTGCAAGCAATTCAGTGTGGCTGGGTCAAAGGGTGTGTAGGGAGAATAGAGGAAATGAGGCCAGGGAAGCCGAGCCAGTGAGGAGAAGATCATTCAGAGCCCTGTTTTTTTTTTTTTTTTTTTTTTTTTAAGCTGAAAGATTTGAGTGTTTTGTGTACATAGTAAAGCTATATTGGAGGACTTTGAACAAGGCAGTGACATGATGTTCAGATCTATATTTTACAAATATCCCTCTGACAGCATGTAGAAGATTGAAATTGGTGGCAAGGGGCTGAATTAGTAGGCTACCAGAATTGATGAGGGCCTGAAAAAAAGACAGAAGCAATGATATAGATACAAGGGTATTCAGGAAGTAGAACTCACCAGGAGATGGGAGAAAAAGTCCAATAAAACTCAAAGGTTTCTGCCTGAGGTAGCTGGGTTTATTGAGATAGAGGATATAGGATAATACAGGGCAGGTTTGGTGGGGAAGATGGCTTCAGTTTGGGACTTATTTGGCATAGGGCATCCAGGAGAAGATATCTAGTAGGGAGACTATTCAGTAGTAATCTGGAGCTCACTAGTTCTGGGTTGGATAGAGAGGTGGTGTAGAGGTTTAAGAGTTATCTGCATATAATTGGTAGTTTAAACCATGGATTCAGATAAGGTAACTCAAAAAATTGTATAAAGAGGAAGAAGAGCCAAGGGGTGGGACAGAGCCTTGGATAATACTGACACCTGAAAGTCTAGTGAAGAATGAAGTCCATGAAGTTGACTGTGAAAGAGTGATTAGTGAGATAAGAATAAATCTAAGGATAGGAAAGAAGAAACATAAGAGAGGAGAATCTCAAGGGAGTAGTCAGCAGTGTCATATGCCTCAGAATAACCCAAGAATCGACTTTGGCAATATGCAGGTTTTAATGATCTTTAGTGATAACTGGTTGAGCAAAGTGGTGAAAGCAGAAGCCAAATGTTTGTGAATGGAGGCATGAGTGAGGGATGAAGAAGTGGAATGTGAGTATATAAATCTCTTTCCAAGAACCTTGGCTCTCAAGGGGGTAGAAGAGAAGGGGTCGGGTTTGGGTCTGAGGAAGTGTATTTCAAGACAGGAGATATTTGAGCAGTTTCTTATGCTGAGAAGAAAGAAACATTAAAGAAGATAAGGTGGAAGATATGCCAAAACAGTGAGTTTTTGGTAGAGTAAGACTTCTGGGCAAATCGGTGAAAGTTCCAGTCCAAACGAAAGATTAGCTTGAGCTATAATGAAGAACACCTTTTCCATGGAGATTAGGTGGAAAGACAGGCAGAAAAGGTGCTATATGTGAATATTAGAGGCAGAAGTTAGAAATTTTTTTTTCTACTTAATGGCCTTGATATTTTTCAGTGGCACTGGAGTGAAGGAAGATATGAAATGGATTAGGGGTTTGACAAGGTAGTTGAAAATTTGTATGAGCTGTAAAGGTAATGAGAAAATGTTGTTAAGGACCTACACAAAGATTATTTGAGAGCAGTTAAAACACAGCTGAATGTGGAGACTCAATTTGAATGGTGTGAATTTGTATGATTTTATAATTTTCTTGAGCATTATTAATCAGTCAGGATGTGGAAGCAGAGAACATAGCTTTTCAGGCTGATCTGTGGTTGGATTTAGAAGGAAAATAATTACAAGAAAGACCAGAAAGCTGAACAAAATGGGGAGAGAGTAGTTAATAGGGCAGATCATGGAATTTAGGCTTGATAAGAAAAAAGAGAAGCCAACAGGAATCTAGCATGTGGAGATGTCCTGAGATGAGGTCTGCAGGAGTTAAGAAGATGAGCAGCCTTTGGAAATATAATATATGGTGTTCAGAGTGGGATATCGTGATTAAGATTTCAAAGATGGAGTAAGAACTACTAGCCAGCCTGTGGCCAGTGGATTCAAAAGGCTGGAGTAGAGGTAAAGATCAGTGAAGGTAATTTGATTTGCGTTAGTTAAGGAATCTGTTGAGCTAGTGTAAGTCATCTACATCAACACAAAAGCTTAAGACCATCAGATTATTCAGAGAATGTAGGGAAGTGACACAGAGATTCTAGAAGACAGCATTGTGGAAGGAGAAGGTAAATAAGCTAAATAGCATGACCCATAAAGGAAGTGTTCTTAAGGGCATGAAAAGAATAGTAGCTTGGAAGCAGCAGAAGCAGCAGTAGGTGCAAGGAGAAAGCTAAACCCACCTCTGCTTTGTTTTAGAATTATGGTATGTGGAAAGTGGAATGATCAGCATTCTCCATTTTTATTTGACCCCAAGGAAAGGTGGTATCGTTGTGAGCCAGGTTGTAATTATATCAGAAGGTAGAGAACATTCAGTGTAGAAACTGAGAGTGCCGTGTTCATTTCCAGTGGAATAGTGTTTCAGTCGATGATAGGGTTGGTAAAGAAAACATTGTGGGGAGGAAATATTAAACAGTTCTGGGATGAGGTTTCATTCATGTACTTAATAAATGTTTCTTTAATACCTATTTTGTGCCAGGCACTATGCAGTAAACAATATAGATGTGGTCGTTGCTCACATAGAGCTAAATGTAGCTATTTAAATTAAATTAATTAAAATTAAATACAATTAAAAATTCAGTTCCTCAGTCACAGTATCCACATTTCAAGTGCTTAACAGTTAGTGGCTGCTATATTGGACAACACAACTGTAGAAATTTTCCATCATTGCAGAAAGTTCTATTGGAAAGAGGGTGTATAAAAAAATAGACTAGATGACCAAAGGGTTTACAGTATGGATGACAGTGAAGGACACCAGCAGCTAAGAGGTCTGCTGGGATTGACTAGCTTTGAGATTCTGGCTGGCATTTTGGTATGAGGTGTTTCCTTGCCACTACCAACAGAGACAAAAGATGACCCTCTTACAGCCTATTCCCAACAGTGTAATCCTTAATGCTAACTAGTGTCTTTCTTTACCTTTATTTTCATCTCTCAGGTGTGGCCACCTCGATGGGGACTCTAAAGAAGTGTCCCCTATCTTCACCCAGTTCCTAGACTGTATCTGGCAATTAATGGAACAGTTTCCCTGTGCCTTTGAGTTTAATGAAAACTTCCTGCTGGAGATTCATGACCATGTTTTCTCCTGCCAGTTTGGAAACTTCCTTGGTAACTGCCAGAAGGATCGGGAAGATCTAAGGTGAATTTACTTTGTGAGAAGACACTGAACAGGGAGAAGGTGGTCAGTGCAAAAAGAATGTACCTACCACCCTGAATTTGGCATAGCAGTCAAGAAAGGGGAGGAGATAACAATAATAAAAAGAACTTTTGAAGCATAAAGCACTCAATGTTTGCACAGAGATCTCTCAGAACCCTAAGATATCTCATCTGTAAAATAGGGATAATAATGCCTACTTTTTAGAGCAGTCATGAGGATCCAGTAAAATAATGGATGTACAAGGCCTTTGCAAATAATTAATTGCTGTGCAGGTATGAGTAGTCATTATCTACAGTCCTTTCTCACTCATATCAGAGATTACAAACTAGCAGCTCATAGGCCGAACCCAACCCAACAGGCGTGGTTTGTTTAATCTGTGGAGTATTTTTTAAAACTCCTAATTCGTTGCCGACATTTTTGTTTATTTCCGTAGGTTTTTGAGGAACAGGTGGTATTTGGTTACATGAATGAGTTCTTTAGTGGTGATTTGTGAGACTTTGGTTCACCCATCTCCTGAGCAGTATACACTGAACCCAATTTGTAGTCTTTTATCCCTCACCCGCTTCCTACCCTTTCCCTCTGAGTTCCCAAAGTCCATTGTGTCATTCTTATGCCTAGTTGCTAACATTTAAATATCAGTAGATTTCACATTAAAATCCAGTTATTTTAGGATGTTTTTTCTAAATATTCTGAAAAATCAGGAGCTCTGGCAATACTAGACTATTTTCTCATGATAATAAACAGCTAGAGCTGAATAGTAGCTGTTCCATTTGGATGAGGCAAACTCACTCTTGTTGACTGCAGTTCTTACCATTCTCTATAGTTTATTCTTAGCCCATTTCTAATGTTATCTGCCTAGTTCTAGTAGGCAGTTGAGTTTGCACCCCTCACTTAAACTAACAGCTTGGCAATATATGAGACATAAGTACTTTTCAAAATTGACAAGGTAGAGCTCCTGTGAACAGTATTTTCATTATGTTAGAGACAGAGAAAAAGAAATAGGATAGTAGCTGTTTCACAACTCACTCCTATTTCACAGCTGTTGGCTGAGTTAGTAGTTAGCCCAACCCTCAGGCCCCTTTATAGCATAGCAAGATGAAGTTACTTCTCTGTGATTTGGTTTTCCTGTCAACATAGAGAACAATAATGAGTCTTTCTGTTTCAACATTTGTACTTACTTGGTAGTTTCTCTCTTGATGCCATGCATGTTTCTCTCTCTCTGTCTTTACAACTAGACCTTTGTCACTTTCTCCCCAAATTCTTTTAAGATATTCATTCTGTCTTTGTTTACCTACGCGTTAAAACACAGAATCTTTTCCATAATCTTTTTCCTTCTCTTAAAATTGGTCAATATATGTGGTATTTTTCACACAAATCTGAATATCCATTTAAAAAACATAACAGTTGAACATTTTAACATATTTTAAAATAGTGATTACTTAAAATAAGCAGAAGTGTCATTCATTCATGAACAGAAAAGGATGGGCTTTAGAATCAGGCAGACTTGGGTTCAAACTTTGGCTCTCTCACCTACTAGCTATGTGACCTTGAGCAAATTAATATTTAGTCTCATTTTCTCATTAGTAATTTTGGGCTAAAATATCTCACAAGGTTTTATTGGGAAAATTTAAGGAGGTATTTTAGGTAAAGAGTCTGGAATAGTGTTTGAACACATAGTAAATACTCAACAAATTAGTTACCTTACCAACGCAATATTTTTTTTTTTCTGTTATAAACCAACAGCAAATGAGAAAGATGGATGTACAAAGCCTTTGGCCTCACTGAAATGCTCTGACAATTGCAAAAGTTACAAGACCACAATTTTAGGTCTTACCACTTATATCACTCTTCAGTTCTCCTTTAGCTTCCTTTGACATGGTGTGTGTGCAAATGACCTTCTCATGGGTGGTTATACAGTAACTCTCTTTGGGAACCAGTGGATCTCATGTATTTTGAGGTGTTAACTAAGGGACTTGCTTACTGGTTAAGCAGCCTCCCCATGGTCTGAACTAAAGTATAAGAATCAATTTTGTAATATAAATGCCATAATCTTTAGTTGCCCACCTGGGATAACTCATGACATTTTCTAGTATAAATTTCCAATTGTCTTTCACTGTCTTAAACCTTCTGAAGGGAGAAGTAGCTGGCTTTAAGTAAAATGAAATATAGAAGAGCCAGAAATTCACCCCATAGAACCTATCACTTAACTTACCAGACTTGTAAAAGCAATTCCAGAATTTTTAAAACCAGAAAAGTCATTAGTTCATAAAATCCTTGATTTGGAAGATAACTTAGAGGTCACATTTAACGGTGAGGAAATAGGCCCAGAAAAAAACTCGGGATTTTCTTAAGATCACACAGCTATTCCACACAGAGACTGGACTTAGAATCTCCTGTTCTCCAATATGGAACTCTTTCTAACCTCTCATTTATTTTAAAGATGGATAAATTGAAGCCCAGATAATTTGTTACTCCATCAACACTTTTTATCCACTTATTTTTCTTCTGTCATATCCTGTCGTCCTTTCTTGAGCTGGGTTACTTATTAGTAAAATTTGCTGCTTATCAGTTCAACAGGACTATTGAGATTACTTGCTTCCTGCTTTTAATTTTTTGGCTTGTTTTTCTTTTCTAACAGAGTCTATGAGAAAACACATTCTGTGTGGCCTTTCTTGGTTCAGAGGAAACCAGACTTCAGGAACCCTCTCTATAAAGGCTTCACTATGTATGGGGTACTCAATCCTAGTACTGTGCCCTACAACATTCAGTAAGTTCTTAAGTTTTTCCCTCCTTTCTTATAGCAGGTCCCAGGGTCTCAGCTTCCTTGCTTCTCCTTGGATAGCTGCCACCATCTGTACAAGCCTGGCTATGGAGTAGGATACTCTGTCCTCATATCACCCATACATTGCTGCTTCTGAAAACAAGAGCCCAATTCCTTTTGGTTTTCAGGGCTTTGCTGTTACCTGCTTAGGGAAATAAATAAGAAATTATAGTTGATTTGTAGGAATACAACCAGTCAAGATAACGTTTGTTTGATTCATTTACTCTTCCTCTGTATCTTCTACTTGTCTTTCCCTTCCCCAACAAAGAAAAGAAAAATGAGACAAATCAGGAGTGTGCTGGTAATGTTTGCTATATTTTTCCAAAGCTTCTGCAGGCTGAGGCACTCACAAAGAATACAAAACAGAGATTAATATATTTATTAGCTCTAATAGCTCATTTTGTGGATTCTTTAGGATTTTGTAAATATTAGATCATGTCATCTCTGAAAAGAGAATTCTATTTCTTCATTTTCAATTTGGATGTCTTTTATTTCCTTGCCTAATTGCTCTGGCTAGAACTTCCAGTACAGTGTTGAGTAAAAGTAGTGAAAAGAGGCACTGGTGTCCTGTTCCTGATTTTAGGGGGAAAGCTTTCAGTCTTTCACTATTGAGTATTGATGTTAGCTGTAGGTTTTTCACAAATTTCCTTTTTCATGTTTAGGATGTTCTCTTCTGTTTTCAGTTGAGTATTTATTGTATTTTTTTGCTATTACATTTTAAATTTTAATTGACACAATAATTGTACTACATATGAGGTATAGAGTGATTATGCTGTATTTGCCTTTGTGTGGCTGGCTTATTTCGCTTAACATAATGTTCTCCAACCTCATCTGTGTTGCTGTGAATGACAGCATTTCTTTCTTTTTTATTGCTAAAATAGTATTTCCTCGTGTATGTATACCACATTCTCCTTCTCAATTCATCCATATGGACACTTAGGTTGACTTCATATCTTGGCTATTGTGAATAGTGCTGCAATAAACATGGGAGTGCACATATCTGTTCGACACAATGACTTCATTTTCTTTGGATATATACCCAGTAATGGGATTGCCAGATAGATCATAGGGCAGTTCTCTTTTTATATTTTTAGGAAGTCCATACTGTTTTTCATAATGAATGTACGAATTTACATTTCCACTGATAGTATGTGAGTGTTCCCCTTTTTCCACATCCTTGTCAGCACTTGATATGTTTTGTCTTTTTGTGAATAGCCATTCAAACTTGGTGAAATGATATCTCATTGTGGTTTTGATTTGCATTTTCGTGATGATTGGTGATGTTGCATTTTTTTCATATACCTATTGGCCATTTGTATATCTTCTTTTGAAAAGTATCTATTCAGATCTTTTGCCCGTTCTAAAATCAGATTGTTTGCTTTGCTATTTAGTTGAGTTTCTTATATATTCTGGTTATTAATCCTTTTTAGAAGGGTAGTTTGCAAATATTTTCTTCCATTCTGTGGGTTATCTCTTCACTTTGTTGATTGTTTCCTTTACTGTGCAGCAGAAGCTTTTTAGTTTGATGTAATCTCATTTGTCTACTTTTGCTTTTGTTACCTGTGCTTTTAGAGTCATAGCCAAAAAATTGTTGCCTAGTCCAATATTATGAAGTGTTTTCCCTATGTTTTCTTCCAGTAGTTTCATAGCTTTCGGTCTTTCATTTAAGTTTTTAATCCATTTTGAGTTGATTTTTATATGTGATGAGAGATATGTACCTAGTTCCATTCTTCTGCATATGGGCATCCATTTTTTTTTCAGCACCATTTACTGAAGATTGTATTTTCCCCAATGTTTGTTCTTCACACCTTTGCCTGTATATGCATTTTTTTTCTGGGCTCTCTATTCCATTGGTCTGTGTGTCTATTTTTAGATCAGTATCATTCTATTTTGGTTGCTATAGCTTTGTAGTACATTTTGAAGTCAGATAGAGTGATATCTTCAGCTTTCTTTCTTCTTTTTTTTTTCCCCACAAGTTTGCCTCAGCTATTCGGGATCTTTTGTGGTTCCTTACAAATTTTAGGATTCTTTTTTCTATTTCTGTGAAGAATGCCATTGGTATTTTGTTAGAGATTACGTTGAATCTGTAGATCACTTTGGGTAGTGTAGACACTTTAACAATATTAATTCTTCCAGTCCATGAAGATGGGCTATCCTTCTGTTTATCTGTGTCCTCTTCAATTTCCTCCATCAATGTTTTATAGTTTTCAGTGTGAAGATCTTTCACCTCCTTGGTTAAACTTATCCCTAAGTATATGTTTTTTGTAACTATTGTAAGTGGGATTGTTTTCTTGATTTCTTTTTCAGATAGTTTACTATTGATGTATAAAAATACTGCTGATTTTTGTATCTTGCAACTTTACTGAATTTGTTTATTAGCTCTAGCAGTTTTTTGGTGGAGTCTTTTGGGTTTTCTGTATATGGTGGACCCTTAAACAACACAGATTTGAAATGTGTGAGTCCATTTATATGTGGATTTTCTTCCACCTCTGCAACCACTGAGTCAGCAAGACCAACTTTTCTTCTTCCTCTTCCTCCGCCTACTCAACACAAAGATGATAAAGATGTAGATGTTTATGATGATCCATGTCCCCTTAATTAATAGTAGATGTATTTTCTTAATAATAATTTTTTCTTTAGCTTAACTTATAAGAATACAGTGTATAATACATATAATATACAAAATAGGTGTTAATCAATGATTTATGTTATTGATCAGGCTTCTGGTCAACAGTGGGCTACTGGTAGTTAAGTTTTTGGTAAGTAAGAACTTATATATTGATTTTCCAGTGTGCAAGGGTCTGACACTTCTAACACTGGTATTGTTTGAGGGCCAACTGTATACACTCATGTCATCTGCAACCAGGGATAGTTTAACTTCCTCCTTTCCAATTTGGATAGCTTTCATTTCTTTCTCTTGCCTAATTGCTGTGGCTAGGAATTCAAATACTAAGTAGAATAGAAGTGGTAAAAGTAGGCATTGTTGTCTTGTTCCCTATCTTAAGGAAGAGCTTCCAACTTTTCCCTGTTCAATATGGTGTTAGCTGTGGGTTTGTCATATGTGGCTTTTATTTGTAGTGAGGTACATACTTTCTATACATAATGTATTGTTTTTATCATGAAGGGATATTTAATTTTGTCAAATGCCTTTTCTTCATCTATTGAAATGATCATACGGTTTTTGTCCTTCATTCCATTAGTGTTCTGTGTCACATTTATTGATTGGCATATGTTGAGCCATTCTTGCATCCCTGGGATGAGTTCCACTTGATCATAGTGAATAATCTTTTTAATGTGCTATTGAATTCTGTTTGCTAGTATTTTGTTGATGATTTTTGCATTTGTGTTCATCAGGGATATTCTTTTTTAATTGTGTCCTTGCCTGGCTTTGCTATCAGGGTAATGCTATCCTTATAAAATGAGTTTAGAAATATTGTCTCCTCTTCAGTTGTGCCGACTAGTTTGAGGAAAATTGGCATTCATTCTTTAAATGTTTGGTAGAATTCAGCAGTGAAGCCATCAAGTCCTGGGCTTTTCTTTGATGCGAGATTTTTATTACTGCTTTGATTTCATTACTCACTATTGGTCTGTTCAGATTTTCTATTTCTTCATTCTTTAATCTTGGAAGGTTGTATATGACCAGGAATTTATCCATTTTTTATAGGTTATCTGGGTTTTCTGGCATAGAATTGTTCCTGATACTGTCTTGTGATGCTTTTTATTTCTGTAGCATCAGTTGTAGTGTCTCTTTTTTTGGTATCTAATTTTACTTGAATCTTCTCTGTTTTTTCTTAGGCCAGCTAAAGGCATCTCAATTTTGTTTATCTTTTCAAAAAAACAACTCTTTGTTTCATTGATCTATTTTATTTTAAACCTCTCTTTTTTTTTTTTTTTTTTTTTTTTGGTGAGCAACAAGGCTGTTTATTTCACCTGGGTGCAGGCGGGCTGAGTCCGAAAAGAGAGTCAGCGAAGGGAGATAGGGGTAGGGCCATTTTATAAGATTTGGGTTTCTTTTCTTTCCTTTTCTTTTTTTGAGACAGGGTCCTGCTCTGTCACCCAGGCTGCAGTGCAATGCCACAATCATGGTTGACTGCAGCCTTGACCTCCTGTGCTCAGGTGATCCTCCTGCCTCAGCTCCCTGAGTATCTGGGACTACAGGTGCATGCCACCACATCTGGCTAGTTGTTTAATTTCTTTGTAGAGATGGGGGTCTCACTATGTTGCCCAGGCTGGTCTTGAACTCCTGGCCTCAAGCAGTCCTCCCTCTTGGCCTCCCAAAGTGCTGGGATTACAAGTGTGAGCCACCAAGTCCGTCCTCTTTCTTCTCTTCTCTTTTCTTTATTTTCTTTCTTTCTTGAGATATGATCTCACTCTGTTTACCAAGCTGCAGTACAGTAATGCAATCATAGCTCATTGTAGCCTCAAACTCCTGAGCTCACATGATCCTCCTGTTTCAGCCTCCCAAGTGGCTAGGACTACTGGTACATGCAACCACACCTGGCTAATCTTAATTTTTTGTAGAGATGAGGTCTTGCTTTGTTGCCCAGGCTGGTGGAAACTCCTGGCTTCAAGTGATCCTCCCACTTTGGCCCCCCCAAAAGTGCTGGGATTATAGGCATAAGCTACTGTGCCTGGGCACTTTCATTTATTTCTACTCTTTATTATTTCTTTCCTTTTACTAGTTTTAGGTTTACTTGGGTTTTAAAATGTTTAATTCCTTTGGTGCATTGTTAGGTTTTTATTTGTGATCTTTCTTCTTTTTCAATGTAGACATTTATTGCTATAAGATTTCCTTTTAGAACTGCATTAGCTGTGTCCCAAGGATTTTGGTATGCTGTATTTCCATTTTCATTTCTCTCAAGAAATTTTTAGACTTCCTTTTAATTTCTTCATTGACCTGTTGGTCATATAAGAGCATGTTGTTTAATTTCCATGTGTATTTGTGAATTTTCAGAAGTTCCTGTTGTTACTGATTTCTAGTTTTATACCATTGTGGTAAAAAAAAATATACTGGAAATGATTTTGGTTTTCTTAAATTTGTTAAGGCTTGTTCTACAGGCTACCATATGATCTGTCCTAGAGAAAGTTTCATGTTCTGTTGAGAAGACTGTTTATTCTGCAGCTGTTTGGTCGAATATGCTGTAAATGTTTGCTTGGTCCATTTGATTTAGTGTGTCCTTTAAATGTGATGTTTCTTTATTTTCTGTCTGGATGATCTGTCCATTGCTGAGAGTGGCATGCTGAAGTCTCCTTATATTATTTTATTGCAGTCTATTCCCTTAGATCTATAATAATTGCTTCATTTACTTGGGTACTCTGGTGTTAGGTGTATACATATTAAAATTTTTCGTATCATCTTGTGGAAATGACTCCTTTTCATTATATAATGAACTTCTTTTCTCTTTTTATAGTTTTTGCCTTAAAGCCTATTTTATCTGTTATGATTATAGCTACTCCTGCTCTCTCTTGGTTTCCATTTGCATGGAATATCATTTTCCATCTCTTCACTTTCAGTGTACCTGTCACTCTGAGCAGGTACCCCCTGGAATTGGTATGCCTGGTTGGTAAGTATGTAGGCAGCAGAAGTCTGCCAGTTTGGGGCAGGGCTCCATGGAAGCAACATGTCTGGCTGGTATGCCATTGTCACACGGGGGCCAAATCACCAACTTGGGGCAGGGGCACCTGGAAGCAACATGCCTGGCTAGTGAGCGCACAGGGTTGCACATGGACAGTGAACCTGGCTGGTGAGTGTGCTGACTGTGCACATCACTGGGCAGTACTCAGTTTCTTTACTTGGCAAGATTACCTATTCCTCTAGGGACAGAGTACCACTTGCCTTTGTGCTGGAGCAGTGGACTTAGGCTCTGAGAGGCTAGGGTTGGTTGCTGCAGTCACCTGAATGTGCAAGACAGAGCCCTTCCTAGGCAGCTTATTCTCAGAGGATAGAGTGCTGTAACAGCTTGGCTGGGGAATGGTGCACCACCACTAAGGTGGTGTAATGGCAGTGCAGCTTCAGCAATGAAAAGATGCAGTTATTGCTGGCTCTTGGAGCAGGATACATGCTAGCTGTGGCTCTGTTTTCAAGATGGCACTGTATAGCTGCAGCTTGGGTTTTGGTGAGGGAAAGGTGTACAGTGAGTAATTAAATTGAAACCATAATAGAAAGTCTCCAATCAAAGAAAAGCCCAGGACTTAATGGCCTCACTGCTGAATTCTACCAAACATTTAAAGAACAAATACCAATTCTTCTCAAACTAGTCAACAAAATTGAAGGGAGACAATACATCCAAACTCATTCTATAAAAACAGCATACTCTAATACAAAAACCAGAGAAGGACATAACAGTAAAAGGAATATCCCTGGCCAATACCCCTGATGAACATGAATGCAAAAATCCTCAACAAAATACAAGCAAACAGGGCCTTGTCATGGTGGCTCACACCTGTAATCCCATCACTTTGGGAGGCTAACGTGGAGGATCACTTGATCCCAGGAGTTTGAGACCAGTCTGGGCAACATAGTGAGACCTCGTCTCTACAAAAAAAAATCAAAAAATGAGGCAGGAGAATGACTGAAGCCTAGGAGATCAAGGTTGCAGTGAGGCATGGTTGCACCACTGCACTCCCACCTGGGTCACAGAGCAAGACCCTGCCTCAAAAAAAAAAAAACAAAAATACTAACAAACAGAATTCGACAGCACGTTAAAAACATAATTCATCCCAAGGATACAAGAATGGCTCAACATATGCAAATCAATAAATGTGATACAGAATGCTAGTGGAATGAAGGACTAAACCCTATGATCATTTCAACAGATGAAGAAAAAGTATTTGACAAAATTTAACATCTCTTCATGATAAAAACTTAACGAATTATGTATGGAAAGTATGTACCTCAATACAATAAAGACCACATATGACAAACCCACAGGTAATACTATATTCATCAGGGAAAAGTTTAAAGCTTTCCTACTTGGAGTTTATTGAGCTTTGTAGATATGTAGATTAATGTCTTTCATCAAATTTGTGACATACTCTGTCATTATGTCTTGGAATATTCTTTCCGCTCCTTTCTATCACTCCTATCCTTTTAGGACTCTCTCTGTGCACTTATTGGTCTGCTTACTAATCTTCTACAGGACCCTGAGGCTCTTTTCATCATTTTTCTTTCTTTTTGTCTCACAGACAGGGTAACCCCAATGGACCTATCTTCAAGTTCATTAATTCATTCTTTTACCTGCTGAAATCTGTTGTTTAACTGTTCTAGTGAGTTTTTCATTTCAATTATTGTACTTTTCATATCCAAAATTTCTGTTTTGTTTTGTTTTTATTATTTCTGTCTCTTTATTGATGCTATCTATTTGGTGAGATACTATTCTCCAGGTTTCCCTTAGTTATTTTTCTATGGTTTCCTTTAGCTGTTTGAGCATATTTAAAACAGTTGATTTAAATTTGTTGACTAGCAAGTCTAATATCTGGGTTTCCTCATAAACAGTTTCTATTAATTGTTTTTCCTATGAATGGGGCATACGTTTTTGTTTTTTTTCTGAATGCCTCATAATTTTTTGTTGTTGTTGTTGAAAACTGGGTAGTTTCAATATTATAATGTGGTAGAAATCAGATTTTTACCTCTCTCTAGGATTTTTTGTTGCTACTTGTTGTGGGTTGTAATTGTTAGTTTAGTAGCTTTTCTAAATTATGTTTGTAAAGGTTGTGTTATTTGCCACATGTAGTCAGTGAATTCTCTGTCAGTTAGCTTAGTTCTCAGATAGTGATTTCGCAGAGATTTCCTTAAATTCCAGAAAAATAACAATAGTTCTCCTAGTCTTTGCAGATTGGCTTTTTGTTGGTGTATTATCTTCAATGCTTAGCTGGGCCACTTATATTTTAGCCATGTCCTGCTTCTGTAGAGCTTAAAAGTAAGCCACAGGTGAAAGCTTAGGGTCTTTTCACATATTTTCTGAGAATAGGTCTGACCCTCAGCATGTATCTGACCTCCTACATTCCCTGATATTTGCAGGAGCTTTCCAGAGCATTTTTTTTCTCATGTATCTGCTTCCCCAGCCTTTTCCTTCCCAGGCTTTTTATTCTGTCTGCTGCTTGCTCCATCTATTATCCCTTGCCTCAGTTGGCTGTGGCTAGTACATTTGCCTTTAAGTGCTTTCAACAAATATTATGAAAAAGGCCACTCTAGCTCTGAGAAAGTTCCAAGGTGGGCAAAATAAAGTCAAGGTCCTGAGCCCATACCTTAGGGAGCTACCAGGCAGGCCAAAATATATAACCATAGTTTTCTGAGATGAAGATGTATATTGCTTCCCTTGCAGCAGCGAGCCACATCAGTAATGTAGACTACCATCTCCAAGGCCGCCACTAAGCTGGGGAATAGGGGATGGCAGAGAGGGAAGTCAGCATGTTGTATCACTCTCTTACCAAAATTTAGTAGTCTCTTAAGTCTCAGGATACAAAATCAATGTGCAAAAATCACAAGCATTCTTGTACACCAATAGCAGATAAACAGAGAGCCAAATCATGAATGAACTCTCATTCACAGTTGCTTCAAAGAGAATAAAATACCTAGGAATCCAACTTACAAGGGATGTGAAGGACCTCTTCAAGGAGAACTACAAACCACTGCTCAACGAAATAAAAGAGGATACAAACAAATGGAAGAACATTCCATGCTCATGGATAGCAAGAATCAATATCGTGAAAATGGCCATACTGCCCAAGGTAATTTATAGATTCAATGCCATCCCCATCAAGCTACCAATAAGTTACTTCACAGAATTGGAAAAAACTACTTTAAAGTTCATATGGAACCAAAAAAGAGCCCGCATCACCGAGTCAATCCCAAGCCAAAAGAACAAAGCTGGAGGCATCACGCTACCTGACTTCAAACTATATTACAAGGCTACAGTAACCAAAACAGCATGGTACTGGTACCAAAACAGAGATATAGACCAATGGAACAGAACAGAGCCCTCAGAAATAATGCCACATATCTACAACTATCTGATTTTTGACAAACCTGACAAAAAAAAGCAATGGGGAAAGGATTCCCTATTTAATAAATGGTGCTGGGAAAACTGGCTAGCCATATGTAGAAAGCTGAAACTGGATCCCTTCCTTACACCTTATACAAAAATTAATTCAAAATGGATTAAAGACTTAAATGTTAGACCTAAAACCATAAAAACCCTAGAAGAAAACCTAGGCAATACCATTCAGGACATAGGCATGGGCAAGGACTTCATATCTAAAACACCAAGTGCAATGTCCACAAAAGCCAAAATTGACAAATGGGATCTAATTAAACTAAAGAGTTTCTGCACAGCAGAAGAAACTACCATCAGAGTGAACAGGCAACATACAGAATGGGAGAAAATTTTTGCAATCTACTCATCTGACAAAGTAGTCTCTTTTTTTAACTAAGCATTTCCCTGGTTTTTGTAGTTGGTGTAAGTTTATTTAAATTAGATTCTAGAATTTGAAAATGTTTATTCTTATAGTTTCTTCCTGCTTAGTTATTGCTTTCATGGAGGTACGGAGTTCCCTACTCCACCATTTTTGGTGATATCACCAATGATAGGTATTTTTCATTGCCACCAATTATTCTTTTTAGCTTTGAGTATTTCAAATGGGAACTTCTCAGTGAAGCGAAGGTAGTTTACATGTACTTATTGACAACTGTAGTGCCAGAAATTCTGCATTTCCTTAAGATATAAAAACCAGATTTAGGCTGAGCGTGGTGGCTAATGCCTGTAATCCCAGCACTTTGGAAGGCCAAGGCGGGTGGATCACCTGAGGTTGGGAGTTCGAGACCAGCCTGACCAGTATGGTGAAATCCCGTCTCTACTAAAAATACAAAAATAACCCCAGCTACTTGGGAGGCTGAGACTGGAGAATTGCTTGAACCCTGGAGGTGGAGGTTGCAGTAAGCCAAGATTGCACCACTGTACTCCAGCCTGGGCGACAGAGGGAGACTCCATCTCAAAAAAAAAAAAAAAAACAAAAAACCAAACCAAACCAAACAAACTAGTTTTAGGGGAAGATGGAGTCAACATATTTTTCCTACTCCCCCCACTAAGTAAAACTAAAGCCCATGGACATTATGAAACAAATATTAACCCATCATGAAAAATTCAGAGTAGAAGGCAGATTGACTAGGGTCCACAGGACCTAAGGAACAACACGATTGTGAGTTTCATGGGTTTTCTTTTTGCCTCATATAACCCAGACTTGGAGCTGAAGAAGCTGGCAACCCATACATAACACGGGAACAGAAAAAAAAGCCACAAATAGAAGCCATCTCTTTCTAGCCAAAGGACCAGAAAAGAGCCTAGTAACACAGAAAACTTGAGAAAATAACTGCTCTATGTCAAATACTACAGAAAACACTATGGCTCTACTTAGCCAGAAAAGGCCATGTCAGGAGTCTAGATTTCTGGCCTCATCAAGCTATCACAAAATACCCAAATGGCCCCCTGCCAGGGTGGTGTCAGAAAAAGCCAAGTGGGGAGTTGGAATTTAAATCCCTAAAAGACACTTCTGTTCCTGAGGTGTCAGTGGAGACCATATGGAAAGTCTGGACTTCCACTAAGTGGTAATAAGGTAACTCTTCCCCTCCCCACTTGGATATGATCAGAGGAAGGCTAGTGGAGAGTCTGGACTTTCACCTAGCATTAATGTGTCCATGCCCTGTGTTGTCATTGGAGGTCACATGGGGAAAAGCAATGAGCCACTTTTATCCAATGCAGCTAGGGTGTTATTAACATAGACTGAGTGGGGGGCCTGAATCCCCACTTCTACCCAGTAGTACTATGGGGCACCTCCCCAACTCAAGTGTCAGTGGAAACTAAATGGAGAACCTTGACTTACATTCCCACCTGGCAATAATGAGGAGGCACTCCTCCTTCTTTATTATCCCCTGCCAAAACAGTTTTATAGTAAGCCTGCTAAAACAGCAGATCTAAATGCAATCCAGAGTCTCTTCACAAAATTACCTAAATATTTAGGTTTTAGTTGAAAATCAGCCATCAGACCAAGAACAAGGAAACTAACAACTGAAAAAAGGCAGTCAATGGATGCCATCATTACGATGCCTCAAGAAACAATTGCAAACCTGATTGAAACAAATGAAAAAAGTCTCAGCAAAGAAATTCAAGATATAAAGGAGAACCAAATGAAAATTATTCAAATGAATAATATAGAAATGAAGAAAACTAAATGGATCAGCTCAACAGCAGAGTGGAAGGGAAAGAGGAAAGAATACATGAGCTTGAGATATAAAAATAGAAAGTACCCAGTCTGGGAGAAAACTGACGAAAAAAATAAATAAACAGAGTCACAGGGGTCTGTGGGACAATAATGAAAGTTCTAACACTTGTATAATTGGAAACTTGGAAGGAAAGAGGAAAGATGGAAAACCTCAAAAAGCACTCAAATAAATAATGGCTGATAATATTCCAGTATGGCAAAAGGCTTATACGTATAGATTCGAGAAGCTGAGTGAACATCAAACAGGATAAACCCCAAATAAAGTTACATGAAAATACATCATAGCAAAATTTGTGAAAACTAAAATATTCTTTTTTTTTTTTTTTTTTGAGACACAGTCTCGCTCTGTCATCCAGTCTGGAGTGCAGTGGCATGATCTCGGCTCACTGCAACCTCTGTCTCCCAAGTTCAAGTGATCCTCCCACCTCAGCCTCCCGAGTAGCTGGGACTACAGGCACACATCACCACGCCTGGCTAACTTTTTGTCTTTTTAGTAGAGACGGGATTTTGCTATGTTGGCCAGGCTGGTCTCGAACTCCTCACCTCAAGTGATCCACCTTCCTTGACCTCCCAAAGTGCTATGATTACAGCCGTGAGCCACTGCACCTGGCCTAACAAACTATTGAAAGCAGCAGGAGAGAAATTACACCTTACTTATAGGGGAAAAACAGTTTAAATGACAGTGGATTTCTCATCAGAAATCATGGAAGCCAGAAGGAAGTTGCACATTTTTAAGTGCCAAAAAAAATATATCAATGCGAAATCTTATAAATGGTGAAAATAGTCTTTTTTTGAGACTGGGCCTTGCTCTGTCACCCAGGCTGGTGTGCATTGGTGCAATCATGGCTCACTGCAGCCTTGACCTCCCAGGCTCAAATGATCCTCCTGCCTCAGCCTCCTGAGTAGCTGGGACAACAGGCATGCACCAATCATGCCCACCTAATTTTTGTATTTTCTGCAGAGTTGGGGTTTTGCCACATTCTCCAGGCTGGTCTTGAACTCCTGAGCTTAAGTGATTTGCCCACCTTGGGCTCCCAAAGTACTGGTATTACAGGTGTGAGCCACTGCATCTGGCCCAAAAATATTCTTTAGGAATGAAGGAGAAATGATGATATTCTCAGATGAAATAAAACGTGTTTGTCACCAGCAGACCTACCTTAAAAGGAAGACTTAAGGAAGTTCTCTAAAGAGAATGGCAATGATAAAAGAAGGAATCTTGGAACATCAGAAAAGAAGAAAGAAGAATGGAAAGAATAGAAATATGTATAAATACAATAGACTTTTCATCTCCTCTTGAATTGTCTCAAATGTATGACAGTGGAAGCAAAAATTATAACGCTATCTGATATGATTCTAAATGTATAGAGAGGAAATGTTTAAGATAATTATATTATAAATAGGGGAGGGAAAAGGGATGTAAAAGGAAGGAGGATTTGTAGACTTCATTCAAACTTATAAAATGCTGACACCACTACACGATGATACACGGACACACAGAGAGAGTATGTATAGGCACACATATAATATACTGCCTAGAGAAACCACTGAAAGACCTATACAAGGAGATACACTCAAAAACACTTTAGATTAATCAAAATGAAATTGTAAAAAAGTAACCCACAGGAAGGCATGACAAGAAAACAGAAATGACAGATTGAACAAACAAAAACAATAACATGGGGAATTAAGCTCTAACATATATAATTATCTTAAATGTAAATGATCTTAATACACCAATTAAATGAAAAAAATTAGCAGAGTGGATAAAAAATATATGCTGTCTACAATAATTGCACTTCAATTATAATGAAATAGACAAGTTGAAAGTAAAAAAAAAAGGATGGAAAGAGAAGCATTATGAAAACATAAATGGAAGCAGCAGAGGCCATATCACATAGTATCAGATTAAATAGACTTCAGAAGAAATTTATTTGGGCAAGATGGCTGATGACACAGCCAGGTGGAACAGCTGCCACCAAGGGAACTGGGACAACTAGTGCACTCCTAGAAGATCTTCAGAGGGAAGGCACTGAGAGTGGGCAGAGGGAAGGCACTGAGAGTAGGCAGAGGGAAGACACAGAAGCTGGGCTGAAGTTGGAGGAAGCTGGGGACCCTGCACGGGGCCACCATGCCTGGGACTTGTTACTGGCTCCTAACAACAATGGGGGAATGGGTGAGTTGAACTGGCAAGGAGCAACCCTCTCTTGCCATGGGCCTCTGGAATCCTGGCAGGAGAAGACCCCCAGACCATGATGGACACTTGAGTTGGCAGGGAGAGAAGTTTAGAGAAGTGTTAGGGGCAGCATGCCAGCCAGTTGTGGAGCACAGAGGGCTTGGTGCAGGAACATCTGTATTGGAGCAGAGCCAGGGATGCCCATCCCCCTAACTCGACTTGCTGTCATAGTAGACTTTAGTCTTAGGGGAACTAGTGGGCCTGAACTCTGCAGGGTGGTCTTGTCCATCACTCAGGCCAGTCTGATCTGTGCACCCCTTGGTCTTCTGGCCTCTCTTAGGGCCCCAGCCTGGCCACATTGGTTTGCAGTGCAGTCTTGGTACCCTGGGGGTCTGCATCATAGCTTCTGAGCTGGTGGACTGCACCTGACTGCTGATGAGCTATAGCAGGGTGGCCCCCGAGGTCACGTACCATCCCACCCACTCGATACCCACAATACAGCTTCCTGTGGGCCCAGGGCCACTTCCCACATTGCCTTGACCGCACATGTGTACGTGGGGCCAATCTTGCCTTCTTCCCTGCCTGGCCAGCACATATATGCACTGAACCATGCTGTGCCACTGCTGCCAGCAGCAGTTCACTACAACTCTCTACCCTCCACCGCTGCTGTACCGCCATTGCAGTTGGAGCCTTGGCAGGCACAAAGCCAGGCAGTTCCGCCCCTGCAAGTGAAACTAGGCACAGAGACTAGCAGACCCTCCCCTGCCCTGAGCCTGCATAAACATGCACAGAGGGTGGACACAGTCCTGCACCCACCAGTGCCCTACCCCCATGCTAACACCACTAGCAGGACCACACACACAGTCACCAGTCAGGCCTCTGCCCTCCTGAGCCTCCACCGCCACTACTGTGAATGCCTGCATGGAGGCAGGCATGCTGGCACCTCCTAGCACCCTGCTGCAGCAAACAAGCATGCACCCCGCTGTGCTGCCACTGCCACCACTGCTGACACATGCAAACAAAGATGAATCCCACTACCATCACCCTATGAAACACTTTAGCTGTTACCACTCATTAGAGTGTAGTGACCAGCGGTCTGTGAGCACCTCGGCCCTTCTAGCACAGCAGGTTCATAATTTCAAGGAGCCAAAGAACAAAGCAGAGGCTTGATAGCAGTCATCCAGAGTTAGCACATGGAGTTCCGGAGTCCTGAGCTGAGGCTTGGCCTCCTAAAATCTTCCAGAAATGAACCCAGTCAACTGAACCCACCTTTTGCCACAATCAAACCCCAAGGTCCTCAAATAGAATAAAATTTAAAAACATCCAAAGGACAGTGACTTCAAAGATTGAAGAAACATCAGCTGATAAAAATGAGTGCAAGAACTATGACAGCTTGAAAAGCCAGAGTGTCTTCTTTCCTCCAAATGACAGTACTAGTTCTTCAACAAGGGTTCTTAACCAGGCTAAGATGGCTGAAATCACAGAACTAGAATGCAGAATATGGAAAGAAATGAAGATAATTGCTCCATCTTTTCAGTCTTCTGGATTCAAGACACAACAATATTGAAATTAGGCCAACTAATAACCATGCAATGGCCTTTAAGTGTTCAAGTGAAACGAAGAGTCACATGTTTCTCACTTTAAATCAAAAGCTTGAAATCATTAAGCTTAGCAAGGAAGACACGTCAAAAGCTGAGAAAGGACAAAAGCTAGGGCTCTTGCACCAAACAGCCCAAGTTGTGAATGTGAAGGAAAAGTTCTTGAAGGAAATTAAAAGTGCTACTCTAGTGAAAACACAAACGATAAGAAAGCAAAACAGTCCTATTGTTGATAAAAGTTCCTAACTGTCTTCAATTCTTTGAAGGCTGAGAAAAGTGAGGAAGCTGCAGGAGAAAAGTTGGAAGCTACCTGAGCTTGGTTCATGAGTTTTATGGAAAGGAGTCATCTCCATAACACAAAAGTGCAAGGTGAAGCAACAAGTACTGATGTAGAAGCTGCACAAGTTATCTAGAAGATCTAGCTAAGATAATTGGTGAAGATGGCCACACTGAAGGACAGATTTTTCAATATAGATGAAGCAGCTTTCTATTGGAAGAAGCTGCTACCTAGTACTTTCATAATTAGAAAGAAGAAGTCAGTGTCTGGCTTCAAATTTCCAAAGGACAGCCTAACTTTTGTTAGGGTTTAATGCAGCTGGTGACATTCAGATGAAGCCAGTGCTCATTTATCATTCCAAAAATCCTAGGGCCCTTAACAATTATAATAAATCTATTCTGCCTGTGCTCTATAAATAGAACAAAAAAGCCTAGATGATAGCATGTCTGCTCACAGCATGGTTTACTAAATATTTTAAGGTCACTGTTGAGGTGCACTGTGCAGAAGAAAAGGTTTCTTTCAGAGTATTACTGCTCAATAACAGTACACCAAGTAATCTAGGAGCTCTTATGGAGATCTGCATGCAGATGAATGTTTTCATGGCCGCTAACATAATATCCATTCTGCAGCCCATGGATCAAGTAGTAACTTTGACTTTCAGGTCTTATTATTTAGGAAATACACTTTGTATGGCCATAGCTGCCATAGATTGTAATTGCTCCAATGTACATGGGCCAAGTAAATAAATTTCTGGGAACAATTCACTATTCTAGATGCCATTAAGAATATTCATGATTTTGGGCGGAGACAATGGGGTTTTCTAAATATACAATCATGTCATGTGCAAACAGGGACAATTTGACTTCCTCTTTTCCTAATTGAATATCCTTTATTTCTTTCTCTTGCCTGATTGCCCTGGCCAGAACTTCCAACACTATGTTGAATGGGAGTGGTGAGAGAGGGCATCCGTGTCTTGTGCTGGTTTTCAAAGGGAATGCTCCTTAAGCTGATAAGCAACTTCAGCAAAGTCTCAGGATGCAAAATCAATGTGCAGAAATCACACGGATTCCTATACACCAATAACAAACAAACAGAGAGCCAAATCATGAGTGAATTCCCATTCAAAATTGCTACAAAGAGAATAAAATACCTAGGAATCCAGCTTACAAGGGATGTGAAGGACCTCTTCAAGAACAACTAAAAACCACTGCTCAACGAAATAAAAGAGGAACAAACAAATGGAATAACATTCCATGCTCATGGGTAGGAAGAATCAATATAGTGAAAATGGCCATACTGCCCAAGGTAATTTATAGATTCAATGCCATCCCCATCAGACTACCAATGACTTCCTTCACAGAATTGGAAAAAACTGCTTTAAAGTTCATATGGAACCAAAAAAGAGCCTGCATTGCCAAGACAATCCTAAGCAAAAAGAACAAAGCTGGAGGCATCACGCTACCTGACTTCAAACTATTCTACAAGGCTACAGTAACCAAAACAGCATCGTGCTGGTACCAAAGCAGATATATAAACCAATGGAACCGAACTGAGCCCTCAGAAATAACACCACACATCTAGAACCATCTGATCTTTGACAAACCTGCCAAAAAAAAAAAAAAAAAGCAATGGGGAAAGGATTCCCTATTTAATAAATGGTGCTGGGAAAACTGGCTAGCCATATGTAGAAAGCTGAAACTGGATCCCTTCCTTACACCTTATACAAAAATTAATTCCAGATGGATTAAAGACTTAAATGTTAGAACTAAAACCATAAAAACCCTAGAAGAAAACCTAGGCAGTACTATTCAGGACATAGGCATAGGCAAGGACTTCATGACTAAAACACCAAAAGCAATGGCAACAAAAGCCAAAATAGACAAATGGGATCTAATTAAACTAAAGGGCTTCTGCATGGCAAAAGAAACTATCATCAGAGTGAACAGGCAACCTACAGAATGGGAGAAAATTTTTGCAATCTACCCATCTGACAAAGGGCTAATATCCAGAATCTACAAATAATTTAAACAAATTTACAAGAAAAAAAAACCCCATCAAAAAGTGGGCAAAGCATGTGAACAGACACGTCTCAAAAGAAGACATTTATGCAGCCAACAGACATGAAAAAATGCTCGTCATCACTGGTCATCAGAGAAATGCAAATCAAAACCACAGTGAGATACCATCTCACACCAATTAGAATGGCGAACATTAAAAAGTCAGGATACAACAGATGCTGGGGAGGATGTGGAGAAATAGGAATGCTTTTACACTGTTGGTGGGAGTGTAAATTAGTTCAACCATTGTGGAAGACAGTGTGGTGATTCCTCAAGGATCTAGAACTAGAAATACCATTTGACCCAGCAATCCCATTACTGGGTATATACCGAAAGGATTATAAATCATGCTACTATAAAGACACATGCACACGTATGTATATTGTGGCACTATTCACAATAGCAAAGACTTGGAACCAGCCCAAATGTTTATCAATGATAGACTGGATTAAGGAAATGTGGCACATATACACCATGGAATACTATGCAGCCATAATAAAGGATGAGTTTATGTCCTTTGCAGGGACATGGATGAAGCTGGAAACCGTCGTTCTCAGCAAACTATCACAAAAACAGAAAACCAAATACCGCATGTTGTCACTCATAGGTGGGAATTGAACAATGAGAACACTTGGACACAGGGTAAGGAACATCACACACTGGGGCCTGTTGGGGGGTGAGGGGCTAGGGGACGGATAGCATTAGGAGAAATACCTTATGTAAATGACGAGTTGATGGGTGCAGCAAACCAACATGACACATGTATACCTATGTGTCAAACCTGCACATTGTGCACTTGTACCCTAAAACTTAAAGTATAATTTTTCTAAAAAAAAGAATATTCATGATTTATGGGAGGAGGTCAGAATATCAACATTAACAGAAGTTTGGAAAGAGTTGATGCCAACTCTCATGGATGATTTTGATGAGTTCAAGACTTCAGTGGAGGATATAACGGCAGATATGGTGAAATACCAAGAGAAATATAAATAGAAGTGGTTCCTGAAGATGTGACTGAATTGCTGCAATCTCATGATAAAACTTGAATGGATGAGGAGTTGCTTCTTATGGATGAGCAAAGAAAGTGATTTATTTGATGGAATTTACTCCTAGTAAAGATGCTGTGAACATTGTCGAAATGATAGCAAAGGATTTATAATATTATATAAACTTAGTTGAAAAAGCAGTGTCACGGTTTCAGAGGATCGTCTCCAGTTTTGAAGGAAGTTCTGCTGTGGGTAAAATGCCTGAAATAGCATCACATGCTACAGAGGAATCTTTCATGAAAGGATGAGTACATCGATGTGGCACACTTCATTGTTGTCATATTTTAAGACATTACCACAGCCACTCCAACCTTCAACCACCAGTACCCTGAGCAGTCAGCAGCCATCAACGTCGAGGCAAGACTTCCCACCAGCAAAAAGATTACTACCTGCTGAAAGCTCAAACGATTGCTGGCATTTTTTAGTAATAAAGTATTTTTAATTAAGATATATACAGTTTTTAGATATAATGTTGTTGCATACTTAATAGACTACAGTATATTGTAAACATAATTACATGCCAAAAAATTGTGTGACTGGCTTTATTGTGATACTCACTTTACTGTGACAATTGCTTTATTGCAGTGGCCTGGAACTGAACCTACATTATCTCCAAGGTTTGACAGTAATTTAATTCATAATTTGTGACTTCAAAATCTTAACTAGTATTGGAAGTCCTAGCCATAGAATTAAGGCAAGAAAAATAAATGAAAGACCTACAGATTGGAAAGGGAGAAATAAAACTGTCTCTATTTGCAGATGACATGATTGTTTATGTAGAAAAAATCCCAACGAATCTAGAAAACCAGAGAACAACTGTTTTTTTTTGCATTTACAAGTTTAATATAATATACACAAATCAATTGCTTTCCAACATACTAGCAATGAACAAGTGGAATTTCAGATTAAAAACACAATACCATTTACATTAGCACACAAAAAATGGCATACTTAGCTATAAATCTAACGAAATATATGCAAGATCAACACAAGGAAAACTATAAAAATCTGATGAAATCAAAGAACTAAATAAATGAAGAGATATTCTATGCTCATGGATAGAAAGATTCAATATTGCCAATCTGTCAGTTCTTCCCAACTTTATAGATCCAATAAAATCTCAATCAAAATCTTAGTAAGTTACTTTGTGAATACTGACAGGCTGATTGTAAAGTTTATATAGAGACACCAAAGACTCAGAATAGCCAACACAATATTGAATCAGAATAACAAAGTTGGAGAACTGAAACTACCTGACTTTAACACTTACTGCAAAGCTACAATAATTAAGACAGGGTGTTATTGGAAACAAACAAACAACAAGTACAAATAGATCAATGGAACAGAATGGAGAGCCCAGAAATTGACCCACAGAAATATAATCAACTCAGCTTTGACAAAGGAACAAAGACAATTCAACAGAGAAAGGAAAGTCTTTTTAACCAATGGTGCCAGAACAACTCAACATCCACATATTAAAAAAGAAAAAAATTGAATCTAGACACAGAGCTTACACACTCCACAAAATTTAACTCAATATAGGTTATATAACAAAACATAAAACACAAAACTATCTGTATACGCCATGCCACGTATACAGCACATGACATTTATAGAAATGGTATTATTAATCGTTATGTAGAAATAGTTTATAGACTGGAATCAAATGAAAATATTGTTTATAAAATTGGAAAATAAAAAATTAGGAAATATTGTCAGAAAAATATAGGTATAACTATAATAGATGATACTATATTCTGAATTATAAATAGGAAAGCCAAAAAACTAAAAAATAAATCATAAAAAGTATTATGCCCTGTCAGCTGGGCACAGTGGCTCATGCCTGTAATCCCAGCACTTTGGGAGGCCGAGTCCAGTGGATCACGAGGTCAGGAGATCGAGACCCTCCTGG
This sequence comes from Homo sapiens, assembly GCF_000001405.40. Lineage (NCBI taxonomy): Eukaryota > Metazoa > Chordata > Mammalia > Primates > Hominidae > Homo > Homo sapiens. The sequence continues at coordinate 64,308,377 of NC_000023.11, read as the reverse complement.
CTAACACAGTGAAACCCCGTCTCTACTAAAAATACAAAAAAAAAAAAAAAAAAAAAATAGCCAGCCGTGATGGCAGGCACCTGTAGTCCCAGCTGCTCTGGAGGCTGAGACAGGAGAATGGCGTGAGACTCTGTCTCAAAAAATAATAATAAAAAAAAAAGTATTATGCTTCGTCAAAAGTTTTTTTGAATTCTTAGCTAATTCTCTTTTTATTTTTATTATTATTATTATACTTTAAGTTTTAGGGCACATGTGCACAATGTGCAGGTTTGTTACATATGTATACATGTGCCATGTTGGTGTGCTGCACCCATCAACATAGGTGACTTCAACGCAATCATAGGACACAATATCAACATACATAAATCACTTGTGCTTCATATACTAGCAATGAACATACAGACATTGAAATAAAAAATATATCATTCATAATCATTCAAATAAATACGTAAATGCAAATGTAGCAAAACATGTATAAGATCTGCTGACAATTAGAAAATGCTGATAAAGAAATTAAAGATCTAAATGAATGGAGAGGCACATTGCATGTTCGTGGATTGTCAAAATCAACACAGTAAAAATGTCAGCCCTTCCCAAATTGGTATGCAATTACAATACATTTCCTATGAAAATCGCAGGCAGATTTTTTTTGGAGATGTAGTCAACATTATTCTAAAATGTGTATGTAAAGTCAGCGGAGGTAGAATAGCTAAGACAATTTGACAAAGAAGTATAAGGTGGGAGGAACCATTATACTCAATTTCAAGACATTTATATGGCTATGGTAATCAAGTCTGTGCGGCAGTGGTAGAGGGATAGATACGAAACTCAATAGAAGAGAATAGAGAACCCAAAAGCCGACCTGCACAGATACGCCTAAATTATTACAGAAGTAATTAAATGGGGGAAGGATAGTCTTTTCAACAAATGATGCTGAACAATCCATTGCCCTCTCCGCTCAAAATTAACCTTCACCTACACCTCATACTTTATACAAAATGGATCATAAATTTAAATGTAAAATGCTCAAACTATAAATCTTTTAGAAGAAAACTTAGAAAAATTTCAGGTAAGTCACTTGATACTAAAAGTATGATTCATAACAGGAAAAGTTGATATATTAGACCTCAATAAAATTAAAAACTTTTCCTCTACAGAAGCTACAGAGCTACAGACTGGGAGAAAATACTACAAATAACGTATCCAGTAACAAACTAGTATCTAGAATATATCAAGAACTCTTAACACGTAATAGTAAAAGCAAGCCTAGTTAAAAATAGGCAAAAGACATAAACATTTCACTGAAGAAAATATAACAGATGGAAAATAAGCACATGAAAAGGTGTGCAGAGATTGAGGCCATCTCACTCTCAGCATGCATTACATTCCGCCACCGTTGCTGCCATTCCGCTCCCGTAGTTGTCTCCACCTGATCTGCTCTCATGCTGGGGTTGAGGAAGGGAGTTGTACAGGGAGAGGAGAAGGCCTCAGCTGAGGCAGTTGAGGAGGAGGAAGGAAGCAGTGGCACAGCCGGCATAGCAGCACAGGCAGCCTGGTTCCTGGGAGTGTCGGTGTGGCATGGTGGTTGGGGCAGATCCTGTGGGGCCTGGGTAGGGGAAGGAGTCATCAGCTCGTTCATAGTGGACAATGAAAAACTAGACAGCCAATGGCTCAAGAATTTTGAGAACAAAGTCCACAACTTGGGGATTATGAGAAGACAGCAAAATGAAGTTGTAGTTGAATTAAGGAAGAATAAAAGAGATGAACATCTCTTAAAGAGAAGGAACGTACTGAATGAAGATACCTGTGAAGACTGATACAAATGATGATTATGGAGTGTAAAATACCTCTCTAGTAGCTATTATTCAAAATGCTTCAAGTGATAACTAAGAAATTCAATTAAATGCAGTTCGGGCTGCTAGGAAGCTTTGTCCAGTGATCGAAGTCTACCAATTTATAAAAATAAAATCTGGAATACTACCTGTTCTAGTCTATTGTCTTGAAAGAGATGACAATGCTTTACAGTTAGAAGCTGCATGGGCTTTGACAAACACTGCATCTAGAACCTCTGAACAAGCTCAAACAGTAGTTCAGTCCAATGCTGTGCCACATTTCCTGAGGCTCCTCCATTCACTTCATCAGAATGTTTGTGAGCAAGCAGTGTGGGCATTGAGAACTATCATAAGTGATGGTCCTCCCGATGTAGAGATTATGTCATAAGTCTTGGAGTTGTGAAACCTTTATTTTACTTCAAAACATTTTTTTTTTCTGTGATAGGGGCTCACCCAGGCTGGAATGCAGTGGCGCAAACACAGCTAACTGCACCCTCAACCTCTGGAGCTCAAGAAATCATCCTGCCTTAGCCTCCCGAGTAGCTGGAACCACAAGTGCGTGCCACCACACCCAGCTAAATGTTTAAATTGTTTGTAGAGACAGGGTCTCACCATGTTGCCTAGGCTGGTCTCTAACTCCTGGACTCAAGAATCCTCCTGCCTCAGCCTCCCAAAGTGCTAGCATTCCAAGTGTGAGCCACCATGCCCAGCCTGGGTTATGGCCAATTTATGTCACCACAAAGAGCCACCACCACCAATGGAAACCATACAGGAAATGCTTTCAGCTCTTTGTGTTCTAATTCATCATACATTTGTAAATATATTAGTAGATACAGACTGGGCCCTCTCTTACCTTACTGGTGCTGGCAATGAACAAATACAGATGGTAGTAGACTCTGGAATAGTTCCTCATTTGGTTCCTCTTCTCAGCCGCCGGGTGGTTCAGACTGCTGCACCTCAAGCTGTGAGCAACATGGCTACTGGAATTGAAGAGCAAACAGAAGTAGTTGTGAATTATGATGCTCTTTCATACTTGTGGGCAATCCTGACACATCCCAAAGAGAAAATTAATAAAGAGGCAGTATGGTTTCTCTGTAACATCACTGCAGGTAATCAGCTGCAGATACAGGCAGTAATAGATGCCAATATTGTACCAAGAATAATAAACCTTTTGGATAAGGGGGATATTGGCACTCAGAAGCTGACTGTAAAAGATGCACAAGTTGTACAAGTAGTACTGGATGAATTAATATATTAAAAATGGCTAAAAATGAGGCAGAATCCATAGCCAATCTTATAGAAAAATGTGGAGGACTGGAGAAAATTGAACAACTTCAAAATCATAAAAATGGAGACATCTACAAATTAGCCTATGAGATGATTGCTCAGTTCTCTTCAAATGATATTGATGAAGATCTTAGCCTTGATCCAGAGGCAATTCAAGGTGGAACATTTGGTTTCAATTTATCTGCCAGTATACCAATAGAACAGTTCCAGTTTTAGAACAGTATTGTGGAAGTTAGGTACAATTTATATACATACATACATACGTATATATGTATATACATATATATGTATATACATATATATATGTTTATACATATATGTGTGTATATGTGTATATATATATGTATGTGTATATATATATATATATATATATATATATATATATATATATATATATAAATGTTTGATCCATCAAGCTTAGCTCATGGGATCTGCTTCTGCATTAAATTGGGAAAGAAAATGTGAAGATTTCATTTGGAATCACAGAAAATGCCCAAATGTGGTCAAGATGGTGAATGGGTATGAGTGAGAATGAGTGGCAAAATGTAATGAAAACTTTACATGAATGCTTATTTAGGCTGTTCATAGTAAAAAGGGCTACAGGTCACAGATCTTCAGTGCCTGAGAAAGAACATTGACTTACTCTATATAAACTGAGGGGAAAGTGTAGTACTATTATCTTCAAGGCTTGTAACCGTAAAAGAGAATTGGATGCCCACATAAGTAAAAGGAAAATGAGCCTAGGCCTTGCTATGAAGCAGTGTCCAAATGGAAAATGTTGAATGAATGTCTGGCTCAGTGATGGACAGTCAGTATCATCTTTAAAATCTAGGGCTCTCATTCATGAATTAGACTCCTAGTCCTGGAGTGACTATGTACAGGAGTGTGGTAGTGGTGCTGTATGTGAACACATGCAAGCTTGATTTGCCTTCAGGTGGCTGATAGCCTAGTAAATCATCAAAATGAGATCCTGAGTGTTAATGTACACTGGACATAAAAACAAATACTGGATCAGCAGCAGACATTTGTTTACTCTGCAACTTATGTTTTCTATTTCCCCTTACCCCTTTTCCTCCCCGCCCCTGTAAGTTTTTATTTACCTAGTATGGCTTTCTTTTTAGTTGACTCTCAAGTCAGAAAACATTTCAGGAAGGTTTCCCTGTGCATTTGCACTGAATGAATGTTTGATGCTATGAATGTCTTTCCTTATCAAAGCTAATTTGTGTAGATTTTTGCATGAAAAAAATCATAACTTTTTCTCAAAACAGACTGTGCTGCAGTACACAAGTTGCCATAATAGTATAAAACAGTAAAATGTGCTTAAAAGGCCATGCTTTTCACTTTCAGAGAGAACATAAAGATCTTTGCATGAGGTAAATTTACAGCATAGTTCATTTTCAGATTTTGTTGGGTCCTGTAGAGAAGAAGAAGAAAAAAGTTTCAGTTGTGTTAGAATACCATGCTGTATTTAAATGTTACTTGTTTTCAAACTTTGTTTTATATGAAAATGATGTGGAAACTTCTAAAATGGAATTTGGCACATATGTACTGCTTCATAAAGACTGATAAAGTAGTTTTTGTAAATTGAATAATACCTCAGTTTTGAGGTTATGTACAGTAAATGTGATGTAATTTATACAGTAAGAACTCTTTATAAGGTGGCTCATTTTAGGAAATCATGTGCCTTCCCCTTTGAGCACAAGTATTGTGTGAACCACAGTTTGCTATAAGAAATATATCACGTTAACCACCAATAGCCTCTATATCTACTTTGTGTTTAAAAATCAACTAGTAATTCTGAAACACTGTAGAATGGATAAAAATTGTTTTGTGAACATAACTCTGTTGAACTAGAGTATTTTTGCAGTGTGTCTTGTCATCAGAAATATAAAGTTTAAAACTAGTAACAGCAGAAAACTAGCTTATGAAATTTATCCAAATAGAGTACAAGCTAGGCTGTCTTGGAGAAATAAACATTAAAACTTAAAAGAAAAAAAAGATAAATGTTCAACATCATTAGCCAATTTGGTAAATGCAAATGCTCAATCAGATACTACTACACATTTATCAGAATGGCTAAAATAAAAAAAAATGGTTACAATACAAAGTGCTGTCAAAGATACTGAAAAGCTGAATTTTTCCTGCCTTCCTGGTGGGGATTATAGTGACTTTGAAGGATTTTACATCTGATAAGAATCACGAGATGGCATTAACGCACAGCAAACTTTAAGTGATCCTTTGACAGATTTGCACCTGGGAAAATCCTTCACAGCACGAGGCCATCCAGACTCTCTGGTATAGGCCTGAGGGCACAACCCATAAGGGGAGGAGGGCTAAGGAACTCATGAAGGAGACGGAGCTGACATGTCTATTAATATATGATGTTGCTAGGCAGCACAGCAGGGAGTCTGTGGGTCAGGGAACTCTGAAGACCAGCAGCAGCTTGGGGTCTTTATTGCCCTACAGTTTTTCTTGTCTATGGGTAGTAGATATTTTGTGAAGTTTTGCAGTGTATGTAAAGCAGGCAGGCTCTAATGCCTAAAAATATACTCATGTGGGCTATATTTAAAACAATTGGCTGTGTAACATTTTCAGATTGGTACTATCAAGCTTTTCAGCTAATGGGTTCCTAACCTGTAATGAAGAAGTAAACAGCATAGGGTCCGAGGGGAGGAGCCAAGATGGCCGAATAGGAACAGCTCCGGTCTACAGCTCCCAGCGTGAGCGACGCATAAGACGGGTGATTTCTGCATTTCCATCTGAGGTACCGGGTTCATCTCACTAGGGAGTGCCAGACAGTGGGCGCAGGCCAGTGGGTGTGCGCACCGTCCGCGAGCCGAAGCAGGGCGAGGCATTGCCTCACCTGGGAAGCGCAAGGGGTCGGGGAGTTCCCTTTCCGAATCAAAGAAAGGGGTGACAGACGCACCTGGAAAATTGGGTCACTCCAACCCGAATATTGCGCTTTTCAGACCGGCTTAAAAAACGGCGCACCATGAGACTATATCCCACACCTGGCTCGGAGGGTCCTACGCCCGCGGAATCTCGCTGATTGCTAGCACAGCAGTCTGAGATCAAACTGCAAGGCAGCAGCGAGGCTGGGGGAGGGGCGCCCGCCATTGCCCAGGCTTGCTCAGGTAAACAAAGCAGCCAGAAAGCTCGAACTGGGTGGAGCCAACCACAGCTCAAGGAGGCCTGCCTGCCTCTGTAGGCTCCACCTCTGGGGGCAGGGCACAGACAAACAAAAAGACAGCAGTAACCTCTGCAGACTTAAATGTCCCTGTCTGACAGCTTTGAAGAGAGCAGTGGGTCTCCCAGCACGCAGCTGGAGATCTGAGAACCGGCAGACTACCTCCTCAAGTGGGTCCCTGACCCCTGACCCCCAAGCAGCCTAACTGGGAGGCACCACCCAGCAGGGGCACACTGACACCTCACACGGCAGGGTATTCCAACAGAGGGTCCTGTCTGTTAGAAGGAAAACTAACAAACAGAAAGGACATCCACACCGAAAACCCATCTGTACATCACCATCATCAAAGACCAAAAGTAGATAAAACCGCAAAGATGGGGAAAAAACAGAACAGAAAAACTGGAAACTCTAAAACGCAGAGCACCTCTCCTCCTCCAAAGGAACGCAGTTCCTCACCAGCAATGGAACAAAGCTGGATGGAGAATGACTTTGACGAGCTGAGAGAAGAAGGCTTCAGATGATCAAATTACTCTGAGCTACGGGAGGACATTCAAACCAAAGGCAAAGAAGTTAAAAACTTTGAAAAAAATTTAGAAGAATGTATAACTAGAATAACCAATACAGAGAAGTGCTTAAAGGAGCTGATGGAGCTGAAAACCAAGGCTCGAGAACTACGTGAAGAATGCAGAAGCCTCAGGAGCCGATGCGATCAACTGGAAGAAAGGGTATCAGCAATGGAAGACGAAATGAATGAAATGAAGTGAGAAGGGAAGTTTAGAGAAAAAAGAATAAAAAGAAATGAGCAAAGCCTCCAAGAAATATGGGACTATGTGAAAAGACCAAATCTACGTCTGATTGGTGTACCTGAAAGTGATGAGGAGAATGGAACCAAGTTGGCAAACACTCTGCAGGATATTATCCAGGAGAACTTCCCCAATCTAGCAAGGCAGGCCAACGTTCAGATTCAGGAAATACAGAGAACGCCACAAAGATACTCCTCAAGAAGAGCAACTCCAAGACACATAATTGTCAGATTCACCAAAGTTGAAATGAAGGAAAAAATGTTAAGGGCAGCCAGAGAGAAAGGTCGGGTTACCCTCAAAGGGAAGCCCATCAGACTAACAGCGGATCTCTCGGCAGAAACCCTACAAGCCACAAGAGAGTGGAGGCCAATATTCAACATTCTTAAAGGAAAGAATTTTCAACCCAGAATTTCATATCCAGCCAAACTAAGCTTCATAAGTGAAGGAGAAATAAAATACTTTACAGACAAGCAAATGCTGAGAGATTTTGTCACCACCAGGCCTGCCCTACAAGAGCTCCTGAAGGAAGCGCTAAACATGGAAAGGAACAACCGGTACCAGCTGCTGCAAAATCATGCCAAAATGTAAAGACCATCGAGACTAGGAAGAAACTGCATCAACTAACGAGCAAAATCACCAGCTAACATCATAATGACAGGATCAAATTCACACATAACAATATTAACTTTAAATGTAAATGGACTAAATTCTCCAATTAAAAGACACAGACTGGCAAATTGGATAAAGAGTCAAGACCCATCAGTGTGCTGTATTCAGGAAACCCATCTCATGTGCAGAGACACACATAGGCTCAAAATAAAAGGATGGAGGAAGCTCTACCAAGCAAATGGAAAACAAAAAAAGGCAGGGTTTGCAATGCTAGTGTCTGATAAAACAGACTTTAAACCAACAAAGATCAAAAGAGACAAGGCCATTACATAATGGTAAAGGGATCAATTCAACAAGAAGAGCTAACTATCCTAAATATATGTGCACCCAATACAGGAGCACCAAGATTCATGAAGCAAGTCCTGAGTGACCTACAAAGAGACTTAGACTCCCACACATTAATAATGGGAGACTTTAACACCCCACTGTCAACATTAGACAGATCAATGAGACAGAAAGTCCACAAGGATACCCAGGAATTGAACTCAGCTCTGCACCAAGCAGACCTAATAGACATCTACAGAACTCTCCACCCCAAATCAACAGAATATACATTTTTTTCAGCACCACACCACACCTATTCCAAAATTGACCACATAGTTGGAAGTAAAGCTCTCCTCAGCAAATGTAAAAGAACAGAAATTATAACAAACTATCTCTCAGACCACAGTGCAATCAAACTAGAACTCAGGATTAAGAATCTCACTCAAAGCCGCTCAACTACATGGAAACTGAACAACCTGCTCCTGAATGACTACTGGGTACATAACGAAATGAAGGCAGAAGTAAAGATGTTCTTTGAAACCAACGAGAACAAAGACACAACATACCAGAATCTCTGGGACGCATTCAAAGCAGTGTGTAGAGGGAAATTTATAGCACGAAATGCCCACAAGAGAAAGCAGGAAAGATCCAAAATTGACACCCTAACATCACAATTAAAAGAACTAGAAAAGCAAGAGCAAACACATTCAAAAGCTAGCAGAAGGCAAGAAATAACTAAAATCAGAGCAGAACTGAAGGAAATAGAGACACAAAAAACCCTTCAAAAAATCAATGAATCCAGGAGCTGGTTTTTTGAAAGGATCAACAAAATTGATAGACTGCTAGCAAGACTAATAAAGAAAAAAAGAGAGAAGACTCAAATAGACACAATAAAAAATGATAAAGGGGATATCACCACCAATCCCACAGAAATAAAAACTACCATCAGAGAATACTACAAACACCTCTACGCAAATAAACTAGAAAATCTAGAAGAAATGGATACATTCCTCGACACATACACTCTCCCAAGACTAAACCAGGAAGAAGTTGAATCTCTGAATAGACCAATAACAGGAGCTGAAATTGTGGCAATAATCAATAGTTTACCAACCAAAAAGAGTCCAGGACCAGATGGATTCACAGCCGAATTCTACCAGAGGTACAAGGGGGAACTGGTACCATTCCTTCTGAAACTATTCCAATCAATAGAAAAAGAGGGAATCCTCCCTAACTCATTTTATGAGGCCAGCATCATTCTGATACCAAAGCCGGGCAGAGACACAACCAAAAAAGAGAATTTTAGACCAATATCCTTGATGAACATTGATGCAAAAATCCTCGATAAAATACTGGCAAACCGAATCCAGCAGCACATCAAAAAGCTTATCCACCATGATCAAGTGGGCTTCATCCCTGGGATGCAAGGCTGGTTCAATATACGCAAATCAATAAATGTAATCCAGCATATAAACAGAGCCAAAGACAAAAACCACATGATTATCTCAATAGATGCAGAAAAAGCCTTTGACAAAATTCAACAACCCTTCATGCTAAAAACTCTCAATAAATTAGGTATTGATGGGACATATTTCAAAATAATAAGAGCTATCTATGACAAACCCACAGCCAATATCATACTGAATGGGCAAAAACTGGAAGCATTCCCTTTGAAAACTGGCAACAGACAGGGATGCCCTCTCTCACCACTCCTATTCAACATAGTGTTGGAAGTTCTGGCCAGGGCAATTAGACAGGAGAAGGAAATAAAGGGTATTCAATTAGGAAAAGAGGAAGTCAAATTGTCCCTGTTTGCAGATGACATGATTGTATATCTAGAAAACCCCATTGTCTCAGCCCAAAATCTCCTTAAGCTGATAAGCAACTTCAGCAAAGTCTCAGGATACAAAATCAATGTACAAAAATCACAAGCATTCTTATACACCAACAACAGACAGAGAGCCAAATCATGAGTGAACTCCCATTCACAATTGCTTCAAAGAGAATAAAATACCTAGGAATCCAACTTACAAGGGATGTGAAGGACCTCTTCAAGGAGAACTAGAAACCACTGCTCAAGGAAATAAAAGAGGATACAAACAAATGGAAGAACATTCCACGCTCATGGGTAGGAAGAATCAATATCGTGAAAATGGCCATACTGCCCAAGGTAATTTACAGATTCAATGCCATCCCCATCAAGCTACCAATGACTTTCTTCACAGAATTGGAAAAAACTACTTTAAAGTTCATATGGAACCAAAAAAGAGCCCGCATCGCCAAGTCAATCCTAAGCCAAAAGAACAAAGCTGGAGGCATCACACTACCTGACTTCAAACTATACTACAAGGCTACAGTAACCAAAACAGCATGGTACTGGTACCAAAACAGAGATATAGATCAATGGAACAGAACAGAGCCCTCAGAAATAACGCCGCCTACCTACAACTATCTGATCTTTGACAAACCTGAGAAAAACAAGCAATGGGGAAAGGATTCCCTATTTAATAAATGGTGCTGGGGAAACTGTCTAGTCATATGTAGAAAGCTGAAACTGGATCCTTTCCTTACACCTTATACAAAAATCAATTCAAGATGGAGTAAAGATTTAAACGTTAGACCTAAAACCATAAAAACCCTAGAAGAAAACCTAGGCATTACCATTCAGGACATAGGCATGGGCAAGGACTTCATGTCCAAAACACCAAAAGCAATGGCAACAAAAGCCAAAATTGACAAATGGGATCTAATTAAACTAAAGAGCTTCTGCACAGCAAAAGAAACTACCATCAGAGTGAACAGGCAACCTACAAAATGGGAGAAAATTTTCGCAACCTACTCATCTGACAAAGGGCTAATATCCAGAATCTACAATGAACTCAAACAAATTTACAAGAAAAAAACAAACAACCCCATCAAAAAGTGGGTGAAGGACATGAACAGACACTTCTCAAAAGAAGACATTTATGCCGCCAAAAAACACATGAAAAAATGCTCATCATCACTAGCCATCAGAGAAATGCAAATCAAAACCACTATGAGATACTATCTCACACCAGTTAGAATGGCAATCATTAAAAAGTCAGGAAACAACAGGTGCTGGAGAGGATGTGGAGAAATAGGAACACTTTTACACTGTTGGTGGGACTGTAAACTAGTTCAACCATTGTGGAAGTCAGTGTGGCGATTCCTCAGGGATCTAGAACTAGAAATACCATTTGACCCAGCCATCCCATTACTGGGTATATACCCAAAGGACTATAAATCATGCTGCTATAAAGACACATGCACACGTATGTTTATTGCGGCATTATTCACAATAGCAAAGACTTGGAACCAAGCCAAATGTCCAACAATGATAGACTGGATTAAGAAAATGTGGCACATATACACCATGGAATATTATGCAGCCATAAAAAATGATGAGTTCATGTCCTTTGTAGGGACATGGATGAAATTGGAAATCATCATTCTCAGTAAACTATCGCAAGAACAAAAAACCAAACACCGCATATTCTCACTCATAGGTGGGAATTGAACAATGAGATCACGTGGACACAGGAAGGGGAATATCACACTCTGGGGACTGTGTTGGGGGCGGGGGAGGGGGAAGGGATAGCATTGGAAGATATACCTAATGCTAGATGACGAGTTAGTGGGTGTAGCGCACCAGCATGGCACATGTATACATATGTAACTAACCTGCACAATGTGCACATGTACCCTAAAACTTAAAGTATAATTAAAAAAAAAAAAAAAAAACCAGCATAGGGTCCATATACAGAGGCTATCTGTGGTTCATTTATATAACAGTCCGTCCTCTGGCCCCATGGTATTTTTTGCTTGTTTTGGTTTTTGTAAAATATACATAACATAAAATTTACCATTTTAACCATTTTAAGTGTACAGTGTAATCAGCAATCAGAAGTTGTGCATCTACCATCATTATCCATTTCCAGAACTCTTTCATCATCCCAAACAGAAACTCCATAGCATAACAAAATAACTCTCCATTTTCCCCTCCCAGCAGCCCCTGGCAGCCCTCTATTCTACTTTCTGGTCTTTATGAATTTACCTATTCTAGGTAGCTCATGTAAGTGAAGTCATAGAATATTTGTTTTTGTATGTGTTTGTGTCTGGCTTATGTCACTTAGCATAGTGTTTTCAGGGTCCATCCATGTTGCAGCATGTATCAGAACTTCATTCCTTTTTGAGGCTGAAAAATATTCTATTGTATGGATATAGCACATTTTGTTTAGTCATCCATTGATGGACATCTGGGTTGCTTCTACCTTTTAGCTTTGGCTAATAATTTGTCTATGAATATTGGTATTCAACTGTCTGTTTGATTTCCTGCTTCGAGTTCTTTGGGGTATAACCTAAAAGTGGATTGTTGGATCATATGGTAATTTTATATTTAACTTTTTAAACGACTTCGAAGTTGTTTTCCACAGTGGCTGTGCCATTTTACATTCCCATCAGCAATGCACAAGGACTCTATTTTTTCTGTATCCTCACCAATAATTGCATTTTTCCTTTTATTTTTTGGATAGTATCCATCCTAGTGGGTATGAAGTAGTATCTCGTGGTTTCGATTTGCATTTTCCTTATGACTAGTGGCATTGAGCATATTTTCATGTGCTTATTGTCCATTTGTATATCTTCTTTGGAGAAATATCTATTCAAGTCCATTGCCCATTTTTGAATTGGGTTGTTTTTTGTGGTTGAGTTTTAGGAATTCTCTATATATTCTTTATATCAATCCCTTACCATATATATGATCTGCAAATATTTTCTCCCATTCTCTGGTTACCTTTTTATTCTCTTGATAGTATCTTTTGATGCACAAAATTTTGATAAAGTACAGTTTATCAATTTATTCTTTGTTGCCTGTGCTTTTAGTGTCATGTTGAGGAAATCATTGCCAAATTCCATGTCATGAAGATTTCCCCCTATGTTCTCTTCTAAGAATTTTACAGTTTTAGTCTTGTAAATCTTGTGAGAGAAAAAAAGAATTTTACAGTTTTAGTTCTTGCATTTAGGTTTACCTCAAGAGAATCTAGGAAACAATTTTGTGTGTGTGTGTGTGTGTGTGTCAGAAACATCTCATTTTAAGTTTTATTCAGGTGCACTTACGGGAGAGCCAAAGTAATAGCTTCCTTTAGTTTATCTAGTACCTCGTTGCTCAGGTTCTCACTGAAAAGTGAGACTTACAGGTGACTCAGTAGCAAATATTGGAGGTGAGGAGTGTGTTGGAGCCAGAATATAAACATTCCTATCAAATGTTGGATCTTCTTTACCAGTGTGGGAGGTTGGAGCACTAGGAGCTTGTCTTACCAGACTGAGAATACTTCACCCTTCTGAGTTCCAAAGGTAACCCCAAGATTTAATAAAGAGGTCTTGTACCTTATGTGGGGGCAGTTGCCCATCTGCTATAGGCGATATTTATGTTCTCCCAAATTCATATGTTGAAATCCTAACTCCCAATGTGATGGTATTAGGAGATAAGGCCTAGGCATTAAGAGAAGGCAAAGCCCTCATGAATGGGATTAGTTCCCTTATAAATGAGACCCCAGAGACATTGTTTTCTCCTTCTGTCATGTGAGGACACAGCAAAAAGACAGTCATCTATGAAGTAGGAAGAGGACCTTCACCAGATGCCAAATCTGCTGTCATCTCGATCTTGCACTTCCTAGCCTCCATGACTGTGAGGAATAAATATCTATTGTTTATAAGCCACCCAATTTATGGTATTTTGTTATAGCAGCCTAAGTGGACTAAGATACCATCCCCTCTCATTGAAGTGTTTGCTCACAGTTGTGATAACCTCAGAGACAGAATCTTGGTAAGATTTAGTAAGGAGGATTTTATCAATATAATGCCAAAGCTGAATTTCTGGTGGAAATAATGGGGCAGGCATCTAGGTCATATCTGCACAAGTTCGATCACAGGGCTATTTGAGTATCCCATAGGTGGCTGGGAAAAAATATACTCTTCACCCTCAAAAGTGAAGGCAAATTGTGATTAACTCTCCTACAAAATATTTCCCAATTGGAGCATGTTAGGCAAGTCTATAACTCCATGCCATTTATCTATGTTGTTTTGAATGTCATCCATTAAGGTGATGATATCTAGTAGAAGTGCTCCAATAAAAAGGTGCTCTTATTTAACTCTCTATAGTTAGCTTCCATTTATTAATAGTGGCTTTACACATAGGCTATACCAGAGGATTGACAGGTGAGATGGTAAGAATCAGTACACGTTATTTAAATAAGCTATGATAGCCTATAATCCTTCAGGGTCTTGCCTTAGCTTGTACTGTGCCGTATTTACCACCTGCCCTGGTAGGGGAAAGTTAACTGGTTCCCACCAGGTAGTGCCCACCAATACCATAAAAGCCTTAGGTTCTATGGAGTTACGAGCTGATTGAAGAAGTCCATTCAAATAAGGAAAGGGGATAGTCTCAGGGGTACAACCAGAATCAAAGCATCTTTTAGCAGAACTGGATCAATTTTAATAGTTAAGTAAGTAATTGCTCCTTTACATAATCATCCTCCTGGACAGGGTGAGGAGTGAGGGGATTCCTTTAGAGCATGAGTGATTCTTAGGATTAGGGAGATTTGGGCACCCATGTCCAACAAAGCCAGCCAATGTTGTAGAGCCAAACTACAGTTAATATGGTAAAAGGGTGATTGTCTACTGGAAGTAGCCACCTTCTGCAACCACCAGATCCCTATGTGGGTGTGGGTCCCTGCCACTGGAGGAGATCAGGAGCAGGCTTCCCAAGTGAGGCTGACTTTGAATACCTGCTGCAGATTGTAATCTAACCCTAGTAAATGTTAATACTTGCTTCACCAATGTATGAGAGAACATCCAATTTGGGCCCCTTTGTCCCTTAGGGTCCAATGTAACCCCTTTTGTTTACTCAGGGTTCAAGCTAAACCACGGACCTGGCTCTACGTGGTTTGCTTGGTCTAGAAGGGTGCAGCATAACTGTTGATAGTAATTTTGATTTAGGCTAGAAGGGGTTATAGTCATAGAATTAACAGGCAACACTTGAGTTTGTCTTTCATGTATTTCTACTAAATCCAGTGAAGCTATGAACTCTTCAGTTGTTTTAGCATTAGCCATTATTGCCCAAAAAGAGGACTTACACTTATCAGGCGCCCTCCTGAGAAATAAGTCGTTAGACAAGGGATTGAATTCCGTTTCCTCTGGACTTGCCAAGTCATCATGCTGCAGGTCATCTGTTGCCTGATAAACCCACTTCAGCATCCCCAGCTGATGTAGGAGATCTTTGACCTTGGTTAACATTTTCCATTGACAGTCTTCCCAGGCCTTTATAAGGCCTAGTATAGGATGGAAAGCCCACCAAGCCAAGCCGTAAAAATCCACATCAACAAGGTATATGTGGACTGAGGCACAAAGCCTCTTTTGAGGGTCACTCCTACCTTCCATGCTTATTATGCGGGATACTTTGGCAGTGACACCATTTTTTTCCATCTTGTACTATGGCAGCCAATTGTTTAATTCCCCTATTAGGTGGAGTTTGCTCCCTGCCAGATACATTCTGTATATATAGTCAGGCAGCCCCTTTTTCATTCAGTTCCTGGGTCAGGTCCTTACGGAGAGACTGGACATAAGGGCAAGAAAGATGATGCATTTTCTGCTCCAAAAGAGAAGTGGCCCTCTTCTTTTGTTTTTCTGTCTTTATGACTTTGCCAGTGGTTACTGGCAAAGCAGAGGGTAAATGATCCTAGTCCCTAGCATGATGACACCATGCTGCTGCTTTCTTCTTTAGAGGTCACCAGTTCTCTTCCCCAGGATCTTCCCTTCCAACTCATCTCCTGCAGGAGTTTGAGTTTCTACCTCCTCTCTGTGCAAACCCTGGTGAAAAGCAACCAACAGCGAGGTCCAACATGCACCTACTTTATGGTTTGGAGCATCCCTTGAGTAGGATAGCCACTTCCTTTGGTGTCCTGGAATGTAACTTTCCTTGATTTAGTCACTTGAAATAATGCTTTAGTCGGCTCAGCCAAAAGATGGAGAGCTCAACATACTTCCAACAAAGGACTAGAATGAGAGTATCTAAAGCATAATTGTCATGATAGCAGAGGACTACTAGCTGCTTGCAAGTGTCTCCCAATTGTGCTTAGGAGACCAGCATCGGACTGACATATCTGCCTTATCAGCTTGTTTGCCTGCCATAGCAGTGTCCAAGGACAAGGATATTCTCTCATCTCAGAGTATTCTCATCACATATCACCAGTCTGGACATGGGGAACTCTCCTACTATAGCCCATTATGGGATCTGGGGTAACCCACATGTGGTCCAGAGGTATGTACTTTCCCTTTTTCTATTCAGGCCCACAGGTGCCTACCTAGTGCCTTTCTAGTGGGAGATCCAGGTGATCAGGCTGACCTTCCCTGGGCAGCTTGGTGCCTCTCTCTCAAAAGTCAGTTCTGATGGCGAGGATTTACTCAAATACTGGCACTACCACTTGTCCAGGCTCATGAGGCATGGGGGAGACCATAGAAAATATAGAGTGTAATTCAGTACAGAAGAATGCCATGCCAAAGTTATGCGAACGTGTTCCAAATTCTGAGTCCCAAGCACTTAAGGTCGTCCAGGGTTGTTTTGACAGTTAATCCTCCTATTGACTTGGTAGGTCCCATATTGATTTCCTGGTCATCACCAAAATTCCATCCTTGTTGCCACTTGTAATGAGTTGAGGGATTTCAGGACTGATCAAGGAAAGAAGGAAAAGATATGACCACAGTAGCACACAACAAGCTTTTTGAGGGGTGTGTGGGGTGTTCAGCAGGCAACACTTTGACAGGTTAGCATGAGTGTAGAGGCCAGCACGCAGAAGGGGAGGAAGGCAAGGAAACTTCTCTTCAAGAAAGAGGAATATCAGAGGGGCTTACGTGTTTAGATGACTAGGCAGCATGTCAGGAAGTTGCTGGGTCAGAGGGTTCTGAAGGGCAGCAGTGATGTGGGGTCTTTATTACTCTGGAGTTAATCTTATCTTTGGTTAGCAGATGTTGGGGGCAGTTTTGTGGGGTATGCAAGACAGGCAGGCTCTAAAGGGTTAAAAATATGCTTAGTTTGGCTATTTAAAACAATTGGATGTGTAAAAATTTGAGTTTGGTACTAGCAGGCTTTTGAGTGAATGAGTTCCCAGCCTGCTAAGAAAAAATAAACAACATAAGGTCCATATGCAGAGGCTACCTTTGGCTCATTTATGTAATAGAAATATGAAATAGTATGGAGCCACTTTGAAAAACAGTTTGTCAGTTTTCTAAAAAATTGAATATGCAAATGCCATATGCCCCAACAATTGTACAAATTGTACTCTTGGCCATATATGCCAGAAAAAAATCAAACTTTCTGTTTATATGAAAACCTCTACATGAATACTTATAGCATTTTTATTCATATAGTCAAAAACTGAAAACAACCCAGATGTCCTTCAACAGGTAAAGGGTTAAACAAACTGTGGTCCATCTGTACCATGGAATACTGCTCAGCAATAAAGAACAAACTAAATATATGCAACACCTTGCAGAGAATATGTTAAGTGAAAAATGCCAATTTCAAAATGCTATGTACTGTATGGTTTCATTTACATAAATTTCTTGACAAAATTAAAGAAATAGAGAACAGATTAATGGTTATGAAGGGCTAAGGACAGAGTCCACACTCCGAGGAGGTGGTGGGTATGAGGGGGAGGTGGGTGTGGCTACTAAAGGAGAGCAGGAGTTTGCCTAGTGGAATTGTTGGTATCTTGACTATCAGTTTCAGTATCCTGGTTGTGATATTGTACTGCAGTTACCCACTGGGGAAACTGGGTAAAGAGTCCATGGGAACGCTATTATTTCTTTTTTTTATATATATATACAAAATGTTTAATGTGCATCTGGTCAGAGATGGTAATAAATGTTATAAGTAAAATATAAGATAAAAAACTAAACAGCATGTGCAAGATCCTCTGGTTCATAAGGTGATCAGGGGCTTGGTCTTGTGTCCCACGACTCCCAGTTTAGTGCTCTTTGTCCTGCTAGTAATTTACTTTTAAGTGTAGTAAAATGCACTTAAAATTTACCTTTTTGACCATTTTTAGGTGTTAGTTCACTTTTTTAGGTTTTAGGTTAGTTCCAAGAAGGTCCATTACCTTCTTGACCATTTTTAGGTGTTAGTCCACTTTTTTAGGTTTTAGATTAGTTCCATTTTTAGGTTTTAATTCAGTAGTGTTAGGTCAATCTTTAGAACTTTTTCATCTGAAACCCTACCTATTAAACAAATCATTTCAACTGAAACCCTAACCATTAAATAAATCATTCCACCTACCCCTGACAACCACCAATCTACTTTCTATCTCTGAACATGACTTGACCAGGTACCTCATATAAGAGGAATCATACAATGTTTTTCCTTTTGTATCTGGCTTATTTTACTTAGCGTAGTGTCCCCAAAAGTCATCCATATTGTAGCATGTGTCACAATTTCCTTCCTCTTTAAGGCTGAATAATATTTAATTGGTTGTATATACCATATTGTTTTTATCATCTGGCAGTGGACGTTGGGTTGCTTCCTCATTTTGGCTTTTGTGAATAATACTGAATGGAACATTTTTGTAAAAGTATATTTTTGAGTCCTTGCTCCCAACTTAATTTTTTTTTTTTTTTTTTTTTTTTTGCGATGGAGTCTCACTCTGTCACCCAGGCTGGAATGCAGTGGCACAGTTATAGCATATTGTAATCCCTAATTCCTGGGCTCAAGTGATCCTCCCACTTCAGCCTCCCAAGTAGCTAGGACTACATACATGTGCCACCACGCCCAGCTAATTATTTTATTTTTGTAGAGACAGGGTCTTGCTATGTTGTTCAGGCTCCTATTCTTTTGATACGTATCTGGAAGTGGAATTTCTGGATTATATGTTAAATCTGTTTTTACGTTGTTGAGGAAGCACCATAGTGTTTTAAATAATGGCTGCATCATTTTATATTCCCAACAGCAGTGGACAAGGTTTCCAATTTTTCCACATCCTCACCAAAACTTGTTATTCTTTGTTCTTTGTTCCTTTTATTGGGATAGTAGCCATTCTAATGGGTGTGAGGTGATATATCATTGTGGTTTTGATTTTCATTTCTCTATTAGTGTTGTTGAACATCTTTTTAATGTGTGTCTTGTCCATTTTAATTTCTTTGGAGAAATGACAAAGTCCTTTGCACACTTTATAATTGTTTTTCATTGTTGTTGTTGTTGTTGTAGAAGTTTTTAATATATTCTGGATATTTATATATATATATTTTTTATTATACTTTAAATTCTAGGGTACATGTGCACAACATGCAGGTTTGTTACATATGTATACATGTGGCATATTGGTGAGCTGCAACCATTAACTCTTCATTTATATTAGATATATCTCCTAATGCTATCCCTCCCACCTGCCCCCACCCTACAACAGGCCCCGGTGTGTGATGTTCCTCACCCTATGTCCAAGTGTTCTCATTGTTCATTTCCCACCTATGAGTGACAACATGCGGTGTTTGGGTTTTTGTCCTTGCGATAGTTTGCTGAGAATGATGGTTTCCAGCTTCATCCATGTCCCTGCAAAGGACATGAACTCATCATTTTTTATGGCTGCATAGTATTCCATGGTGTATATGTGCCACATTTTCTAAATCCAATCTATCATTGTTGGACATTTGGGTTGGTTCCAAGTCTTTGCTATTGTGAGTAGTGACGCAATAAACATATGTTTGCATGTGTCTTTATAGCAGCATGATTTATATTCCTTTGGGTATATACCCAGTAATGGGATTGCTGGGTCAAATGGTATTTCTAGTTCTAGATCCCTGAGGAATCGCCACACTGTCTTCCACAATGGTTGAACTAGTTTACAGTCCCACCAACAGAGTAAAAGTGTTCCTATTTCTCCACATCCTCTCCAGCACGTGTTGTTTCCTGACTTTTTAATGATCGCCATTGTAACTGGTGTGAGATGGTATCTCATAGTGGTTTTGATTTGCATTTCTCTGATGGCCAGTGGTGATGAGCATTGTTTCATGGCTCATAAATGTAGCTGTTGGCTGCATAAATGTCTTCTTTTGAGAAGTGTCTGTTCAGATCCTTTACCCACTTTTTGATGGGGTTGTTCGTTTTTTCTTGTAAATTTTTGTGAGTTCTTTTAGATTCTGGATGTTAGCCGTTTGTCAGAGGAGTAGATTGCAAAAATTTTCTCCCATTCTGTAGGTTTCCTGTTCACTCTTATGGTAGTTTTTTTTTTTTTTTTTTTTTTTTTTTTTTTTTTTTTTTTTTTTTTTTTTGCTGTGTAGCAGCTCTTTAGTTTAATTAGATCCCATTTGTCAATTTTGGCTTTTGTTGACATTGCTTTTGGTGTTTTAGACATCAAGTCCTTGCCCATGCCTATGTCCTGAAAGGTATTGTCTAGGTTTTCTTCTAGGGTTTTTATGGTTTTAGGTCTAACATGTAAGTCTTTAATCCATCTTGAATTAATTTTTGTATAAGATGTAAGGAAGGGATCCAGTTTCAGCTTTCTACATATGGCTAGCCAGTTTTCCCAGCACCATTTATTAAGTAGGGAATCCTTTCCCCATTGCTTGTTTTTGTCAGGTTTGTCAAAGATCAGATAGCTGTAGATGTGTGGTATTATTTCTGAGGGCTCTGTTCTGTTCCATTGGTCTATATCTCTGTTTTGGTAGCAGTACCATGCTGTTTTGGTTACTGTAGCCTTGTAGTACAGTTTGAAGTCAGGTAGCGTGATGCCTCCAGCTTTGTTCTTTTGGCTTAGGATTGACTTGGCAATGCGGGCTCTTTTTTTGGTTCCATATGAACTTTAAAGTAGTTTTTTCCAATTCTGTGAAGAAAGTCATTGGTAGCTTGATGGGGATGGCATTGAATCTATAAATTACCTTAGGCAGTATGGCCATTTTCATGATATTGAGTCTTCCTATCCATGAGCATGGAATGTTCTTCCATTTGTTTGTATCCTCTTTTATTTCGTTGAGCAGTGGTTTGTAGTTCTCCTTGAAGAGGTCCTTCACATCCCTTGTAAGTTGGATTCCTAGGTATTTTATTCTCTTTGAAGCAATTGTGAATGGGAGTTCACTCATGATTTGGCTCTCTGTTTGTTTGTTATTGGTGTATAAGAATGCTTGTGATTTTTGCACATTGATTTTTGTATCCTGAGATTTTGCTGAAGTTGCTTATCAGCTTAAGGAGATTTTGGGCTGAGACAATGGGGTTTTCTAGATATACAATCATGTCATCTGCAAACAGGGACAATTTGACTTCCTCTTTTCCTAATTGAATACCCTTTATTTCTTTCTTCTGCCTGATTGCCCTGGCCAGAACTTCCAACACTATGTTGAATAGGAGTGGTGAGAGAGGGCATCCCTGTCTGTTGCCAGTTTTCAAAGGGAATGCTTCCAGTTTTTGCCCATTCAGTATGATATTGGCTGTGGGTTTGTCATAAATAGCTCTTATTATTTTGAGATATATCCCATCAATACCTAATTTATTGAGAGTTTTTAGCATGAAGGGCTGTTGAATTTTGTCAAAGGCCTTTTCTGCATCTATTGAGATAATCATGTGGTTTTTGTCTTTGGTTCTGTTTATATGCTAGATTACGTTTATTGATTTGTGTACATTGAACCAGCCTTGCATCCCAGGGATAAAGCCCACTTGATCATGGTGGATAAGCTTTTTGGTGTGCTGCTGGATTCAGTTTGCCAGTATTTTATTGAGGATTTTTGCATCAATGTTCATCAGGGATATTGGTCTAAAATTATCTTCTTTTGTTGTGTCTCTGCCAGGCTTTGATATCAGGATGATGCTGGCCTCATGAAATGAGTTAGGGAGCATTCCCTCTTTTTCTGTTGATTGGAGTAGTTTCAGAAGGAATGGTACCAGCTCCTCCTTGTACCTCTGGTAGAATTTGGCTGTGAATCCTTCTGGTCATGGACTTTTTTGTTTGGTAAGCTATTAATTATTGCCTCAATTTCAGAGTCTGTTATTGGTCAACATCTTCCTGGTTTGCTCTTGGGAGGGTGTATGTGTCGAGGAATTTATCCATTTCTTCTAGATTTTCTAGTTTATTTGCGTAGAGTTGTTTATAGTATTCTCTGATGGTAGTTTATATTTCTGTGGGAACAGTGGTGACATCCCCTTTATCATTTTTTATTGCATCTATTTGATTCTTCTCTCTTTTATTCTTTATTAGTCTTGCTGGCAGTCTATCAGTTTTGTTGATCTTTTCAAAAACTCAGTTCCTGGATTCATTGATTTTTTGAAGAGTTTTTTGTGTCTCTGTGTCCTTCATTTCTGCTCTGATCTTAGTTATTTCTTGCCTTCTGCTAGCTTTTGAATGTGTTTGTTCTTGTTTCTCTAGTTCTTTTAATTGTGATGTTAGGGTGTCAATTTTAGATCTTTCCTGCTTTCTCTTGTGGGCATTTAGTGCTATAAATTTCCCTCTACACACTGCTTTGAATGTGTCCCAGAGATTCTGGTATGTTGTGTCTTTGTTCTCGTTGGTTTCAAAGAACATCTTCATTTCTGCCTTCATTTCGTTATGTACCCAGTAGTCATTCAGGAGCAGGTTGTTCAGTTTCCATGTAGTTGAGCAGTTTTGAGTAAGTTTCTTAATCCTGAGTTCTAGTTTGATTGGACTGTGGTCTGAGAGACAAAATTTGTTATAATTTCTGTTCTTTTACATTTGCTGAGGAGTGTTTTACTTCCAACTATGTGGTCAGTTTTGGAATAGGTGTGGTGTGGTGCTGAGAAGAATGTATATTCTGTTGATTTGGGGTGGAGTGTTCTGTAGATGTCTATTAGGTCTGCTTGGTGCAGAGCTGAATTCAGTTCCTGGATATCCTTGTGAACTTTCTGTCTCGTTGATCTGTCTAGTGTTGACAGTGGGGTGTTAAAGTCTCCCATTATTATTGTGTGGGAGTCTAAGTCTCTTTATAGGTCTCTAAGGACTTGCTTTATGAATCTGGGTGCTTCTGTATTGGGTGCATATATATTTAGGATAGTTAGCTCTTCTTGTTGAATTGATCCCTTTACCATTATGTAATGGCCTTCTTTGTCTCTTTTGATCTTTGTTGATTTAAAGTCTGTTTTATCAGAGACTAGGATTGCAAACCCTGCCTTTTTTTGTTTTCCATTTGCTTGGTAGATCTTCCTCCATCCCTTTATTTTGAGCCTAAGTGTGTCTCTGCACGTGAGATGGGTTTCCTGAATACAGCACACTAATGGGTCTTGACTCTTTATCCAATTTGCCAGTCTGTGTCTTAATTGGAGCATTTAGCCCATTTACATTTAAGGTTAATATTGCTATGTGTGAATTTGATCCTGTCGTTATGATGTTAGCTGGTTATTTTGCTCATTAGTTGATTCAGTTTCTTCCTAGCTTCGATGGTCTTTACGATTTAGCCTGTTTTTGCAGTGGCTGGTAATGGCTGTTCCTTTCCATGTTTAGTGCTTCCTTCAGGAGCTCTTGTAGGGCAGGCCTGGTGGTGACAAAATCTCTCAGCATTTGCTTGTCTGTAAAGGATTTTATTTCTCCTTCACTTATGAAGCTTAGTTTGGCTGGACATGAAATTCTGGGTTGAAAATTCTTTTCTTTAAGAATGTTGAATATTGGCCCCCACTCTCTTCTGGCTTGTAGAGTTTCTGCTGAGAGATTCTCTGTTAGTGTGATGGGGTTCCCTTTGTGGGTAATGTGACCTTTCTCTCTGGCTGCCCTTAACATTTTTTCCTTCATTTCAACTTTGATGAATCTGACAATTATGTGTCTTGGAATTGCTCTTCTCGAAGAGTATCTTTGTTGTGTTCTCTGTATTTCCAGAATTTGAATGTTGGCCTGCCTTGCTAGATTGGGGAAGTTCTCCTGGATAATATCCTGCAGAGTGTTTTCCAACTTGGTTCCATTCTCCCTGTCACTGTCAGGTACACCAATCAGACATAGATTTGGTCTTTTCACATAGTCCCATATTTTTTAGAGGCTTTATTCGTTTCTTTTTATTCTTTTTTCTCTAAACTTCTCTTCTCACTTCATTTCATTCATGTGGTCTTCAATCATTGATACCCTTTCTTCCAATTGATCGAATCATCTACTGAAGCTTGTGCGTACGTCACATAGTTCTTGTGCCATGGTTTTCAGCTCCATCTGGTCATTTAAGGACTTCTCTGCATTGGTTATTCTAGTTAGCCATTCATCTAATCTGTTTTCAGTGTTTTTAACTTCTTTGCCATGGGTTCGAACTTCCTCCTTTAGCTGGTAGTAGTTTGATCATCTGAAGCCTTCTTCTCTCAACTCGTCAAAGTCCTTCTCCATCCAGCTTTGTTCCATTGCTGTTGAGGAGCTGCGTTCCTTTGGAGAAGGAGAGGCGCTCTGATTTTTAGAATTTTCAGTTTTTCTCTTCTGTTTTTTCCCCATCTTTGTGGTTTTATCTACCTTTGGTCTTTGATGATGGAGACATACAGATGGGGTTTTGTTGTGGATGTCCTTTCTGTTTGTTAGTTTTCCTTTTAACAGTCAGGACAATCAGCTGCAAGTCTGTTGGAGTTTGCTGGAGGTCCACTCCAGACCCTGTTTGCCTGGGTATCAGCAGCAGAGGCTGCAGAACAGCGAATATTGCTCAACAGCAAATGTTGCTGTATGATCGTTCCTCTGGAGGTTTCATCTCAGAGGGGTACCCAGCTGTGTGAGGTGTCAGTCTGCCCCTACTGGGGGGTGTCTCCCAGCTAGGCTATTCTGGGATCAGGGACCCACTTGAGTAGGCAGTCTGTCCATTCTCAGATCTCAAACTCCGTGCTGGGAGAACCACTACTGTCTTCCAAGCTGTCAGACAGAGACATTTAAATCTGCAGAGGTTTCTGCTGCCTTTTGTTCAGCTATACCCTGCCCCCAGAGGTGGAGTGTACAGATGCAGGCAGGCCTCCTTGAGCTGCAGTGCGCTCCACCCATTTCGAGCTTCCAGGCTGCTTTGTTTACTTACTGAATCCTCAGCAATGGCGGGCACCCCTCCCCTAGCCTCACTGCTGCCTTGCAGTTCCATCTCAGACTGCTGTGCTAGCAATGAGCGAGGCTTTTTGGGCGTGGGACCCTCTGAGCCAGGTGCCGGATATAATCTCCTGGTGTGCCGTCTGCTGTGACCATTGGAAAAGCGCAGTATTAGGGTGGGAGTGACCCAAAATTCCAGGTGCCATCTGTCACAGCTTTGCTTGGCTATGAAAGGGAATTCCCTGACCCCTTGCGCTTCCTGGGTGAGGCGATGCCTCGCCCTGTTTCAGCTCAGTCGGTGGGCTGCACCCACTGTCCTGCCCCCACTGTCCAACAAGCCCTAGTGAGATGAACCCAGTACCTCAGTTGGAAATACAGAAATCACCCGTCTTCTGCATCACTCACGCTGGGAGCTGTAGACTGGAGCTGTTCCTATTTGGCCATCTTGGAGCTCTCCCCTTCTGGATATTAACTCCTTACTAGATATATGATTTGCAAATATTTTCTCCCATTCTGCAGGTTGCCTTTTCACTCTTCTGATAGTGTATTTTGATACACAAAAGTTTAATTTTGATGTAGCCCAATTTATCCATTTTTATTCTTTTGGTCTTATATCTGTGATATAAGATTGCTGAATTCAGTATCATGATGTTTTATCCTGTGTTCACTGTCAATAATTTTACAATTTTCACCCTTACCTTTAGGTCTTTTATACACTTTGAGTTAATTTTTGTTTATGGTGTAAAGTAAGAGTCCAACTTTATTCTTTTTGTTGTCTATTTTTTTCTAATTTTATTTTATTTTAGGTTCCAGGATACATGTACAGAATGTGCAGGTTTGTTACATAGGTAAACGTGTGCCATGGTGGTTTGCTGCACCTATCAACCTGTCATCTAGGTATTAAGCCCCACATGATGCTCTCCCTACCCCCACCCCTTCTGACAGGCCTCAGTGTGTGTTGTTCCCCTCCCTGTGTCCACATGTGGTTCCAAGTCTTAGCTATTGTGAATACTGCTGCAATAAACATATGTGTGCTTATATCTTTATAATATAATTATTTATATTCTTTTGGGTATATACCCAGTAATGGCATTGCTGGGTCAAATGGTATTTCTGGCTCTAGATCATTGAGGAATCTCCACCCTGTCTTCCACAGTGGTTGAACTGATTTACATTCCCAGCAACAGTGTAAAAGTGTTCCTATTTCTCCCCAGCCTTGCCAGCATCTGTTGTTTCTTGACTTTTTAATAATCGCCATTCTGACTGGCATGAGATAGTATTGGGTGGTTTTGATTTGTGTTTCTCTAATGATCAGTGAAGTTGAGCTTTCTTTCATATGTTTGTTGGCCGCATAAATATCTTTTTTTTTTTTTTGAGAAGTATCTGTTCATGTCCTTTGCCCTCTTTTTGATGGGGTTGTTTTTTTCCTTGTAAATTTGTTTAAGTTCCTTGTAAATTTGTTTAAGTTCCTTGTAAATTCTGGATATTAGAACTTTGTCAGATGGGTAGATTGCAAAAATTTTCTCCCATTTTGTAGGTTGTTCACTCTGATGGTAGTTTCTTTTGCTATTCGGAAGCTCTTTGGTTTAATTAGATCCCATTTGTCAATTTTAGCTTTTGTTGCAACTGCTTTTGGCAATTTCATCATAAAATCTTTGCCCATGCCTATTTTCTGAATGGTATTGCCTAGATTTTCTTCTATGGTTTTTATGGTTTTGGGTTTTGTATTTAAGTATTTAATCCATCTTGAGTTAATTTTTGTATAAGGTATAAGGAAGGGGTCCAGTTTCAGTTTTCTGCAAATGGCTAGCCAGTTTTCCCAGCACCTTTTATTAAATAAGGAATCCTTTCTCCATTACTTGTTGTTGTCAGGTTTGTCGAAGATCAGATGGTAGTAGATGTGTGGTGTTTTTTCTGAGATCTAGATTCTGTTTCATTTGTCTATATGTCTGTTTTGGGACCAATACCATGCTGTTTTGGTTACTATATAGCCTTGTAGTATAGTGTGAAGTCAAGTAGTGTGATACCTCTAGCTGTGTTCTTTTTGCTTGGGATTTTCTTGGATATATGAGCTGTTTTTTGATTTCATATTAATTTTTAAGTAGTTATTTCTAATTCTATGTAAAATGTCAATAGTTCTTTGATGGGAAGAGCATTGAATCTCTAAATTACCTTGGGCAGTATGGCCATTTTCGTGATACTGATTCTTCCTATCCATGAGGATGCAATGTTTTTCCATTTGTTTGTGTCCTCTTTCATTTCCTTGAGCAGTGGTTTATAGTTCTCCTTGAAGAGGTCCTTCACATCCCTTGTTAGCTGTATTCCTAGGAATTGTATTCTCTTTGTAGCAATTGTGAATGAAGTTCATTCATGATTTGACTCTCTGCTTGTCTGTTGGGGGTGGTATAGCAATGCTTGAGATTTTTGCACATTGATTTTGTATCCTGAGACTTTGCTGAAGTTGCTTATCAGCTTAAGGAGCTTTTGAACTGAGACAATAATGTTTTCTGGATATAGGATCATGTCGTCAGCAAACAGAGACAATTTGACTTCCTCTCTTCCTATTTGAATACCCTTTATTTCATTCTCTTGACTGATTGCCCTGGCTGGAACTTCCAGTACTATGTTGAACAGGAGTAGTGAGAGAGGGCATCCTTGTCTTGTGCCTATATTCAAAGGGAATGCTTCCAGCTTTTGCCCATTCAGTATGATATTGGCTGTGGGTTTGTCATAAATAACTCCTATTATTTTGAGATATGTTCTGTCAGTACCTAGATTATTGAGAGTTTTTAACATGAAGGACATTGAATTTTATCGAAGGCCTTTTCTGCATCTATTGAGATAATTATGTGGTTTTTGTCATTGGTTCTGTTTATGTGATGAATTATGTTTATTGATTTCTGTATGTTGAACCAGCCTTGCCTCCCAGAGATGAAGCCGACTTGATTGTGGTGGATAATCTTTTTGATGTGCTACTGGATTCAGTTTGCCAGTATTTTATTGAGGATTTTTGCATCAATGTTCATCAGGGATATTGGCCTGAAGTTTTCTTTCTTTATTGTGTCTCTGCCAGGTTTTGGTATCAGGATGATGCTGGCCTCATAAAGTGAGTTAAGGAGAAGTCGTTCCTTTTCAATTGTTTGGAATAGTTTCAGAAGGAATGGTACCATTTCCTCTTTGTACCTCTAGCAGAATTTGGCTGTGAATTCATCTGGTCCTGGGCTTTTTTTAGTTGGTAGGCTATTTATTACAGCTGCAATTTCAGAACTTGTTATTTGTCTATTCAATAACTCGACTTCTTCCTGGTTTAGTCTTGGGAGGGTGTATGTGTCCAGGAATTTATTCATTTCAGTTTCATTCTTTTGCATGTGGATATAAAGTTTTCCCAGCACCCATTTGTTTGAAAGACTGTCCTTTCTGCATTGAATTATCTTGGCACTGTTATCAAAAATCACTTCATTGTATATGCAATGGTTTATTTCTGGGTTCTCCATTCTATTCCATTGGTCCATATGTGTGTATTCATGCCAGTACAATATTGTACTGATTACTGTAGCTTAATAATATCTTTTGAAGTCAAGAAGTGTGTGACCTCCAACTTTGTCTTATTTTTCAAGATTGTTTTTGCTATTCAGGGTCCCTTGCAATTCCATATGAATTTTAGGATGTATTTTTTCCATTTCTGTAAAAAAACACCATTGTGATTTTGATGGAAACTGCATTAAATCTGTAAATCACTTTGGGTAGTATTGACATCGTAACAATATTAAGTCTTTCAATTCATGAACAGGAAATGTCTTTCCATTCATTTGTGTCATCTTTAAATTCTTTCAACAATATTTTGTAGTTTATTGTTTATAAGCCTCTTACCTGCATGCTTAAGTTTAGTGAAAGCAGGCTTTCTTGTCTCATTCACAATCTTAAAGGTAAAGCTTTCAGTCTTTCAACATTGAGTATGATGTTTAGTATTTTCATGAAGATTTTTGCATCTATATTCAACATCAGCAATATTAGCCTATAATTTTCTTTGGTATAAGGGTAACTCTGGCTAACACGAAATGAGTTTGGAAGCATGCCCTCCTTTTTGATTTCTTGAAATAATTTGAGAAGTGTTAGGGGGAAGGGGTGGCTTTGGGCACAGCTTCATCAGACTTAAGTGTTCCTGCCTGCCAGCTCTGAAGAGAGCAGTGGATCTCCCAGCACAGCGCTTGAGCTCTGCTAAGGGGCAGACTGCTTCCTCAGGTGGGTCCCTGACCCCATGCCTCCTGACTAGGAGATACCTCCCAGCAGGAGTCGACAGACACCTCATACAGGAGAGCTCTGGCTGGCATCTGGCAGGTGCCCCTCTGGGACGAAGCTTCCAGAGGAAGGAACAGGCAGCAATCTTTGCTATTCTGCAGCCTCCACTGGTGATAACCAGGCAAATAGGGTCTGGAGTGGGCATCCAGCAAACTCCAGCACACCTGCAACAGAGGGGCCTGACTTTTAGAAGGAAAACTAACAAACAGAAAGAAGTAGCATCAACATTGGCTGGGCATGGTGGCTCATGCCTGTAATCCCAGTACTTTGGAAGGCCGAGGCGGGCAGATCACAAGGTCAGGAGTTCGAGACCAGCCTGATGAACATGGTGTAACCCCGTCTCTACTAAAATACAAAAAATTAGTTGAGCATGGTGGCGCCCACCTGTAGTCCCAGCTCCTCAGGAGGCTGAGGCAGGGTAATCACTTGAACCTGGGAGGCGGAGGTTGCAGTGAGCTGAGATCTCACCATTGCACTCCAGCCTGGAGGACAAAGTGAGACTCCATCTCAAAAAAAAAAAAAAAAAAAAAAAAAAAAAAACCAGCAAAATAAATAGCATCAACATCAACAAAAAGGACATCCACACAGAAACCCCATCTGAACCTCACCAGCTACAAAGACCAAAGGTAGATAAATCCACAAAAATGAGGAAAAACCAGTGCAAAAAGGCTGAGAATTCCATAAGCCAGAACGCCTCTTTTCCTCCAAAGGATCACAACTCCTTACCAGCAAGGGAATAAAACTAGAGGGAGAATGAGTTTGATGAATTGACAAAAGTAGGCTTCAGAAGGTAGGTAATAACAAACTCTTCCGAGCTAAAGGAGCATTTTCTAACTCAATTCAAGGAAGCTAAGAACCTTGAAAAAAAGTTAGAGGAATTGCTAACTAGAATAACCAGTTTAGAGAAGAACATAAATGACCTGATAGAGCTGAAAAACACAGCACGAGAACTTTGTGAAGCATACACAAGTATCAATAGCCAAATTGACCAAGCAGAAGAAAAGATATCAGAGATTGAAGATCAACTTAATGAAATATAGCAGGAAGACAAGATTAGAGAAAAAAGAATGAAAAGAAATGAACAAAGCCTCCAAGAAATATGGGACTATGTGAAAGGACCAAACCTACATTTGATTGGTGTACCTGAAAGTGATGAGGAGAATGGAACCAAGTTGGAAAACACTGCAGGATATTATCCAGGAGAACTTCCCCAACCTAGCAAGACAGACCGACATTCAAATCCAGGAAATAAGAGAACACCACAAAGATACTCCTCAAGAACAACACCAAGACACATAATCATCAGATTCACCAAGGTTGAAAGGAAGGAAAAAATGTTAAGGGAGAGAAAGGTTGGGTTACCCACAAAGGGAAGCCCATCAGACTAACAGCAGATCTCTCTGCAGAAACCCTACAAACCAGAAGAGAGTGGGGGCCAATATTCAACATTCTTAAAGAATTTTCAACCCAGAATCTCATATCCAGCCAAACTAAGCTTCATAAGTGAAGGAGAAATAAAATCCTTTACAGACAAGCAAATGCTGAGAGATTTTGTCACCACCAGGCCTGCCTTACAAGAGCTCCTGAAGGAAGCACTAAACATGGAAAGCAACAACTGGTACCAGCTGCTGCAGAAACATACCAAATTGTAAAGACCATCAGCACTATGAAGAAATCGCATCAACTGACAGGCAAAATAACCAGCTAGCATCATAATGACAGGATCAAATTCACACATAACAATATTAACCTTAAATGTAAATGGGCTAAATGCCCCAATTAAAAGACACAGACTGGCAAATTGGATAGAGTCAAGACCCATTGGTGTGCTGTATTCAGGAGACCCATCTCACATGCAAAGACACACATAGGCTCAAAATAAAGGGATGGAGGAATATATACCCAGCAAATGGAAAGCAAAAAAAAGCAGGGGTTGCAATCCTAGTCTTAAAACAGACTTTAAACCAACAAAGGTCAAAAAAGACAAAGAAGGGCATTACATAATGGTAAAGGGATCAATGCAACAAGAAGAGTTAACTATCCTAAATATATATGCACCCAATACAGGAACACCTAAATTCATAAAGCAAGTTCTTAGAGACCTACAAAGAGACTTAGACTCCCACAGAATAATAGTAGGAGACTTTAATACCCCGCTGTCAATATTAGATCAATGAGACTTGAACTCAGCTCTAGACCAAGCCTACCTAATAGACATCTACAGAACTCTCCAACCCAAATCAACAGAATATACATTCTTCTCAGCACCACATTGCACTTATTCTAAAATTGATCACATAATTGGAAGTAAAACACTCCTCAGCAAATACAAAAGAATGGAAATCATAACAA
Source organism: Homo sapiens (assembly GCF_000001405.40). Taxonomy (NCBI): domain Eukaryota; kingdom Metazoa; phylum Chordata; class Mammalia; order Primates; family Hominidae; genus Homo; species Homo sapiens. The sequence goes on along the minus strand of NC_000023.11, from coordinate 64,276,648 downwards.
ACAGTGTCTCAGACCACAGTGCAATCAATTTAGAACTCAGGATTAAGAAACTCACTCAAAACTGCACAACTACATGGAAACTGCACAACCTGCTCCTGAATGACTACTGGGTAATTAATGATCCTGAATGACTACTGGGTAATTATTGAAATTAAGGCAGAGATAAATAAGTTCTTTGAAACCAATGAGAACAAAGACACAGCGTTTAGAGGGAAATTTATAGTACCAAATGCCCACAGGGGAAAGCAGGAAAGATCTAAGATCAGCACCCTAACATCTAGAACTAGAGATGTTCTAGGTCTAGAACTAGAATCTAGATCTAGAACTAGATCAACACCCTAACATCTAGAACTAGAATCTAGATCTGGAACTAGATCAACACCCTAACATCTAGAACTAGAGAAGCAAGAGCAAACAAATTCTAGCAGAAGACCAGAAGTGACTAAGATCAGATCAGAACTGAAGGAGATAGAGACATGAAAAACCCTTCAAAAAAATTAATGAGTCCAGGAGCTGTTTTTTTCAAAAGATCAACAAAATAGATAGACCACTAGCCAGACTAATAAAGAAGAAAAGAGAGAAGAATCAAATAGACACAATTTAAAAAGCATTAATTCTTTAAATATTTGGGAGAATTCTTCAGTGAAGCCTCTAGCCCTGGGCTTTTCTTTGCTGGGAGATTTTTGATTCCTGATTCAATTTCTCTACTTAATATTAGTCTGTTCAGTTTTTCTTTGTGATTTAGTCTTGGTAGGTTGTGTGTTTCTAGGGATTTATCCATTTATTCTGGGTTATCCAATTTATTGGTACATTGTTGTCCTTATGATCTTTTTTATTTTTGTTGCATCGGTTGTAATATCTCCTTTTCTGTTTCTGATTTTATTTATTCAAGTCTTCTCTTTTTATTTCTTGGTCTAGCTAAAGTTTTATCAGTTTTGGAAATATTTTTTTCCAAAAAATAAACACTTCTTAGTTTCTTTCTTTTTTTTTTTTTTTTTTTGAGAGAGACTCACTCTGTTGGCCTGGCTGCAGACTGGACGAGGCTCAAGCAGTCCTCCAAACCTAGCTCCCAAGTAGCTGGGACTACAAGCATGTGCTATTTTCTAAATGTTTTTTTAGCGATGGGGGCCTCTCTATGTAGTCCAGGCTGGTCTCGAACTCCTGGCCTCAAACAGTTCTCCTGCCTTGGCCTCCCAAGGTGCTGGGATTATAGACGTGAGCCACTGCACCTGGCCCCACCTCTTAGTTTCTTTGATTTTATATTCACTATTTCATTTATTTCTTCTCTAACCTTTATTATTCCTTCCTCCACTACCTTTGGGCTAGTTTGTTCTTTTCCTAGTTCCTGAGATATAAAGTTAGGTTTTTGATTTTAGATCTTTCTTCTTTTTTAGTATCACTATAAATTATCACTATAATTTATCACTATAAATTTCTCTTTTTTATTAACATTTTTAATTGGCCAGTCATAATTGTATATATTTCAGGGGTACAATGTGATGTTTTGATATATGAATAAAATGTGGAATGATTAAATCAAGCTAATTAACATATCCATCACCTCATTTAGACATCATTTTTGTGGTGAGACACTTGAAATTTACTCTCTTCTCTTCAGTTTTGAAATATGCAATACATTATTGTCAACCATGGTCACCATGCTGGGCAGAAGACCTCAAAAAGTCATTCCTTTTATCTAGCTGTATCTTTCTACCCTTTGGCCAACATCTCCCCATTCTCTCCTATCTCAGCCTCTGATAACCACAATTTTACTCTCTGTTTCCATGAGTTTGATTGTTTTAGATTCCAAGTGTAAGTGAGAAGATATAGTTTTTGTCTTTCTGTGTCTGGCTTATTTCACTTACATAGTGTCCTCCGGTTCCTTCTACGTTGTCACAAATGACAGCATTTATTTCTTCTTTAAGGTAGAATAGTATTCCATTATGTATGTATATATCACATTTTCTTTATTCAGTCATCTATTGATGGACTCTTAGGTTGAGTCCATATCTTGACTCTTGTGAATAATGCCAGAATGAACATGAGAGTGCAGATATTTCTTCAAAATACTGATTTCAGTTCCTCTACCCAGAAGTGGGATTGCTGGATCATATGGTAGTTCTATTTTTAATTTTTGTCAAACCTCTGTACCATTTTCTGTAATAGCTGTGCTAATAAATTTCCTTCTTAATACTGCCTTTGCTGCATCCTACATGTTTTGGTATGTTGTGGTTTTGTTTGTTTCAAGATACTTTCCAATTTCCCTTTTGATTTCTTCTTTGACCCATTGGTTGTTTAAGAGTGTTTAAGTTTTTTAATTTCCATATGTTTTAACTTTACAAGTTTCCTTTATGCTATTGATTTCTAGTTTCATTCCATTGTGAACAGAAGAAAATACTTGGTATGATTTTAATCTTCTTAAATTTGATAAGCTCTCTTTTATGACCTAACATGTGATCTATCTTGGAGAATGTTACATGTGCTTTTGAAAAGAATGTGTATTGTACTGTTATTGGGTTGAATATTCTGTATATCTGTTAGGTCCATTTGGTCCACAGACTTGTTCAAGTCTGCTATTTGTTTTTTGATTTTCCTCTCTGATTGTTCTATCCATAATTGAAAGTAGAGTATCGAAGTAATCTATTACTGTATTTCTGTCTGTTTCTCCCTTCAGTTCCATCAGTGTTTGCTTTACATATTTAGGTATTTTGATGTTGAATGCATATACATTTATAATTGTTATATTTTCCTGATGTATTGATCCTTTCGTCATTATATAAAATTCTTCATTGTCTCCGTGACATTTTTTGACTTACAGTTCATTTTGTCTGATATTACTATTGCCACACCTGCTTTTTTTAAGTTACAATTTGCATGGAATATCTTTTTTTATCCCTCCACTTTCAGCCTATGTGTGCCCTTAAATCTAAAGTGAGTCTCTTATAGACAGCATATAATAGGATGTTTTTCTTAAACTATTCAGTCATTCTGTGTATTTTTATTGGGGAGTTTAATCCATGTATATATTTCAAGTAATTATTGATAGGGGAGGATTTACTGTTGCCATTTTGTTCATTTTTTCTGTTTGCCTTGTAGGGATTTTGTTGTTCTTCTTTTCATTTCTTGCTTTCTTCCTTTATGTTTTGTTTTTTTTGTTTGTTTGTTTGTTTAGTTTTTATATTAGTATGCTTTGATTTCTTTCACTTCTTTCTTTTTTTTTTAACTTCTGTAGGTATTTCCTTTGTAACTACAATGGGGCTTACATAAAATGTCTAACAGTCTAACACTCTGTCTTAAGCATGTAACAACTTAACTTCAATTATGCACACATTACACATTTTCTTCTTCTCTATGTTATTCATGTCAAAGTTTACATTTATTTATATTGTATATTCATTAGCATACTTTATAATTATTCTAATACTTTTTTAAACTTTATACTACAATTAAAAGTGATTTACCCACAACCATTACAGTAATATAGTATTCTTTATTAGTTTATATACTTACCTTCACCAACAACTTTTATACTTTTTTATGCTACTGTGTTGCTATTTAGCATTCTTTCATTTTCATTTTCATTTCCCTTTCAATCTAAGGAGAAGACTTCCCTTTAGATTTCCTGTAAGGCAGGTCTGTTGGTAATGAACTCCCTTAGCTTTTGTTTGTCTGGGAATGTCTTGATCTCTCTTTCGTTTTTGAAGAACAGTTTTGCTACATATATCATTATTGGTTCATAGTTTTAGTTTTCCTTCAGTGCTTTGAATATATTATCCCACTCTCTACTCTCTTCTGTCCTGAAAGTTTTTTTTTGCTGAGATGTCTGCTGATGGTCCTAATGGATTTTCCTGCATATGACAAGTTGGTTTTATCTTACTGCTTTCAAAATTCTCTCTGTCTTTGACTTTTGACAATTTTATTATCATATGTCTTAGTGTGGATTTCTTTAGATTCATCGTGTTTTGGTCATTTTGGCTTCCTAGATCTGGATGTCCATTTCCTTCCTCAGATTTAGGGGGTTTTCAGTCATTACTTCTTTAAATAAGATTTCTAGTCCTTCCTATATTCTCTTGGGACTCCCATAATGCATATATTGGTCTGCTAATTAATGGTGTCCCATAGGTCCTTTAAGCTATTTTATTTTTTTATTCTTTTTTCTTTGTGTCCTTCTGACTGGATAATGACAAATAATCTGTGTTTGAGTCTGCTTAGTCTTTTTTCTGCTTGCTCTAGTCTGTCGTTGAACTCCTCTATTGGATTCTTCAGTTATTGTATTCTTCAGCTTTAAGACATCTGCCTGTTCTTTTACATTTTCTGTCTCTTTGTTGAAATTTTCATTTTGTTCATGGATTGTTCTCCTGAGCTGCTTGAGATTTTCCATGATGGATATTTCTAATTCTATGTCGGGTAATTCATATATTTTCATTAGAGTCAGTTTCTGGAGTTTTAGCTTGTTTCTTTGTTCAGATTGTGTTACCCTTTTTCTGCACGTCAGAAGAATCCACTCTCACCCCAAGTCATATGGATTGGCCTTGTACAGGAGAAGACATTCACCAGCCAACCAAGCCAGAGCTTCTGTGGGCCTTTCAACCCATTGTCCTAGTTTAAACTGCTGTCTTTGTTATTAGTGTCCCCCAGGCATCCAGAGTATGTCCAGTTTCATCAGTGTTCCTAGACAGGTGGCACAAAAGCCATTCCCTTGGTAGCTCCTGGAGAATTTAGAATGCTGTGTGCATGTTCCAACTCTTTTCCCTTCCCAGGGAGAAGCTGGGAACTGGGATTTTCCCCCTACCCTGTGTTGAGCCAGGTACAGGAGCTGTGGTACATGCCTACATGCTAGTTGAAACTGCCACTTTCTTCTCTGTAGCCCTCAGGATACTATCACATGCCAGACCCTTTCAACTCTTTGAAACAGGTGAGACAGAAGCCAGTCTTTCAGGTGGCACCTGGAGAAGTTGGGATGTTAGGTGTGCAGTCCAACTTCTTCCATTCTGAGATAGAAGCTGGGAATGGGGGTTTCCTCCTGATCCTATGGCACTGTGCTGGGAGTTGGGATTATGATGAGTGGATGTTTCTGCTTTTTCTACAGATGTTTTGTTTACAATCTGGTTGGTTTCATACTTATCCAGGGTGCAGAAGCCTCTCCATGAGTTGCTGGATTTCTCATAAAGGGAATTGATCCTTGTGTTGCAATTAAATCAGTGTATCCATTGGGGGAAGGACAGTCCAGGGCTTCCTATTCTGCCATCTTGCTGATGTCACTCCTCTCCCTTATTATTTCATAAAACTACATGTGAGTCTATAATTATCTCAAAGTAAAATCATAATTTGATTGTTTAAAAGAACCTCAAGTTTGCTCAAGTCTAAAATGTCTCCTTCAGCTGAGATTTTTCTGCTGGTATCTTTACTCTTCCCAATTATGAGCATGTCCAGGCTTTTTAATGTCATCAAATTACAGTACTCATGAGATTTTCCCACCTACTAAGCCAATATTTTCTTGGCACAAGGAAAACATTGGTAATCAATTACTCCAGCTAAACTAACCCACTTTTCCCCCCATTTTTGTCTATTTGAGGTTCTGGTGTGGGATGTATAACCGCTTTGACAAAGGGCTGCAGCCCAAGCAGAGTATGCTAGAGAGCCTCCTGGAAATTAAGAAACAGAGAGCAATGCTGGAGACAGATGTGCATGAACTAGAAAAGGTGAGGAGAAAAGTCCCAAAGAGAGATCTTCTTGCCCCTTCTGGGTAGGTCCAGCCTGCTTGGAGTTGAATTGATACTTGTGGAAAGCTGACTGGCTGGCTTTTTTATACTCTTTGGCTTTTCATGTGTCCCGTGTCTACAAATCTCTGAGCATAACTCCTTTTCTTACTTCCCAAAATGTGGTAAATATGTCACTCAACTAGATAAACAAGTGAATTTGTTCCCTTTATCTCTTTTTGGATCTGGATGGAATGAATAGGAGGAACAAGAGGGAATGACTAGGGAAATCACATAGCATTTGTTATCCATCAAGAGAATAAGTATAACATCTTGGGTATACTGATAAGAACAGTGCAATTGCTGTTTTCCAATTAGGAAAATCTTACAAAAGAAGATTCTTATTTCCTTCCCATGTAAACTGCAAACTCTGCTTATTGAGTGACCATGTTGGACACTTGTTTTTTAATTACAGGTTACAGAAGTCAAAAAGTATTTCTTGTTGATTTCATAAACTGAGCTGCTTATGAAATGTAGGAATCCCTAAGGGTTTGTTTGAAGGACAGGGGAAAGGTACCTCTTAGAAAAGAATTATTGGAAATGGTGTGCTATTTAGGAACTGGGTGTGAACCCACTTTAAGCCAGATAAGGCATAGCTTTTCTGCTCCCTGTAAGTAAACAAATGTCATTTTATTGTGAAAATAAATGTGTTGTGATTACATCAGATCCCAAACTTTTTAATGTCCTCTTGGGAGGCAACAGCCAGTTACTTGGTTCCATTTTTTTTAAAGGTGGAGGGGGGCAAACTAAAGCATAAGTTAAAATCGTAGGAAACATGCATCCCCGAGAAGGCCCAGTCCTAAGTAGATTAGATGTAGTAGAGAAACTTCTTAACGGCTCCTCTTTTAGCTACTAGCAGATTCTTCCACAAGGCCAGGGAAGGTGCCCTATTATTGACCCAGCCCTCTCACTTATCCCTGCCTGACTCTTGAGAGAGAATCAGATTCATTTCACATATACCCAGATCACTCTAGAAAGACTTCCTTTTGAAGTGTGTATGTGTTTTTATGTATGTGTGTTATTAACTTTCTTTTTTTAATACAGAGCAGAAAAACAAAGCTGCTGATAATATCACCCAGACAACCCTGTTGACTTTTTTTTAAAGGCAATATAAGTGTTAAGTTAGAAAATACAGAATACAACAAGGTAAAAAATGAAAAGTTTAAAAGACTCCCCCCACCACCTTCAGAAAAATGTATGCATTTTTCTGAAGAGAAGGTCCATAATTTTCATCAGATTTTCAATGGGGACGTATGACCCCAAAGAATCACTGTTGTGAAGTATCAGTGAATCATTATATTATCTCTGAAAGTGAAAATATCTGTTAGAGGTAGCATGATGTAGACGACAGGTCATAGACTTTGGCATCAGGCAGATGCAGGGTCAGATCTCAGTTCTTTACTTTGTACATGTGCGAATTTGGGTGACTTACTTAACTTCTCTGAGCCTCAGTTTCTTCATTTGTAAAATATAGCTAATACCTAAACTAATAGGTTTATTATAAGGATAAAAGGAAATACTGTGTGTAAAGTGCCTAGCACATAGAGGTATTCAATAAATATTAGTGATGTTTTCCCCTGCCCTCTCCCCATCTCATGAACAAAATTGCACTTATCATAAAAGATGACTTTTATAGATATAAGACCTTTGACATTCTTCAATGGTAGGGCTTCTAAAGTACTATGACATGTGATGAGGGAAAGATGTTGTGGGGGAGGGGGTGAGCAAAAGGTCATTTGCTACCATTATAAGTGACAGCAATAGGATCTCTGCAGATCAAGGTAATGTTTGCCTAGTTTTTCTCCTGTTTCTAATTCTTCTCAACCCTTTCTTGCTCCTGAGGCAGAAACTAAAAGTCCGTGATGAGCCACCAGAAGAGATCTGTACCTGCTCTCAATTAGGAAACATATTATCCCAGCATCTGGGAAGTCCTTTGACCAATCCTCTTGGCTTTATGGGTATCAATGGAGACCTGAATACCCTGATGGAGAATGGCACCCTATCCAGGGAAGGAGGCCTCCGAGCTCAGATGGATCAAGTAAAAAGCCAGGGTGCAGACCTCCACCATAACTGTTGTGAGATTGTGGGCAGCCTTAGGGCCATAAATATCTCTGGGGATGTGGGCATCTCTGAGGCCATGGGCATCTCTGGAGACATGTGCACCTTTGAGGCTACGGGCTTCTCCAAAGACTTAGGAATCTGTGGGGCCATGGACATCTCTGAGGCCACTGGCATCTCTGGAAACTTGGGTATTTCTGAGGCCAGGGGTTTCTCTGGGGACATGGGCATCTTGGGGGACACAGGCATCTCCAAGGCCAGCACCAAGGAGGCAGACTACTCCAAGCATCAGTGAGTTAGTTACTCATCTTCCATGCTAGGTATACCTACAGCAGCTACAATGATTCTTGTCCCAGAGAGGGCTATGCTGCTTTTCCAATTGGTTTAAGTGGGTGAAGCCAGGGCACCCCTCTCCCCACTTAAGTCTGGAAGGGAATTACTTTACTGATTAAGTGACCAATATGTTCATATTAAGCAGTACAGAGTGTAGGCAAGAGAAAGAATATGTTATTGTTCTAAAATGGGATTTAACTATAGAAATGTTGCCTCTCAGCTGAGACACATATTAAGCTGGTTCTACTGTCTGTTTTCCTTAATGATCGACCTGCCCTATTTTCTATCCTCACTGCAGTAATGTGAAAGTGAAGTGGAAATATTGTCACAATGGTCAATAATGACCCTTTTGAGGGTATGGAGAGATGGTATACAGCAGGTAACTGTGAATTGCAGAATAAATTGAAAGAAAATTTTACTTTCAGGTATGCTTAGTCATGGGATGTTAGCTAACATTATTGCCAATGGAGACATACAATATTTTCCTGAGAAGGAAATCAAAATGATGCTTAATTGTTAGCATGAGTGCATGGGTGCTTGGTGGTTTGAAACATGTAAGGAAAGTTTTCTTAAGTTACAACACTTGCTTTCCCCAACCCACACCCCAGCTAGGTCTTGTTATAATACTTAGCCAATTCCTTTTTTCATAGATAGCCCATAGGTAAACTTGAATCCACTACAGTCTAAAATTATAAATTTCAAATTAATGGGGTTTGAATTAGTAACATTAATTGCATCAGTTTAGGAAGTAACTGAAAATCTCAGTGCTTCAGACTCAGACTGAGACATGGTCTGTGTGCCCATCTGGGTTTGTGCAAAATAGGACCCTTTTTAGGTCTTTTTATGAAGACAAGTGGTTTTGCTTATCTAGATATCACATGAGGTTTGTAGATTTTTTAGACACAATTGGCACTACTTTTAAATCTGGTAGGTTTATCACCTTTTTTTTTTTTTTTTTTTTTTTTTGAGACGGAGTCTTGCTCTGTCGCCCAGGCTGGAGTGCAGTGGGGCGATCTCGGCTCACTGCAAGCTCCGCCTCCCGGGTTCACACCATTCTCCTGCCTCAGCCTCCCGAGTAGCTGGGACTACAGGCGCCCGCTACCACGCCCGGCTAATTTTTTGTATTTTTAGTAGAGACGGGGTTTCACCGTGTTAGCCAGGATGGTCTCGATCTCCTGACCTCGTGATCCGCCCGCCTCGGCCTCCCAAAGTGCTGGGATTACAGGCGTGAGCCACCGCGCCCGGCCAGGTTTATCACCTTGTGCTAATGTACAGTTTTGAAAAAAGTCCATTCTGATAGCAGATCCAGATACTTCTGGGGAAAAGGATGTATTTTTATTTAAACACCAGTTTTTCTCCTAGGGGTTGATACACTTGATGGGTTTTTCATCTGTCCTATTGGATATTCAGTCATGATTTTGCTACTTCCACATACTGAGAGTAGGATAGGCCTCAGTCAGTTTGGGTCATGCTCTGTATATTCTCAGCAATTCCAGAACTCTTAATGCCAACAGAATCCAGGTCTTCACCCAAAATCTGTTCCAAATACTCTATATTTGGCTTAAGCTAAAACATTAGATGACTTAAAGAGGCATCCCTTGATTATCACATCCAGTTGTGCACATAGAAATCTCTAAAGGATTACCTCATTAGGTGCTTTCCTTTGAAAGAAAGAGGTGCCTTTTAAGGGTTTAATTTAAATATAGGAGAGGAGTGCCAGGATAGCTCCTTGATTTCTTATCTCTAGCTGTAAACTGTAGACCCAAAACATCCTCTTTAGTGGAAGAACTCTAAATCATTTTGGTTGTCTTTTTTTATATGTAAGCAGGAGTCATTTTTCTATTTACTTCCTCTTGGTAAATTTTTAATTTTTTGTTTTTGAATAACTCCTAATTTATTTGGGTCTTTCCCATTAATAAATAAGGGCCATATTTTACTTACATATTCTTGATAGCTGCCTTGATCCTATAATTTTAAAGCATCAAGACGATTTCCTTTTTTTTTTTTTTTATCTCTCTGGTCCTCCTCTTTCCATGCTTTAGTCCTTGCTTTATATAACCTAAATTATCAGATGTTGCCAGTTGTCATTTGACTTCTTTTGGGAAAAAAAAATGGGGTTTGTGCACACCGTTTTAATCTGGAGGCTACATCTACTCCTGGCTTTGTGAAGGAAGTTGCCAAAAAGGATGATGGTACCAATCTGCCTCCAGTGAGCCATTCTGGATCTTGCTCCCAGATCTTTCTCCCATATCTCAATCTGTATTTTGCAGTTCATTAACTAGCATGATGTTCTGGATAGAGTGTGTTTAGTTTTCAGGGAAGCTGAAAGTAAAAAGGTAAATGGCAAGATGTAGTAGTTTTTGCAAATTCTATAAAAAACTAAAGAGTCTTGATTTATTCCTAAAGATCTGTACAGGGACAGTACATAGTACCTAATCTTATGTCTTAGATCAAAAACAAAATTAGTCAATAGTGAAAGGAAGGTCTTTTCAAAATAATTCTAAACTAAGAAGTAGTAAACCACAACCCTGGTATTTCCAAAAGCGAAAACAACATTTTTAAAAGACTGGATTATTTTGTTAATTATCTAAGGCCATGGGATCAATCTCAGTCTCAAAATCTGTGAGGTCAATTTGTTTGGTCTTTGATATTTTTATTCCCCAACATGCCACATTATTGCTTACGTATAAAATATACAGAACTTAAAAAATAAACTGCATGAAAATCAACTATTTATTCTCAACACCAAACACCTTTTAGTTTTACAGTTGGATTTAAAAATCTGAGAGAAGAAAAAGATGGAATCCAGGTATTTACACACTATTAAAAGCAGATTAGCTATCTATAGGTAGGAGCCCAGCAATAGTGAGGAGACTCTTTAAGGCAAGTTGCCAGGAATACTAGAAAAGATGATCTATTAATGGCTTTCACTTCATACTCTGATATAGCACCTATCCTGTGAAAGAAATGTGACTCCCTTCACCCACTGTCCTACCTTTCCAGTTCCCCAAGCAGAAATTCCATTCTCATGTGACTACTCTACTTAAATAGGAAGGCATTTAACCACCTGCCACTGTCATCCACTAATCTGACCTCTGCCTACTTTCTACACAAGTTTCACAGGCCTGGGGTTACTGCTTATCTTTTCTATGCATGAGGCAGGCTCTGTTCCTGTGCTTGTGACCATGCTCAGATTCTACTGTGGCCACTGTTTTAAAAATTCATTAATTATTTACTTAGTTTATGGAATGACAGATTTATCACAGTAATAAATAAAACAATTTTAAGTAACAAATAACAGCTAACAGTTTGACGTTTTAAAGAATAAATTCACGAATAAGGTTTGCTTTATGAAAGAAAACCTGAAACTCTATATAGAACTAACTACAAGAATCTAAAGCTTATGGTGCATATATTAGACATGTGTATCTTTGGAAAGTACCCTTAGAAATTATGTTCAATTACCAGCAAGTCAGTTGTCATTGCCTGCCAACATGCATGAAACACCTTTTGTCTAAGATACCCCTCACACTTCACTGGAAGTGAGACCTTTCTCAGAACACTTCTAGCCAAAAGGAATCCAAGTCTTTTTAAGAGGTGCTTTTCAAACCTAATTGGTAACTATTTAAGCTTGGTCTTAATTTAGTAGAAAGAGAAGTTTAATAACTAAAGATGATCATGTCAGTTCTTTGTTACATACTGGCTTTTATTAAACACCCAACTCTTCTTGATGGTAATTAGGCTTTGATATACTATTGGGAAATCTTTCTATGAGAGTATTTCATTAAGTGTCCTTTTTCTAAACAATTGTGTAGGGTAATGTAAATTACCTTTATGTTAAAATATCCTTCTCAAAAGGGGTTTACTGTACTCCAGATTGGTTTATACCTAGGAAGATAATTCTCACTTTATTAATTTCCAATGTGTATGATTTAGTGATATCTAAACCAAATCTTTACCCCACCTTTAGGCGTCTCACTCTGAGAATTCTTTGTATGATACAGACAGATATGATTCCAACCAAATCTGGTTGCTTTATTCTAAGTGCCAAATCTAAACCTGCCTTTCTATGTACACATTTAAAAACAAATAGAAAGACAAGGCTTAACCCTTACATGTTATTCCTTTTTTTTTTTTTAAATATACTGTGAAGAAATGGTTGAGCTGTCAGGCAAAAACAGACAAATGGAAAGATGTGAGGTCATAATGGACTCTTGTTTTCTTGTCCTTTTAAAAGCAGTTGTGATTTCAAAGTATTTGATGGTGGCATAGAAACTTTTCCAAAGCAAAAAACAAAAACAAAAAACTTACTTTTCAAGCCCTATAAAACATGTCTTCTCTGATTCCCTGGCTGTGATACTGACAGTCTTTGCCTTCCCCTTAAATAGGAAGTACTAGTATTGTCACCAGTCTTGGCAGCCCTTGTCTCCTTTACATGTCAATGCAAGTAAAAGCATGTTACACTCTCTGCGATTTGTGACTGTTTTCATAAAAGAGAAGTGTGCTTTGAAAGCAGCTGTCTCCATGCACACATATGTTTATCGTGGCACTATTCACAATAGCAAAGACTTGGAACCAAGCCAAATGTCCAACAATGATAGACTGGATTAAGAAAATGTGGCACATATACACCATGGAATACTATGCAGCCATAAAAAATGATGAGTTCATGTCCTTTGTAGGGACATGGAGGAAGCTGGAAACCATCATTCTCAGTAAACTATTGCAAGGACAAAAAACCAAACATCACATGTTCTCACTCATAGGTCGAAATTGAACAATGAGAACACATGGACACAGGAAGGGGAACATCACACACCGGGGCCTGTTGTGGGGTTGGGAGGGGGGAGGGATAGCATTAGTAGATATACCTAATGTTAAATGACAAGTTAATGGGTGCAGCACACCAACATGACATATATATATATGTAACAAACCTGCACGTTGTGCACATGTACCCTAAAACTTAAATAATAATAATAATAATAATAATAATAATAATAATAATAATAAAGAACATATTACAAAAAAGCAAAAATAAAAAAGCAGCTGTCTCATTTAGACCCATGGGTCTTGCAGGAGCTGAACAAAAATATGCTCGGAAGTTGGCATGTGTGAAACCAGTGGCTTCCATATTAAGTCTGGTGTCCTGTCTCTTGGTGCTTTTTAAAGCATTGGGGGTAACCTAAAAGCTTTTTTCTCTTCCAAAGCTTTATTAACCCTTCAACCATTTTCATGGCTTTGTACTCTTAACTTTTTAGAGGGCTCTACACCAGCCTTTACAGAATCCCAGTTGTGGAGAAGGAGGTGGGAAGGGTCGGAGGAAGAGAGTAATACAGAAATATACCTGGCCAGTTCAACAAAAAAAGTATATACCTATCCATGATTACCAGCATTCCGGTTGTTTAAAATTTCATGTGCTCCTTGAGATTAAATTGTTCACAATAAGGTCCAAAAGTCTTTTCCAAGTGGTACTGGGGCTAATATATTTTCTTTTTAAGGCTTTTACACTGGTAGAAACTGTTTCCTTAAGAATGCTGTGAGTTGTGTATTTTCTTTGTCAACATTTTTCTCTGTTGTGATATGTAGTCCTGGGTTTTCTCTTCTTTTAGAGAGTGAAGGATGACGGGTGGTATTCTCTCCCCTTAATATATCCCTGAGGCAGATCAGTCCTTATCTCTCTTTTGCTTCTTTTGCTGAAGCAACACTGGATTTCTCACCTGTCAGGTGAGAAACATACACCAAAGTCATAGATAATCAGTGTTCAAAGACCCATGTCCTCTGGTCCCAATTCACATGCATTTGGCCATACCAGTTCACATAAAGTGCCGCCAAGTCTCCACTTCACTTGCATTTGCAGACAGGGTGGTGTCTTCATTTTGTGAATGCCAATGAGAATGCAGAGCACATATTCTGTTTCTGAAGCAGAGCATGTTGTATATTATAGTTTGACAATGCCTCTGGCTTAGGAACAGCTAACAAGTTCAGTCCTTCTGGAATATAACTCATAGTATAGCTATTTGTGTGTGTGTGTGTCTGTGTATGTGTGTATGTGTGTGTGTTTACTAGAACTTTAGTAGCATCTGGTCTCATAGGTTATTTGGGCATTCAGATGAAGAAGATTTGTCCCAGAAATTAGAAACTCTTTTAGTGCTAAGCCTCTTACTTTGATATTGTCTAGCTAAGTTTAATGAGTACTTTGGGACATGCCAAGCCAGAGATACAAACCAAAGTGAAGCAATTGGCCTTTTCTCTGGGATATATTATCAGGCAGCTTTAAAAGTAAGATTCAAGTATATGACCAGTGTTATCTGTAATATGTTAATGTCAGCCACATACCTGCATGAAGATCATGCAACTGATGTATAATTCAGAATTGAACCATATAGGTTCTTTGAGAACCTGACTTTTTATTAGCTCCAGGTTTACAGACTGACACTGTCACAGCAGCTCAAGTCTGAACTTGCCAAGGTACAACAGTGTGAATGATTGACTTTAATTCCCTGTCATGTGTTTTCTTGAGCCTGTTACACCACTGCGGTATGGATGTGTGACCCAGTGACAATGTTCACTGCCAGTTGTTTTGTCCAGTGCCACAGAGATCATTGGCCCTCTACTGCAGTTGTGTTACAATTTGCAAATGTTTGGATGATACCATGTTTTTTATCCAAAATTAAAAACCTTCAGTCTTTTGCATGTGTGAGGTTACTGTGTATTAGCTACAAATAAAAGAAAAGATGGCATACCTCCAAAAATGGTACGCTGACCTAGCCTCAACAGATGAACCACCTTACAAAGACAGGATCTGCAGGTAGGTTAAAATACTCTCTGTTGATGTTAAAATAAGACAAGAAAGGTATCAGGGCACCTGGTTCTGAAGAGCACTGTCAGTGACCAGCTGTGAGGGCAAGACTGACACCAACTTAACTCACAAAAGAGCGCTGACAGTATACCAGTTTGTTCATTCACATTGGGGACAGACCTGTTTACAGACCAAGCTCTTCATCCTCTTTCAGGGCCTTCTCTCCTGCCCCCACTGCCCCCTCTCCCAGCAAGAATTCTCACTCATGAACTTGGGGGTTATTTCCTCCAGGCCTCAAAAGAGCTTCCCTCTCTGGGGACTATGTGATCTGGGCCTCTAGTGGGTAGAACACAGAGAGACCTGCGTTCTAGTCCTGGCTCTGCCATTCACTGGCCCAGTGGTTTTGGGCAAGTCATTTTCTCTCTCTCAGCCTTAGACGTCTTATCTATAAAATGGGAATGATAATTGTACCTACCACACAGGGTCGTTGTGCAAGTTAACAGAGCTAACATGTAAAGTACTACCTGGTAAAGTCCCTGGCACATAAAAACAGTCAAAATGCATTAGTCAGCCTCCTCCTACTTTCAGCCCTGATGCTGCTGATTACACTGACAAGTGCTCACTCTTATGCTTCTTTTTTCAACTCTATTCAGCCCCTTCCTACTCTTGACATATTGTCTTTAGACAGTCAGATTATAATATAATATATTATGCTAAATTAACCAATAAATCTTTGTTCATTATAGAATGTTTTTAAAATATCGAGAACCAAAAAAGAAGACATCATAATTTTTCTATGCAGGGAGAAATCTACATGCAGAGAACAAAATAGGACTGTACTGTTCACTCTTATTTAATAGTCTCACTTAATTTTGAACATCTTTCCATTTCTATAAATATAGGTTTATTTTGCTATTTTAATGGCCACATAGTATCTCACTATATGAGCTATAGTTTATTCAACCACCCTCCTATTGTTAAACACGCTACAGCCTTCTTCTATATCAAATTTCAATCTTGCCTTTCTGAGCTATACCCTATCTTCATTGGTTAGAATTCAGCAACCTGCTTTCTAATTTGAGGTAACCGCCTTCCCTGAGGTGACCTATACAGATGGGCAATTTCATCTATTCTGGTAGGATTTTTTTTAACCAACAAACTCTGTATTAGTCCTTTCTCCCATTGCTATAAGGAAATACCTGAGAGTGAGTAATTTATCAAGAAAAGAGGTTTAATTGGCTCACAGTTCCACAGGCTGTCCAGGAAGCATGGTGCTGGCATCTGCTTGGCTTCTGAGGAGGCCTCGGGAAAACTTACAATCAGGGCATAAGGCAAAGTGGGAGCGAGGCATCTCACATGGCTGGAGCAGGAGCAGGAGAGTGAAGAGGGAGGTGCTACACACTTTTAAACAACCAGATCTCACAAGAACTCACTATCAGAACAACACCAAGTGGATGATGCTAAACCATTAATGAAGGAGCCCCACCTCCAACACCGGGGATTACAATTGAACATGAGATTTGGGTGAGAACGCAGATCCAAACCATATCAAACCCTAAGGGTAATTTGAGCTCTAAATTTTCATGGTACTTTGTACAGAACATAAGCCTGATCTTGGAATTTATTCACTCTGCAGTCCCAAGGTAATGCACTGTGTTAGCTGTGGCTGAGGGTGTGGCAAGCTGGGCACTCTGAAATCAACTATGTTCACAGCCTCCTGTCATTCAGTAAAGGCCTAGTTTCACAGGAGAGAGGGTGTCAAAGGAAGCCCCTAAATGAGAAAGCACTTCTGGATTAGTCAGCCCCCTGACTTACTGTGCTTCCTTATTTGCAAAACAGGAATAATCTCTACCCTGCCAGTCTCATGCTGTGATTGTGACAACCAAGGGAAATTGCAATTTTGGAAATTTGGAAGTACTTTTCAAATATAAATTGGTATTATTAGTTTCAATCTTCAAATCCTGTCCAACTGAACTAGAACTACATATAGAAGTAAGGAACAAAATCAAGAATTAATGGAGTATGCTTTTGGCCTTTGGGAGGAAAATGCTACTTGGGTATATACGCAAGGCACAGCACAATTGAAAGGCTACCTTGTTTCTCTAGGCCTCTGTTACCTTATATTTAAGACAGGTGGTTTGAACTAGGTGATTTCTAGGAAAAGACTGAATACCTATTGAGTGGTTCATCTGTGCCAGGTCTTGGGCTGGGAGCTTTAAATATATGTTGTGTGGATGAAATAACTGAAGTCCTGTTCAAAGTCACCAAGCTAGTATGTAGGCTACTGAAACACAAGACTGACTAAAATATTGTCTATCTTGAGAATTTCATACTCTAAAACCCTATTGATTGATTGGACTTCCAGTCCAGACAAGACAGCGTAGATTCATTTCTCACTATTCCTTCCCACTAAGTACAACCATAAGGCCTGAAAATAACACAAGTGGCAACCAAAGGAGAACTCTGAAAGGTGGTATGAAGGAGAACTGTTTTGGGATCCCAGGGCTGGAGTAACAACACAGCAGCAAGATGTTTTATGTCCTGTCACCCAACAAGGTGGCAGTCCAGGCTGGGTATTTCTTGACCCCCCAACCTAACAAAAGAAGGCAGCCCAGGTAGGCTTATTCCTCCCCTAGATCAAGCAGGATTACCTCCAACAAGAGGTGAGCCTGACAGCATCATCAAGGGGGATTAATCAAGACATCAAGAACTCCCGCATTCCCCACTAACAATAAGCAGCCAGGCGAAGGGCTCTCCATCTCTACCCTTTCCTACTCAGAGACATGGGCAACCAGGAGACATCAGCAAAAGAGGCCCTGCCACAAGTGCTTATCCCAGGACGACCACTTCATCTCCACAGCCAGATGCGGACCCTGTCAAAACAAGGGACTAGGCAGGGAAGCCTCTTTGTCACTGCAAGCCTGAAAGTTCTATGCCCACCTGAGAGACATTGGGCAACAGGCCTAGGGAAACCATTTCTGCTCCCCTTAGGCAGCACAAGCAGAAAACAGGAGGAACCCCAGTGGCAACAGACAAACCAATCAGACCAAAACAGCACCAAAAGCTTTCAAAAACAACTTCCCTGGAATGATAGCTGACAAAAGTAGGAGAGGATCTGCATGCTACGGCTAAACAAGATGACTGCCTGCTAAAATAGAAAGTTTAAATAGAGACTCCTAACAGAATAGACAAAATGTCCAGGATATAATAGAAAACTCACAATTTAAGAAAAGACAATCGAGTAACGTTAACACTGAGATAAATCAGATGTTGGAATTACTAGGATTTTAAAACTGCCATCATAAAAAGATTCAAAAAGGAGGGGGAGGAGCCAAGATGGCCGAATAGGAACAGCTCCGGTCTACAGCTCCCAGCGTGAGCGACGCAGAAGACGGGTGATTTCTGCATTTCCATCTGAGGTACCGGGTTCATCTCACTAGGGAGTGCCAGACAGTGGGCGCAGGCCAGTGTGTGTGCGCACCGTGCGCGAGCCGAAGCAGGGCGAGGCATTGCCTCACCTGGGAAGCGCAAGGGGTCAGGGAGTTCCCTTTCCGAGTCAAAGAAAGGGGTGACGGACGCACCTGGAAAATCAGGTCACTCCCACCCGAATATTGCGCTTTTCAGACCGGCTTAAGAAACGGCGCACCACGAGACTATATCCCACACCTGGCTCAGAGGGTCCTACGCCCACGGAATCTCGCTGATTGCTAGCACAGCAGTCTGAGATCAAACTGCAAGGCGGCAACGAGGCTGGGGGAGGGGCGCCCGCCATTGCCCAGGCTTGCTTAGGTAAACAAAGCAGCCAGGAAGCTCGAACTGGGTGGAGCCCACCACAGCTCAAGGAGGCCTGCCTGCCTCTGTAGGCTCCACCTCTGGGGGCAGGGCACAGACAAACAAAAAGACAGCAGTAACCTCTGCAGACTTAAGTGTCCCTGTCTGACAGCTTTGAAGAGAGCAGTGGTTCTCCCAGCACGCAGCTGGAGATCTGAGAACGGGCAGACTGCCTCCTCAAGTGGGTCCCTGACCCCTGACCCCTGAGCAGCCTAACTGGGAGGCACCCCCCAGCAGGGGCACACTGACACCTCACACGGCAGGGTATTCCAACAGACCTGCAGCTGAGGGTCCTGTCTGTTAGAAGGAAAACTAACAACCAGAAAGGACATCTACACCGAAAACCCATCTGTACATCACCATCATCAAAGACCAAAAGTAGATAAAACCACAAAGATGGGGAAAAAACAGAACAGAAAAACTGGAAACCCTAAAACGCAGAGCGCCTCTCCTCCTCCAAAGGAACGCAGTTCCTCACCAGCAACAGAACAAAGCTGGATGGAGAATGATTTTGACGAGCTGAGAGAAGAAGGCTTCAGACGATCAAATTACTCTGAGCTACGGGAGGACATTCAAACCAAAGGCAAAGAAGTTGAAAACTTTGAAAAAAATTTAGAAGAATGTATAACTAGAATAACCAATACAGAGAAGTGCTTAAAGGAGCTGATGGAGCTGAAAACCAAGGCTCGAGAACTACGTGAAGAATGCAGAAGCCTCAGGAGCCGATGCGATCAACTGGAAGAAAGGGTATCAGCAATGGAAGATGAAATGAATGAAATGAAGCGAGAAGGGAAGTTTAGAGAAAAAAGAATAAAAAGAAATGAGCAAAGCCTCCAAGAAATATGGGACTATGTGAAAAGACCAAATCTACGTCTGATTGGTGTACCTGAAAGTGATGTGGAGAATGGAACCAAGTTGGAAAACACTCTGCAGGATATTATCCAGGAGAACTTCCCCAATCTAGCAAGGCAGGCCAACGTTCAGATCCAGGAAATACAGAGAACGCCACAAAGATACTCCTCGAGAAGAGCAACTCCAAGACACATAATTGTCAGATTCACCAAAGTTGAAATGAAGGAAAAAATGTTAAGGGCAGCCAGAGAGAAAGGTCGGGTTACCCTCAAAGGAAAGCCCATCAGACTAACAGCGGATCTCTCGGCAGAAACCCTACAAGCCAGAAGAGAGTGGGGGCCAATATTCAACATTCTTAAAGAAAAGAATTTTCAACCCAGAATTTCATATCCAGCCAAACTAAGCTTCATAAGTGAAGGAGAAATAAAATACTTTATAGACAAGCAAATGCTGAGAGATTTTGTCACCACCAGGCCTGCCCTAAAAGAGCTCCTGAAGGAAGCGCTAAACATGGAAAGGAACAACCAGTACCAGCCGCTGCAAAATCATGCCAAAATGTAAAGACCATCGAGACTAGGAAGAAACTGCATCAACTAATGAGCAAAATCACCAGCTAACATCATAATGACAGGATCAAATTCACACATAACAATATTAACTTTAAATATAAATGGACTAAATTCTGCAATTAAAAGACACAGACTGGCAAGTTGGATAAAGAGTCAAGACCCATCAGTGTGCTGTATTCAGGAAACCCATCTCACGTGCAGAGACACACATAGGCTCAAAATAAAAGGATGGAGGAAGATCTACCAAGCAAATGGAAAACAAAAAAAGGCAGGGGTTGCAATCCTAGTCTCTGATAAAACAGACTTTAAACCAACAAAGATCAAAAGAGACAAAGAAGGCCATTACATAATGGTAAAGGGATCAATTCAACAAGAGGAGCTAACTATCCTAAATATTTATGCACCCAATACAGGAGCACCCAGATTCATAAAGCAAGTCCTCAGTGACCTACAAAGAGACTTAGACTCCCACACATTAATAATGGGAGACTTTAACACCCCACTGTCAACATTAGACAGATCAACGAGACAGAAAGTCAACAAGGATACCCAGGAATTGAACTCAGCTCTGCACCAAGCAGACCTAATAGACATCTACAGAACTCTCCACCCCAAATCAATAGAATATACATTTTTTTCAGCACCACACCACACCTATTCCAAAATTGACCACATAGTTGGAAGTAAAGCTCTCCTCAGCAAATGTAAAAGAACAGAAATTATAACAAACTATCTCTCAGACCACAGTGCAATCAAACTAGAACTCAGGATTAAGAATCTCACTCAAAGCCGCTCAACTACATGGAAACTGAACAACCTGCTCCTGAATGACTACTGGGTACATAACGAAATGAAGGCAGAAATAAAGATGTTCTTTGAAACCAACGAGAACAAAGACACCACATACCAGAATCTCTGGGACGCATTCAAAGCAGTGTGTAGAGGGAAATTTATAGCACTAAATGCCTACAAGAGAAAGCAGGAAAGATCCAAAATTGACACCCTAACATCACAATTAAAAGAACTAGAAAAGCAAGAGCAAACACATTCAAAAGCTAGCAGAAGGCAAGAAATAACTAAAATCAGAGCAGAACTGAAGGAAATAGAGACACAAAAAACCCTTCAAAAAATCAATGAATCCAGGAGCTGGTTTTTTGAAAGGATCAACAAAATTGATAGACCGCTAGCAAGACTAATAAAGAAAAAAAGAGAGAAGAATCAAATAGACACAATAAAAAATGATAAAGGGGATATCACCACCGATCCCACAGAAATACAAACTACCATCAGAGAATACTACAAACACCTCTACGCAAATAAACTAGAAAATCTAGAAGAAATGGATACATTCCTCGACACATACACTCTCCCAAGACTAAACCAGGAAGAAGTTGAATCTCTGAATAGACCAATAACAGGCTCTGAAATTGTGGCAATAATCAATAGTTTACCAACCAAAAAGAGTCCAGGACCAGATGGATTCACAGCCGAATTCTACCAGAGGTACAAGGAGGAACTGGTACCATTCCTTCTGAAACTATTCCAATCAATAGAAAAAGAGGGAATCCTCCCTAACTCATTTTATGAGGCCAGCATCATTCTGATACCAAAGCCGGGCAGAGACACAACCAAAAAAGAGAATTTTAGAACAATATCCTTGATGAACATTGATGCAAAAATCCTCAATAAAATACTGGCAAACCAAATCCAGCAGCACATCAAAAAGCTTATCCACCATGATCAAGTGGGCTTCATCCCTGGGATGCAAGGCTGGTTCAATATACGCAAATCAATAAATGTAATCCAGCATATAAACAGAGCCAAAGACAAAAACCACATGATTATCTCAATAGATGCAGAAAAAGCCTTTGACAAAATTCAACAACCCTTCATGCTAAAAACTCTCAATAAATTAGGTATTGATGGGACCTATTTCAAAATAATAAGAGCTATCTATGACAAACCCACAGCCAATATCATACTGAATGGGCAAAAACTGGAAGCATTCCCTTTGAAAACTGGCACAAGACAGGGATGCCCTCTCTCACCGCTCCTATTCAACATAGTGTTGGAAGTTCTGGCCAGGGCAATCAGGCAGGAGAAGGAAATAAAGGGTATTCAATTAGGAAAAGAGGAAGTCAAATTGTCCCTGTTTGCAGATGACATGATTGTTTATCTAGAAAACCCCATCGTCTCAGCCCAAAATCTCCTTAAGCTGATAAGCAACTTCAGCAAAGTCTCAGGATACAAAATCAATGTACAAAAATCACAAGCTTTCTTATACACCAACAACAGACAAACAGAGAGCCAAATCATGGGTGAACTCCCATTCACAATTGCTTCAAAGAGAATAAAATACCTAGGAATCCAACTTACAAGGGATGTGAAGGACCTCTTCAAGGAGAACTACAAACCACTGCTCAATGAAATAAAAGAGGATACAAACAAATGGAAGAACATTCCATGCTCATGGGTAGGAAGAATCAATATCGTGAAAATGGCCATACTGCCCAAGGTAATTTATAGATTCAATGCCATCCCCATCAAGCTACCAATGACTTTCTTCACAGAATTGGAAAAAACTACTTTCAAGTTCATATGGAACCAAAAAAGAGCCCGCATCTCCAAGTCAATCCTAAGCCAAAAGAACAAAGCTGGAGGCATCACGCTACCTGACTTCAAACTATACCACAAGGCTACAGTAAGCAAAACAGCATGGTACTGGTACCAAAACAGAGATATAGATCAATGGAACAGAACAGAGCCCTCAGAAATAACGCCGCATATCTACAACTATCTGATCTTTGACAAACCTGAGAAACACAAGCAATGGGGAAAGGATTCCCTATTTAATAAATGGTGCTGGGAAAACTGGCTAGCCATATGTAGAAAGCTGAAACTGGATCCCTTCCTTACACCTTATACAAAAATCAATTCAAGATGGATTAAATATTTAAACGTTAGACCTAAAACCATAAAAAACCTAGAAGAAAACCTAGGCATTACCATTCAGGACATAGGCATGGGCAAGGACTTCATGTCTAAAACACCAAAAGCAATGGCAACAAAAGCCAAAATTGACAAATGCGATCTAATTAAACTAAAGAGCTTCTGCACAGCAAAAGAAACTACCACCAGAGTGAACAGGCAACCTACAAAATGGGAGAAAATTTTCGCAACCTACTCATCTCACAAAGGGCTAATATCCAGAATCTACAATGAACTCAAACAAATTGACAAGAAAAAAACAAACAACCCCATCAAAAAGTGGGCAAAGGACATGAACAGACACTTCTCAAAAGAAGACATTTATGCAGCCAAAAAACACATGAAAAAATGCTCACCATCACTGGCCATCAGAGAAATGCAAATCAAAACCACAATGAGATATCATCTCACACCAGTTAGAATGGCAATCATTAAAAAGTCAGGAAACAACAGGTGCTGGAGAGGATGTGGAGAAATAGGAACACTTTTACACTGTTGGTGGGACTGTAAAGTAGTTCAACCATTGTGGAAGTCACTGTGGTGATTCCTCAGGGATCTAGAACTAGAAATACCATTTGACCCAGCCATCCCATTACTGGGTATAGACCCAAAGGACTATAAATCATGCCGCTATGAAGACACATGCACACGTATGTTTATTGCGGCACTATTCACAATAGCAAAGACTTGGAACCAAGCCAAATGTCCAACAATGATAGACTGGATTAAGAAAATGTGGCACATATACACCATGGAATACTATGCAGCCATAAAAAATGATGACTTCATGTCCTTTGTAGGGACATGGTTGAAATTGGAAATCATCATTCTCAGTAAACTATCGCAAGAACAAAAAACCAAACACCGCATATTCTTACTCATAGGTGGGAATTGAACAATGAGAAAACATAGACACAGGAAGGGGAACATCACACTCTGGGGACTGTTGTGGGGTGGGGGCAGAGGGGAGGGATAGCATTGGGAGATACACCTAATGCTAGATGATGAGTTAGTGGGTGCAGCGCACCAGCATGTCACATGTATACATATGTAACTAACCTGCACATTGTGCACATGTACCCTGAAACTTAAAGTATAATAATAAAAAAAAGAATGAAAACTAAATGCTACAAATCAAATGTAATAGAAATGAAGAATGGCTTTGATGGGCTCACCAATAGACTATTAGGCTGAGCATGGCCAAGGAAAAAGAAAATCAGTGAGTTTAAAGAAATGTTAATAGAACCCTCCTAAGCTGAAATGCAACAAGAAAAAAAATGGAAAGACATAACAATATCCAAGAAATGTGGGACAATTAGAAAAGGTGTAACATAACTTTATGTAGTGTAGCATAACATTACATAAAGATGTAATGACAATACCAGAAGAAGAAGAAAGAGAAAAATGAAGAGAAGAAAAATTTGAAGCAATAATGACTGAGAATTTCCCAAAGGTAATGATAGACACCAAACCACAGATCTAGGAAGCTCAAAGAACTCCAAGAAGAATAAATACCCAAAACTCCATACCTAGGCATATCATATTCAAACTGCAGAAAATCAAAGACAAAGAAAAAATATTGAAAGGAGCTTTAGAGGGGGAAGAAAACTTAAATTTAGAGTAGCAAGGATAAGAATTACATTGGACTTCTCAGAGCCATGCCAGAAGGAAGGTAGTGAAGCAAAAATTTAAAGTATCAAAGGTAGAAAAGCCCCAATCTAGAAATTTGTGTCCAGTGAAATTATCCTTCAAAAGTTAAAAACTTAAAGAAGAATGGTGAACTGGGAAGATTCAAGCCATCTTTCCCCTATAAAACACATTAAAAAGAAACTACTAAAATCTATATAACTGTATAGGAGTTCTGGAAATCAGTCAGAGATCAATAGAAACCAAGCAAATGCCCAGTGAAGAAAAAGTCACATTCAAAAAGCTAGGAAATTTCATGACATTGTTACTTGCCTTTGACCCACACCTTGCTGGTGTTACATGCTTTTGGGGAAGAGGTGGCTCAGTCCCCAGCTCTCCTTCAAACCAGAGAGAGAAGAGTAGACCTAATTTTCCATGTTCTAACCTGTCTGAGGGCAACCTGACGGATTGATTTCTGTCACCTAAAATGGAGCTTAGATGGCCAAAATTGATACGGCCCAGATCTCAAGCTAAGAAAAGTCACGAGAAGCAGTGAGTACAGCTCATGAAAACCACAGGGGGACTATAGACCCATAGACCCCAAGGGCAGGAGATTATTGGTAGGGGAATACAATTTAACTGCCATGTCCCCAAAAAGAAGCAGCAGTGAGACTCGTAGGGAAACTAAGACACATAAAATTTGATTATATGTGGAGAAATTGGAGAAAAAGAGCTCAGGGGAAATACAGGCTGAGAAAAGGCCTGCAAAGGCTGGGATTGCCTGGGCCAATCCCAAGGACAAAAATGTACCCTGCTAAGTAATAAAAGTCTATCCCTGCAAGGAGCCATTCTGCAAAGACTGGAAAAAGTGGTTGGGATTTTTTTTTTTTTCAAATGCCTAATTTTCGAAAAATATATAGCAAGTCATAGAAAAAAACACAAAAGCATAGTCTATTTATAGAAACAAAATAAATCTACAGAAATCGTCCAAAAAGAGACATTAGGCATCAAATGTACTAGATAAAGACTTTAACACACTTCCTTAAATATGTGAAAAGAGGCCGGGCGCGGTGGCTCACGCCTGTAATCCTAGCACTTTGGGAGGCCGAGACGGGCGGATCATGAGGTCAGGAGATCCAGACCATCTTGGCTAACACGGTGAAACCCCGTTTCTACTAAAAATACAAAAAATTAGCCGGGCGTGTTGGCGGGCGCCTGTAGTCCCAGCTACTTGGGAGGCTGAGGCAGGAGAATGGCATGAACCTGGGAGGCGGAGCTTGCAGTGAGCCGAGATCGCGCCACTGCACTCCAACCTGGGAGACACAGCGAGACTCCGTCTCAAAAAAAAAAAAAAAAAAAAAAAATATGTGAAAAGAACTCATTCTCAGCAAACTATCGCCAGGACAAAAAACCAAACACCGCATGTTCTCACTCATAGGTGGGAATTGAACAATGAGAACACATGGACACAGGAAGGGGAACATCACACTCCAGGGACTGTTGTGGGGTGGGACGGGGGGCAGAGGGATAGCATTAGGAGATATACCTAATGCTAAATGACGAGTTAATGGGTGCAGCACACCAACATGGCACATGTATACATATGTAACAAACCTGCACATTGTGCAATGTACCCTAAAACTTAAAGTATAATAATAATAAATTTTTTAAAAAAAAAGAAAACAGTATGTGAGCAAAATTTTAAAAATCACTGAAAGGTAGAAATTATTTTTTTAAATTGTGGGCTAAAAAATACAAAAACTGCATTGAAATACTTGCTAGAGTGGTTCAACATCAGACTCTAATAGACAGAAGAAAGAATCAGAGAACTTGGAGACAGGTCATTTAAAGTTGTCAAATCTGAGGAGCAAAAATTTTAAAAGAATGAAGAAAAGTGAACAGAGTCTAATGGATTAATGAGACACCATGAAGGAGACAAAAATAAATAAATAAATAAAACACCTTATAAAATTTCCAGAAGAAGAGAAAGGAAAAGGGTCAAGGAGATTATTTGAAGAAATAATGTCCAAAGCCCTCCCAAATTTGAGGAAAGAAATGAATATGTAAATATAAGAAGTTCAACAAATTCCAAGTAGGATTTAGCCAAAGAGACTCACACCAAGACAATGACATTATTTTCAAATTGTTGGATGAGAAAAATCTTGAAAGGAGGAAGAGAAAAGCAATTCATCACATACAAGGTATTCTCAATAAGATCATCAGTTTGTTTCTCAGCAGAAACCTTCAAGACCAGAAGACAGAAAATTCATACATTTAAAGTGCTGAAAGAAAAAAAAAGTACCCTGAAAATTGAGAATTCTATATCTGGCAAAACTGTCCTTCAAGATTGACAGTGATAGGCCAAAGATGGCCAACTAGACACAGCCAGTAGGAACATCTACCACTGAGAGACTGGAACATCAGGAAGACTGGCAAATTCCAAGCAGATCTTCAGAGGGAAGGCATTAAGAGTAGATGGAGGGAAGGAGTAGATGCTGGGCTGAACGGGTGGTGGGGGGGGTATCTGGAAACCCTGCAAGGGAATACAAAGCACTGGGACTCATTCCTTATGGGGATGAGCAATGGGGGGAACAGGCAAGAAGCAGCCTGCTCCTATCATGGACCTCTGAAATCTGGGCAGCAGGAAATGCCATGACCCCCATGGACACTTGAGTTGGCAGGGAGTACTTCTCAGACAGGTGCTAGGACCTGGTCTCCAGCTTGCACAGAGCCCAGAGGATTTGGTGTGGGAATATCTGCATGGGAGCAATGCCAGGGATGCCCATCCTCCAAGGCTTCCCATGCTTTTCTAGGATACTTTGGCCATAGGATCAATGTCAGACCTGGACAGAACAGGGCTATCTTGCTTGTGGAATGAGGCCAGTTCAATCTGAGTGCCCACCTGTCTGTTGCCATCTCCCAGGACCCTAGGCTGACTGCGCCTGCTGGCAGTGCAGCCTTGGATGCCCAACCAGGGTGCTTCCTGGGGACCCTCATTATATCTCTTTCACCAGCAAACCGTGCCTCACCACGAGAGGGCCCCAGCAGAGCATCCACTGACAGAGTACACCAGCCCCCCACACACCCTCCCCATTACAGCCTTCCCCACACCACTTTGCCAGCACACTCTCGCTCATGGCCACCTGCAACTGCTTTGCTGGCGCATATGTGCAAGTGGACGTCACCTCCTTTCCTCTGCCAGTGTGGAAGTGTGCTGCCAGTGTGAGTGCAACCCATTGCCCCACCACCACCACTAATGTTTCAGCATTCAGCTGTGCAACAATTTCATGTGAATGTGCACACACACTGGCGATCACAACTCTCCCATGCTGCCACCACAGCTGGTATGAATAAGTGCTGAATGCCGGCAGCCCCATACCCTGACACTGCCAACAGTGCAAATGTACACATGGAGGCCAGCAGCCCCACATCCACCAGTGCTCCACTGCCACTGCCACCAGCATAAGTGCAAGCACAGGCACTGGCAACCTTTCCCCTGCCTGTGGCCCACTGCCAGCAGGAGTATGCACAGGAATGCTTCAACCTCGCTTCTGCCAGCATCCCACCCCAGCCAATGTACATGCACTCCACCATGCTGCCACAGCTGCTGGCACATTGAAGCAGCCACAGCTTGTGCTGTCACTGCCCCAATGAAGTGTTTTGGTTGGCACCAGCCTTTAGAGTGTTGTGGCCATTGGGGTGGGAACACCTCAGCCCCTCCAGC
Source organism: Homo sapiens (assembly GCF_000001405.40). Classification (NCBI taxonomy): domain Eukaryota; kingdom Metazoa; phylum Chordata; class Mammalia; order Primates; family Hominidae; genus Homo; species Homo sapiens. Next base: position 64,248,106 of record NC_000023.11, on the reverse strand, counting down.
ACAGCAGGCTTCTAACTGCAAGGAGCTGGAGAAGAAAGCCAGGAGCCTGGTACCTGCCCCTCAGAGTCAGAGCATGCAAATCAGGAGTGCTGAGCTGAGCCTGAGCCCCATAAAATCTTCCAGAAATGAAGACAGTGAAACCGACCTTATACCACAATCAAACTCTCAAGGGCATCAAAGAAGATAACAGCAAAAACACCAAAAGGACAGCAGCTTCAAAGATCAAAAAAAATTAGTCTACACAGATAATAAATAACCAGTGCAAAAACTGTGGCAACTCAAAAACCCAGAGTGTCTTACCTCCAAATGACTGCACCAGTTCCACAGCAGTGGTTCCTAACAAGGCTGAAATGACAAAAATAGAATTCAGAATATGGAGAGGAATGAAGATCATCAACATTCAGAATAAAGTGGAACCCCAATTCAAGGAATCTAAGGAATACAATAAAATGATACAGGAGATAAAAAACAAAATGGCCATTTTAAGAAACAACGAAATTGATCTGATAGAGCTGAAAAACTCCAAGAATTTCAGAATACAATTGCAAGTATTAACAGCAAGAACAGATCAAGCTGAGGAACAAATCTCAGAGCTCGAAGACTGGTTCTACAAAATAACTCAGACAACAACCACCACAACAAAAAGTAAACACAAGAATGAACGAAAGCTCTGAGAAATATGGTATTATGTAGACACCAAATCTATGAATCATTGGTGTCCCTGGGAGAGAGGAAGAAATAGCAAGCAATGTGGGCAACATACTTAAGGATATCATTCAAGAAAATTTACCCAACATTGCTACAGAGGCCAACATTCAAATTCAGAAAATGCAGAGAACCCTTCAAGATACTATACAAGATGACCATCCCCAAGACACATAGATTTTCCAAGGTCAAAATTAAAGAAAACATATTAAAGGCATCCAAAGAGAAGGGACAGGTCACTTACAAAGGGAACCCCGTTAGGAAAACAAAGGACATTTCAGCAAAAACCCTATAAGTCAGAAGAGAATTAGTGCCTATATACAGCATCTTTAATGAAAAGAAATTTCAATCAAGAATATCATATCCAGCCATACTAAGCTTCATAAGCAAAGGAGAAATAGGATCCTTCTCAGACAAGCAAATGCTATGGGAATTTGTTAGCTCCAGACTTGCCTTACCAGAGGCCCTGAAGGGAGTACTAAATATGGAAAGGTAAGACTGTTACCAGCCACCACAAAAACACACTTAAATGCATAGACCATGTACTTGGTCTATGACACTAAGAAGTGACCACACAATCAAGTCTGTATAATAACCAGCTAACGACTTGATGGCAGGACCAAATCCACACATATCAATATTAACGTTGAATGTAAACAGGATAAGTGCTTTAATTAAAAGGCACAGAGTGACAAGTTGGATAAAGAAGGCAAGACCAACAGTATGCTGTCTTCAAGACAGCCATCCACCTGCAATGACACCCATAGGCTCAAAGTAAAGGGATGAAGAAAAATCTACTAAGAAAACAGAAAGAAGTAGGGGTTGCTATTCTACTTTTAGTCAAAACAGACTTAAACCAACAATGGTAAAAAAAAAAAAAAGAAGGGCATTACATAATGGTAAAGGGTTCAATTTAACAAGAAGACCCACCCTTCATAAATATATACACACACAACACAGGAGCACCCAGATTCATAAAGCAAGTTCTTAGAGACCTATGAAGAGACTTAGATAACCACACAATAATAGTAGGAGACTTCAACAACCCACTGACAATATTAGACAGGTCATCAAGGCAGAAAATTAACAAAGATATTTGTGACCTGAACTCGACACTTGACCAAATGGGCCTAACAGACATCTACAGAAATCTTCCCCAAAAAACAACAGAATATACGTTCTTCTCAGAAGCACATGGCACATACTCTAAAGTCAACCACACAATCAGCCATAAAACAATCCTCAGCAAATTCAAAAAACCCCAGTATCTTACCAAACACACTCTTGGACCACAGCACAATAAAAATAGAAACCAATACTAAGAAAATCACTCAAAACTATACAATTACATGGAAATTAACCAACCTGCTCCTGAATGGCTTTTGGGTAAATAATGAAATTAGGGCAGAAATTAACAAATTCTTTGAAACCACTAAGAACAAAGATACAACATTCCTTCTTAACACTTCTTTAGTTTTGTTCAATTTGGGGACACAGCTAAAGCAGTGTTAAGAAGGAAGTTTATAGCACTAAACACCCACATGAAAAAGGTAGAAACATCTCAAATTAACAACCCAACATCACACCTCGAGAAACTACAAAAACAAGCTAAATCCAAAGATAGAAGAAGACAAGAAATAGCCAAAATCAGAGCAGAAGGGAAGGATACTGAGATGCAAAAAAAAAAAAAAAAAAAAAAATCAACGAATCTATGAATTGGTTCATTAAAAGAATAAATAAGATTGATGGACTGATAACTAGACAAATAAACATAATCAGAAATGACAAAGGGCACATTACCACCAAACCCAGAGAAATACAAAAATCCTCAAAGGCTGCCACAAATACCTCTATGTAAACAAACTAGAAAACCTAGACAAAATGGATAAATGTCTGAAAAAAATACAGCTTCTCAAGATTGAACCATGAAGAAATTGAATCCCTGAACAGGCCAATAATGGATTCTAAAACTGAATCAGTAATAAAAAGCCTGCCATCCAGGACCAGGCAGATTCGCAGCTGTATTCTACCAAGTGTATAAAGAAGAGCTGGTACCAGCATTCTTACTGAAACTATTCCAAAAAGTTGAGGAAGTGTGATTCCTCCCTAACTCATTCTTTGAAGCCAGCATTATTCTGACTGCAAAACCTGGCAGAGACACAACAAAAACAACAACAAAAACTTTAGGCCAATGTCCTTGATGAACATATATGCAAAAATCCTTAACAAAATACTACCAAACTGAATCAAGGAGCACATCAAAAAGGTAATCTACCACAATCAAGTAGGCTCTATCCCTGAGATCCAAGGTTGATTCAAGATATACAAATGAATAAATGTGACTAATTACATAAATAGATCTATTTTTAAAGCCACATACTTATCTCACTAAATGAAGAAAAGACTTTTGATAAAATGCAGTATGATTTCATGTTAAAATCCCCAAGGAAGTAGGCATTCAAGGAACATACCTCAAATCAATAAAAGCCATCTATGACATAGCAGTAGCCAAAATCATACTGAATGGGCAGAACTTGGAATAATTCCACTTGAGAACTGGAACAAGACAAGGATGTCCACTATCACCATTCCTATTCAACATAGTACTGGATGTACTAGACAGAGAAATCAGGCAAGAGAAAGGAATAAAAGGCATCCAAATAGAGAGGAAATCAAACAATCTCTGTTTGCAGATAATATAATGCTATACCTAGAATATAATGCTAGATATAATGCTATCCCATAGTCTCTGCCCAAAAGCTGCTTAAGCTGACAAACAACTTGATCTGATATACTATTTCAGCAAAGTTTCAGGATACAAAATTAACATAGAAAAATAAGTAGCATTCCTATACACCAACAACATCCAAGCTGAGAGCCAAATCAAGAATGCAATCTCATTCACAATAGCCACAAAAAGAATAAAATATCTTGGAATACAGCTAACCAGGGAGGTGAAAGAACTATACAATGATAATTATAAAACACTGCTCAAAGAAATCAGAGATGAGACAAACAAATGGAAAAACATTCCATCCATGTTCACAGACAGGATGAGTCAATATCTTTAAAATGTCCATACTTCCCAAAGCAATTTGCAGATTCAATGCTATTTCTATCAAACTACCAACGAAATTCTTCACAGAATTAGAAAAACTATTTTGAAGTTTATACCAAAAGAGAGCCCAAATACCTAAGGCAATCCTAAGCAAAAACAAACAAACAAAACAACAACAACAAACAAAACCAAAGCTGGAGGTATCACGTTACCCAATTTCAAACTATACTACAAGGCTACACTAACCAAAACACAAAACAGCATATTAGAAAAAACAAAACAGACATGGAAAACTGGAACAGAATAGAGAACCCCAAAATAATGCTGCAGACCTACAACCATATAATCTTCGGCAAAGTTGACAAAAACAGGTAATGGGAAAAGGAGTTCCTGTTCAACAAACAGTGCTAGGATAACTGGCCGGCCATATGCAGAAGACTGCAACGGGATGCCTTCCATACACCATATACAAAAATCAACTCAAAATGGATTAAACACTTACATATAAAACTTAAGACTATAAAAATCTTGGAAAACAACCTAGGAAATAACATTCTGGACATAAGGTCTTGTAAAGAATTCATGATGAACATGCCAAAAGCAATAGCAACAAAAACAAAAATTGACAAATGGGATCTAACTAAAGAGCTTCTGCCCAGCTAAAGAAACTATCAACATAGTAAATTGACAACCTGCAGAATAGGAGAAAATATTTGCAAACTATGCATCTAACTAAGGTCTAATATCCAGAATCTACAAGAAACTTAAACAAATTTACAAGTTAAAAAAAACATTAAAAAGTAGCAAAGGTCATGGGCACTTTTCAAAAAAAGATACACACACAGCCAATAAGCTTATGAAAAAGTGCTCAACATTGCTAATCACAAACCTGCCCATGTACCCCTGAACCTAAAATAAAAGTTAAAATAATCATAAATGAAAGAGAAGACATTAGTATCACATATAAAACAAGATTATAAGAGACTATTATGAATAATTATATGCCAAAAATTGGATAACCTAAAAGAAATGGATGAAGTCCTAGCCACATACAACCTACCAAGACTGAATCATGAAGAAATAGAAAACCTGAACAGACCAATAATGAGTAACCAGATTTATTCAGTAACTAAAAGTCTCCCAACAAAGAAAACCCAGTACTGGGTGGCTTCACTGCCTATTTCTACCAAACATATAAAGAAAAACTAACACCAGTTTTCTTCAAACTGTTGCAAAGGTTGTTGAAGAGGACATTCTCCCTAACTCATTCTACAGGGCCAGCATTACCTTGATACCAAAACCAGATAAAGATACAACAGAAAAAGAAAACTATAGGCCAATATTCCTGATGAACATAGCTGGAAAAATTCTCAACAAAAGAGCAAACTGAATCCAACAGGACAAGAAAAAGATAATACATCATTATCAATTGGGATTTAATCCAGGGATGAAAGGATGGTTCAACATACACAAATCAGTAAACATGATAAAACACATCAACACAATTAAGAACAAAAGCCATATGATTATCTCATCAGGTACAGAAAAAAGCATTTGATAAAATTCATCATTCCTACATGATAAAAACTCTCAACAATGTAGGCATAGCAGGAGCATACCCTAACATAATGAAGGCATATATGAAAAATCCACAGCTAACATCACACCAGATGGGGAAAAGCTAAAAATATTTCCTATAAAAACTAGAATAATACAAGGATACCAACTTTTACTGCTCTCACTTAACATAGCACTGGAAATTCTAGGCAGAGCAATGAGGCAAGAGAAAGAAATAAAAGGCATTTGAACTGGAAAAGATGAAGTCAAAAATTTCCTCTTTTCAGATGACATGACTTTATATTTAGAAAACCTTAAAGAGTTTACCAAAGAATTCTTAGAACTGATAAACTCAGTAAAGTTGCAGAATACAAAATCAACATACAAAAATCAGCAGTGTATCTATATAGCTATTATGAATTAGCTGAAAAAATAAATCAAGAAGAAAATCCTATTTATACTAGCTACAAAAAAATACCTAGGAATAAATGTAACCAAGGAGGTAAAGGACCTCTTCAAGGAAACTGCAAAATACCAATGAAGCAAAATGGAAGAGGACACCAACTAGTGAAAAGATCATCCCATGCTCATGAATAAGAGTTAATATTGTTAAAATAATTATACTACCCAAAGCAATCTACAGATTCAATACAGTCCCTATCAAAATATCAATGACATTCTTCACAGAAATGGAAAAAAATCAATCCCAATATTCTTATAGCAGCAAAAAAGGGCCCAAATAGCCAAAGCAATCATGTGCAAAAATAACAAAGCAGGAGGTATCACACTACTAAACTTGAAAATATATTACACAGCTATGGTAACCAAAACAGCATGGTATTGGTTTAAAAACAGTCACATAGACCAATGGAACAGAATAGAGAACCCAGAAATAAAACCACATATTTGCAGCCAACTGATCTTCAACCAAGTCAACAAGAACTTACACTGAGGGAAAGACACCCTCGTTAATAAAAGTTGCTAGAAAAATTGCAAAGCCACATGCAGAATAAAACTGGGCAAAGAACATGAATAGACATTTCTTAAAAGAATATATAAACAGGTATATATCCAACAGGTATATAAAAAAATTCTCAACATCACTAATCATTAGAGAAATGCAAATCAAAACCACAATAAGATATTATTTTACCCCAGTCAGAATGGCTATTATTAAAAATACAAAAAAATCATATGCTGTCAAGGATGCAGAGAAAACAGAACTCTTATACACTGTCGGTGGGAATGTAAATTAGTACAGCTGCTGTGGAAAGAAGTAGAGAGACATCTCAAAAAATAAAAGTAAAATTACCATTAAATCCCACTACTGTGTATCTATTCGAAGGGAAAGAAATATATCAAATAATACATGCACTCCATCAATATGTCCATCAATGGATGAATGGATAAAGAAAATGTGGTATGTGTACATAATGGAATACTATTTAGCTATATGAGAGAATGAAGTCATATCATTTGCAGCAAAGCATGGATGGAACTAGCAGTCATTATCTTAAAAGAAATAAGCCAGGTACAAAAATACAAATATCACATGTTCTCACTCATATATGGGAGCTAAAAAGTTTGATTACATGGAAGTAGAGAGTGAAAAGATAGATAACAGATACTGATGCCTTAGTCCATTTGCATTACTCTACCTGAGGCTAGGTAATTTATTTTAAAAAGTAGGTTTATTGGGTTCCTGGTTCTGCAAGCTGTACAAAAAGCATGGCACTAACATCTGCTTCTAGTGAAAGTTTCAGGGAGTTGCCAATCATGATGCAAGGTGAAGCAGAGCAGGCAACACATGATCAGGGATGAGGAAGAAAGAGAGGGTGGGGAACAGTGTCATACTCTTTTAAACAACCAGATCTCCCATGAACTGATAGAGTAACAACTCAGGCATTACCGTGGGGATGGAACAAAGCCATTCATGAAGGTTCCATCCCCATAACTCAAACACCTCCCATGAGGAACCTCCTCCAACACTGGAGATCAAATTTCAACTTGAGATTGGAAGGGACAGATATCCAAACTATATCTGGGAAGGGTGAATGGGAGAATTGAGGAGGTTGAAGAAAAGTGGGTTAATGAGTACAAACATACAGTTAGATTGAAGAAATATATCCAATATTTGATAGCAGAGTAGGGTGAGTACAGTTAACAAAACTGTATTATACTCACTTGATGGGAACCCTAAACACCCTGAATTGATCACCACACAGTATATATATGTAACAAAATTTCACATGTACCCTATAAATTTGTATAAATTTTTTAAAAGTGTGATTTTCACATAGTGATAGACATATGGACCAGTGACATAGAACTGAGAGTCCTAACAAACCAACACACCTATGGCCATTTTTTTTTTTTTTGACAAAGCTGGGTATATTCAGTGAGTGAAAAAAAAAAAACTCTTTAAAAATGATGCTAGAAAAACTGAATTCGCATATGCAAAATAACGAAGTTGGATCTTTACCCCACAACATATACAAAAATTAACTCAAATGGATCAACGACCCAGATATAATAGATAAAACTGTGAAGCTATTGTTAAAAAAAGATATAAATCTTCATGTCCTTGGGTTTAGCAATGCATTTGTAGAGGACACAAGAAGCACAAACCACAAAGCAGTAAATAGATAAATTGAACTTCATTAAAATTAAATACTTTTATGTATCTAAGCTCATTATTAAGAAAGTGAAAAAGAGACATTATGAAGATGGCTGACTAGATGTGTCTCATGCTCTTTTCACTCACAAATAAAGACCTTACTAACAAATAACCACACTTGAGATAACACTGTAATTCCAGCAAGGAAATGATAAAAACATTCTCAGATATGGAAACTTGGGATGGCAGTGTAGAAAGAGAACCAAATAAAGTGAAAAGACAACCCACAAAATGGTGGGAAATATTTGACAACTTTTATCTAATAAGGGTCTACTGTCTCAGATATATGAACTCCTAAACTCGACAACAAATAGACAAAAACCTAATTTAAAAATGGGAAAAGTACACAGCTAACATCATACTCAATGATTAAAGATTGAAAGCATTTCATGTAAGGTCAGGAATAAGACAAAGATATTCATTCTCACCATTTCTATTCAAAACAGTACTGGAAGTCCGAGACAGAGCTATAGTAATTAAAACAATGTAGTGCTAGCATTAAAACAATGTAGTACTAGCATAAAAACAGACATGCAGACCAATGAAACAAAATAGAAATACCAGAAATAAATCCTCACATATATGGTTAAATTATCTTCCACAAATGCTAAGGCCACTCAGTGGGGAAAAGGAGAGTCTTTTCAAAAAATGGTTCTGGCAAAACTGGATATTTGTTGTAGGAAGTCAGGGACCCAGAATGGAGGGACCTGCTGAAGCCGTGACAGAAGAACATAAATTGTGAAGACTTCATAGACATTTATCACTTCCCCAATCAATACTCTTATAATTTCCTTTGCCTGTCTTTACTTAAATCTCTTAATCCCATCATCTTCATAAACTGAGGATGTATGTTTCCTCAGGACCCTGTGATGATTGCATTAACTGCACAAATTGTTCATAAAGCATGTGTGTTTGAACAGTCTGAAATCTGGGCACCTTGAAAAAAGAACAGGATAACAGCGATGTTCAGGGAACAAGGGAGATAACCATTGGGTCTGACTGCCTGGAGCCGAGCAGGACAGAGCCATATTTCTCTTATTGCCAAAAACGAGTAAGAGAAATATCGCTGAATTATTTCCCCAGTAAGGAATATTAATAATTAACAGCCCTGGGAAAAGAATGCATTCCCAGGAGGAGGCCTCTAAAATGGCTGCTGTAGGGGTGTCTGCCTTATGCAGTCGCCGATAAGGCATGAAACATGCCCTGGCCTCCTGCAGCGCCCCCAGGCTTGCTAGGATTAGGAAATTCCAGCCTGGCGAATTCTAGTCAGACTGATTCTCTGCTCTTGAACCCTGTTAAGATGTTTATCAATGACAATGCATGCACAGCGGGACATGGAACTTCATTAGTAATTCTAGTTTTGCCCTGACCTTGTGATCTCGCCCTGACCTTCTGCCTTATGATCTTTAGTTGCCCTATGAAGCATGTGATCTCTGTGACCCACACCCTGTTCGTACACTCCCTCCCCTTTGAAAATCACTAATAAAAACTTGCTGGTTTTGCAGCTCAGGGGGCATCACGGAACCTGCCAACATGTGATATCGCCCCCAGACACCCAGCTTTAAAATTTCTCTCTTTTGTACTCTTTCCCTTTATTTCTCAGACCAGCCGACACTTAGGGAAAATAGAAAAGAACTTATGTTGAAATATTGGGGGCTGGTTTCCCCCGATAGACATTCACATACAAAAGAACCCTTATCTTATATCATATACAAAAAATAACTCAAAATGGATTAAAGACCTAAATGTAAGACCCCAAAATATAAAACTCCTAGAAGAAAACATAGACCAAATCTTCGTGACATGGGATTTGGAAGTGATTTCATGGCTATGACATGAAATGCACAGGCAACAGAAGCAAAAATTGACAAATGGTAATACATCAAACTTAAAAACTTTTGTGCATCAAAAATTAATATCAACAGAGTGAAAAGGCAACTTATGGAATGGTAGAAAACATTTACAAATTATATATCTGATAAAGGGTTAATACCCAGAATAATAAAGAACTCCTACAACAAAACAACAATGAAACAAACCAAATAATAAATTTAAAATGTGCAAAGAACTTGAATAGACATTTCTCCAAAGGTAATATACAAATGACAAAAAAGCACATGAAAAAATGCTCAATATCATTAATCATTAGGGAAATACAGATTGAACCCACAATGAAATATTATCTTACACCCATTAGAATGGCTACTATAAAATAAAAATCAGAATATAACAAATGTTGGCGAAGATGTAGAGAAATCTGAACCCTTGTGGATTGTTGATGGGATTTTAAAATGGTGCAGCCGATATGGAAAACAATATGGCAGTTCCTAAAAACTTAAAAATAGGGCTTCCACATGATCCAGCAATCCCACTTCTGGGTACATACCAAAGAGAACTGAATGAAAGCAGGAGCTCAAATAGATGCTTGTAGACCAACGTTCGTAGCATCATTATTAACAAAAGCCAAAGGTGGGAGCAACCCAAGCATCCAGTGATGGATGAATGAACAAAATGTGATATATACATACAATGGAATATTATTCATCTTTAAAAAGGAAGAAAATTCTGTAACATACTATGATATGGTTTGGATTTTTGTCGCCACCCAAATCTTATGTTGAATTGTAATCCCCAGTTGTGATGGTTAATACTGAGTGTCAACTTGATTGGGTTGAAGGACTCAAAGTATTGATCCTGGGTGTGTGTGTGAGGGTGTTGACAAAGGAGATTAACATTTGAGTCAGTGGGCTGGGGAAGGCAGACCTACCCTTAATCTGGTGGGCACAATCTAATCAGCTGCCAGCAAATATAAAACAGGCAGAAAACCGTGAAAACGTGAAACTGGCCTAGCTTCTCAGCCTACATCTTCCTCCCAAGCTGGATGCTTTCTGCCCTCAAACATCAGACTCCAAGTTCTTCAGTTTTGGAACTCAGACTGGCTTTCCTTGCTCCTTAACCTGCAGACAGCCTATTGTGTGAATCTTGTGATTGTGTGAGTTAATACTTAATAATAATCTCTCTCTCTCTCTCCATATATATGTGTGTATATATATATATGTTCTATATATATAGTTCTCTCTATATATGTTCTATATATATATATATATATATATATTTATGAATATATATTCAATTACTTCTGTCCCTCTAGATAACCCTGACTAATACACCAGTGTTGGAGGAGGGGCCTAGTGGGAAGTGATCGGATCATGGGGCAGATTTCCCTTTTTCTGTTCCCATGACAGTGAGTGAGTTCTCATGAGATCTTGTTTAAAAGTGTGTACCACCTACCCTTTTGTTCTCTTCCTGATGCTCTGGACATGTAAGATGTAACTCCTTCCTTTTTGCCTTCTGACATGATTGTAAGCTTGCTGAGGCCTCCCCAACCATGCTTCCTGTACAGTCTGTGGAACTGTGAGCCAATTAAACCTTTTTTCTTTATAAATTACCCAGTCTCACATAGTTCTTTATAGCAATGTGAGAATGGACTAATACATACTACTAATGAAAACTTTGATGAACCTTGAGGACATCTGCTAAGTGAAATAAGTCAGTCACGAAAAGACAAATATCACGTGGTTGCACTTATATTACATATTTACAGTAGTCAAATTCATAGAAATAAAAAGTAAAATAGTGCTTTCCGGGGGTTAGGGGAAAGGAGAGTTGGAGAGTTGTTTAATGAATACAGAGTTTCAATTTTGCAAGTGGGAAAAAGTTCTGGAGATCTGTTGCACAAACATGTAAATATACTTAACACTACTGAACTGTATACTTTAAAATGGTTGAAATGGTAAATTTTATGTTATCTGTTTTTACCACAATAAGTGTTGTGTTATAGGTACTTGATTTGGCATGAATGCACAGGCTTTGGCAAAGGAAGGAAATAAGTTGGAAGCAGCTCTTAAGAGCCTATATTTTATAAGAGCCTGTAGTTTACAAAGTATTCAAAGCTTGTTGTTTTTCTGACCGTTCTATTACGTAATTAGTATTTGCTAGTTACTAACATTCAAATTTGACATTTAGAACTAGTGCTTTTGGTGTTTAATGGACCACTTCTTTGATACTAGATGCACACAGGCCTGCACTCTGTGTGCAATACAACAACAGTGCAATGTCATAAACCAAATGGTTGCATTCCAGAAGACAGTCACCTAGAAGTGGATGTAAGTGCCCTCTGAGTAGGGCAGACAGATAAATACTATTATTTTTTGATATCTGAGACTTTGTCAAACAGCTCTTGGTGCACCTGCCTTTGCTTTCTCAAGTATAAGCCAGCTAATAGACATGAGTATGTTCTAAAATTTAAAAAAAGGCAAAGTACTTGAATAGACATATTTCCAAAGAAGATGTATAAATGACCAATAAGCACATTAAAAGAGGCCAACATCGTTAGTAATTAGAGAAATGAAAACCAAAACCACAAGATTCCACCTCACACCTACTGGGATGGCTATAATCAAAAACAAGGAAAATGACAAATATTGGCTAGGATATGAAGAAATTGGAACTCTCATAGATTGCTGGTGGGAATATAAAATGGTGCACCTGTAATGGAAAAACAGTGTGTCTCTTTTCCTCAAAAAATTATAGAGCTACTATATAACCCTGCAGTTCTACTCCTAGGTATACACACAAGAGAAATGTATGAAGACAAGTTCATACAAAAACTTACACGTGAATGTTCATAGTAGCATTCATAATAGCCCAAAAGAAAAAACAATCTGAGCGTCCATCAAAGGATTAATGGATAAACAAAATATGGTACATACATAAAATGGAACGCTATTCAGCCTTAAAAATGAATGAAGTTCTGATATAGGCTGCAGCATGGACGAACCTTGTAAGCATTATTCTATGTGAAATAAGCTACACACACACACACACACACACACACACACACACACACACAACCAAATTATTGTATTATTCCACTCACATGAAGTACCTAGAATAGGCAAATTCATAGAGACAGAAGTTTATAAGATGCTGAAAGGAGGGGGGAATGGGGAATTTTTATTTAATGGGTACAAAGTTTCTGTTTGAGATGATTAGAAAAAAACTCTGGAAACGGATAATGATGGTGTTTGCACAACACCGTGAATGTAGTTAGTGTCACTGAATTGTACACTTATAAATGGTTAAATCGGTAATATATATGTCTGTGTGTATGTATGTATGTGTGTGTATATATATGTATATATATATGTATATATATATATATATATAATCATAATAAAATAATTACAAATAAGAATACTAGGAATAACTTTACCATCACAAATTCAACAACTTAGAAAAAACGGACCAATTTTTCAAAAACCACAAACTATCAAAACTTTAAAAGAGGTGAAATAGGTTATATGAATAATCCTATACCCATTAAAGAAATGCAGTTTATTATTTAAAGTTTTCGGAAAAAGAAATCTCTGGGTCCAGGCAGTTTCACTGGACAATTCTACCAAAAATGTAAAGAAGAATTCACACCAATTTTACACAATTTCTTCCAGAAATAGAAAAGGAGAGAACATTTCCCAACTCATTTTATGAGGTCATTATTACTCTGATACTAAAACCAAAGACAGAACAAAAAAAGAAAACTACAAACCAATATTTCTCATCAAGTCAGATACAAAATTCCTCACCAAAAGTATTAGCAAACTGAATCCCACAATGCATAAAAAAAGAGTTATATGCCATTACCAAATGCGGATCATTCCAAGAATGCAAGTCTGGTTCAACATTTGAAACTAACAAACATAATCCACCAGTCAAGAGATTAAAGAAAGCAAAATGAAATGATCACATCAGCTGATGGAGAAAAAAAAGCATTTAACAAAATTTAACATTCATTCCTGATAAACTCAGAAAACTATGAAGAGAATTTCATAAGCTTGATAAAGGGCATCTTTGAAACATGTACAATTAACATCATACCTAATTGTGAACGACTGAATGCTAATTCTCTAAGACTGGGAAAAGGCACACATGTCCACTCTCACAACTCTTATTCAACATAGTCTTGGATGTTCTGGCTATTGTATTAAGGCAAATAAAACAAATAAGGCATACAGATTGGAAAAGGAAAAATAAAATTGCCCTCATTTGCAGATGGCATGAATGGCTATGTAGAAAATCCCAATAAACTTACCAAAAAACAAAAACAAAAGTAAACAATCAACAACTACAAAATCTTTCCTGTGACTAAGGAGTTCAGTTAGGATACAAGATCAACACACACACAAAAAAACGCATTTCTTTTTTTAAAATTTAATTTAATTTTACTTTAAGTTCCAGGATACATGTGCAGAACATGCAGGTTTGTTACATGTGCCATGATGGTTTGCTGCACCTATCAACCCATTATCTAGGTTTGAAACCCCACAAGCATTAGATATTTGTCCTCATTCTCTCCCTCCCCTTGCCCCCTACCTCCCAGCAGGCCCCAGTGTGTGTTGTCCCCCTCCCCGTGTCCATATGTTCTCACTGTTCAACTCCCACTTATGAGTGAGAATCTGCAATGTTTGGTTTTCTGCTCCTGTGTTAGTTTGCTGAGGATTTGGCTTCGAGCTTCATCCATGTCCCTGCAAAGGACATGATCTCACTCTTTTTTATGGCTGCATAGTATTCCATGGTGTATATGTACCACATTTTATTTATCCAGTCTATCATTGATGGGCATCTGTGTTGGTTCCATGTCTTTTCTATTGCAAATAGTGCTGCAATAAACATACATGTGCATGTGAACCAATTGCATTTCTAAGAAGAAACAAACATATGGAACAAGAAGAACCAAATATATGGAAACCCAAATCAAAATCCAATGTCATTTGCACCACAGAAATTGAAATATTTAGGTATATTCTTAACAAAATATACAATCCATATGCTGAAAAATCAGAAATGCTGATAAAAGAAATCAAAGAAGACCTAAATAAATGTAAAAACATATCATGTGCATACACTGGAAGACTCAGTATAACAAAGCACTCTGATATATATAACCAAACTGATATATAGATTTAACACAATTTCTATCAAAATCTCAAAGAGGTTTTTTGTAGGCATAGACAAGCTGGTTCTAAAATTTATATAAAGAGGTGCAGATACTAAAATAGCTAAAACAATCTTGAAATGAAATAGTAAAGCTAAAGGAGTCAATCTACTCTACTATAAAACGACAATGATAAAGACCTGTACACAGATGTTCATAGCAGCTTTATTCATAGTAGACAGATAGTAAATAGAACCCACATGTCCTTCAATCGGTCAATAATTAAACAAATTATGCTACATACCTACTATAAATCACATTTAGCAATAAAAATAAACAAACTTGATACATACAGCAACTTGAATTAATTTCAAGGACATGCTGAGTGAAAAACCTAATTCCAAATGTTTATATCATGTATGGTTTCATTCATATAATTTTGAAATTATAGATATGAAGAACAGATTAGAGGTTTCCAGGGGTTAGGTACCAAGGTGGGAAGAATGGAAAGGAAGTAGGAAGGAAGTAGATATGGCTATAAAAGGCAATGTGAAATATCCTAATTGGGATAGAACTATTCTGTATATTGTCTAAGGTGGTATACACAAGCTACATGTAATAAAATTGTATAGAATTAAATGTACGCACACAGACACAAAAAAGTACAAGTAAACCTGGGGAGATTTAAATAAGATAAGTGGATTGTATCAATGCCAATGTCATACTTGAGATATTGTACTATAGTATTGCAGGATGTTAGCATTGGGAGAAACTCAGTAAAGTGTACTTGGAATCTGTATTAATTCCACAACCACATGTGAATTACAATTATCTCAACAAAAACTTACATTAAAAAATCCTGCAAATCTTTTTTTCAAGAATAACACCTTACTCTGTCATCTTTAGCATCATAATAGCTTATTTGTTGACTGCTAATTGGGCTTGCATGAGGCCTCAGACAAAGTCCCCTGGCTCAAGCTAAGCTGAAACTGGTATGCTTTTTGATGTTTCTGATCTTCAGAGTCACTGATCACACTAGGACATTCCCACATTTTCCAGAGGAGTTATCTGGTCTTCTGTGAGCTCCCTGGCACTATCAATGTGCAAGCAGATTGCTTGACCACTTCATGAGTGAGGTAGACAAGACTGGGGAGGGAACTAAATAGATAACAGATTGAAAGAAATAGTTGAAGGAGCTGGGGCTGTTTTCCCTGAAACAAGGTGACATGGAGGATATAATATCTGGGTTCAGATCCCTAGAGGGCTGTTTTGGGGCAGAAAAAGTGAGAGCTGAGTTTTTGACAAAGTTTCCAGTGCTGGACACATTAAAGTAATGGTGATGCTTTAGGGTGAGGATAGTGGGAGGTTGTGGGCATTTTCTTCAGGCTGAGCCTGGTGGGTCAGTGGACTGGGAAGGTCTTTATAAATGACCAAGGCCTTCTTAAGCTTTAGAAAAGCTGAGTGAGAACACATTCTGTTATGGAGGCTTCTCCTTCCTACCTTCCTCCTCACTCTGAGCAGTGAAGGAAGGGGAGGGGCAACGAGTTGGAGGATATGCAGAGAGGCTCAGTTCAGAAGAGAAAAAAGAAGAGATTCCTCAGGGATATAGAACTAGAAATACCATTTGACCCAGCAATCCCATTACTGGGTATATACCCAAAGGATTATAAATCATGCAGCTGTAAAGACACATGCACACGTATGTTTACTGCAGCACTGTTCACAATAGCAAAGACTTGGAACCAAGCCAAATGTCCAACAATGATAGACTGGATTAAGAAAATGTGGCACATATACACCATGGAATACTACGCAGCCATAAAAAATGATGAGTTCATGTCCTTTGTAGGGACATGGATGAAGCTGGAAACCATCATTCTCAGCAAACTATCGCAAGGACAAAAAACCAAACACTGCATGTTCTCACTCATAGGTGGGAATTGAACAATGAGAACACATGGACACAGGAAGGGGAACATCACACACCGGGGCCTGTTGTGGGGTGGGGGGAGGTGGGAGGGATAGCATTTGGAGATATACCTAATGTTAAATGACGAGTTACTGGGTGCAGCATACCAACATGGCACATGTATACATATGTAACTAACCTGCACGTTGTGCACATGTACCCTAAAACTTAAAGTATAATTAGAAAAAAAAAAAAGAGAAAAAAAAAGTGTGCTAGGCTGAGGCTGGACCTTCTCAGTGCCCCCTGGTGGAGGTGTGGGAACAACCGCAGCTCAGGGGCCTCACCCTGTCTCCCATTTGAGTGGCAGGGAGGGATATAGGAGGATAGGCTGGGAGCAGGAACCCTAGCCTCACCAGGCACCTGTCTATCTGTCAGTCAGTCCTTCCAGGACTTCCCCATGGGAGAGCCCCTCCTCTTACTGAAATCGCTCCCAGAATGGCACTGGTAAGATAACACGGCCTGGGAAGAGGGGGTGGAGGGTAGCCTAAAATTAGCCCCTTGGACCAAGACTAGGGACTGACTCCTAGTCTTTCAACGGCATTGTTAACAGTGGGAAACGAGAGCCCCAGCTGCTCCAGGTTGGGGCCGTGGGGGCTCCCTAAGGAGGGGACACCAGGGCCCCAATGTTTCACAGAGGGGCGGGGGGCAGCGACCCTGGGCAGCATGGCCTCAGGCTGAAGCCCGGTGAGTACCTGGAGCCTAGGACCGGTTTGAGAAGAGTGACCACTGCGGGCCCACAGACCTGTGATCACCCACTTCCCGTTGTAGGCTGTTTCCGCTGGGTCTGGGACGTGGTGGGAGTTGGGGGAGGCGCTTGGAAGGTCGTTAGGGCAACCCACCAGGAGGAGGGAGGAGGGATATAATGCCAGCTCCCTGCCTTGTGTGTCCCAAGAGGATATGTCTGCCTAGGACCTCGGGTCTAAACAGACCTGCTTCTTGAGAGCAATTGTGATTATACACTACAGGAAGTGTGGAGATTTGTCTTTGTGTCCCTGTGTGGTGTTGGCTAGTCTGTGTGTGTGGGTGCCTTAGAGTGGGTTTAAGGGCATAAGGGCAGAACTCGTAAGGGTGAGAGAAGGAAGATGAGGCTTAAAAACGTTCTGCTAATGCCTGAAGGAATGCTCTAGGATGCACGGAAACCAACCACTTTCCTGTGGGAGTACTTAACCTGGATTGACAGACACCAAGAGGGCCTTAGATAGAATTCAAGGGGTCCAGAAACTTGGATGAATAGACAATTACCTTTTTTCCCCCTAACCTCTAACTAAAATGTACTATTTCCTTCAAGGATGAATGCAGGTATCAAATGGCAGTAGCATAACCAGTTCATGTAATTTGGTTACCAGAAGAAACCACAGATATTTCATATCATATTACAGTTGTGGCAGAGATCTTGAAATGTCATTTATTACCACTTAGAAATTATTACTAGACCTTTTTATTTAATGTGTTACTAAAGAACATCTCTTACTATATCATGCATTTAAAAATATTTTGACAGTCACATTTTAATATAATTGGTTTCCTTTAATTTTATGTGTTTTATGTAGCAAAAACCATTCTGAAAGGTGTTTACAGACTTTGCTAGTTTGTCACAGGAACCAATATCACAAAAAAAAAGGTTTAAAACTCCTACATCTTTAGGATCAGGAAGGAGCTACGTGCACATAACAGGCACATAGTAACTCTTTGATTAATAAACTACAGCAAAGTGAGGTAAGACAACAGGCTAGCTGGATTTCCTTGTCCTTATCTAATGGAGGCACGATTCACTCCAGTGCCACAGCCAGCTGGAGAGCATGGCTTGGTCTCCCTCTGGAGGCTCATTATATGAGCTCTGCTGTGGGCTCTTGGTATGAACCTTAGCAAGAACTTCAGCACTTCCCTCTGCCACTCCCTGCCAATTATCTGCCCAGATCCCAGTCGCCAAAATAAAATATTAAGGAGGGAATTCCTACCAGTTATCAGAATAAATTATTTGTAAAGGAACCTTCCATTACCGAAGACCCTGGAATTCAGCATGACACTCAAAAGCTGAAGATCCTGGGAGCTGCAATGTGACTGCTGGAGTCAAGGGAGGGGGGTATGTGTTTGTGTTTCATCTTGTAATAGAAAGAACAGGAGGAGGAGTAGAGAAACCTGGATTCTATTTCTGACTCTGCTTTTGCCTTGATGTAAGGTATATGGAAAACCCCTTACCCTCTCTGGACTCAGTTTCCTCCATCCAAAAAATGGGGATAATATTACCTATTTTGTTACATGAAATTGCTTTGAAAAGCACAGGATTATAAGTGTGTTCTGAGTTCTTGTTAATGAGACAACTAACAATAACAACCATGTGACCTTACCAAAGTCCCTGCTCTGCTCTGAACCTTGGTTTCCCCATCTGTAAATTGAAAAAATTAAATTAAATGATCTACAAGGTCCCTTGCAGCTCTGAGGTTCTAGAACATTAAGTAGGGAGCAATAGCCTTAGAAAATGGAGACATAAGTAACAATCATCATCATAGTAAAAATAGTTACTGAGAACTACTTTCAGGCACTATTCTAAGCACTTACTATGTACTAACTCATTTAATCCTAAGAACCCTCCAAGGCAGATACTATTGTTATTTTGTCTTTACAGATGAAGAAATGGGCACAGAGAGATTAAGTGACCTGCCCCAGGTCACACAGCTACTAAATGCTAGAGCTGGGGTAGAAGCAGAACTCCCATGTTTTGCCACTACCACATAAGGCCTCTTTATCTGCACTAGGGCAAACAAAGACCCATATAGAAGTTACAATACAGTGTGATGACTGCTATAGTGCTATAACACAGACTCTGCAGGAATTAACTTGGCAGAAGGAGTTGCATGTGGCAGAAAGAAACATGGTGTATATGGAGAGCCATCACTTTTTGTCTCTTGTCACTGGACCTCAGGATATAAGTCAAGGAGTAGTAGGAAGTGAGGCTGGAGAGATTGGCCAAGATTTATTCATGAAGGACCTCTGAGCTGGGCTAAAGTATTTGGGCTGTAGCTGGAAAGAAAGGGGAGCCATTAAGGTATTTAAAACAGAGGATTGGTAGAGATCAGATATGTATTTTTAAATTACCACTTTAGCAACAATGTGGAGAAAATATTGAAAAGAGAAACTACCTATGAGACCACTATAACTGCTGAGGCAAAAGGCAGTGGGGGCCTAGATGAAGCATAGTCAATGAGAATGGTCCCTGAAGAGCACAGATGGTCTGGAGAAGTCTTTAGTAGGTAAAATCCACAGGACTTGATGGGATTTTATGAGAGTGGGATAAAGAGGCAAGAGCATTGACAGGAGTCTTGGTTTTTGGTTTGGTTGACCAGGTAGATGGTGAGGAAATGATATATGGATCAAGTTTAGTCATGGTGGTAGTGGTGGTGATGTGATACTGCTGTCTTTGAAGTGCTTGAAGAAACTCAGTGGATACATGCCTGGAGCTAAAGAGAGAGCTGGGGGCTCGGATAGAGACGCTTAAAATAATCAGAATAAAGGTGAGAGCGACTGGAGAGAAGAGGTTGGAGAAGAGAACACAAATATTTCAGGGGAGAATGGGAAGGGAGAAAAATCAGGAGAGTGTGCTGGCAAAGAAGCTGATGGAGGAGTTTGTAGGGAGGAGTGGTCTGTAGGGATAGATATTCCAGAAAAGTCAGGGAAGAAAAGATCTTCAAGATATCCACTGGATTTAACCACAAAGATGACCTTTTGAAGAGCTTTCTTGGTGTATGTTTGAGTGTGGGTGAAGCCAGACTGCAGAGAATGGACAAGTGAATGGAAGGTGGTGAAGTACATAGTAGAAAACTATTTGGATATGTTTGGTGTAAAGAAGGGAGAGACGAAGAGAAAGATAGCTAGAGTGGGACAAAGGACCATAGAAGTTTATTCTCCTAAGTTTTGTCTCCTAAGATGGAGGCTAAAGGTGCAGAGTATGTAGTAGCTCTCTTACTCCTAATAACCTCATGAGAAAGTGACTTCCATTTCTGTCTTATAGATGAGGAAACTGAGTCCCAAAGAAGGGAAGAGACTTACCCAAGGTTACTCAGCAAAGAACTGAGAGTGCTGAGCTGCAAACCTGGGTCTGCTGGATTTCCAAAATCCTGTCCTTCCCATTGCACCCCAAGAATGAATAAATAATAACACCATATATGGAGCTGATGCTGGTGGGTGGGGAGGGGCCTAAAGTTTAGGGTGACCCTACCCACCCACCTCATAATTTTCTTTCTATGAGGTAGGTACCTGAGGTCCCAGACTAACAAAGAGGGGTGGGGGTAGACAGTGAATAAAAGAAGATATGAGGTCCTGAGACCTCAGCTGCAGGGTATGGGAGAGTAGGGGAACTTAAGCTCTGAGAAACCTGCCAGCTCGCCCTGATGACATTACAAACTGAGGTGGGCGACCTTGACACTGAAGCACTGGTAAGGTCAGAGGTTGGGTTGAGTCAGACATTGAGCCATGAGTGGTTTTGTAGGGTGAGGATTATGGAAAGAGAAGAGTTGAAGGTTGAGTCAAAGGCTCTAGCCTGGGTCAGACAGGATGGAAAAAGGCTTAAGCCAGAGGAATGGGGAGCCAGTGTTGGCAATCAAAGGGACTCCTGGATTAAATTGGTCCTGGGGGAGAATCTAGTTGTAATCAGAGAGGAAACTTGCCCTGGGAGCCTCGACTGTTTCCTGCCATCTGTCTTCATTTTACTTGAAATATGTTCTTTGTAATGCCACCTCTTCATTTAATCAGTAAATATCATTCAATACCAGTTTCCTGAATACTTCTTTTCCTGAAATGTGGGACTTCATCTGAGGGAAGGTTACAGAAGGCTCAGATGAGGGAGCTTTAGTCATATATGAGGGGCTGTGAAGAGTTAAACTATCTGAAAATGGAGTTAAGGGCTTGCCCCAAAAGATTGATGTCAGCAAGCTCAGGGATGGCAACTTGACACCACAAAGTATGGTTCTATTGGCTTAGCCAGCGCCAGGCCAGAGCCACCTTACTAATCCACACATTCTGAACTGAGGAAAATGCATCTACCAGATTTCCAGCCATGATATAGCCCTACTAGGGATAGAGGAATACAAGATGAATACAGGGTCCTTGCCCTGGAGTTTATACACTAATGGAACATAGATAAGCGGAAATGTGGTGTGAAAGTTCATAGCTGAAGTTTAGTTGTGATCCTTCAGAATCCCTGAGCAGGAAGAGGAGATTAGAGAAGGCTTCCTAGACGTAGGAGTTTGAGGGGTAGGCAGAAGAGTGTATGCAAAGGCATCAAACTGTAAAATGCCCTGACCTGTTTTGGCAGTGTCTTTGGGGCCTGAAATAAGACAGTGGGATTGGGAGTGAGAAGTAGGAGACCCATGAATGAGTAGCCTGATGGTGAAATGGAGGGAGATTTCAAGGAGCGTGCATGGTCAGGCTTTTGATGGGTACCCTCATTCTCTCCCACTTGTTTGTCACCCACAGATCTGGCATTTCCTTGTGCTCATAATGAGAATAGTTCTCCAATTAGCCAAGATGAACCTCATGGACATCACCAAGATCTTCTCCCTCCTGCAGCCCGACAAGGAGGAGGAGGACACTGACACAGAGGAGAAGCAGGCTCTCAATCAAGCAGTGTATGACAACGACTCCTATACTTTGGACCAGCTTTTGCGCCAGGAGCGTTACAAACGTTTCATCAACAGCAGGAGTGGCTGGGGTGTTCCTGGGACACCCTTGCGCTTGGCTGCTTCTTATGGCCACTTGAGCTGTTTGCAAGTCCTCTTAGCCCATGGTGCTGATGTTGACAGCTTGGATGTCAAGGCACAGACGCCACTTTTCACTGCTGTCAGTCATGGCCATCTGGACTGTGTACGTGTGCTTTTGGAAGCTGGTGCCTCTCCTGGTGGTAGCATCTACAACAACTGTTCTCCCGTGCTCACAGCTGCCCGTGATGGTGCTGTTGCTATCCTGCAGGAGCTCCTAGACCATGGTGCAGAGGCCAACGTCAAAGCTAAACTACCAGTCTGGGCATCAAACATAGCTTCATGTTCTGGCCCCCTCTATTTGGCCGCAGTCTACGGGCACCTGGACTGTTTCCGCCTGCTTTTGCTCCACGGGGCAGACCCTGACTACAACTGCACTGACCAGGGCCTATTGGCTCGTGTCCCAAGACCCCGCACCCTCCTTGAAATCTGCCTCCATCATAATTGTGAGCCAGAGTATATCCAGCTGTTAATCGATTTTGGTGCTAATATCTACCTTCCATCTCTCTCCCTTGACCTGACCTCACAAGATGATAAAGGCATTGCATTGCTGCTACAGGCCCGAGGTGAGTGGTGAACAGGCCAGCCTCATAGGCCACCTGGCTTGGAGGTCCCAGGGCTCTAAATCACGTATAAGCCAATCCTCTGAGGTGCACTGGAGAAAACTCCATCTTCCTCCCTCTCCTGGGGCCCCAGTAGAGAAGAGGGGTTATGTATTCCATGTTAGAGAAAGGTCACTAAGATAAGGTTGGGTGGGGGTGGGGAGCATTAGCCCAATTTCTGGTTCTGGCTCTGCCAATGACTGTTTATTTCTTGGAAAGGATAGAGCATTAGGGCTGTAGTAGCCAGTGGAGAGTGGATGTAGGCTTGTGTGGGAGAATTTTGCTGATAATTGCTCCTCATGACCTGTTTCTTCTTGCTGTAGCCACTCCACGGTCACTTCTATCACAGGTCCGTTTAGTCGTCCGCAGAGCCTTGTGCCAGGCTGGCCAGCCACAAGCCATCAACCAGCTGGATATTCCTCCCATGTTGATTAGCTACCTAAAACACCAACTGTAATCTTGCAGTCTCCCCAGGAACTTATGATGCCTCCGAAAACCACCTGGGGACTCACGTAGCTGGAGAGCATTACAGCCTCATCCACTTACCTGGAGCTGCTCTCCTGTATTATCCTCCACAATAAAATTCTCCAGAAAATAAGTCCCAGTGTCTGCTGTGTCTGGTGTGTGTGGGCATGGATGGGGGCATGGGCGTTATTGAGGGAAGGGGTATGATTGGCCATGGAGAAGGATAGCAAATGGTCTGGTATCTGACAGGCACAGGAGTCTGTAAGACCAAAAGAGGAAACTAACCCAATGGCCTATACCTCCCCACCAAGATCCTTTAGAGAGTTTTGGGAGCTGTGTTGCCCTGGAAGCAAGGTCCTGAATAATACAAGTGGGTAGAAGGGTAGCATCAGCTTGCCCAGCCCTGTGCCTCCCTTCAATTCTCTGGCTGCTACAAGACACCTTTTCATTGGCTGTCCCCCAGTCCCATATTACTTTGAGTCAAGTGACTGAGGAGCCTCCCATTCACTCACCTTGAATCATAGGCTGCATTTCCGCTAGTCCAGTTTATATTCAAGATCTACCTGGGTAAACAAACTATCAAATATTTATGACAGAATATCTAATGTGAAAAATAAATTGGTTACATAGGTGATAGGCTGAGAATCCAAGTAAGACAAGCAGATAACTTAGAGATTAGCAAATGCAGGAAGCCAACCTAACTTCTAGGCTTCAGGGGTAAGGGAGGAGGGAGAGGGGTCATCTGATTGAAAGTGAAATCGCAGGCCTGCCCTCAAGGGCTAAAGCCACAGATGAGAAATGCGCCTGAGCTAGAGGATGGGAAGAGGTAGCCTCTTCTTTCCCTCATTCCTGCCCTTCAATCTGCCTCTGAAGTCTCTCTCATTGAGGAAACCAGAAGTCAATTAATATTAGAACCTGAGAAACACAGCTTACAGGGGTCAACCCCCTTGCAATCAGAGTGAGGGTGAGGTGGTGAAGAATGGAGGGACCATGGGAGGAGGTAGTATGACCTAAACCGGAGCTGGAATCACACAGCAGAATTGGAAGTATGCTGATAGCAGGAACCACAGAGGAGACACAGCAGGGGCAGCACTCGAGGCAGAGAAGGCAGAGGCTAAGTACCCTGGCTTCTCCATTTTCCCTGCCTTCCCACCAGTGCCTTCTATTGGTTAAACCCAGCCAGAAGGTAGTTGACTTGGAAGCCTGGGAAATGCAGCCTGTAGGGGTCAGACCCCCTATAATGTGGAGAACTGGGGAAGGAGGCAAACAGACCCTGGAACAGCACAGATATCCACTTAAATCCAGGGAAATTCATTTTACTAAATTTTAATCCCTCCACAGGACCTTCTTGTATTTCTTCTGTACAACTGTGGGTGAGGACATGGATGAGCAGTGAAAGGGACACAAGATTAAGGGGTAGAGGAGGAGAGCCCAGATAATCTGTCCCCAGGAAGCACTTTACATATTTAGAGCCCTTCCTGGGAGCTGCTTTGATGGTCTCCTACATCATGCTCCCCTATCACTGGGAAAGGAAGGCAGAGCACGGAGTCTTAATCTGATTTGCCCCTCACCTCTCTCACCTCCCCCACTCTCCCTAGCTACTTCTGCCTGAGAGACTTTAGGAAGGAAGGTGAGAAAATTGGACATCTATCTCCATGCTCCCGCCCCACCTAGCTTTCAGATTTTCATTCTTAGGCACTTTGGGAAACAGTGCAACTGTTTTTCTCCAAGGAACATAAGAACTAAAGAACTGAGGGCTTCAGGGTAGGCATCTTCAGCTCTCTTCTGTCTTTCTCTCAATCTGGGATCCTAGGTGGTAGTTTATGCAAAGCCCCACCCCTAGCCCTGCCTGCCATTCCCTTAGGGCCCTTGGGGACTAAGTCAACCTCAGCAGCCCTATCTGCTATAGATCCCCAGGAAAGTACATCCTTCGAATGGGGCCTGGCCAAGGTGGCCTCCTCCATGGCATCTGGGACACAAACTCTGGTTGACCCAAGAAGGCACATGGACACTCTGGGCATTTCAAAGTACATGTGCTTGAGGAGGTTATAGGAATGTACAAAATTCTAGATAAAGAGGAAGGGCCAAAACTCTTAGCTTCAATTTCCCAGATGAGGGAATTGAGAACCCAACTAAGGTAAGTGCCCATGTTATTATTTATGGTCCAGCTCTTCAAAGTACTTCTAGCTGTTCTTTCTCTGGTTGCCTGTGCTGTTAGTGAGAAGAGACAACTTTACGTCCTGGTACCTTAATTTTGTCCCCTCCCCAGGCCTCATCATTCCCATCCAGAAAATGGGCCAGGAGTTGGAATGAATCACCTCAAATTCTGATGATGACTTTTCCAAGGCAATTTTGCCTAGGAAGTATGAGAAGAAAGCAGAGATGCTATTACTGCACCTAGAGTGAAATCTTCCTCTTGGCCTTTAGTGTCTTGTTGGCACTGACTCCAGGTGAAAGCTCAGTTTCCTCAATCCCCCTTACCCCCAGCACAGTCACTAGCTTTCAGAAGGCCAAATCTTAACTACTTCAGGTAAGCTAGGCCCCTTATCTCCCTTTTATCTCTCCTGACCTCCCTTTCCTTTCTGCCTTTCTTCCTTCCTCTCTCCCTCCTTTCTTCTCTCCTGCTATCATGTTAATGTTGTACTTCCCAAATTCAAATGTTGGAACCTAATCTCCAGTGTGACAGTATTAGGTGGTGAGGCCTTTGGGAAGTGATTAAATCATGAAGGCTCCAGTTTCATGAATGGGATTAGTGACCTTATAAAAGAGGCCCCAAAGACATCCCTCACCCCTTTCACCATGTGAGGACACAGCAAGAAGATGCTGTTAATAAACTAGAAAGTGGGCCCTCACCGGACACCAAATCTGCTGGCACCTTGATCTTGGACTTTCCAGCCCCCCAAACTGAGAGAAATAAATTTCTGTTGTTTCTAAATTGCCCAGTCTAAGGTATTTTGTTATAGCAGTGCAAGCAGACTAAGACACCTCCCTTTCTTCCTTCCTGACACTGCCATTATCCTGGATCTTGGCTCTGCTTTGTACATGCCACTATCAGTCTGCACTCTCTCCTGCAATGGGAAAATTATTTTGCTTTATTCAAAAAGATGGCCCCGGAGGACTACATCCAAAGTGTAAAATGGCCCATGGGACTCCAGAAACCAGAGAGATCCCCATTCAGCTGCTAACTTGACAGCCTGATGGAGAAGGTGGTATTTGATCTTTGCTTTGAAAGGTGGAAAGAATTTTAATCAGCAGAGAGGAAGCAAAAGGTATTAGTGGAGGGAACTCTATGAGCAAAAGCATAGAAGTGGAAAAATGCAGGGCAGCTTGGTTTCAGTTCAGTGAATTTGAACAGGAGCTAGGTTGCAGACTAAACTGAAGACAGCCATGAATACCTTGGTTTTTTAGACTTGAAGGTTTCAGTTCTTAGAATGGGACACTTATACTCACAGGAATGACTTCCTGAGCATATGGAGAACATGTTCCCTGATTTCCCAGGACATATCTGCTAGCATTAACTAAACCACTGTCGTGTGTGCACATATCAATTTACTTACAAGTTATTTGCACATCTATAATTTCATTTACTTCTTAGAACAATTCTGTGAGGTAAGCAGAACAGTTTTTGTACAGATGTTGCAACTAAAGCCCAGAGAAGGGAGGGGACTTGACACAGTGAGGCAGTGGCAGAGCCAGGACTGAACCCACAAGACTCTTGATGCCCAAGCCAGTGTCATTTCCCAAGATGCTGCTTTGCTTCATGTGTGAATGTTAGCACTGAGGCAGGGGTGGTGCATGGAGGTTGCAAGCTCTGACTTCATTTTCCAGGCCTGGGTCCCCGCCCTCCCGCCGATAGAACTTAGCACTAAGGAGTGATGTAGCAAGGTAGGAAAAGGTGGCAGCTCCAGTGACTGGGGATAAGCTAAAGGGGCTGGGCTAAGCCTACAGTGAGGGGCTGGGCATATGGGAGGATCAGAGGCCTCCCTCTCCCTGCCTAGGGATCAGAGGGGCCCCGATTCTACTTTGCTGGTTATTTCCAAACTCTAATGGGGTTTCATTGTTCCCTCAGCCTTGAGGAAACCCTGCTCCTAAACAGTCAAGCCAATGACCATCTGTTTCATCCTGGTATCTTCTGAGCTCTATCCACCTACAGGCACAGAAGACATTAACTTCCAGCTACTAGCCTACTTGTTAGCTCCTACTTTGCCAGTCTCCAAGTAGGCTGCTTCTTCCCTGGAGAAAATCAGAGGCTAGGCTGGTGGCAGAATCTGGTCCAGTGATACCTCCAATGCTCTGGCTTGCAGTTCCTTCACCTTCTTGACTCTTGTACCACCCCTCACTCTCCATTTTAGTATCCTTGGCCTTACCTGGAAATGCAGGTTCCCCTTTTTAGTCAGAATTGCTTGCTTTCCCAGAAGTTACATTCCTGGAACTCTATGGTTTGATTCCACAGAATCTATTCAACAGATATTTATTGAGTACCTATTCTGTGCCAGGAACTGCATTTCAGGCACCACACAAGCCTAATTTATCTGCATTTCCCCTCTCCCCTGTCTTCCCTTCCCTCACTGTCCATCTTTGACTCTGTCTTCAGTCACTTCAGTCTCCACACTAACTTTGGATCAAGTTGTTGTCCTCTCCTAAGCCTGGTCTAAGGAACACTATAGAAGAAATAGAAATAACTAATCATCATAGAAATCTAAATAATCGAGAGAAGAATGATGGTCATCAGAGGCTGGGGGACTTTGGGGGAAAAGAAATGGGGGATTATTCATCAAAGGGTACAAAGTTTCAGATAAACGGGATGTGGTGGTTAATATCGAGTGTCAAATTGATTGGATTGAAGGATGCAAAGTATTGTTCCTGGGTGTGTCTGTGAGGTGGTTGCCAAAAGAGATTATTAAAATCTGAGTCGGTGGACTGGGAGAGGCAGACCCTGCCTCACACAGTCTGGGTGGGCACAATCTAACCAGCTGCCTGCTCGGCTAGAATAAAGCAGGCAGAAGAACGTGGAAGGAATAGACTGCCTGAGTCTTCCAGCCTTCACCATTCTCCTGTGCTGGATGCTTCCTGCCCTCGATCGTCAAACTCCAAGTTCTTCAGCTTTTGGACTCTTGGACTTACCCCAGTGGTTTGCCAGGGGCTCTCAGGCCTTTGGCCACTGACTGAAGGCTGCAATGTTGGCTTCCCTACATTTGAGGTGTTGCGACTCAGACTGGTTTTCTTGCTCCTCAACTTGCACAAGGCCTACTGTGGGACTTCACCTTGTGATTGTGTGAGTCAATAATACTCCTTAATAAACTCCCTTTTACATATACATATATCCTATTAGTCCTGTCCCTCTAGAGAACCCTATTACAGATTTTGGTACCAGATGTGGGGTGGTTCTAGAGAAACAGAATATTAAGGATGGAGTTCTTTAGTTGGTTTTGGGGTTTCTGGGGTTGGCTGCTTAATATGATTAGAACCCAAAATGCTAAGGACTCTACTTCTAATAGTATGGAGAACATTGATAGTCCTTGGTGTGAACTATTTAGAGAGTTATGCAAAATAAACACATTTGATACTCCTGATTCACTGCTTGTGAGAGGCAAGGAGTTTAGTGACTATACATAATACCTTTGACCATATGTGGAGAACCAAGTAATATAATAATGTTGGTTGGTTGCTCCTAAGTTAACTGGACAAAATGATGAAAGAAAATGATGAACTCAGGGATTCTAACTCTCAGCCCCAGAAGTACATACTGATCCTCAAATCTTCTAAGATTGCCCTGAGTGAGAGTCTTATCTCCTATAGAGAAACAGCTGAAATTGTGTAAAACCAGACACAAATTCTTGTCATGCGAGTGGCTGACCTGCAATGAAAGGTGCATGCGCAGCCTCACCAGGTGTCTATTGTTAAAGTGAGGACACTGATTAGAAAAGAGTGGGACCCTGCAATTTGGAATGAGGACATGTGGGAGGACCCTGATGAGGCTGCGGGCACTGAGCCCCTAAATTGTGATTATCCTTTTTTTGCCAGAGAAAACAGCCTGCTTACCCCCAGTGGTGGCCAGATCCCCTCCCTACCCATGTTGCCATCAGCCTTCCCAACTTTGTCTGAGGAGATTAACCATGAACTTCCTGAGGCAACAGTAATGTCCTCCCTTGAGGCACTTGTCAGGCAAGACAATGCTGATTCTCCTCAGGACCCACCCGCAACACCGCTGTTTGCTTCTAGTCCTATAACTAGACTCAAGTCCCAGCGAGACCCTAGAGATGAGGTTTAGAGTGTGACACACAAGGAGGTGCACTACACACTCCAAAAGAACTGCTTGTGTTTTCTAATTTACATAAGCAGAAATCTGGAGAACAGGCATGGGAATGGATACTAAGGGTGTGGGATAATGGTGGAAGGAACATAAAGTTGGATCAGGCTGAATTTATTGATATGGGCCAACTAAGCAGGGATCCTGCATTTAATGTTGCAGCTTGGGGAGTTAATAAACGTTCTAATAGTTTATTTGCTTGGTTAGCTGAAATATGGATCAAAAGATGGCCTACTGTGAGCAAGCTGGAAATGCCTGATCTCCCTTGGTTTATTATAGAGGAAGGGATCCAAAGGCTTAGGAGGATTGGAATGCTAGAGTGGATTAATCACTTTAGACCTACTCATCCCAGCTGGGAGGATCCAGAAGACATACCCTTCACCAGTAGTTTGTGAAACAGATTTGTGATGGGAACACCTGCATCCTTGAAGAGCTCTGTGATTGCTCTTCTCTGTATGCCAGATCTTACATTGGGAACCGCAGTAACTAAATTAGAAAAATTTAAATGCAATGGGAATAATTGGATCCTGAGGTGGAAGGGGTCAAGTGGCAGCACTCAACCGTCAAAGGCAAGATGGGTGTAGTTACCATAATGGAGAGCAAGGCAAAGCAGCCATCAGAATAGTCTGACTTGTGCAGAGCTCTGGCTTTGGCCAATTAAACACGGTATTCCTGGAAATGAAATTGATAGAAAGCCTACTGCATTCTTTCTTAATTTGTAGGAGCAGAAAACTTCGAGGTCAAGTGGACAAAAGACTAATTGGAATTGTAAAAATATAGAATCACAGCCCCTCCATCAATTTCCAGACCTGAACCAGTTTACAGACCCAGAACCCCTTGAATGAAGGGGAAGCCGAATCCCCTTGAGGAAAGACCCAACTACAATACCAACAATTTATGCTGTTAATCTTTCTCCCATCCTTCCCCAAGGAGACTTCTGGCCTTTTACCACAGTAACTGCATTGGGGAAAGGGGAATTATTAGATTTTTGGGGGACTACTGGACACTGGCTCTGAGCTGACATTGATTCCAGGGGGCCCAAAACGTCATTGTGGTTCTCTAGTTAAAGTAGGGGCTTATGGAGGTCAGGTAATTAGTGGAGTTTTAGCTCAGGTCTGACTTACAGTGGGTCCAGTGGGTCCCCAGACTCAACCTATGGTCAACTCCCCAGTACATGAATGCATAATTGGCATAGACATACCTAGCAGCTGGCAGAATCCCCACATTGGTTCGTTAGCTGGTAGGGTGAGGGCTGTAAATCAAAAACAATATCACATCCCTGGAGAGATTGCAGAGATTAGTGCTACCATCAAGGACTTAAAAGATGCAGGGTGGTGATTCCCACCACAACCCCATTCAACACTCTTATTTGGCCTGTACAGAAGACAGATGAATCTTGGAGACTGACAGCAAATTATCATAAGCTTAGCCAAATGGTGACTCCAATTGCAGCTGCTATACCAGATGTGGTTTCATTGCTTGAGCAAATTAACACATCTCCTGGTACCTGGTATGCAGACTTTGATTTGGCAAATGCCTTTTTCTTCATTCTTGTCCATAAGGACCATATGAAGCAATTTGCCTTTAGCTGGCAAGGCCAGAAATATACCTTCACTGTCTTACCCCAGGGGTATACCTACTCTCCAGCTTTATGCCATAATCTTGTTCACAGAGATCTTGATCACATTTCCCCTCCACAAAATATCACACTGGTCCATTACATTGATGACCTTATGCTGATTAGATCCAGTGAGCAAGAAGTAGCAAACACACTGGACTTATTGGTGAGACATTTGCATGCCAAGGGATGGGAAATAAATCCAACTAAAATTCAGGGAACTTCTACCTCAGTAAAATTTCTAGGGGTCCAGTGGTGTGGGGTCTGTTGAGATATTCCTTCTAAGGTGAAGGATAAGTTGCTGCATTTGGCCCCTCCTACAACCAAGAAAGAGGCACGATGCCTAGTGGACCTACTTGGATTTTGGAGGCAACACATTCCTCATTTGGGTGTGTTACTCTGGCCCATTTATTGAGTGACCTGAAAGGCTAGCAGTTTTGAGTGGGGTCCAGAACAGGAGAAGGCTCTGAAATAGGTCCGGGCTGCTGTGCAAGCTGCTCTGCCACTTTGGCCATATGACCCTACAGATCCAATGATGCTCAAAATGTCAGTGGCAGATAGGGATGCTTTTTGGAGCCTTTGACAGGCCCCCACAGGTGAATCACAGTGGAGGCCTCTAGGATTTTGGAGCAAGGCCCTGCCATCTTCTGCAGATAACTACTCTCCTTTTGAAAGACAGCTCCTCGCCTGTTACTGGGCTTTGGTGGAAACTGAACTTTTGACTCTGGGTCATCAAGTCACCATGCGACCTGAACTGCCTGTCATGAACTGGGTGCTTTCTGACCCATCTATCCATAAAGTGGGGCATGCATAGTAGCATTCCATCATCAAATGAAAGTGGTAGTATATACAAGATTGGGCTTGAGCAGGTACTGAGGGCACAAGTAAGTTACATGAAGAAATGGCTCAAATGTCCATGGTCCCCACTCCTGCCACCCTGCCTTCTCTCCTCGAGCCTGCACCAGTGGCCTCATGGGGAGTTTCTTATGATCAGTTAACAGAGGAAGAGAAGACTAGGACCTGGTTCACAGATGGTTCTGCATGATATGCAGGCACCACCCGAAAGTGGACAGCTGCAGCCCCTTTCTAGGACATCCCTGAAGTACAGCAGTGAAGGGAAATTTTCCCAGTGGGCAGAGCTTGGAGCAGTGCACCTGGTTGTGCACTTTGCTTGGAAGGAGGAATGGCCAGATGTGTGATTTTTTACTGTTTCATGAGCTATAGCCAATAATTTGGTTAAATGGTCAGGGACTTGGAATAAGCATGATTGGAAAATTGGTGACAAAGAAATTTGAGGAAGAGGTATGTGGATGGACCTCTCTGAGTGGTCTAAAACTAAGAGGATATTTGTATCTCATGTGAGTGCTCACCAAAGGGTGACCTCAGCGGAGGAGGATTTTAATAATCAAGTGGATAGGATGACTCATTCTGTGGACGCCACTCAGCCTCTTTCCCCAGCCACCACCATCATAGCCCAATGAGCCTATGAACAAAGTGGTCGTGGTGCCAAGGATGGAGGTTATGCACGGGTTTTGCAACAAGAACTTCCACTCACCAAGGCTGACCTGGCTGCAGCCACCACTGAGTGCCCAATTTGCCAGCAGCAGAGACCAACACTGAGCCCTCCATATGACACCATTCCTCTGGACGATCAGCCAGCTACTCTGTGGCAGGTTGATTATATTGCACCTCTTCCATCATGGAAAGGGCAGTGGTTTGTCCTCCCCAGGACAGACACTTATTCTGGATATGGGTTTGCATATCCTGTGTGCAACCATTCTGCAAAGACTACCATCTGTGGACTCACAGAATGCCTTATCCACAGTCATGGTATTCCACACAGCATTGCCTCTGACCAAGACCCTCACTTTATGGCTAAAGAAGTGCAACAGTGGGCTCATGCTCATGGAATTCACTGGTCTTACCATGTTTCCCATCATCCTGAAGCAGTTGGAATGATAGAACGGTGAAATGGCCTTTTGAAGTCACAAGTAGAATGCGAACTAGGTGACAATACTTTGTAGGGCTGGGGCAAAATTCTCCAGAAGGCTGTGTATACTCTAAATCAGTGTCCAATATATATGGTACTGTTCCTCTCATAGCCAGGATTCACAGGGTTCAGTCATCAATGGGTGGAAGTAGCACCACTCACTATCACCCCTAGTGACCCACTAACAAAATTTTTGCTTCATGTTCATTACTTTCTACTGGCCTAGAGGTCTTAGTTCCAGAGGGAGGAATACTGCCACTAGGAGGCACAACAATGATTCCATTAAACTGGAAGTTAAGATTGCCACCTGGACACTTTGGGCTCCTCCTACCTCTAAGTCAACAGGCTAAGAAGGGAGTTCCAATGTTGGCTGGGGTGAATGACCTGGACTATCAAGATGAAATCAGTCTACTACTCCACAACGGAGGTAAGGAAGAGTATGTGTGGAATACAGGAGGTCCCTTCGGGCATCTCTTAGTATTACCATACCCTGTGATTAAGGTCAATGAGAAACTACAACAACACAATCCAGGCAGGACTACAAATAGCCCAGACCCTTCAGGAATGGAAGTTTGGGTCACTCCACCAGTACAAAACCACGACCTGCTGAGTTGCTTGCTGAAGGCAAAGGGGATGCCAAATGGGTATTAGAAGATTATAGTCATCAATAACAGCTGCAGACCAGTTGCAGAAATAAGGACTGTAATTGTCATGAGTATTTCCTCCTTATTTTGTTAAGAACATGTTTGTGTATGTATACACTTGTACTGAGAGAATATCTTCACTTTATTTCCTTTCTTTTTCCTTCATCATGTGACATAAGATTTATTGACTTCCTATCAGCATTTAAGTGTTGTTATCTTTATGTAATAGCATTTCGGCTAAGGATTAGTCAGCTTCCGGTTGTACAAAGGATAGCTGTATTATGTTAGGCTTAATTTTGACATTATTATTGTCTTTATTTAAAGATTATATATGATTTCAGGAGATGTGTATGGGTTCAAGTCGACAAGGCGTGGACTTATGGTTAATATTGAGTGTCCACTTGATCAGATTGAAGGATGCAAAGTATTGTTCCTGGGTGTATCTGTGAGGGTGTTGCCAAAAGAGATTAACATTTGAGTCAGTGGATTGGGAGAGGCAGACCCACCCTCAATCTGGGTGGGCACAATCTAATCAGCTGCCAGCTCGGCTAGAATATAGCAGGCAGAATAACGTGGAAGGAATAGACTGGCTGAATCTTCCAGCCTTCCTCATTCTCCTGTGCTGGATGTTTCCTGCCCTAGAACATCAGACTCCAAGTTCTTCAGCTTTTGGACTCTTGGACTTACACCAGTGGTTTGCCAGGTGCTCTCAGGCCTTCACCATTCACTGAAGGCTGCAGTGTCAGCTTCCCTACCTTTGAGGTGTTGTGACTCGGACTGGCTTCCTTGCTCCTCAGCTTGCACACGGCCTATTGTGGGACTTCACCTTGTGATCGTGTGAGTCAATTCTCCTTAATAAACTCCCTTTCATATATACATATATCCTATTAGTCCTGTCCCTCTAGAGAACACTGACTAATACACAGGAGAAATAGGTTTTGAGATCAATTGCACAGGAGGGTGACTATAGTCAATAAGAATGCATGATTTATTTCAAAGTAACTAAGAGAGTAAATTTCAAATGTCTTACCATAAAGCAATGACAGGTAAACAAGGTGATGGATATGTTAATTAGCTTGATTTAATCATGCCACACTGTATACATATATCAAAACATCATATTATATCCCATAAGTGTACACAATTATGATTTGTCAATCAAAAATAAAAATAACTCTAAAGAGTTGATTTCCATCAAGCACTTATATGTTCCAGGCAGTGTCCTCAGTAATCACTTCACATGGATTAACTCATTTATTTCAATGGCTTTGTTTTATTCATGCCCATTTTATAGATGAGGAAATTCAGGTGCAGTGAAGTTAAGTAGGCTAAGTGAAGTTGCTCTAGGTCAGACAGCTAGGAAGCAGGATGTCACAAAACTACAGAATGGGGTGGCTATACATTCCTGGGTGACAGCCTAGCTGGACCTTTACCAACTAGCCCATTGTCTGCAGTGGCTATTTCAAACCTTGTCCAATATTAACAGACTTCCTTGAACCTCCGTCTAGTACTGCTTTTCCTCTCACTGTCAACTAGGAATTTTGCCTCCTTCCTCCCAGAGCAGGTAGAGGTCATAAGGAGTGACATCTTCAACCTTCCATAACAACAAACTCTACTGAGTCCACCCATTTTTCCCTCTTGTCTTGATCCCTCATCCCAGCAAAGGTTAATTCATCTGTAAGGGCTCTGGATTCCATCCCCCACTCCCACCCGTAGCCCCCACCCATCAATTACCTTGTTTCCTGTATCTTCTACTTGATTGATTTCTTTTCCTCTCAGCACATAAACAAACTCACATCCTTCCATCTTGTAAAAACAAACCTGAACACCAGGGCCCCCTCTAGCTACCACATCTTTGCGGTCAAACTTCTAGAATAAGGAAGCTGTATACATTCTCCCTTTTCTCACAGACCATTCTCTTGACACCCCAGGGCAGTCTGGTGTATATCTACAGCTCTGTCCTAAACTGGCCTTGCCCATATCACCAGTGACTTGCCAGATCCACAACCAATGGCATCTTTTCTGCCTGTATCTTGCTGGATTTCTGGGCAGCATCTGACACATACACTCTTGGTAACTCTGTCTTTTATAAAATCCCAGTACTTTACTTGGCTTCCAGGAGAGCCAGTTCTCTTTGCTCTGGTTTCACATTGCCAATCCCTCTTTCTCCGGGCCTTGTGGGCTTCTATTCCTCACTCTTCTCTTTCCCTCACATCATTCATCTAAGGTGTCAACACCAAGTCCAGCCAGTTCTATCTTCCAAATACATCCAGAGTCCAATCAGTTTCCACCACCTCCACTGCCTCTATTCTGATATGGATCACTATCAGTGCCTCCTTCCTGGCCTCTCTGCTTCTTCCTTTGTTGCTATAGCTCCCTAAATGTTTTACTAAGGTCATGTAACTCCTCAGCTCAAAATCCTGCAAAATCTAAAGTCTTTAAAATGACTCAGAAAACTATACATTGTCTGTTTCCCTATGTCCTCTTTGACCTCCTCTCCTACCACTTTCCTCCTCACTCACTGTGTTCCAGGTGCACTGGCTTGCCTAGATGCTCCTCTAACATTTCAGCATGTCACCACCTCAGGAACTTTGTATTTACTGGTCTCTCTACCTGGAATGCTTTTCCTCCAGATATCCTCATGGTTTGCTCTCTCAGTTCCTCTAGGTCTTTGCTAGAATATCACCTTCTCCAACTTCCTTGTTTAAAACAGCACCCCTCAGTACTGCCTATACCCATTCCCTGCTCTATTTTTCTCCATCACATTATTTTTTCAAGAGACAAGGTCTCACTATGTTGCCCAGTCTGCAGTGCAGTGGCTATTTGTAGGCGCAATCCCACTACTGATCAAGATGCAAGTTTTTATGTGCTCCGTTTCTGATCTCGGCCAGTTCATACCTCCTTAGGCAGCCTGGTGGTCCCCTGCTCCTGGGAGGTCACCATGTTGATGCTGAACTTAGTGCAGACACCCTATCAGCATAGTGCATTACATCCCAGAACTCCTGAACTTAAGCTATCCTCCTGCTTCAGCCTCCCAAGTAGCTGGGACTACAGGCATGTGCCACTGCCCCAGGATATCCATCACATTTATTGCCATCTGACCTACTGTATATTTTATGTATATATTTGTTCATTGTCTATCCCTCACGGAGCTTCCATTTTCATGATAAGAAAGAGAAAATTTAAAAATGACTCTAAAATAAATAACAATAAAAAATATACCAAGAGGTGGTAAATGCTGTGGATAAGAAAAAAAGGCCTATTAAAGAATTGGAGAGTGAAGGGGGTGGAAATGGGGATTGCTATTTTATATATCAACTGTTCAGTGAAGGTGTCACTATTAATGACATTTGAGCAGCCACCTGAAGGAAATGAGGTGCAAACTATGCCAATATTCAGAGGACAAACACTGTAGGCAGAGGGAGCAGCCAGTGCAAAGGCCCTGAGGTGGGATTTCTGACAAGTCAAATTCAGTATGTCCTAAACAAAATCATTTTTTTTTTGGAGACGGAGTCTCGCTCTGTCGCCCAGGCTGGAGTGCAGTGGAGCGATCAAGGATCACTCCAAGTTCTGCCTCCCAGGTTCATGCCATTCTCCCGCCTCAGCCTCCCAAGTAGCTGGGACTACAGGCGCCCGCCATCACGCCCGGCTAATTTTTTGTATTTTTAGTAGACACGGGGTTTCACCGTGTTAGCCAGAATGGTCTTGATCTCCTGACCTTGTGATCCGCCCACCTCGGCCTCCCAAAGTGCTGGGATTACAGGCGTGAGCCACCGCACCTGGCCACATTTTCCTAATTCTGTTCCTATATTACTCAGTTCAGTGGATGACAACACCATCCAGCAGTCCCTTGTCCAAGTAAGAAACTCAGGAGTTTTCTTCCTCTTCCACTAGACTGGTTGCCCTTGAGACCAGAAGCTGTGTGTAGTCCATCATTCTGGGTAATGAGTGTGTCACTTAACACAGGGCCTGGCACAAAGGAGATGCCCAATGAGTGGTAACATCACACTTCATTGGTGGATGCTGGCACTTAAGCTTGATATTAGGCCTGAAAATGCCTCATTTCATGTTCAGTAAATACATACTCATCAACAAGTTTCTGCCAAACTCTCTGTTGAGTGCTGAGGATATGAAGATGAACAAAATATTCTGCCCTGGGAAACTGAGTCTGGGTCTGCACAATAAAGTGAGTCTGTTCATAAGGAATCATAGGCTCATGTGTGTTTATATTAAAAACTGGTTTCGGCCAGGTGTGGTGGCTCACGCCTGTAATCCCAACACTTTGGGAGGCCAAGGCAGATGGATCATGAGGTCAGGAGATCTAGACCAACCTGGCTAACACAGTGAAACCCCGCCTCTACTAATAATACGAAAAATTAGCTGGGTGTGGTGGCAGGTACCTGTAGTCCTAGCTACTCGGGAGGCTGAGGCAGGAGAATGGCGTGAACCCGGGAGGCGGAGCTTGCAGTGAGCCGAGATCGCTCCACTGCACTCCAGTCCGGGCGACAGAGCGTGACTCCGTCTCAAAAAAAAAACCAAAAACAAAACAAAAACTGGTTTCAAAGTCATATTAGCAGTTCCATAACTTTGAAGATCTGTACATTGGATCAGAAGGATAGCAATAATAATAACAGCATCAGTAACTAACATTTATTGATACCATCTTATGTACTAGCCTCTGTGCCACTTCATATGGACTACTCAATTCTTACCACAATTCTCTGACATGGGTGCTATTATTTTCATTTTGCAGAAAAAAATGTTGAGACTCAGAGAGGTAAATTGACCTGCCCAGATCATACTGCTCCTAAGTGGCAAGCTTCACATCCCAGCCCAGGCAGTCTGGTGGCAGAGCCACTACAACATACCACTTTCCTGGAAAAGATGAACTTAGCTAGTTGAGCCTCAATTTACCCAGGCAGTCATGGTCTTTTACACTTTGGCCCCAGGCCTTTCTTTCTAGTCTAATGTCCAGCTCTTCCTCTCCCCACCACACAAATACTTAGCCACAGCCATCCAGAATTGTAGCTCTTGCCCAACCCACCATACCCTCTCACTGATGGGCTTTGGCTTGGGCAGGAATCCTTCCCCTACTTTTCTGACTTGACCCAACCGTCAAAGCTATCCTCCATAGAACTTTTCTCTGATACCCCTTGCCACCCTGGGGAGAAGGAGTCTCTTCATCTGCAATGCTCCAGAACACCTTTGCCAGACCTCTAGTGTAGATTTCAGTTCCTCTCAGAACTCCATACCCAGGTGCCTCAAAAAGGTTAACACTGTACTGCTTCTCCCAATAACTATCAACAGGCCTGGCATAGAGGAAATGACTATGGAATACTTGGTGAAGAAAGAAATGAGCATTGTAATGATGTGCCCTGTAATGATGTGTCTACTTGAGTTTATGAAGTTGCCTCCACACAGCCCACACATCTGTTCTTATGGGCTTTTCACCGCAGCCACAAGACACTAGGCAGCACGAGGATTATCTCCATTTTGCAGGTAAACAAACTTAAGAAAGATTTCCAGCTCCTCACAACCAGTGCCTGTCTTGACTAAGCAAGTTGACCACGTGTCAGTCAGCATGTGGAATGGGGTCTTACAGTACTCTCTCTATGAGGAGGCATTTTGAGGTGCAAGTTTATGCACACACTTGGTCTTTCCATACATCGTCCCTGGAGAGAAGTGAGCTATGCAAACAAGAAGCTGTGTTGTCCCCTCCCACATCTTTTCCCCTTTAATACACACATACAGTATCCTCCCAAGACTCAGTAATATCTGGACCATAAAGAAGGGTGCTCAGCTGGGAGTTCTCTAGGATCACAAAGAATATTTTTTTTCCTGAAGCCCCATTTCTTTTGGGTTTAGCTCAATTTCTCACGAATTGTTCCTCCCACACTAGTCACTCCAAAAACTGACTGGTGTGACAGAATGTTTGGTGGCTGGGCAGAAGGCATAGAAGACTAGCCCCTGTGACAGGAGCAGCACAATAGTGCCTGGGACTATTTCAAGCCTGCCACCTGACTACTTTGCACACCTCCTCTCTCCCTGCTTCCACAACTGAGACTGCTCTGGCCCTTTGTTTCCCTGGACCCCAGGTTTGCAAACTGCCTTCTCATAATCTTAGTCTAATTCAAAGAATCAAGGTTCTGAGTGAAATGTGAGCAAGTGGCAGTGACCAGAGGCACGAGGTAGGGAGGAAGTCTATAATGGAGATTCTGGAAAAGAAAATAAACTTCCAAATCAGGCCCACAAATGAGAATCAGGACTTTGCAAAGCAGGAAAGCATAGCCCCAGGGAAACTTTTATAGTCCAGCCATCCAGATGGGAAAAAAGTTGCATAATGAGCCAGCAGCAGCTCCCTACTCCTCATCGTTTATTTAGACTCAGTACTAGGATGGGAGTCTGATGTTCAATATTGATTTTTGTTGGCAATGTATAGAATGCCATGGAAGGTCATGGAACATCTATATTTTCTATAATATTCCGTGGAAGATCATGGAATATTATAGAAAAAAATGAGTTGAACTGTCAGATCTCAAAGATATCAAGGGAGCCTGATGATGCTTACCCTCTCCTTGTGGAGGTGGGGTGATGCCCTGGCCCAGAGAAAAAAATGAATTGGCCAAGGTGTCCAGCAAGTCTGAGGTAGAGCTAGAGTCAGATCCCTAGCAGCCATGTCAGTTCCTGTGCTCTACACATGCAGAGGCAGCAGTCCACCTCTTACCAGTTCAGCAGCTGGATCTTTTCAAGACTGTCAGGACCCAGAAGCAGCAGAGAACACTCCTGCAATGCAAAAATAGCACGCATTGTTCTCTAATCCTTCTCTCTATCCTCAGCTTTAATCCACCCACCTCCCTTTTTAGACACACACAGAGTTTTAGGGCTGGGCCTTCTGGATATTCTTGAACTAGTGGTGGAACTAGATTCTTTGCTGCCTCAGCTCACCTGGCCCTGGCAGCCACTGATGCCACTTAATGTCCTTAGGCTAGAGACCCAAGTTCGCCGGGCTCCCTGCCACATCCCACACACAGTAGCAGACAAGGCTGGTACAGGCCTCCTCACTTTGTCCTCAGCCTGACCTCCGGTTTGGGCCCAGACAAGATTTTCCTCTCAATATTTAGACTTTTCAAGGAAAAAGGCCTGCCGAAAGCCAGGCTCACAAAGGATGGGGGAAGGGGGACTCTGGAGACCTTGGGGATTCCCTCCACATTCCATAGAAGGTGCGAAATTTGGGTGAGGGTCAAACTATGGAAACAGGTATCATCTCAGAGAAGAAAAGTGAAAGCAATCCTGGAAAGGGAGCCCGGGGCTCTGGATTCCAAATTGGCCCTTGTCGCCGGCAGGCTGGGTAACTGTGGGGAGGGACTTTCCCCACTCTGGGCAGCAGAGGGCCCGTCGGTAACGGGTGGAAGTTGGCCTCTATGGTCTCTAAGGGCACTGGTGTGCCAGAGAGGCGGACGAAGTTAGGGCGCAGGCGCTGCAGCTAGCTTTCCTGGCAGGTGAGTCCCTCCTCTGGGTGGCCTGGCGGCGCGATCCGCAGGGCCTTGTCTCTACGACTAAGGATAGGCCGGCCCTTAGGTTTCTGCAGTCTTCCCAGATTCCTCAACCTCTCTGCCTCGTTACTCCCCGCCGGCCTCTAGCTCAGGAATAAACGTCCTGGTGGCGGCCAGGGCACAGTACCGCGAATGCACAGCGGCCACAGAAATGGGAGTGCGTGAAAACCGAAACCGATCCGGCGAGCCCCATCCGGGCAGGACTGGCTCCTTGAGGCCACGGTGTAGCCACGCCACTACCAGCCCGGCGTGGGGGCGGGAGTGGGGAGCCCCAGCCAGTGGTTCCGCACCCTCTCCGCCCCCTGCCAACACCACGCCTGCACTTATTTGCATTTAAAGAGAAACGCACCAAGGAAAACAGTGGGCGGGCCGGGGCACGCCTTCCCACCATAGCGATTGGGCCATATGCCTGCCAATCAGGACGCAGATGCCCCACCCGGTGGCCTTGGAGTACTGGGGGAGGGGGTATGGGGGAGCTACCCAAAGCCTGGGGAAGGGGAGTCAGTGCTGGAGGTGACTGGAGCCGCGGCGACGGCGGCAGCAGCTGCGGTGGCGGCGCTCTCAGCCGTGGCAGCCGAGGCTGCAGCCCGGCCCAGGGCGGCTCAGCGGACAATAACCGGGCTAGGAACCTGACCGGGCTGGGTAAGCGTTGCGTACAGCCAGGAGCCTCCGCCTGCCCGCGGTCGGGTGCATTCCCGCGTGCTCTGCTCCTACGGACTGGAGGAGGGCACTAAGGACTAGGCGGGTCGGAGTCCCGGTCGCTCGCCCCTCTCCTTTGGAACCCGCTTTGCGGACTGTCGGGTGGAGAGGCAGAGCGGCCTTGAGTCCCCTGGGCACAAGCGACCACGGCTGGGGGGAGGGGGGTTGGGGAGGGCGGGTAGGAAGGCAGGCTAGCCTGGGCCAAGCCTCCCGGCTTTCGGGGGGGCGGGGATGGGCCCGCACGTGCTGCCGCACAGTCCCGGGAAGGGCGCCGCCAGCCAGCACCCCAAGCCATGCATTTGTAGGCCAGGAGCTCTGCAGCTTTGTTGTAGCACATTTGCTGGAACAGCTGTGTAACGCGGGTACCGCTCACCCCTCTCTCCGGCTGCCTGGCTGCCGCCCCTCCCCTCCCCTGTGCATCTCCAGCCTCTCCCTCCTTTCTGCGGACTCAAGCTGGCGTGCTGGCTTGGGCCCGACGGAGACCGGCTTTGGCGTGGATTGGGACATCCACAGACTGCCCCCTCCCCAGAGGAGCTCAGTTGGGCCTGTGGGCTGAGCTCAGTCGCACACTTCCCTTCAGAACCTTGGCCTTGTGGCCCCAACTAGCCGCGCCCCTCCTCCTGGGCCTCCGGGCGCATCTGGCGCCCGCCCCCGCGGTCGGGCAGGCTGGCTGGCAGCCGGGCTCTTGCTGGTCCTTGGGTTAGAGCAGCGGCGCAAGCTAGTCCTTG
The DNA here is from genome assembly GCF_000001405.40 of Homo sapiens. Lineage (NCBI taxonomy): Eukaryota > Metazoa > Chordata > Mammalia > Primates > Hominidae > Homo > Homo sapiens. The sequence goes on along the minus strand of NC_000023.11, from coordinate 64,204,784 downwards.
AGTTAGAGCTGCAAGGCCGCTTTGTCTCCCGCCTCGCCTCGCCTCACCTCCTTTTCCCTTGGAGGATACTGGCCGCGTTTTCCTCTCCAGCCTCCCGTTTAAAAATAGCAATAGGCACGGTGTTTGGGGGGCATTTCCTTGCCAGAGGCCGAAGGAGCCCTCATTGTAGTACGGAACGTATCATACCATCTCTGTGTACAGGAGAGCTAGCGAGGTGGCCAAACCCTCCAACTTCGCAGTTACTTAACATACCCAGCCCGCCAGGCCCCTGTCATTGTCTGCTGGAGACACTTCTGACACTGGTGACCGCCCGAACGCTGGACTTTGCTTGGCTCCCCCGGTGGTGAGGGGCTGTGCCCGCTACATGCGTCACAGCCCAAGCGCCTAGGCGGCAGCTGGACTGGCCCCGCAGAGCTGGTCTCCGTTTGGCCAGGCTGCTTTCGGCAAGGGCCGCGGGGTCAAGGCGAGCCTTGTTCCACACACAAACATCTTCCTCTGCGGCTCTGCCTGCCTGCTGCAGCGGCGTGGGCATGGGCAAGGCAGAGGGCACTGCACTGTTGGACTGCCTGCCCCACCGGGATTCCAGCAGAGCCCCCTCCCCCAGTGTGGCTCCCCTCATTCGGCACCACCCACTGCACAGTCACTGCACCATGGTGCACCTCTGGCAGTGGGCTCTCTAGGCCTTTTTGAGGAATAGGACAGAGGAAGCCACTGGGGGCTTGGTAAGCTCTTGGACCTTTGATTAACCTCTGGTGTGGAGAGCCCTGTGGGCTGCAGGGCCCAGGCAAAGCTTGGGCACTTTGAGGAGGGGCAACGAGACCCAGTAAATTCCTCACTTGGGGGAAGGCTAGCTCTGGACCTTTATGACAGGAGCCAGGACCACAGATATCACACTACAGTCACCTCCTCCCACCTTGATTAGGCCCCAACACAAACCTCTACTTGCAGCTGGGCATCTCTAGCCCAGGGCTGGACCTGCCCTCTGCCTTGTCTCAGGCCAGCAGGCACCTAATGTATCTGCTCTATGTAACTCCCTTCCCCACACCCAAACCCACTCAGCCTACACCTGTCCAAATCTTCTTCCTTCTCAAACCTCAGTTCTGGGCCTTCCTTTTCCTTGGTGCCTTTCTGCCTGGCTCTTGCCCACCCATGGTGACTTCTTTCTTCTCAGAACTCCTCCAGGGCTGCCTACTTCTCCTGGGCATATTCAGGCTTAAATTATAATAGGATGCAGACTATAATTAAGTTGGCCTGCCTCTGTTTTGTCTGATATCATGGATGTCTGGGTTCTCTCAGAACCCTTTGGAGGAGTAAATAAAACCTGGACCTCAGCCACAACCCTCTCAAAGCCAAGCAGTGCAGAGCAGTTAATGATTGTTCCGGAAGGACTTGCTTTCTTTGTAGAGTTTTCCAGAAGACCTTTACCTTTCCAACTTGCGCTTGTCCTGATTCATATGAAAGTGGCTAGAGAAATGATACTCAAGGCTCAGATATGTATTGAGTGTGCCTAATGAGGATGGATTAGAAGGGGGATGATTGCAACTACAAGAAAAAAATCATGATATATCTTCCCCCAACAACAGGCCCAGGATTTGGAATGCTCAGATCCCAGACCATGCATATCTTTGGTTGCTGATTCATGAGCCAAGAGACAAACTACTTGGAGAGAGATGAAAGATCTGTATAAGCAGGGGGATCATCCATGGAAGCTGCCAGAAAGTAGAGGGGTTTAGTAGGCAAAGCATAAGCAGACCCAGGAATGGGAGGGGAGAAAGTGATTGACAGGCAGGGTGAAGGGAGTGAATGAGTCTATTCTGGTTGAGATGGTGTGGCTCAGAGGTAGAGAAGAGATTGAGGCTCAGTGATGGGGTTTCCCGGATGCCAGGCTGTGGAATGGAAATCTGATCCTTTTAGGGGAAGGCGGCATCAAAGAGTAGGGAATTGACAGGGAGTTGCTATTTTTGTATGTAACTAAGCAGTAATAAAAACAAGGTTTTTGAATGAGTTTTAGAATGGGGTCTTAGAAAGGGATCAGAAGCATGCTGCAAAGTCAGCCAGTTAAGAGGTCACCTTTGGATCTGGAAGTAGAGCTGCGGGCAGGCTACCTCCAAAGGAAAGTTTTACTATGTCAGCCTCCCTTTGGCATTGCAGGGGAAAGGGCAGGAAGAGGTGGGAAGTGGGGCTGAGAAGTGTTCCCCAGGCCTCTGCTGAACACCTTCCTCTCAGATGGGCAGTCCTTGGGGAGCACCAGTTTGAACTGCTATGCTTACAGATGAGAATCCTTAGCCTTGGAAAGCAACAGGGGCTCGCTTAAGGTCACACAGCTATTTAAGGATAGGCTCCTGCTTCCCGTGCAGTGGCTCTTTCCACTATGTTCCATGGAACCAGCAGCCTCCAATCAATGTAGATTTCATTAACCATCCCCCTCATCTTACCTCCCTCATTCCCTAAGAGGAAAGGGGGGCTGAGTTAACTTGGGAACTTCATAAGGGGAGCCTCTCACTCGTTTAATGTCTCTTTTGCCTCTTGGTCTTGGCCTATAGCTTTGCTGGGACTGAAAATTTCAAAAGGAGAGGAGGTAGTTGGAAGAATTTGGCAGTCTAATGATCCCCTCCTAGCATAGTGGAGGTATTAAAAATTCCTTAAGGGCTGGGCCTGGTGGCTCACACCTGCAATTCCAGCACTTTGGGAGGCCTAGCCGGGTGGATCACTTGACCCCAGGAGTTCGAGACCAGCTCGGGCAACATGGCAAAACCTCATCTCTACAAAAAATACAAAAATTTAGCCAGGTGTGGTGGTTTGCACCTGTAGTCCCAGCTACTTGGAAGGCTGAGGCAGGAGCCTCTCTTGGGCCTGAGACATCAAGGCTGCAGTGAGCCATGATCATGCCACTGCACTCCAGGCTGGGCAGCAGAGCAAGACCCTGTCTCAAAGAAACACGAAATTTCCTGAAGAACTGTTACATCTCCACTCGTAGATAGTGTGTATGGAAGAAACAACTCTGCTCCACTAGGAAACAGTAGCAAGCCTGGCAGGTAGAACCAAGAGGGAGAAGGGGTTTCCAGCCCCCTTGCTTAACAGATAGGCTATCTGAGGCTAGAAGAGAGAATGTCCAATGTTATTTCAATTTCCCTACCTGAATCCTGTCTGGGCAGATACAGTGGGTGATAAAGGGTTAAGCCCCTGAGGCAATATTTCATAGCCTTTCTGTGTCACTCATTCCTGGGTCACCTGCCTCATTGCCCAGTTCTTTCTCAGGGATAATCTGAGCCTGTCATGCTATAGTTAAACCTTGTGTGTGTGTGTGTGTGTGTGTGTGTGTGTGTGTGTGTGTGTTGGGGGAAGGAGTTGCGAGCAGCTGGCCACCATTGCTCTTCTGCTTAACGATCTATTGGAGATTTCATAGGCATTAAACTCTCTCTGCACCCCCAACTTCTGTTCTCTGAATTAAATAATCTCAGAGTCTTCCATCTCCTCTGCTTCGTCTTATTTTTCAAACCTGTGCGTGTGTAAGTGTATTTCTAGCAAAGGCAGGCAGGGGAACCAGAACCACTACAGAGGTACAGGTGCTAGCCCAGTAAGAGTATGTTGCTCCCTCCACCTCCCCTTTTGGAATTAGGGGAAAATATGAACAATGGAGAAAATGACCTGAGGGGCTTGGTGTGGTCATAGGCAGGCATACTGGTGCTGCAGTGGCCTTTGTGACCCTTTGATGTGCATTTTTTTTCAGCATAGAGGTTTCATTGCTTTCATCTCCTACAGTTTTTACCCCCGCTGGGCTTCCAAGTGGATACTAACCCTCCATCCCTAGTGAGTATGCCTCAACCCTCCCTCTCCATCTGCTCAGCCCTTCTTGCTGGGGGCTGTGGCTCTTTTCAGGGGAATGAGGAATGGCATGACCAGTTCTGGCCCCCCTCCTTTCTGGATATGTTGGAAATATTCACAGGCCAGACTCAGTGCATTTTGAAAGAGCAAAATGTTGAGGGGTGGTGTAAGGAGTGAGGCTGGGCCACAGTGCACCTTTGTCCTGAAGTGGTGAACTAGGTCGAACCAGCTAGGTAACCAGGCCTAACAGTAAGACCTAGGACCCTCAAAGCCAATCCAGTGCCCCCTGCTATGCCTTCTGACTCAGCAGCCATTAGAAAACTGGGCACAAGACCACTCCTCCCCCAGCCTCTCAGGGCAACTTGGAGCAAGCAGACTCCCTGGTCCAATCTCCCATTTCTATATGAAGAAACTGAGGTCCAGAACAGGGAAAGGATTTGCTCAAGTTAACTCAGAAGTCCAAAGCTCCTGGTCCGCAATTCAATTCCAGAGTTCTTCCTCGAATCACACTCTCCTTGTCCCCTCCCAAGCTTCAGTTTCCTCACTTGGTTTCTCACACAGGGCATGGTTAGTAGAGGGGAGTGGACACATAGGAAAGTCAGAGGTATCCATTGTTCACTTGACCCAGCTGCTCCTCTGTAGGGTTTCCTTGGCTGCTCTGTCACATCTGTTTCTCTGGAGTTAGCTCCTCTCCTATTCTTCATTTGAACGGGGGGTGGGGAAGGGTTGGCACCTGTCTGATCTCGCTCTAGCTGGGCTAGTACTGACTTAGTGGAAGCCTATGCAGGCGGGCATGGTACCCACTTCAGATACACTTCTCTCTAAGAAAGTTTGGGAGCCTAAGATGGGAGTGGCAAGTAAGTGGCTCCCAAAGTCCCTGTCATTCAAGGCAAGCTGGGCAGGGAGGGGACCTCAAGAGCCTGAGGAGGAACCTGGGGCACTAAGAAGACTCACCAGGAAAGCCCATTTCTAGGGAGAGGTGGTATCTGGGTGACCACATCTCCCAGACTGGGCAAACCCCTGTGTATTTGGGGCTGGGGCCAAGAGGCAGAGAAACAAGGCTGAGAAACTTGTAAGGAGCATTCAGGGAGAGCAAGCCTTTAACATCAGACATAGGGTTTTGGCCCTTATCCTGTAGGCAATGCAGAATAATTTGGTAAGTGGAGGAGTGAAGTGCTGAAACAGGAGTTGTAAGAAAATGAATCTGGCAACAACGTACAGGATGAATGAGATGGGAGAGGGGAGCCAGGGGGTGCTGCGGTAGGGAGGGACTAGAGGGAGCTCAGCTAAGAGGCTTGTGTCATCTTCGGAGAATGTGGGGTGGCAATTGGGGAGCTGGAGAGGAAAAGGTGCCTACAAGTGGCCTCATCACAAGAGCCCTTTATTGAATATCTGCTTAGTATGTAGTTACCAGTTTGCTTTTACATTGATCATCTCTAATCCTTACCACAATCCTGCATGGTAGATAGCATTTTCTTCATTTTACAGATAAGGCATTTGAGTGTCAGAGAGGTTAGGCCACTTTCTCAAACCACACAGCCTATAGAAGGTGAGGCTGGCATTCCAGTTCCGCACCAAGAAACTTCAGGTGAATTAGAATTCAGTTGAATCAGCATTGTTTGAGCTCCTGCTGTGTGCTAGTTGTAGTGACTGTAAGATGAAGGAGGGTCAATTTGAGAGAGATGAATGAACAGACCAAAGCCCGTCAGGATGAATTATACAAAGCTCAGTATGTAAACAAATCAGTTGAGAGGGGCTGGTGGGGGAATTGGGACAGGAGAGAGAAGTCCCAATTTGGGGTCTTGCTGCATCTGGAGTTGGTGAGATGCCCTCTGGGCAGGAGGTGCCCCTCAGCAGGAAGGCTGCAAATTAGGGGAGGAGCTGAAGGGGCTCTGCCAGCTGCATCTACAACTCCATCAGCCAACCAAGCCAAGCAGCCCTTCCTTTAGGCTCTGACCAAATAGTTTTGAGGGCAGTACTTGGCTATGGGTGTTAAAAATGGATCATTCAAGTTCCAGATCATCTGATAAGTCATTTTCTTCAAATAGCTCAAATTCTGCATCTTTGTCCACGTTGGCAGGTTTCTCGTTTTTGGGCCACTCAAACCTATCTCTTAAGGAAAAGGGGAGTAGAGTGACATGTCCTGTAGTTTGAGAGGAGTGGTGGTAGGGTTGCTGATGAGGAGAGCAGCCACAGGCTGGGTTGTTGGCCCCTAGATTCTGATGTCAGCAGGCTTCCTGGAATGTGTTTGGTAGGACCCAAACAGTGGCAACCAGTGAGGACTGGAAATGTGGCAAAGAAGGCTTAGCAGGGCTGGGACAGAGGTGGGATGGGATTGGGAGATTATAGTTCTTGCTGGTGTGAGGGTAAACTTTGCAGTTCTCTTGCTCAGTCTTCCTCCTTTGATTGGTGGCCTGCACAGTGCAGCAGAATGGCATGAAATTGAGACTCAACAGTTCTGGGAGCTAGTGTGGCTCTGTCACCATTTCACTATGTGACCTTGGACAAGTCTTTTCCCAAGTCTAGGCACAGTTTCCTTCTCTGTGACAAGGAGTTGCCATCCCCCACCAGGCCTGAGTAATGGGTGGCTGAGGAGGGCAAATGGGGGGGTATGGGAGTAGGGAGTGCTTTATAAAGTGGTAAATACCCTGAGGGTGAAGGATATCTGTTGATTTGCATTTCCTTTGATGTTGGTACTTTTAGCTGAGTTTGACCTGGGCTAGAGAACCTGGCTAGTTGAAAGTCCCAGATAATCCTTGGCTGCTAGCCAGTAGCTGACTCTTTTAGGTCCCTGAATATCAAAAGTTGGCTAAATGAGCAAGTAAAGCCTCCTATGACATGACCACACAGTTATCTTCATTTACCATTTGCCATTTGGGAAAACTGAGCCCCAAGGAGGTTTGGTGACTTACCCACAGAGCCCTAGGGAGCACCCTACTCAACCTGACTGAGATGATTTTACTTCTAGAAATTGTTCTACCACAGTTTGAATAAAATATGAATAAAAGTTGGTTACTATAATGTTTTTAGCTTCTGCTATGTAATGCACTTGATTTGGTACATTATGTGCATTGGTTTTACTTCTTACAATAGCCTTAAGAGGTAGGCACTCTCAATGACCTCATTTTACAGTTAAGGAAATTGAGGCATAAACATGGGAAAAAACTTGCTGGATTTCCCCTAGCTGGGCAGAGTTGATTCCAGCGCTGAAATGGCCAGCTCTCTGGAGGGCCATCCTCACCATTTTTTCTTTAACCAACCCTCCCCAACATACAGAAGGGCAGGTGGGCCTGAAGTGGGCTTGCTTTCAGGAAGACTGTTTGGAACAGGCCTGAGGAACTATGGCTGGTCAAGGCCATGTCTCTGGAGCTACTGCATAAATCCACTTGCTTCTTTTTCTTCCCCCAATTCAGCCCTCTTCAAGTTGGCCATGCTGGCCCCGGGAAGCTGATTTGGAGCAGAATGTGCAAGGCTCATATTGCAGCTGTCCCTTCTCCTTGAGAAGGGTCTCTAGGGCAGGTATGTGGCTGGCCTCCTGCCTATGTTTTAAGTGGAGAGGAGAAGGAAGAAGCTCTTCCTTTGTAGCCAGCCTTCCACTGGCCCCAGAATGGCTTGAATCTGGCTCAGGGAGCTGGAATGGCCCCAGCGCTTTCTACCACAGCCTGCTTTCTGCCATGATAGCAGCTGCTGCAGCAGGCAGTCCCTGCAAGGGACCACAGAGTGGCTTGGGAGGGTTCTCTTAACCCCCAGCCCACCTGAAACTCAGCCACACTGGTTAAGGAACATGAGGGTTGTGGGGCCCTGCATTTGGCAGTGCCACTTTCTTGACAGGACCCCCAGGGAAAGCCAGTCCCAGCCTAGGGGATCTGCAGAGTCTGTCCTTTGCTGTCTCCTTTGCTTTCTGCCCCACCTCACTCTCTTGGTGAACTCTTGTGGTCCTAAGTAAAGGCAGCATAACCCATTGAGGAAGGATAGCTTTGGCACCTGGTTGGATAGCAAAGAGTATGGAGAAGAGGCCTAAGGCAGAGGTAGCTAGGTGGGGCTACGCTAGGGAGCTACCAGCTATGGGTGACCCTGCCACCTTCCTTCCCAGTGTTCTGGGTGACATAGGCAGAGATACTGTGAATGACTGTGGGGGGACATGGCTCTGGGAGAGAGAACACAGAGTACCAGTTTAAGGCTGGTATCTGCCAGCAAAGATGACTCTGGACTTGGTTAGGAGAAGGGCCTGAACTGGACGGAGAGAAACTCCATCCCAGGGACACCCTGCGTAATTCATCTGTCTCCCACAACACACAGAGAGGGCTTTTCAAACCTCTTAGCAGAGGAGTTTGTATAGATATACACACCTTTTTAAAATCCCCTCATATCTGTCTCCCTCTCAGCATGGGCCAAGGCAGCAAGTCCCTGAGCTTCCCACAGTGAATGGCTTTCCCAAATGAACAGCCTTTAACACATGGTCAGTTGCTTCCTAAGAAACTGGGATCTGACCTGGAAGGAGTAATAATAACTGTAATGACAGTCTTTCTCATTTGCACTGTACTATACAGTTTATAAAGTGCTTTTTTTGTGCCTATTATCACATCAACTCATCACACCACTGTAGTTGGAGTGGGCAGGTAGAAGGATAGGTAGAGGAGCTGTTTTGATCTCAAAATAGCTCACAAGTACCTGCGTCTCAGCAGGCTACACTGGCCCATTCAGGGTCCCTTGGCAGATGGGAGGCTGACATGGCCTGGACCCCAGCCCTGTGGTCCATGGCTCCTTCCACAACACACTGCAGCTCCCTGTGACAGGAAAGGGGACAATACAGAGAGAGGTGAGTGGGCTGGCCTCTACCCTCACAGAGCATAGGAGCAAGGGCAAGGGAAAGCCCAAAGAGACTGTCTTCTAACTGGGGCGTCAAGGCTCTGGAAAGCAGCCTTCTTTGTGATTCAATTTGCCAAATCACTCTGTTCCCAGGAACTCCAGCCCCAAACCCAGCAGGACAAGTCAGCCTTTGATTCACAAGGATGTGTAGGTCCTAGAGTTTTTCACTTGGCTGTGAGGTTTTCCTTGAGGCCCAGCCTTACTGCCCAAGAAGTGTCTTTCTCCCTTTCACATTTATCTTGGAATATGTTTACAAGGTATAAAGAATGATACTCCACCAACCAGCTTTAGAAATAACAGGGGCTATTCTTTAAGGCAGCGGTTCCCAACCTTTTTGGAACCAGGGACCTGTTTCATGGAAGACAATTTTTCCATGGATGGAGAGGAGGAAGGTTTTGGGATAAAAGTGTTCCATCTCAGATCATCAGGCATTTGTTAGATTCTCATAAGGAGAGTGCACCCTAGATCCTTCGCATGCGCAGTTTGCAATAGGGTTCACGCTCCTATGAGAATCTAATGCCTCTGCTGATCTGACAGAAGGCAGAGCTCAGGTAATGTTCACCTTGCCCTCCTGCCTGCCGGTCACTTCCTGTTGTTTGGTCCAGTTTCTAACAGACTGTTACATATAGGACTCTCCCTGTTAGCCTAGGAGCTCCTTAGAAGCAAAGGCTGGGAGTTCTCCCTTCTTGTCCTGCCCTGAAGCACTGAATTCCAGAGGGGAATAGAATTTCACAAACAACTCCAGTACTGCCTCCCCAACTCCCCTATCCCCAACACCGTGACGATAACCTTAGCAGTAATTTTAAGGCTGAGGTAAAAATGTGCTGTGGAAAGTGGGGCATTCAGACATGATAGGGCCCCTATTCCCACCAGACCCAGGGGCAGAAAACTGGGTGATTGTGTGTTTAGGTGTGATTGTGTGTGTATTTGGAGGTGGGAGGGGGCACTGTCTATTGTGGGACTATCAGTTGCAGGGCTGAGTTGGAACAGTGTGATGTCAAAATATGTTACAGAAAAATCTCTAACCTGAGCAAATGGCAATTCAGATCTCTGCAGAGAGAGGTTCAGATGAACTTTCCTTTTCACCTGCTCTTTTCTTTTCTGGATAACCAGCTGTTATCTTGCTCCAATTTTAATATTCAGTTATGCAGAGTGTTCTTTATGGAAGCTTGGATCATCACACTGATGATTCAAGTGTCAAGCCAAGCAAGGCAGCAGGCACAAAATTAATGTTTGCAAGACAGAACCAGGGGCTCCAAGGCTAGAGTGTAGCTGCCAGCCTCTTTCCATGCTCAGTGCTGGTCCACAGTCTTCCACTTTAGGTGAATGTGTGAGTCTTATTATTATGGCAAGCAATCACAGGCCTGGTGTACTGTCCAGCTGTTCTTGGACCAAGGGTGCTTGCTTCTCTCTCCCTCTCTTACTCTTCCTTCCCTCCCCTTCCCCTTCCCCTCTCCCCTCTCCTCCCAGATTCCCCCATCTGCTGGTGCCACTCTACAGAGAGGGGACAAATTGGTGAGGGACTTCCCAGGGAGGGGTCATTGGGTTTTAGCAGGCTGGTCACTGAGCTAGCGGATGACCAGAGGTGCAGAGGTATATTGTGGTGGGTAGTGGCTAGGTCTTGTTTTTATTCCATCTCTGTTGGTATTTGGGCATTTGGAGGATTGAGAGCCTTGACCAGAAGGGTGTGGCTTGCACCAGGTTTATTTATTTAAAAAGCCATTGGGAACCTATCTCACACACCAGGAATATGAATCATGTAGGGCCTTCAAGGAGTTCCCTTCCTAGATAGGGAGCTAGATGGGGACAAAAATAATAAGAGGAGGAGAGTAGAGGAGAAACAGTCCACCTCATGGTTCTCAAGTGGAATTTGGGGTTCCATTGATGACCGCATTAAAGTATCTTCCCAGCAGGACAGCCAATAGAGGGTCTGGCTTAGACCCACCCTCATATCACCTCTCTGAGGGAGAGATATTGATAGGCCTCTTGAATGGCGAATATTGAAGCCCAGAGAGTACCTTTCTTGAGGCTCCCATTTCATTGTCTTAGCAGGTTCTAGATTGCAGACCTACTTTGTGGATGTGTGAGGCTCCTATTCTGAGATTCTGAAGCCTGAGCATGGTTCTGCAGGCAATTTAGGAAGCTTTGGATGGGAGGTGAAACTTCAGGTCCACTTTTCAGTCTCAGACAAAATGTCAGTGAGAGCCCAGACTAATATGAAACTGAAGCTTGAATCCAACAGAGCCCTGTGAGGACTCAATGGACTGTTTTGCCAGATGGTTTTCAAAAATTCTGTGATGTTGGAGCCAACATCCCTTTTGCCTTTCTTGTCTCTCCCTATCCTCATCCCCTTTGATAATTGATAATACCTCCCACAGCCAATAGCACCACTAGGCCTTTCACACAACTGCAGGTCCCCCTGCCCAGTGGTCCCCTGAGCTTAGGATGGTCTGAAGGGAGTGGACCCAGCAAGAAGGTAGGGGATGAAGGCTTCTTGTTGCTCAGTGTAGAGTTTTGCTTCCTTGGGGCCCAGAGAGAGCTGGCCCAGCAAGCCAAGCATATCGAGTGGATTAAGATTTGCCCCACATTTTCCATCATTTTCTTTCTTGTTCCACTCAAGCCTGACGTCCGGTGAAAGCAAACCCAGCCTGGATGCTTGCTCACTAGTATCTGTCTCTCTGTCTTTGTCTCTCCTATCTCCTCCAGACCCCACTGTGATGCTTCCTGACTGATAATGTTATAACAGTGCCTGGAAGCCTGAGGCTGCATTTCCAGCTGGACGTACCTCAGTTGTCCCCATCATCATGGAGACCCAAAAGGATGAAGCTGCTCAGGCCAAGGGAGCTGCAGCCTCTGGGAGTACCCGTGAACAAACAGCAGAAAAAGGAGCCAAGAACAAGGCAGCTGAGGCGACAGAAGGACCAACCTCAGAGCCATCCTCATCCGGCCCAGGTAGGCTGAAGAAAACTGCCATGAAACTCTTTGGTGGCAAGAAGGGTATCTGTACTCTGCCTAGTTTCTTTGGAGGGGGACGGAGCAAAGGTTCTGGGAAAGGCAGCTCCAAGAAAGGTCTCAGCAAGAGCAAGACCCACGATGGCCTGAGTGAAGCAGCCCATGGCCCTGAAGATGTTGTCAGTGAAGGAACTGGCTTCTCCCTGCCTTTGCCTGAGTTACCCTGCCAATTTCCCAGCTCTCAGAGTGCCCATGGGGCTTTGGAGACAGGCTCCAGATGTAAGACATCTGTGGCTGGAGCCACAGAGAAAGCTGTGGCTGAGAAGTTTCCCTCTATGCCCAAGCCAAAGAAAGGCCTAAAAGGCTTTTTTAGCAGTATCCGCCGTCACCGGAAGAGCAAGGTCACTGGGGCTGAGCAAAGTGAGCCAGGGGCCAAGGGGCCTGAGAGGGTCAGAGCCAGGCCTCATGAGCACGTGAGCTCAGCCCCTCAGGTGCCCTGCTTTGAGGAGACCTTCCAAGCCCCTAGAAAGGAAAATGCTAACCCCCAAGATGCCCCTGGGCCAAAAGTTTCTCCAACACCAGAACCTTCTCCACCAGCTACTGAGAAAATGGCCTGTAAAGATCCAGAAAAACCCATGGAGGCCTGTGCCTCAGCACATGTGCAACCCAAGCCTGCCCCTGAAGCCAGTAGCCTAGAGGAGCCCCATAGCCCAGAAACAGGGGAGAAGGTAGTAGCAGGAGAGGTAAACCCACCCAATGGCCCTGTGGGGGACCCACTGAGCCTCTTGTTTGGGGATGTGACATCCCTGAAAAGCTTTGATTCATTGACAGGTTGTGGTGACATAATAGCAGAACAGGACATGGACAGTATGACAGACAGCATGGCCTCTGGGGGCCAGAGAGCAAACCGAGATGGGACCAAGCGAAGTTCCTGCCTGGTGACCTACCAAGGAGGTGGGGAGGAGATGGCCTTGCCAGATGATGATGACGAGGAGGAAGAAGAGGAAGAAGAGGTGGAATTAGAGGAGGAAGAAGAGGAGGTTAAGGAGGAGGAAGAAGATGATGACTTAGAATATCTGTGGGAAACTGCCCAAATGTATCCACGGCCCAATATGAACCTGGGCTACCATCCCACCACATCCCCAGGCCACCACGGCTACATGCTCCTTGACCCAGTTAGGTCTTATCCTGGCCTAGCCCCTGGGGAACTTTTGACTCCTCAGAGTGACCAGCAAGAATCCGCCCCCAATAGTGATGAAGGTTATTATGACTCCACCACACCTGGATTTGAGGATGATTCAGGTGAGGCCCTGGGGCTTGTCCGCAGGGATTGTCTACCCCGAGACAGCTACAGTGGAGATGCCCTATATGAGTTCTATGAGCCAGATGACAGCCTTGAGAACTCTCCACCTGGAGATGACTGCCTTTATGACCTCCATGGTCGAAGCTCTGAGATGTTTGACCCCTTCTTAAACTTTGAGCCCTTTTTGTCCTCCCGGCCACCTGGGGCAATGGAGACAGAGGAAGAACGGCTAGTGACCATCCAGAAACAGTTGTTGTATTGGGAGCTTCGGCGGGAGCAGCTTGAGGCCCAGGAGGCACGTGCCCGAGAAGCTCATGCCAGGGAGGCCCACGCCAGGGAGGCCTATACTCGAGAGGCTTATGGCAGGGAAGCCTATGCCAGGGAGGCCCACACTTGGGAAGCTCATGGCAGGGAGGCCAGAACCCGAGAAGCCCAGGCCCGAGAGGTTCGTTGTAGAGAGACTCAAGTCCGAGAGACCCAGGCCCGGCAGGAGAAGCCCGTCTTAGAGTATCAGATGAGGCCCTTAGGCCCATCAGTGATGGGCCTGGCAGCAGGGGTATCAGGGACCTCTCAGATTTCCCACCGGGGAATTACCTCAGCTTTCCCCACCACTGCAAGCAGCGAGCCAGACTGGAGGGACTTCCGTCCTCTGGAGAAGCGTTATGAAGGAACCTGCTCCAAGAAAGATCAAAGTACCTGCCTGATGCAGCTCTTCCAGAGTGATGCCATGTTTGAGCCAGACATGCAAGAAGCAAATTTTGGAGGATCTCCCAGGAGGGCCTACCCTACTTATTCACCCCCTGAAGATCCAGAGGAAGAGGAGGTTGAGAAGGAAGGGAATGCCACTGTGAGTTTCTCACAGGCCCTGGTAGAGTTCACCAGCAATGGGAACCTCTTTTCCAGCATGTCCTGCAGCTCTGACTCTGACTCATCTTTCACTCAAAACCTCCCTGAGCTGCCTCCCATGGTGACCTTTGACATCGCTGATGTGGAACGGGATGGGGAAGGCAAGTGTGAAGAGAATCCTGAGTTCCACAATGATGAAGATCTTGCAGCCTCCTTGGAAGCCTTTGAGCTGGGCTACTATCACAAACATGCCTTCAACAACTACCATAGTCGATTCTACCAAGGCCTGCCCTGGGGTGTGAGCAGCCTCCCTCGATACTTGGGACTGCCTGGCCTGCACCCTCGACCTCCACCTGCTGCTATGGCCCTCAACAGGAGAAGCCGCTCTCTCGACACTGCAGAGACCCTGGAGATGGAGCTCTCCAATTCCCACTTGGTCCAGGGCTACCTCGAGTCTGATGAGCTGCAGGCCCAGCAGGAAGATTCAGATGAGGAGGACGAAGAGGAGGAAGAAGGAGAATGGAGCCGAGACAGTCCCCTTTCCCTCTATACTGAACCCCCAGGGGCCTATGATTGGCCTGCTTGGGCTCCCTGTCCTCTTCCAGTGGGGCCAGGTCCTGCCTGGATAAGCCCCAACCAGTTGGACAGGCCTTCCAGCCAGTCTCCATATAGGCAGGCAACCTGTTGCATACCTCCTATGACCATGTCAATATCACTATCAGTGCCAGAGTCAAGGGCACCTGGGGAATCTGGGCCTCAACTAGCTCGTCCCTCACACCTACACCTGCCCATGGGCCCTTGCTATAACCTCCAGCCACAGGCCTCCCAGAGCATGAGGGCCAGGCCTCGAGATGTGCTGCTGCCTGTTGATGAGCCCAGTTGCTCTTCCAGTTCTGGAGGCTTCAGCCCCAGCCCTCTACCACAGGCCAAGCCTGTGGGCATCACCCATGGCATTCCTCAGCTGCCCAGGGTCCGGCCTGAGCACCCCCAGCCTCAGCCCACTCACTATGGGCCTTCCAGCCTTGACCTGTCAAAGGAGAGGGCTGAGCAAGGTGCCTCTCTTGCCACCAGCTACTCCTCCACTGCCATGAATGGAAACCTAGCCAAGTAGTTATTATCAATTCTGGAGTAGGGACACGGGGCCTGAGCATGTGAATGGGGATCAGGGGTTGGGCAGAAGGGTGGGGGGGTGGGGGTTGTTGTTTAACTTGAAAACCCTTTGGGCCAAGGAAAACTCCTGTGAGTTTTCACCTTGGTTTTCCCACTTGCCTCTTCTGCCATCTATGGCCACGTTCAACTCAAGTGCATCTGCCCAGGGAGGCTGCTGCTGCTACTGCACTCCAGTTTTTGCTTTCGAGGTTTCTTCTTGTGACCCACGCTGGGTTTGGGATGCTGTAATTTTGTGCCTATTCCAGTTGCCAAGTTAGTGATTATATATATATATATATATATATATATATATATATATATATATACACACACACACACACACACACACACACACATACATACACACACACACACAAACACACATGCACACACATATATAGCATGCATCCTTGACACAGGCTAAACCTTTAGTGCCCCCTGCCCCTTTCCCCCAATGAATGATGAACCACTGATTAGCAGCCAAGTCTGCATTGCCTCCCGCTTGGGGAAGTGGGGCTTATTTGCTATTAGCAATGTGAAATTATGGTACAGATCCTCCCCACCCCTATTCCTTTTGGCCTGGCATAGCTGCCATCATTATATCAGATGACTATAAGCTATTCATCCCAGCTAGCTGTCCTTAGAGAGGATCAAGTAGCGTGTGTCTCACAGCCTATCGCTGTGGACTTTGGCATCATGACCAGATGGGGGCCTTTTAACTGTCCTGCCATAGCTTGGGTTAAAGACAAAAATGCTAATCCCCTTGATGGAGTGATAAAATTCATCCATTTGCAAACAGAAGACAAAACAAGGTTCTGTTGTGGACACTGCCATAGAGTGTTGAGCTCCGGAATGATAGGATTTTTTTTCCTTCTTTTAAGCTTGTGACTACCTGAGTTGCAGATGCTTTTGAATTTTTGTTCTTTTTTCCTCTAAAGGAAATTTTCATAATCTCATCACAAGGAACACGGTCTTTTAATTGAGATAAGGGAAGAGAAGCAACCTAAATTAGGCTTGACTATAGGGGCTGGGGTTTTTGTGGAGTGTAGGGGAAAGATAGAAAATGAGGGTCCATTTATCACAGCCAGCAAGAAAGGGGATTTCAGACCATGCAGAGCTTAAGGTATCTCAGTTTCTTAAAAGGGAAAACTCCCTTCTCAAGCCTCCCAACACAAAATGTTCCTTAAGCCTTGCCCATCCCATCATTTGGACTCTGTAATAAGGCCCCAGGTTTGCACTCCCAAGACAGGATACCAAAGGCATCTCAGCTGCTGTTCTGGGCCCTTTAAAGAGCTTTTATCTTCCAATTAGCCGAGTCCTTAGCATCATCAAATGACAGGGCTTCTTGGCAGTTGCAGCCCTTTATGGAATGAATGGCACCCTCCCTTCTCCTGCATCCATGCAGTTTTCATGTTAAACTAGGTTGGAAATACTGGTGGGGAAGAGCTTGCTGTCAGGAAGACATTGGAACAGGCTAATCTTGCCAAGCTCAACCTCTCATTAATCACCTGTAGGAGAGGGTTCCTTTTACATGTCTTTATTGGAAATGGCATATGGAACATTTTTTGCTTGGCTGTGTTCACTCAAATTATGATTATTGCACCCTCGCCCTCACATCCCACCATCTCCATGCCTGTTGAGAGAAGAAGTCAACAGGGTTCTTGCCATTCCTGAGATATGGCAATTTAGCTTGGGAACAGATGCTGTTTGCCCCCTAAGTCAAGGTGACTTTGTGGGCAAACTGTTTCTTGGCCAGGGGATGTGTCCATGCTGGTCTTTGTCACCATTTCTCAGATTGGGGTTGGCCCAGTGCCCTTACTCACAAATAGCAGACCTGGCTGGTAGAAGCTGCACCCCTGGAAGCACCACATGAATTTGCATGGCACTAACACCACCACTCAAGGGACCCAGACCAGCTCTTCAGGCTGACTTTGGCTACAGATACATTGTGAAGAAATGTATCTGTTGTGGAGCTGGAGAATGAAAGAGGGTGAGGAAGGCCCTCCTTACCCCAAGCACAGCATTCCAAGAGAGAAGTGCCCAAATTCCAACTTTCTGGCCTCTTACCAAAGCTGCTCTGGGATGGTGGGGCTGAAATTGGCCTGGCTATTTGGCAGGAAGTAAACACTCACCAAATGCCTTTACAACAGGGAAGAACCCACCTCTTGCCTCTTCTTTCAGGGCAGCTTGAGCTCCTGTCTACATGTGGACTGTGCCAGCCACAGCAGGCGGTAGAGCCATCACCAGCCTCCAGACCCTGCTGGAGAAGGGCCACCAGCCTATCTGGGAAGAGAAAAAGGAGGTGGCCAACCTTTGGCTAAGGGCTGAGAGCTGCCCTCAGGATCAGGAAGGCAGCATGAGGCATTGTCTCTGAGGGGCACTGGCATAGCCCTGACACACTTTGTTGGGCTTTGGAAGGTCACACACCACAGAGTAGGGCCTGGGGCTGAGTGAGAGTTCATGGTTTGGACAGCCTTGCTGCCTGCAAGTCCCTTCACTGCCCTAGCCAGCCCAGGAATAGGATCCTTACCACCTGAAGTGGGGCAGCCAGGATATGTGGCTGCAGAAGCAGGTTCCTTTGAATTTCTAGAGCTAAGCAGTTTGTGGCTGAAACCCAATGGCAGCCTAGGGGAGGAAGGAAGACCTGTCTGGGGACCCATGGTGTTGACAGCACAGGGTGACATTGGGAGAGCCAGCCAAGCTTCAGGCCTGTTTCCAAACACAGACTAGTGCTGGCTTGGGTGGCAGCAAATACACCCCAGACCACTAAAACTGTTGATATCATGTCCACACCTCCAAGAGTACTACTAGATGAACAACATGTCTCCATTGCAAGGTCCTGGAATAATGCTTTTGGATGTGATTTTAAGGGAAAATGGGACTTAGTGGAAGTAGCTGCCTTCATCTTATTACCCAATAGGCCTAGTGCCAGACAGCTGTGATCCTGAGAATTCCCAGATGAGACTGGTCCTTGGAGGACCAGTGAATGTGGATAGAGAAGGCCACCTAGTAGGCCTCTCCCAGGGCCAGGATGCCAGTTTCTTGGTGCTTTAGAGTCTCCAAGGAAGCACTGCCTTGGGGCCCAGTTCAAGCCAGCCCTACCTATCTGGCCTCAGCTTGGGTACCAGGCCACAAGACTGCCCGGATAATGGGTTCAGTAAACACCAGTCTCTCTCCCTCCTTAGTCCTATGCCAAGAAGGGAAGTAGCTTCACACACTCAGGAGGCTGGGTGTGTACCCTTCATCCTGCTGCCAGCAGCTTTCCTTACCTGTGCCAGTGCCACCACCCCACCTGCCCTCAGCCCCCAGGCCCAGTTGCTAGAGGGAGGCATGGGGTTTAGCAGGGAGACTTCAAGTTTACCCATGTGTATGTTGCATTCAAGTTGTTTTTAATATATATATATATATATATCAAAAGTCAATTATCTATTTTTATATTGTTTGCATTTTATATTCATGGAAAACAATGTTTATCAATTGTTCTTTTCTGATTTATTTTTAAGCGGTGCTGTTTACAGTTTTAAACAAAACAAAGATGACACAAAAATTGCTGCTGCTTGTGCAGAGGGCTGGCATCTCAACTGCCTAGGGCCCTCCCTCTTTCCCCTCTCCCTACCTTAGCTGTACCACACTGTCCGTTCCCTCCCCCCATGATAGGGACAGCAGAAGATGCCCAGGTACTGAAGACAAACGCCAAGTGACTCAGGCGTGTGGGACCTGGTAGACAGCTTGTCATTTTCTGGCTTTATTTTATGTTTTTCTTTCTTTTGAACCCTTCTTCCCCATGTCTAGACCCTCTGAGAGTACTCATGTGTCTTATTTTTTTTCCTCGTTATGTTTTGTGCTTTAGTTTTGAAATCAGAGTGCCCATGTTGTGCTATTTGTCTTGTTGAGTTTCTCCAAAGGAGCATTTTGGGAACATTCTCCACCCAATGGGGAAGGAAGGGGGTTTCAACCATGTCCCCTTTCCCCAAGAAGCTGTGGGAGACAGATGACAATGATGCTTGCACTATCAGGAATTTACCATCTCGTTGAGGAAACCCTTGCATAGGACTTCCTAGGAGCTCAGTTGATTGTGACATTTTCCCAGAAGAGAGGCTTTGGGGAACTCCTTCACCCCTCTTGCTGCTTTGGGGGAATCTCCTCCCCTACCACCATTCCCCCTCCCCTGCCCTGCTCCAGCTCACACGTGGATGGTACTTTGGGGAACAGTGACTTTCAGGGTGATGGCTTGCTGGCCTGATCCCTGACTTTCCAATCCTATAGTCACTCCAAAGAAGAAAATCCACATGGTATGTATATGTGTGAGGGTTGGGTCTATTGAGAGGTGGGACTTTAATTATTGTTATTATTATTGGTGCTTATTTTTCCTGCTGTATATGGGGGTGGGGGTGGGGGGGAATAAAACAGGAATGTATATTTAGGTCATGTTAAATAAAATGGCTGGAGGAAGGAGGGAAGAAATTAGGAACTGCAGTACATCATCACCCCAGGTGTAAGAGTTATTTCTCTCCCAGTGCAGAAAGGGGAGTGTGGCCCCTGGCTGTACCTGAGCTTCCTCTTCTCCATCCCTGAGACATCACAGAATCACCCGGGTTCTGACCTCTCCACTTCTAGCTCTCACTGACATCTGGATATCTTGATGCACTGCCTGTTTGTAACAACATATACTTCTTTGCTGAATGCTAATAAACTTCTGGGTTCAAGAGGGAACCCCTCAGTCACTAATGTGCATTCTTGTGGTTTGTTCCACAGTAGTGTGCCTGTAACCCATGGTTGTTGGGATTGCCCTTGGAGAGAAATTGAGAAACCAAGGAGGTGGTGGGTGGAGGTGGAGTAGGGAGAACCAGCAGGGGAAACAGAAGCCAGGGCTGAAATTGAAAGTAGAGGAAATTGCAGTTTTTCATCCAAGCCATGCCTTATATCCCAGTCAGATGCCATATTGGCAAACTCTCTATCACACCTTCTATGCCTTAAGACCTGCCCCTTAAGTCCCTGTGCACTGCCAGGGGCTGGCTAGCACTTCTAAAATTAGCCTCAATTTCTGCAAGTATGTGGCCTCCCTACCAGCCAGGAGACAAATGTGTGTACCTCCTGCTGATGGCTCAATCAAAAGGTTATATCTAATGGTGGGACCGGCAGGCCAAGCTGCAGGAATGGCATCTTTTATCCGGGACTATGGGCAGAGATGCTGGCCAGATAGCTGCCTGCCCCACCTATTCAGCTGTTGGGCTGGGTGGGGAGATGTGGCTTCTGCCACTTATTGCAGGGCATCTTATCCAGTGAGCACCAGTGGTATACCATAGCAACAACCAGTCACCTTGGGGGCATGTGCTGATTTCCAGGCCTGTCCTAGCCTAGGTAGGAATCACTTGCCACTTTCTGCTACCACACAAATGCCTACCTGTGCCACCAACCAAGAGAAGGTGATTGTGCTCATGGCTTTGGTTTCTCTAATCCAGATTCTTACCCTTGCTCCCTGGCAAGCAAGGGCATCTGGCACCTGCTGTAGATGCATTCCTGAGTTCCCCCCAACTGCAATCTCTAAGCAAGCCAAAAGGCCTGAAATAGCAGTTGCTTGAAAGTGCTGTGGGCAGTGCTGCTGCGGATATAATTGAAGGGATCCCTAGGGCCCCTTCCCAGGCCAGCAAAGAAGCTTGGTGGCCCTCAGTATTTCATGAATCAAGCAAAGCCAATTAAAAGCAAATTAGCAAGACAAAAAAAGAGAAACTTACGGGAGGGGAGTTGATATTTCATAGAAATTGGATTAACTGTCCTGGGCTGTCCAGGGAGGGAAGGAGCAGGCATGATTGCTAAAGGAACTTTTGGAGCAAGACCCTCTGGGAAAGTCCATAAAATCTCATTATATCTATTAGAAATTCATAAGGGTCCTGGAGTCTGAGAGGCCTGTGTTTCTGCCAATTTTTGCCCCCAGTTAATCAACTGGGCTGTGGGCAAATCTCATCTTTGGCAAATCTTGGGCTAGATTTTACTTGACTGGTTCCCATATGCAAGTCAGAGTCTGGGCTACCTCAAATGACTCAGGACTTTTTCAACTACCTAAGTGCAGGATTTCTCACCCTGATTCTGACTCAGGTGGCCCGTGAGGGAGTATTTTTTGTTTTACCCATATGATGCTGGTGTATTGAACCTGCTGGACAAGAGCTTTTCCTGTTCTGCCATGACAGATGGCTGCCTTTGCTGTGGTCCCCTGAGGAGTGCTTTGCAGTGCTTATTGGGGTGGGGGTCGGGGGGGTGGGTGGCGTTGATGGAGGGAATTTCTTAAGAACTTCCTTTTATCATCAAGAAACTCACTTTGGTCAGCTCCAGCACTGTTCTATGGTCTGTTTGAGGGCTGGGGTTGTGCCTAGCAAGTGGTCAGCCCTTGTTTCCAGTTAATGTTTAAAGCAGACGTAAATCCAACAGATAAGAGAGCTTTTTGTAAGCCTTTTTGAAACTGCTGTGGACAAGCTGCTAGTTCCCCACTGCCCCACTTCCAAGGAAGTTGACTGGGCTCTGGGCCCTACTGATCGTGTTCTTCCTTTGCTTAATAACTCCTAGGCTTTAGCTGAGCTGCCTGGCTTCTGGGAACCAAAACTAGCCAGTAAGAGCAAGTGACCTGAGCGTGACATTTTGTAGTTTGCAAACTCTTTCCATCTTTGTTATCTTCTAAATGGCCCTAAAAAGTAGATGAAAAGAGCAGGTAATTTCATCCCCACTTTATAGATGAATAAAAGAGTCATGGAGAAGTAGAGTGACTTGCTCGTGGTTATATAGAATACTGACTGCAAGTCAGTGTGGAAAAGGGTAGGGCAGGCTGGGGTAGAAGAGGTAGAAGAGAAAGTTTACTGCTAATAATTCTCCAAGCACAGGATGAATAACATCATTGATATGTGCCAGGCACTAAACACTACATTTTCTTGTGTAATCCTCAATTTAACCCTATGAAGTTGACATTTGGTGTTATCCCTATTTTCAGATAAGAAAACTGAGACTCAGGGAGGTTAAGACCCTTTCCAAAATTCACCCAACTAGCTCACTGGACTCCAAATCTTGTGCTTTTACCTTTGCACTTATAGTGAAGCTGTCAGCTGAACATTAGGGATAACTCATAGCAATGGCCCCAGCAGCTGGCCTCAGGCCAGAGCATCCTAAAGCTGAAAGGGACCTCTAGCTGCCTCCCTATCCCACTATGCCCAGCCCAGCCTCCAAGCTCCAAGGCCCTCTCCCCCAGTCAGCAGGGGAGCTTGGTGGCTGTGGCCCTGGTGGAGTCCAGGGTGGGACTCCCATCCCCCACCCAACCCCCAGCCTTGGATCTCTGAGAATTGTTTCCCTCTAGGTGAGCTCAACACTCCTCCCACTTAAATCTGCTAATAAGTGCCCTGGGAAAGATGATGAATAGCAGAGTGAGTCAATAGACATGAGCACTTAGATGCCTGGAGACAGGGCCTCCCACCACTCAGCTTTCGCCACTCAGACCTTTATCATCAATTGGAGCGCTGCCTCATGAGGAGCTACTTAATTGTAAATCACTTAATAGTCACAGTGGTAAATAGTCTCTTTCTTTGGGAGAATAATTGCTGTCTGATGGGCTCTTGAAGGCTGTTCTTTGTTCCCTCAGTTTCTCTCCTACTTTCCCACTTGCTCCCTCTGGATGCCCGAGCACATTTTCTCTGCTCCTTCCAGCCTATGAGGCACTTCATGCAGCTTTCTAAGGGCTCCTGTGCAGCACCCATCACCAACAGGAAGTGGATGATGCTCTAAGTAATGTTATGTCCTTTAAGAGGCCGAAAACGGAATGGGCATCCATCTCCATCTTCAAACTCAGATGTGTCAGGGCAAGAAACAGCCACTGTTTGTTTTCTTTGAAGTAACTGAATTCTGACCCCAGACTCCCCATCCAAACAGGGAAGTAGGAAATTCCATGTCAGTCATGACTGGGAGTCCCCACTCCCTCAAGGGTGGCACTGGAATCCAGGGACTATTTGTGGTGCTCAAAAATCAGGTCAAGGGCAACTAATCTCCCATCTATTCCAGTCGCCACTGACACCCTCATTTTTTACACCAATAGTAGGGGAAGGAAAGCTAAAAGCCCTGAGATGTTAGGTTCTTCCTCCCTCTGAGCACCTTAGGGCTATGTCCACCCTCTCCTTGAGGAGGAGTTTCTACAGCTAAGGGTTCCTACAGTCCCAGACTCAGGAACTCTTCCTTCCCAGCTGGAGCTTCTTTTCTCTTTTCTCTCTTTTCTGGTTCTTCTTTTCTCTCTCTGGGCTCTCAGAAGTCTCTTCCCTCTTTCCTTTGCCTGTAGGATATTATGTCTTCACTGTGGTTTGGGGGGTTTTATAAAAGAATGATAGATTTAGTGGCTTCAGTCTGATTCTTCTTTCTACACTGCAAAATCCCTCTTGTAAGAGGTCTGTCAAGGGCCTGGTTACCTCCATGGAGCAGAAAAATGGGGAATGGGGACATAGGGAGACAACAGACACAAACATAAATATTTCTAGAAATTACTCTGCCACAGAAGACTTTCTCATTGGGGAAAAAAGTGATTTCACTATCCTAGAACTCAAGACTCCAAGATTTTAGTCACTGCTCTTCCTATAACTCTTGGGAACTTGGGTGATTTCTCAGAGTCTCAGTTTCCTCACTGTAAATGAGGGGGTTGGAGAACATGGAATTTTGAGCTGCAGTTCTTTTCTCACCCTGCCCCTTTTGATGCTCGAAGTCCCCCCTACACCATGTGTCCTCTGCCTGCTCACTGCAACTGGCATAGACTCCTGGAGAAGTTTTAATACCTGAGATGCCCCTTCTTATATTGAGCTGGAATTGGCCTAGCTTAGTCCTTGGGTGCCACACAGATCTTGTCTGCTATCTACCCCATCACAGCCCTTCTAGATCTGAAGGCAGAGGTGGTATTCTTTGGATCAATAAATATCATTGAGTGCCTGTTTTGTGTCAGACTCTGTTCTACATGCCAAGCATGTGGAAGTGAACAGGAGAGATAAAACCCTTACCTTCACAGAGCTTACTTTTTTTGTGAGAGTGGGGAGGCAGAAAATAAAATAAAATAGAGTGTCAAATGATGATAGGTACAATGGAGAAAAATTAAGTAGAGGAGGAGAGACAGGGTTCGCAGTTTAAAATAGAGTGGTCAGAGAAGACTCACTGAGCAGGTCACATTTGAGAGAAGAGCTAAAGCTCTGAGGTGAGAGCATATAATGTATTGCAGGAACAAACATGAGCCCAGAATGGCTGAAGTAGAGTGAGTGAGGGGGACAATGTTAGGAGATAATATCATAGAGGTAGTGTTGGGGCTAGGGAGATGAAACAGAGCCTTGTAGACAACTGCAAAGACATTGTAAAGACTCCTGAGTTGGGAGCAGTGACATGAGCTGACTTAAGTCACCTGTAGAAGTGTCTTTTCCAGGCCTAACTAGCTTCAGCTCTGTCTTAGTCCATTTGGCCTGCTATAACATACTCAGTAGCTTATAAACAGCTGAAATTTATATCTCACAGTTCTGGAGGCTAGGTAGCACAAGATTAAAGTGCCAGCAGATTCAGTGTCTAGTGAGGCCCACTTCCTCATAGATGGTGCCCCTTCTTGCTTTTTTTTTTTTTTTTTTTTCCCTCAGACGGAGTCTCATTCTGTTACCCAGGCCGGAGTACAGTGGCGTGATCTCATCTCACTGCAACCTCCACCTCCTGGTTTTAAGTGATTCTCCTGCAGTAGCTGGGATTACAGGTTTGCGCCACCACACCCAGCTAATTTTTGTATTTGTATTAGAGACGGGGTTTCGCCATGTTGGCCAGGCTGCTCTCGAACTCCTGACCTCAGGTGATCCTCCCACCTCGGCCTCCCAAAGTGCTAGGATTACAGGCGTGAGCCACCATGCCCAGCCGGTGCCTTCTTGCTTTGTCCTAACATGGTAGAAGGAGCAAACAGCTTCCTTGGGCCTTTTTTATAAGGACATTAATCCCATTCATAAGAATGTAACCCTCATGACCTATCACCTCCTAAAGGCCTCACTTACTAATACTATCACATTGGGGGCCAGGTTTCAACATATGAATTTGGGGATTACACAAACATTCAGACCATAACAAGTAAGCTCCTTCCAGTCCTTCCTTATGTGCCTTGGGTCTTAGCCCCCTCCCCAGCCTTCTTGCTCCCTCTTAGATATACCCCAGTGTGTTGGTGCCCCCTTCAAGCATGGGTCCCAGAATAGGATATGATCTCTTAGGGACTACCTAACCTAGGCAGAGAGGTATGGGGCCATTACTTTCCTTGATGTTCTCTAACATACTTTTAACACTGACTTTTTTTTTTTTTTTGAGACAGGGTCTCACTCTGGAGAGCAGTGGCCCAATCTTGGTTTACTGCAACCTCCGCCTTCCAGGTTCAAGCAATCCTCCCACCTCAGCCTCTCAAGTAGCTGGGACTACAGGCACAGGCCACTACACCAGGCTAATTTTTGGTATTTTTGGTAGAACTGGGCTTTCACCATGTTGCCTAGGCTGCTCTCCAACTATTGGACCCAAGCTCTCTGCCCACCTCAGCCTCCCAAAGTGCTGGAACTAGAGGCATGAGCCACTGTGCCTGGCCTAATGCTGACATTCTTTGAGGAAGAATGAATAAGATTTAAAAAGCCACTATCATAGAGCAGGTAATTCTATATTTTAGTATGCTAAGGTGAACACTTTGGACAAATTTACTGAAGCTCTTTGTCATGATTCCTGGATACCTGTAAGAGTCTACGTGATATTATGAATTTTGGAGTCAAACAGACCCAAGTCTTATTCCTGGCTCCATGATCTACCAGCTGTATGACCTTGATAAGTGAGATCTTCTTTAAGCCTCAGCATCTTAATCTATAAAATAGATTAAGCCTCAGCATCTTAATCTTTAAAATCTTTAAGCCTCAGCATCTTAATCTATAAAATAGAAGAAATAATCTTCACCTCATCATGGGAGATAGCAATAATGTGTATGAAGCCTCTCTGTCTACTGCCTGGCCCATGCAGGCCCTGCACATATGGTGGTCAATCTTAACTATCATTGTGGCTCCTATCCTTGGCACATAGGCAGCCTCATTTTGGATCTTTGGTAGGACCCTGTAGTTGGAGAGAATTTGGTTAAACTGATCACATTTTTGTAGCGCTCAGCAGATGGAGAAGTGAGAGTGTGGACCTCGTGTGCTTCTCCCATTGAGTTATGTGAGTGTCTATTGGCGGCTAGACCCAGGGTCTCAGGAGAGTCAGGGCTGTAAGCATTCAGGCTCAAAGTTTAATGCTTCTTCTCTGAGGGAAGGTTGAAATGGAGACTTCAAACGAAGTCAGTGGCAAGTGTTTATTTGACCTGCAATTGAAAGCCCAGAGACCTGCATCACATTGTACCTGAAAAACCAGGCTAAGGTGTGAGCTGCTTAATCAGAATTAAAATCATCATGCACGTAAGGGACCTAAAGTGGGCATCGGAAGCCCAATGCCAAGGGGGGAAGCAAGTGCATAACAGTGCGACCAAACAGGTGAGCAGGAAGGAGATGACAGTCGCTGGTGCTTAGTGCCAAGGCTGGGCTTTTACGAGTCTCCAGTAGCTTTTTGTGTGAGCAAGTGAGCCATATCTGCATACAGGTTGCAAACAGGGGACCCACCAAGATGCTTTCCTCAGGGTCCCTTGAGCACTACTTTCAGGGTAGTCCAGACATAAAGCCAAGTATTTGTAGGATATCTCTGGTTCCACCTTTGGGGCTGGGCTTAGTGGTAGGCCAGTCTGAGAAGTAACCCTGTTCACTTGGAAGTTGAAATAATTGCTTGGGACAGGCCTGTGTTGGGAGCAGCCAGAGTAACAGGCAAGTCTTTGAGAACCTGGATAGGTCTGAGCCTGTTTTCTTAGCTGCTAAACAGGACCAGTAATGCCCAGTGATCCTCCCTCTCACCAGTCCTGTGATCCAGTGAAGGCCATTCTAATTTCCCCCACTGAACAACGCTGTAGACATGGGATATTAAATTAATTTTTGAAAATTGTAAAAGGATATAGAAATTCAAGGTGGTAGTATTATGCAAATACTCTGGCACTGGTTGTCCTCTGCCCTCTATGAATTCATCTCTCTCATGAGGCTTGGGCCCTGAGGGGATGGATACCCTATTCTCCATGATGTGATTATTTCACATTGCATGCCTGTATCAAAACATGTTAAGAACCCCATAAATATATACACCTATTGTGTACCCGCAATTTTTTTAATAATAGAAAAATTTTTTTTAAAAAACCTTTAAACCTGCCAGTAGCGAGACCAACACTGTGATAGGCCAGTCATTGGACACAGTAAGTTTAGAGTTTTAGTTGTGACTTGTGAGTGGGTTTTTTTTTTTTAGGAAAATGAAAAATTGGCATACTTAGGGGAATTCACTCTCTTGCTGCTCCCAACTCCTCAATTTCAATCTTTTGATATTCCTCTCTTTCTCACTCTCATTCTCAGTACCAAGACTGACTATGTTCTTGGCTTAGCCAGAAGACCATGCAGGGTACAGATGGTCTCATGTAACTTCCTCCTTGGCTGGCTTTATTCATGGCAGCCACTATTTAGAGTAATTGTGGGCAGCTGGTGGAAACTGTTTGCAGCATCCCAGGTTCAGGCTCATGAGTCAAAAATTATCTTCACCATAATCTGAGATAGAGCTGAGCTCCAATGAGTACAGTCCAATGGCAGTAGGAGTGTTCACTTATCCTCCTGGGAGTTGGATCAAAGACTTGCCTTTCTGGTTCTGGCCTGCTCATCTGTGTGACCTTGGGCACTTCCCTCACTGGTCTAGGGCTCAGCTTCCTCAGTCATTAGGTAAGAATATGGATCTCTGCCATGTCCCCCTCTTGTGCAATGGTTATAAAGAGTATTTTGAAAACTGTAAAGGAAGAAGACAAAATGGTGGTCATTATTACTGGCATTATCTGTGCAGCTTGAATTCTCAGGGAGGAGGCTGCATCTCCAAAGTAATAAATTTTTACTTCCCGCATGCTAAGTCTGAGATCCTGCGCTAGGTGCTATAGATATGGAAACAAGCAGTGATGTGCCGGGGCCAGCTGGTAACAGCTCTCAAGAGCCAATTGTGCACATCTCTTCCTAACTCTACGTCCAGTGACATCACATTGGTAGACTGAAATTGACTATGGTGGGAATAATATCCATAATGGAAATCAGAAGATACTATAAATCAGGGCTTTAATTTTTTTTTTTTCCCAGAGATCCAGACCTGTCTCAGCCACAAGGGAGTTGCCAATCTAGCAGTGGTGTGTGTGTGTGTGTGTGTGTGTGTGTGCATGCTTGCACCTGTGTATGAATGCACATGCATACAGGCTGGTAAAATAAGCAGGTACATGACTACAATAGATAAGAGTATTAAGTTGAACCATGAGATATTGCTATTTGTGTCAATCAAAACTAGCCTACTATTGACAATTGCATATGGTTAAACCTAATTGAGTATTTATAGCAGAAGAGTACCTGGAATAGAAGAGAATTTCCCAGGGTCCCTCCAAAGATCTGAGGCTGAGCTGGAGTTAGGCTCCAGGACTCATGGTTCCTTGTCTTAACCCTGAAGGCTTCATCATCACTCTTTTGTCCTCTGATTCTTTGTCAAAATGGACAAAGCTCTGATGTGGGAACTGCAGTACTGATAGAGTAGGATATCCACAGGTCTTTTTTCTCTTTGTGTCCTCTGAGTTAAAGGTTAGAATCCAGCAGATATTCTTATGTCTTAGACTCATTGTCCCAACACACTTTTTTTTCTTTCTCTCTGCCTCCCTCCCTCCACCCTACCCTCACCACTCTGCCTGTGTCTTGCATTCTGAGAGTGTCAGAGATTAGAGCATGTCCAGAAGAAAGCAAAGGAAAATGAATATAGCAGTTGGAAATAGAATCCATGAGGAAAGGTGAAAGTGATTTTGCCTTGAAAAAAAGAAGTCCGCCTGTCAACAGAATAATAGGCTTTATGTCTCAAAATAACTGCTATACAGAGGATCTATACTGCCTTTTCCATTTCATGAAGCCAGAAGAATTCAACATTTTGGTTAACGGTATTACAAGCCATCCAGGCTCCTAAACTGAGAGTTATCATTGACTCATTTGTCTCACTCAGTCTCTATTTCTAATCAGTCCAAGAATTCTACTGATTCTACCTCTTAAATATCTCTTGAATCTGTCCCTTCTTCTTCATCTCAGCTGCCATGGTCCTAGGTCAGGCCTTTATTCCTAGCCTCCACTGGGCTCCATCCTTCTCAACTACCGCCACCAGAATGTTCTTCTTTTTTTTATTATTATTATACTTTAAGTTTTAGGGTACATGTGCACATTGTGCAGGTTAGTTACTTAAGTATCACCCAACTATTCAGGCAATGCCTTTTGTGAGATCACTATTGCCTATGAAATTAAGAATGACTTCTTCAGCCTGACATTAAAAGCCTTTTCTCTTATGGTTCCAACCTCCTTTGCAGCCCCAACTCCCACCTCTTGATATACTAGATACTTCAGCTGTTTCCTTGGTAGGCCCCCATTGTTACCACCACAGGGCCTTTCTACATGCTCTTCCCTCCACCTAGACTTCCATCATTTTTGCCCATTGAAATCCTGTTTATCTCTCATGATGCATCCTAAAGGCCACTTCCTCCTGAATTCCATATCATGATGGGCTCATTTGCCCTCCTAAACACTATAGTCATTCATTTGTCTCTTTCTGTTGGCACGTGACTTAGCATAGTCGTAAGAGCAGCAGCTTTTCAGCTAGACTGCTTAGGTCCCAATCCTGACTTTGCTACCTATTAGCTATGTGACATTGAACAAGTTGCTTAAGTTTTCTTGATTATCCTTAAAATGGGCAACATATAAGTACTTCCCTCAGAAGTTGCACAAGTTAATAAATGTTTGAAACTGAATATTTATTAACTATAAACTGAAATATGTTGAATAGTAAATGCAGCTATTATAATTGTTTATATTCTTGTCTCATCTTTTCCACTAGACCATAGTTCCTTGATGGTAGAAATCACATATTGCTCATTGTTTGTGACAATTAATAAGGATTTTTTGAAATGCTTCACAGGAACTTCTGGCCTAGAAAAGATAGTTTCAGCTAATTTCTCCCTGCTCTTCCTCTCAAAGTACAACTATAAACTCTGAAAATAGTGCAAGACACCACCAAAACTTGAAAAAGTGATAAGAAGAAAGCAAGTTGGGATGGGACCACAGGATTGAAGGAATAGCACAACCACAGGGCATCACGGATCACCCATCCAAGAGAAGTAGGCAACCACAACCTGGCATTTCCCAATTGTCAACCTAGCAACAGAAGGCAGCCCAGGAAGGCTCAACCTTCCCCAAGATAGAATAGGTGTCCCAACGTAAGGTTATCCTGGCAGCACGGTCAAAGAGGGTTGATTGGGAGCCCCACTGACAATAAGCAGCTAAAGGAACCACTTCCTTTCCCTAACAGGCCTGAGACTCCCCTTTCCCATTGAGACACACAAGGTGACTAGGTGGCATTAACAGGGTTGTCCCATCAAAATAAGCAGCCCTGCCTGGGAAGTGCTCATTCTCCCTGCAGGACTCTTTTGCCCTAACCTAGATTTGCCAGGTGGTTTGGCCTAGGGAAAACTCCTCACACCCCTCAGGCAGCATCAGCAGAAGCAAGTTGGGGCCCCAGAAGCAACAGATAAATTAAGCAGACTGAAATCGCAGCATAAAGATCCTAAGGAAAATTAAATTGTCATTGGAACCACGGCCCACAAAAGTAGACCAGGACCTGCCTCCTAACATAAACAAGATGACTCCCTGCTAAAGTAAAACATTTATATGGGAGCAGAGCCCCCTAACATAATATACAAAATGTCTAGGATACAATAAAAAAAAAATCACTCATTATAACAAGAGCCAGAAAAATCAAACGTTAATGCCTTCTGTGAAGAAATCAGTTGGAGCTAGGTGCAGTGGTTCACGCCGATAATCCCAGTAGTTTGGGAGACCGAGGCAGGCGGATCACCTGAGGTCAGGAGTTCGAGACCAGCCTGGCCAACATGGCGAAACCCTGCCTCCACTAAAAATACAAAAACATTAGCCAGGCATGGTGGCAGGCACCCATAATCCCAGCTACTTGGGAAGCTGAAGCAGGAGAATCACTGGAACCTGGGAGGCAGAGGTTGCAGTTAGAAGAGATCACACCACTGCACTCCAGCTTTGTCTCAAAAAAATGAAAATAAAAACAAAAAATAAAAAGAAAAGAAATAAATTGAGATTTTAATAGGGACTACATCATTCTGTAGATAATTTGAAGGAGTCTGTTTTGCCTGATACTAGTATAGCCACTCTACTTCTCTTTTGGTTATTATTTGCATGATATACATTTTTGCAACTATTTACTTTCAGCCTATTTGTGTCTTTGATTCTAAATCGTGTCTCTCATAGAAAGTATGTGCATCATGTTATTTTTATCAAATCTCTCAGTATCTTCCTTTTAAATGAACAATTTAAGTTCATTTACATTTAACCTAATTATGGATAAGGTAGGATTTCTGCCGGCCAGTTAGCTATTTGTTTTGTATCTTCCTTTTAAATGGAAAATTTAAGTTCATTGACTTTTAACCTAATTATGGATAAGGTAGGATTTCTGCTTGCCAGTTTGCTACTTGTTTTCAAGTTTCCGAGGTCTTTTTCTTCCTCTATTACTATATTCCTTTGAGTTAAATAGATATTTTCCTGTGTACCATTTTCATTCTCTTACTGTTTCTTTTACCACATTTCTTGGTTTTATTTTTTTAGTGGTTTCCCTGAGGATTATAAATAATATCTTAATATATAACAATTTAATTTGGATTGATACCAACTTTATTTCAATAATATACAAAAATACTGCTTTTATCCCACTGTGCCCCTCCATCTTTATGCCATTATTGTCACAAGTTACATCTTTATACATTGTGCACCCACTAACATAGATTCATAATTGTTGCTTTATATAGTTGTATTTTAAGTCACATAGTAGTAAAATTTATATTGTCTTTTATATTTACCTATATCAAACTCTAGAATATCTATTGGTCCTTTGGATAATTTCTATCACTTTATTGATATTTGGTGAGAAATCAGTTTCGTGCTTTCTTTTAATTCTTTAGATATGGTTTAAAGGAAATCATGAAGAACTAAAGGAGTTCTTTGAAAATATTTAAAATAATTGATTTAAAGTAATGTCTAGTAAGTCCCATGTCTGAGTTTTCACAGGGACAGTTTCTAATTATTTGCTTTTTATCATGCGTGTGGACCATAATTTCCCATGCTTTTGCTCATCTCATAATTTTAAAAATTAAAACACTATAATTTAAGTGATATAATATGGTAACTCTGGACAGCAGATTTTCCCTGCTTCCCAGGGTTTGCTGTTGTTGATGCTTATTGTAATTGTTGTTTTTGTTTCTTTTGCAAATTTTAAGAACGGATTCTGTAAAGTTCATATACTTTGTGTGTGACCACTAAAGTCTCTGCTCAGTTAGCTTAGTGGTCAGTTAAAAATTGCACAGTTATTTCCTTAAATGCCTGGAACCAATACATCTCCTAGTCTTTGCTGAGGGGTACTTTGTTGGGGTATTCATCCAGGCAGTTTACAACTCTATACTTAGCCAGGTAGTTTACATGTTTACCTAAGCTTTCTCTTCTTATTTGTGCGCAGCTTCAAGGTTAGCCAGAAGTGACAGCTTAGAGCCTTCTCAAGTCTTTCTGAGTATACAGACATTCCTAGGCACATGTACGGTCTTCCAAATTCCTAAGAATATGTTGGACCTTTTCAAAGTTTGTACGTACATCTTATTGTTCAGCTTTTCCTGTTAATATTTTGGTTAGTCTGCTATTTACCCCAAATATTATCAATTGTCTTAGGCAGCTGCAAATTTAAAACTCCTGCCTGTAATTATTTTCAACAAACATCCCCCCTGCCCCCTGCCAAGATAGAGGGCTTTTATCACTGGGAAAACTCCGAGTCAGGCTTGTAAGGGGGTTCCTCCAGGAAACCACCAGACAGGTCAGATAATGACAGTTCTTTGGGAATAAGATTTTTAAAGAGGTGCAGCTCCATTCTGCTTTCTCCAAGGGCTGATAAGATGCTGAAGAAAGTAGGCTGTTATTTTTCAAAGTTACTGCTTAACTGGATAGTGGAGAATGGGACTAGGGCAAGTTAAAACACTACAAATCTCACTGCTCTTACCAAGAGTCAGTCGTATCTCTTGAGTAAACACTACCCAGCTACTGCAAGCCTTTGGCTAACTTCCGGTGTTCTGAAAAAGTTGATTCTGACAATTTTTACCAGGTTTTATATTGCTTTAATGGATGGGGAAATTTTTGGAGGTTTTACTCTGAAAGGACTTTACCAATGTTATCCTATGCAATTGCTTTTTAAATTGGTTAAGAAACAAATATGTAATTATATTGTCTATTATCATTATCTATATAATTACATTTACTGGAGCTGTTTTTTTTTTCAGGTATGTTCAAATTACTGCCTGCTGTCACTTTTTTCAGCCTGAAGAACATCCATTAGTATTTCCTGTAAAACATGTCTTCTAGCAATGAATTCTGTCTGTTTTTGTTTATCTAGGAATCTTTCCTTCAACTTTGAAGGATACCTTTGCCATATATATGATTCTTGATTGGCAGGAATTTTTTGTTTCTTTCTGTACTTAGACTCAGCCATCCCACTGCTTCCATTGTTTCTGATGAGAAGGTAAAGGTTGATCTTCTTGTGGTTTCTTGTATATGCTGAGTCATTTTTTTCTTGTTTTCAAGATTCTTTCTTTGTCTTTGGTTTGGCAGTTTGATTATGATGTGCCTAGGTGTGAAGTTTGTGGAGTTCATCCTACGTAAAGTTCATCGAGCATCCTGGATATGTAAATTAGTGTTTTTCATCAAAATTGGGATGATTTCAGCTATTATTTCTTCAAATATTCTTTCTGTCCCTTTCTTTCTACCCTTGCCTTCTGGGAATTCCATGGTTTTTACTTTGTGACATCTATGTCCCACAGGCCTGTTTATTCTTCATTCTTTTTTTTCCTTTTCCTCAAATTAGATAACCACAAATGACCTATCTTCCAACTCGCTGATTCTTTCTTCTGCCATATCAAATCTTTCACTGAGCACATCTAATTAATTTTTAATTTCAGTTATCTAACTTTTCAATTCCAGAGATTTTATTTGGTTCTTTATTATACATTCGTTCTCCTTATTGATAATCCCTATTTAGTGAGACATTATTCATATACTTTTCTTTAGAGAAAATTCTTTAGAAATGTTTTCTTTAGTTCTTTGAACATATTCAAAATAGCTCAATTTAAGTCTTTATTTAGTAAGTCCAAAGTCCTTCCTTGGAACCAGTTTCTATTGAAAGATTCCCCCACTGTATATCCGTCATACTTGTTTCTTTGCATGTGTTAAAAAATTTACCTTTTAAGTAATATAATGTGGCAACTCTGGAAATCAGATTCTGCTGGGTGTGTGTTTGCTGTCACTTGTTACTATTTGCTTGATTAGTGACTTTCCTCAACTAACTCTGTAAAGTCTGTATTCTTTAACCTGTGTGGCCACTGAAGTTTCTGTTTGGTTAGCTGAGTGGTTGACTAATAACTGGACAGAGATATTCTTAAATGCTTGGAACCAGTAAGCTTCTTAGCTCTTGCCAAGTAGCTCAGTGTATATGTTGGAACAAGTCTTCAACATTCAGGCAAGCAGTTTAAAACTCTGCCTTAATTTGTGCAGAGCCAAAAAGTCAGCAAAAAGTGAGAAATTAGGGCATTTTCATGTATGTCCACTCGAAGAATAGACTATAAGTACATGCAATAGAAAAACAATCACAAAAATAAAAAAAAAAAGTTTGTCCAAAAAAATAAATAAATAAAAGGTTTGTTCTTTGAAAAGATCAAGAGATTTGGCAAACTTGTACATTAAGTGACCAAGAAAAAAGAAAGAACCTCAAATTACTAAAATAAGAAATAAAGGAGGGGACATTACTACTGATTTTAAATAAATAAAAAGGATTATAAATGAGTACTATGAACATCTGTATGCAACAATTTAGAGAACCTATAGGAAATTTCCATGAAGACACAAACTACTGAAAATGACACAAGAAAAAAAGAGAAGATATAAATAGATACATCACAAGTAAAGAGATTGAATATTATTCTAAAATCTTGAAAAGTCAAGGATGAGATAACTTTATTAGTGACTTGTACCAAAGGTTTAAAGAAAAATTAACACCAATCTCTTACAACTCTTCC
Organism: Homo sapiens; assembly: GCF_000001405.40. Lineage (NCBI taxonomy): Eukaryota > Metazoa > Chordata > Mammalia > Primates > Hominidae > Homo > Homo sapiens. Next base: position 64,169,535 of record NC_000023.11, on the reverse strand, counting down.
AAAATAAGTGGAAGAGGAGGGAACACTTCCCGACTCATTCTGTTGGGCCAAAATTACTCTGTTACCAAAAGTAAACAAAGCAAAGATATCATAAGACGATAAAACTACAGACTAACGTTCTTTGTGAATATAGATGTAAAAACCCTCAACAAAAATACTAGCAGACAAATATCCAGAAGCTTACAAAAGATTGCACACTATGACCAAAGTGAGATTTATTCCAGAAATGAGAGACTGGTTTTACATGTGAAAAATCAATCAATGCAGTACACCATATGATAAAAGACCAAAACCGCAATGATCATGTTAATAGACACACAAAAAAATCATTTGACAAAATCCAACATCCATTCATGATAAAAACATTCAAAAACTAGGAATAGAAAGGAACTTCCTCAACCTAAGTAAGGGCGTCTACAAAAAACCCTCAGCTAGCATAATTCTTAATGTTTAAATACTGAAAGCTTTCCTCCTAAAATCATTAACCAGCAAGGATGGTCCACTTGTGCCACTTCTATTCAACACTGTAGTTGAGAATCTAGTGAGAGCTATTAGACAAAAATAGGTGTCAGTATTAGAAAGGAAGAAGTGAAATGTTTCTATTGGCAGATGACACCATCTTATATATAGAAAATCCTTAGGAATTCACCCAAAGAGTTGAGAGCCAATAAATCAACTCAGCAGTGTTGCAGGCTACAAGCTCAATATAAAAAATCAATTGCACACACTATGTACTAATAGTGAACAATGTGGAAATAAACATTTTAAAATTCCATGTATAATAGTATCAAAAATAAAATACCTGTGAATAAATTTAACAAAACAAGTGTAAAACTTGTATCCTGAAACTAAAACAAAAAATGTTGATGGAATTTAAAGACATAAAAAAATGGAAAGCTATCCCATGTTCATGAATTGGAAGACTTAATATTGTTAAGATAACATTAATCCCCAAATTGATCTACAGATTGCATATGGTCTCTATTAAGATCGCAGTTAAGTTATTTATTTTTTTGGTCTTTTTTAGTTTGTTTTGTTTTCCAGAAATTGACAAGTTGATTCTAAAACTCATATGAAAATGCAAGCAATCCAAAAGCCAAAAAGTTCTTGAAAGAGAAAAACAAATTTGGAAAAGTTATATTCTCAATTTCAGATATGACTATAAAGTTACAGTAATCAAGAATGTGTGATTCTGATATAAAGATGTATAGATAGATAGATGTAGATATAGATAAATGGAATAAAACAGAAAGTCTAGAAATAAAACCTTATGTTATAGGTTGACTGATTTTTGACAAGGGTGTCAAGATAATTCAGTGAGGAAAAATAATCTTTTCAACAAATGGTGCTATGTCAACTGGATTTCCACATACAAAAGAATGAGTTTGGGCCCTTACCTCACACCATATACAAAAATTAACTCAAAATAGATCAGAGGCATACATGTAAAAGCTAAAACTGTAAAATTCTTATAAGAAAACATAGGAGTAAATCTTTATGAACTTAGATTGGTATATATATACATATATATATATATATATATATATATATATATATATATATATATATATGACACCATAAAGAGCAAGCAACAAAACAAAACCAAAAATAGATTAACTGAACTTCATCAAAATTAAAAATGTGCATTTAAAAACACTGTAAAGAAAAAGACAATACACAAATGGGAAAAAATATAAATCACGTCTGATTTACTGTCTAGTATTCAGAGTATCTAAAGAACTTTAAAACTCATCAATAAAAAGATAAATAATAAAAAGTTTTAAATGGATAGAAAATTTGAATAGACGTTTCTCCAAAGAAGATATACAAATGGCCAATAAGCAATAATAAAATATGTTCAGCATATTTATTCATTAGGAAAATGCAAATCTAGCCTTCAACACGGTATTATTTAACACTCACAATTATGGCTATAATTTTTTTAAAACAGAAAATAAAATATGTTGGTAAGGATGTGGACATATTAGAACTGTCATATATTGCTGATGGGAATGTAAAGTAGTGCAGCTTCTGTGGACAACAGTTTTGCTGTCCCTCAAATAGTTCCAAACATAGTATTTAGTAGTGTTACTATATGACTCAGAATGTCCAATCCTAAGTATTCACCCAGGATAATTGGAAGCATGTTCCCATGAAAACTTGGACCCCAATACTCATAGCACCATTGTTAATAATAGCCAGAAGATGGAAACAACACAATGTCCGTAAACTGATGAATAGGTAAATAATATATGGTTTATCTATGCAATGGAATTTTATTCAACCATAAAAAGAAATAAAGTCCCAATACATGCTACATAATGGATAAACCTTGAAAATATTATGCTAAGTGAAAGAAACCAGACACAAAGGGCCACATACTATGTGATTCTGTTTATATGAAATGCCCACAATAGGCAAATTTAGAGACAGAAAGCAGATTAGTGGCTGCAAAGGGTTAGGCATAGAAAAGAATGCAGAGTGACTGGTAATGGGTAAGTAGTTTCTTTCGGGGGTTATGAATATAACTGGACTTAGTGGTGATGCTTGCACATCTCTGTGAATATCTGAAATTCTGCTGAAATGTACCCTTTAAAATGGTGAATTCTATAATATGCCAATTAAAAAACAATTACATAAAACAATGACATAAAATTTATTTTGGGGTCTATAACATATAGAAATGCAACATATTTGACAACAACAATATAAAGGGAGAGAGTGGGAATTAAGCTATATGAAAGTGAGGAAACAGAGTAGAGGACAACTCAAATCTACAGAAAGAAATAGAGACAACCAGAAATGGTAAATAAGAAGTTTAATTAAAAAAAACTATAAATATGTGTGCTCTTCTTTACTCTCTTTGTCTCTTGAAGAAGGCATAAAATTGGCCAGGCACAGTGGCTCAGCCTGTAATCCCAGCACTTTGGGAGGCCGAGGTGGGCAGATCACCTGAGGTCGGGAGTTTGAGACCAGCCTGAACAACATGGAGAAACCCTGTCTCTGCTAAAAATACAAAATTAATCGGGCGTGGTGGCACATGCCTGTAATCCCAGCTACTTGGAAGGCTGAGGCAGGAGAATCGCTTGAACCCAGGAGGTGGAGGTTGCAGTGAGCCGAGATCGCACCATTGCACTCCAACCTGGGCAACAAGAGCAAAACTCCATCAAAAAAAAAAAAAAAAAAAAGACATTAAATTATGTGAAATGAAAATTATAAAAATGTATTGTTTAAAAACATATATAGGTGTAATATTTATAATAGTAATAACATGAAAAAGGGGGAAGGGAGCTACATAGGAGTAAAGTTTCTATACCTTACTAGAAATAATTTTATATAAATCTAAAGTAGATTGTGATTCACTATGATTCATATTGTAACTCCTGGAGCAATCATTCATAAAATGTTTCAAATAATTATGGTTAAAAAATTAAAGAAATTAATATTTTACACTAAAAAGCATCCATTTATGACATAAGGACATAGTGAAGGAGGAACAGAGGAAATACATAGTCATGAAGCACATAGAAAACAAAGGCCAGACATCGTGGCTCACACCTGTTATGCCAGCATTTTGGGAGTCCAAGGCAGGAGGATCACTTGGGGCCAGGAGTTCGAGGCCAGCCTGGGCAACACAGCGAGACCCCATCTCTACAGAAAAATGTTTTAAAATAAAATAAAATAAAATGGCAGACATAAGTCCAATCATATCAATAGTAACATAATATGTGAATGGATTAAATAATCCAATCAAAGGCATAATCAAACTTCATGCTCTCCACAGGAAGCACAATTTAAATTCAAAGATACAAATAGGTTGAAAGTAAAAGGGAAGAAAAAGATATACTATACAAACAGCAATCGTATGAGAACATGAGTGGCTTTTCTTTTTCTTTTTTTTTTTTTTTTTTGATGGAGTCTCACATTCTGTTGCCCAGGCTGCAGTGCATTGGTGCCATCTCAGCTCACTGCAACCTCTGCCTCCTGGGCTCAAGTGATTCACCCACCTCAGCCTCCTGAGTAGCTGGGATTACAGGCACCCACCACAATGCCTGGTTAATTTTTGTATTTTTTTAGTAGAGCTGGGGTTTCACCATGTTGGCTAGGCTGGTCTGGAACTCCTGACCTCAAGTGATCCACCCACCTTGGCCTCCCAAAATGCTGGGATTGTAGACATGAGCCACTGCACCTGGCCAAGAACATGAGTGGCTTTATTAATATGAGACAAAATAGACACTGAGGCAAAAACTGTTAACATACATAAAGATGGCCATTTTAGAATAGTAAAGATAGCAGAATAACAGAATATATCAATGATATAGAAGAACTGACCAACATTATAAATCAACTATACAATATCTGTATAACACTCTATCCAACAACAGCAGAATACACATTCTTTTCAAGTGCACATGCAACATCCTCTAGGATAGATCACATTTTAGGTCATAAAACCAGCCTCAGTAGATTTAGGAGGATTGAAATCACGCACTTCGTGCTCTCTGAGAGAAAAAAAAAAACCCTCAGTTTCTCCCACTATACTCTCTCAAGGTGCTTCTGACAGCATATGTAAGTGCACATCAAGCAAGCCAGCAATTCTGCGGCAGACACCAGCTGGATATCCTCTAACCAGTTCAATTCCAACACTATCTACCTGGAGATAGCACCAGATCCCACAGGTTGAGGGCTCAGTCCCACAAGGCTGCTCCCTGCTTCTAATGCCAATTGCAAGGCCCAGGTTGTTTCACCTGTGCTTCTGACTGATGGGCTATAAATTGAGGTTCCCATGATTCCCTACTCATGTTTGATCAATTTACTAGAGTGGCTCACAGAACTCAGGTAAACATTTATTTACACTTACTGTTTTTTTAAAATAACATTACAAAGGATACAGATGAAGAGATGCATAGGGTGGAGGTACAGGATTACATGCGCGAATTGTCCAAATCCTTCCTCGGTGCACCACCTTCCAGAAATCTCTATGTGTTCAGCTATCAGGAAGCTCTTCGAATCCACTCTTTTTGGGGGTTTTATGGATGCCTCATTACGTAGTCATGATTGATTAAATCATTGGCCATAGATGATCAGCTTCATCTTCAGCCCCTCTCTCCTTAGAGGTCAGGGGGTGGGGCTCAAAATTCCAGCCCTCTAATTCTGCCTTTGTCTTTCTGGTGACCAGCATCCATCCTGAAGCTACCTAGAGGCTACAGCCATCAGTCAACTCATTTTTTTTTTTCTTTTTTTAGAGATTAGGTCTCACTATGTTGCCCAGGTTGGTCTCAAACTCCCGAGCTCAAGCAATCCACCCAACTCGGCCTCTCAAAGTGCTGGAATTACAGGCATGCACTACCATGCCTCCTGTGGTCAACTCATTAGCATACAAAAATATACTTATTACTTTGAAGGTTCCAAGGATTTAGGGAGTTCTATGCTGGGAATGGGGACAAAGACCAAATATATATTTCACGATATCAGACTCTCTGACCACAATGAAATAAAATTAAAAATCAACAGCAGAAGAAAATTTCAGTTCATATATATGTGGAATTTATAAAACACACTTCTAAATAATTAATGGTTCAAAGAAGAGACTACTCAAAAAATTAACAGTTTGAGATGAATAAAAGCACCAACATAACATACCAAAACTTGAGATGCAGCTAAAGTAGTTCTTGAAAATTTATAGCTATAAATGCCTATATTACAAAAGAAGAATGATCTTAAACCAATTACCTAACCCAAAGTAAAGCCGAAGTGAGCAGAAAGAAGAAAATAATAAGGATTATAATTAAATTTGACTGAAATTAAGGCTATTGAGGCAGAAGTAATTTGATAAAACTTTATTGGAAGCCAAATGTGAGGATGAAGCTGAAAGACATACCATCAGAGCTGGGGGGTGTTCTGAAATCTGTCACTAGGTGAAAGGATTTTATAGAAAAGTTTAAAAGAAGGGAGAGGGACTCCTCATACTGGAGTTGTCCTCTTTTCATTGGAGAATACAATACAAAAGTTATAAACAGATTATATCATAGAGGCTAAATATGTCTAGGTGCAAGGCAATCCAGTGGAAATTCATGCTTGAGCTAACCTTAAAATAAATCAGCATCCAATTTAGTGTCCGTAGGTTATACATTGATCAACACATCAACAATTTGAGAAATTTACAATAAGATTATTTACTCAGAGAGAGAATGTTGCCCTTGAGTCACAAGACTTCCCCAAGATGGATTAATTTGGAAGACTGGTTTCTGTCAAATGTGACCTGAAAGTTATGTAAACCAAAAAGTATCTGAGACAGGTCTCAATCAATTTATGTTTATTTTGCCAAGGTTAAGGACATGCCTGGGAGACAAGTCTATGCCTTTATCCAAAGATGATTTGGGGGGCTTCGATATTTAAAGGAGAAAAGCAGGCTAGAAGGGAAAGTGGGAGGCTATGGTCACATTATTGAATCTGCATGTTGCAAGAGAAGAGGAGCAGGTAGGGGAATAGTCAGTTATGTATTACTCTCATGCTCAGTAAATCTGCACTTTACATAAAGATAAGGTGAACATATAGTAGCTACCTGTGGAAATATTAAACTTTTATCTGTAGCTATCTGCTTAGGAACAAAAGGAAAGGCAATTTCTTGCATGACTCAGCTTTTAGCTTAATTTTTTTTCCTTTTGGCATAGTGAATTGGGGTCCTGAGTTTTTATTTTCTTTTCACAGTTATCACTAAAATAAATGAAATAGAAAATAGAAAAAAATAGAGAAAATGAACAAACCCAAAAGTTGTTTCTTTTAAAAGTTTGATAAAGTTGACAAACTTTTAGCTAGACTGACAAATAAAAGAGAAGACTGAAATTACTAAAATCAGGAGATATTACTCCTACTAACTATATAGAAATAAAAATTATGAAAGAATCCTGGGAACATTTATATGTCAATAAATAATGTAAATAAAATGAACAAAAATTCCTAGAAAGATATAAGCTACTGTAACTGACTCAAGAAGAAACAGAAAGTCTCCTTAGACCTATTAAAAGTAAAAAGATTGAATAAGTAATCAAGAAACTTCCTATAAAGAAAAACCCAGTATTGGAGGCTGGGGAGAGTAGGGAGGAGGGGAGAATGGGGAGAGGTTGGGTAAAGGATACATTGCAGGTAGATAGGAAAAATGAGTTATAGTGTTCCTTAATTTTTCCTGTGTGTTAACAGCAATTGTTAGAGATTTCCAGATATTTAAAACTATCCCTTCAGTAAATTTCATTTATTTAAAGGCAATACCCTGAAGCCTCCAAAATAAAACAAGTACAGGTTATTCAGTAAAACTTCCTGGAGGGATAACCAGTTTCTTCTCCATGAATATTCTGTGATCTGCAGTTCTCATAGAGGGAATAATAGAACTAGAAATGGTGGTTGAAAACTTTTTTACAAGTCACTAAATTATAAGTTACTTCTGTTTTGGAAGCCCAACAAATTAGTCTGAATTAATTAACTAAAGTTGTCATGGGTAATTGTATAGCCCTTTCTTTCCTCTTAGCCAGCCAAGGGGAATTGTGCTATGGCAATGTTTTTATTGCATCTATATAAATACTACAGGACAAATAGAACAGTCTGTGACTAGGCTAAGAGAAAAAGCCACCTAGATTTCTGAAACAGACCCCACTGAATTCTTGGACATGTTTCCACTGCCTGAGTTTGGACTTATGGCAAAGACTAATAATCATTTTGTTTCTGACAATTGCCTATGTTATGGTTGGCCAATATATCCTGTCCAGAGTCTTAAATGCTACTAAGCAGCTATTGTCAAGTCAGGTGTTTCAAAATCTCATCCTATAACAGAAGTAGTAGAAAGGGTTAACCCCAGATAAACTACAAACAACATTGGATGGACACCCTATAGATTGTAATCAACATCTTTCAGTGGTTAATAGCTGGTTACTCTGGATTGATGTGCTATGGCCCAGTTTCATCTGTCCTTATCCAAATAAGAGAATTAAAAAAAAAATAGCAGTCTCTAACATTTAAGGCTGGCCTCGCACTCACAGCTAAATAATGTTATTTTCACAGACGTTATCAATAGTCTCACAAAATACCAACTTCAGACAAGATTACTATGAGACCATGATATAATGAGACAGGTCAAGGTCACTTCTTACTTCTGTCTAAGCACAGGCAGAAATCAGCTTGCTATGCTATCTGTACCAAGCACCCCTCCTTGGCCAAAATGAATGATTGCTACTTCTTTACCAATTACACCTTTATCCTTGCTCTAGTCTCCCTCCCTATAGATAGCAGTTATTAAGATGTGCAATCATAAAATTGTCCTCCATTTCGATAGCATACAATCTAGAAAAAACCTCCACTTCTTCAGATACACTTTGAAATCACCCAACGAAAACCCGAATCCTATAATGAGTTATTTTCTTATACCTCTTACTGAGACACCCCCTGGTTCCCCATGGTGTGTGTTCTCTCTTCCTGCAATAAGTAATAAACCCAAACATAGATGTATTCCCTGGTGGTCTTTGGCCTGAAGAATTTCAACAGTGGGTTCAAGATTTCCTTCTAGAGTGATGAAAATGTTCTAAATTTAGATTGTGACGATGATTGCACAAATCTAAATATAGAGAATCATTGGATTCTATACTTTAAACAGGTGAACTTCATGGTATGTAAATTATATATCAATGAAGCCGTTAAAATCTATAATACAGTAATATATGTCTATCATTGTTGATGCATTAGTTAGTCTATTAACACAATTACAAAGGGTGATGAGCTTTAATAATACTTTACTATTTTTGCCACAACTGTAATATGATACAAAAATATCTCTGCTTCTAATACTGCTGTGGTTTGGTGCCAACATTCATCCTTGAAGGAAATGGCAATTTTCAGTCAGAGCTTAGTAAAAATAAAGACATATTTTTTTCCATTCAAATTAACTCCTGAATTTTAAATTTGGACCTCAGGCTAAAAACTCCTGTACTAGAGGGAAATTTAATTAACAAAGGAGTCCAACCTCCTCATGTAACAAAAGGAGGAACTCAGGCTCAAATCAGGGGCAGCACTTTGCCAAAGTCACAAAGGAAGCTAAGCAGCTGGGTCCCCTGTATCTCCTGACTCTCTATTCAAAGCTTGGTTCCCTAGTTTCACTATGCCATTTTGATGAATTAGTAATTTGCTATCTGAAAATAAAATCTGAACCAACATTCAACAACAGGGTGATGAAGTTTCAGGTCCTGATGCTGCCATGTCTTTCCTTTCTGAGCCACTCTAGGCTTGGCCAGAAGACAGTGTGGATGGTCTCATGTTGATTCCTCTCTGGCTAGCTGAACCTATGGCAGGCACCACACAGATGAAGTTGGTCTACAGCCTCCCAGCAACTTTCTCAGGAATCAGGGAGTGTCTTCCCTGAAGCCTTGGGATGGAATCCCATAGCCCTGCATTGTAGAAGTGCCTGGCTACTGCCTACCTAGCAGTCAGGGCAAAATTCTGACTTTCTTGTTCTCCTAGACCTGCATTGCTCTTTCTTTCTCTGGAACTCAGTTTCCTCATCTATCAGTAAAATGAATGTGGTATGTCCTTCCCTCCCTCCCTCCTTAGCCACTAGGTTTACTGTGAGGAAGCAAAGAGAGAATGTGTAGAGAATCACATAGAAAATATAATGTGCTCAGAAAATGCTAGAGACCATAATATTGAAACCGAACAACTCCACCTGACCTCAGTTTTCTTCTTAAAAGCCTTTGCTCTGAAAATTAGGGTTCAGACAACTCTTTCTTGCTCCTCTCATTGTGACTCAGGGGAAGTCACGTAACTGTGCCTGAGTTTGTCATCCCTAAAGTTGAGGTGATAATTACAGTACTTGCCTTAACATTGGGATGATAACACAGCAACTGCCTTAAAGGATTGCTGTAATGAGAAGATGGATTACTATCTGTAAAGAATTCAGAAGAATCCCTGTCACAGACACTGTACTCAATAAAAATTTGTTATTTATTTTACAGAAATCAGAGGATAAGTGTCTGTCTGTGTTGTGGGGATGGAATTTTTCACTAATAATATTTTATTTGATTGCCATAGCCATTCTAGGAGAGAGAAAGAATACTGGGGGTGGGGGGGGCAACATTAATACTATAAATGTTCTGTACATTGAGTCTCTCCCAGCCTCAAACTATGGATCAAATTTCATATTATTTTAAGAGACTGAAGCTATACTCAAATAAAAAAAAAATTGTCTTCAACCTCCATCTTATTTTAAGGGTCATACTAGTGTTAAATATGTAACTTGATATCAATTACATGCCTTAAAAAATTAGTAAAAAAAAAAAATCAGTGAATAGATTGGAAATTAAGATCCCTCGACCTCAATCTGATATCTGATATCTGTATCTTACTGTGTGACTTTGGGCTCCTTTCTTCCCTTTTTGGTACCCTTGTTTCCTGTCTGAGCAATGGAGGAGGAGAGAGCCTTTCAGTTCTAAGATTCTGTGATCCCATCTCAATCTCCCCTTGACTTCTTTTTGTCCCTGAGTAAACCTTTCATCTTAGTTTGTTTAGTATTGCTACAAAGAAATATCTGAAGCTGGGTAATTTATAAAGAAAAAAGATTTGTTTGGCTCATGATTCTGATGTCTTGAAAAGTTCAAGATTATGCATCTGATGAGGGCCTCAGGCTGCTTCCACTTATGGCAGATGGTGAAGGGGAGCTGACACATGCAGAGATCACAAGGGAAGAAAGGACCAAAGGCAGAAAGGGGCGGGGGTGCCAGACTTTTTTTTTTTGCTATGATTCCGTTTATATGACTTTCAAAATCAGACATGATTAATTTATTGTCTAGAAATCAGAACAGTGATTACTTTGGAAGGGTAAGTAGTACAGGAAGGAGGGAGCTTTTAGAGTCCTGATAATGTTCTATTTTTTGATCTAGAATGCCAGTTACATAAACATGTACAATTTTTGAAAAGTTGCTGAGCTGAACACTTGTGAATTATATTCATTTTTAAAAAATAATTTCAACTTTTATTTGAGATTCAGGAGGTACATGTTCAGGTTTGTTACCTGGGTATAATGTGTGATGCTGAGGTTCAGGATATGATTAATCACCTCACCCAGGTACTGAGCATAGTATCCAACAGTTAGTTTCTCAACCCATCCCCTCTCCCTCCTGACAATTCTTTTTTTTTTGTTTTTTTTTTTTTGTTTATTTGTTTTTTATTATACTTTAAGTTCTAGGGTATATGTGCACAACATGCAGGTTTGTTACATAGGTATACATGTGCCATGTTGGTTTGCTGCACCCATCAACTTGTCATTTACATTAGGTATTTCTCCTAATGCTATCTCACCCACAGCACCCCACCTCTGACAGGCCCTGGTGTGTGATGTTCCCCACCCTGTGTCCATGTGTTATTGCTGCTCAACTCCGACCTATGAGTGAGAACATGTGGTGTTTGGTTTTCTGTCCTTGTGATAGTTTGCTTAGAATGATGGTTTCCAGCTTCATCCATGTCCCTGCAAATGACATGAACTCATCTTTTTTTATGGCTGCATAGTATTCCAAGGTGTGTATGTGCCACATTTTCTTAATCAGTCTATCATTGATGGACATTTGGGTTGGTTCCAAGTCTTTGCTATTGTGAATAGAGCCACAATAAACATACGTGTGTGTGTGTCTTTATAGTAGCATGATTTATAATGCTCTGGGTATATACCCAGTAATGGGATTGCTGGGTCAAACGGTATTTCTAGTTCTAGATCCTTGAGGAATCGCCACACTGTCTTCCACAATGATTGAACTAATTTACAGTCCCACCAACAGTGTAAAAGCATTCCTATTTCTCCACATCCTCTCCAGCATCTGTTGTTTCTTGACTTTTTAATGACCGCCATTCTAACTGGTGTGAGATGGTATCTCATTGTGGTTTTGATTTGCATTTCTCTGATGATCAGTGATGATGAGCATTTTTTCATATGTCTGTTGGCTGCATAAATGTCTTCTTTTGAGAAGTGTCTGTTCATATCCTTTGCCCACTTTTTGATGGGGTTGTTTTTTTCTTGTAAATTTGTTTAAGTTCTTTTTAGATTCTGGATATTAGCCCTTTGTCAGATGGGTAGATTGCAAACATTTTCTCCCATTCTGTAGGTTGCCTGTTCACTCTGATGATAATTTCTTTTGCTGTGCAGAAGCTCTTTAGTTTAATCAGATCCCATTTGTCTATTTTGGCTTTTATTGCCATTGCTTTTCGTGTTTTAGTCATGAAGGCTTTGCCCATGCCTATGTCCTGAATGGTATTGCCTAGATTTTCTTCTAGGGTTTATATGGTATTAGGTCTTACATTTAAGTCTTTAATTCATCTTGAGTTAATTTGTGTATATGTTGTAAGGAAGTGATCCAGTTTCAGCTTTCTACATATGGCTAGCCAGTTTTCCACATATGGCTAGCCAGTTTTCCCAGCACCATTTATTAAATAGGGAATAATTTCCCCATTGCTTGTTTTTGTCAGGTTTGTCAAAGATCAGATGGTTCTAGATGTGTGGTGTTATTTCTGAGGGCTCTGTTCTGTTCCATTTGTCTACCTCTCTGTTTTGGTAGCAGTACCATGCTGTTTTGGTTACTGTAGCCTTGTAGTATAGTTTGAAGTCAGGTAGCGTGATGCCTCCAGCTTTGTTCCTTCTGCTTAGGATTGTCTTGGCAATGCAGGGTCTTTTTCGGTTCCATATGAACTTTAAAGTAGTTTTTTCCAACTCTGTGAAGAAAGTCAGTTGGAGCTTGATGGAGACAGCATTGAATCTATAAATTACCTTGGGCAGTATGGCCATTTTCATGACATTGATTCTTCCTATCCATGAGCATGGAATGTTCTTCCATTTTCTTGTGTCCTCTTTTATTTCATTGAGCAGTGGTTTGTAGTTGTCCTTGAAGAGGTCCTTCACATCCCTTGTAAGTTGGATTCGTAGGTATTTTATTCTCTTTTTAGTAGTTGTGAATGGGAATTCACTTATGACTTGGCCCTCTGTTTGTCTATTATTGGTGTATAGGAATGCTTGTGATTTTTGCACATTGATTTTGTATGCTGAGACTTTGCTGAATTTGCTTATCAGCTTAAGGAGATTTTGGGCTGAGCTGATGGAGTTTTATAAATATACAATCATGTCATCTGCAAACAGAGACAACTTGACTTCCTGTTTTCCTAATTGAATACCCTTTATTTCTTTCTCTTGCCTGATTGCCCTAGCCAGAACTTCCAATACTATGTTGAATAGGAGTGGTGAGAGAGGGCATCCCTGTCTTGTGCCAGTTTTCAAAGGGAATGCTTCCGGTTTTTGCCCATTCAGTATGATCTTGACTGTGGGTTTGTCATAAATAGCTCTTATTATTTTGAGATATGTTCCATCAATACCTAGTTTTTTGAGAGTTTTTAGCATGAAGGCTGTTGAATTTTTTTGAATGCCTTTTCTGCGTCTATTGAGATAATCATGTGGTTTTTGTCTTTGGTTCTGTTTATATGATGGATTACGTTTATTGATTTGCATATGTTGAACCAGCCTTGCATCCCAAGTATGAAGCCGACTTGATCGTGATGGATAAGCTTTTTGATGTGCTGCTGGATTTGGTTTGCCCGTATTTTATTGACTATTTTCACATCGATGTTCCTCAGGGATATTGGTCTAAAAGTCTCTTTTTTTGTTTTGTCTCTACCAGGCTTTGTTATCAGGATGACACTAGACCCATAAAATGAGTTAGGGAGGATTCCCTCTTTTTCTATTGATTGAAATAGTTTCAAAAGGAATGGTACCAGCTCCTCTTTGTACCTCTGGTAGAATTCGGCTGTGAATCCATCTGGTCCTGGACTTTTTTTGGTTGGTCATCTATTAATTATTACCTCAATTTCAGATCCTGTTATTGGTCTATTCAGAGATTCAACTTCTTTCTAGTTTAGTCTTGGGATAGTGTATGTTGTCCAGGAAATTATTCAATTCTTCTAGATTTTCTAGTTTATTTGCGTAGAGGTGTTTATAGTATTCTTTGATGGTAGTTTGTATTTCTGTGGGATCATTGGTGATATCCTCTTTATCATTTTTTATTGCATCTATTTGATTCTTCTCTCTTTTCTTCTTTATTAGTCTTGCTAGTGGTCTATCAATTTTGTTGATTTTTTCAAAAAACCAGCTCCTGGATCCATTGATTTTTTGAAGGGTTTTTTTGTGTCTCTATCTTCTTCAGTTTCCTCTGATCTTAGTTATTTCTTGCCTTCTGCTAGTTTTGAATTTGTTTGCTCTTGCTTCTCTATTTCTTTTAATTGTGATGTTAGGATGTCAATTTTAGAACTTTCCTGCTTTCTTTTGTGGGCATTTAGTGCTATAAATTTCCCTCTACACACTGCTTCAAATGTGTCCCAGAGATTCTGGTACTTTGTGTCTTTCTTCTCATTGGTTTTAAAGAACATCTTTATTTTTGCCTTAATTTCGTTATTTACACAATAGTCATTCAGGAGCAGCTTGTTCAGCTTCCATGTAGTTGTGTGATTTTGAGTGAGTTTATTGATCCTGAATTCTAATTGGATTGCACTGTGGTCTGAGAGACAGTTTGTTGTGATTTCTGTTCTTTTACATTTGCTGAGGAGTGTTTTACTACCAATTACATGGTCAAGTTTAGAATAAGTGTGATGTGGTGCTGAGAAGAATGTATATTCTGTTGATTTAGGGTGGAGAGTTCTGTAGATGTCTATTAGGTCTGCTTGGTCCAGGGCTGAGTTCAAGTCCTGTATATCCTTGTTAACCTTCTGTCTTATTGATCTAATATTGACAGTGGAGTGTTAAAGTCTCCCATTATTATTGTGTGAGTCTAAGTCTCTTTGTAGGTCTCTAAGGACTTGCTTTATGAATCTGGCTGCTCCCATATTGGGTGCATATACATTTAGGATAGTTAGCTCTTCTTGTTACATGGATCCCTTTACCATTATGTAGTGGCCTTCTTTGTCTTTTTTGATCTCTGTTGGTTTAAAGTCTGTTTTATCAGAGACTAGGATTGCAACCCCTGCTTTTTTTTTTTTGCTTTCCATTTGCTTGTTAGATCTTCCTCCATCCCTTTATTTTGAGCCTATATGTGTCTTTGCATTTGAGTTGGGTCTCCTGAATACAGCACACCAATGAGTCTTGACTCTTTATCCCATTTGCCAGTCTGTGTCTTTTAACTGGGGCATTTAGCCCATTGACATTTAAGGTTGATATTGTTATGTCTGACTTTGATCCTGTCATTATGATATTAGCTGGTTATTTTGCCCATTAATTGATGCAGTTTCTTCATAGTGTCGATGGTTTTTACCATTTGGCATGTTTTTGCAGTGGCAGGTACTGATTGTTTCTTTCCATGTTTAGTGCTTCCTTCAGGAGCTCTTGTAAGGCAGGCCTGGTGGTGACAAAATCTCTCAGCATTTGCTTGTCTGTAAAGGATTTCATTTCTCCTTCACTTATGAAGCTTCGTTTGACTGGATATGAGATTCTGGGTTGAAAATTCTTTCCTTTAAGAATGTTGAATATTGGCCCCCTCTCTCTTCTTGGTTGTAGGGTTTCTCCTGAGAGATCTGCTGTTAGCCTGATGGGTTTCCCTTTGAGGATAACCTGACCTTTCTCTCTGGCTGCTCCATCAGGTCATTTAAGGTCTTCTCTACACTGTTTATTTTAGTTAGCCATTCATCTAACATTTTTTCAAGGTTTTTAGCTTCCTTGCAATGAGTTAGAACATGCTTCTTTAGCTCAGAGAAGTTTGTTATTACCAACCTTCTGAAGCCTACTTCTGTCAACTCATCAAAGTCATTCTCCATCCAGTTTTGTTCCCTTGCTGGCGAGGAGCTGCAATCCTCTGGAGGAGAAGAGATGCTCTGTTTTTTGGAATTTTCAGCTTTTCTGCTCTGGTTTCTCCCCATCTTTGTGGTTTTATCTACCTTTGGTCTTTGTTGTTGGTGACCTACAGATGGGGTTTTGGTGTGGATGTTCTTTTTGTTGATGTTGATGCTATTCCTTTCTGTTTCTTAGTTTTCCTTCTAACAGTCTCAGCTGCAGGTCTATTGGCATTTGCTGGAGGTCCACTCCAGACCCTGTTTGCCTGGGTATCACCAGCAGAGGCTGCAGAACAGCAAATACTGATGCCTGATCCTTCCTCTGGAAGTTTCATCCCAGAGGGGCACCCGCATGTTTGAGGTGTCTGTCGGCCCCTACTGGGAGGTGTTTCCCAGTCAGGCTACACAGGGATCAGAGACCCGCTTGAGGAGGCAGTCTGTCCATTCTCGGAGATCGAACACCATGCTGAGAGAACCACTGCTCTCTTCAGTGCTGTCAGACAGGGACGTTTAAGTCTGTAGAAGCTGTCTGCTGCCTTTTGTTCTACTATGCCCTGCCCCCAGAGGTGGAATCTATAGAGGTAGTAGGCCCTGCTGAGCTGTGGTGGGCTCCGCCCAGTTTGTGCTTCCCAGCTGCTTTGTTTACACTGTAAGCTACTCAAACCTCAGCAATGGCAGACACCCCTCCCCCCATCAAGCTGCAGCATTGCAGGTCAATCTCAGACTGCAGTGAGCAAGGCTGTGTGGGCGTGGGACCCACTGAGCCAGGCATGGGTGGGTATCTCCTGGACTGCCAGTTGCTAAGACTGTGGGAAAAGTGACGTATTTGGTCAGAGGTGTACCATTTCTTCAGGTACAGTCTGTCATGGCTTCCCTTGGCTAGGAAAGGGAAATCCCCCAACCCCTTATGCTTCTTGGGTGAGGCGATGCCCTGCCTTGCTTCAGCTCACCTTCTGTGGGCTGCACCCACTCTCCAACCAGTTCCAGTGAGATGAACCAGGTACCTCAGTTGGAAATGAAGAAATCGTCCATCTTCTGTGTTGATCTCCCTGGGAACTGCAGACCAGAGCTGTTCCTATTTGGCCATCTTGGAAATCCAATTCAAATTATATTCCCAGACTGATTTTAACAACCAGCTGTCCTGGGAACTAATAAGGTGAGAATTCACTCACCCTCCCCACCCCTCTTCACAGGGAGGGCATTAATCTATTAGTGAGCTATCTGTCCCCATGACTCAAACACCTTCCATTTGGCTGCATCTCCAGCAATTAGGATCAAATTTCCATATGAGGTTTAGGGGGACAAACGTTCAAACCATAACACCTACTTGACTACCTTGTCCTCAATTTACTTAGGTGTTTCATTCTGTGAAGGGAGCTTACCTTTCTGGGAAGCTGAGCCTATGGACACTAAAACCCAGGATATCCCAATCTCTGACAGTCCAGACTGAGTCCTGCTTGCCAGAAAGGTTGCTGTCTGGAGAGCCACAATTCTTTCAAATCTCTTTTTTGGTCCTGCAGCAACTTGTTAGAACTAGCTCTGCACATATTTTAATGGCTTCTCCAGCCTGTCAAGGAAGCTGGAAGAAGACTGCCATGTCACAGAGCCAAGCCAATCATTAGTCATCTTTATGACTTTCTCTTTCAGTGCCTAGCCCAATGCCTCAGGGTTCTCAAATCATACAGACATCCATTAAATCATAGCCACCTGTTTTAGTCTACCCATCCCTCTCCCCCTTTTCCTCTGAGACAGGGTCTCAGCCTCCTTGAGCAATGGTCATCCCCCTGCCATTTACCTGGCAAAAGTTGGCAAAAGAATGGAGATAATGTGTATGCCTGATCCTGAGTGTAGACACAGCTGGATTCCATCTTCACACATTTAGTGCTCACATTCCTCACACTTGGTCTTTTTCTCAACACCAACCCCCTGTACTCCCATTCTTCTGACCAAGAAGACTAAAGGCACCTTAAAGGCTATTTTAAAATATGTGTTTTCTGATTATTCTGGGGCCCCTGCTATGTTTATTTTTTCTGGACACGTAAGATTGAAAGGGATTGAAATGAAGGATTCAGAAGCATCTGAGAATGTTGTGGTGCCAGGGAGCCTTAGTCTTAACTAGTAGTGACTTAGGTTGACCTTGGATAAATCTTAGAACCTCTCTGAGCCTTAATGTTCCATCTGACTCTATCACTGAGATTAAATGTTACAGGAAAACAAAAGAAAGAGAAGTTTCTTCTGAATGTCAAGGCAGTCTTCAAAGAAAGGATAGGAATTGATTTGGGTTTCAAGATTAGGTATTAAGACTACTACTACCAACAATAACAAACACATATATTATACTTACCTCAAACTAAGCATCATTCTATGTACTTTACATACAGTAACCCATTTAATTCTCACCACAATCCCATAAAGTAGGAACTCTGACCATGATCCCCATTTTTCAGATGAGAAATAAGAGTCACAGAGACGTCAGAGGTCATGCCCAGGATCACACAGCTAGGAAGAGGTGTGATATGGTTTGGCTCTGGGCCCTCACCCAAATCTCATCCTGAATTGTAATCCCCATGTGTCAAGGGAGGTACCTGGTGGTTGTTGATTGGATTATGGGAGCAGTTTCCTCCATGCTGTTCTCATGATAGTGAAGGAGTCCTCAGGAGATCTGAAGGCTTTAAAAGTGTTTGGCAATTCCCCACTTCTCTCTCTCTCTCCTGCCACAATGTAAGAGGTGCCTTGCTTTCCTTTCACTTTCTGAAATGACTGTAGGTTTCCCGAGGCCTCTCCAGCCATGGGGAACTGAGTTGATTAACCCATATTTTTTAAATAAATTACCTATTCTCAGATATTTCTTTATAGCAGTGTGAAAACGGACTAATACAGATAATTGGTACCAGAATAGTGGTGTACTGCAATAAAGATAGCCTGAAAATGTGGAAGCAACTTTGGAACTGCGTAACATGAAGAGGTTGAAACAGTTTGGAGGTCTCAGATCAAGATAGGAATATGTGGGGAAGTTTGGAACTTCCTAGAGACTTGCTGAATTTTTTTGACCAAAATGCTGATAGTGATATGGACAATGAAGTCCAGACTGATGTAGTCTCAGATGGAAATGAGGAACTTATTGGGAACTGGAGTGAAAGTCACTTTTGCTATGCTTTAGCAAAGAGACTGGCATCATTTTTACCCCTGCACAATAGTGCAGCCTTGGGACTTGGTGTCCTGCGTCCCAGATGCTCCAGCTCCAGCCACAGCTAAAAGGGGCCAAGGTACAGCTCTGACCATGGCTTCAGAGGGTGCAAGATCTGTGGAATTTTTGACTTGAGAGAGGTGATTTAAGGTATCTAGTGGAAGAAATTTCTAAGCAGCAAAGCATTCAAGAGGTGACTTGGATTATTCTGAAAGCTTTCAGTTACATGCATTCACAAAAAGATGGTTTGAAATTGGAACTTATGTTTAAAAGAGAAGCAGAGCATAAAGTTTTGGAAAATTTGCAGCATCACTATGTGGTAGAAAAGAAAAACCCATTTTCTGGAGAGGAATTCAAGCTAGCTGCAGAAATTTGCATAAGTAAAAAGGACCCGAATGTTAATCACCAAGACAATGGGGAAAATGTCTCCAGGGCATGTCAGAAATCTTCACTGCAGCCCCTCCCATCACAGGCCCAGAGGACTAGAAAGGAAAAATGGTTTTGTGGGCCAGGTTCAGGACCCCACTGCTCTGTGCACCCTTGGGACTTGGTGCCCTGTGTCCTAGATGCTCCAGCTCCAGCCATGGCTAAAAGGGGACAAGGTACACCTCTGACCATGGGTTCAGAGGGTGCAAGCCACAAGCCTTGGTAGCTTCCACATGGTTTTGGGCCTGCAGGTATGCAGAAGACAAGAATTGAGCTCTGGGAACCTCCACCTAGATTTCAGAGAATGTATAGAAATGCCTGGATGTTCAGACAGAAGTCTACTGCAGGGGAGGAGTCCTCATGGAGAACCTCTGCTAGGGCAGTATGGTAGGAAAATGTGGGGTTGGGCCCCCCACACAGAGTCTCCACTGAAGCACTGCCTAAAGGAGCTGTGAGAAGTGTGCCATCATCCTCCAGATCCCAGAAAGATCGATCCACTAACAGCTTGCATCGTGCACCTGAAAAAGCTGCAGGCCCTCAATGCTGGCCAGTGAAAGCATGCAAGAGGGCTGTACTCTACAGAGCCACAGGGGCAGAGCTACCCAAGGCCTTGGGAGCCCACCCCTTCCACCAGCATGCCCTGGATGTGAGACATGAAGTGAAAGGAGATTTTTGAACTTTATGATTTAATGATTGCCCGGCCAGGTTTTAGACTTGCATGGGGCATGTGGCCCCTTTGTTTTGGCCAATTTCTCCCATTTGGAATGGGAACATTTACCAAATGCCTGTACCCCCATTGTATCTTGGAAGTAACTAACTGGCTTTTGATTTTACAGGCTCATAGGTGAGAGGGATTTGCCTTGACTCAGATGAAACTTTGGACTTTTACTTTTGAGTTAGTGTTACAATGAGTTGAGACTTTGAGGAACTGTTGGGAAGGCATGATTGGTATTGCAATGTGAAAAGCACAAGATTTGGGAGGGACCAGGGGTGCAATTATATGATTGGGCTCTGTGTCCCCACCCAAATATCATCCTGAATTGTAATCCCCACATGTCGAGGGAGGGACGTGGTGAGAGGTGATGGAATCATGGGGGCAGTTTTCCCCATGCTGTTCTCATCATATTGAAGGAGTTCTCATGAGATCTGATGGTTTTAAAAGTGTTTGGCAGTTCCCCCCTTCTCTCTCTTCTCTCACCATGTAAAAGGTGCCTTTCTTCCCCTTTTCCTTCCACCATGATTGTAGGTTTCTTGAGGCCTCCTCAGCCATGTGGAACTGTGAGTCAATTAAACCTCTTTTCTTTATAAATTACTCAATCTTGGGTATTTCTTTATAGCAGTGTGAAAATGGACTAATACAAGGTGAGACCACTATTTGAACTCAAGCAGCCTACCTGCAAGAATCCATGCTTTTTCATTCTGAACTACATTGCCACAGTGCATGGTAATAAGGATGAAGGGTATTCTATGCTGAGAGTGGGAGCTCCTGTGAACAAAGCTCTGGAGGCCATTTTTGCCTCCCAGTGGAAGCTGGAAGCAGAAAGATCAACTAGGAGCTAGTCCACTGAGATGAGGCCATGAAGGCTCAGGCTGTGGAGGGGAAGAAATGGAAGGGGGAAAACAGTGGAGATGAAAAGAAAAAGACAGATGCAACAGGTGCTGTCCAAAAGACTCAACAGGATTTGGTGACTATTTGAAAGAGAGAGGGAAATAGAAGGACTCAGGATTTGGAGTCTGAGGGATTCTGTGTAAAGGACAAAATTTGGCTCAAGGGAAAAGAGTCAGGTTTGGGGAGAATTCTGTAAGTTCTCATTTAGACAATTTGAATGTAAGGCAATACCAAGAGCCTTGGCGAGGGTCTTGGCGAGATACAGAAAGGTGGCAGTTGAGGCCATGGAAGTAGGAATAAGATGTGCCCTGCCTAGTGCTGTGTGTTGGGCTGCCATAGGGAGCCAACTACTGCTTTCTCTAGACCAGTGATTCTCAAACTTGAGCATGCATCAGAATTACCTGAAGAGCATATCTAAACACACATTCTCAGCCCTTCCACAAAAGTTTATGATTCAGTTGGCCTGGGTGCAGTCGGTCTGGGTGAAGCTCAAGGATTTGCATTTCTAACAAGTTCCCAGATAATGCTGATATTCCTGGCTTGGGGACTTCACTTTGAGAATCACTTCTCAAGAACAACTCTGAGACCCATATGGTTGCCTCACACATGTCACAAGCTCTGATACCTTTGTGTTTGAAACTGCAAAAACCTTAAAAGTCATTTAGTATCCCATTACCGGGTATATACCCAAAAGAATATAAATTATTCTACCATAAAGACACATGTATGTGTATGTTCATTGTAGCACTATTCATAATAGCAAAAACATGGACTCAACCTAAAGGCCCATCTACGGTAGGCTGGATAAAAAAAAAACTGTGATACATATACACCATGGTATACTATGCAACCATAAAAAAGAACAAGATAATTTCCTTTGCAAGAACATGGATGGAGCTAGAGGCCATTATCCTTAGCAAACTAATGCAAGAACAGAAAACCAAACACCACGTGTTCTCACTTATAAGTGGGAGCTAAATGATAAGAACATATGGACACATAGAGGGGAACAACAGACACTGGGACCTACTTGAGGGATGATGGTGTGAGGAGGGAGAGGATTAGGAAAAATAACTAATGGATACTATGCTTAGTACCTGGTTGATGAAATAATCTGTACAGCCAAATCCCCATGACACAATTTTACCTATATAACAAACCTGCACAGATAGCCCTAAACCTAAAATAAAAGTTAAAGAAAGTCATCTAGTAGGTCCAATCAGGCATGCAGCCAGAGAGAATGGGACTGCTTTCCACAATCTCGTGAGACTTTGGTTTCCATGGCATGAGGTCCGGGTCCCATCTCTATTGCTCTTCCCCTCAGCTCCTGGAATCCCACGGGGGCTTCATCACAACCTCTGTAACCCTTGCGACCTGTAGGTACTGGGAGATCTGCAGAAAGGGTGCTAGCACACCCAATAAGTCAGGAAATGGACTCAGTGGCGTTTGAAGATGTGATTGTGACTTTTACCTGGGAAGAGCGGCCTTTGCAAGGTCCTTCCTGGAAGAATCTACATAAAAATGTGATCCAAAAAATCTTAAGGAACTTGGGTTATATAGAAAACCAATGGAGAGACAAACATATTGAAAATCAGTACAAAAAATTCTTTCAGAGATTTAAGGTAATTTCCACTCACAAGAGAAAACATTATTCCTTAAGGGAATCTCAGCATGTCACAGTCATTTAACTTCAAGCAAACCAAAAAAATAAGCAAACTTTGAATATATTTATTCATAAAAAATGTTGACCAAAAATATATGCTTCCATGTAACATAAATGCTCAGTGTTTGCAAAGTAGTTCACTTGGAAACAGTGCTAAGAAACTGCATATATAAATATTTGGTAATAGCTATGGTGGAGGTAGCTCTGCTGGGGAGTAATCAATCCATTTACTTTCAAACACTTTAGTCAGTGCAGAAAATCTGGAATTTTCTGATATTGGTAGCAATCTAAGTTAAAGACCTTTTAATAAATAGAAAATCATTAATGAGACAACCATTAATAATGTGGTAGTCATTTTTCCAGATATCATATGATAAAGAGACTGGATGAAATTAAATAATGTAGTCAGTGGAGAGAAACCTTCACCCAGATTCCAAATCTTAGCCTGAACAAAAATCCTTAGCACTGGAGTAAAACTACATGAATGCATTGTGTTGAAAAGTGTTCATATATCACTTGTCCCTTCATAGGCACATTATATCTCACTCTGGATACAAACAATATGAGTGTGCAGAATGTGGAGAGAAGCCATCTAAATCTAAACAGTGTCAGAAAGCCCTCATTTATCTCACAACTACTCAAAGACACATGGTAACTCCCATTGTAAATGAACCTTATGAATGTACAGTATGTGAGAACGCCTTTGATTTTTCCAATTTATTTCAAATACAGCAGAGAATTCCCATTGCAGTAAGCCCTGTGGATGTAAACAAAATTGTAATCTCTTCAGGTTTTCTATTTCCTGTCCAATACATAAAAGAACTTACACTGGAGCAAAGCCCAGTGAATATAAGGAAGGTGGGAAATCATTTGATTTTCCCTTGTTTTTTAATAAAAGACATGAAAGTATTCACTCTGGAGGAAAGCCCTATCAGTGTAAGAAATGTGGTAAATCCTTTGCTATTTTATTTCTCTTTATAACCATGAAAAATATCATTCTGGAGAGAAACCCTATTAATGAAAGCAATATGGTAAGTCCCTCAGTCATTCTGTTCTGTTCATTATTTATTGAGCATTTTATTCAAAGACATGAAAGAACTCACAGTGGAGACAAATCCTATGAATGTAAGAAATGCGGTAAAGCCTTCAGTCTTTCCAGGAACCTTTATAGACATGAAATAATTCATCATCAAGAGAAACCTTATTAATGTAAGGAATGTGGGAAAGCCTTCAGTCATTCCAGTTACCTTTATAGACATAAAAGAACCATAGTGGAGAGAAACCCTGTAAATATAAGGAATGTGGGGAAGCCTTCAGTTGTTCCAGCCATCTTTATAACCGTGGAATAACTCATACCAGAGATAAACCCTATGAAAATTCTATAAACCTAAAAAAATGTGGTTAAAGCCTTCAGATATACTGGTGATTCTCGAATACATGAAAGAACTCACTGGAGTGAAATCTTGTGAATGGAAGAAATGTAGAAGAGCATTTAATTTTCTTGGTTTCTTTCAAAGATATGAAACAAAACAAACTGAATAAAAAACCCTATGACTAGAAGAAATGTGGTTTGAAAATGGGAAAGGACTCTGAAGAAAAACCTTATGAGTGTTAGAAATATTATGAGGCTTTCAGCTCTTCCAGTTCTATTTGATGACATAAAATAACTCATTGTGGAGGAAAACTCTATAAATGTCTAAAATGTGGGAATGCCTTCATTTCTTTCATATTTATTCAAAGACACATGATAATGCACACTGGAAATGGACCATATAAATATAAGAATGCGCCCCTTACTATGCAACTATGCATAATAATATGGAAAATACAGAAATATTCCATTTTAATTATATTAAAAATCACATGACATCTATTGGAATGAAATCCTATAAATGTAAGTAATATGGAAAGCCTGATGCAAACTCATTATTGTAGAGTGGTTGAGAAAATTCAGAACATGAATGAAATGGTATATGAGTTATTTATTGTGTTTATCAGTAACTCATTATTAAAGAGGATATCTAGACTGGATTTTCACTGCTTTTGCAAGTAAGCTTTGCAGTGAGAATTCAGTAGGTACTTTTAAAGAAATAGTGCATGAGTTTAATAGGTACTTTTTTTAAAAGGCAGTTACATTTTTTTATTTTTATTTTTTTATTATACTTTAAGTTCTAGGGTACATGTGCACAATGTGCAGGTTTGTTACATATGTATACATGTGTCATGTTGGTGTGCTGCACCCATTAACTCGTCATTTACATTAGGTATATCTTCTAATGCTATCCCTCCCCCCACCCCCCACTCCACGACAGGCCCTGGTGTGTGATGTTCCCCTTCCTGTGTCAAAGTGTTCTCATTGTTCAATTCCCACCTATGAGTGAGAACATGCAGTGTTTGGTTTTCTGTCCTTGCAATAGTTTGCTGAGAATGATGGTTTCCAGCTTCATCCATGTCTCTCCAAAGGACGTGAACTCATCCTTTTTTATGGCTGCATAGTATTACATGATGTATATGTACCACATTTTCTTAATCCAGTCTATCATTCTTGGACATTTGAGTTGGTTCCAAGTCTTTGCTATTGTGAATAGTGCCGCAATAAACCTACATGTGCATGTGTCTTTATAGCAGCAAGATTTATAATCCTTTGGGTATATACCCAGTAATGGGATTCCTGGGTGAAATGGTATTTCTAGTTCTAGATCCTAATGGTATTTCTAGTTCTAGATCCTTGAGGAATCACCACACTGTCTTCCACAATGGTTGAACCAGTTTACAGTCCCATCAACAGTGTAAAAGTGTTCCTACTCCTCCACAACCTCTCCAGCACCTATTGTTTCCTGACTTTTTAATGATCACCATTTAAACTGGTGTGAGATGGTATCTCATTGTGGTTTTGATTTGCATTTCCCTGATGGCAAGTGATGATGAGTATTTTTTCATGTGTCCATTAGCTGCATAAATGTCTTCTTTTGAGAAGTGTCTGTTCATGTCCTTCACCCACTTTTTGATAGGGTTGACTTTTTCTTGTAAATTTGTTTGAGTTCTTTGTAGATTCTGGATATTAGCCCTTTGTCAGATAAGTAGATTGCAAACATTTTCTCCCATTCTGTAGGTTGCCGGTTCACTCTGATGGTAGTTTCTTTTGCTGTGCAGAAGCTCTTCAGTTTAATTAGATTGCATTTGTCAATTTTGGCTTTTGTTGACATTGCTTTTCGTGTTTTAGACATTAAGTCCTTGCCCATGCCTATGTCCTGAATGGTAATGCCTAGGTTTTCTTCTAGGGTTTTTATGGTTTTAGGTCTAACATTTAGGTCTTTAATCCACCTTGAATTAATTTTTGTATAAGGTGTAAGGAAGGGATCCAGTTTCAACTTTCTACATATGGCTAGCCAGTTTTCCCAGCACCATTTATTAAATAGGGAATCCTTTCCCCATTGCTTGTGTTTCTCAGGTTTGTCAAAGATCAGATGGCTGTAGATGCTTGGTATTATTTCTGAAGGCTCTGTTCTGTTCCATTGGTCTATATCTCTGTTTTGGTAGCAGTACCATGCTGTTTTGGTTACTGTAGCCTTGTAGTATAGTTTGAAGTCAGGTAGCGTGATGCCTCCAGCTTTGTTCTTTTGGCTTAGGATTGTCTTGGCAATGTGGGCTCTTTTTTGGTTCCATATGAACCTTAAAGTAGTTTTTCCAATTCTGTGAAGAAAGTCATTGGTAGCTTGATGGGAATGTCACTGAATCTATAAATTACCTTGGGCAGTATGACCATTTTCATGATATTGAGTCTTCCTATCCATGAGCATGGAATGTTCTTCCATTTGTTTGTGTCCTCTTTTATTTCGTTGAGCAGTGGTTTGTAGTTCTCTTTGAAGAGGTCCTTCACATCCCTTGTAAGTTGGATTCCTAGGTATTTTATTCTCTTTGAAGCAATTGTGAATGGGAGGTCACTCATGATTTGGTTGTTTGTCTGTTATTGGTGTATAAGAATGCTTGTGATTTTTGAACATTGATTTTGTATCCTGAGACTTTGCTGAAGTTGCTTATCAGCTTAAGGAGAATTTGGGCTGAGATGATGGGCTTTTCTAAAATACAATCATGTCATCTGCAAAAGGGACAATTTGACGTCCTCTTTTCCTAATTCAATACCCTTGATTTCTTTCTCTTGCCTGATTGCCTTGGCCAGAACTTCCAACACTATGTTGAATAGGAGTGGTGAGAGAGGGCATCCCTGTCTTGTGCCAGTTTTCAAAGGGAATGCTTCCAGTTTTTGCTCATTCAGTATGATCTTGTCTGTGGGTTTGTCAGAAATAGCTCTTATTATTTTGTGATAGTTCTCATCAATACAAAATTTATTGAGAGTTGTCAGCAGGAAGGGCTGTTGAATTTTGTCAAAGGCCTTTTCTGCATCTATTGAGATAATCATGTGGTTTTTGTCTTTGGTTCTGTTTATATGCTGGATTACATTTATTGATTTGCATATGTTGAACCAGCCTTCCATCCCAGGGATGAAGCCCACTTGATCATGGTGGATAAGCTTTTTGATGTGCTGCTGGATTCGGTTTGCCAGTATTTTACTGAGGATTTTTGCATTGATGTTCATCAGGAATATTGGTCTAAAATTCTCTTTTTTTGTAGTGTCTCTGCCAGACTTTAATATCAGGATGATGCTGGCCTCATAAAATGAGTTAGGGAGGATTCCCTCTTTTCCTGTTGACTGGAACAGTTTCAGAAAGAATGGTGCCAGCTCCTCCTTGTACCTCTGGTAGAAATCGGCTGCGAATCCGTCTGGTCTGGGACTTTTTTTGGTTGGTAGGCTATTAATTATTGCCTCAATTTCAGATCCTGTTATTGATCTATTCAGGCATTCAACTTCTTCCTGTTTTAGTCTGGGGAGGGTGTATGTATGGAGGAATTTATCCATTTCTTCTAGATTTTCTAGTTTATTTGCGTAGAGGTGTTTATAGTATTTTTTGATGGTAGTTTGTATTTTTGTAGGATCAGTGGTGATATCCCCTTTATCATTTTTTTTGCATCTATTTGATTCTTCTCTCTTTTCTTCTTTATTAGTCTTGCTAGCAATCTATTAATTTTGTTGTTCTTTTCAAAAAACCAACTCCTGGATTCATTGATTTTTTGAAGGGTTTTTTGTCTCTGTCTCCTTCTTTTTTTTTCTATTCATTCTAAAGTGTGTTAAATCTGTGGGTAAATTGAAACGTTTTTCTAATTTATAGGTAAGTGTAAATGTATATAGTAGTTTAATTGTTCTATAATTAATGGATCATTGAAAAATTAGTCTTTTTTAATTGTTTGAATATTTACTTTCCTTATTTGGCAGGTACTGGATATCGTTATCCACTATATACATATTCCACTTTTTTTTTCTTATGGGAAACTTTTTTTTTATGATGTTAGCTGTGGGCTTTTCATCCATGCTTTAAAGTAAGTTGAAAAAGTTATCTTCTGTTTATTATTTATTGAGTATTTTATTGTGAAGGAGCATTGAACCTTTCAAATGATTTTTCAGCATCTTTTTGGATGATCCTGTGGTTGTTGACATTTATCCTATTAATATGGTGTGTTACATTAATTGACTTTCAGATGCAAAAATACATTGTTTTCCTGGGTTACCTCTCAGTAATGACGTATATGTCTTTTTATATATTGATAGATTTACTTCTCTAGCATATTGCTGAGACTTTTTGCATCTATATTTAGATGAGATTGGGCATGTTCAGGGTGGTATAGCCATAGACTTCATCTATATTTAAAGAGATTTGAATAATATTATAACATAAAGTAAATCGTTATCTAGTATAAAAAAAAGTCATCTAGTAAACCTTGTAGAAGATTTACTATGTATGTAGAAGTATGTAGAAGTCTTTTCTGCAATATTCCTGACATATGTCATTTGGCCTTTTCACTTAGCCATTCAACAAGTATTTATTAAGCACTAGCAATGTGATACACAATGCTCTAGCCTCTATGGATATAAAATTAAATAAGACAGACAAAAGAAGGTCGTTGCTCTCATGAAGCCTATATTTTAGAGGGTATTGTCATGGTGTGGGGGCAAGGAACAAACACAATACGTATTAGATAATGATTAGTGTTGAGCAGAGAATTGAAATAGGATTGCCTGGGTTGCTACTCTGTATTGGATGGTCAGGAAGGCCTCTCTGAGAAAGGGACATGTGGGCTGAGATCTGAAGGCCAAGAAGCAGCCAGCCATACAAGTATCATAGGGAAGAACCTTTAGAGGTGAAAAAACTGCTAGGTCAATGGCTTTAAGTTGGTGCTCATACAATTTTGCATGAGCAATTCTAGTAACAGAGAGTTCATTGCTTCACAAAACAGTACATATTGTCATTGATATTATGTTTGTGCTTAGCTGATATCTACCTCCCTGGGATTTTTTACCCACAGGTCTTAGTTAAGCACCCGGGGGCAACACAGAGCAGTCTGCTCCCTCTGCTAGTGACAACCTTTGATAGGTCCAGAAACCAGACACTGTATTCCCTTGAATCTGCTTTTTTTCACTCTTGCTAGGTGGCTAGGGCCACCTGAGACTGAGGGACACACCTCGTCACTGACTCACCCCTTGTGAGCAGGAGAGGTCAAAGTCCCTTGCCTGAGAAGGCTGCTGTCTAGGGCTGGAGGTTGCCTCCTCTCTTCCCTGTGTCCC
This sequence comes from Homo sapiens, assembly GCF_000001405.40. Lineage (NCBI taxonomy): Eukaryota > Metazoa > Chordata > Mammalia > Primates > Hominidae > Homo > Homo sapiens. The sequence continues at coordinate 64,140,140 of NC_000023.11, read as the reverse complement.
ATCTTTAAATGAAGTAGCCCCTTGACTCTGATGCCTCATCTGGTTCCAGAGTCCTGTGCTGATTAGGACAGGACTTCTTCTCTTAAAACCATGAGATTTAGATGCAAGGAGTCCAAGTTTCCAGAATGCCTGGGTTATAGACACTGACTGGGTATAGAATTTTCATGAATCTCTCTCTGGTCCTCATTTCTGGCCTTCAAGAAGGAACCAGGATGGTTGCCTCTCCCTGCTTCTTGGAGGGACTATGAGGACAAAGAGAAGGCTTGTTCTTCTCTTGATAAGGACCAGCTGAAACAACCACTGGGCAAACATAAATTGTGTCAAAAATGTGGGCACTGGCCTAGGCTGGGCCCTGGAGGAGTCAGAAAAAATGTGCATATTGCCTGTACTCAGACTTAAGTTGAGGGAGTAGACCAGGAAGCACTCCTTTATCAAATATATTACTTAACAACTACTATGTTCCAGTCATTGTTTTGGGTGCTGGGAATGCAACAGTGAATAAGACAGACAATAATCATATATAAAAATTAGAGTAATTTTGGATGGTGATAGAGTGCTATGTGGAAAATAAGATGGTGGTGTTATAAGAAAGAAAATTGGGTTGGTTTAAGGAGCTACTTGATATGAAGTGGTCAGAATATTCCTCTCTGAAGATATGACATTGGTGCTAAAATCTGAAGGAGGAGAAAGAGCCAGGCACAAGAAAATTGGAGCACAGAGTGATCCAGATCGAGGGAAAGCAAGTGCAAAAACCTTTATCAGGAGCGAGCTGTGGTGTTCAAGGAACACAAAGAAGGCCTATGTGATTGGAGCATAGCCAGCAAAGGGGAGAGGAGAAAAACATGACATCAGAAAGGTAGGCAGTGTCTAGCATATGCAAGCCTCTGTAGGCTGATTGGGAGTTCAGATTTTATTCTGAATGTGATGGGAAATTTTTGGAGAGTTTTGAATAGGATTGACATGGTTTAGACTTGGAAAAGATTCCTCTGGCTGTTGTGTTAAGAATGGGGCAAGAGCAAAAGTAAACAGCCCAGCGAAGGAGTTCTTTCCATAATTCAAGCATGAGATGATGGTGTCCTGGACTAAGGTGGTAGCAATGGAGGTGGTGAAGGACAAATAAGTTTCAGGATTTAGCACAGTGTAGTGCAGTGTTTTCCAAACTGGTGGTCACAATTCATTAGTGAGTTGTGAAATCAATACAGCGTATAGATATTTGTGTTTTAAAGAACAGAACAGAATAGAATAAAAAATAGCAGTCATTCCAGGTATTGGTTTGTGAAACTATCTGTTATGTATGTATTATATATAGTTATATTTATTATATATAAACACACATACATATGTATGTTATATACACACATGCATAAGTTTAATAGTGTATAGAGATTTGCAATTTAAAGTGAATTTCTTACTGTGGGTAGTGGACAAATATTTGAAAGCCACTGACATAATGGTTGAGAGTGTGTGCCTTTGTAGTCAGACTCACCTGGGTTTGAATTTGAATTCCAGATCCACCAATTATGTGTTGTGTAACTTTTTGTGATCCTGACTTTCCCCATCTGTAAAATAAGGCTAATAATGGTATTTATCTCATGGAGAAGTGAATGTAAGAATAAATATCAACATGCTTATCATAGTACCTGGCACAGAGGAAATAGCAATTACTTCGTTATTATCAATAAAATTGAGTGTTGAGTGTTGGGCTGTGTGGTCTAGACAATGAGTAGAAGTCAAGAAAGGGAAAGGATGGTGTTGGTGGCATAGCTAACCCAGTTCCTAGCATACAGGTACAGAATCCCTATTTTCCAAATAGAAAATCTAAATGTGTGGCCTGACAAAACAGAATGTTTTTCTACTTGTGCTTTCAAAGGATGAGATTTTAAAAACAAAAAAATTCAAAAATGAAATCCATTCATGAACTATAAATTAAGCACTGGTTATGTGCCAGGACGAGGCTAGATGCTAGAGGATTGGGGTAGATGAATAAGAGAGTGCCGTGGCATTCAAGACAGTCCATAAACTAGTGAGATGCTCAGTGTCATTTGAGTTATACAATTAAAAAATTGTATTTATTGAAAGAATATATTGAGCTGAAGTCCAAGATTGATGGCTTCTACGCACACAGGTACTCAAAGGTTTGAATCTATTCACTTCAATGTACCTTCATTGTGTAACCACTATGTGTCAGGAATACTGCTGAACATTGAAAATATAACAATGAACAAGGACCCTTGGGGAGCAGCCAAGATGGCCGAATAGTAACAGCTCCGGTCTACAGCTCCCAGCGTGAGCGATGCAGAAGACAGGTGATTTCTGCAATTCCATCTGAGGTACTGGGTTCATCTCACTAGAGAGTGCCAGACAGTGGGCACAGGTCAGTGGGTGCGTGAACCGTGCGTGAGCCAAAGCAGGGCGAGGCATTGCCTCACTCGGGAAGTGCAAGGGGTCAGGGAGTTCCCTTTCCTAGTCAAAGAAAGTGGTGACAGATGGCACCTGGAAAATTGGGTCACTCCCACCCAACTACTGTGCTTTTCCGAAGCACTTTAAAAAGCGCACTAGGAGATTATATCCCGCACCTGGCTCGGAGGGTCCTACGCCCACGGAGTCTCACTGATTGCTAGCACAGCAGTCTGAGATCAAGCTACAAGGCGGCAGCGAGGCTGGGGGAGGGGCACCCGCCATTGCCCAGGCTTGCTTAGGTAAACAAAGCAGGCGGGAAGCTCGAACTGGGTGGAGCCCACCACAGCTCAAGGAGGCCTGCCTGCCTCTGTAGGCTCCACCTCTGGGGGCAGGGCACAGACAAACAAAAAGACAGCAGTAACCTCTGCAGACTTAAATGTCCCTGTCTGACAGCTTTGAAGAGAGCAGTAGTTCTCCCAACACGCAGCTGGAGATCTGAGAATGGGCAGACTGCCTCTTCAAGTGGGACCCTGACCCCTGACCCCTGAGCAGCCTAACTGGTGGGCATCCCCCAGCAGGGGCAGACTGACACCTCACACGCCCGGGTACTCCAACAGACCTGCAGCTGAGGGTCCTGTCTGTTAGAAGGAAAACTAACAAAGAGAAAGGACATCCACACCAAAAACCCATCTGTACATCACCATCATCAAAGACCAAAAGTACATAAAGCCACAAAGATGGCGAAAAAACAGAGCAGAAAAACTGGAAACTCTAAAAAGCAGAGTGCCTCTCCTCCTCCAAAGGAACACAGTTCCTCACCAGCAATGGAGCAAAGCTGGATGGAGAATGACTTTGATGAGCTGAGAGAAGGTTTCAGATGATCAAATTACTCCAAGCTATGGGAGGAAATTCAAACCAAAGGCAAAGAAGTTGAAAACTTTGAAAAAAATTCAGAAGAATGTATAACTAGAATAACCAATACAGAGAAGTGCTTAAAGGAGCTGATGGAGCTGAACACCAAGGCTCAAGAACTACGTGAAGAATGCAGAAGCCTCAGGAGCCGATGCGATCAACTGGAAGAAAGGGTATCAGTGATGGAAGATGAAATGAATGAAATGAAGTGAGAAGGGAAGTTTAGAGAAAAAAGAATAAAAAGAAACGAGCAAAGCCTCCAAGAAATATGGGACTATGAGAAAAGACCAAATCTACGTCTGATTGGTGTACCTGAAAGTGACAGGGAGAATGGAACCAAGTTGGAAAACACTCTGCAGGATATTATCCAGGAGAACTTCCCCAATCTAGCAAGGCAGTCCAACATTCAGATTCAGGAAATACAGAGAACGCCACAAAGATACTCCTCGAGAATAGCAACACCAAGACACATAATTGTCAGATTCACAAAAGTTGAAATGAAGGAAAAAATGTTAAGGGCAGCAAGAGAGAAAGGTTGGGTTACCCTCAAAGGGAAGCCCATCAGACTAACAGCGGATCTCTCGGCTGAAACCCTACAAGCCAGAAGAGAGTGGGGGCCAATATTCAACATTCTTAAAGAAAAGAATTTTCAACCCAGAATTTCATATCCAGCCTAACTAAGCTTCACATGTGAAGGAGAAATAAAATACTTTACAGACAAGCAAAGGCTGAGAGATTTTGTCACCACCAGGCCTGCCCTAAAAGAGCTCCTGAAGGAAGCGCTAAACATGGAAAGGAACAACAGGTACCAACCGCTGCAAAATCATGACAAAATGTAGAGACCATCGAAACTAGGAAGAAACTGCATCAACTAATGAGCAAAACAACCAGCTAACATCATAATGACAGGATCAAATTCACACATAACAATATTAACTTTAAATGTAAATGGATTAAATGCTCCAATTAAAAGACACAGACTGGCAAATTGAATAAAGAGTCAAGACCCATCAGTGTGCTGTACTCAGGAAACCCACCTCACGGGCAGAGACACACATAGGCTCAAAATAAAAGGATGGAGGAAGATCTACCAAGCAAATTGAAAACAAAAAAAAAAAAACAGGGGTTGCCATCCTAGTCTCTGATTAAACAGACTTTAAACCAACAAAGATCAAAAGAGACAAAGAAGGCCATTATTAATGGTAAAGGGATCAATTCAACAAGAAGAGCTAACTATCCTAAATATATATGCACCCAATACAGGAGCACCCAGATTCATAAAATAAGAAGTCCTGAGTGACCTACAAAGACACTTAGACTCCCACACATTAATAATGGGAGACTTTAACACCCCACTGTCAACATTAGACAGATCAATGAGACAGAAAGTCAACAAGGATACCCAGGAATTGAACTCAGCTCTGCACCAAGCGGACCTAATAGACATCTACAGAACTCTCCACCCCAAATCAACAGAATATACATTTTTTTCAGCACCACACCACACCTATTCCAAAATTGACCACATACTTGGAAGTAAAGCTCTCCTCAGCAAATGTAAAAGAACACAAATTATAACAAATGATCTCTCAGACCACAGTGCAATCAAACTAGAACTCAGGATTAAGAATCTCACTCAAAACCGCTCAACTACATGGAAACTGAACAACCTGCTCCTGAATGACTACTGGGTACATAACGAAATGAAGGCAGAAATAAAGATGTTCTTTGAAACCAACGAGAACAAAGACACAACATACCAGAATCTCTGGGACACATTCAAAGCAGTGTGTAGAGGGAAATTTATAGCACTAAATGCCCACAAGAGAAAGCAGGAAAGATCCAAAATTGATACCCTAACATCACAATTAAAAGAACCAGAGAAGCAAGAGCAAACACATTCAGAAGCTAGCAGAAGGCAATAAATAACTAAATCAGAGCAGAACTGAAGGAAATAGAGACACAAAAAACCCTTCAAAAAATTAATGAATCCAGGAGCTGGTTTTTGAAAGGATCAACAAAATTGATAAACCGCTAGCAAGACTAATAAAGAAAAAAAGAGAGAAGAATCAAATAGACGCAATAAAAAATGATAAAGGGGATATCACCACCGATCCCACAGAAATACAAACTACCATCAGAGAATACTACAAACACCTCTATGCAAATAAACTAGAAAATCTAGAAGAAATGGATAAATTCCTCCACACATACACTCTCCCAATAATAAACCAGGAAGAAGTTGAATCTCTGAATAGACCAATAACAGGATCTGAAATTGTGGCAATATTCAACAGCTTACCAACCAAAAAGAGTCCAGGAACAGATGGATTCACAGCCAAATTCTACCAGAGATACAAGGAGGAAGTGGTACCATTCCTTCTGAAACTATTCCCATCAATAGAAAAAGAGGGAATCCTCCCTAACTCATTTTATGAGGCCAGAATCATCCTGATACCAAAGCCGGGCAGAGACACAACCAAAAAAGAGAATTTTAGACCAATATCCTTAATGAACATTGATGCAAAAATCCTCAATAAAATACTGGCAAACTGAATCCAGCAGCACATCAAAAAGCTTATCCACCATGATCAAGTGGGCTTCATCCCTGGGATGCAAGGCTGGTTCAATATACACAAATCAATAAATGTAATCCAGCATATAAACAGAACCAAAGACAAAAACCACATGATTATCTCAATAGATGCAGAAAAGGCCTTTGACAAAATTCAACAACGCTTCATGCTAAAAACTCTCAATAAATTAGGTATTGATGGGACATCTCTCAAAATAATAAGAGCTATCTATGGCAAACCCACAGCCAATATCATACTGAATGGGCAAAAACTGGAAGCATTCCCTTTGAAAACTGGCACAAGACAGGGATGCCCTCTCTCACCACTCTTATTCAATATAGTGTTGGAAGTTCTGACCAGGACAATTACGCAGGAGAAAGAAATCAAGGGTATTCAATTAGGAAAAGAGGAAGTCAAATTGTCCCTGTTTGCAGATGACATGATTGTATATCTAGAAAACCCCATTGTCTCAGCCCAAAATCTCCTTAAGCTGATAGGCAACTTCAGCAAAGTCTCAGGATACAAAATCAATGTTCAAAAATCACAAGCATTCTTATACACCAATAACAGACAAACAGAGAACCAAATCATGAGTGAACTCCCATTCATAATTGCTTCAGAGAGAATAAAATACCTAGGAATCCAACTTACAAGGGATGTGAAGGACCACTTCAAGGAGAACTACAAACCACTGCTCAACGAAATAAAAGAGGATACAAACAAATGGAAGAACATTCCATGCTCATGGGTAGGAAGAATCAATATCATGAAAATGGCCATACTGCCCAAGGTAATTTACAGATTCAATGCCATCCCCATTAAGCTACCAATGACTTTCTTCACAGAATTGGAAAAACTACTTTAAAGTTCATATGGAACCAAAAAAGAGCCCGCATCACCAAGTCAATCCTGAGCCAAAAGAACAAAGCTGGAGGCATCACACTACGTGACTTCAAACTATACTACAAGGCTACAGTAACCAACACAGTATGGTACTGCAACCAAAACAGAGATATAGACCAATGGAACAGAACAGAGCCCTCAGAAATAATACCACACATCTACAGCCATCTGATCTTTGACAAACCTGAGAAACACAAGCAATGGGGAAAGGATTCCCTATTTAATAAATGGTGCTGGGAAAACTGGCTAGCCATATGTAGAAAGTTGAAACTGGATCCCTTCCTTACACCTTATACAAAAATCAATTCAAGGTGGATTAAAGACTTAAACGTTAGACCTAAAACCATAAAAACCCTAGAAGAAAATCTAGGCATTACCATTCAGGACATAGGCATGGGCAAGGACTTCATGTCTGAAACACCAAAAGCAATGGCAACAAAAGCCTAAATGGACAAATGGGATCTAATTAAACTAAAGAGCTTCTGCACAGCAAAAGAAACTACCATCAGAGTGAACAGGCAACCCACAAAATGGGAGAAAATTTTTGCAACCTACTCATCTGACAAAGGGCTAATATCCAGAATCTACATTGAACTCAAACAAATTTACAAGAAAAAAACAAACAACCCCATCGAAAAGTGGGCAAAGGACATGAACAGACACTTCTCAAAAGAAGACAGTTATGCAGCCAAAAAACACATGAAAAAATGCTCACCATCACTGGCCATCAGAGAAATGCAAATCAAAACCACAATGAGATACCATCTCACACCAGTTAGAATGGCAATCATTAAAAAGTCAGGAAACAACAGGTGCTGGAGAGGATGTGGAGAAATAGGCACACTTTTACACTGTTGATGGGACTGTAAACTAGTTTAACCATTGTGGAAGTCAGTGTGGCAATTCCTCAGGGATCTACGACTAGAAATACCATTTGACCCAGCCATCCCATTACTGGTTATAGACCCAAAGGACTATAAATCATGCCACTATAAAGACACATGCACATGTATGTTTATTGCGGCACTATTCACAATAGCAAAGACTTGGAACCAACCTAAATGTCCAACAATGATAGACTGGATTAAGAAAATGTGGCACATATACACCATGGAATACTATGCAGCCATAAAAAATGATGAGTTCATGTCCTTTGTAGGGACATGGATGAAATTGGAAATCATCATTCTCAGTAAACTATCACAAGAACAAAAAACCAAACACCGCATATTCTCACTCATAGGTGGGAATTGAACAATGAGAACACATGGACACAAAAAGGGGAACATCACACTCTGGGGACTGTTGTAGGGTGTGGGAGGGGGGAGTGATAGCATTGGGAGATATACCTAATGCTAGATGACGAGTTAGTGGGTGCAGCGCACCAGCATGGCACACGTATACATATGTAACTAACCTGCACATTGTGCACATGTATCCTAAAACTTAAAATATAATAATAATAAATAAATTGAAAAAAAACAATGAACAAGACAGAGTTGAGGCCTGCACTCATGATGTTCACAGTCTGTCAAGGGAGGCAGACATATTGTTGCAGGAAAAATATTTGATAAGGTTCAAGTCTTATTGACAGTAACAACAGAATGTCTTCGTAAATTAGGAATAAAAAGAAAACTTTTTAACTTTGTAGAGGTTATGTATGAAAAAGCCAGCAAACATACAGGTGCTCCTTGACTTTCGATGGGGTTACTTCCTGATAAACTCATTGTAAATTGAAAACATCATCAGTCAAAAATGCATTTAATATACCTAATCTACTGAGCATCCTAGCTTAGCCTGGCCTGTCTTAAAGATGCTCAGAACACTTACATTAACCTACAGTTGGGAAAAAAATCATTGAAAACAAAGCCTATTTTACATAAAAAAAGAATATCTCATGTAATTTATTGAATACTGTAGTGACAGTGAAAAACAGAATCATTGTATGGGAACTCGAAGTATAGTTTCTACTGAATGCATATTGTTTTCGCACCATCTAAAGTCAAAAAAATCATAAATTGAGCCATTATAAGTTGGGGACTGTCTGTACTCAATAGAGGAACTTTAAATAAAATCCCATTTAAGATTGAGATCAAGATCCATGCCTACTATCACTCATACTGTTTCACAGAGTATGGGAGTTTCTACCCGATTCAGTGTAGAATTTTTAAAAAGAGGCATGAGTATGGGAAGAGAAGGCCTAAAGTTTTCATTATTTGTAGATACGAAATACCAAAAAATAAACTATTAAAACTAATAAGTGAGTTTAGCATGCCAAATAAAACTCACCTTACAAAAATTAATAACATTTCTCTGTGTCAGCAACATAATAAAAAAGATATGTGAGATACCATTTGCAATAACAATGAAAATGATCTAGTGTCTAGGAATTAAGTATCTAGAAATTAACTAAGCATATTAAAGATACTTATAGATAAAATTTTTAAAACTCTATGATTTTCTAAATTTTGAGTGTACAGTTCAGAAGCATTAAGTACATTCATGATATTATGCAACCATCACCACTATCCATTTCCAGAACATTTTCATCAATATCCCAAACAGAAAGTATGTACTCATTAAATAATAACGTCCATTTCTCTCTCTCTGTAGCCTCTGTTAACCTCTATTCTATTCTCAGTCTTTATGAATTTGCCCATTTTAGGTACCCCACATGAGTGGAACCATACAACATTTGGCATTTTGTATCTAGTTTATTTCACTTAGCATAATGTTTTTAAGGTTCATCCATGTTATTGCATATATCAGAATTGTATTCCTTTTAAGGCTTAAGGCTGAATAATATTCCTATATATATATATGTAAATACATATGTATCTCACATTTTGATTATCCATTGTTTATCTGTTTTGATGGACACAAGTTGTTTCCACCTTTTGGCTATTGTGAATAATGTTGCTATGAACATTGGTGTACACAAATCTGATTGAGTCCTTGCTTTTAATTTTTGTTGTTCTTGTTGTTGTTTATTTGTTTTAGATGGGGTCTCACTCTGTCACCTAGCCTGAAGTGTAGTGATGTGATCAGAGCTCAAGCATTCCATACACCTCAGCCTCCCAAGTAGCTGGGATGACAGGTGCATGCCACGATACTTGGCTAGTTTTTGTATTTTTTGTAGAGATAGGGTTTTTTCATGTTGCCAAGGCTGGTCTCAAACTCCTGGGTTCAAGTGATTCACCTGCCTTGGTCTCCAAATGCTAGGATTACAGGTGTGAGCCACCACGCCCAGCACTGATTTTATTTTTTGGGGTGTATACAAAGAAGTGGAATTGCTGGATCATGTGGTAATTCTTTAACTTTTTTGAGTGACTGCCAACCCATTTTCTACTGTGGCTGTACCATTGTTAGCTTTACCACTAACAATGCACAAATATTTCAGTTTCTCTACATTTTTGCCAATACTTGTTAGTTTCCATTTTTTAAAATAGCCATATTAGTGGGTGTGAAGTGGTATCTCACTGTGGGATTGATTTGCATTTCCCTAATAACTAGTGACATTGAATATCTTTTGATATGCTTATTGAGAACTTGTATGTCTTCTTTGGAAAAATGTCTGTTCAAGTTCATTGTCCATTATTTAATTGCATTTTTGGTTGTTACAATAGACTTGGAGGAGTTCTTCATATATTGTGGATATTAATTACTTGTCAGATATATTATTTGCAAATATTTTCTCCCTTTCTGAGGGTTATATTTTACCTCCTTGACAGTGTTCTTTGATTAAAAAATACTTTTAATCTTGATAAAGTACAGTTTATCTGTTTTTCTTTTGTTGCTAGTGCTTTGAATGTCATATCCAAGAAATCATTGCCAAAATCAATATTGTGAAGATTTGCTATGGTTTTTTTCCTTGAGTTTTATACTATTAGCTCTTATATTTAGATTTTTTATCCATTTTCACTAATTTTTTTTGTGTGTGATGTAAGGTAAGGGTACAACTTCATTATTTTGGAAATGGATATCCAGTTTTTCCAGCACCATTTATTGAAAAGACTGTCCATTCTCAATTGAATGGTCTTGGAATCCTTGTCAAAAATCAATTGACCACACAGGTGAGGGTTTATTTTGGGGATCTCCATTCTATTCTAAAGGTCTATAAGTCTGTCCTTCGGCCAGTGCCACACTGTTTTGATGACTGTAACTTTGTAGTAGGTTTTGAAATCAGAAAGTGTGAATCCTCCAACTGTGTTCTTTTTCAAGATTGTTTCACTTCTTAGGGTCCCTTGAGATTCCATATGAATTTTAGGGCCATATTTTCCATTTCTGTAAAAAAAAAAAAAAAGCCATTAGAATTCTGATAGGGATTGCATCCATCAATCACTTTGGGGATATTGTCATCCTTACAGTATTAGGTGTTCCTATGCATGAACACAGGATGAATTTCCATTTGTTTATGTCTTTAATTTATTTTAGCAATGTTTTACAGTTTTCAGGGTACTAGACTTTCATCTCCCTGATTAAATTTATCCCAAAATATTTTATTCTTTTAGATCCTATTGTAAATGGAATTGTTTTCTTAATTTCCTTTCCAGATGGCTCGTTGTTAGTGTAAAGAAATGCAAGTGATGTTTATTGATCATTTTGTAACCTGCAAGTTTGCCGAATTTGTTTACTAGCTCTAACAGACTTTTGTAGAATCTTTAGGATTTTATAAATATGACATTATGTCATCTCTTAATAGAAATAACTTTATTCTCCCTTTCAAAACTTGGATGCCTTGTATTTCTTTATCTTGCCTAATTGTTCTAGCTAAAATTTTCAAAATTAAGTTTAATAGAAGTGGTGCAAGCTGGCATCCTTGCCTTATTCTTGATCTTAGAGAAAAAGCTGTTACACTTTCACCTTTGAGAATGATGGTAGCTCTTTGTGTTCCTTCTTCTTTAAGTGTTTGGTAAAATTCGTGAGTGAAACCATGTGATCCAGGGCTTCTGTTAGGAGGTTTTTGATTACTGATTCAATCTCCTTACTAGTTACATGTTAATACAGAGTATGGATTCTGCTGTTGTTAGGCGGAGTTTTTTTAATATATTTCTTTTAGGTGTAATTGGTTTATAGTGTTGCTGAAGTCTTTTTTTTCCTTAGTGATCTTCTGTCTGGTTGTTTTATCTATTATTACAAGTTGAGATATTGGAGTCTGTATTATTGTGTAATTGACTATTTGTCCCAATTAACAAAATTAACATACCTTTAACTAGACTGACTAAGATAAAAAGAAATAAGACCTAAGTTACTGAAATCAGAAATGAAAGTTGGGGCATTACTTCCAATTCCACAGAAATAAAAAGGACTGTGAGATACCTGGAATATCAGGAATGAAGGAAGAGCAATAGAAATGGTAAACATCTGGGTAAATATAGCAGATAATTTTTGTCTTCTTAAGTACTTAAAATGTTTGGTTAAAATACAAAATTATACACGTACTTTAATGTATGTAGATGTAATGTATGTAGACTTTAATGTATGTAGATGTAATACAACTACATCTACAACAAAAAGGGGGGAGGGTAAAGTGACCTATAGGGTAATAAGAGCTCTACATTTCACCTGAAGAGGTAAATAAACTGTGAAAAAGTAATTATGTATAGTTTAATTCCCAGTGTGTCCAGGAGAAACTATACAAAGAGATACAGTAAAAAATAAGCACACACAAAAAGCCAACAGATACATTAGAGTTGAATTTTAAAATCAAATAATCTAAAAGATGGCAAGGAATAAGAAACAGGAATTCAAAAAACTGAAACATCATTGAAAAGTAGATTTAAATTCAAACATATCTATAATTACATTAATGGTAAATGACCTAAACACATTAATTAAAAGACAAAGTTTGGCAGAGCGGATAAAATAACACAATCCACCTATGTGCTACCTATAAAAAAAGCTACTTTAGCGCCGGGTGCAGTGGCTCACGCCTGTAATCCCAGCACTTTGGAAGGCCGAGGCAGGTGGATCACTTGAGGTCAGGAGTTAGAGACTACCGTGGCCAACATGGTGAAACCCCGTCTCTCCTTAAAAAAACAAAAATTAGCCGGCTGTGGCGGCGCCGTGCCTGTAACCCCAGCTACTCGGAAGGCTGAAGCAGGAGAATCACTTGAACTTGGGAGGCAGAGGTTGCAGTGAGCCGAGATTATGTCACTGCACTCCAGCATAGGGGACAGAGCAAGAGTCCTTCTCAAAAGAAAAAAGAAAAAAAAAAAGGAGAAGAAAGAAAAAGAAAGAAAGAAAGAAAGGAAAAAAGAAACCTACTTTATATATAATGATGTAGGTAGTTCAAAAGGAAATTATGGGAAAAATATAGCATGCAAACACTCTTCAAAAGAAAGCTGGAGTGGCTATATTTAATACCAACTCAACTAGACTTCAGAGTAAAGAACTTACCCAGGATACAGAGAGACATTATGTAATGATAAAGGGGTCAATTCACCAAGAAGATATAACAATCCTAAATGCCTATGCATTTAACAACAGAGTTTCAAAACAAATAAAGCAATAGCTCGTAAAAATGAAAGAAGAAATACAAAATTTCACAATTATAGTTGGAGACTTCCAACTTTCATTTTTCAGTAATTCAGAGAAGTACTCAGAAAATCAGCAAGGATATAGAAAATTTAAACATCGTCAACCAACTAGATATAATAGAAATTTATAAAACACTTTATACAACAACAGTACAATACACATTCTTTACAAATAAACATGGAACATTCACTAAGATAGACCATATGCTGAATCAGAAAATAAACTTTAAGAAATTAAAGAGAATTGAAATCCAACAATGAATTTTTTTCTGACCACAATAGAATTAACTAGAAATTGATAGTAGAAAAATAATTGGAAAATCTCCAAATCCTTAGAAAGTAAACAAAACAATTATAAATAACTCGTGGGTCAAAGAAAATGTCTCAAATAAAATTAGAAAATATTTTCAATGAAGAAAAGAAAATACAGCATGTCAATGTTGTGCAATGCAGCTAAAGCAGTGCTCAGAGGGAAATTTATATTTTTAATGCTAATACTACCAAAGAAGAAAACACCTCAAATCAACCCAAAGCTGTAGAAGAAAGGAAATAATAATGAAAAAAAGCAGAAATCAATGAAATTGAGAAAGTTTAAGGAAACCAAAAGCTAGCTCTTTGAAAAGTTCAATACAACCAATAAACTTCTAGCCAAACTGACAGAGAGAAATAGAAAGAGACATAAGTCAACAATATCTCATATAAAAGAAGGGGATATCAGTAGAGAGTTTACAAACATTAAAAACAAAATAAGAAAATAAAATGAAGAATACTATGCAAAGAAATTCAGGTTAGTTGAAATGGACCAATTCCTTGAAACCCATGAACTATTAAACTTTATCCAAGATTAAAAGAATAAATAGACAACATGAATTGTTCAATATCTTTTAAAATTTTTCTCGTATTAATGTATTGTATTAATGTATTAATGTGTTGATTTTTGTTGTATTAATGTATTTCTTGTATTAATGTATTGAAATTATAGGTGTATATATTTATGAAGTAACAAGTAATATTATGACGTTTGAATACAATGTGAAATGATTGAATCAAGCTATTTAACATATTCAACACCTCACCTCAAATATCAAACATTTTGTACAATGAGAACATTTGAAATTTACTTTTAGTAATATTGAAGTGTGCATTACTTATTAGCTGTATTTATTGCACTGTGAATAGCTCTAAAAAAATCAAGCTAATTCCTCCTATCTAACTGAAGCTATGTACCCTTTATTAAAATTTCCCTATTTCCCTCACCCTCTTCCTCTGGTAGCCATCATACTATACTCTGCTTCTTTGAGTTTAATTGTTTTAGTTTGCACATATGAACTGTTTTTCTGGGTTTGGTTTATTGTGCTTAGCATAGTATTCTCCAATTTCATTCATGTCATCATAAATGACAGAATTTCTTCTTTTTTATGGCTGAAAAATATTCTACTGTCTATATATACTACAATTTATTTATTAATTCATTCCTTGATGAAAACTTAGGTGATTTCATAACTTGGTTATTGTGAATAGTGCTGCAGTGAACATCAGAGTGCAGACATGTCTTCAACATACTGATTTCAAATCTTTCAGGTAAATACCCAGAGGTGAGATTGCTGGATTATATGCAAATTCTTTCAGTTTTTTGAGGAAACTTTGTACTTTTTTCATGGCTGTACTAATTTACATTATCATCAACAGTATACAAACATTCTCCTTACTCTATACCTTTGCCCAGACTTATCTTTCATCTTTTGGATAACAGCCTTTTTAACAGGTATGAGGTGATATCTCACTGTGGTTTTAATTTGTATCTCCCTAATGATCAATGATGTTGAGCATTTTCATTTAGTTGTTAGCTATTTGTATGCCTTCTTTTGAGAAATGTGTATTCCGGTCTTTTGCCCATTTCTTAATTGAATTATTTGTTTTCATACTGTAGAGTTGAGTTCCTTATATATTTTGGATATTAATTCCTTTTCAAATATATGACTTGCAAATATTTTTCCCAAACCATAGGTTGTCCTTTCAGTTTTGTTTCCTTTGTTGTGCAGACACTTTTTATTTTGATGTAATCCTCTTGGTGTATTTTTGCTTTTGTTTCTTGTGCTTTTGGGGTCATATCTAAAAAAATATTGCCCAGACCAATGTTACACAGTTTCCTGCCCTATGTTTTTCTCTAGTAGTTTTATGCTTAAGGTCTTATGTTTTCAGGTCTTATGTTTAAGTCTGCAATCTATTTTGGGTTGATTTTGTATATGATGTCAGTTAAGGACCCAATTTTATTGTTTTGCATATGGACATCCAGTTTTCCCAACATTATGGAAGAAGCAATCCTTTTCCTATATGTATATTCTTGGCACCTTTGTCAAAAATCACTTGTCTGTAGATGTGTGAGTGCATTTCTGGGCCCTTTATTTTCTTCCGTTAGTCATTGTGCCTATTTTTTTATGCCAGTACTATGCTGTTTTAATTACTATCTCTTTGATGTATAGTTTGATGCTTTCAGCTTCGTTCTTTTTGTTCATAGCTGCCTTGCAATTTGGAGCTTATTATGGTTCTATCTGAATTTTAGGAATTTTTTCTGTTTCTATAAAAAATGCCATTGGAGTTTTGTTAGGGATTGCATTGAATCTGTAGACACTTTGGTAGTTTGGACATTTTAACAATTTTAATTCTTCCAATTGATGAACACAAGATATCTTTTTATTTATTTGTATCTTATTCAATTTCTTTCATTAATGTTTTATAGTTTTCAATGGACACATCTTTCACCTCCTTGGTTAAATTTATTCTCATTTTTTGTTGCTATAATAAATGGGATTATTTTCTTTATTTATTTTATAGAAAGTTTATTGTTAGTCTATAGAAACACTACTGATTTTTGTATGTTGATTTTGTACCCTGCAACTCTACTGAATCTGTTCACCAATTCTAACAGGATTTTTAGCAGAATCTTCAGAGTTTTCTATATATAAAATTGTGTAATCAGTAAACAGCAACATTTTACTTCTTCTTTTCAAATTTGGATGCCATTTATTTATTTTTTCTTGCCTTATTGCTAAGTTAAGAACTTACAATAGTTGTTGAATCAAAGTGGAGAGAGTGGGCATCCTTGTCTTATCTGGATCTTCAGGAAAAAGCTTTCAACTTTGCCCTGTTCAGTATGATGTTTTCATGGGTTTATTGTATATGGCCTTTATTGTGTTCAGGTACATTTCTCCTATACCTTATTTGTTGAGAGTTTTTATCATGAAGGGATGTTGACTTTTGTCCCATACATTTTTCTGCATCTAATGAGATGATAATATCATTTTTCTCTTTCATTCTTTTAATGTGGTATATCATGTTTATTGATTTTTGTATAT
This sequence comes from Homo sapiens, assembly GCF_000001405.40. Taxonomy (NCBI): domain Eukaryota; kingdom Metazoa; phylum Chordata; class Mammalia; order Primates; family Hominidae; genus Homo; species Homo sapiens. Next base: position 64,123,454 of record NC_000023.11, on the reverse strand, counting down.
TGAACCATCCGTGTATTCCAGTGATAAATCTCACTTAATCATGGTGAGTGATCCTGTTAATGTGTTGTTGAATTTTGTTTGCTAGCATTTTGTTGAAGATTTTTGCACCTATGTTCATCAAGGACATTGTCCTGTAGTTTTCTTTTCTTGTGGTGTCTGTCTGGCTTTGGTATCAGGGTAATGCTGGTCTTGTAAAAAAGATTTGGAAGTGTTGCCTTCTCTTTGATTTTTTGGAAGTTGGTGGAGAATTGGTATTAGTTCTTTAAATGTTTTTTAGAATTTAGCTGTGAAGCCATCAGGTCCTGGGCTTCTCTTTGATTGAAGAATTTTTGTTACTGATTAAATCTCCTCACTTATTATTGGTCTGGTGTGTGTCTAGTACTTTATCCATTTCTTCTAGGTTATCCATTTTTGGCAGATAATTATTTACAATAGCCTCTTATGATCCTTTGCATTTATGTGGTATCAGTTTTAATGTCTCTTCTTTCATTTATCAGAACTGATAAATTTAATAAAGTTTCAGGATACAAAATCAACATACACATTTAGTAGCATTTCTATATGGCAACAGTGAACAATCTGAAAAAGAGATTAAGAAAGTTGTCACTTTTTCAGTAATTACAAATAAAATATAATACCTAGGAATTAACCAAAGAAGTGAAAGATCTCTACAATTAAACCTATAAAACATAGATGAAAGAAATTAAAGAGGACATGAAACAATGCAAATATATCGCATATTTATGGATTGGAGGAATCAATATTGTTAACATGTCCATACTACCCAAATCAATCTACAGATTCGAAACACTCTCTGTCAAAACACTAATGGCAATCTTCACAAAAACAGAAAAAATAAATCCTAAAATTTATATGTAACCACAAAAGACCCAGAATAGCCAAATCTATCCTGAGGGGAAAAAAAAAAAAAAAAAAAACATAAAAAAACTCTAGGAATCACATTACCTAACTTCAAATTATATTACAGAACTATAGCAAAAAAAAAAAAAAGACATGGTACTGATATAAAAACAGAGACATAGACAAATGGAACAGGATAGAGAACCCAGAACAAATATATACATCAACAGTAAAGTCATTTTTGACAATGTTGCCAAGAACATAAACTGGGGAAAGGACTGTCTCTTTAATAAATGGTACTGGAAAAACTGAATATACTTATGCAGAAGAATGAAACTAGACTTCTACAAAAATCAAATCAAAATAGATTAAGGACTTATATCTAAGACCTTAAACTATGAAACTACTATAAAAACATTGGGGAAACTTTCCAGGACATTGAGCTGGGCAAATATTTCTCAAATAATACCCCACAAGCACCGGCAATCAAAGCAAAAATGATCAAATGGGATTACATGAAGTAAAAAACTGTCTGCACAGCAAAGGAAATAATCAACAAAGTGAACAGACAACCCACATAATGGTAGAAAATGTTTGCAAGCTATCTGTTTGACAAGGGATTAATAGCGAGAACATATAAGGAGCCAAACAACTCTATAGGAATAAATCAAATAATCCAATTTAAAAATGGACAGAAAATATGAATAGACATTTCTCAAAAGAAGACACACAAATGGCAAACAGGTATATGAAAAGGTGCTCAACATCACTGATCATCACAGAAATTAAAATCAAAACTACAATGAGATATCCTCTTACCCCAGTGAAAATGTCTTGTATCCAAAAGATAGGCAATAACAACTGCTGGCGAGGATGTGGAGAAAAGGGAACACTTGTACACTGTTGCTGGAAGTGTAAATTAGTACAATCAGAAGAGTTTGTAAGTTCCTCACAAAACTAAAAATAGGGCTACCATATAATCCAGCAATCCCAGTACTAGGTATATAACCAAAAGAAAGGAAATCAGTATATCAAAGATATATCTGCACTCCGATGTTTACTGCAGCACTATTGACAATTGCCAAGATTTGGAAGCAAACTGTCTATCAACAGATGAATGGATAATGAAAGTGTGGTATGTATATGCAACGGAGTACAATTCAGCCATAAAAAGAAAGAGATCCTGTCATTTGTTAATCGTGATGTCATTTTTAAGTGTTAAGTGAAATAAGCCAGAAAGACAAGCTTCGCCTGTTCACACATATTTGTTGGAGCTAAAATTTAAAATAATTGAACTGATGAACATAGAGAGTAGAAGGATAGTTATCAGAGGATGAGAAACGTAGTGGGTGAGGAAAAGTGGGGATGGTTATCGAGTACAAAAATTATTTAGAAAGACTGAGCAAGATCCATTCACCCTGATGTGATTAATACACAATACACATCTGTATCAAAATATCTCATGTAGCCCATAAAGATATATGCCTACCATGTACCCCAAAAATTAAAAATTAATTTTAAAAAGGCCAGATGAAGACAATACAGGAAAAGAAAATGTCAACCAGTATTTTTTCATGAACCTAGACCTGAAAACACTCAACGAAATATTGGTGAGTTGAATCCAGCAACATAAAATATAATTAATGATGACAGGATTAAATCCACACATATCAATATTAACCTTCAATGTAAATGGGCTAAACGCCCTAACTAAAAGGCACAGAGGGGCAAGCTGGATAAGGAAGCAAGACCCAATAGTATGCTGTCTTCAAGAGACCCATCTCACATGCAATGACAAACATTGGCTCAAAATAAAGGAATGGAGAAAAATCTACCAAGCAAATGGAAAACAGAAAAATCAGGGGTTGCAATTCTAATTTCAGATAAGACAGACTTTAAATCAACAAAGATCAAAAAAGACAAAGAAAGAAGGATATTACATAATGGTAAAGGTCTTCTTGAACCAGAAGACCTAACTATCCTAAATATATATGCATGCAAAACAAGAACACTCAGATTTATAAAGCAAGTTTTAGAGACCTTCAAAAAGACATAGAATCCCACACAATAATAGTGGGAGACTTCAACAATCCACTGACAATCTTAGATCATCAAGGCAGAAAATTAACAAATATATTCAGGACCTGATTTCAACACTGGACCAAATGGATCTGACAGACATCTATAGGACTCTCTACCCTAAAACAACAGAATATACATTCTTCTCATCTGCACATGGCACATACTCTAAAATTGACCACACAGTCAGACATAAAACAATCCTCAGCAAATGCAAAATAACAAAAACTATACCAACCATTCTCACAGACCACAGTGCAATAAAAATAGAATTCAAGACTAAGAAAATTGCTCAAAATCACATAATTACATGGAAATTAAACAGCCTGCTTCTGAATGACTTTTGGGTAAATAATGAATTTAAGGAAGAAATCAAGATGTTCTTTGAAACTAATGAAAACAAAGATACAATGTACCAGAATCTCTGGAACACAGCTAAGGCACTGTTAAGAGGAAAATTTGTAGCACTAAATAGCCACATGAAAAGGTTAGAAAGATCTCAAATTAACCTAACATCACAACAAAAAGAACCAGAGAAGAAAGAGAAAAACTGACCCCAAAGTGAGCAGAAGACAAGAAATAAACAAAATCAGAGCTGAACTAAAGGAGATTGAGACACAAAATAAACATTAGAAAGATCAATAAATTCAGAAGCTGAGTGGTTTTTCAAAAAAAATTAATGATAGACTACTTGTAGAATAATACAGTATAAAAACAGAAGAACCAAATAAACACAATCAAGAATGACAAAGGAGATATAACCACTAGCCATATAGAAATACAAATAATTGTCAGACACTATTATGAACAGCTCTATGCATAGAAACTAGAAAATCTAGGAGAAACTGATAAATTCCTGGACACATATGCCATTTAAAGACTGAACCATGAAGAAATTCAATCATTGAACAAACCAATAATGGGCTCTGAAATTTAATCAGTAATAAATAGCCTACACCCAATAAAAGCCCTGGACCAGATTGATTCAGAGCCAAATTCTACCAGATGTACAAAGAAGAACTGGTATCATTTCTACTGAAACTCTTCCAAAAAATTGAGGAGGAGCGACTTCTCACTAACTCATTCTATAAGTTATCAACCTGATAGCAAAACTTTGCAAGAGACACAACAGAAAAAGAAAACCTCAGGCCAATATCTTTGATAAACATTGATGCAAAGATCCTCAATAAAATACTAGCAAAATGCAACCAGTATCACATCAAAAACTTATCCCCTACAATCAAGTAGGCTTTATCCCTGGAATACAAGGTTGGTTCAACACAGGCAAGTCAATAAATGTGATTCACCACATCAACAGAGTTAAAGACAAAAATCACATGATCACTTCAATAGATGCAGAAAAGGCTTTCAATAACATTCAACACCTCTTCATGTTAAAAACTCTCAAAAAACTAGGTATTCAAGAAACATACCTCAAAAAATTAAGAAACATCAATGACAAACCCATAGACAACGTGATACCGAATGGGCAAAAGCTGGAAGCAGTTCCCTTGAACGCTGGCAGAAGACAAGGTTGCCTTCTCTCACCACTCCTATTCAAAATAGTATGTAAAGTCCTGGTCAGAGCAATCAGGCAATGGAAAGGAATAAAACATATCCAAATAGGAGGAGAGGAAGTCAAACTATCCCTGTTTGCAGATAACATGATTCCATATCATCATGAAAACCCCATAGTCTCAATCCTAAAGTTCCTTAAACTGATAAACAACTTCAGCTACGTAGCAGGATACAAAATCAATGTATGAAAATCACTAGCATTCTTATACACCAACAAGAGCCAAGCCAAGATCCAAATCAAGAATGCAATCCCATTCACAATAGACATAAAAAAGAATAAAATACATAGGAATTCAGCTGACCAAGGAAGTGTAAGAACTATGCAATGAGAATTACAAAGACACAGCTCAAAGAAATAGAGACGAGACAAACAAATGGAAAAATATTCCATGCTCATGAGTAGGATGAATCGATATTGTTAACAAGTCCATACTGCCCAAAGCAATTTACAGATGTAATGCTATCCTTACAAAATTTCCAATGGCATTCTTCACAGAATTAGAAAAACTATTTTAAAATTCACATGAAAACAAAAAGGAGCCCAAATAGCCAAGGCAATCCTAAGCAAAACAACAAAGTGGGTGACCTAACACTACCTGAATTCAAAATATACTATAGGGATACAGTAACCAAAGCGCATGGTACTGGTACAAAAACAGGCACATAAACCAATGGAACAGAATAGAGAGCCCAGAAAGGAGGTGGCATGCCTACAACCATAGATCTTTGACAAACCTGACAAAAACAAGCAATGGGGAAAGTATTCCCTATTTAATAAATGGTGCTGGAAGAGCTGGCTAGCCATATGCTGAAAAATAAAACTGTTCTCCTTCCTTACACCATATACAAAACTTAATTCGAGATGGATTAAAGACTTAAATGTAAAAACCATAAAAACCATAGAAAAAGTTCTAGGCAATACTATTCATGACATAGGCATGGGCAAAGGTTTCATGATGAAGACACCAAAAGCAATTGCAACAAAAGCAAAAATTGACAAATGGGACCTAATTAAACTAAAGAGCTTCTGCACAGCCAAAGAAACTATTATCATAGTGAACAGACAACCTACAGAATGGGAGAAATTTTTTTTTCAATCTATCCTTCTGACAAACGTCTAATATCCAGAGTCTAAAAGGAACTTAAACAAATTTACAAGAAACAAGCAAACAGCCCAATTAAAAAGTGGACAAAGGACATGAACAGACACTTTTCAAAAGAAGACATCCACGCAGTCAAAAAAACATATGAACAAAACCCTCAACATCACTAATCATTAGAGAAATGCAAATCAAAACCACAATGAGATACCATCTCACACCAGTCAGAATGGCTAATATTTAAAAGTCAAAAAACAACAGATGCTGGCAAGGTTGCAGATAAAAGGGAACACTTTTACACTGTTGGTGGGAGCGTAAATTAGTTCAACCATTGTGGAAGACAGTGTGAAAATTCCTCAGAGGCCTAGAGGGCAGAAATACCATTTGACCCAGCAATCCCATTACTGTATATATACCCAAAAGGATATAAATTGGTCTATCATAAAGACACATGCACATGTATGTTCATTGCAGCATATTCACAATAGTGAAAATGGGCATTTAGGAATCAACCTAAATGCCCATCAATGATAGACTGGATAACAAAAATGTGGTACATATACACCATGGAATAGTATGGAACAATAAAAAGGAATGAGATCATGTCCTTTGTAGGGACATGGATGGAGGTGGAAGCTATTACCTTCAGCAAACTAACACAGGATGTGAAACCAAACACCACATGTTCTCATTTATAAGTGGGAACTGAATGATGAGAACACATGGACACAAGTGGGGAACAACACACACTGGGGCCTGTTGGAGGAGGGTGTGAAGGAGGAAGTGCATCAGGAAGAATAGCTAATGGATGCTGGGCTTAATACCTAGGTGATGGGATGATCTATGCAGCAAACCACCATGGCACACATTTACCTATGTAACAAACCTGCACATCCTGCACATGTATCCCTGAACTTAAAGCAAAATTTGAAGAAAAAAAGGAAAAATGTCAAAAATAGATGTTGGAGAGGTTGCAGAGAAAAGGGAATGCTTATATACTGTTGGTGGGAGTGCAACTTAGTTAAACCTTTGTGGAAAGCAGTATGGAAATTCCTCAAAGACCTAAAAACAGAACTACCATTCTATCCAGCAATCCAATTACTGGGTATATACCTAAAGGAATATAAATCTTTCTATCATAAAGACAACTGCTCATGTGTGTTCACTGCAGCAGTATTCAAAATAACAAAGACATAGAGTCAACCTAAATGCTCATCAATGGAAGACTTGAATAAAGAAAATGTGGTACACATACACTATGGAATACTATGCAGCCATAAAGAAGAATAAGATCATGTCCTTTGCAGGAACATGGATTGAGCTGGAGGGCATTATCCTTAGCAAACTAACAGAAACAGAAAACCAAATATTGCATGCTCTCACTTATAATTCTGAGCTAAATGACGTGACCATATGGGCACAAAGAGAGGAACAACACACACTCGGGCCTACCAGAGGTTGGAGGGTGGAAGGAGGGAGAGGAGCAGGAAAAATAACTATTTGGTAATATGCTTAGTATCTGTGTGATGAAATAATCTGTACATCAAACCCCTGTGATACAAGATTGCTTATGTAGCGAAGCTGCACACGTACCCCTGAACCTAAAATAAAAGCCAAAAAAAGAATATGCTTAATGGCATTGAAGTATACACTTAAAGATGGTTAAAATAGTAAGTTTTAGGTTATTTATATTTTACCACAATAAAAATTTGATCAAAACAAACAAAAAGGAAAAATGGTTAATGCACCATGACCACATGGGGCTTATTCTAGTATTGCAAGGCTGATTCCATGTTAGAAAGTCCGGGGAGGAGCCAAGATGGCCGAATAGGAACAGCTCTAGTCTACAGCTCCCAGCGTGAGCGACGCAGAAGACAGGTGATTTCTGCATTTCCATCTGAGGTACCGGGTTCATCTCACTAGGGAGTGCCAGACAGTGGGCGCAGGTCAGTGGGTGTGCGCACCGTGCGCGAGCCGAAGCATGGCGAGGCATTGCCTCACTCGGGAAGCATAAGGGGTCAAGGAGTTCCCTTTCCTAGTCAAAGAAAGGGGTGACAGATGGCACCTGGAAAATCGGGTCACTCCCACCTGAATACTGCGCTTTTCCAACGGGCTTAAAAAACGGCGCACCAGGAGACTATATCCCGCACCTGGCTCAGAGGGTCCTATGACCATGGAGTCTCGCTGATTGCTAGCACAGCAGTCTGAGATCAAGCTGCAAGGCGGCAGCGAGGCTGGGGGAGGGGCGCCCGCCATTGCCCAGGCTTGCTTAGGTAAACAAAGCAAGCGGGAAGCTCGAACTGGGTGGAGCCCACCACAGCTCAAGGAGCCTCTGTAGGCTCCACCTCTGGTGGCAGGGCACAGACAAACAAAAAGACAGCAGTAACTTGCCTGTTCACTCTGATGGTAGTTTCTTTTGCTGTGCAGAAGCTCTTTAGTTTAATTAGATCCCATTTGTCAATTTTGGCTTTTGTTGCCATTGCTTTTGGTGTTTTGGACATGAAGTCCTTGCCCACGCCTATGTCCTGAATGGTAATGCCTAGGTTTTCTTCTAGGGTTTTTATGGTTTTAGGTCTAACGTTTAAATCTTTAATCCATCTTGAATTGATTTTTGTATAAGGTGTAAGGAAGGGATCCAGTTTCAGCTTTCTACATATGACTAGCCAGTTTTCCCAGCACCATTTATTAAATAGGGAATCCTTTCCCCATTGCTTGTAGAAAATTTTTGCAACCTACTCATCTGACAAAGGGCTAATATCCAGAATCTACAATGAACTCAAACAAATTTACAAGAAAAAAACAAACAACCCCATCAAAAAGTGGGCAAAGGACATGAACAGACACTTCTCAAAAGAAGACATTTATGCAGCCAAAAAACACATGAAGAAATGCTCATCATCACTGGCCATCAGAGAAATGCAAATCAAAACCACTATGAGATATCATCACACACCAGTTAGAATGGCAATCATTAAAAAGTCAGGAAACAACAGGTGCTGGAGAGGATGTGGAGAAATAGGAACACTTTTACACTGTTGGTGGGACTGTAAACTAGTTCAACCATTGTGGAAGTCAGTGTGGCGATTCCTCAGGGATCTAGAACTAGAAATACCATTTGACCCAGCCATCCCATTACTGGGTATATACCCAAAGGACTATAAATCATGCTGCTATAAAGACACATGCACACGTATGTTTATTGCGGCACTATTCACAATAGCAAAGACTTGGAACCAACCCAAATGTCCAACAATGATAGACTGGATTAAGAAAATGTGGCACATATACACCATGGAATACTATGCAGCCATAAAAAATGATGAGTTCATATCCTTTGTAGGGACATGGATGAAATTGGAAACCATCATTCTCAGTAAACTATCGCAAGAACAAAAAACCAAACACCGCATATTCTCACTCATAGGTGGGAATTGAACAATGAGATCACATGGACACAGGAAGGGAAATATCACACTCTGGGGACTGTGGTGGGGTCGGGGGAGGAGGGAGGGATAGCATTGGGAGATATACCTAATGCTAGATGACACATTAGTGGGTGCAGCGCACCAGCATGGCACATGTATACATATGTAACTAACCTGCACAATGTGCACATGTACCCTAAAACTTAGAGTATAATAAAAAAAAAAAAAAAGACAGCAGTAACCTCTGCAGACTTAAATGTCCCTGTCTGACAGCTTTGAAGAGAGCAGTGGTTCTCCAAGCACACAGCTGGAGATCTGAGAATGGGCAGACTGCCTCCTCAAGTGGGTTCCTGACCCCTGACCCCCGAGCAGCCTAACTGGGAGGCACCCCGCAGCAGGGGCAGACTGACACCTCACACAGCCGGGTAGTCCTACAGACCTGCAGCTGAGGGTCCTGTCTGTTAGAAGGAAAACTAACAAAGAGAAAGGACATCCACACCAAAAACCCATCTGTACATCACCATCATCAAAGACCAAAAGTACATAAAACCACAAAGATGGGGAGAAAACAGCCAGAAAAACTGGAAACTCTAAAAAGCAGAGCACCTCTCCTCCTCCAAAGGAACGCAGTTCCTCACCAGCAACAGAACAAAGCTGGACGGAGAATGACTTTGACGAGCTGAGAGAAGGCTTCAGATGATCAAATTACTCTGACCTACAGGAGGACATTCAAACCAAAGGCAAAGAAGTTGAAAACTTTGAAAAAAATTCAGAAGAATGTATAGCTAGAATGACCAGTACAGAGAAGTGCTTAAAGGAGCTGATGGAGCTGAACACCAAGGCTCGAGAACTACGTGAAGAATGCAGAAGCCTCAGGAGCCGATGCGACCAACTGGAAGAAAGGGTATCAGTGATGGAAGATGAAATGAATGAAATGAAGCGAGAAGGGAAGTTTAGAGAAAAAAGAATAAAAAGAAACGAGCAAAGCCTCCAAGAAATATGGGACTATGTGAAAAGACCAAATCTACGTCTGATTGGTGTACCTGAAAGTGACAGGGAGAATGGAACCAAGTTGGAAAACACACTGCAGGATATTATCCAGGAGAACTTCCCCAATCTAGCAAGGCAGGCCAACATTCAGATTCAGGAAATACAGAGAATACCACAAAGATAATCCTCGAGAAGAGCAACTCCAAGACACATAATTGTCAGATTCACCAAAGTTGAAATGAAGGAAAAAATGTTAAGGGCAGCCAGAGAGAAAGGTCGGGTTACCCTCAAAGGGAAGCCCATCAGACTAACAGCGGATCTCTCGGCAGAAACCCTACAAGCCAGAAGAGAGTGGGGGCCAATATTCAACATTCTTAAAGAAAAGAATTTTCAACCCAGAATTTCATATCCAGCCTAACTAAGCTTCACATGTGAAGGAGAAATAAAATACTTTACAGACAAGCAAAGGCTGAGAGATTTTGTCACCACCAGGACTGCCCTAAAAGAGCTCCTGAAGGAAGCACTAAACATGGAAAGGAACAACCGGTACCAGCCACTGCAAAAGCACACCAAAATGTAAAGACCATCAAGACTAGGAAGAAACCGCATCAACTAACGAGCAAAATAACCAGCTAACATCATAATGACAGGATCAAATTCACACATAACAATATTAACTTTAAATGTAAATGGACTAAATGCTCCAATTAAAAGACACAGACTGGCAAATTGGATAAAGAGTCAAGACCCATCAGTGTGCTGTATTCAGGAAACCCATCTCATGTGCAGAGACACACATAGGATCAAAATAAAAGGATGGAGGAAGATCTACCAAGCAAATGGAAAACAAAAAGAGGCAGGGGTTGCAATGCTAGTGTCTGATAAAACAGACTTTAAACCAACAAAGATCAAAAGAGACAAAGAAGGCCATTATTAATGGTAAAGGGATCAATTCAACAAGAAGAGCTAACTATCCTAAATATATATGCACCCAATACAGGAGCACCCAGATTCATAAAGCAAGTCCTGAGTGACCTACAAAGAGACTTAGACTCCCACACATTAATAATGGGAGACTTTAACACCCCACTGTCAACATTAGACAGATCAACGAGGCAGAAAGTCAACAAGGATACCCAGGAATTGAACTCAGCTCTGCACCAAGCGGACCTAATAGACATCTACAGAACTCTCCACCCCAAATCAACAGAATATACATTTTTTTCAGCACCACACCACACCTATTCCAAAATTGACCACATACTTGGAAGTAAAGCTCTCCTCAGCAAATGTAAAAGAACAGAAATCGTAACAAACGATCTCTCAGACCACAGTGCAATCAAACTAGAACTCAGGATTAAGAATCTCACTCAAAACCACTCAACAACATGGAAACTGAACAACCTGCTCCTGAATGACTACTGGGTACATAACGAAATGAAGGCAGAAATAAAGATGTTCTTTGAAACCAACGAGAACAAAGACACAACATACCAGAATCTCTGGGACACATTCAAAGCAGTGTGTAGAGGGAAATTTATAGCACTAAATGCCCACAAGAGAAAGCAGGAAAGATCCAAAATTGACATTCTAACATCACAATTAAAAGAACCAGAGAAGCAAGAGCAAACACATTCAGAAGCTAGCAGAAGGCAATAAATAACTAAATCAGAGCAGAACTGAAGGAAATAGAGACACAAAAAACCCTTCAAAAAATTAATGAATCCAGGAGCTGGTTTTTGAAAGGATCAACAAAATTGATAAACCGCTAGCAAGACTAATAAAGAAAAAAAGAGAGAAGAATCAAATAGACGCAATAAAAAATGATAAAGGGGATATCACCACCGATCCCACAGAAATACAAACTACCATCAGAGAATACTACAAACACCTCTATGCAAATAAACTAGAAAATCTAGAAGAAATGGATAAATTCCTCCACACATACACTCTCCCAATAATAAACCAGGAAGAAGTTGAATCTCTGAATAGACCAATAACAGGATCTGAAATTGTGGCAATATTCAACAGCTTACCAACCAAAAAGAGTCCAGGAACAGATGGATTCACAGCCAAATTCTACCAGAGATACAAGGAGGAAGTGGTACCATTCCTTCTGAAACTATTCCCATCAATAGAAAAAGAGGGAATCCTCCCTAACTCATTTTATGAGGCCAGAATCATCCTGATACCAAAGCCGGGCAGAGACACAACCAAAAAAGAGAATTTTAGACCAATATCCTTAATGAACATTGATGCAAAAATCCTCAATAAAATACTGGCAAACTGAATCCAGCAGCACATCAAAAAGCTTATCCACCATGATCAAGTGGGCTTCATCCCTGGGATGCAAGGCTGGTTCAATATACACAAATCAATAAATGTAATCCAGCATATAAACAGAACCAAAGACAAAAACCACATGATTATCTCAATAGATGCAGAAAAGGCCTTTGACAAAATTCAACAACGCTTCATGCTAAAAACTCTCAATAAATTAGGTATTGATGGGACATATCTCAAAATAATAAGAGCTATCTATGGCAAACCCACAGCCAATATCATACTGAATGGGCAAAAACTGGAAGCATTCCCTTTGAAAACTGGCACAAGACAGGGATGCCCTCTCTCACCACTCTTATTCAATATAGTGTTGGAAGTTCTGACCAGGACAATTACGCAGGAGAAAGAAATCAAGGGTATTCAATTAGGAAAAGAGGAAGTCAAATTGTCCCTGTTTGCAGATGACATGATTGTATATCTAGAAAACCCCATGGTCTCAGCCCAAAATCTCCTTAAGCTGATAAGCACCTTCAGCATAGTCTCAGGATACAAAATCAATGTACAAAAATCACAAGCATTCTTATACACCAACAACAGACAGAGAGCCAAATCATGAGTGAACTCCCATTCACAATTGCTTCAAAGAGAATAAAATACCTAGGAATCCAACTTACAAGGGATGTGAAGGACCTCTTCAAGGAGAACTACAAACCACTGCTCAATGAAATAAAAGAGGATACAAACAAATGGAAGAACATTCCATGCTCATGGGTAGGAAGAATCAATATCGTGAAAATGGCCATACTGCCCAAGGTAATTTATACATTCAATGCCATCCCCATCAAGCTACCAATGACTTTCTTCACAGAATTGGAAAAAACTACTTTAAAGTTCATATGGAATCAAAAAAGAGCCCACATCGCCAAGTCAATCCTAAGCCAAAAGAACAAAGCTGGAGGCATCACACTACCTGACTTCAAACTATACTACAAGGCTACAGTAACCAAAATAGCATGGTACTGGTACCAAAACAGAGATATAGATCAATGGAACAGAACAGAGCCCTCAGAAATAATGCCACATATCTGCAACTATCTGATCTTTGACAAACCTGAGAAAAACAAGCAATGGGGAAAGGATTCCCTATTTAATAAATGGTGCTGGGAAAATTGGCTAGCCATATGTAGAAAGCTGAAACTGGATCCCTTCCTTACACCAGGGATAATGGATGAATTTAATCCATCAATTCAAGATGGATGAAAGACTTAAACGTTAGACCTAAAACCATAAAAACCCTAAAAGAAAACCTAGGCATTACCATTCAGGACATAGGCATGGGCAAGGACTTCATGTCAAAAACACCAAAAGCAATGGCAACAAAAGCCAAAATTGACAAATGGGATCTAATTAAACTAAAGAGCTTCTGCACAGCAAAAGAAACTACCATCAGAGTGAACAGGCAACCTACAAAATGGGAGAAAATTTTCACAACCTACTCATCTGACAAAAGGCTAATATCCAGAATCTACAATGAACTCAAACAAATTTACAAGAAAAAAACAAACAACCCCATGAAAAAGTGGGCAAAGGACATGAACAGACACTTCTCAAAAGAAGACATTTATGCAGCCAAAAAACACATGAAAAAATGCTCACCATCACTGGCCATCAGAGAAATGCAAATCAAAACCACAATGAGATACCATCTCACACCAGTTAGAATGGCAACCATTAAAAAGTCAGGAAACAACAGGTGCTGGAGAGGATGTGGAGAAATAGGAACACTTTTACACTGTTGGTGAGACTGTAAACTAGTTCAACCATTGTGGAAGACAGTGTGGCGATTCCTCAAGGATCTAGAACTAGAAATACCACTTGACCCAGCCATCCCATTACTGGGTATATATCCAAAGGACTATAAATCATGCTGCTATAAAGACACATGCACACGTATGTTTATTGCGGCATTATTCACAATAGCAAAGACTTGGAACCAAGCCAAATGTCCAACAATGATAGACTGGATTAAGAAAATGTGGCACATATACACCATGGAATACTATGCAGCCATAAAAAATGATGAGTTCATGTCCTTTGTAGGGACATGGATGTAATTGGAAATCATCATTCTCAGTAAACTATCGCAAGAACAAAAAACCAAACACCGCATGTTCTCACTCATAGGTGGGAACTGAACAAGAACACATGGACACAGGAAGGGGAACATCACACTCTGGGGACTGTTGTGGGGTGGAGGGAGGGGGGAGGGATAGCATTGGGAAATATACCTAATGGTAGATGACGAGTTAGTGGGTGCAGCGCACCAGCATGGCACATGTATACATATGAAACTAACCTGCACATTGTGCACATGTACCCTAAAACTTAAAGTATAATAATAATAAAAAAAAAAGTCCATCAATGCAACCCACCATATTATGAACAGAAGAAAAATTGCATAATAATATCAATGGATTCATTAAAAGGATTTAACAAAATTCAACATCTATTCATTATAAAAACTCAGGAAACTAAGAATGGAAGAGAACTTTCTTAACCTGACAGAGGACATCTACAAAATCCCTATAGTTGACATCATATTTAATGATGAAAAACTAAATGCGTCCTCCTTCAATTTCATAACAAGTCAGTGATCTCCTTTATCACCATTCCTATTCAACATTGTTTTAGAAGTCCTACCCAGTGCAACAGGGCAGAAAAATGAAGGGCATAAAGTCTGGAAAGAAAGAACTGAAACAGGCTCTATTTACAGACAATATGATTTTGTACATAGAAAATCCCAAGGAATCTACAAAGAAATGCCTAGGACTAAGAAGCAAATTGAGTGCAGCCACAGGTTATTAGATCAATTTATAAAACAAATTGTATGTCTATATACTAGCAACACACAATGAGAGAAGAAAATCTTAAAGTAAATAAAATTTAGAATAGCTCAGAAAATATAAGGTATAAATCTAACAAAACATTTGCAGTATCTGTTGCTCAAAACTACAAAGTGCTGATGAAATAAATCAAAGAGGATCTAAATAAAGAGAAACATAATGTGTTCATGGGTTGGAAGATTCAGTATCGCTAAGATTCAATTCTCTAAAATTGATCTATAGATATGACACAATTCTGATCAATATCCTAGTATGATTTTTGTATATATAGACAAGCATATTCTAAAATTTAAATGAAAGGACAGAGAAACTAGACTCACCCAATCTTGATAAAAGAAAAAGTTGCAGAACTTAAACTACTTGACTCTAAGACTTACTGTAAAGTTAGAGTAATCGAGATAAGATGGTGTTGGTGACTGGATAAACACATGGAATGTGGACCAGAATAAAGAACACAGATATAGTTTCACAAATTATGGCCAACTGATTTTTGACAAAATTAAAAGAACATTTCAATGAAGGAAAGATAACCTTTTAAAACAAATGATGATAGAGCAATTGTTTACATCCATAAGAAGAAAAAAAATTTTTAAAGGAAACAATATAAACCCCACATCTTATACGAATATTAACACGAAACAGATCACATATTTAAATATAAAACATAAAACTTTAAAAGTTTGAGAAGAAAACTCAAGAGAAAAATCTTTGGGACCTAGTGCTTTGTGAAGAGTTCTCACACAAGACATCAAAAGCATTGTGAACAGTTCTTAGACAAGACATCAAAAGCGTAATTCATTAAAAAAATAAATTGGACTTTGTCAAAATCAAAACTTCTACTCTTCAAAAGATCCTATTAAGAGAATGAAAAGATAAGCTATATACTGAGAGAAAATATTTGTAAACCACATATCTGACAAAGAACTAGTGTCTAAAATAGAGTGTTCAAAATTCAGCAAAAATGAATCCAATTAGAAAACGGGCAAAAGACATGAACAGACATTTCACTAAAAAGAATATACAGATGTTAAATAAACACATGAAAAGAAGTTCAACATCATTAGCTATTAGGAAAATGCAAAAAATTCAAATTGAGACCACAATGAGACACTATGGCACATTCACTAGAATGTCTCAAAACAAAACAAAACTCTGACAATACAAAATGCTGATGAGGATATGGAACACCTGGAATCCTCATACATTGATGGTGGGATTTTATTTTATTTTATTCTTCAACTTTTATTTTAAGTTGAAGAATAAAGTAAAATAAAATAAAATGTGCAGGATGTACAGGTTACATAGGTAGAAGTGTGCCATGGTGGTTCACTGCACGGATCATCAATTGCAGCCACTTTGAAGAACAGTTTGAAGTTACTCACAAGGTTAAACACAGAGTTACCATATGACCCAGCCATTCTAATCCTAGGTATATAGGTAGGCAAGAAAAATGGAAACATATGCCTACACAAAAACTTGTACATAAATGCTCATAGCAGCAGTATTTATAATAGCCAAAAAGTGGAAACAAACTAAATGTCCTTCAATGAATGAAATAGGTAAATATAGTATATGCATACAATGGAATATTATTCAGCAATAAACAGGATACACTACTGATTCACAGAACAATATGGATGAATCCCAAAGATATTGTGCTCAGTGAAATAAGCTAGCCTTAGGAGGTTACATACTGTATGGTTCCGTTTATATGGCATTCTTGAAAAGATAAAACTATAGTGATGAAGAACAGATCAATGGTGGTTGCCAAGGACTAGAGGTGGGGAGGATATGCCTACAAAGGGGCAGAATGAGGGAACTTCTATGTTCTTACTAGCTTTTGCCTAGATTATTGCCTCAATCTTCCAAGTGGTCACTCAACCTCCAATTTTTCCCCCTCCAATTTATTCTCAATGCTGTTGCTACAGTGGATGCTAACCATATTAATCTACCTTAAAGCCAATTCCATAGCTATCAATTTCCTTCCATGTATAGTCCCAATTCTTTGATTGGTTTACGGCAATGTTCCTGAGTTGACTGCTATCAGCCTCTCCAGCTCCATCTCTCTCGGCTCTCTCATTCATAACCTCCTCTGCAGACTGACATTACAGTTCTTTTAGGGCCCATGTCTCCCTCACTTCTGTGTTACTCCATTCACATGGATTGCCTACCTTTTCTCCTGCATCTGACTGACACCCTTCAGTACTTGGCTGAGATAACATTTCTAGAATGCATTCCCTGACCATCTCTTAGCTATTGTGACTGTGCCTCCTTTGTATTTCTCCAGCACCTGTGTTTACTTCTATGACTCCACTGCATGACAGTTATTTTGGGGCCTATTTCCCCACAAAGCTAGTGGCATTTCCACATTCTTGGGAGCACTGGGGAGACCCTTAAGCAGGCAGACCTTTTCTGTGGTTAGCTGTGGCTTGCTCTCGCCCCCTTGCACTCCTCAGGCCCTGGCTTTCAGCCAGGTTTTAATTTAGAGGATGGTGTTTTCAAACCCAAACACTGGATATCCAGAAAGATAGTAAGTGAATGGTTTGAAAATTGCCTAATTTGCATCCATTCTGAGGTGGAAAGACTTCTGAAAGTCTTTTCCTGTGGCCAAGCAGCTGGGCGTCAGACTCTAAGACTTTGACAGGTATGAACAGGGTTGTCCATCTGTTCCTTAATGGGGGGCAGGGCTTCCTATTATGGGTTCTTTGGTGTATCATTGCTGTGCATTTTCCGGTATTGATTTTCTCTCAAGACCTGTCTATGTATCTGCATCAGTGCCTCATTTTATACATATATGTTCCTGCTGCTTTGGGGATAGTCAGGCACCAGATGCTACTCAGGAGGCAACATTCATGGTTAGTCTCTGGCTCAGCTGGGAAGACGGAATTGCTTCAAGTCACTCACCAAGGGCAGGAACTCAGCCTTATGCTGAAAGACAGATCATGAATGATCTCTCTCACAGACATACACATCAGAAAAGAGGCTGAGTAATTCAGATTACAGAATATGGTCCTGGCTTTATGACTTACTTTTAGAAGTCTTGTCTCCTTCCTGGTCTTCAGCTCCCCATCTGAGTTATTAAAAGACTTGAATGAGATGGTTTCTGGGGCCCTCGTGAGCCTTAAGGACTATGGCTTCTTGAATAATAGAGTAAGGAGGTGGTGAGGACTAAGACTGATTGGGGTAGTGGTGAAGAGAAACATTCAGACTCAGTAGGTATATGGGGGAGCTGGGAATCCATATTTTAAAAGGTTCCCTAAATGATATGAAACAGCTAGCTAATGGGAAACTGATTTTGGTGGCCCCACTGAAGGTGAGCCTTCCATTTTCCTCCCCTCGCCCCCTCACCCCCCCTCCCTCCTTCCCTTCCTTCTTTCCTTCCTTCCATCCTTCCTTCCTTTTCCTTCCTTCCTTCCTTCCTTCCTTCTTTCCTTCCTTCCTTCCTTCCTTTTTCCCTGAGTACTCCTAGCTTTCTCCAATTCCCCACCTTCAACACAGCCATATGTATCCAGAGAACTCCCTGGGCCTATGATTCAATGAAGGGTCCAGGAACTGTGATCTGGGCTTTTCTCTCTTGAGAAAGAGCCAAAAGGATCATTAGTTTCATATGTGCTTTCTACCTATGTCAGTGTCCCCTAAACCTCTAATCTCAACTTGCTTTCTCCAGATCCAGGATATTTCCAAAATCCTAGCTGCCATCGCCATCTGGCTTTCTACAGATCCTGTAATTCATTATGTCCAAGACAGAACTCATTATCCTCTGCTACTCTGTACCCCCACCTCCAAGGTAGAGCAGCCCCTCCTCTTCTATTCCATGTCTAGTTGAGTGGCACAACCATTCCTCCCAGTTCCCCAAAGTAGACTTCTCCCTCTTCCTTACCATCTCCATTAGTCATTTTGAGTTTACACTTAGCACAGAAGTCACTAAATGTGATTGGGAAGTTTCGCATAAAAATCTGATTTCCCCTATTCCTGCAGGGTATTTATCAACTAGAACTGAGTATCAACTCCCTTTTGGCACAGTTTATATCTCAATTGTCACAGTCCCCAGCACTCCCTGTAGTATTGCATCTAGCCCATTTCACTCATTTATGTTGTCTGCCTTGTTTCTGTGGGCATATACATTAGTAATCATGAATTGGTATTGTCTTTTAACCTCTATCCTTGCTGCTGCTACCACCCAAATTCATTCTCACATTTAATCTATGACACTCTTTGACTTTGGCTTTCCTACTTTTAAACCATAGATAACTTACTAGGCTCTTGGTCAGCAGGTAAAGTCCATTCACTTTGGCATGACCAAGGGAGGCCCTTACAGATCTACCTCTTTATTTTCCACCATTTCCTCTCCTTAGGCTTACCCCAGCCACACCAATCTTTTTCCTATATCCCTAAGCACATGTTTTCTTGAACTTTCGCACATTGTTCTCTTTCTTGAAGCTCTTTAGGTTCTCCATCTAGAGAACCCTTTCTCAATTGTTAAGGCCAAAATATATGCCACTTCTGTGAAGCATTCCCTGAGTCCCTTACCAACTAGATCCCCTTCTTATGTACAGCACCTCAGGTATTGCATTAATTACTCCATATATGGCAACAAGTTTATGAGGAAAATAAACATTTTTTTTAACTAGATTGGTAATTTTTAGAGGGCACAGCCTTCCTTAGCCCAATGTTCAAAGAGTATTTATTGAGTGAATATCATCACTGCTTTCTATGAAAAGATGTCTGTTATCTTGAAAATCACAAGTTGGATGGTAGAAATGGGAGGACCTCCAGTGGCCTTGGATACACCTCTTTCTTTCTCTGAAGGGCTGAAACCCAGGACATGTTATAGGGAGGAAAGTTGCAGTCCTATCTAATGAAGACTTGTCTATTAAGACAAGCTGTCAAACAAAGGACCAGTAAACATGAGGGCCTGAATGACCTCTGGTCAGAGATGCTGTGGGGAGAATTCTGGACCCTTTTACTAGGGAATGAGAGGTTTATCTCCAGCTTTCAGAATTTTCCAATAGTTATGGGGCGGGGTGGAGGGAAAACATCATTTTGGGCAGGGTTAGAAGTTGCACAGGATGACCTCTAAGATCCCTTCTGACCCTACAAGTCTATGTTTTTCTGGGCTTCAATTTCTCCACCTGTATCCTGCAGAGAAAAGTTCCTGTCCCTCTCTAACTCATGACTGTTATGAGAAAAAAGAAGGGCAGCTATAGGAGTGCTCAGAACTAGTTGGATCACACTTGTGATTTAGTTTATTATATTTGGTAAATATTAAGTCTGTTTTGCATGTGATATTTTCCCAATTACAAATTTCTGTGGACAAAACCACAATTTTAACAACTCATTTAAATATTGCTCTTGCTCATTCATTCAACAAATATTTGTTGTGTGCCCACTATATTAAAGAAATTGGGGATACAGCAGTCCCTGCCCTCCCAGAGCCTCCAAACCATGCCTCTCCTAGTACCTATGGTGCTCCACATTCGACATGGAAATATTGTGGACTGCTGGAGGTGGGGCTCATATTACATCAGTCTCTGGCTCTAGCACCCCAAGCAGTGCCTGGCACATGGTAGGTGTTTGGTAAGCCTGTTGAGTAAAGGGACCCTAAAAAGCCAAGATATGTTGTACTATACAAACTAAGATTAATTTGGAATGAAGCTTATCTGAATCGTTGAATTTGGGAGAACAATATGCTGTTTCATGTTAGCACATACAATAGCATGAATTATCTACTCTCATAGAGTGGGCTTGCCTTAATGAATACAGACTCTTTGGAACGTCAAATATGTGCAAATGTGTGTAGATCTGGTGGATACAAAAATTCAAGGCCATGGTGGTGTTTCTGTTTTTAATTTTAGCAGCTATAAAAGGAAAGATATTTTTTCTTAAGTGGGTTACCAGTTTACTTGCAATCAGCTCAACAAACCTCTTGCACATAGATGCAGCAAATCCATTACCATTGGTGCTCCATTAATAAGGCTTCACTCAATATGTGAAGTCAATGTTGAGCGACTATATAGAATGGGGATTAAGGACATGGCTGAGAGAGCTACACTGTTTGGTTCTGAGTCCCAGATTTACCACTTGCTAGGTGTGTGACCTTGACAAAGTCACTCAACCTCTCTGTGTCTAAGTTTTCTCATCTGTAAAATGGGGGATAATAATCAGGATGATAGCACCTTCTTTCTAGGGTTATTGTGAGGATTAAATGAGTTACTGTCTGTTAAGTACTTAATGCAGTGCCTGGCACAAAGTAAGCTGCTCATAAGTGGGGTTTTGCTGATGTTATTATTGTTATACATGGCCATTGTGACTATGTTGTCTGTCGGGGGGCCACACAGATAAGTAGTGATTATCACTCCAGAAGGAAGGAACAGTAAAATCCTTCCCAGAAAATGCCAACTTCTAGTAAGAATAGGAACCTAACACTCGGAATAGGGTTAATCATGGCAACAGGATGAAGCCAGGCTGATGATATGAAATTTACCCCAGATACTTTCCAGGTGTCAGTTTCTGTGCTATCTTTTATCTTTAACCCTTCCTAATGTTGTAACACTTTCTAGGCTGTAACACTCCCCTGCACTTAGGTGCAGGATTTGGCAAGAACAACTTGGCCAGGGAGATCTGCATAGTGTGCTTGCTGCACCGGTGTTAAAGGAATAATTGATGAGTCTGAGCAAGAGATCAAAAGACAGGCCTCTGGTCTGCCTGAAGGGCATGGTGTCCCTTCTGCTCAATTACCTCAGGTCAAGGAAGAATGTGGGTCTGGGCTTGGTGCTCGGCCAGGTGTCTTAAGGTTACTGAAAAACAGTGTCCTGTGCGTTTCCAATCAGAAATGCTAAGGTAAACCATTTTGAGCTGAAATGCAGGACAAGCCAAAGAAAAATGGAGAAGCAAGCAGTTTGGGGCCTGAGGAGAACAGTGGGAAGAGGTTCCTCTTAGAGCAGGTGACTGGAAAGGAATGCCTTAGAGGTACCTAAGGCCTGAGCAGGGGCATGTCTCCAATTCTTAAAGATGTAGACTGTTTGGACAACCTCTGGTTTCTCTAGATGCCTCTGGGGATTAATATTATGTGCCTAGGAGTCCTACAAATAAATGAAAAATCTCTGAAAGAGGTCATTATCAATTACTGACCTCTTACTAGAAATTAATTTATCAGATCAAAGAGCTAGGAAACAGAGTCCTATGGAAATGCGACACAGACCAGGTCAGATATGAAGAGGAAAAGGAAGAAAAAGCACTGATAACACATGGAATTTTCCCTAGAAGGAAAGCCTGAGTGGGGTGCCACAGTGGGTGTAGGTCTTTGGGACCCTGTGAGGAAGCGACCATCTTAAGTGAGAAGATCACAGAAAATGAATGTCAGAAGGCATGGAAGATCAATAAAAGCAACAGCTAAGATTTTCTGACTGCTTCACCATGTCCTTTATACTCACAATCACATTATAAAATAAGTATTTTCGCTTTTTCCATTTTATGGATGAGTACTGGAGTTTAGATAGGCAAAGCCAAAGCAAGTTGTCCAAGAACATATAGTAAGCAGAATCCACTTTCATACCTAAGACTGGCTGATTTCAGAGCCCAAGTTCTTCACCACTATTCTGCCACCTGTCCACTTCACCTAAATTCCTGCTCATCCTTCAGTGCACTTTCAGATTCCACCCTCTTTCTGAAGAAACTTAGCTCGCTCCCCTCCCACACTCTTCTGTTTATCTTGTCAACTTCTGTTACACTTCTAGGCTACACCATAATATTTAGTACTAACTAGCTGCTTTCTTGTTTGGTGGATGGTGTGTTTGTTTTTGTGTGTGTGTGTGTGTGTGTGTGAGAGAGAGAGAGAGAGAGAGAGGGAGAGACAGAGCCACAAACTGTGGGAATCTTGAGGGCAAGGGGCTGTTTCTTTTCCCTCTGCCCACAGTAGAACCTAGTCTGGCCTGGGCAGAGAGCGGTAACCCATGAATAGAACCCTACTATTTTAGATACAGTGGTCAGGGAAGGCCTCTCTGAGTTTGTGATGTGTGCCCAGAGATCTAAATGAAGAGCAGAAATGAGCCATGTACATGCTCTTCTGCACATGTTGCTCCCAATACACAAGTCTAAAAATAGCTACATGGGCTGAGAGGTCACTTTTCATTAGATTTTTTGCCAAGCTCAGGGTTTTTGAACTCTGGATTTGGTGGAACCTCCTTAGAGGTCCCTTAGGATTCCCATGCCTACCTCATCTAGGACACCTCTGTTCTGAGTTTCTTTATTTGTTTATTCTCTGATGCAAGGTTATATTTGAATGCAACATTATATTTGAATGCAAATGTTCTGAGGCTGCCTGCACTTCTTCTATCTTCCTGTCTACTCAGGCCCTCAACATATCTCCAGACTCTTCTCCTGCTTCCACCTTACCCTATAGATTCACCCAGTGCCTAGAGTGCCTGTCCCCAAGGAAATGTCTGATTTTGTCCCTACCTTGCTAGAAACCTACTTCTGTTTTTTTCCCACTGCTGTCAGTAAAGGATAAGCTCCTTATCATGGCTTATGAGGACTTTTCTGATTGGACCTGCCACTCCGGCCTAGGCCTAGCTCACCAGCCATACTGACAGAGCTGTAGTTCTCCAAATGCACCACATCATCTGGGACTTCTACACACGTTTGCAGGCACTGCACTCTCACATCATCCCTTGTACCTTGCCCATTAATACCAAGCTCAGTGTTATCTTCTCTCTGCTAGGCATTCCCCAACCCCAACACCAGCAGCAATCTTGGTCCCTCACTTCTCTTGCTACTACTGTAACTTGCAAAAACTTATATTAATACAATTTTCTCACTAAATTATAATGTATTCTTTTTTTCTATATCTGCCTTCCCCTCTACATGGAACTCTGAAAGTCTGGGGGACTATCTTAACTCACTTTGAATCCTCAGAACCCAGAAAAGTGCCTGACATCTAGTGGGGAGGCAACAATAGAAGCTAACATTTACTTTCTGGTGTGTATTATATGTCAAACACCTTTCAAATGCTTTAAACAGACTAACTCATTTAATTTTCAAAACATCCATATGACATAGATATTATTATCATCTCCAATTTTACATGAGAAAACTGAGGCACAGAGAGATTCAGTTACTTGCTTAATATCACTCAGTCAGAAAGTAAGAAGTTAGGATTCAAACTGAGCAATTTTGTCACCAGAGCTATTACTTAACCCCTTAACCTCTCCAGGATAAGCAGTAGATACGCAAACAGTGGGCAAATGGATATGTGGACGGGTGGATAAATAGGCAGGTGGTTCAGAAAATAGAGGGTGGGTGGTCAGGTGAATGAGTGGGATCCCAAAGAGATTGAGGAAACTGAGGCTTAAAAAGGATAAATAAACTGTTAAATGCTATATAACTAATATTAATTCTGCCTGGAGCCAGTACCTAGATCTTACTATTACCAACAGAAGTCCTTAATGTTTTTCTGCTAAGCAAAGTAAAAAAATAATGTTATTTCAATAACCCTGTGATAACTCCTTGCTGGCAGGAGAATGGAAACATTTTCGTATTTCCATTCTCTTGAAATCTCCCAAAGCATGGATAGAGGAGACAGTGTGTTGGCAACGGCAATCAGCATGGGAAGATTGTACAATCTCAAGGTGTGTTTTAGTAGACCTATTAGGGAGTTGTAACCCACTGCCACCTTATAATAATGTGTGGGAGAACCAAGAAAAAACATGGAAAAGTGATATATTTATTTAGAATTATCTCTTCCTTTTTTCTCCTCATCAAACAATTTCCCTTTTATTGAATTTTTATTTACTTTTGTGTGAGGGAGCTCATTGCCCAGGCCTCCATTTTCCCACTCTGGAAAATAAAACTATTGTATCACTTTTCAAATCTACTTCAGGGAGCACTGTCACCCCCTAGGGTGACAATCCATGGAAGCCCTTCTGATCAAAAACACAGTATGGTGGAACGGGGAAAACCCCATGCTAAGCAACAATGTGCCTAGGGATCCAGATTTGGCTTGGCCACTGAATGCACATGTGATACTGAGGCAGTCCTTTCCCCTCTCTGGGCTTCAGCTCCCCTGTCTGTGAAGTGAGGATGGCTGGTCTTTCATGTCTCTATTGAGATGTTCAGGTCTAACCCACAGTGGCTTGGCTGATATGATTCATGGGGTGTTCAGCCTATTGCCAGCACCTACCATCAAAGTCTAGGAGCATTTGGTGACTCAAAGCCTCCTGTTTAGAATTAGGCCAGCCCTTTTGTTGCTTCTGTCAGCCGTAAAGCCACTCTATGGGGCTCATTTTCCCCCCAGTAGAAGCTGAGGATGGTGTTTCCATGGAGATGAAGGAGGAAAGGAAATATTGAAAAGGCTGTCACCACTGGTGGCTTGGTATCAGTGGTCTGACTTCAGGCGAAGCCTGAAGATAGCCTTTTTACTTCAAACTGGTAGAAAGACAGGGATGTGAACCTGGCTTGTCATTTTTGCATAGCTGCTCTGCAAACCTGGCTGTCATCAACATCTTTTAGTCAATAAACATTTATGAAATGGAAGTACTTTCTATATACCTGACATTGGTCTAGATGCTAATAATATACAGACACACACACACATGCACACAGCCTATATTATCAAAAAGCTTATAGCCTGTGAGGGAAATAAGACAAGGACACAAATAGTGAGAATATAAGACAGAAATCCATGACAAGGGAATTTAGGGGAGAGAGAGAGAGAGAGAGAGAGAGAGAGAGAGAGAGCTCTTGATAGGAAAGATTGGGTAGCCCTCAGATGAAGGAGACATTTGTGACCCCATGTAGGGGACTGTAATAATTAAGCTCCCAGACCTTGGGTTCAGCTAGACTTGGGTTCCAAAGCCAGCACCTCCACTGCTTAGCTATGTGTCCTTACACAAGTTATGCAACCTTTTTAAACCTCCGTTCTGTCATCTATAAAATGGGGACATTCAGACCTACCCTGCAGGGTGAATGTGACAATGAAATGAGAGATTGTGTGTGAAGCATTTAGTACAGGAACCAGATGAGAGATACTAAACCAGTATTAACCAGCATAGTTTAAACTATTGTTACCATTATTTTAGTTATCTGACTGCCAACTAACTCTAATATGGGGTGAGGCTTCTTAAATCAGGCTATGGTATGCCCCTTGGGGCTGCTGGATTTACTTCTGATTTGTCTCGGTGGGGTAAATAGGTAAGGATCTGTCCTTCCAATTAACCTCTTTTCTTCCCTCCTGATTCTTGGGGAGGGGACTGAACCTGAGAATGATCCAAGTTATAGCAAAGAAGACTTTTGTTGCCAGATGTATGTCTCAGTCACTGATCATAAATCTGTTTTATTATCTAACCTCTCTCTATGCCTCAGTGTCTCCATTCATAACATGAAGCTGCTTTTCTAAAGAATTTCTTAGGGCCCTTTCAGTGACAAAATTTTAGTATTTCCAGTTCAATTTGAGAGCTGTTAAAACTACCTCCAGTTGCCTTGTGGAAAACATTATTTTCTCCAAAGAGCTTCATAAAGTCAGGAGGAAAAAATCCAACAAAGGTAACTCGTGCACTTATCTGATTTGGAACACAATTATCTTCAGGACAGACCTTACGTCCAACAAGCAGAATCCAATCAAGTACAATACAAATTGCTGTTCCTGACATTTATATAGCAGTTTAGGCTTTTCAGGAAGCTGGGTAAGTGAATGTCCTCACTTTTTCCATTGCTTTCTGATCCCAGCAAGGAGAAGCTGTCCTCTAGGTGACCATTGCCCTGACAGTTGGAGGAGGCAGCCTTGGCTGACCAAGACCTGTAGATTCCAGACAAGTGGAATGGAAGCATTTTAAGTCTGAAAACCTCTGGCTCTTCTATCTCACTCTCTGACAGAGTACCATCAGAAACTCTCTCTGGGCTGAAAAATACCCCCTTCCATCCTATCTTCCTGCTCCTGGTTACCACAGCCTGAGTGTTTGTATGTATGTGTGCACACACATGCATGTGAGTTGGGGGAGGGTCAGAATGAGGCTACAGTGGTCAATTTGAACTCCATCAGTGAGAGTTTGTGTTTGCTCTCTGTTTCCTGCTTTTTAATTTCTTTGGCACTAGATAGCCATCCCCAAATGGCCTTAAGTTCAGTGTTGGCACTGGAGCCACCTTCTACACCTTACCTTGGCAGCGAGCATGTGTGTGTGGGTTAATTAGCAGCAAGATACTCCTGCTCAGTGTGCCCAGCCTGTGATTTAAGTTACTCAGAGTGAGCAGTTTGTTCTCTTCTCACACTTAGAATCTGAGGTTGGGCCCACAGCTCCTCCAAATCTTTCAGGAATAAGCAAATCTCAGAGCCCAAAACCGAATTTGACCTCCAAACCAGCTGGCAAAATCATCAGGTGTTTAGTTCCTACAACTACAGGGTTTTTTGTTTGTTTGTTTGTTTTTGTTTGTTTGTTTGTTTTTTGGCATTAGCTCTTGAGATGTAATAAAGGTCCCTCACTATCCATGACTTCATTCCATTTAGGCCCACATTTCCTCTGAGTGACATTCTCCTATCCACACTACCCCAATTCTGCAGATGAAGAAATGTTGGCCCAGAAAGATTACAGAATATTTTTCAGAAGCCATTGTGTGACAAGGACTCATGAAGGAAGAAGCCTCCACTTTGCTGAGTACAATATGAACTGAGCACTATAATTGGGTACATTATAATTAGTACTCACCATGAATCAGAATATGATTATCCATAATTCACAGGTGAAGAAAGAGGAGCATAGAAAAGTTAGGTAAGTTGCCTGGGGTCACCCAGGAGAAGTGGTCAAACTTGGATTCCAGCTGAGAGCTGTCTGATGCCTAAACCCCACATGTTCTCCATGTTTTATGTCACCTTGCAAAAACACAAAAACAAAGCAAAGGCATAACAAAACATTCCTAGATTTCTTACAATATGACCTGGCATATTTTAGTACAGTGGACTGCTGTGCCTGGGGAAGGTTCCAGCCAGAACCAGGAGTATCCTGTGGGTATAGACTCAGGGGAGGAATATTTCTTTTGCTGCCCTGGGGTATCACCAATCACCACATTCAGGCAGCAAAAGGCCAGAGTAAGTAAGCACTGCCCCCAGAATGCTGAGTCCCTTTGTGATAATACTCCTTTAAAGGCCTCTATGCTCTTCTCATGTTCTCTTCCTTTCTTTCCTTTCCCCAAATGGCTCTCAGGAAAAGCTTGGCTAATAGTCTTTAGACTCCTTAAGAGGTTTAACACTAACATAAATTCACTGAGGTCTTTTCCTTTTTTGACATGGAGAAACAGGCCCAGAGAAATAACCATCTTCATTCTTGAGGAGATTTATGTTCAGATGAAATCATTTCTGAGGAAAAAAACAACAAGACAAGACATCAGACCTGGGAAGGGATCTCTAGTAGAAAGCTCATTCTCCTTGTGCCTTTCGAGCCCTAATTTGGTAGAGGAAAGGGGAAGAAGGTCATGAGGGAAGGATTCCAGCTAAAGTGTGTGGGTGAGCACCTCCTTAAACCCAAAGATTAAGATTTTATACTTTACAAAGATTGGAAATAGGCAAACGGCAGATAATATTTTTAGAAATTGTCTCGTTTGAGTGTCAGAGTTGCTCGTAGCAGGAAAGAGGCCTGCCATGTTTGGGAATGGGGAAGAAAGCTGGGGCATCCCACTCAGAAACCAGACTCTCAAACTCTCACTGCTCAGGTCACGGAAGAACGTTTAAGTTCTCTCTGCCTCATGACCTCACTTAGGCCTCATTAGCTTAGTTCCTTTTCTAGAGGGCTCCATGGTCACTTAAGCCCAGTCCAGGAACGAGTAATCTTTTGAGTATCTGTATGTCCTCTCTTTTAGGCTATTCACATTCCCCTCACCTCCTCCACCTCCAAATCTCATTTGGGAGAGGAAACCTTTGAATATACTTCCACCAGTATCACTTCTTCCCAGGGTCTCTGAAATCCTACATAACACTTGGACCCAGCTGGGAAGCTATTGGGAAATGAGATGTCAAAACTTCAGTACCATTTCTTGTCAACATTGGGATTGTGCTCACAGCTAAACTGTAGGACAGGGGCTGATAAATGAGTACTCACCCCACCCTTGACTGTACTCTGGGAGAGCCCTAATGTATCTAGAACAGCAGTCACCAATTAGGCCTTCTCTTTGACAATAGCTGTCTCCTTTGCTTATTCCTGCTTATAGGAATCCTACTGATTAGGTTCTCTTTCTGAGAACCTTTAATTGAGTACTTTTTGTGTTTTGAGCACCCTCTAGAGACCACATTTTACCAATGCAGGCCGAGCTTTATGGCAAATTGATAGTTTTTCCAACTTCAAGAATGCATCCCCTCAGGCATTTAAACTAATCTCTGCCCCAGCCTCAAAGTAGGAGGTGCAGAATTCCAGGGGCACTGAAAGATGGAGCTTGATAGGGCCGTATAGATGACCTAGTGCTTCCCTAATTTAAAGGTAGGCCCAGACAGATAGTGACTGAATTAAGCCCCATCAATTCTAGGCAAGTGTGTTTTTCCACTATAGAGGAAATGAGGCATAGAGAGGTTAACTGACTTATTCATGTTTGCCTGCTAATAAGTGGTAGAATCAGAATTAAGACCCAGGCAGTTTGACTCCTTAGCCCAAGCTCCTCTTTTGTCTCTTCCCTTTCCCCTCCTTCCGTCCCATGTCTGATCAGTCACTAAGTTCACCAAGTCCTTGATGTGTATGTAAATCATGCGGGGCCATTGCTTAAAATTCCCCTCTGAGTCACCTGAAGAGCCTGGATTTTATTCTGTGTTTTGCACTTGACTTGCTGTTAAGCCAGATCTTCCTCATCCTGTATTTATACAATTGATTTCTTTTTAAATCCAAGCTTAGGATTTCACTTTATCCCTTTTGGATATCACATTGTTGTTTTCCATTCATCTGTTGGTATAAGTTGAGCTCCATTTAGGTATGGGTTTTTGAACAGCTAAGTCCACCAAACTGTAGCATCGTCCAGTTAAAGTTTTCCATATAGTCCACAAAGATTTCCTGAGAAATGTTACTTTGTGTATATTCTTTAGTTTTGGCAAGCCATTTGAAAGTAAGTAGCAGATAACATGATACTTTACCCCTAAATACTTTAGCAGGCAGCTTTTAAAAATGGGGGCATTTTCCTACGTAACTGTAATACAATCCCCATGGTATAGAAAATTAGTAATAACTCACAATATTATCTAATATATAATCCACATTCAAATTTTCCCCAATAGATCCCCAAAATGGAATTTTTGAAGCAGAATCCAACGAAGGTCCTCAAGTTGTATTTCATTATGTCTCTTTAATCTAGGAAGGTCCTCTCATCTGTTTTCCCACATGATATTGATATTTTAACGAGACCAGATCAATTGTCTTATAAATGTTCCACATCCTGGGTTTGTTTAATTGCTTCCCCAGGGTGTAATTTAATTTGATCCTCCATCCCCTATATTTTCTGTAAAACTGGAATTTAGGTCTAAAGGAATAAATAGCTTTAGATTAAATATTTTTGGTAAGAGTACTTCATAGGTGATGCTGGTATTTAGTATTGTACAGCACATCAAGACACACACACACATTGGTTTGTGTTTTATTAACGAAGCTATGTTTGATCATTTGATGAAGTGACCTTTCCTTTATAAAGGTACGTTTTTCCTTTGCAGTTATGACTTGTTTTGTAATTTTTACTTATGCCCCTGCTGCATCTTCAGTGTGGAAAGACCAGGAGTATCTACTCCATAGAGACCCCACATCTTTTATCCTTGGAGAGACAAAAGAAAAACATGGATTACTTGAGAGCAGTGATTGTCCTTCTAGGTTCACCCTTCTGATGCTTTTCTGTCCTGTAAGCATCAAAATAAGAGCAACCACCTTCTATCAAGAGCACAGTGAGGGCCAGAAGAGGGGTAGCAGCTGTCTCCAAATCTTGCACTTTTAATCACTGTGCTTTATTTCCCTAATATTGAGTCCTGAGGGACTTTGCATATGGTCACACAGGTTCAGGTTGTACACTGTTCAACTCCAAGGAACATCATTCACCAAGTAACTGGCATGTCCTAGAGTTGTGCTATGGAGAACTTGCATGACCATATGCAGCTTTCTTGTGTGTCTCTTCTCTTTGATAAAAAAATGGGGGAATATATTTGGCCCTTGGATATATGAGATCTGACTGAGGATGTGCTCAAATTACTCTTGCCTTATGAATCTTGATTTCCTCATATAAAAAGCAATGGGCTCAACTAAATGCTTCCCAACGTGTGGCATGGGTTCTAGAGGTGACATTGGATATGATTATAGTGGCTACCATGATCATTTTTTTACAAGTTAGAAATTTATTTTATGCTTATCTTTTGATGGTGGAATATTGCTGCTTCTCCACTTAAAAAAGTGTTATAGTTTCCTTTTAAAATGAATTTCTGCAAGTAAAAATATAGTTGATTTAAATAAAATATTTTGTATACAGTTGCATACCTAGTAGTTTTTAAATTATACTTTAAGTTCTTGGGTGCATGTGCAGAATGTACAGTTTTGTTACATAGGTATACATGTGCCATGGTGGTTTGCTTCACCCATCAACCTATCATCTACATTAGGTATTTCTCCTAATTTTATCCCTCCCCTAGCCCCCACCCCCTGAAAGGCCCCAGTGTGTGATGTTCCCCTCCCTGTGTCCATGTGTTCTCATTGTTCAGTTCCCACTTATGAGTGAGAACGGTGTTTGGTTTTCTGTTGTTGTGTTAGTTTGCTGAGAATGATGTTTTCCAGCTTTATCCATGTCCCTGCAAAGGACATGAAATCATCTTTTTTATGGCTGCATAGTAGTCCATGATGTACATGTGCCACATTTTCTTCATCCAGTCTATCATTGATGGACATTTGGGTTGATTCCAAGTCTTTGCTATTGTGAATAGTGTTGAAAAAAAAAAAAACCTTCTTCATGCGTCTTTATAGTAGAATGATTTATAATCCTTTGGGTATATACCCAGTAATGGGATTGCTGGGTCAACTGGTATTTCTGGTTCTAGATCCTTAAGGAATCGCCACACTGTTTTCCACAATGGTTGAACTAATTTACACTCCCACCAACAGCGTAAAAGCGTTACTATTTCTCTACATCCTCTCCAGCATCTGTTGTTTCCTGACTTTTTAATGATCGCCATTCTAACTGGTGTGAGATGGTATCTCATTGTGGTTTTGATTTGCATTCTCTAATGACCAGAGATGATGAGCTTTTTTTCATGTTTGTTGACCACATAAATGTCTTCTTTTGAGAAGCGTCTGTTCATATCCTTTACTCACTTTTTGATGGGGTTGTTTTTCTCTTGTAAATTAGTTTGTTATTTGTAGATTTTGGATATCAGCCCTTTGTTAGATGGACAGATTGCAAAAATTTTCTCCCATTCTGTAGGTTGCCTGTTCACTCTGATGATAGTTTCTTTTGCTATGAAGACAGTCTTTAGTTTAATTAGATTCCATTTGTCAATTTTGGCTTTTGTTGCCATTGCTTTTGGTGTTTTAGACATGAAGTCCTTGCCCATGCCTATGTCTTGAATGGTATTGCCTGGGTTTTCTTCTAGGGTTTTTATGGTTTTAGGTATTATGTTTAAGTCTTTAATCCATCTTGAGCTAATTTTTGTATAAGGTGTAAGGAAGGGATCCAGTTTCAGTTTTCTGCATATGGCTAGCCAGTTTTCCCAACACCATATATTAAATAGGGAATCCTTTTCCCATTGCTTGTTTTTGTCAGGTTTGTCAAAGATCAGATGATTGTAGATGTGTGGTATTATTTCTGTGGCGTCTGTTCTGTTCCATTGGTCTATATCTCTGTTTTGGTACCAGTACCATGCTGTTTTGGTTATTGTAGCCTTGTAGTATAGTTTGAAGTCAGGTAGCGTGATGCTTCCAGCTTTGCTCTTTTTGCTTAGGATTTTCTTGGATATGCAGGCTCTTTTTTGGTTCCATATGAAATTTAAAGTTCTTTTTTCTAATTCTGTGATGAAAGTCAATGGTAGCTTGATGGGGATAGCATTGACTCTATAAATTACTTTGGGCAGTATGACCATTTACACGATATTGATTCTTCCTATCCATGAGCATGGAATGTTTTTCCATTTATTTGTGTCCTCTCTTATTTCCTTGAGCAGTGGTTTGTAGTTCTCCTTAAAGAGGTCCTTCACATCCCTTGTAAGTTGGATTCCTAGGTATTTTATTCTCTTTTTAGCAATTTTTAATGGGAGTTCACTCAAGATTTTGCTCTCTGTCTATTATTAGTGTATAGGAACGCTTGTGATTTTTGCACATTGATTTTGTATCTTGAGACTTTGCTGAAGTTGCTTATCAGCTTAAGGAGATTTTGGGCTGAGACCATGGGGTTTTCTAAATATACAATCTTGTCATCTGCAAACAGAGACAATTTGACTTTTTCTATTCCTATTTGAATACCCTTTATTTCTTTCTCTTGCCTGATTGCCCTGGCCAGAACTTCCAATACAATGTTGAATAAGAGTGGTGAGAGAGGGCATCTTTGTCTTGTGTCAGTTTTCAAAGGGAATGCTTCCAGTTTTTTCCTATTCAGTATGATATTGGCTGTGGGTTTGTCATAAATAGCTCTTATTATTTTGAGATACGTTCCCTCGATACCTAGTTTATTGAGAGTTTTTAGCATGAAGAGCTGTTGAATTTTATCGAAGACCTTTCTGCATCTATTGAGATAATCGTGTGGTTGTTGTTGTTGGCTCTGTTGATTTGATGGATTACGTTTATTGTTTTGTTATGTTGAAACAGGCTTGCGTCCCAGGGATGAAGCCGACTTGATCGTGGTGGATAAGCTTTTTGATGTGCTGCTGGATTTGGTTTGCCAGTATTTTATTGAGGATTTTATCAGGAATATTGGTCTGAAATTTTCTTTTTTGTGTGTGTCTCTGCCAGGTTTTGTTATCAGGATGATGCTGCCTCATAAAATGAGTTAGGAAGGAGTCCCTCTTTTTCTATTGTTTGGAATAGTTTCAGAAAAAAATGGCACCAGCTCCTCTTTGTACCTTTGTTAGAATTTGGCTGTGAATCCATCTGGTCCTGGACTTTTTTTGCTTCGTAGGCCATTAATTACTGCCTCAATTTTAGAACTTGTTATTGGTCTATTCGGGGATTTGACTTCTTCCTGGTTTAGGCTTGGCAGGGTGTATGTATCCAGGAATTTATCCATTTTTTTCTAGATTTTCTAGTTTATTTTCATAGAAAAATTTTATAGTATTCTCTGATGGTAGTTTGTATTTCTATGGGATCTGTGGTTATATCTTTTTTTATCTTTTTTTATTGCATCTATTTGATTCCTCTCTCTTTTCTTCTCTATTATTCTGGCTAGCAGTCTATCTATTTGTTAATCTTTTCAAAAAACCAGCTCCTGGATTCATGGATTTTTTGAAGGGTTTTTTTTGTGTCTCTATCTCCTTCATTTCTTCTCTGATCTTAGTTATTTCTTGTCTTCTGCTAGCTTTTGAATGTGTTTGCTCTTGCTTCTCTAGTTCTTTTAATTTCAATGTTAGCGTATTGATTTTAGATCTTTCCTGCTTTCTCTTGTGGGCATTTAGTGCTGTAAATTCTTCTCTAAACACTGCATTAAATATGTTCCAGAGATTCTGGTATGTTGTGTCTTTGTTCTCATTGGTTTCAAAGACCATCTTTATTTCTGCCTTAATTTCATTATTTACCCATTAGTCATTCAAGAGCAGGTTGTTCAGTTTGCAAGTAGTTGTGTGGTTTTGAGTAAGTTTCTTAATCCTGAGTTCTAATTTGATTGCACTGTTGTCTGAGAGACTGTTATGGTTTTTGTTCTTTTGCATTTGCTGAGAAGTTTTTTACCTCCAATTATGTGGCCAATTTTAGCATAAGTGCAATGAGGTTCTGAGAAGTAGGTATATTCTGTTGATTTGGGGTGGAGAGTTTTGTATTTTCCTATTAGGTTCACTTGGTCTAGAGCTGAGTTCAAGACCTGAATATCCTTGTTAATTTTATGTCTCATTGATCTGTCTAATACCGACAGTGGGGTGTTAAATTCTCCCACTGTTCTTGTGTGGGAGTCTAAGTCTCTTTGTAGGTCTCTAAGAAATTGCTTTATGAATCTGGGTGCTCCTGTATTGGGTGAATATATATTTAGGATACTTAACTCTTCTTGTTGCATTGATCTCTTTACCGTTATATAATGATCTTCTTTGTCTCTATTGATCTTTGTTGGTTTAAAGACAGTTTTATCAGAGACTATGATTGCAACCCCTGCTTTTTTTTTTTTTTGGCTTTCCATTTGCTTGGTAAATATTCTTCCATCCCTTTATTTTGAGCATATGTGTGACTTTGAACATAAGATGGGTCTCTTGAATACAGCACACCGATGGGTCTTGACTCTTTATCCAACTTGCCAGCCTGTGTCTTTTGATTGTGGCATTTAGCCCATTTACATTTAAGTTTAATATTGTTTTTGTGTAAAATTAATCCTGTCATTGTGATGCTAGCTGGTTATTTTGTCCATTAGTTGATGCAGTTTCTTCATAGTGTTGATGGTCTTTACAATTTCATATGTTTTTGCAGTGGCTGGTACCAGTTGTTCCTTTTTATGTTTAGTGCTTCTTTCAGGAGCTCTTGTAAGGCAATCCTGGTTTTGAGAAAATCTCTCAGTATTTGTGTCTGTAAAGGATTTTATTTCTTCTTTGCTTATGAAACTTAGTTTGGCTGGATATGAAATTCTGGGTTGAACATTCTTTTCTTTAAGAATGTTGAATATTGGCCCCCACTCTCTTCTGGCTTGTAGAGTTTCTGCAGAGAGATATGCTGTTAGTCTGATGGGCTTCCCTTTGTGGGTAACCCGACCTTTCTCTCTGGCTGCCCTTAAAATTTTTTCCTTCATTTCTACCTTGGTGAATCTGATGATTATGTGTTTTGGGGTTGCTCTTCTTGAGGAGAATCTTTGTTGTGTTCTCTCTATTTCCTGAATTTGAATGTTAGCCTGTCTTGCTAGGTTGGAAAAGTTCTCCTGGATAGTATCCTGAAGAGTGTTTTCCAACTTGGTTCCATTCTCCTCATCACTTTTAGGTACACCAATCAAATGTAGGCTTGGTCTTTTCACGTAGACCCACATTGTTTGGAGGCTTTGTTCATTCCTTTTCATTCTTTATTCTCTAATCTTGTCTTCTCTCTATTTCATTAAGTGAATCTTCAATCTCTGATATCCTTTCTTCTGCTTGATTTATTCAGCTATTGATACTTGTGTATACTTCACGAAGTTCTTGTGCTGTGTTTTTCACCTCCATCAGGTCTTTTAAGTTCTTCTCTAAACTGGTTATTCTAGTAAGCAATTAGTCTAACCATTTTTCAAGGTTTTTAGCTTCCTTCCATTG
This sequence comes from Homo sapiens, assembly GCF_000001405.40. Lineage (NCBI taxonomy): Eukaryota > Metazoa > Chordata > Mammalia > Primates > Hominidae > Homo > Homo sapiens. The sequence continues at coordinate 64,086,844 of NC_000023.11, read as the reverse complement.
GATTAGAACATGCTCCTTTAGCTCAGAGAAGTTTGTTATTACCCACCTTCTGAAGCCTACTTCTGTCTATTCATCAAACTCATTCTCCATCCAGTTTTGTTCCCTTGCTGGCAAGGTGTTGTGATCCTTTGCAGGAAAAGAATCATTCTGGTTTTTGGAATTTTCAGCCTTTTTGTGCTGGTTTCTCCACATCTTCATGGATTTTTCTACCTTTGGTCTTTGATGTTGGTGACTTTTGGATGGGGTCTCTGAGTGGATGTCCTTTTTGTTGATGTTGATGCTATCCCATTCTGTTGGTTAGTTTTCCTTCTAAGAGTCAGGCCCCTCTGCTGCAGGTCTGCTGGTGTTTGCTGCAGGTGCAATCCAGACCCTGGTTCATTCCTTCCTCTGGAAGTTTCATCCCAGAGGGGCACCCACCTGATGCCAGACAGAGCTCTCTGTATGAGGTGACTGTCAGCCCCCACTGGGAGTGTTCTCCAAGTCAGGATACACGGGGGTCAGGGATCCATTTGTCTGTCCCTTAGCAGAGCTTGAACGCTGTGCTGGGAGATCCACTCTTCTCATCAAAGCCATCAGGTAGGGACGTTTAAGTCTGCTGAAGCTGCACCCACAGTTGCCCCTTCCCCCAGGTGCTCTGTCCCAGTGAGATGGGCATTTTATCTATAAGCCCCTAACTGAGGCTGCTGCCTTTTTTTCAGAGATTCCTTGCCCAGAGAGGAGGAATCTAGAGAGGCCTTGCTGAGCTGTGGCAGGCTGTGCCCAGTTTGAACTTCCCAGCAGCTTTGTTTACACTGTGAGGGTAAAACCGTGTACTCAAGCTTCAGCAAAGGCAGACACCCCTCCCATCACCAAGTTTGAGCGTCCCAGGTGGACCTCATACTGCTGTGCTGGCAGCAAGAATTTCAAGCCAGTGGATCTTAGCTTGCTGGGCTCTGTGGGGGTGGGACCCACCAAACCAGATCACTTTGCTCCCTGGCTTCAGCCCCCTTTTCAGGGGAGTGAAGAGTTCTGTCTTGCTGGAATTCCAGGCACCATTGTGATATGGAAAAATAAACTCCTGCAGCTAGCACGGTGTCTGCCCAAAAGGCCACCCTGTTTTGTGCTTGATACCCAGGGCTCTGGTGGCATAGGTACTGGAGGGAATCTCCTGGTCTGAGGTATGTGAAGACCATGGGAAAAGCATAGTATCTGGGCCAGAGTGCACCATTCCTCATGGCCTCCCTTGGGTAGGGGAGAGAATTCCTCAACCCCTTGCACTTCCTGGGTGAGGCAAAGCCCCATCCTGCTTCAACTCACCCTCTGTGGGCTGCACCCACTGTCCAACCAGTCCCAAAGAGATGAACTGGGTACCTCAGCTGGAAATGCAGAAAACACCTGCCTTCTGTGTTGAAATCTCTAGGAGCTGCAGACCAGAGCTGTTCCTATTCAGCCATCTTTCCAGCTTCCCCATAGCTATTACTTTGAATGTTTATTTTTTTATTCATTCTTATCAACCAGAATATAAACTTGAGAGCAGGACTTTTGTCTATCTTACTCACTGCTGTATTTCTTGTTCCTACATCGATGCTTGACACGTAGTATCTGCTCAATGAATCCTGAATTAATTTTTAAAAGAATAAATGGACTTCCAGGTTCAGGTCTTCCATGTAAGAAGCTTAGATGTTGTCACTTCCATCTTCAGTAAGAAAAAAAACTGAGCAAATCAAAAGTCAATATCTCTTCTTAGATCCATACAATAATTCAGATCATAGAGCAAAATGCTGGCCACAAAATTGAAGAGATAGATTGGCAGATACAGAGAATCATAGCTAACCAGAACAGAAGCCCAGGAGCAAAAATCTCCATTGGTGAAGATGGCCAAATACAAACAGCTCCAGTATACAGCTCCCAGCATGAGCGATGCAGAAGACAGGTGATTTCTGCATTTCCAACTGAGGTACCAGGTTCATCTCACTGGGAAGTGTCAGAAACTGGGTTCAGAACAGTGGGTGCAGTGCACTGAGCATGAGATGAAGCAGGGCAAGGCATTGCCTCACCCGGGAAGTGCAAGGGGTTAGGGAATTCCTTTCCCAGTCAAAGAAAGGGGTGACAGACAGCACCTGGAAAATCAGGTCACTCCCACCCTAATACTGTGCTTTTCCAATGGTCTTAGCAAACGGCACACCAGGAGATTGTATCCTGTGCCTGGCTCAGAGGGTCCTATGGCCATGGAGCCTTGCTCAGTGCTAGCACAGCAGTCTGAGATCAAACTACAAGGCGGCAGCCAGGCTGGGGGAGGGGAGCCCACCATTGCCGAGGCTTGAGTAGGTAAACAAAGCAGCCAGGAAGCTTGAACTGGGTGAAGCCCACCACAGCTTAAGGAGGCCTGTCTGCTTCTGTAGACTCCACCTCTGGGGGCAGGGAACAGCCAAACAAAAGGCAGCAGAATCCTCTGCAGACTTAAATGTCCCTGTCTGACAGCTTTGAAGAGACTAGTGGTTCTCTCAGCACGCAGCTGGAGATCCGAGAATGGACAGACTGCCTCCTCAAGTGGGTACCTGACCCCGGAGTAGCCTAACTGAGAGGCACCTCCCAGGAGGGGCAGATGGACACCTCACACAGCCGGGTACTCCTCTGAGACAAAACTTACAGAGGAACGATCAGGCAGCAACATTTGCTGCTCACCAATATCCGCTGTTCTGCAGCCTCCGCTGCTGATACCCAGGAAAACAGGGTCTGGAGTGGACCTCCAGCAAACTCCAACAGACTTGCAGCTGAGGGTCCTGACTGTTAGAAGGAAAACTAACAAACAGAAAGGATATCCACATCAAAACCCCATCTGTACGTCACCATCATCAAAGCCCAAAGGTAGATAAAACCACAAAGACGGGGAAAAAACAGAGCAGAAAAAATGGAAACTCTAAAAATCAGAGTGCCTCTCCTCCTCCAAAGGAATGCAGCTCCTCACCAGCAATGGAACAAAGCTGGATGGAGAATGACTTTGATGAGTTGATAGAAGAAGGCTTCAGATGATCAAACTACTACGAGCTAAAGGAGGAAGTTCAAACCCATGGCAAAGAAGTTAAAAACCTTGAAAAAAAATTAGATGAATGGCTAATTAGAATAACCAATGCAGAGAAGTCCTTAAAGGACCTGATGGAACAGAAAACCAAGGCACGAGAACTATGTGACAAATGCACAAACCTCTGTAGCCGATTAAATCAACTGGAAGAAAGGGTATCAGTGATGGAAGATGAAATGAATGAAATGGAGTGAGAAGAGAAGTTTAGAGAAAAAAGAATAAAAAGAAATGAACAAAGCCTCCAAGAAATCTGGGACTATGTGAAAAGACCATATCTACATCTGATTGGTGTACCTGAAAGTGATGGGGATAATGGCACCAAGTTGGAAAACACTCTGCAGGATATTATCCAGGAGAACTTCCCCAATCTAGCAAGGCAGGCCAACATTCAAATTCAGGAAATACAGAGAAGGCCACAAAGATACTCCTCGAGAAGCGCAACTCCAAGACACATAATTATCAGATTCACCAAAGTTGAAATGAAGGAAAAAATGTTAAGGGCAGCCAGAGAGAAAGGTCGGGTTACCCTCAAAAGGAAGCCCATCAGACTAACAGCCGATCTATCGGCAGAAACTCTACAAGCCAGAAGACAGTGGGGGCCAATATTCAACATTCTTAAAGAAAAGAATGTTCAACCAAGAATTGCATATCCAGCCAAACTAAGCTTCATAAGTGAAGGAGAAATAAAATCCTTTACAGACAAGCAAATGCTGAGATATTTTGTCACCACCAGGCCTGCCCTAAAAGAGCTCCTGAAGGAAGCACTAAACATGGAAAGGAACAACCGGTACCAGCCACTGCGAAAACATGCCAAAGTGTAAATACCATCAAGGCTAGGAAGAAACTGCATCAACTAACGAAAAAAATAACCAGCTTACATCATAACAACAGGATCAAATTCACACATAACAGTATTAACCTTAAATGTAAATGGGCTAAATGCTCCATATAAAAGACACAGACTGACAAATTGGATAAAGAGTCAAGACCCATCAGTGTGCTGTATTCAGGAAACCCATCTCACATGCAGAGACACACATAGGCTCAAAATAAAGGGATGGAGGAAGATCTACCAAGCAAATGGAAAACAAAAAAAGGCAGGGGTTGCAATCCTACTCTCTGATAAAACAGACTTTAAATCAACAAAGATCAAAGAGACAAGGCCATTACATAATGGTAAAGGGATCGATTCAACAAGAAGAGCTAACTATCCTAAATATACATGCACGCAATACAGGAGCACCCAGATCCATAAAGCAAGTCCTTAGAGACCTACAAAGAGACTTAGACTCCCACACAATAATAATGGTAGACTTTAATACCTCACTGTCAACATGAGACAGATCAACGAGACAGAAAGTTAACAAGGATATCCAGGAATTGAACTCGGCTCTGCATGAAGCAGACCAAATAGACATCTACAGAACTCTCCACCCAAAATCAACAGAATATACATTCTTCTCAGCACCACACTGCACTTATTCCAAAATTGACCACATAGTTGGAAGTAAAGCTCTCCTCAGCAAATGTAAAACAACAGAAATTATAACAAATTTTGTCTCTCAGACCACAGTGCAATCAAACTAGAACTCAGGATTAAGAAACTCACTCAAAACCACTCAACTATATGGAAACCGAACAACCTGACTGTGAATGATTACTGGGTACATAACAAAATGATGGCAGAAATAAAGATGTTGTTTGAAACCAATGAGAACAAAGACACAACATACCAGAATCTCTGGGACACATTCAAAGCAGTGTAGAGGGAAATTTATAGCACTGAATGCCGACAAGAGAAAGCAGGAAAGATCTAAAATTGACACCCTAACATCACAAGTAAAGGAACTAGAGAAGCAAGAGCAAACACATTCAAAAGCTAGCAGAGGCAAGAAATAACTAAGATCAGAGCAGAACTGAAGGAAATAGCGACACAAAAGACCCTTCAAAAAATCAATGAATCCAGGAGCTAGTTTTGAGAAAAGATCAACAAAATTGATAGACTGCCAGCAAGACTAATAAAAAAGAAAAGAGAGAAGAATCAAATGCATGCAATAAAAAATGATAAAGGGGATATCACCACTGATCACACAGAAATACAAACTACCATCAAAGAATACTATAAACACCTCTACGCAAATAAACTAGAAAATCTAGCAGGAATGGATAAATTCCTTGACACATACACCCTCCCAAGACTGAACCAGGAAGAAGTTGAATCTCTGAATAGACCAGTAACAGGCTCTGAAATTGAGGCAATAGTTAATAGCTTACCAACTAAAAAAGGGTCCAGGACCAGATGGATTCACAGCCGATTTCTACCAGAGGTACAAGGAGGAACTGGTGCCATTCCTTCTTAAACTATTCCAATCAATAGAAAAAGAGGGAACCCTCCCTAACTCATTTTATGAGGCCAGCATCATCCTGATACCAAAGCCTGGCAGAGACACAACAAAAAAAGAGTATTTTAGACCAATATCCTTGATGAACATTGATGCAAAAATCCTCAATAAAATACTGGCAAACTGAATCCAGCAGCACATCAAAAAGCTTATCCACCATGACCAAGTGGGCTTCATCCATGAGATGCAAGGCTGGTTCAGCATATGCAATTGAATAAACATAATCCAGCATATAAACAGAACCAACAACAAAAACCACATGATTATCTCAATAGATGCAGAAAAGGCCTTTGAAAAAATTCAACAACCCTTCATGCTAAAAACTCTCAATACATTAGGTATTGATGGGATGTATCTCAAAATAATAAGAGCTATCTATGACAAACCCACAGCCAATATCATACTGAATGGGCAAAAACTGGAAGCATTCTCTTTGAAAACTGGCACAAAACAGGGATGCCCTCTCTCACCACTCTTATTCAACATAGTGTTGGAAGTTCTGGCCAGGGCAATCAGGCAGGAGAAGGAAATATAGGGTATTCAATTTGGGAAAGAGGAAGTCAAATTGTCCCTGTTTGTAGATGACATGATTGTATATCTAGAAAACCCCATTGTCTCAGCCCAAAATCTCCTTAAGCAGATAGGCAACTTCAGCAAAGTCTCAGGATACAAAATCAATGTACAAAAATCACAAGCGTTCTTATACACCAATAACAGAAAAACAGAGAGCCAAATCATGAGTGAAATCCCATTCACAATTGCTTCAAAGAGAATAAAATACCTAGGAATCCAACTTACAAGGGACGTGAAGGACCTCTTCAAGAGAACTATAAACCACTGCTCAACGAAATAAAAGAGGACACAAAGAAATGAAAAAACATTCCATGCTCATGGGTAGGAAGAATCAATATCGTGAGAATGGCCATACTGTCCAAGGTAATTTATACATTCAATGCCGTTCCCATCAAGCTACCAATGACTTTCTTCACAGAATTGGAAAAACCTACTTTAAAGTTCATATGGAACCAAAAAAGAGCCCGCATCTCCAAGTCAATCCTAAGACAAAAGAACAAAGCTGGAGGCATCACGCTACCTGACTTCAAACTATACTACAAGGCTACAGTAACCAAAACAGCATGGTACTGCTACCAAAACAGAGATATAGACCAATGGAACAGAACAGAGCCCTCAGAAATAATGCCACATATCTACAACCTTCTGATCTTTGACAAACCTGACAAAAACAAGAAATGGGGAAAGGATTCCCTATTTAATAAATGGTGCTGGGAAAACTGGCTAGCCATATGTAGAAAGCTGAAACTGGATCCCTTCCTTACACCTTATACAAAAATTAATTCAAGATAGATTAAAGACTTAAACATTAGACCTAAAACCATAAAAACCCTAGAAGAAAACCTAGGCAATACCATTCAGGACTTAGGCATGGGCAAGGAGTTCATGTCTAAAACACCAAAAGCAATGGCAACAAAAGCCAAAATTGACAAATGGGATCTAATTAAACTAAAGAGCTTCTGCACAGCGAAAGAAACTACCATCAGAGTGAACAGGCAACCTACAGAATGGGAGAAAATTTTTGCAATCTCCTCAGCTGACAAAGGGCTAATATGTAGAATCTACAATGAACTCAAACAAATTTACAAGAAAAACACAAAAAACCCCATCAAAAAGTGGGTGAAGGATATGAACAGACACTTCTCAAAAGAGGACATTTATGCAGCCAACAGACCCATGAAAAAATGCTCATCATCACTGGCCATCAGAGAATTGCAAATCAAAACCACAATGAGATACCATCTCATACCAGTTAGAATGGCAATCATTAAAAAGTCAGGAAACAACAGGCACTGGAGAGGATGTGGAGGAATAGGAACACTTTTACACTGTTGGTGGGACTGTAAACTAGTTCAACCGTTGTGGAAGTCAGTGTGGCCATTCCTCAGGGATCTAGAACTAGAAATACCATTTGACCCATCCATCCCATTACTGGGTATATACCCAAAAGATTATAAATCATGCTGCTATAAAGACACATGCACACGTATGTTTATTGTGGCACTATTCACAATAGCAAAGACTTGAAACCAAGCCAAATGTCCAACAATGATAGACTGGATTAAGAAAATGTGGCACGTGTACGCCATGGAATACTATGCAGCCGTAAAAAATGATGAGTTCATGTCCTTCGTAGGGACGTGAATGAAGCTGGAAGCCATCATTCTCAGCAAACTACCCCAAGGACAAAAAACCAAACACCGCATGTTGTCATTCATAGGTGGGATTTGAACAATGAGAATATATGGTCACCAGAAGGGGAACATCGCACACTGGGGCCTGTTGTGCCGTAGGGGGAGGGTGGAGGGATAGCATTTGGAGATATACCTAATGTTAAATGACGAGTTACTGGGTGCAGCACACTAACATGGCACATGTATACACATGTAACTAACCTGCACGTTGTTTGTATGTACCCTAAAACCTAAAGTATAATAAAAAAAAAGGAAAAAAAATCTCCATTGGTAACAGTATAGGAGTAGAAAAAAGTTAACTCACGAGTTATGAATTGCTAAGGGCTCTGCGTAGAAAAGCTGGGCACATACACATTTGTGTGAGTTTTACCCCTCTGAGTCCAGAGGTTCTCACAGAGAAAATCTGAGAAAAATCTCCTACTAATTCCAGCTGGTGAGTGGGAAATATGCCCAGCGTTCTGCAATAGGCCCAGAGTTTTCTGTTTTTCTAAACAATACCTGCCTTCAAGTGAAACTGTTTCATCAGATCTTAATTGACTAAATTTTTCTAAAGCTTAACTAACCTGGGCTAAGAGAAATAACCAACTCCATCCCTCTCTGTCCCTTCTATCTCACAACAGATGGGGACAAAAACTGAGAAGCACTTGTAGAAGTTATAGCCCAAGGTCACAGGCTCACTAACAGAGTGAGACCTAATTATAAGAATATAGAATGCTTCTCCTCCCTCAACACCTTCGTACCACATAAACCGGTGTGCTGGACAATGACAGGGAAATACAATGAAAGAATTACATGTCTCCAAACATAATGAGGAAGAAATATCTAAAAAAATCCAGAGACAACGATGAAGACAATAATGAGGACATTAGAAGAAATTTTAGCCTCTGACCTCTACAGCTACAGCAAACAATAAACACAGACTAACTCCTAGCCAGATAAACATAGAACTTCACACTAAAGGCCTGTTAACCTCAGTTCTTTTTAGCCAGTACATTATGTCTGCCTTTCAACAAAAAAATTACGGAAGATACTAAATTGCCAAAAACACAGTTTGAAGAGACAGAGCAAGCATCAGAGCCAAAAAGGCATGGTGGCAAGGATATTGGGATTATTAGACTGATAATTTAAAACAACTATGATCTATAGGCTAAGAGTTCTCATAGAAAAAAAAAGGACCATGTAAAAACCAGATGAGTAAGATAGGCAATGACATAAAAACTGTAAGAAAAAATAAAAAGGAAATGTTAGAAATCAAACATAATGTAACAGAAATAAAGAATGTCTTTGATGGGGTAGTTGATAGATGGGAAAGAGCCAAGGAAAGAATCAGTGAGCTTATAAAGATGTCAACTATTAACTCCCAAAATTGAAACAGAGAGGGAAAAAAGAAAGAAAAGACAGAACAGAATATCCAAAATCTGTGAGACATTTACAAAAGCTGTAACACACAAGTAATGAGAGTACCAAAAGGAAAAGAAAACAAGAAAAGGACAGAAGAAATATTTAAACAATTATTACTGAGAATTACAAAATTAATAATGTACATCAAACCACAAATGCAGGAAGCTCAAATAACGCCAAACAAGATTAAAAAAAAAAAACTACTACTGAAAAAATAAGCTAGGCATATTATATTCAAACTGCAGAAAATATAAAAAAAGAATCTTTTTTAATGTTTTAATTGGCACATAATTGTATATACTTATGGGGTACAGTGTGATGTTTCAAAACATGTATACAATATGTAATGATCAAATTAGAGAAATTAGCATATCCATCATCTTAAGAATAAGTTTTAGTGTTTCATTGTACAGTAAGGTGACTAACCTTAACAAAAATATATTGTATATTTTAAAATAGCTAGACTAGAGGATGTTAAATGTTCCCACTGTATAGAAAAATATAGTCTCAAAAGAAACGTGGAGAGAAAAAAGGTCTTCTGTATAGAGGAGCAAAGATAAGAATTACATTATAATTCTTTTCAGAAATCATGCATACAAGAAGACACTGGAGTAAAATATTTAAAGTGTTGAAAGAAAAAATCCACCACCTAAAATTCTATATCTAGTCAAATTAATCTTCAAAAATGAAGGAGAAATAAATACTTAGGCAAATAAAAATTGAGGATTTTGTCACCAGTACACCTGCCTTGCAAATAATATCTTAAAAAGTTCTTCAGAAAGGAGAAAAATAATATAGGGCAGAAACTTAGAACTGAGCAGAAAAAAAGCATTAGAAAAAGAATAAATAAAATAAAACCTTTATTTTCCTATTTTTTAAAAAATTTTTAGTTTTAATTTTTGTGGGTACATAGTAGTATATAATTGTGGGGTACATGGGATGTTTTGATACAGGCATCATAACCACATCATGGAGAATCGGGTATCCATCCCCTGAAGTATTTATCCTTTGGGTTACAAACAACCTAATTATACTCTTTTAGTTATTCTAAATGGTACAATTAAATTATTATTTATTACAGTCACCCAGTTGTGTTATCAAACACTAGGTCTTACTCATTCTTTCTAACTATAATTTTTGTATCCATTAACTGTCCCCACCTCCCCACCCTCAACACCCACTACTCTTCCGAGCCTCCAGTAACCATCCTTCTACCCTCCATCTCCATGAGTTCAATTATTTTGATTTTTAGAGCCCACAAATAAGTTAGAACATGAGGTGTTTGTCTTTCTGTTTCTGGGTTATTTCACTTAACATACCGAACTCCAGTCCCATCCATGTTCAGTCCATGCTGTTACAAATCTAATTTCTTTTTATGGCTGAATAGTACACCACTGATTATAGGCACCATATTTTATTTATCTATTCATCTGTTGATGGACTCATAGGTTGTTTCCAAATCTTGGCTATCGTGAACGGGGCAACAACAAGCATGAGAGCGCAGGTATCTCTTTGCTATATTGATTTCCTTTCTTTTGGGTATATACCCAGCAGTAGGATTGCTGGATCCTGTGGCAGCTCTATTTTCAGTATTTTTCAGCATCATCCAAACTGTTTTCCATAGTGGTTGTATTAGTTTGCATTTCCATCAACAGGGTACAAGTGTTCCTATTTCTCCACATCCTCCCCAGCATTTGTTATTGAAAGTCTTTTGGATATAAGCCACTTTCACTGGGATGAGAAGATATCTCGTTGTAGTTTTCATTTGCATTTGTTTGATGAATAGTGATGTTGAGCACCTTTTCATATGCCTGTTTGCTATTTGTACGTCTTCTTTTAAGAAATGTATATTCAAATCTTTTGCCCATTTTTTGTTGTTATTAAGAAAGGGTCTTGCTCTATTATGCAGGCTGGAGTGCAGTAGCATGATCATGGCTCACTGCAGCCTCGACCTTCCTGGTTCAAGCAATCCTGTCACCCCAGCCCCATGAGTAGCTGGGACCACAGGTACATACCACAACACGTGGCTAATTTTTCCATTTTTTGTAGAGATGGGTGTGCCATATTGCCCAGGTTGGTCTCAAATTCCTGTGCTCGAGCAATCTGCCTGACTCATCCTCCCAAAGTACTAGGATTACATGCTGGAGCTACTGCACCTGGCCCATTTTTAAATTGGATTATTAATTTTTTTCCCCGTAGAGTTGTTTGAGCAATTTATATAGTCTGGTTATTAATTCCTTGTCAGATGGGTAGTTTGCAAATATTTTCTCCTATTCTATAGATTGTCTCTTCATTTTGATGATTGTTTTCTTTGCTGTGCAGAATTTTTTTAACTTGATATGACCCCATTTGCTTTAGTTGCCTGTGCTTATGGGGCGTGACTCAAGAAAATTTTGCCCTGGAGAGTTTTCCAATGTTTTGTTGTAGCAGTTTCATAGTGTGAGGTTTCAGATTTAAGTCTTCAATCCATTGTGATTTTATTTTTTGTATATGGTGAGAGATGGGGGTCTAGTTTTATTCTTCTGCATATGGATATCCAATTTTCCCAGCACCATATATTAAAAATGCTGTCCTATTCCCAGTGTATATTCTTGGCACCTTTGTCAAAAATGAGTTTGCTTTAGTTGTGTCTATGTATTTCTGTGATCTCTATTCTGTTCCCTTGGTCTATGTTTCTGTTCTTATGCCAGTACTATACCATTTTGATTACTATAGCTCTGTAGTATAATTTGAAGTCAGGTAATGTGATTCCTCTAGTTTTGTTATTTTTGCTTAGTATAGCATTGGCTATTCTGAGTCTTTGTGGTTGCATATAGATATTAGAATTGTTTTTTCTGTTTCTGTGAGAAATACTGGTATTTTGATAGGGATTGCATTGAATCTGTAGATTGCTTTTGGTAGTATGGACATGTTAGCAATATTGATCCTTCCAATTCATGAACTTGGAATGTTTTTCCATTTGTTTTGGTGTCCTCTTTAATTTCTATCATCAGTGTCTCACAGTTTTCATCATAGAGATCTTTCACTTCTTTGGTTAAGTTAATTTATAGGTATTTAATTTTATTTGTTTCTATTGTAAATGGGATTACTTTTTTATTTCTTTTGCAGACTGTTCACTGTTGGCATATTAGAAATGCTACTTGTTTTTTGTATGCTGATTTTGTATCCTGAAGCTTTATCTAATTTGTTTATCAGTTCTAATAGCTTTTTGGTGAAGTCTTTAGGTTTTTCCAAATATAAGATTATATTACCTGCAAACAAGAGTAATTTGACTTCATCCTTTTCGATTTGGATGCCCTTTATTTCTTCCTCTTGCCTAATTGCTCTAGCTAGGACTTCCAATACTACGTTGAATAATGGTATAAATGGCCATCCTTGTTATGTTCCAAATCTTTAAAGAAAAAGATTTCAGATTTTCCCCATTCAGTATAATACTAGCTGTGACTCTATCATACATAGCTTTTATTATGTTTAGAAATATTTCTTGTATATCCAGTTTTTTGAGAAAGTTCAACATGAAGTGATGTGGAATTTTATCAGCTGCTTTTTCAGCATAAATTGAAATGATCATATGGATTTTGTCCTTCATTCTGTTGATATGATATATCACATTGATTGATTTGTGTATATTGACCAATCCTTGCATACCAGGGATATATCCCACTTGGTCATGGTGAATGATCTTTTTATTGTATTGTTGAATTGAGTTTGCTAGTATTTTGTTTACCATTTTTCCATCAATATTCATCAGGGATATTCGCCTGTAATTTTCTTTTTATGCTATGTCTTTGCCTGGTTTTGGTATCAGCGTACTAGTAGCCTTATTGAATAAGTTTGGAAGTATTCTCTCCTCCTTCATTTTTCAGCATAGTTTCAGTAGGATTGGTATTACTTCTTTAAATGTTTGGTAGAATTTAGCAGTGAAGCCATTGGGTCCTGGGCTTTTTTTTACTGGGAGACATTTTATTTTGGCTTCAGTTTCATTGCTTGTTATTGGTTCATTCAGGTTTTAGATTTCTTCATGACTCAATATTGGTAGGTTATATGTGTCTAGGAATTTACCCATTTCTTCTAGATTTTCCAATTTATTGGCATATAGTTGCTCATAGCAGCCACTAATGATCCTTTGAATTTCTTCAGTATTGGTTATAATGTCTCCTTTTTCATCTCTGATTTTATTTATTTGTATGTTCTTTCTTTTTTTCTTAGTCTGGCTAAAGGTGTGTCAATTTTGCTTAAGTTTTCAAAAAAATCTTTTTGTTTCATTCATATTTTGTTTTACTTTCTTCATTTCAATTTCTTGTATTTCTTCTCTGATCTTTGTTTTTATTTTCTTCTACTAATTTTGGGTTTGTTTGTGCTTCCTTTTCTTGTTCTTTAAGATACATTGTTAGGTTGTTTATTTGAAGTTCTTCCTTTGATGTTGGCACTTATGGCTATACATTTCCCTCTTATGTTGTTTACAATTATTTAAACACAAATTTTATTTAAACACAACATAACTCATTATTTTAAGCTGATAACAACTTAACACTGTATAACCGAACAAGCAAGCAAAAAGAAAACTAATAAAAAAATTATGACTTAATTTTTGCCCCCTGCTTTTTAGCTACTCATTTTCATTTATATTTTATTGTATTATCTGTGTCTTGAAAGGTCTTTGTAGTTTTTATTTTTGATAGGTTTATTGTTTAGTCTTTCTACTTTAGAGTGATTTATACACTACAGTTACAGTGTCATAATATTCTGTCTTTCTGTGTACTATCACCAATGAGTTTTTTACCTTCAGATGAATTATTATTTCTTATTAATGTCCTTCTATTTCTAACTAAAGAACTCCCTTTAGCATTTCTTGTAGAGCAGGTCTGGTGTTGATAAAACCCCTCAGCTATTATTTGTCTGGAAAAGTCTTTATTTCTCCTTCATATTTGAAGGGTTTTTCATAGAATATATTATTGTAGGGTAAAAGGTTTTTTTTTTTCCCCTTCAACACTTTAAATATGTCATGCCACTCTCTCCACTCTCTCCTGGCCTGTAAGGTTTCCACTGAAAAGTTTAATGCCTGATGTATTGGAGCTCCATTGTATGTTATTTGTTTATTTTTTCTTGTTGCTTTTAGGATCCTTTCTTTATCCTTGACCTTTTGGGAGTTTAATTACTAAATGCCTCAAGGTTGTCTTCTTGGAGTTTAATCTGTTTGGTGTTCTATAATATTCTTCTACTTGGATAACAAAATCTTTCTCTAAATTTGGGAATTTACGTTATTATCCCTTTCAGTAAACTTTCTACCCCAATTCTTTCTCTACCTCATTTTTAAGGCCAATAATGCTTACATTTGCCCTTTTGAGACTGTTTTTATATCCTGTAGGCATGCTTCATTGGTTTTCGTTCTTTTTTATTATATGTCCTCTGATTGTGTATTTTCAAATAACCTGTCTTTAAGCCCACTAATTCTGTCTTCTGCTTGATCAATTCTGCTGTTAAAAGACTCTAATGCATTCTTCAGTATGCCAATTGTATTTTTCAGCTCAATAACTTCTGCTCAATTCTATTTAATTATGTCCATCTGTTTGTGAAAGTTATCTGATAGAATTCTGAATTTCCTCTGTGTTATCTTGAATTTATCTAAGTTTCCTCAAAACTGCTAGCTTGAGTTTTTTTGCCTGAAAGTTCACATATCTCTGTTTCTCCAGGATTGGTCCTTGGTGACTTATTTAGTTTATCTGGTGAGGCCATGTTTTCCTGGATTGTCTTGATAGTTGTAGATGTTCATCTGTGTCTGGGCATTGAAGACACATTTATTGTAGTCTTAGCAGTCTGGGCTTGTTTGCACCCTTCCTGCTTGTAAAGGCTTTCCAGATATTTGAAAGTACTTGGGTGTAGTGATCTAAGCTGTATTTGCTTTTTTGTTTTTGTTTTTGTTTTTGTTTTTTGTTTTTTCAGACTCATAGAGGTACTACTTTGATTGTCTTGGAAAAGATCAAGGCTAATTCTCTAGATTACCAAGCAGAGACTCTTATTCTCTTACCTTACTTCCTCCAAAACAAACAAAGTCTCTTTTTTTGTTCTGAGCCACCTGGAACTGGGGTCGTGTGACACAAGCACCACTGTGGCCACCATCACCAGGATTGCAGCAGTGAGCCACACCTAAAACCAGTATAGCACTGGGTCTCCCCCACCACCTACTGTAACCATTCCTTGGCTTTACCTATGTTCGCTGAAGTCCCTGGGTCTGTACAATTGACAAGTGGCAAAGCCAGCTAGGCCTGTGTCCTTCCATTCAGTGTTGTGAATCTCAGGCATGTCCAGAGGTGCCATTCATGAGCCAGGGATGAGAGTCTAAAATCTTAGCAGTCTACCTGTTGTTCTATTGTACTGTGGCTGAGCTGGCCCACAAGACACAGTTCTTCCCACTCTTCCCTCCCCTTTCCAAAGGCAAAGGAATCCCACCCTGTTGCCACCACCACCACAGGTGTATGGGGAGTACTCCCAGACTACTGTAGATGTTCCCTTAAGGCCCAAAGGGATATTGTGGTGATGTTCAGTCAGCTTGTGGTGAATTCTGCCTGGTCTTGGACTCACCTGTTTGAACAGTGATCTCCCTTCTGGCCCAGCACAGCTCCAGAAATGCTGTTCAAAAGCGAAGTCCTGGAACTGAGGATCCAAAGAGACCACTTGGTGCTCCATTCTCCTGTGGCTGAGCTGGTACCTAAGGTGCAAGACAAAGTCCCCTTTACTTTTCCTTCCACTTTTCTTAAGTAAAAGTAGTCTTTCCTTATAACCACCACAGCTGGGATCGTTTTGAGTCTCACCTGAGGACAGCAAGCCTCAGAGTCTCAACCCAACACCCTCAACATAGTACTTGGGTATTGCTGCTATTCAGGGCCCAAGTGCTCTTTAGTCAGCAGGTGATGAATCCTGCCAGAACTGGGTCTTTCCCTTTAAGGAAGGTGGTTCCCTTCTGGTGAGGGTGTGTGTAGAAATGTCTGATAGCTATGACCTGTGCCCTACCCTGCTGTGGCTGAGGTGGTGTCCAAGATACCACCAGACAAATTTCTCCCCACTCTTTCCTATCCTCAAGCAGAAGGAAGGGGTCTCTTTGGGAGCTGCAAGCTGTGCGGTTTGTGTTTAGGGAAGGGGTGATGCCAGTACTCTTTTAGCCACCCTGGTTGATGTATTGGTAGGTTTCATGACCGCTGTCACAGCCCAGTCCACTGGCTCTTGGCCAAGTACAACACCAAGACTCACCTAGGAGTTGCAGTCATTGTAGCCTAGACTGCCTTTCAAGTTTATTTAGGGCTCCAGAACACATTAGCCCATGGTGGCAAACATTGTGGGATCTCAAGTTCTGACTGGTGGGATCAGCAATTTCCTTCTGGCTATGGCTGGTTTAAATGCTCCCTCTGTTTGCAGCTATGAGCTGAGTTTGGTCCGGTTTTTTTTTCTGCTATAACAGGGCAGCACTGAATTCGATGCCTTACAATTGCTGCACTCTCCCTCTCCACAGAGCACAGAAATACTCTCTGTACCATGATACTGTTGCCGAGGGACAGGGGAGGGGAGACACTGGTGATTCAAGACTGTTTTTATTATTATTATTTGTTCAGTGTCTCTTTCGGGGATATGATGTTAAAACCAGGTAATGTGAATTGTCATCTGATTATTCATTTTTATCAAGGTGCTTTTTTTGTGTGTGTAGATAGCTGTTAAATTGGTGTTCTTACGGGAGGATGATCAGTGGAACCTTCTATTCTGCCGTCTTGCTCTGCCCCTCTGTATTTCTCTTATGCTTAGTCGTGCTAACAGTTAACAGTTAAGAATAATGTATTCAGTGATTATAGCTTATAGATGAGTGAAATGAAAGACATAAGAGATTGGAGGAAGGAATTAGGAATGCTCTTTATTAAAGTATTTTGCACTATATGGGCTGTGGTATAGTGTTATATGAAAGAGGACTTGGATTACTTGTAAATGTATATTGCAGACTTAAAGGCAACCACTTTTAAAAGTTTAGAAAGGACTAGGTGTGGTAGTCTATATCTTTTTTCCCAGCGCTTTGGGTGGCCAAGATGAGAGGATTGCTGGAGGTCTGGAGTTTCAGATAAGTGAAGGCAACATAGTGAGACCCTATTTCTATAAAAATATTTTTTAAAAATTAGTCTGTCATGTTGGCACATGCCTGTAAGCCTATCTACTTGGGAGGCTGAGGTGAGAAGATCACTTGAGCCCGGGAGTTTGCAGTTACAGTAAGCCATGATGACACCATTGCACTCTAGCCTGGATGACAGAGCTGGGGTTGGGTGAAACAATTGCCACTTATTAATTATATTACTTTAGAAAGCTTTTTATTTGTGTATTTGTTTAGATAGTCTGTCTGAGCTGGTGCCTAAGTTGCAAGACAAAGTCTCTGAGCTGGTACCTAAAGTGCAAGACAAAGACTCTATCTCTAATAACTACATAAATAAATAGCCTTCAAAAGTAATAAAATTGATATGTTAAGAGAAGGGACAAAAGCTAATAATATAAAAATGATCAATTAAAATGAGGGAAGAAAGAAAAAAGTGTAAGACAAATAAGAAACAAAGAATGAGGTCAATGAATAGAAAACATTAACAAATATGGTGCATATTAATCCAACTATATAAAAAATCACTGGGAATAACAATGGGCTAAATATACCAATTAAAAGACAGAGACTGTGAAAGTTGATTAAAAAAATAGGACCCAACTATATGTTGTCTACAAGAATCCAATTTTAAGTATAAAGACACATGCAGAGTAACTAACAGTAAAGTAATAGAGATAAATATACCATGGTGTCATTAATCAAAAGAAAGCTGGAGTAGCCAAAACCATAAAATTAAATGGAAATTGAATAACTTCCTCCTTAATGACTATTGGGTAAATGATTAAATTAAGGCAGAACTCAAGAAGTTCTTTGAAACTAATGAGAACAAAGATCCAAAGAACCAGATCAGTAGGAAAGAGGAAAATTTATAGCACTAAATGTCCACAGCAAAAAGTTACAAAGTTAACAACTCAAGTTAACAACTTAACATAATAACTAAATGAACTAGAGAATCAACAGAAAACAAATCCAAAGCTAGCAGAAGACAAGATATAACCAAAATCAGAGCTGAAATGAAGGGGATTCACACACACACGCACACACACACACACAAATTCAAAAGGTCAATGAATTCAGGAGCTGATTTTTTGAAAAAAAGATATAAAATAGGTAGACTGCTAGCTAAACTAAAAAAAAAACAAGAGAAGAGAGAAGATTCAAATAAACAAAATCAGAAATGACAAAGGGGATATTACCATTAATCCTATGAAAATAAAAACAAACATCAGAGAATATTATAAACACCTTTATGCACATAAACTAGAAAATGTAGAAGAAATGATAAATTCCTAGACACATACACCTTCCCAAGACTGAACCAGGAAGAAATTGAATTCCTGAACAAACCAATAACAAGATCTGAAATTGAGGCAGTAATAACCTGCAACAACAACAACAACAAAAACCCAGGAACAGACAGGTTCATGGCTGAATTCTACCTGATGTACAAAGAAGAGTTGGTACCATTTCTACTAAAACTATTCCAAAAAAAAAAAAAAATGGAAAAAGAGGGACTTCTCTTTAACTCATTTTGTGGGGCTAGCATCACCCTGACACCAAAACCTGGCAAAGACACAACAGCAACAACAAAAAACAAAACATCAGGCCAATATCCTTAATGACCATCTATGCAAAAATCCTCAATAAAATACTGGCAAACTGAATCCAACAGAACATCAAAAAACTTATCAGACATGACCAAGTAAGCTTTATTCCTGGGATGCAAGGTTGGTTCAACATATGCAAATAAATAAATGTGATTCATCACATAAGCAGAACTAAAGAAAAAAGCCACATTAATATCTCAGTAGGTGCAGAAAAGGGTTTTGATAAAATTCAACATACCTTCAAGTTGAAAACTCTCAATAAACAAAGTATTGAAGAAACATACTTCAAAACAATAAGAACCATACATGACAAACTTGCAGCAAACATTATACTGAATGGGCAAAAGCTGGAAGCATTCCCATTGAAAACTGGCACTAGACAAGGATGCCCTCTCTTATCACTCCTATTCAACATAGTATTGGAAGTTCTGGCCAGGGCAATCAGGCAAGAAAAAGAAATAAAGCGCTTTCAAATAGAAAGAGAGGAAGTCAAACTATCCCTGTTTGCAGATGACATGATCCTATATCTAGAAAAACCCATATTCTCAGCCAAAAAGCATCATAAGTTGATAAGCAACTTCAGCGAAGTCTCAGGATACAAAATAAAAGTGCAAAAATTTTTAGTATTCCTATATACCAACAACAGTCAAGATGAGTGCCAAATCAGAAAGGTAATTCCATTCACAACTGCCACAAATAAAGCAAATACCTAGGAATGTAGCTAACTAGGGAGGTGAAAGATCTCTACAAGGAGAACTAAAAACCACTGCTCAAAGAAATCAGAGATGACACAAACCAATAAAAAAGCATTCCAGGGTCATGGACCGGAAGAATCAATATCATTAAAATGGCCATACTGCCCAAAACAATTTATAGATTCAATACTATTCCCATTAGACTACCATTGGGATTCTTCACAGAACTAGAAAAAAATATTTACAAATCCATAAGGAACAACAACACCAAAAATCCCAGATAGCCAAGGCAATCCTAAGCAAAAAGAACAAAGCTGGAGGCATCACACTACCCAACTTCAAACTATGCTACAAGGATACAGTAACCAAAACAGCATGATACTGGTACAAGAACAGGCACATGGATAAATGCAACAGAAGAGAGAACCCAGAAATAAGACTGCACACCTACAAGTATCTCATCTTCTACCTGACTAAAACGAGCACTGGGGAAAGAATTCCCTATTCAATAAATGATGCTGAGATAACTGGCTAGCCAAAATCAGAAGATTGAAACTGGACCCCCTTCCTTACACCATATACAAAAATTAACTCATGATGGATTAAAGACTTAAAGGTAAAATCCAAAATGATGAAAACTCTGGAAGACAACCTAAGCAAAATCATTTAGGACATAGACACAGGCAAAGATTTCATGACAAAGTCACCAAAAGCAATTAAAGTTGCAACAAAGCAAATTTGACAAATTGATCTAATCAGACTAAAGAACTTCTGCACAGCAAAAGCATCAACAGAGTAAACAGACAACCTACATAATGGGAGAAAATTTGTGCAAACTGGATCTGACAAAGGTCTAATATCCAGCTTCTATAAGGAACTTAAACAAATTTACAAGAAACAAACAACCCCATTAAAAAGGGGGCAAAGGACAGGAACAGATGCTTCTCAAAAAAAAAAAAATACATGTGGCCAATAATCACATAAAAAAAAAAGCTCAACATCACTGATTGTTGGGAGCAAGCCCCCCAAAATCTGGCCATAATCTGGCCCCAAAACTGGTCAACTGGTCATAAACAAAATCTCTGCAGCAATGTGACATGTTCATCATGGCACTAACACCCAAGCTGGAAGGTTGTGGGTTTACGGGAATAAGGGCAAGGAAAACCTGGCCCACCCAGGGCGGAAAACCGCTTAAAGGCATTCTTAAGCCACAAACAATAGCATGAGCGATCTGTGTCTTAACAGCATGTTCCTGCTGCAGTTAACTAGCCCAAACTATCCCTCTAATTTGGCCCATCCCTTCATTTCCCATAAGGGATACTTTTAGTTAATTTAATATCTATAGAAACAATGCTTAATGACTGGTTTGCTGTTAATAAATATGTGGGTAAATCTCTGTTCGGGGCTCTCCATTCTGAAGGCTGTGAGACCCCTGATTTCCCACTTCACACCTCTATATTTCTGTGAGTGTGTCTTTAATTCCTCTAGCGCCACTGTGTTAGGGTCTCCCCGACCGAGCTGGTCTTGGCAACTGATCATTGGAGAAATGCAAATCAAAACCACAATGAGATACCATCTCACATGAGCCAGAATGGCTATTATTAAAAAGGCAAAAAATAACAGATCCTGGTGAGGTTGTGGAGAAAAAGAAACATTTATGCACTGTTGATGGGATAGTAAATTAGTTTAACCATTGTGGAGGGCAGTGTGGCAATTTCTCAAAGACCTAAAGACAGAAACACCATTTGACCCAGAAATCCCATAATTGGGTATATATCCAAAGGAATACAAATCATTCTATTACAAAGCCACATGCACACACATGTTTATTGCAGCAGTATTCACAATAGCAAAGACATGCAGTCAACCTAAATGCCCATCAATGATAGACTAGATAAAGAAAATGTGGTACATATACACTATGGAATACTATGCAACCACATAAAAGAATGAGATCGTGTCTTCTGCAGGGACATGGATGGAGCTGGAGGCCATTATCCTTAGAAAACTGACACGGGAATAAAAAACCAAATACTACATTTTCTCACTTATAAGTGGGAGATAAATGAGGATAACACTTGGGCACATAGAGAGGAGCAACACACACTGGGGTCTATCAAAGGGTGGAAGGTGGGAGGAGAGAGGATTTTTCAGCTCTATCAGGTTGGTTACATATTTTCCTATCCTGGCTATTTTGTCTGTCAGCTCCTGCAATGTTTTATCATAAGTTTTAGCTTTATTGAATTGGATTACAACATGCTCTTTTAGCAAGTTCATTTTTATCCATATTTCAAATTCTATCTCTGTCATTTCAGCCATTTCAGCCATTTCAACCTCAGCCCAGTTTTGAACGCCTGCTGAAGAAGTGATGTGGTCATTTGGAGAAAAGAGGGCACTCTGACTTTTTTGAGTTTTCAGTGTTTTTGTGCTTTATCTTTCTCATCTTTGTGGGCTTATCTACCTCCAATCTTTGAAGTTGATGACCTTTGGATGGAGTTTTCTGTTTTTTATTGTGTTCTTTTCTTTTAACAGACTTGCCACCTTTCCTTAGGCCTGCTGCTGTTTTCTGGGAGCCCACTCCAGTCCCTAGTCACTTCAGATTTTCCAGTACCTGGGGGTATCACCAGTGATGGCTGCAAAACAGCAAAGATAGCAGCCTGCCCCTTCCTCCGGGAGCTTTGTCTCAGGGAAGCACAAACATGTTGCCAACCAAAATACACCTGTAGGAGGTGACTGGAGACCCCAGTTGGAAGGTCTCACCCAGTCAGGAGGAACAGGATTGGGGACCCACTTAAAGAAGCAGTCTGACCATGCTTTCATAAAGCAGCTGTGCTGTGCTGGGGTACTTCTTCTGCCCTCAGCCAGCTGGGACTTTCCAAAGCCTGGAGGATGGAATGGTTAAATTGCCCAAACAGCAAAGGTGGTGACCTGCCTCTCCCTCTGGTAACTCTTTCCCAGGAAGTTTTCAAATGTCTGTCAGCCAGTGAACACCAGCAGGAGTGGCTGGAGGCCCTGGTCAGGAGGTCCTGCCCAAACAAAGGAGGAGGAACAAATGGGGGACCCACTCGAAACAGCCTGGCCACGTTTTGGTAGAGGAGTTGTGCTGTCCTGGGGGTTCCCTTCTGTTCTCAGATGATTTGGACTTTCCAAAGCCCTCAGGCTGGAAGGGCTGAGTCACCCAAAGAGCACAGGTGGCAGCTCGCTTGTTCTCCTGGGAACTCCATCCCAGGGAGAGTCTAATAATTTAGAAAAATAATTATACACTGGGGCCAAGAGGGATTTCTTCAAGTATGTAAGACTGATTCAACATTTGAAAATTAATTAATGTAGTTTATCTATCAACAGGCTAAAAAAAAGTATATGATTCTAATCAATAGATGTAGGAAAAGCATTTGACAAAATCCAACCCCATATTCAGGATAAAAACTCCCAGCAAACTATGAATAAAGGGGAACTTCATCAATTTGATAAAGGATATCTGTCAAAAAAAAAAAAAAAACCAAACCCTACAACTAATATCATACTTAATATTGAGAAACAGAATGATTTCTCCTTAAGAGCAGGGATAAGGGAAAAATGACCACTCTCTCTGCTCTTAATCAACATCATAGTGGATGTCCTAGCTGATGGAGTAAGACAAGTAAAGAAAATGTATACACATTTGGAAGTAAGAAATAAAACTGTCTTTATTCACAGATAACATGATTATATTATATTAGAAAATACCAAAGATCAACAAGGTATTCCTGAAACTAATCAGTAAGTATAATAAGTTTGCAGGATGCAAAGTAAAGCTATAAAATTCAATTGCCTTTTTATATACCAGCAATAAACAATTAGAATTTGGAATTAAAAACACAACACCAGGTGGAGCCAAGATGTCTGAATAGGAACAGCTCCAGTCTACAGCTCCCAGCGTGAGTGATGCAGAAGACAGGTGATTTCTGCATTTCCAACTGAGCAAATGGCACAACAGGAGATTATATCCCACGCATGACTCCGGAGGGACCTACACCCATGGAGCCTCACTGATTGCTAGCACAGCAGTCTGAGATCAACCTGCAAGGCCGCAGTGAGGCTGGGGGAGGGGCGCCCACCATTGCCAAGGCTTGAGTAGGTAAACAAAGCAGCCAGGAAGCTCGAACTGGGTGGAGCCCACCACAGCTCAAGGAGGCCTGCCTGCCTCTGTAGAATCCACTTCTGGGGGCAGGGCATTGCCAAACAAAAGGCAGCAGAATCCTCTGCAGACTTAAATGTCCCTGTCTGACAGCTTTGAAGAGACTAGTGGTTCTCACAGCACACAGCTGGAGATCTGAGAACTGACAGACTGCCTCCTCAAGTGGGTCCCTGACCCCAGAGTAGCCTAACTGGGAGGCACCCCCCAGTAGGGGCAGACTGACACCTCACATGGCCAGGTACTCCTCTGAGACAAAACTTACAGAGGAAAGATCAGGCAGCAACATTTGCTGCTCATCAATATCCGCTGTTCTGCAGCCTCCGTTGCTGATACCCAGGCAAACAGCGTCTGGAGTGGACCTCCAGCAAACTCCAACAGACCTGCAGTTGAGGGTCCTGTCTGTTAGAAGGAAAACTAACAAACGGTAAAGACATCCACACCAAAACCCCACCTGTACGTCACCATCATCAAAGACCAAAGGGAGATAAAACCACAAAGATGGGGAAAAAACAGAGCAGAAGAAATGGAAACTCTAAAAATCAGAGTGCCTCTCCTCCAAAGGAACGCAGCTCCTCACCAGCAATGGAACAAAGCTGGATGGAGAATGACTTTGACGAGTCGAAAGAAGAAGGCTTCAGATGATCAAACTACTACGAGCTAAAGGAGGAAGTTCGAACCCATGGCAAAGAAGTTAAAAACCTTCAAAAAAATTAGACCAATGGCTAACTAGAATAATCAATGCAGAGAAGTCCTTAAAGGACCTGATGGAGCAGAAAACCAAGGCACGAGAACTATGTGACAAATGCACAAGCCTCAGTAGCCGATTCAATCAACTGGAAGAAAGGGTATCAGTGATGGAAGATGAAATGAATGAAATAAAGCGAGAAGAGAAATTTAGAGAAAAAAGAATAAGAAGAAATGAAGAAAGCCTCCAAGAACTCTGGGACTATGTGAAAAGACCAAATCTACATCTGATTGCTGTACCTGAAAGTGATGGGGAGAATGGCACCAAGTTGGAAAACACTCTGCAAGATATAATCCAGGAGAACTTCCCCAATCTAGCAAAGTAGGCCAATATTCAAATTCAGGAAATACAGAGAACGCCAGAAAAATATTCCTCGAGAAGAGCAACTCCAAGGCACATAATTGTCAGATTTACCAAAGTTGAAATGAAGGAAAAAATGTTAAGGGCAGCCAGAGAGAAAGGTCGGGTTACCAACAAAGGGAAGCCCATCAGACTAACAGCTGATCCCTTGGCAGAAACTCTACAAGCCAGAAGAGAGTGGGGGCCAATATTCAACATTCTTAAAGAAAAGAATTTTCAACCAAGAATTGCATATCCAGCCAAACTAAGCTTCATAAGTGAAGGAGAAATAAAGTCCTTAACAGACAAGCAAATGCTGAGATATTTTGTCACCACCAGGCCTGCCCTAAAAGAGCTCCTGAAGGAAGCACTAAACATGGACAGGAACAACTGGTACCAGCCACTGCAAAAACATGCCAAATTGTAAAGACCATCAAGGCTAGGAAGAAACTGCATCAACTAACGAAAAAAATAACCAGCTAACATAATAATGACAGGATCAAATTCACACATAACAGTATTAACTTAAATGTAAATGGGCTAAATGCTCCAATTAAAAGACACAGGCTGGCAAATTGGATAAAGAGTCAAGAGCCATCAGTGTGCTGTATTCAGGAAACCTATCTCATGTGCAGAGACACACATAGGCTCAAAATAAAGGGATGGAGGAAGATCTACCAAGCAAATGGAAAACAAAAAAAAGCAGTGGTTGCAATCCTACTCTCTGATAAAACAGACTTTAAACCAACAAAGATCAAAAGAGACAATGAAGGCCATTACATAATGGTAAAGGGATCAATTCAACAAGAAGAGCTAACTCTCCTAAATGTATATGCACCTAATACAGGAGCACCCAGATTCATACAGCAAGTCCTTAGAGACCTACAGAGAGACTTAGACTCCCACACAATAATAATGGGAGAATTTGACATCCCACTGTCAACATTAGACAGACCAACAAGACAGAAAGTTAACAAGGATATCCAGGAACTGAACTCAGCTCTGCACCAAGCAGACCTAATAGACATCTACAGAAATCTCCACCCCAAATCAACCGAATATACATTCTCAGCACCACACCGCACCTATTCCAAAATTGACCACATAGTTGGAAGTAAAGCTCTCCTCAGCAAATGTAAAACAACAGAAATTATAACAAACTATCTCTAAGACCACAGTGCAATCAAACTAGAACTCAGGATTAAGAAACTCACTCAAAACCACTCAACTATATGGAAACTGAACAACATGCTCCTGAATGACTACTGGGTACATAACGAAATGAAGGCAAAAATAAAGACGTTCTTTGAAACCAACAGGAACAAAGACACAACATATCAGAATCTCTGGAACACATTCAAAGCAGTGTGTAGAGGGAAATTTTTAGCACTAAATGCCCACAAGAGAAAACAGGAAGGATCCAAAACTGACACCCTAACATCACAATTAAAAGAACTAGAGAAGCAAGAGCAAACACACTCAAAAGCTAGCAGAAGGCAAGAAATAACTAAGATCAGAGCAGAACTGAAGGAAATAGCGACACAAAAGACCCTTCAAAAAATCAATGAAACCAGGAGCTGGTTTTGAGAAAAGATCAACAAAATTGATAGACTGCTAGCAAGAAGAAGAAAAGAGAGAGGAATCAAATAGATGCAATAAAAAATGATAAATGGGATATCACCACCGATCCCACAGAAATACAAACTACCATCAGAGAATACTATAAACACCTCTAAGCAAATAAACTAGAAAATCTAGAAGAAATTGATAAATTCCTCCAAACATACACCCTCCCCAGACTAAACCAGGAAGAAGTTGAATCTCTGAATAGGCCAAAAACAGGCTCTGAAATTAAGACAATAATTGATAGCTTACCAACCAACAAAAGTCCAGGACCAGATGGATTCACAGCCGAATTCTACCAGAGGTACAAGGAGGAGCTGGTACCATTCCTTCTGAAACTATTCCAAACACAGAAACAGAGGGAATCCTCCCTAACTCATTTTATGAGGCCAGCATCATCCTGATACCAAAGCCTGGCAGAGAGACAACAAAAAAAGATAATTTTAGACCAATATCCCTGATGAACATCGATGCAAAAATCCTCAATAAAATACTGGCAAACGGAATCCAGCAGCACATCAAAAAGCTTATCCACCATGATCAAGTGGGCTTCATCCCTGGGATGCAAGGCTGGTTCAACATACGAAAATCAATAAACATAATCCAGCATATACAGAACCAACAACAAAAACCATATGATTATCTCAATAGATGCAGAAAAGGCCTTTGACAAAATTCCACAATGCTTCATGCTAATAACTCTCAATAAATTAGGTATTGATGGGATATATCTCAAAATAATAAGAGCTATCTATGACAAACCCACAGCCAATATCATACTGAATGGGCAAAAACTGGAAGCATTCCCCTTGAAATCTGGCACAAGACAGGAATGCCCTCTCTCACCACTCTTATTCAACATAGTGTTGGAAGTTCTGGCCAGGGCAATCAGGCAGGAGAAGGAAATAAAGGGTATTCAATTAGGGAAAGTGGAAGTCAAATTGTCCCTGTTTGCAGATGACATGATTGTATATCTAGAAAACCCCATCGTATCAGTACAAAATCTCCTTAAGCTGATAGGCAACTTCAGCAAAGTCTCACGATACAAAATCAATGTTCAAAAATCACAAGCATTCTTATACACCAATAACAGACAAACAGAGAGCCAAATCATGAGTGAACTCCCATTCACAATTGCTTCAAAGAGAATAAAATACCTAGGAATCCAACTTACAAGGGACGTGAAGGACCTCTTCAAGGAGAGCTACAAATCACTGCTCAATGAAATAAAAGAGGATACAAAGAAATGGAAGAACATTCCATGCTCATGGGTAGGAAGAATCAATATAGTGAAAATGGCCATACTGCCCAAGGTAATTTATACATTCAATGCCATCCCCATCAAGCTACCAATGACTTTCTTCACAGAATTGGAAAAAACTACTTTAAGGTTCATATGGAACCAAAAATAGAGCCCGCAACACCAAGTCAATCCTAAGCCAAAAGAACAAAGCTGGAGCTATCACGCTACCTGACTTCAAACTATACTACAAGGCCACCCTAACCAAAACAGCATGGTACTGGTACCAAAACAGATATAGACCAATGGAACAGAACAGAGCCCTCAGAAATAATGCCACATATCTACAACCATCTGATCTTTGACAAACCTGACAAAAACAAGAAATGGGGAAAGGATCTCCTATTTAATAAATGGTGCTGGGAAAACTGGCTAGCCATATGTAGAAAGCTGAAACTGGATCCCTTCCTTACACCTTATACAAAAATTAATTCAAGATGTATTAAAGACTTAAGTGTTAGACCTAAAACCATAAAAACCCTAGAAGAAAACCTAGGCAATACCATTCAGGACATAGGCATGGGCAAGGACTTCATGTCTAAAACACTAAAAGCAATGGCAACAAAAGCCAAAATTGACAAATGGGATCTAATTAAACTAAAGAGCTTCTGCACAGCAAAAGAAACTACCATCAGAGTGAACAGGCAACCTACAGAATGGGAAAAAATTTTTGCAATCTACTCATCTGACAAAGGTCTAATATCCAGAATCTACAATGAACTCAAACAAATTTACAAGAAAAAAACAAACAACCCCATCAACAAGTGGGTGAAGGATATGAACAGACACTTCTCAAAAGAAGACATTTATGCAGCCAAAAGACACATGAAAAAATGCTCATCATCACTGGCCATCAGGGAAATGGAAATCAAAACCACAGTGAGATACCATCTCACACCAGTTAGAATGGCGATCATTAAAAAGTCAGGAAACAACAGGTGCTGGAGAGGATGTGGAGAAATAGGAACACTTTTACACTGTTGGTGGGACTGTAAACTAGTTCAACCGTTGTGGAAGTCTGTGTGACAATTCCTCAGGGATCTAGAACTAGAAATCCCATTTGACCCAGCATTCCCATTACTGGTTATATACCCAAAGGATTATAAATCATGCTGCTATAAAGACACATGCAGACATATGTTTATTGTGGCACTATTCACAATAGCAAAGACTTGAAACCAAGCCAAATGTCCAACAATGATAGACTGGATTAAGAAAATGTGGCACACATACACCATGGAATACTATGCAGCCATAAAAAAGGATGAGTTCATATCCTTTTTAGGGACATGGATGAAGCTGGAAACCATCATTCTCAGCAAACTATCACAAGGATAAAAAAAACAAACTCCGTATGTTCTCACTCATAGGTGGGAATTGAACAATGGGAACACATGGACCCTGGAAGGGGAACATCATACACCAGGGCCCGTTTTGGGGTGGGGGGAGAGGGGAGAGAGAGCATTAGGAGATATACCTAATGTTAAATGACTAGTGAATGGGTGCAGCACACCAACATGGCACATGTATACATATGTAACTAACCTGCATGTTGTGCACATGTACCCTAAAACTTAAAGTATAATTAAAAATAAATAAAGAGTGGATATATGCTCTGTGGAGCCTGAAACATATACAATTGTGGGGCTCTAAAATTATGTAATAAATTCAATATCTATTTAGGGTAAATAAACTTATGTAATAAAGAATTAAATGATGTCATAAAGTCAATATTTAAAATGAGAAAAAAGGAAATAAATATTTGAGTAAATGAATATATTAAAAAGAATTTAGCAATACAAAAATAACAAAACAAACAAAAACACAACACCATTTACATGAGCACCAAAAAATATATAGATATAAATCTAACGAATATGCACAAAAAGTGAGGAAAACTATTCAATTCTGATTAAAAAAATCAAAAATTTAAATAAGTGAATAAATATTTCAAGCGCATGGATTGGGATACTCAATATTATCAAGATGCCAGTTCTTCCCTATTTGATCTAGAGAACCAATACAATCCCAATTAAAATGCCTTCAAGTTTTTCGTGGATATTGATAAACTGCTTTAATGTTTATGTGAAAAGGCAAAAGACCCAGAATAGCCAACACAGTACAGAAGGAGAAGAACGAAGTTGGAGGAGTGAAACTACATGACCTGAAGACTTACTATAAAGCAGCAATAATCAAGATAGTGTGGTATCTTATAAAGCTCCTGGAAGATAGCATAAGAGGAAATCTAGGTAATCTTGGGTTTGGCAAAAATTTTTAGATAAATACTAAAAGCATGATCCATGACACGAAAAATGGGTAAGTTGGATTTTATTAAAATTAAATATTTATGCTGTTAAAGACATTGTTAAGAGAATATAAAGGCAAGCCACACACCAGAGGAAAATCTTTGCAAAACACATCTGATATTACTGGTATCCAAAATATACAAAGAACACTCAAAACTCAATAAGAAAAACAAAAACTCAATTTAAAGAATGATAAATAGATCTGAACATATATCTTACCAAATAAAATATAGATAGCATATGAAAAGATGCTCAACATTATATATCATCAGGGAATTGCAAATTGCAACAACAGTGAAATATCACTATACGCCTGTTAGAATGGCTTAAAATCTCAAACCCTGATAACACAAAATGCTGATGAGAATGTGTAGCAACAGGAACTCATTCATTGCTGGTGAAAATAAAAAATGTTACAGCCGCTTTGAAGACAGTTTGGCAGTTTCTTATGAAACCAAACATAATCTTACCATACAATCCAGTAATTGCACTTCTTGGTATTTACCCCAAAGAGTCACGAATGTATATGTACACAAATACCTGGATATGAATGTGTGTAACAATTTTATGCATAAGCAAACAAGATATCCTTCAAGAGGTGAAGAGATCAACAAACTTTGCTACATCTATACAATGAAATATTATTCAGCAATAAAATGATATCAGCTATCAAGCCACAAAGACATGGAGGAACCTTACCTACACGCTACTGAATGAAAGAAGCTAATCTGAAAATATGGTATACTGTAAAATTCCAGCTGTATGACATCTTGGAAAAGGCAAAACTACAGATAGAGTAAAAAGATCAGTGGTTTCTAGAGGTTCTTCCAGGGAAGTGAGGGAGGGATGAATAGGTGGATCACAAGGTATATTTAGGGCAGTGAAATTATTATTTATGATATTGTAATTGAAAGCTGTGTTCACCCATTAACTTATTGGGAAAGCCTATACCAGCACTTTCTCCATTATAGCACCAACTACATTATAATGGAGTTAGTTGCTTGCCTTTAGAATCCTCCACTGAGCTGGAAGATCCTCATGGTCTAGACACAACTCTTCTTTATGTCCCCAGCACCTAGAGAATTCACACTGTGTAATATGGGGTGCAAAAGTGCTTGCTGAATAGACAGATGAATTTAAAAATGAGTGAATGAGCTGGGATGGTGAGAATATAATCAAGTGACTGTGGTTTTAAGAACTTAAGGGGTCCTAAAAAATATAAGGCAGCTTACATAGTAGAAGGAGACCTTTGAAGGCAGGAAGACCTGGCTTTAAATCCTAGCTTTGTTAGTATTTGTGTAACCTTGGCCAAATCACTTCACAGCTTTGTGCCCCAGTTTCTGTATCAGTAGCATGGGCTAATAATGACTTCTAGGAGTATTGTGAGTAGTAAGGGAAACAGCACTCACAAAAACAGCCTAGTATATCATCATATGAATGAAGATAGCCCACATAAACTTCCTTCCTCTCCCTACTGTGTTGACTTGTCGTCCTGGTGTGTTTCCAAGCACTTTCTCCCCTCACCTCCATAAACTCTCCTTTTCTCCTGTGCTCTGTCAACTCTCGAGATGTCTCAGTGCCTTTCCTCCCAGCTTCTGAGAAAGCTTAAGTCCTCTCCACAGGACAGAATTCTGACTTGGGGTTTCTGTTTCACCCTATGCAGAAGTGCTGTTATCCTGGGTCATCAGACTGACCCAGGGCCCTTTTCTTGTTAGTGCTTGACTATTCTGGAGCCAATGGCTGTTGCTTTTTAATTGTTTTTCCTGGATTTAAAATCCCACAGAGGATTTATGCTCTCTGCCACACCTCTGCCCCCAACCTCCAATCTGCCAGTGGGGCTGTCATGCCCTCTCCTCTAAGGGAAGGAGAAATTGGTACTGACTTAGACAGCCTTGTCTCTCTCCTCTCCTGAGAGACTTGCTGTTCTAGGCTCCTGGGAGCCAAGCAATGGAAACAGCCCAGAGATTATAGCCTTGCAGACTCCTGCCAGCCTGCATTCCTTTGGACGCTTAGGCCTTATTTTTGTGTGTTTATTTTATATCTATTTTTGGGTCAAGAATACATTGGTGTTGTGGGGAGGGAGTGGAAATAGGCAAGTTTCCCATGCCCCGGGGAAATGAAAGGATCAGTACCTTTTACCTTTTACCTTTTTTAAAAATTTGTGAGACAGAGTCTTGCTGTATCACCCAGACTTTAGTGCATTGGTGGGATCTCGGCTCACTGCAACTTCTGCCTCCCGGGCTCAGGTGATCCACCTTCCTCAACCCCTCAAGTAACTGGGACTACAGGCACATGACACCATGCCCAGCTGATTTTTGTATTTTTAGTAGAGATGGGGTTTTATCATGTTGGCCAGGCTGATCTTGAACTCCTGACCTCAAGTGATCCTCCTGCCTCGGCCTCCCAAAGTGCTGGGATTATGGGAGTGAGCCACTGTGCCCAGTCCCTTTTACCTCTTTCATAAGTATCTCTCCACCCTCGAGCCCTACTGGAGTCCTACAGCCTTCACAATGAGACAGCCAGTCTCAGAACTGAAAGGGATCTTCACCATCTTCTTGGCCCATTCTCTCATCTTGCAGGTGGGAAATAAAAATCCAAAGAGGCAAATGAGATTTGCCCAAGGTTACCCAGTGAGTTATCTCTTCTGTAAGTCTTTAGACTGCCCTAGAGAATCAGGTGGCTCAGCTTTTCTGAGTAGCTATACCACTCCCTGGGATCCCTAAATTTGTCACAGCTCAGACACTCTACTCCAGGTAACTGAGATAAAAAGAGGCATCCTAAACAAGATTTCTTCCATCCCCAGGCAAACCAACCTAGGTATGTCTCAGAGCACCTCATTGAAGTTTCCAAAATCTTTGTTGCCATGCTGGGTTTCATTCCAAGTTTAACCATTAGCCAATAATCCTGGAAAGTAGGAATAATTCCAAAGAGCAGGAGATAGAAAAATGCCTCATTTCTCCAAAAAAAAAAAAAAAAAGGAAGGTAACAGATATTGAAAACCAGAGACCAAACAGCTTAACTTTGTTTTTAGGCAAGATTCTGGAACAGATCATGGGAAGAATAATGTGTGGGAATGTAGAAAAGGAAGCAGTAATCAGTACAGCTATCATAGGCTTACCTTGAAAACAAATTACTTGTCAGATGAATCAGCTGCATTGTCTTTATTGTAACTAGCCTAATAAATTGGGGGAAATGAAATATGTGATTATCTGGCCTATGGTAGGCAAATTACCACATCTTTTTTGAATGTCTCTTGGTCAAAACGGACAAATAGAGATTGGCTAAATGATCATACCCAATATATGGGTACTGCTGCTGCTACTACTATTGCCACTCTTTTTGCTGCTGCTGCTGCTATAATTTTATTTGTTTTCATTTTATTGTTTAAATAAATTTTATTGTACATATTTAAAGTGTACAACATGATGTTTGGAATAAATAATATAGATGGCAAAAAAGTTACTATAGTGAAGCAGACTAATATATCTACCATCTCACATAGTTACCCATTTTTTTGTTATTGTGGCTAGAGCAACTAAAATCTACTCATTTATCATGAATCCCATATATGGTACAATTTTATTTCTTATAATCCTCAAGTTGTACATTAGATCTCTGGATTTGTTCATCCTACATATTTTCTACTTTGTATCATGTAACATATTTTTTTGCTCTCTATTTCTATATTCGAATTTTTAAATATTCCACATATAAATGAGATCATGCAGTATTTTTTTCTTTCTGTATTTGGCTTACTTCACTTAGCATAACATCCTTCAGACTCATCCATGTTCTGGCAAATGGAAAATCTTGTTCTTTTTTTAATGGATGAACAATATTCCATTGTGTATATGTACCAGACACTGTTTCTTTATTCATTTTTCCATCAATTAACACTTATTTGCTTCCTTACCTTGACTACCATGAATAATACTACAATGAACAAGGAGGTGCAGATAACTTTATGAGGTGGTTATTTCACTTCCTTTGGGTATATGTGCCTAGAAGAGGGATTGGTGGGTCACATGCTACAACTATTTTTAAGATTTCTTTGGAAACCTTCATATTGTTTTCCGTAATGGCTGTATCAGTCTACATTCCTACCAACAGTGTATAAGAGTTCTCTTTTCTCCAACTCCTCGTTAACATTTATCTTTTGACTTCCTGATAATAGTCATCCTAATGGGTGTGAGGTGTTATCTCACAGTGATTTTGATTTCCATTTCCCTGATGAATAATTATATTGAGCACCTTTTCATACACCTGTTAGCCAATTTTGTATTTTCTTTAGAGAAATATCAATCATGTCTTTGGCCATTTTTAAATTGGGTTATTTGTTTTCCCACTACTGAGTTGTATAAGTTCTTTATAATTTTTTGTTGTTAACTCCTTATCAAATATATGGCTTGCAAATAATTTTGTTTCCATCTATAGGCTGCCATTTCATTTTGTTAATTGTTTCCTTGATGTGAAGAAGGTTTTTTGTGTGTGATTTAGTCCCACTTATTTTTGCTTTTGTGGTCTGAACTTTTGCAGTGATATTTTAAAAAAATATTGTCAAAGCCAAAGTCCAGGAGATTTTCCTCTATTTTCCCTTCTAGGAGTTTTATAGGTTCTTGTCCTATATGAGTCTTTTATCCTGTTTGAGTTGAGTTTGTGTATGATGTAAGACAGAGGTAAAATTTTTATTATTTTGCATGTGGAAATCCAGTTTTCCAAGCACCGTTTATTGAAGAGAGTATTTTTTCTTCATTGTGTACTCTTGATGCCCTTGTCAAAAATTAAGTTACCATAAATTTTTGTATTTATGTCTTCTGTATTATGTTCCACTATGTACCTGGTTTTAATGCCAGTACCATACTGTTTTGGTTACTATAGCTTTGTAATACAATTTTAAATCAGGAAGTTTGATGTCTCCAACTTTATTCTTCTTTCACAGAATTCTTTTGGCTATTTGGGTCTTTTATGGTTTCACACAAATTTTAGGCTTTTAAAAAATTTCTTGAAGAATGCCACTGGGATTTTGATACAAATTCCATTGAATCTGTACATTGCTTTGGGTAGTATGAAAATTTATTCTTCCAACCCATGAGCATTTGTTTATGTCTTCCATATCTTTCCATTTGTTTATGTCTTCTTCAATTTCTTTCATCTGTGTTTTACAGTTTTTAGTATACAGATATTTCACTTCCTTGGTTAAATTTATTCCTAGGTGTTTTCAAAATCCTATGTGTAATAAGATTGTTTTCTTTTTTAAGATTATTTAAGTATAAACATTCTACTAAATTTTTTATGTTGATTTTATATTCTGCAACTTTACTAAATTTATTCGTTTTAACAATTTTTTTTGTAAAATCTTTGGAGATTTTACACGTAGGATCATCTCATCTGCAATAGAGATTATTTTACTTCCTTTTGGATTTAGAGGCCATTTATTTCTTTTTCTTGTCTGACGGTTCTTGCTAGTACTTCCAGTATTACATTGAATAGAACTGTGATAGTGGGCTTCCTTGCCTTGTACTCAATCTTACTGGAAAAGGTTTTAGTTTTTCCCCATTGATTATAATGTTAGCTGTGAGTTTTTCATAAATGGCTTTTATTATGTTGAGGAAGTTCCTTCTATACCTAAACTGTTAAGAGATTTTA
Source organism: Homo sapiens (assembly GCF_000001405.40). Classification (NCBI taxonomy): domain Eukaryota; kingdom Metazoa; phylum Chordata; class Mammalia; order Primates; family Hominidae; genus Homo; species Homo sapiens. The sequence goes on along the minus strand of NC_000023.11, from coordinate 64,051,147 downwards.
ACAAGAAAGTATTTAGGAATTTGTCAACTGCTTTTGTGCCTCGATTGGGATGATGATATGGTTTTTATCTTTCACTCTTTTAATGTGGTGTATCACATTGATTGATTTGCATATGTTGAACAGACCCACATGCCACAGGTAAATCCCACTTGGTCATGATGTACAATCTTTTTGACATATTGTTGTATCTGGATTACTAATATCTAATTGAGAATTTTTGCATCAATATTTATCAGGTTGTAGGTTTTTTTCTTGTGATGTCTTTTTCTGCCATAGGTATCAAGGTGATGCTGGCCTCATAAAATGTGTTTGTAAGTATTCACTCTAGCTTTATTTTTTGGAAGAGTTAAAGAAGTGTTGGTATTAATTCTTCTTTGAATGTTTGATAGAATTCAGCTCTGAAGCCATCTGATCCTAGGCTTTTCTTTGTTGGGAGATTTTTTGTTACTTCCTTAATAACTTTATTTGTTATTGATCGAATCAAGCTTTATATTTCTGAGTCAATATTGGTAGGTTGTATTCTTCTAGGAATTTATACATTTCCTCTAGGTTACTCAACTTATTGGTATAAAATTATTCTTACGACTACCTTATGATCCTTTTTGTTTCTGAGGCATTTGTTATAATTTCTATTTTCATTTTAAATTTTGAATCTTCCAACTATTTTTATTATACTATCTGTTTATCAATTTTGTTAATTAATTTATTTATTTTGGATAGATTTTCCTTTTTATTCCTTCAACCTTTATTTTAAGCTTCATGGTACATGTGCAGGATGTTCAGGTTTGTTATATAGGCAAACGTGTGCCATGGTGGTTTGCTGCACAGATAAACTCATCACCTGGGTATTAAGCCCAACATCCATTAGCTATTCTTCCTGATGTTCTCCCTCCACCCAATCCCCCTAGCAGATCCCAGTGTGGGTTGTTCCTTCCCATGTGTCCATATGTTCTAATTGTTCAGCTCCTACTTATAAGCGAGAACATGTGGGATTTGGTTTTCATTTCCTGCATTAGTTTGTTTAGGATAATGGCTTCCAGTCTCATCCATGTCCCTGCAAAGGACATGATCGCGTTCCTTTTTATGGCTGCATAGTATTCCATGATGTATATGTACCACATTTCCTGCATCTACTCTACCATTGATGAGCATTTGGGTTGATTCCATGTCTTGCTATTGTGAATAGTGCTGCAATAAACATAGTCATACATGTATATTTATAATAGAATAATTTATATTCCTTTGAGTATATACCTAGTAATGGGATTAATGGGTCAAATGGTATTTCTGGTTCTAGGTCTTTGAAGAAATGCCACACTGTCTTCCACAATAGTTGAACTAATTTACAGTCCCACAAAGAGTGTAGAAACGTTCTCATTTTTCCAACGACCCACCAGCATCTGTTGTTTCTTGACTTTTTGATGATAGCCATTCTGGCTGGTGTGAGATGGTTCTTATTCTGGTTTCAATTTGCATTTCTCTAATGATCAGTCACGTTGAACTTTTTTTCATAAATGTATAATATCTTCTTTTGAGAAGTGTCTGTTCATGTCCTTTGCCCACTATTTAATGGGGTTGTTTGTTTGTTATAAATTTGTTTAAGTTCCTTGTAGATTCTGGATATTAGACCTTTGACAGATTGATAGATTGCAAAAATTTTCTCCCATTCTGTATGTCCTTCACTCTGAAGATATTTTCTTTTGTTGTGCAGAAACTCTTTAGTTTAATTAGATCCAATTTTGTCTATTTTTGGTTTTGTTGCTATTGCTTTTGATGTTTTTGTCATGAAATCTTTGCCCATACATAAGTCCTGAATGGTATTGCCTAGATTTTCTTCTATGGTTTCTAGAGTTTTGGGTTTTTGAGTCTTTAATGTATGTTGAATTAATTTTAGTATAAGGTGTAAGGAAGGGATCCAGTTTCAATTTTCTGCATATGGCTAGCCAGATCTTCCAGTACCATTTATTAAATAGGGAATCTTTTCCCCATTGCTTGTTTTGTCAGGTTTGGCAAAGACCAGATGGTTGTAGATGTGTAGTCTTATTTCTGAGTTTTCTGTTCTGTTCCATTGTTCTTTGTGTCTGTTTTTGTACCTGTACCATGCTATTTTGGTTACTGTAGCCTTATAGTAAAGTTTGAAGTCGGGTAGTGTGATGCCTCCAGCTTTGTTCTTTTTGCTTAGGATTGTCTTGGCTATACAAGCTCTTTTTGGTTTGAGGTTAGAACATACTCCTTTAGCTCAGTGAATTTTTTTATTACCCACCTTCTGAAGCCTACTTCTGTCAGTTCATCCATCTCAGCCTCAGCCAACTTCTGTGTCCTTCCTGGAGAGGTGTTGCAATCATTTAGAGGAAAAGAGGCACTCTGGCTTTTTGAGTTTTCAGTATTTTTGTGTTGATTCTTTCTTATCCTCATGATCTTATTATCTACCTTCAATTTTTGAAGTTGCTGACCTGTGAATGGGGTCTTGTGGGTTTTTTTTTATGTTATTGTTGTTGATTTTTGTTTGTTTGTTTGTTTGTTTGTCTTTTAACAGTCAGGTCACTCTTATGTAAAGCTGCTGTGGTTTGCTGGGGGATTGCTCCAGACCCTAGTTGCCTCAGATTTTTCTTTACCTGGAGGTATCACCAGTGCTTGCTGTGTAAAAGCACAGATGGCAGCCTTCTTCCTCCTCTGGAAGCTCCATCCCATGTGGGTACTGACCCGATGCTAGCCTGGAGACTCCGGTAGGAAGTGTCTGGAGACCTCTGTTTGAGAGTTCTCATCCAGTCAGGAGGAAAAGAATCAAGGACCTGCTTTAAAAAGAAGCTTGGCTACTTTTTGATTGAGAAAGTGTGCTGCATTGGGGGGACCCTTCCTTATCCAGAGTACCTAGGCTCTCCAGAGTCAGCAGGCTAGAATGGCTGAGTTAACTAAACTACAGAGACATTGGCCACCCCTTCCCTCTGGTCTTCATCCAAGGGAGAGATCAGAGTTCTTTCCATATAACCCTGGCTGGAGTTGCTGAAATTCCCACTGGGAACCCCTGCCCAATGAGGAGGGATGGATCGGGGTCCCACTTAAAGAATAAGTCTGACCACAACCTAACACAGCAGGTACGCTGTGTTGTGGGGGCTCCTCCTTGTCCAGGCCACCTAGACTTTCCAGAGCCAGCAGGCTAAAATGGCTGAGTGGATTAAACTGCAGAGACTGTGGCCACCCCTTCCCCTGGGGGCTCTGCCTGAAGGAAAGATCAGAAATCTGTCTGTATAACCCTGGCTGGAGTTGCTGAAATTCCCATTGGGAGGCCCCACCCAGTGAGGAGGGATGGATCAGGGTCCCACTTAAGCAATCTGGCCACAATCTGGTACAGCAGCTGTGCTATGTTGTGGGGTGCTCCTTCTCATCAGGAACACCTGGATCTCCCAGAGCCAGCAGGCTAGAATGTCTGAGTCAACCTAACTGCAGAAATGGTGGCTGCCCCTCCCCACAGGAACTCATTCATCTCAGGCAGTCTCCAGCTGGTTGCACTGGTTGGCTGGAATTCCAAGGCAGTGGGTTTTAACTTGTGAGGTGCCATGGAAGTGGGACCTACAGAATGATGCTGCTTAGCTCTCTGGTTTCAGTCCTCTTTCTAGAGGAATGTACAGATGGATCTCCCACCTTGCCAGGATTCCTGGGGCCAGAGTCTGTAAAACTCCTGGATCTTTGTGTGAGCCTGAGCAACAGCTCTGCTGAGACTCCAAACAGCTATGTGTGTCAAACCCAAGGCCCTGGTGGTGTGGGCTTATGAGGGATCTCCTGATCCATGGGTTGCAAAGATCCATGGGAGAAGCATGGTTTCTTAGGTGGGGTCATGCAATCACTCACTGCTTCCCTTAGCAAGGGGTGGGGGTTCTTTTGGCTTCATGTCACTTCTGGGTTGTGTATTCTGTTCCTTTGGTCTATGTGTCTGTTCTTATGCCAGTATCATGTGGTTTTGATTACTATAGCTCTGTAGTATAATTTGAAGTCACATAATGTGATTCCTCCAGTTTGGTTCCTTTTGCTCAGGGTCGGTTGTTGCCCCACCCTTCTTTCCTTCATTCTCCGTGGGTCCAATTGTCTGCCTAATCAGTCCCAGTGTGAGAACATGAATATTTCAACTGAAGGCGCTGAATTCACTCTCTATTTCCATTCCTCTTAATGAGAGCTGAAGAACACAGCTGCTTCTAATTGTCCATCTTGGCCCCTACCCCATTTTTATCTTTTTTTTAAAAAAAAAATATATATACTGATATAGAATGTCAGTATTTAATGATAAAGATGTCAATTCATTAAGAAGATTTATATACATATATCTTGCAATAGTTTATGACTTGAAGCCTATTTTACTAGTCATAAGTATAGCCACCTTTGTAATCTTTTGGTTATGATTTGCATGGAATATCTTCTTTTATCTTTCATATTCAGCCTATGTGTGTCCTTAAAGCATAAATACATCTCTTGTAGGCAACATATAGTTAGTTCTTATATTTTTAATTTTTGTTGGTATATAGTAGGTGTGTATATTTAGGGGATACATAAGATACTTTGATACAGGCATGCAATGCAAGATAATCACATTAGGATAAATGGGATATCCATGCCTTGAAGCATTTATCCTTTATGCTACAAATAATCCAATTATACTCTTTTAGTTATTTTAAAATATACAATTAAATTATTTTTACTGTAGCCATCCTGTTCTGCTAACAAATAATAGATCTTATTCATTCTTTCTAGCTATTTTTTTGTATCCATTACCAAGCCTCACTACCTGCCTCAAATACACCCACTATGATTCCCAGCCCCTGGGAACCATTGTTCCATACTCTCTCTCCATTTCAATTGTTTTAATTTTTAGCTCCCACAAATAAGTGAGAGCATGAGAAGTGTCTTTCTGTTCCTGGCTTATTTCACTTAATATAATGGCCTCCACTTCCATCCATGTTATTAAAAATGACAAAATCTCATTCTTTTTTGTGGCTGAATAGTACTCCATTGTGTATATGTAGCACATTTAAAAAATCATTTCATCTGTCGATGGACAGTTTGTCTGCTTCCAAATCTTGGCCATTGTGAACAGCTCTGGAACAAACCTGGTTGTGCAGATATCCCTTTGATATGTTGATTTATCTTCTTTCGGGTATATACCCAGCAGTGGGATATCTGGACGTATGGTGGGTCTAGTTACAGTTTTTCGAGAAACCTTCAAAGTGTTCTCCATAGTGACTGTATTAATTTACATGTCCACAAAAAGTGTATAAAGATTCCCTTTTCTCCAAATCCTCATCAGAATTTGTTATTGCCTGGCTTCTGGATAAAAGCCATTTTAACTGGAGTGAGATATCTCATTGGAGTTTTGATTTGCATTTCTCTGATGATCAATAATATTGAGCATCTTTTCATATGCCTGTTTGCCATTTGCATTTCTTCTTTTGAGAAATGCTTATTTCTCATTTTGTCAAGATAGCATGTTATCTTTCGAGAAACGTTTTGCCTATTTTTTAATACAAAAGGATTTATTAAAACACCAGTAAGACACTACTACATCATGACACTGTCACACTAGCACACTAGGCTTTTAACACAAGACTTGCTCTACAATACTGGGAGGAAGGGCATAAAACACAAATTGATTCTGAAACATAGCAATTAAGAAATAAAACAATGAAAACAAATTTCTTTTAATGGGAACTCAGAATTAAACTTCAGAGGGACCCAAAATCATACTTCCATTCAGGGACTTGATACAAAAATTTAGTTTGAACTGCTATTAGCAGGTGGCAGGAGCCACCTTCAAGTGAATTTTCAAATTGGAAAATACTGCTTCACCACTTGTTGGGGATAAGCTGCAAATGGAATAATTTAGTATGTTTTTTAGCTATTTTGATGATCATCTCCCCTGGATACCTTCCCATAACCATTCTGCTGCTATAATCACAATATCCATAGTAGTTGTTGTAACTAGTGTAGACATATCCTCCATAACCACCATAACCTTGGGTGTTATATCCATAGTTGCCATAGCCTTGATTCCAATAGTTACTATATCGCTGGTTCTAGTTTTGACTGGGGCCACCACCTCTTCCACGAGCTCTTCCTGCAAATCCTCCTCTAGATCCCCACTATTGCTGTTGCTGATATTATTCCTTTGACATGGCTACTTTTAATTCACATTTACCAAGACCAACATTGTAGTATTTCCTTTTCATTATCTTCTTCACTGGTTCTTCTTCCTTAAAGATAATAAAGCTCAATCCAAGCCTCTTATTGGTCTTGTTGTCCATGGGGAGCTCTATGGATTCCACCTCACTGAAACCATCATAGTACTCCCTTATTTTCTCTTCAGGTGTATCTGGAGAAAGGTCTCCAACAAAAATTTTTTTAGATGGCTCTTTTGTTTTCATGACTTTGGCCCTTTTAGGATCAATCACCTTCCCATTCAATTTATGTTCTTTTTGATCCATGACCTTATCTGCACTCTCCGATTCTTTAAAAAGCACAAAGCCAAAACTCCTTGATCGCCCTGTGATTGGGTGCACTCTACAGCTTTATCAAAATGGAAAAGTAGTCCTTCAGATCTTTCCTTGTAGTGTCCTATAAACATCTTCCCTTCTTCCCGCCGTGCCGTCGTTGCTTCAGAGTGTCATGGGTAGGAGTTTGAATGGCCTTCATCCTCCTAGTTCTTACTGGCACCTATCTTCGCCCCCTCCGACTCGGCGCTGCCCCTTTTGGTGCCTCCAGACTCGGTTCAGCCCCCGATCGCGGCTCCGCTTCCCGCCACTGCTGCTGCCTCCTGTGCCGCCGCCACCATAGTTCCCTCCTGCTCGCCCACCAAGCCGCCTACCGCCGCGGTTGCTGCTGCCGCCGCCCTGTCCCAGCTGAACTCCTCCTCCGACATAGTGCTACCGTCTCCGTCACCACCGAGACTACACCTGCGGCATGCTGCAAACCAAAACTAGCAGCAAAGTAATCCCCACCGCTGCTGTGAGCCCGCTCTACCTGGCGAAGCACACAAGACAAGGAAGGCGCGCACATGGCCGCAAAGGCTCCTGTGCCTCTCCTTGGCCTTCCCCCTTCGCCTCCCACTCTCGAGCGGCTCACACTCCGCCTCTCTCCGGCTGCACTGAAAAAGAGTAAGCAGGCTGGGCGCGGTGGCTCACGCCTGTAATCCCAACACTTTGGGAGGCCAAGGCGGGCGGATCATAAGGTCGGGAGATCGAGACCATGCTGGCCAACATGGTGAAACTCTGACTCTACCCAAAATACAAAAATTAGCTGGGCGTGGTGACGCGTGCCTGTAATCCCAGCTACTCTGGAGGCTAAGGCAGGAGAATCGCTTGAACCAGGGAGTCAGAGGTTGCAGTGAGCTGAGATCACGCCACAGCACTCCAGCCTGGTGACAGAGCGAGACTCCATCTCAAAATAAAAAATAAAAATAAAAAAATAAGCAGCAGTGGCAGCAGTTCTTGCCTCCTCCTCACTTTGATGGCGCCCCCGCAGACCACCTAAAATGCAGTTTTGCCCATTTTTTATTTTATTTTATTTTATTTTATTTCTGTTTGGGACAGAGTCTTGCTCTGTGGTCCCGGCAGTGGCGTGATCTTGGCTCACTGCAACCTTTGCCTCCCGGGTTCAAGCCATTTTCCTGCCTCAGCCTCCCGAGTAGCTGGGATTACAGGTGCCCACCACTACGCCTAGCTATTTTTTTGTATTTTTAGTAGAGATGGAGTTTTACCATGTTGGCCAGTCTGGTCTCGAACTCCTGACCTCGTGATTCGCCCACCTCAGCCTCCCATAGTACTGGGATTACAGGCGTGAGCCTCCACGCCTGGCTGTTTAGCCTATTTTTAAATCAGATTGTTCAATTTATTCTTAAGGAGTTGTTTGAGCTCTTTTTGATTTTTCCAAATGTAAGATTATATCATCTGCAAGTAAGAATAATAAGAAGTCTTTCTTTTCAATTTAGATGCCCTTTATTTCTTTCTGATTGCTTTAGTGAGGGCTTCTAGTACTGTGTTTAATAACAGTGGTGAAAGTGGGCATCCTTGTCATGTTTCAGATTTTAGAGGAAAGACTTTCAGTTCTTCTCCATTCAGTATAATACTAGCTGTGGGTCTGTCATACATGGCTCTTATTATGTTTAGGTATGTTTCTTTTATACCCAGTTTTTTAATAGTGGTTAACATGAAGAAGTGTTGAACTTTATCAAATGCTTTTTCAAAATAAATTGAGATGATCATATGGATTTTGCATTTCCTTTTGTTGATATGATGTATTACAATGATTGATTTGTGTATATTGACAAATCCTTGCATCCCTGGGATAAATCTGACTTGGTCATGTTAAATGATTTTTTAATGTATTATTGAATTTGTTTTGCTAGTATTTTCTTGAGCATTTTTGCATCAATATTCATTAGGGATATTGGCCCGTAGGTTTTTGTTCGTTTGTTTGTTTGTTTGTTTGTTTGTTTGATATAGAGTTTTGCTCTTGTCACCCAGGCTGGAGTGCAATGTCATAATCTCAGCTCATTGCACCTTCCACCTCCTGGGTTCAAGCAATTCTTCTGCCTCAGCCTCCCGAGTAGATGGGATTACAGGCACCCGCCCCCACGCATGGCTAATTTTTATATTTTTAGTAGGGACAGGGTCTCACCATGTTGGCCAAGCTGGTCTTGAACTCCTAACCTCACGTGATCTGCTCACCTCGGCCTCCCAAAGCGCTGGGATTACAGGCACGCACCACTGCCCCTGGACTTCTTTTTGATATGTCTTTGTCTGGTTTTGGTATCAGAATAAAACTACCCTCATAAAAGGAGTTGGAAAGTATTTCTTCCTCCTCTATTTTTCAGATTAGTTTTGGTAGTATTTGTATTAGTTCTTTATGTTTTGTAGAATTTGGCAGTGAAGCCATCAAGTCCTGGGTTTTGCTTTATTGGGAGACTTTTTACTGTGGCTTCCATTTTATTACTTGTCATTTTTCTGTTCTGGTTTTGGATTTATTCATGGCTCAATCTTGGTAGGTTGTATGTGTCTAGAAATTTATCCGTTTCTTCTGGATTTTCCAATTTATTGGCATATAGTTGTTTATAGTAGCCACTATCAATTCTTTGAATTTTTAAATCTCTGCTTATATTTATTTTGATTTCCTCTTTTTTTTCTTAGTTAGCCTGGCTAACAGTTTGTCCATTTGATTTATCTTTTAAAAAAACTAACTTTTCATATTATTTATTTTTGTATCATTTTTCTTTTCAATTTTATTTCTTTCTTCTCTGATCTTTATTATTTATGTGTTTCTACTAATTTCGGGTTTTGTTTGCTGTTGCTTTTCTAGTTCTTTAAGATGTATTATTAAGTTACTTATTTGAAGTTTTGCTTCATTTTAATATAGGCACTTATAGCTATATTTTCCTCTAAGTAATGCTTTCACTGTGTTCCATAGTATTTGGTATGTTGTGTTTTCTTTATCATTTGTTTCAAGAAATTTTTAAATTTTCTTCTTAATTTGTTCATCGACACAAAGGTCATTCATGAGAATCTTGTTTAATTGCAATGTATTTGTATAATTTGCAAAATTCTTCTTGTTATTGATTTCTAGTTTTATTTCATTGTGGTCAGAGAAGATTCTTGATATTTCACTTTTTTGAATGTTTTAAGACTTGTTTTGTGACCTAATGTATGGTCTATCCTTGAGAATAATTTATGTGCTAAGGAGAAGAATGTGGGTTGTGCAGGCCTTCAATGAAATGTTCTATAAATATCTTTTAGGTCTATTTGTTCTATAGTGCAGATTAAGTTAGATATTTCTTTGTTGATTTTTTTTGTCTAGAGGATCTGTCCAATGCTGAAAATGCGATGTTGAACTCTCCAGCTATTATTGTATTGAAATCTATCTCTCTCTGTTTAATAATATTTGCTTTATATATCTGGTATTCCAGAGTTTGGTGCATATATATTTACAATTGTTGTATCCTGTCGATGAATTGATTCCTTTATCACATAATGACCTTTGTTTCTTATAGGTTTTTATGGAAATTTTTTCTGTCTGATATAAGTATAGCTTCTTCTGCTCTGCTTAAGTTTCCATTGTCATGGAATATCTTTTTTCATATCCTTATTTTTAGTCTATATGTATCTTAATAGGTGGTGTATTTCTTGTAGGCAATGGATCATTGGGTCTTGTATTTTTTTTAAATCCTTTCAGCCACTGTATGTATTTTAATTAGAGTTTAGTTTATTTACATTCAGTGTTATTATTGATAAGTAGGAAATTACTCCTGCCCATTTCTTATTTGTTTTCTGGTTGTTTTGTGGTCTTCTCTTCCCTTTCTTCTTTCCTATCTTTTTTACAGTGAAGGAGATTTTCTCTAGTTATATGATTGAATTTCTTGCATCTTAGTTTTTGGTGTATCTGTTGTATGTTTTTTATTTGAAGTTACCATGAGGCTTTCTAATGCTGTCTTATAACCCATTATTGTAAATGATGACAACTTAACACTGATTGCATAAACAAACACACACAAGGAAAACAAATAAAAACTCCACACTTTCATTGCATCTTACATTTTTTTATCTTTTTATTGTTTCTCTTTATGTCTTCTTGTACTTTCTATGTATTGAAATGTTGTAGTTATTATTTTTGATTTAGTCTTTCTACTTATAAGTGTAGTTTACTCACCACAAATACAGTGTTATATTAGCCTGTGTTTTTCTGGGTGCTTTCTATTACCAGTGACTTTTGCATCTTAAGATGATTTCTTGTTGCTCATTAAAATGCTTTACTTCCAGACTGAATGACTCTCTTTAACATTTATTGTAAGATAGGTCTCATGTTGATGAAATTCCTCAGCTTTTGTTTGGGAAAGTCTTTATTTCTCCTTCACGCATGGAGGATATTTTAACTGAATATATTATTCTAAGGTAAAAGTATTTTTTTTTTCCTTTAGCACTTTCAACATGTCATGCCACTCTAGCCTGGCCTGTAAAGCTTTTACTGAACATCTGCTGCCAGATGCATTGGAGCTCCATTGTATGTTATCTACTTTTTTTTCTTTTTTTCTTGTGTTGCTTTTAGGATCCTTTATTTATCCTTGTTATTTGGGATTGATTATTAAATGCCTTGAGGTAATCTTCTTTGGGTTAAATCTGCTTGGTGTTTTATAACCTTCTTATACTTGAATGTTGATATATTTCTCTAGGTTTGGGAAATTCTCTGATATACCCCTTTGAATAAACTTTCTACCCCTATGCCTTTGTCTACCTACTCTTTAAAGGCAGCACCCCTTAGATTTGACCTTTTGAGATTATTTTGTAGATCTTATTGGTGTTGCTTTATTGCTTGTAGTCTTTTTATTGTTTCCTCAGTGTATTATCACATATCCTGTCTTCAGTCTCATTCTTTATTCTGCTTGATCTAGTCTGCTAATAAGTGACTCTGATGCATTCTTCAGTATGAGGCTTGCAGTTTTTAACTCTAGAATTTATACTTGAGTCTTTTAAATTATTTCAATCTCTTCATTAAATTTATCTGACAGAATTTTAAATTATTTCTCTGTGTTATCTTCAGTTTATTTGAAGTTCCTCAAAGCAGCTATTATGAATTCTTTCGGAAAGATCCCATATCTCTGTTCCTTCAGGATTGGTCCCTGGTGACTTATTTAGTTCATTTGGTGAGGTCATGTTTTCTGGAATGGTCTTGAAGCTTGGGGATGTTCACTGGTGTCTGGGCATTGAAGAGTTACATATTTATTGCAGTCTTCACAGTCTAGACTTGCTTGTACCCATCTTTCTTGAAAAGATTTTCTAGATATTCAAAGTGACTTGTGCCCCAAGCCCAGTGACGCTGTGTTTCTTGCAGTCTCTTAGAGGTACCACTTTGGTAGTCTTGGATAAGATCTGAAAGAATTCTCTGGATTTCCAAGAAGAGACTCTTGTTCTCTTCCTTTACTTTCTCCCAAACAAACTGAGCCACTCTGTCTATGTTGACTCACCTGGAGCTGTGGGTGGGGTGATGCAGGCACCACTTTGGCCACCACCAATGGGACTGCAATGGGTCAGAACTTAAGCAGTATAACACTTGGTCTCACACAAGGCCTGCTGTAACCACTACCTGGCTACCACCTATGTTCACCCAAGTCCCTCGCTCTGTACAATCAGCAGATGGTGAAGCCAACCATGTTTGTGTTCCTCCCTTCAGAGCACCAAGTTCCGCCAGGCCTCTGGTGGATCCAGAGATCTTGTCTGAGAGCCAGGGATTGGAATCAAAAACCTTAGAAATCTACTTCCTGGTCTATTCTACTGAAGCTAAGCTTGAAGCTCAAATTACAAGTCAACATCCTTATTGTTTTTCTTTCCCTTTTCTAAAGGCTGAGAAGTATCTCCCAGTGGCCACTACCATCATTGCTTCCTGAGGAATTCTGCCTGACCACCTCCAATGTCCACTTAAAGCCCAAGGGCTCTTCAGTCAGTTTGTGGTGAATGCTGCCAGGCCTGAGACTCACCCTTCAGGGCATTGGGCTCCCCTCTGACCCAGGACAGGTCCAGAAATGCTGTCCAAAAGCCTAGGCCTGAAGCTGGGGACCCCAAGAGCTTGTTTGGTGCTCTACCTCACTGTGGCTGAGCTGATACCGAAGGTGCCAAAGTCCCCTTTACTTTTACCTCTGCTTTTCTCAAGCAGAAGGAGTCTCTCACTGTAGCCACCACAGCTGGGAATGTTCTGGGTCTCACCTGAAGCCAACACATCTCAGAGTCTCACCCATGGCCCATGACATGTGACCTGGGTATTGCTGTTATCTATTCAGGGCCCAGAGACCCATTAATCAGCAGGTGATAAATTCTATCAGGACCGGCATCATCCCTTAAAAGGAACTATGTTCTCTTCTGGCCCAGGATGTGTCAAGAAATGTTGTTCAGGAGCTAGGCTGTCACAGTTCTGCCTGGGGCCCTATCTTATTATGGCTGAGCTAGTATCCAAGATGCAGCAAGAAGTCCTCTTACTTTTCCCACTTCTCTCCTCAGTAGAAGGAAGGTGTTACTTTTGTTGCTGTGAGCTACGCTGCCTGGGATTGAGAGAGAGGTGGTGAAAACACTTTCTTAGCTGCTCTGCCTGTGTCTCCCTAAGTTATGTGCTGCTTTAGTCCTTTGTCTCTAAGCCCAGTCCAGCAATAGGACTTGCTTTGGAATTGCAGTTCTTTTCTCCTAGACTGCCTTTCACGTTTACCTAGTATCCCAGAGCATCTCGATGCCAACTGCTGGGATGGATGATTTCTCTCTGTCATGGGCTGGTTCAAATGCTACCCCCATGAGTGGGCACCTGCTGAGCCCAGCACTGCTTTCTCTCTACTTTACAGGGCAGCACAGAGTTCAATTCCAAGTTCCTCTGTTGCTGTGCTCTCCTTCCCCCGCATGGAGAGATTCTCTCTGGACCACATGGCTGCTCCTGGGGGGTGGCAGATGGTGACATTAGTGATTCAAGACTATCTCTTCTACCCTCTTCAGTGCCTCTTTCAGTCATGTAAACTTAAAACCAGGTACTGCAATTGGTCACCTGATTTTTGGTACTTATGGCGGTGCTTTTTTGTGTGTAGCTAGTTGTAAAGATTGGTTTTCCTGCTGCAGGGGACAATTAGTGGAGGCTTCTATTTGGCCATCTTGCTCTGCCCTTAGATCCTATTTATTTTTAACCCATTCAGCCAGTCTGTCTTTTGCTTGGACAATCTAATCTATTTACATTCAAAGTCGTCATCAATAGTTAAGAACTTATTACTGCAGTTTTTGGGTTTCTGGCTGTTTTATGCCTCCTTTTTTTCTTCCTTTCTTGTTGTCTGCTGTTGTGATTTAATCATTTTCTGTATTTCTAAGCTTTGATCCCTTTCTCTTCATTATTTGTATATCTGCTGTATTTTTTGTTTTATGGTTACCATGGGGTTTACATAAAACATCTTATAATTTATTTTAATCTAATAACAACTTCTGTCACATACAAAAACTCTAGACTTTTACCATCCTTCCCCAAATTTACATTACTGATGTACAATTTTCATCTTTTTCTATTGTTTATCCCTTAACAACTTATTATGGCCTTATTTATTTTGACCATTTTGACTTTTAACATTCATACTAGAGATATATATGATTTACATACCACCATTACAGTATTTGTGTATTCTGGGTTTGACTACATATTTACCTCCACCAGTGAGTCTTATATGTTCATATTTATTTATGATAGTAATTATTGAGCTTTTGTTTCTACTTGAAGAATTCTCTTAAACATTTTTTTGCAAGGCAGGTCTGGTGGTAACAAATTACCTCAGCTTCTGCTTGTCTATGAAAGACTTTATTTTTCCTTCATTTCTGAAGGACAGCTTTGCTGGAAAAAGTATCCTTCGATGCACTTTTAATCTTTCATCACATTATGTATATCATCCCATTCTCTCCTTGTCTACAAGGTTTCTGTGAAGAATATCCCAATGGTCTAATGGACATTTCCTTATATGTGATTTGATACTTTTCTCTTGCTACTTTTTAAGATTTTCTTTCTTTTTTTTTTTTTTTGACATAGTATTACTGTGTCACCCAGGCTGTAGTGCAGTGGCACAATCATGGCTCACTGCAGCCTCAACATCCTAGGCTCAAGTGATCCTCCTACCTCAGCCTTCTGAATAGCTGGGACTACACAAGAGTTCTGCCATGCCCAACTTTTTTTTTTTTTTGTATTTTTTGTAAAGATGGGATTTCACCATGTTTCCAAGGCTAGTCCTGAACTCCTGGACTCAAGCGATTTTCCAGTCTCAGCCTCTCAAAGTACTGGAATTATAGGCACAAGCTACTATGCCTAGCCTTGTCTTTGAGTTTAAAAAAAAAATCTTATTTTAGGTTCAGGGGTACATGTACTGGTTTGTCATATAGGTAAATTGCATGTCATGGGTGTTTGGTGTATAGATTATTTCATCACCCAGGTAATGGTGATGGTAAGTATAGTACCCAATAGGCAGTTTTTCAATCCTTTCCCTCCTCCCACCGTCCAGCCTCTGATAGGCCTCAGTGTGTGTTGTTCCCTTCTTTGTGCCCATGTGTACTCAATATTTTAGCTCCTACTTATAAGTAAACACATGCAATATTTGGTTTTCTGTTCTTGCATTAGTTCACTTAGGATAATGGCCTCCAACTCCATCTGTGTTATTGCAAAGGACATAATCTCACTCTTTTTGATGGTTGCATAGTATTCCATGGTATGTATGTACCACATTTTCTTTATCCAGACTGCCACTGGTAAGCATTTAGGTTGATTTTATGTCTTTGCTATTGTGAATAGTGCTGCAATAAAGTATGTGTGTGTGTCTTTATGGTAGAATGATTTCTATTCCTTTGGGTATATACCCAATAATTGGATTGTGGGGCTGAATGGTAACTGTGTTTTAAGTTCTTTGAGAAATCGCCATACTGCTTTCTACAATGACTGAACTAATTTACATTCCCACCATCAGTGTATAAGCATTTCCTTTTCTTCACAGCCTCACCAGCATCTGTTATGTTTTTACTTTTTAATAATAGCCATTCTGACTGGTGTGAGATGGTATCTCACTGTGATTTTGATTTGTATTTCTCTAATGATTAGTGATGTCTTTGAATTTTGATAATTTGATTATAATGTGACTTGGAGAGAACCTCATTGAGGTGAATCTATTGTGGGAGTTTTGAGCTTCCTGATTCTGGACGTCCATATCTCTCCCAAGACTTAGGACGTTTTCAGGAATTATTTTATTGAATGAGCTGTTTGTCCCTTTCTCTGTCTTCTTTCCTTATGGAAATACCATAATGCAAATATTTGTTCACTTAATAGTGTGTCATAAGTCCTATAGCCTGTCTTTAATATTTTTTTCTTTCTTTTTTCCTTCTGAGTCATTTAAAAAGACCTATATTAAAATTTCACCGATTCTTTCTTCTTGACCTAGTCTATGTTGAAGGTTTCAATAATGTTTTTTTTTATTTAGTTGATTGAATTTTTAGCTCCAAGATTTCTGTTTGGTTCTTTTTTATGATATTTTCTCTTTGTTAAATTTATTATTCAGATTATGAGTTATTTTCTTGAATTCATTGAATTGTCTATTTGTATTTTCTTTTATCTTGCTTTCTTAAGATTATTAATTTGAATTCTTTTTCAGGCAATTTATAATTTTTGGTTTATTAGGGATCATTTACTGAATAATTATTGTATTCTTTTGGTGATATTACGTTTCCTTGCTTTTTCATATTTTTTGTGTCCCTGTGTTGATGTCTGTGTTTCTGATGATGCAGTTACATCTTTCAAATTTTAGAGTGGCATTCATAGGAGAAGGCTTTTAACTGTAGATGGGCCTGAAGGTGCCAGTTGAGCAAGCTGTGCTGGCTCTGGTTTCATGTGAGCAGTGGTGTGGTGTCTATGTAGCTTCTTCAGTTTTAGTCATCAGCAATGACTGTGGGTGCCTCAGTGGTCTAGGCTTCAGGAGTTTGGAGCTCTGATGGTGGCTGTTTAAGTTATTAAGTAAGGGCTCTAGGGTCCTTCTGTTCTTGTCTTCCTCACAGTGCAGAGTTTTAGCTGTGGGAATCTCTCTTGGGGTTGAGTTTGGCATGGCTTACAAGCAGCCACAACAGAACAGAGATTCAGGACTCAAGTGCTTGGAATGGCTGGGGAGCCAGGTCCCTGGGCTCAGAGTCATGCAAAACTACTATACCACCTGGGATTTGAGATGCAGGTTTATTCGTTAAGGCATATCCAGTTGTGGTTCTCTCACTAACTTGTGGTCTATTGTTGAGGCACATCCCAGCAGCTCAGTCCCAGAGGACTGGATATAGTTGTGTTTCTGGCCCTGGTATTGATCTCGAGAAGAAGGAGTACTCCAGCAGGACACAGCTGCAATTTGGAACCTAGAACCAACAGGGCACAGTGGTAGCTCAGGCTCCTGGGTGACTCTAAATTCTAGGATGGTGGAACATGAAAGTAGGCTAGAATCTGTGAGGCCAGGTACAGCAGCAAGAAGGATCCAGGAATGGCAAGATGCCAATGTGGCTTGGGCCTCAGTGGGAGGGGGAACAGTGCAGTGATGACTCTACTTCTTGGAGAGAAAGGGTAACAGCGGCTCAGACCACGGGGTGCTGCTTGAATTCCAGGCGGGTGAAATGCTCTGGATGTATGGCCTGGAGGGCAGGGTGGCTCAACTCAGCCAAGGTTCTGATTTAATGGGATTTAAGCCGCTTTGTCTGCTCAGCCTCAGAAAGTGGCTACATAGGTCAATGTAGCCTTCGGATCACTAAGGGTGGGGCATTGTATCAGCTGTCGTGCTGAGAGGTACAACTGCTCCAGTGTGCTGGAGGCCTGATGTCCTTGGGTGGAGAGCATGGGACTCCTTCAGCTGTAGGGTCAAAGAATGTGACTGCTCAGTGTGCATGAGGTGTGAGGTCCTCTGGGAGCAGTGCACTGTCTCAGTTGTGGTTCTAGAGGGAGTAATTACTCTGGTGTACAGGGAGCCTGAGGTCTCTGGTGGGGTGCTGCATCTGCTCTGAGGCTATGGGCACCACTGCTTTGGTGCACAGAAGGCCTGAGGTCCCTTGGAGGCAGGGTGACATCTCAGCTGTAGTGCCAAGGGAGCATGACTGTTCCAGTGTGCAGGCAGCCTGAGGGACCTGAGGCATAGGGTGCTACATCAGCTGTGGCATTTAGAGGGCATGATTTCTATGGTCCATCTAGATTTTGGGTCCTGGGGCATAGGGAGCCACTTCAGCTCAGCCCTAAGAGAAGGTTTACCAGCAACTGGGATGAGGGGGATGGAACAGCTTTCCAGTAGCTTGGCTCTAGTGGGTAGGGCATAGCAGCAGCTCAGCTCAATGACAGCACACTACTGGGTGGGCTGGGTGGGCATGGTGCAGAAGTGGCTGAGCTTCAGGAATAAAGAGAAGCAATAGCTGTTCGCTCCATGGAGTCACTCTAGTAGTGGCTCCAGCTCCAAGATAGTGCAGAGTAGTAGCAGCATGGGCCATGGGGTGGGAGTTGAGGCATAGCATTGGCTTTTCCTCTGGGATTAGCTCAGTATGTAGACCTTGGGGAGCTTCCTCAGATGTGATCAAGCCTGTGATGACTGCAGGAGTCTTCAGTAACAAAGACTGCATGTTCTGCTCTGGTGATGGGGGCTCCTGGGGTCCTCTTGCTTACCTTTTCCATGCAGTCTCTCCTGGTTCTGAGATAATCCCAACTGGAGGAATAGAGTGGTGGAGGCAAGGCACTTTCTTCCATTCTCCATTCAGCCATACTGGGTTTCTGTGCTCTATAGAATTTCTTTGCTTTTATGCTGTTCTGTTGTGCTGTTTTTTGGTTATTTTATCCAAAAAGTACTTGTTTATTCATTGCTTTTGTTTATATTTTTTTAAATTTTTGTTTTGTTGTTTATTGTTAGGAGCTTCCAGTCACCCATCTTGCTCTCACCATTTGCTGCTATATTATTAAAATTAATAGTATAAACTGTATCAGGTTAAATACAAAAATATTTTGACTAGTAATAATAAATAGAGCAGTAATCTGTAGTCCATTGATTTGTGATAAGGATGACAAGAACATTCCATGAGGAAAGAATAGTCTTTCTAATAAATGTCTGGAAAAAGTAGATTCACATGACAAATAATAAGTTTGGGCCCCCACCGCACACCATATACTAAAAATAACTCAAAATGGATCAAAGACCTAAATGTAAGTACTTCAATGACAAAAATCCTAGAAAAAAACATAGTTACACATTTTCATGTCTTTGAATTAGGCAATAGTTTTTAAAGGTATGGCACCAAAAGCTTAACCACCACAAGAAAAAACAGATAAACTTTATCAAAATTAAAAAGTTGACACTTCAAAGAATATAATCAAGAAAGTTATAAGACAACCCACTGAATGGGAGAAAATATTTGTAAATCGTTTCTCTCAGTGTCTGGTATATAGAACATCTAAATAACTCTTAAAAGTCAACAATATACGACAAGTAATACAATTTAAAAATGCATAAGGATACAAGTAGACATTTCTCCAAAGAAGATATACAAATGTCTGATAAACACATTAAAAGTTGCTCAACATCATTAATCATTAGGAAAATAGAAATTAAAATCACAATGAAATGCCACTTCATATCTCTTATGATGTCTATAATAAAAAATAAAAATTAACAACAGTTGGTGAGGATATGGAGAAACTGGAACCTTTATAAATTACTGGTGGAAATGCAGAATGGTATAACCCCTGTGGAAAACAGTCTGTCATTCCTGAAAGAGTTAAACATACAGTAATTACATGACCTTGCATTCCCACTCCTAGATATATAATCAAGAGAAATGAAAACTTATGTCCACACAAAAACTTGTAAACAATTTTTATGGCAGCACAATTTATAATAGCCAAAGAAGTGAAAACAATCCAAATCTCCATCAATTAAAGAATGAATAGGCAAAATATGGTTTACCTGTACAATGGAATATTATTCAACATCGTTAAAAGCAAAGAAATACACATGACATCAGGAAAGATGCAAGAATGCAGATTAAGAAGCATCAGAAATCTGTCTCTCCACCTAGACAAGAACTGTAGGATCAAAACTTATGAAGTGTCTATTTTGGAACTCTGGATTCTATCCAAACAATTTCAGCATCAAGGGAAAAGCTGGATGATAAATTGTAATCAGTTTCAATCAATTTCAGCCGTTAATGCAGTATCAGCAGTATCAACTACCCATTCCCCATCTCAGCCTCATGATAGGCAGCCATGTCCTTATTCTGGAAAGGGTTTTGCAGACAGACAGAGTCAGCAATATGGGCTTTATCCTGCAAATATCAGGAATCTGTGCTCTAATAGATGGTTGCTGCTTCTGATCACATTGGTGCAGACACAGAGGCAGGCTGCTATTGTTTAATCCCCCACATGTATTGGTTCATCCCTCTTGAGCTGAAGAAGCTTCCAAAAGACTTAAATTGACAGCTCCTTTTTCGTTGCTTTTGTTTGGTGATTATTTTTTGGTTTTGTTGTTTGTGTCTTCTACTTTTCCAATTTTCACCTTTTTTGGGAGAAAGACATTTAAGGACTAGAATATTCAAAGCAACTTAATATACAGGAGGGGTTTACAAAACCGCTGCATATGCCCAGGGAAAGACACAGATTCAGAAAATACCTCAGAAGACTTTATTTTTTCACCTCAGGCTGATCCCTGGCAAAGAAAAATTCTACAATAAATAATAATAAACAGCAAACTCTCAATAAAGGGGGAATCTAGTTTCCAGATTTACCACATTATAACAATGCAAATGTCCAATTTTTAACAAAAAAAGTCACTGGGCATATGAAGAAACAGGAAACTATGTATGACTCAATTAAAGAAACAAAATAAGTGAGCAGAAACCTCTCCTGAAGAAAAGTAGCTGGGAGATTACCAGACAAAGACCTTAAAACAACTGTCTTAAAGATGCCTAAAGAGCTAAAGGAAGACATGGACAAATACAGGAAAATAATGTATGAACCAAACGAGACTATCAATAAAGAGAAAATATAAAAAGGAACTAAAAGGAAATTCTGGAGCTAAGAACTTTAATAACTGAAATGAAAAAGAAACTAGATGCTTCAAAAAAGATTTAATCTGGCAGACAAAGAATTATCAAATATGAAATAGGACAATTGAAATACTCAGGTCTGGGGAAGAGGAAGAAAAAAGATAGAAGAAAAGTAAACAGAGTCTAGGGAACATGTGGGACACCATGAAACTGACCAACATATTTATTGTGTCAATCCCAGAAGAAGAAGGGAGAGGGGAATAAAACAGTAAGAATATTTGAAGAAATAATGGCTGAACACTTTCCAAATCTAATGAAAGACATGACTGTAAATGTCCAAGAGGCTCAATGAAATCCAAATAAAATGAACTGAAAGAGACCCACACTGAGACACATTATAATCAAACTGTTGAAAGTCAAGACAGAACCTTGGAATCAGAAAGAGAAAAGCATCTTGTTGCAAATAAGGAATCCTCAATAAGATTATCAGCAGATTTATCGCCAGAAATGTTAGAAACCAGAAGGCACTGAGTTGATACATTACAAATGCTGAAAGAAAAAAATCCTGTCAATTGAGAGTTCTATACTCAACAAATTGTCTTTCAAAAATGAGGGAAAAACTATGACATTCTCAGATAAATAAAAGATAAGGGAGCATATTACCATTAAACCTACCCTGCAAGAAATGCTGAAGGATGATCTTCAGGTTGCCATGAAAGGATACTAGATAGTAAATCAAAGCCATATGAAAAAATAAAGGTTTTCAATAAAGGTAAATGCATGGACAGCTATAAAAGCTAGAATTATTATAATTTTGGTTTGTAACTCCACTTTTTATTTTCTGCGTGATTTAAAAGACATGCATAAAAGCAATTATTAACCTATGTTATTGGGCATACAGTGTACAGATGTAATTTGTGATACAAGTAATTCAAAAAGGTGTTTGAAGCTGATTAGGAGTAAAATTTTTATATGCTGTTGAAGTTAAGTTGGTATACATTTAAATTAAATTACTATTACCTTAGCATGTTAATTGTAATCCCAATGGTAGCCATAACAAAAAAAATCTATAGAATATACACAAAAGAAAATGAGAGGGGAATCAAAACACTTCACTACAAAAATTTGACAAACCACACAAGAAAGCACTAATGAAGAAAATGAGGAACAATGTTATATGAGACATACAGAAAACAACTAGCAAAATGGCAGACCTAAGTCCTTTCTCATCAGTAATTGCTTTAAATGTGAATGGATTAAGTAGTTTATTCAAAAGGCAAAGATAAGCAAAATGGATTTTTAAAATGACCCAATTATATGCTGTCTATAAGAGATTCACTTTAGATCTAAAGACACAAATAGATTGAAAATGAAGAGATGGAAAAAGATATTCCATACAAATAATAACCAAAAGATAGCTAGTGGCTATAATACTATCAGACAAAACAGACTTTACATCTAACAAGCCTATGAGAGAAAAAAAAGAATCTTATATTTTAATTAAAAGTTTGATATACGAAGAATACATAAATATTATAAAAATTTACAAGCCTAATATCCAACCTTCAAAATATATGAAGCAAACATTGTCATAATCGAAGGGAGTGATGGACAACTCTACAATGAGGTGGACATTTCAATACCCCCACTTTCAATAATGGATAGAACAATCGGACAAAAGCTAAGTAAGGAACTAGAGGGCTCGAACAACACAATAAACTAACTATACTTAACATATAGATACAGAACACTAATCCAATAACAGCAGAACACCCAGTATTCTCAAGTGCACATGGGGCATTCTCCAGGATAGATCGCACATCTCACCGGAAATTAAACAACATTCTTTTGAACATCCAATGAATCAAAGAATAAATTACGAAAGAAATTAGAAAACACTTAAAGACAAATGAAAATAAATGCACAACATACCAAAACTCATGGGATGCAGTAAAAGTGGTGCTCAGAAGGAAAATTTATAGCTGCAAATACCTTCATTAAAAAAGGGAAGATTTCAAATAAATTATCTAACTTTAAACCTTAAGGAAAAGGAAGAGCAAAATGAACCCAAAACTTGCAGAAGAAAAAATATTTGCAGAGATGACCTATGTAGAGAATGTAGATAATAGGATAGGACAATGTAGAAAATAGAAAAATAACAGAAAATTAATAATACCAAAAATTGGTTCTTTAAAAAGATTAACAAAATTGACAAACCTTTAGCTAGACTGAAGAAGATACAGATAACTAAAATCAGAAATGAAAGTGAGGACATTACTACCAACCTTACAGAGACAAAAAAGGATTACAGATTACAAGATAATACTATGAGCAATTATATACAAACAAATTAGATAACACAAAATGAACAAATTTACTTATTAATTTATTTATTATTACTTTTTTAGTTAGGGTCTATTTTTTTTAATAGAGGGTCTTGCTCTATTGCCTAGGCTGGAGTTCAGTGGCACAATAATAGCTCACTGCAACCTTGAAGTCCTGGACTCAAGCAACCCTGCTGCCTCAGCTGCCCAAGCATCTAGGAATACAGGCATGCACCACACCTGGCTTAAAAAAATATAGAGAAATGAGGTCTCTCTATGTTGCCCAACCTGGTCCTGAAAAACAGATTTTTCAAAACACACAAATTACCTAAACTAACTCAAGAAGAAACAGTAAATATCAATAGACCTATAACAAGTTAAAAAGTTGATCAAACACCTTCGCAAAACTAAAAGTTCTGGCTTGACTATTCGAGTCTACCAAACATTTACAGAATTAGTAATACCAGTTCTTCTCAAGTGCTTCCAAAAACATTGAAAAGGAGAAAATACTTTCTAACACATTTTATAAGGCCAGTGTTACCCTGATACCAAGGCCAAGTAAAGACATCACAAGTAAAGAAAATTACAGAACAATATCCCTTATGAGTATGATGCAAAAATCTTCAACAAAATATTAGCAAATAGAATCTAACAGCACATTGAAAGAATTATTCACCATGGCTAAGCAGAATTTTTCTTAAAAATCCAAGGGTAGTACGACATTAGAAAAATCAATGTAATGGCCAGGCGAGGTGGCTCATGCCTGTAATCCCAGCATTTTGGGAGCCCGAGGTGGGCTGATCATGAGGTCAGGAAGCCGAGACCAGCCTGGCCAACATGGTGAAACACCGTCTCTACTAAAAATACAAAAATTTCCGGGCATGGTGGTGCATGCCTGTAATCCCAGCTACTTGGGAGGCTGAGGCAGGAGAATCACTTGAACCCGGGAGGTGGAGGTTGCAGTGAGCCAAAATCATGCCATTGCACTCCAGCCTGGGCGACAGAGCAAGACTCCGTCTCAAAAACAAAAACAGCAGCAACAACAACAAAAAAAAAAGAAAATCAATGTAATACATTCACAATAATAAAATAAAGAAAAAAACCCAAATGATTATCTCAATTAACACAGAAAGGGCAATTGAATAAAAATCAACTATATCTTTCATGATAAAAGCACTCAGACAGCAAATGATAGAAAGTTCCTCAACATGAAAAATGGTATTTATAAAAAATCCACAACTTACATCATATTCAATGGTGAATAAAGAAAAGCTTTCACCTAAGAACAAGACAAGGATGCCCACTTTCACCCCTGCTATTCAACACTGCATTGGAAGTTCTAGCCAGAGCTATTAGAAAAGAAAAAGAAATAAAAGCTATCCAAATTGGAAAGGAAGAAGTAAAACTATCCCTATTCACAGAGAACATGATTCTATATATACAAAAATCCCAAAGCCTCCACAAGAAAGCTACTAGAGCTAAAAAACAAATTGAGCAGTTATAGGCTACAAGATCAACACACAAAAATCCATTGTGTTACTATATACCAAGAATGAACAACCCAAACAGGAATTTAAGAAACTAACTCTATTACCAGAGTATCTAAATAATTAAAAACTTAGAAATAAATGTAACTAAGGATAATGATTTGTATGCTAAAAACTACAAAACAATGTGAAAAGAAATTAAAGATATAAATAAATGAATGACATGAATAAGAATAGGAAGCCTTAGCATTGTTTAGACTTTAGTACTACCCAAAGTAATCTATAGATTCATCAACATTCCTAAAAAAATGTCAACAGGTTTTTTTCACAGAACTGGAAAAGCCATTCCTCCAATTCTTGTGCAGTTTTAAGGGGCACGAAGTGGCCAAAATAATCTTGAAAAAGAAAACTAAAGTTGGAAGACCCAGACTTCCTTACTTCAAAACTTACTGCAAAGGTACAGCAATTGAACAATATGTTTTTTGGAATAAGAACATATATGTAGACCAACTGAATAAAATAGAGGAGTCCAGAAAAAAAAAAAACACATGTATGGTCAATTGATTTTTGATAAGGTTATCAAGACCATTAAATAAAGAAAGGACAGTCTTTTTAACAAATCATGCTGGGAGAATAGAATAACCACATGCAAAAGTATGAAATTGAATTATTACCTACCACCTTATAAAAATTAACCAAAAAATGGATAAACTAGCTAATGGTCTATCAATTTTATCTTTTCAAAGAACCAAACTTTCATTTCGTTAATTTTTTGTACTGTTTTCTTTTTGTTTGTTTCAATTTCATTTCTTTCTGCTCTGATCTTTATTTTTTATTTTCTTCTGCTAGCTTTGGGTTTGGTTTGTTCTTGTTTCTCTAGTTCCTTGAGGTGACATTAGGTTGTCAATTTGTGATCTTTCAGGCTTTTCAATATAGGCATTTCATGCTATAAGCTGTCCTCTTTAGCACTGCTTTTGCTGTATCTCAGAGGTTTTGATAACTTGTGTCATTGTTATCATTTACTTGGAAGAATTTTTAAATTTCCATCTTGATTTTATTGTTAACCCCAAATTCATTTAGGAGTGGATTGTTTAATTTTGAAGTATTTATATAATTTTGAGGGTTCCTTCTGGAATGGATTTCTAGTTTTATTCCACTGTGGTCTGAGAAGGTACTTAATATGATTTTGATTCTTAAAAAATGTATTGAGACTTGTTTTGCGGCTTGTCATATGGTCTATTTTGGAGAACATTCCATGTGCTAATGAGAATATATATCCTGCAGAATATATAAGAATTTAGTATAAGAGCTAAAACTATAAAACTTTTAGGAAAAAATGTAGGGAAAATCTTTATAGCATTGGACTTTGCCAAAAGTACAGAAAACAAACAAAACAAAAAATAGGTATATTGGAGTTCATCAATATTAAGAACTTTAGGGCATCAAAGAACAATATCAAGGTGAAAAGGCAATCCACAAAACAGAAGAAAACGTTTACAAAATATATATCTGGCAGGCTATTAACATCCATAATATATAAAGGAATTCTACAAATCCACAACAAAATGACACACAACCCAATTGAAAATTAACAAAATATTTGAATAAACATTTCTCCAAAAAAGATATATAAATGGCCACAAAACACATGAAAAGGTGCTCAACATCATTAGACATTAGGGAAATGCAAATCAAAATCACAATGCCATACTCCACATCCACTAGGATGGCTAGAAACCAAATGAAATAAAACACAACAGAAAATAACAAGTGTTGCTGAAGATGTGGAGAAATTGAAACTCTCATGCATTGCTGGTTGGAATACAAAATGGTATGGCTGCTTTGAAAAACAATTTGGTGGTTCCTCAAAAAGTTAGAAATAGACCCAGCAATTCCACTTCTAGGTATACACCCGAAAGTATTGAAATCAGGGACTAAAACAGATACTTGTACACCAATGTTTATAGCAGCAATATTCACAATAGCTAAAAGGTGGAAACAACCACCTGTGTCAACAGATGAATGGATCAACAAATATGGTATAACCAAAAAATATTATTCAACCTTAAAAGGGAATGAAATTCTGCTACATGCAACAATGTTATGATAATTACCACAAGCCAAGCACAACATGATACATATCATATGATTCTACTTATATGAGGTACCTCAAATAGGCAAATTCATAGAGACAGAAAATAGAATAGAAGTAACTGGGGGCTGAGGGAAGATGGGTAGGAAGGTAAAGGATTGTTTAATGGGTACGTAGTTTATGTCGGGAATGATGAAAAGGTTTTGGGCACAGATACTAGTGATGGTTATAAAACATTGTGGTTGTAATTAATGTCACTGTATTGTACACTTACAAATGATTAAGATGATAAATACTGTATATATTTTCCCACAATAAAAATTTTAAAGCAATGAGATAGTGATATATTCTATAACATGTGTGAAACTTGAGAACATGTTAAGTGAAATAAGCAAGACACAGATGGCTACCTACTGTATGATTTCACCCATATTAAATGTCCATAATGAGAAAATTCATAGACAGAGAAGGTACATTAGTGGCTTCTAGAAGGTGATAGGAAGGGAAAATGTGGTGCAGGTCCTAAAAGTGTTTCTTTATGGGGTGATGAAAATGTTCTGGAATTAGATAGTGGTAATGGTTGTACAACTTGGTGAATATACTAAAAATGCTGAATTGTAACAATAATTTAAAATATCTACTAAGTCAAGGTCAGGCTGAGAAAAGTGTGGTTTAGCATTGGCAGATTCAGGGATAGTAGTTAATAGTTATATTCATAGTGAGTCAACAGTGTGGCTTGGCTTTTAAAAAAGCTAATGTGATCTGAGGCTACACATATAGAAGTATGTGCTCTATAAGAAGGAAAGCAGTCATCTTGTTCTTTCCTGGCTGCCCAGGCCATAACTGAAGGACTGCATTTAGTTCTGGCCCTACCCTTTAAGAAAGCATTTAATTATCTGAAACATGACTAAAGGAGAGTGCTCAGGGTATACATAGACTTGAAGTCGATTCAAGAAAAGGATTGGCCTAGAGGATTTAAAGATCCTCTAGGAGGCAACATAGTTGAGAAAAAGCTTAGTTACATAAATTTCAGTTCCAGTTTCTTTGCTTATTAGGTTGATAAAGATGAACATGTCATTTACTCTATTAGTCAATTATTTTCATTGCAAGTGACAGAGATTACAACTAAAATTGGATTAAGCAGAAAAAGGAATGTATGAGCCCAT
The DNA here is from genome assembly GCF_000001405.40 of Homo sapiens. Lineage (NCBI taxonomy): Eukaryota > Metazoa > Chordata > Mammalia > Primates > Hominidae > Homo > Homo sapiens. The sequence goes on along the minus strand of NC_000023.11, from coordinate 64,023,514 downwards.
ATAACTGAAAAGTTCAGGGGTAGATGGAGCTTGATCCAGGGGCTCCAATTCTGTCACTTGTATCTAGCCTCTGTCTCTGTCTTTGTCTCTCTATCTCTTTCTCTCTCTCTTGGTCCTGTTTCATTGGTTGGCTACACACATAGGAAGGTTCTCCTTTCAGGGTGGCAAGATATCTGCCGGCAGTTCCATGCTACATCATTCCAAGTGTGTGTGTGTGTGTGGGGGGGGGGTGCACAACCCTACATGCACGTGTGAACGCGTGCATGTCTGTGTGTGTTGGAGAAGGGATGCTTCCTGGAAATTCCCATGCAAGTATAGAATTCACTCTAATCTGACCACCTCAGATCATATGCAGTTCTCTGTGGCTGCATGTATAGTTCATGGTGGCTGGGAATCAGTGTGATGATTGGCTATGGCTGGGTCACATGCTCGACTCTTGGAACTGTGCCTGAAGCACATGTACTGAGAACAGAGGGGAGCTTGTGTCCTTAAAATACAACCAGAGGTATTTTATCGAGAGGAGGGGAAATGCATATTTGGCAGCCAAAATACTTATCACCCTCTCTGTGCCTCATTTTGCTTATTGGTAGGATTGAAATAATCATGCCCACTACATAGAATTGTTATGAGGATTGATGAGATAACATGTAGAGTGTCTAGCACAGTGTGTCCTATGGCAGATGTTGTGTAAATGTTAGTTTTCTTTTCCTAAAATATACCAAAATCCCTGTCTCCTTGTTTCTGGTCTTCAGGCCACTGTGACTGGGCTTTATGCATATATCATTCCACTATGGTTCAGTTTTCTTTATTTCCAGAACCTTGGTCGCTGGAGTTCAGGATGGAAGCATATAAAACTCTAGACGCCTCCAGCCTTTCCTATCTAGTACATTAAATAATATGTATCTGGTCATCTCATCTCCCCTAGAGTTTAGATGACAAAATTCTGTATATTGTTATTTCTACCTTATTACAGGAGAAATTTCAAAGACTCTCTTTCTTCAAAAATTTTCTTACTTAAAGAGCTAAATCATTTTTTCCTTCTGGATATTTTGAGCATGCTTTGAAGGTGACAATAGCAACTTTTAAACAGTCTTTCCTAAGAGATTAAGGTGACTCTTGGTGGAAAGAACACTTCTGACTCTTGCAGGAGGATGAAGATGGTCTCTGGAGGATCATGTTTAGAAGACTATGGAAAAGCAAGCAGAGGGCATTTTCAGTTACCCTTCAGAATGAGTCTGGAGCATTTCTCAGTCCTCTTCTAAGCTTCATCTGGACAGAGCCATCCCTAAGCTCAGGAAAGAGATCAGGTGCTAAAAACTGGGATGAAAGCTAGACCTGAGACTTTTTTATACAGTTAGTGTCAAGATACAGACATTCCAGTATACTTTTATTCCATCTCTGGATGGGCTAAAGTTACCCGTTTGTCTTGCTTTCCCAAACACCTCTGATGAGAAACACAGCTGATACTGGGCCTCATGCAATATATATATGTGTGTATGTGTGTGTGTGTGTGTAGTGTGTGTGTGTGTGTCTGTGTGTTTATGTGTCCTCCTCTGCCAATGACGCTAATGGTGGATGGTTGTCTTTACCTGGGGCTTCTATTCTGGATATAAAGACAGATGACAGAGAGATGCCAAGAGAACCATAGGGACAGGCCAGTCAGGTGTCAGTGGAGAAAGGAACATTCTTTAATGCATGCGGTTTCATGAATGATGGCTTAGTCTGTTCAGGCTACTATAAGAAATTACCATTAACCGTGGTGGCGCATAAACAACATAAATAGTTCTGGAGATTGGTAAGTCCAAGATCAAGACACCAGCGGATTTGGTGTCTGGTGGGGGCTCACTATCTAGTTCATTAACAGTACCTTCTCACTGTGTTCTCACATGATGAAAAGTGCAAGGGGTCTCTCTGGGGCCTCTTTTATAAGGGTACTAATCCATTCATGAGTGTTCTGCCCTCACAATCTAATCACTTCCCCCACCAATTCAAATGCTAATCTCATCTGGATACACTCTCACAGACACGCCCAGAAATGGTGTTTAATTTGGACACCCCTGGACCCAATGAAGGTGGTACATAAAATTAACAATCACAGGGTATGAAAGCAGGCCAAGATCCCTGAAATAAAAACTAGCAAACATCAACTCATACTAGATGAGGCTAGCTGACTACAAAAGTGACCCAGCCAAAAACTGAGGAGGGCATGTGCAAATGGCTGGTGACAGGATCCCTGTGTTTCTCAATTCAGTCAGGTAGATAAGTTGATCCTCAAAAAAGTATCTTACTTTGGAGAGAGAAGTTCTCATGGAGATTGAGAACCCTAGAGTTTGGATACTAGCTTTGCTCTTAATTTACCACGTGATCTTCAGAAAATCCTGCTTTTTCAGTGGAGATCGGTTTCCTTATTTCTAAAATGAAGAGATAAGACCAGGGGATATCTAAGTACCTCCTAGCTAAAATACTTGATGACTCCACTCAAATGTATTGTAACTTGTCTGAGGTCGTTGTTGTGTTGTCTTAACAGAGTGTGTGTGTCAGGGGATATGTAGAGGCTGGAAAAGGGGGAGTAGTGTAGTTTTACAATTTCTAAGAAGGAGTCAGTTTGGCTCTGATACTCAGAGGAAAATTTGAACCACAGTCTCCTTAAATCAAGAGAAACATCCTTGAGGAATGTTAAACCTCCTTTGTCCTAATTCTCTTATGACCAAGAAGCTTCCTGTGGGTACATTCAGCTTCTCAAGCCAAATGACCTACCAGGAAAAAAGGCTACTGAGTGAATTGTGGTTGTGGGTAACTTGATAAGCTCTGTCCACAGGGGAAATTAGCAAGATGACAGAAGATCTTTCTTATATCAAGCTCTGAAAACTTCAGTTAAGGGGATTTGTTTTCCTCAGCTGGCGTATCTCAACATAGGGCAGTAAAATTCTACTTCTGGCCCTACAAAACTGAGGCCCAATCCCCACTGCCATGGCAAACCCTCCAAGGCCCTGACCCTCTACTGAGTCCAGTTCCCCTACCTGCCAGTAGCCAGAACTTCCTTCTTTTTGCTGTCTCTGGAGCAGCACCAAACTCTTTTTCTCAGCCAGACTACAGGGTGAAAGAACGTGACCCAATGTGTGCTGCATGTGTCTCCCTTCACATAGTGTGACCTGACAAGTCTTTAGTCACTGTAGTAAGATGCATGGATTCCTAGCTTACCTAAGCACACCCGTGAAATGGCAGATGGTTATAGGTCAGGCAAACCCAGGCAGAGGAGAAAGCATTAACCTAGGGACTGAAGGCCTGCGTACTTGAACTTTCACTGCCCTAGATTCTTTTTTTTTTTTTAACCTCTGGGGTACATGTGCAGGGTGTGCAGGTTTGTTACATAGGTAAACGTGTGCCATGGTGGTTTGCTGCACCTATCAACCCATAATCTAGGTATTAAGCCCAACATGCATTAGCTATTTTTTCTGATACTCTCCCTCCCCCCACCCTCCCCAACAGGCCACCATGTGTGTTGTTCCCCTCCCTGTCTCCATGTTTTCATTGCATGTGGTGTTTGGTTTTCTATTCCTGCATTAGTTTGCTGAGGATAATGGATTCCGGCTCTATCCATTTCCCTGCAAAGGACATGAACTCATTTATTTTTATGGCTGCATAATATTCCAGAGTGCGTATGTACCACATTTTCTTTATACAGCCTATCATTGATGGACATTTAGGTCGATTGCATGTCTTTGCTAGTGTGCATAGTGCTGCAATGAATATATGCATGCATGCATCTTTATAATAGAATTATTTTATACCTTTGGTTATATAACCTATAATGAGATTGCTGGGTCATATAGTATTTCTGGTTCTAGGTCTTTGAGGAATTGCCACACTGTCTTCCACAATGGTTGAACTAATTTACATTCCCACCAACAGTGTAAAAGCATTCCTATCTCTCCACAGCTTTGCCAGCATCTGTTGTCTCTTGACTTTAGTAATCGCCGTTCTCACTGGAGTGAGATGGTATCTCATCGTGGTTTCGATTTGCATTTCTCTAATGATTAGTGATGTTAAGCTTTTTTTCATATGTTTGTTGGCTGCATAAATGTCTTCTTTTGAGAAGTGTCTGTTCATATCATTTGCCTACTTTTTAATGGGGTTGTTTGCTTTTTTCTTGTAAATCTGTTTAAATTCCTTCTAGACTCTAGATATTAGACCTTTGTCTTATGGATAGGTTGGAAAACTTTTCTCGGGAGGAGGAGCCAAGATGGCCGAATAGGAACAGCTCCGGTCTACAGCTCCCAGCGTGAGCGACGCAGAAGACGGGTGATTTCTGCATTTCCATCTGAGGTACCGGGTTCATCTCACTAGGGAGTGCCAGACAGTGGGCGCAGGCCAGTGTGTGTGCGCACCGTGCGCGAGCCGAAGCAGGGCGAGGCATTGCCTCACCTGGGAAGCGCAAGGGGTCAGGGAGTTCCCTTTCCGAGTCAAAGAAAGGGGTGATGGACGGACCTGGAAAATCGGGTCACTCCCACCCGAATATTGCGCTTTTCAGACCGGCTTAAGAAACGGCGCACCACGAGACTATATCCCACACCTAGCTCAGAGGGTCCTACGCCCACGGAATCTCGCTGATTGCTAGCACAGCAGCCTGAGATCAAACTGCAAGGCGGCAACGAGGCTGGGGGAGGGGTGACCGCCATTGCCCAGGCTTGCTTAGGTAAACAAAGCAGCCAGGAAGCTTGAACTGGGTGGAGCCCACCACAGCTCAAGGAGGCCTGCCTGCCTCTGTAGGCTCCACCTCTGGGGGCAGGGCACAGACAAACAAAAAGACAGCAGTAACCTCTGCAGACTTAAGTGTCCCTGTCTGACAGCTTTGAAGAGAGCAGTGTTTCCCCCAGCACGCAGCTGGAGATCTGAGAACGGGCAGACTGCCTCCTCAAGTGGGTCCCTGACCCCTGACCCCCGAGTAGCCTAACTGGGAGGCACCACCCAGCAGGGGCACACTGACACCTCACACGGCAGGGTATTCCAACCGACCTGCAGCTGAGGGTCCTGTCTGTTAGAAGGAAAACTAACAACCAGAAAGGACATCTACACCGAAAACCCATCTGTACATCACCATCATCAAAGACCAAAAGTAGATAAAACCACAAAGATGGGGAAAAAACAGAACAGAAAAACTGGAAACTCTAAAACGCAGAGCGCCTCTCCTCCTCCAAAGGAACGCAGTTCCTCACCAGCAACAGAACAAAGCTGGATGGAGAATGATTTTGACGAGCTGAGAGAAGAAGGCTTCAGACGATCAAATTACTCTGAGCTACGGGAGGACATTCAAACCAAAGGCAAAGAAGTTGAAAACTTTGAAAAAAATTTAGAAGAATGTATAACTAGAATAACCAATACAGAGAAGTGCTTAAAGGAGCTGATGGAGCTGAAAACCAAGGCTCGAGAACTACGTGAAGAATGCAGAAGCCTCAGGAGCCGATGCGATCAACTGGAAGAAAGGGTATCAGCAATGGAAGATGAAATGAATGAAATGAAGCGAGAAGGGAAGTTTAGAGAAAAAAGAATAAAAAGAAATGAGCAAAGCCTCCAAGAAATATGGGACTATGTGAAAAGACCAAATCTACGTCTGATAGGTGTACCTGAAAGTGATGAGGAGAATGGAACCAAGTTGGAAAACACTCTGCAGGATATTATCCAGGAGAACTTCCCCAATCTAGCAAGGCAGGCCAACGTTCAGATTCAGGAAATACAGAGAACGCCACAAAGATACTCCTCGAGAAGAGCAACTCCAAGACACATAATTGTCAGATTCACCAAAGTTGAAATGAAGGAAAAAATGTTAAGGGCAGCCAGAGAGAAAGGTCGGGTTACCCTCAAAGGAAAGCCCATCAGACTAACAGCGGATCTCTCGGCAGAAACCCTACAAGCCAGAAGAGAGTGGGGGCCAATATTCAACATTCTTAAAGAAAAGAATTTTCAACCCAGAATTTCATATCCAGCCAAACTAAGCTTCATAAGTGAAGGAGAAATAAACTACTTTATAGACAAGCAAATGCTGAGAGATTTTGTCACCACCAGGCCTGCCATAAAAGAGCTCCTGAAGGAAGCGCTAAACCTGGAAAGGAACAACCGGTACCAGCCGCTGCAAAATCATGCCAAAATGTAAAGACCATCGAGACTAGGAAGAAACTGCATCAACTAATGAGCAAAATAACCAGCTAACATCATAATGACAGGATCAAATTCACACATAACAATATTAACTTTAAATATAAATGGACTAAATTCTGCAATTAAAAGACACAGACTGGCAAGTTGGATAAAGAGTCAAGACCCATCAGTGTGCTGTATTCAGGAAACCCATCTCATGTGCAGAGACACACATAGGCTCAAAATAAAAGGATGGAGGAAGATCTACCAAGCCAATGGAAAACAAAAAAAGGCAGGGGTTGCAATCCTAGTCTCTGATAAAACAGACTTTAAACCAACAAAGATCAAAAGAGACAAAGAAGGCCATTACATAATGGTAAAGGGATCAATTCAACAAGAGGAGCTAACTATCCTAAATATTTATGCACCTAATACAGGAGCACCCAGATTCATAAAGCAAGACCTCAGTGACCTACAAAGAGACTTAGACTCCCACACATTAATAATGGGAGACTTTAACACCCCACTGTCAACATTAGACAGATCAACGAGACAGAAAGTCAACAAGGATACCCAGGAATTGAACTCAGCTCTGCACCAAGCAGACCTAATAGACATCTACAGAACTCTCCACCCCAAATCAACAGAATATACATTTTTTTCAGCACCACACCACACCTATTCCAAAATTGACCACATACTTGGAAGTAAAGCTCTCCTCAGCAAATGTAAAAGAACAGAAATTATAACAAACTATCTCTCAGACCACAGTGCAATCAAACTAGAACTCAGGATTAAAAATCTCACTCAAAGCCGCTCAACTACATGGAAACTGAACAACCTGCTCCTTAATGACTACTGGGTACATAACGAAATGAAGGCAGAAATAAAGATGTTCTTTGAAACCAACAAGAACAAAGACACCACATACCAGAATCTCTGGGACACATTCAAAGCAGTGTGTAGAGGGAAATTTACAGCACTAAATGCCTACAAGAGAAAGCAGGAAAGATCCAAAATTGACACCCTAACATCACAATTAAAAGAACTAGAAAAGCAAGAGCAAACACATTCAAAAGCTAGCAGAAGGCAAGAAATAACTAAAATCAGAGCAGAACTGAAGGAAATAGAGACACAAAAAACCCTTCAAAAAATCAATGAATCCAGGAGCTGGTTTTTTGAAAGGATCAACAAAATTGATAGACCCCTAGCAAGACTAATAAAGAAAAAAAGAGAGAAGAATCAAATAGACACAATAAAAAATGATAAAGGGGATATCACCACCGATCCCACAGAAATACAAACTACCATCAGAGAATACTACAAACACCTCTACGCAAATAAACTAGAAAATCTAGAAGAAATGGATAAATTCCTCCACACATACACTCTCCCAAGAGTAAACCAGGAAGAAGTTGAATCTCTGAATAGACCAATAACAGGCTCTGAAATTGTGGCAATAATCAATAGTTTACCAACCAAAAAGAGTCCAGGACCAGATGGATTCACAGCCGAATTCTACCAGAGGTACAAGGAGGAACTGGTACCATTCCTTCTGAAACTATTCCAATCAATAGAAAAAGAGGGAATCCTCCCTAACTCATTTTATGAGGCCAGCATTATTCTGATACCAAAGCCGGGCAGAGACACAACCAAAAAAGAGAATTTTAGACCAATATCCTTGATGAACATTGATGCAAAAATCCTCAATAAAATACTGGCAAACCAAATCCAGCAGCACATCAAAAAGCTTATCCACCATGATCAAGTGGGCTTCATCCCTGGGATGCAAGGCTGGTTCAATATGTGCAAATCAATAAATGTAATCCAGCATATAAACAGAGCCAAAGACAAAAACCACATGATTATCTCAATAGATGCAGAAAAAGCCTTAGACAAAATTCAACAACCCTTCGTGCTAAAAACTCTCAATAAATTAGGTATTGATGGGACGTATTTCAAAATAATGAGAGCTATCTATGACAAACCCACAGCCAATATCATACTGAATGGGCAAAAACTGGAAGCATTCCCTTTGAAAACTGGCACAAGACAGGGATGCCCTCTCTCACCGCTCCTATTCAACATAGTGTTGGAAGTTCTGGCCAGGGCAATCAGGCAGGAGAAGGAAATAAAGGGTATTCAATTAGGAAAAGAGGAAGTCAAATTGTCCCTGTTTGCAGACGACATGATTGTATATCTAGAAAACCCCATCGTCTCAGCCCAAAATCTCCTTAAGCTGATAAGCAACTTCAGCAAAGTCTCAGGATACAAAATCAATGTACAAAAATCACAAGCATTCTTATACACCAACAACAGACAAACGGAGAGCCAAATCATGGGTGAACTCCCATTCACAATTGCTTCAAAGAGAATAAAATACCTAGGAATCCAACTTACAAGGGATGTGAAGGACCTCTTCAAGGAGAACTACAAACCACTGCTCAAGGAAATAAAAGAGGACACAAACAAATGGAAGAACATTCCATGCTCATGGGTAGGAAGAATCAATATCGTGAAAATGGCCATACTGCCCAAGGTAATTTACAGATTCAATGCCATCCCCATCAATCTACCAATGACTTTCTTCACAGAATTGGAAAAAACTACTTTAAAGTTCATATGGAACCAAAAAAGAGCCCGCATTGCCAAGTCAATCCTAAGCCAAAAGAACAAAGCTGGAGGCATCACACTACCTGACTTCAAACTATACTACAAGGCTACAGTAACCAAAACAGTATGGTACTGGTACCAAAACAGAGATATAGATCAAGGAAACAGAACAGAGCCCTCAGAAATAATGCCGCATATCTACAACTATATGATCTTTGACAAACCTGAGAAAAACAAGCAATGGGGAAAGGATTCCCTATTTAATAAATGGTGCTGGGAAAACTGGCTAGCCATATGTAGAAAGCTGAAACTGGATCCCTTCCTTACACCTTATACAAAAATTAATTCAAGATGGATTAAAGATTTAAACGTTAGACCTAAAACCATAAAAACCCTAGAAGAAAACCTAGGCATTACCATTCAGGACATAGGCGTGGGCAAGGACTTCATGTCCAAAACACCAAAAGCAATGGCAACAAAAGCCAAAATTGACAAATGGGATCTAATTAAACTAAAGAGCTGCTGCACAGCAAAAGAAACTACCATCAGAGTGAACAGGCAACCTACAACATGGGAGAAAATTTTCGCAACCTACTCATCTGACAAAGGGCTAATATCCAGAATCTACAATGAACTCAAACAAATTTACAAGAAAAAAACAAACAACCCCATCAAAAAGTGGGCGAAGGACATGAACAGACACTTCTCAAAAGAAGACATTTATGCAGCCAAAAAACACATGAAGAAATGCTCATCATCACTGGCCATCAGAGAAATGCAAATCAAAACCACTATGAGATATCATCACACACCAGTTAGAATGGCAATCATTAAAAAGTCAGGAAACAACAGGTGCTGGAGAAGATGTGGAGAAATAGGAACACTTTTACACTGTTGGTGGGACTGTAAACTAGTTCAACCATTGTGGAAGTCAGTGTGGCGATTCCTCAGGGATCTAGAACTAGAAATACCATTTGACCCAGCCATCCCATTACTGGGTATATACCCAAAGGACTATAAATCATGCTGCTATAAAGACACATGCACACGTATGTTTATTGCGGCACTATTCACAATAGCAAAGACTTGGAAGCAACCCAAATGTCCAACAATGATAGACTGGATTAAGAAAATGTGGCACATATACACCATGGAATACTATGCAGCCATAAAAAATGATGAGTTCATATCCTTTGTAGGGACATGGATGAAATTGGAAACCATCATTCTCAGTAAACTATCGCAAGAACAAAAAACCAAACACCGCATATTCTCACTCATAGGTGGGAATTGAACAATGAGATCACATGGACACAGGAAGGGGAATATCACACTCTGGGGACTGTGGTGGGGTCGGGGGAGGGGGGAGGGATAGCATTGGGAGATATACCTAATGCTAGATGACACATTAGTGGGTGCAGCGCACCAGCATGGCACATGTATACATATGTAACTAACCTGCACATTGTGCACATGTACCCTAAAACTTAGAGTATAATAAAAAAAAAAAAGTATAAAAAAAGAAGAAAAAAAAAAAGAAAAAAAAAAAAAACTTTTCTCCCATTCTGTAGGTTGTCTGTTCACTATGACGATAGTTTCTTTTACTCTGCAGAAGCTCTTTAGTTTAATAGGATCCCATTTTTCAACTTTCACCTTTGTTGCTATTGCCCATGCCTATGCCCTGAATGGTATTGCCTAAGTTTTCTTCTAGGTTGTTTATAGGTTTGGGTTTCACATGTAAGTCTTTAATCCATCTTGAGTCAGTTTTTGTATAAGGTATAATGAAGGGATTCACTTTCAATTTTCTGCATATGGTTAGCCAGTTCTCCCAGCACCATTTATTAACTAGGGGATCTTTTCCCCATTGCTGGTTTTTGTCAAGTTTGTCAAATCAGATGGTTGTAAATGGTATTATTTCTGAGAGGTATTATTTCTGAGTTCTCTTTTCTGTTTCATTGGTCTATGTGTCTGTTTTTGTACCAGTACCATGCTGTTTTTGTTACTGTAGCCTTGTAGTATAGTTTGAAGTCAGGTAGCATGATGCCTCCAGCTTTGTTTTTTTTTGCTGAGGATTATCTTGGCTACCTGGGCTTTTTTTTGTTTCGTATGAATTATAAAATTGTTTTATCTAATTCTGTGAAGAATATCAAGACTATCAATGGTAGCTTGATGGGAATAAAATTGAATCTATAAATTACTTTGGGCAGTATGACCATTTTCACGATATTTATTCTTCCTGTCCATGAGCAGGGAATGTTTTTTTCATTTGTTTGTGTCCTCTTTGATTTCTTTGAGCAGTGGTTTGTAGTTCTCCTTGAAGATTTCCTTCATTACCCTTGTTAGCTGTATTCCTATGTATTGTATTCTTTTTGTAGCAATTGTGAATGGAAGTTCAGTCATGATTTGGCTCTCAGCTTGTCTGTTGTTGGTGTATAGGAATGCTTATGATTTTTGCATATCAATTTTGTATCCTGAGACTTTGAAGTTGCTTATCAGCTTAGGAAGCTTTTGCGCTGAGACAATGGGGATTTCTAGAAATAGGATCATGTCATCTGCAAACAAAGACAGTTTGACTCCTTGTCTTTTTTTCGATTACCCTTTATTTCTTCCTCCTGCTAGATTGCCCTGGCCAGAACTTCCAACACTATGTTGAATAGGAGTGGTGAGAGAGGTCTAGATTTTTTTCTGTGACCTTCAACATTTCCTTTTCTCTCCCTATCCTTCCATTTTCTCATTTGGGAAAAGATGGCATTCAGATTAGTCCAAGGGTGATACACAAATGAGCCCCAAATCATTAACATGGGTAAATAAATGGAGGATGTTTAATGCAATACAACAAAGAGTAGTGAGAATTTTGGCACACTGAAGACTACACACTCTGACTAAAGAGAGCAACTGGACCTCAGCTCCAACTGATTAGGATCATGGGCAAATATGTAAGAAAGAGTAGAAATCTGAATTTTTAAATGTGAAATCTCCTTATTTGTAACTATTGGATGCTAATTTAACTTTTTAAAATACTGTGCAGCCCCCCTCCCTTATGTCTGCAGATTGCCATGTGTATTAAAAGGTTAATAATGAGCCTTGAATTTAGGGCAGCAGCATAATGGACAGAAAAGAACAGTGAGGTAGGGTTGAGGGATCCAGCTACAATCCCACCTTGAACTTGAGGGATGCAAAGTCCTGCTCCAGGGCCCAGTTCACTCACTTGTAACCTGGAAATAGTAATCTTTGCCTTGCCTACCTGACTTATTGTTATTTTGTCTTGAGAAGCCAGAGATAAGTACCTGATGGTTGTGTTGTGAAGCCAAAGAGATCAGTGTGTTAAGAATAATAAATGTAATTTGAAAATACTTTGAGAATGATATCACTTATAGAAATGGTCATTCCAACATTTATTACCTGTTGTGTGCCAGATATGTAATAGGAGGACGTAAAAAGGCAAATTAAACAAAGTTGTGGCTTTTTAAAAGTTCCTATTTAGTTGAAAAGATAAACATAAGTGCTATACACTTATAAAGATAGATGTGGTGCTTAATGCTGTAGGAAAAACTACTCAACAGAGAAGTTGGTATCTGAGTTGGTAATTGAAGGATGAAAAAGAGTTTTCTGAATGGAAAATAATTGTGATGAGAATGAGGATACAATTCCCAAAAAAATGGAACAGCTCCATTATATTTGAAGTTCCATGAGGCAGGGATGACGTTTGTCTTGTTTGTTCTTTTTATCCAGTGTTAAGCACACAGTAAGTTCAAGTCATGATAGACCATATTAATAATAATCACTAATCACTAATCAATAAATAATAGACTGCATGTACAATGGTGGTTCCTGTAAAATAACCCCACAGGGTCTTCAGGGGGTTTTCCTGAGGAAGGCATTGTTATTACAGTATGTGAAAGCTCCATGCATGCTATTGCTCCCAAAGACCTCCTAGTGTGACAAGATGTGGAGGTGGAAAACAGTGATACTGTTGATCCTGACTCTGTGTAGGCCTAGAATAATGTGTATGTTTGTGTCTTTGTTTTAACAGAAAAGTTTAAAAAGTAAAAAAAAAAAATAAAAAATAAAAAAATGGGAAAAAGCTTATAAAATAAGGATGTAAAGAAAGAAAATATTTTTGTAAAACTGTACAACGTGTTTGCGTTTTAAGCTAAGTGTTAGTACAAAACTGTCCAAAAGTTAAAAAAAATAAAAAGTTTATGAAGTAAAAAGTTACAGTAAGCTAAAGTCAATTTATTATTGAAGAAAGACAAAGGTTTTTATATCAATTTAGCATAGCCTAAGTGTATAGTGCTTATATAATCTGCAGTAGTGTACAGTAATGTCTTAAGCCTTCACATTCGGTCACTACTTACTCACTGAGTCACCTGCAGCAACTTTCAGTCCTTCAAGCTCCATTCAGAATAAGTAGCCTATATAGTGTGTACCATTTAAAAAATCTTTTATACCATTTTTACTGTACCTTTTCTATGTTTATATATGTTTAGATACACAAATATTTGCCATTGTTCTACAAGTGACTACAGTATTCAGTATAGTAACATGTAGTGCAGATTTGTAGCTTAAGAAAAATAGGCTATAACATGTAGCTTAATTTAAGTGTGTAGTAGGCTATGCAGTCTAGGTTTGTGTAAGTACTCTGATATTCATACAATAAGGAAATCACCTAACAACATATTTCTCTGAAAATATCCCTGTCATTAAGCAATGTATGACTATACCTAATGGATATATGTTGGTTGAGTAAATGAATATGTAAAGTATGCATAAAGAGACTAGTGGTAAAGGATACGTTTTATACATTGAGAAGATAGTGAGTAGTCTGATATGGCTGGAAGTAGACTCACTTGAAGGTTCGGAGGTAGGGATCTCATATGTTTTTCATAGTCAAAAATATCAAGGACAGAAAGCCCACATCACTAGGCCATTTCTTTATCCAAGTCTCAAAGCTAAACCATGGGGCAAAATCTCTTTAGAGTTTTACCTCTGTGGTATAAAGGTATAAGAGCATGGAAAAGGAGATCCAGAGGTCTTAACATCTTATTCCCCATGCAAAATTGGCAGAAGAAAAGTGGACTTATTATAGGCTAGCTGCCCCACTAGGTTATGTGATGTCTACAAGGTTTGAGAGAACCACTTTGGTGAGAAATACAATATGAAGTTGCAGGTATCCCTTCTTCTAAGTAAACCAACTTTACGTAACTAATAATTTAACAAATGTTTCTGAAGCCCACCATTTAATTAGAGATTGCTGAGCTGGAGGTCCTTTAAGAAAAAGCTAGCCAGGCCTGTGGTTTTCAGCCCATGATGTCTAGAACTTTAAGAATTCACCAAAGGTGCCTTGGTGGTACACTGGCTGGGGACTATACTTGGAATTTGAGTGGGTGGCTCTGAGCTCCAGTCTGAACTTCAACTAGAGCATCCCCACTGAGCATCTGCATTGTGTTTCATTAGAAGAAAGGGTTCCATGGCAAAAACAAAATAAAGACTTGGAAAACAATTGCTTACATTAAACCCTGCCATTTTACAGGACCTGAAATGGAAGCTGAGGACACACAGCCAGCCAATGATAGAGTCAGGACTCAGGGATGTCCTACCACGCAACTCTGGGGGGTACAATTCCCATGTTATCTATCCATAGTAATGCAGCATGGCAGCCTTACACTAGAATTTTTCTGTCCTGATACACAACTGTGCTATTTTTCACACTGTTGTGTATACATAAGATTAATAAAGGAGGTGCTCAAAATAAATGAAATGCAACCTTTGGAAAAAATTATTTATGCTCTTCACTTGAGTAGGAAAACTCATGAATTTCAAAAATCAATTGTTGCATTAGAATGTACACATTTATATCTAAATATATTGATTGAGCACCTACAATGTGTCACATACTGCAGTTGGTGTTGAGAAAGCATATAAGAACAAGGGATAGTTTTATCACCAAGTGGCTTATAGTCTAGTGGAGGAGATCCAATACCCTTGGACATAAAATACCAGCCTTACCTTTCAGCTGCTCCTCAAATCTTTTGAGAATTGAAACAGGCTCTGTTAAGTGATGTCTTGGTAAATGTTTAACAATCGACTCTCAGCCAGGTGCAGTGGCTCACGCCTATAATCCCAGCACTCTGGGAAGCTGAGGTGGGTGAATCATGAGGCCAGAAGTTCAAGACCAGCCTGGCCAAGATGGTGAAACCCCGTCTCTACTAAAAATACAAAAAAGTTAGCTGGGCATGGTGTTGGGCACCTGTAATGCCAGCTACTCAGGAGACTAAGGCAGAGAATTGCTTGAACCCTGGAGGTAGAGGTTACAGTGAGCCGAGATTGCACCACTGCACTCCAGCCTTGGCAACAGAGTGAGACCCCATCTCAAAAAAAACAAAATCGACTCTCCAGAAAAAACAGCAACAACAACTTGATTTTTATTCATTGGCAATTTCCATAGCGTAAATACTCAAACCATAGACAATTCCAAGCTACTGACATGATGTTACTTAATGTGTAGGTGGAAAGAAGGCACAATAGCTTTTCTCACCAGCTTGTGCAGGTCAGCTCCAGCACACTAATGGAAGAAACCCTTTCCGTTAAACTCCCTCCCAATCTTTTTATGCCTATCTGTGGTCTGCATGCATGGAGAATTTTGCATCCCACTTTTTAATTATCCTTATTTTGTAAACACATACATCAACAGGGACTTCACACTTATCATTTTTGATTGAGTTTTTATTTTCCTCTGCCACAGCTTGCCTTCTCTGAAGAGCACCTGCAAGACAATTGGTAATCAGAATTTTAGTGCCCTAGCCCCTCTTTATTTAACTAATTTCCCCTTCTTACAGCCAGTCAATCTATTCTTCTCCATTCTTTGCATTTACAACCAGACAGTTCTGTGAGAGCAGCATGACAGGTCTCTCAATCAGAAGATGGATGTATAGCAGGGCTAGGAAAGCTGGCATTTAGGGAAGTATAAAACTGGTAGAGGGAAACTTGACACAACCTAGAAAGAGCTGTGCCTTTTTGCTAAGGCCTATCATGTTCCCTGCCTCATTGCTGACACCCGCTTTTTTGATGTCACAACTCTTTCACCACCCAGATGAAGGGGTCTATGATATGAAGGATCCCTCAAGATACCCATTGGAAAGGTTCATTGGCTGTCCTGCTCTCCCCCTCAGGAGCTCTAAGTCAAGATGCACATCTACGCATAGGCCACATTCCCAAGGTCAGTGATGTGTGGGCTAGGGCTTGTTTTAGAGACTGTGACACCTGGAATTACTCAAGATGGCCTGATGCCAGGGTGCTATGGTTTGGCTGTGTTCCCACCCAAATCTCATCTGGAATTTTATTTCCCATAATCCACGCATGTGGTGGGAGGGACCCAGTGGGAGGCAATTTAATCATGGTGGGTGGCTTCCCTCATCCTGTTCATGTGACAGTGAGTTAGTTCTCACAAAATCTGATGTTTTTATAAGGGGCTTCCCCCTTAGCTGGGCTTTTATTCTTCTCCTTCCTGCCACCATGTGGAAAAGGACATATTTACTTTCCCCTCCACCATGATTGTAAGTTTCCTGAGGCCTCCTCAACCTTGTGGAACTGTGAGTCAATTAAACCTCTTTCATTTATAAATTACCCAGTCTCGAGTATGTCCTTATAGCAACTGAAAATGGACTAATATAATAAATAGGTACAACAGAGAGTGGGGGAGAGTGGGGTGCTGCTGTAAAGATAACCAAAAATCTGGAAGTGACTTTGGAAATGGGTTATAGGCAGACGTTGGGACAGTTTGGAGGGCTCAGAAAAAGGGCAAAAAAATGTGAGAAAGTTTGGAACTTCCTAGAGACTTGTTGAATGGCTTTGACCATTTGACACGGACAATGAAGTCCAGGCTAAGGTGGTCTCAGATGGAGATAAGGAACCTGATAGGAATTGGAATAAAGGTGACTCTTGCTATGTTTTAGCGAAGAGACTGGCAGCATTTTGTCCCTGCCTTAGAGATCTATGGAACTTTGAACATGAGAGAGATGATTTAGGGTGTCTGGCAGAAGAAATGTCTAAGCAGCAAAGCATTCAAGAGGTGACTTGGGTGCTGTTAAAAGCATTCAATTTTATATGTTCATGAAGATATAGTTTGGAATTGGAACTTATGTTTAAAAGTGAAGCAGAGCATAGAAGTTTAGAAAATTTGCAGCCTGATGATGTTATAGAAAAGAAAAACCCATTTTCTGAGAAGAAATTGAAACTGACTGCAGAAATTTGCATAAGTAATGAGGAGCCAAATGTTAATCACAAAGACAATGGGGAAAATGTCTCCAGGGCATGTCAGAAGTCTTCATGGCAACCCCTCCCATCACAGGCCCAGAGGCCTAGGAGGAAAATTGATTTTGTGGGCCAGGCCCAGGGCCTTGCTGCTTAGTGCAGTCTCGGGACTTGGTGCTTTGCATCCCAGCCATGGCTAAAAGGGACAAATGTAGAGCACAGGGCATTGCTTCAGAGGATGCAAGCCCCAAGCTTTGGTGGCTTCCATGTGGTGCTGAGCCTGTGGGTGCACAGAAGTTGAGAACTGAGGTTTGGGAATCACCACCTAAGTTTCAGAGGATGTATGTAAATGCCTGGATGCCCAGACAGAAGTTTTGCTGCAGGGACAGAACCCTCATAGAGAACTTATGCTAGGTCAGTGTAATAGGGAAATGTGGGGTTGGAGCCCCTACACAGAATCCACACTGGGACACTGCCTAGAGGATCTGTGAGAAGAGGGTCACTATCCTCCAGACCCCAGAATTGTAGCTCCACCAACAGCTTGCACTGTGCACCTGGAAAAGCTGCAGACACTCAATGCCAGCCCATGAAAGCAGCTGAGAGGGGAGTTGTACCCTGCAAAGCCACAGGGGTAGAGCTGTCCAAGGTGATGGGAACCCACCTCTTGCATCAGTGTGCCCTGGATGTGAGACATGGAGTCAAAAGAGACCATTTTGAAACTTGAAGGTTTAATGACTGCCCTATTTGATTTTGGACTTGCATGGGGCCTGTAGCCTCTTTCTTTTGGCCAAATTCTCCCATTTGGAATAGGTGTATTTACCCAATGCCTGTAGCCCCATTGTATCTAGGAAGTAACTAACTTGCTTTTGATTTTACAGGTTCCTAGGTGGAAGGTACTTGCTTTGTCTCAGATAAGACTTTGGACTTGGACTTTTGTGTTAATGCTGGAATGATTTAAGATTTTGGGGGACTGTTGGAAGGGCACAATTATGTTGTGAAATGTGAGGACATGGGATTTGGGAGAGGCCAGTGATGAAATGATACGGTTTGGTTGTGGACCCACCTAAAAGTCATTTTGAATTTTAGTTCCTATAATCCCCCACATGCTGTGGGAAGGACCATGTGGGAAGCAATATAATCATGGGGGTGGTTTCCCCCATCCTGTTCTTGTAATAGTGAGTTAGTTCTCACAAGATATGATGGTTTTATAAGGGTCTTCCCACTTCACTGGGCTTTTGTTCTTCTCTTCCCTGCTGCCATGTGAAGAAGGACATGACTGCTTCCCCTTCTGCCATAATTGTAAGTTTCCTGAGGCCTCTCCAACTCTGCAGAACTGTGAGTCAATTCAACCCATTTTCCTTATAAATTATCCAGTCTCAGGTATGTCTTTATAGTAGCATGAGAACAGGCTAATACAGAGGATTTCCTGTTAGTGTAACCACAAGAAGCAGGTACAGTTTGAACTCAATGTTTTGTGTGACCTATAGGTTACTTTCAAGTCAATGAGACTCCATTACAGACTTCATTACCTTTTTTATTCCTTAATTGTACCCATGATCATATACACAAAACTTGAAGCAAGCAGCTTTTGTCCTGTGGAACTCAATTGATCTTTCTGATTTAGAAAAATCCTCTTTTTTGGCTCCAGATTACAGGTACGTTTCTCTCCTGGTGTTGGGGGAAAGGGGGAAACTTCTTTTTTTTTCTAATTTTTATTTTAGATTCAGGGGTACATGTCCAAGTTTGTTACTTGGGTATATTTTGTGATGCTGAGGTTTGTGGTATGAATGATCCTCTTACCCAGATACTATGCATAGTAACCAATCGTTAGTTTTTTAACCCTTGTCCCCTTCCCTTTCTCCCCTTTCTGGTAGTCCCCAGTGTCTATTGTTGCCATCTTTATGTCCATGAGTACCCAATGTTTAGCTCCCACTTACAAGTGAAAGCATGTGGTATTTGATTTTTGGAAACCATTCTTAAATATATAAAATTAATTAAATCATTGCCCTGTTTAATTGATTCAAATAGTAAAGTTTTAGAACTCTTTATACAGGGAATAAAAATAATTTATGGAATTCTATTGCTTTTTTTTTTTTTTTTTTTGAGATGCAGTCTCGCTCTGTCACCCAGGCTGGAGTGGAGTGGCGCGATCTCAGCTCATTGCAAGCTTTGCCTCCCAGGTTCACGCCATTCTCCCACCTCAGCCTTCTGAGTAGCTGGGACTACCAATGCCCACCACCACACCTGGTGAGTTTTGTTTTTGTATTTTTTTAGAGACGGGGTTTCACCATGTTAGCCAGGATGGTCTCAATCTCCTGACCTCGTCATCCACCTGCCTCAGCCTCCCAAAGTGCTGGGATTACAGGCGTGAGCCACCGCGCCCAGCCCTGGAAGTCTATTGCTTTTAAGATCTCTGGTAGATTACTATAAATATTTAAATAATAAGCTTCGGATAAGTCTCTAAGTTCCAGTTATGACATTACCTTTATGGGAACATCAGATTCGGCTTACATTTGATTTGCCTAGATGTGCCTTTTCTAGAAAAGTATTTTTCCCAAAGTCTGAGGGATGCTTGCATTTTGAATGTGAGGTGAGGATCCCTAAAGTGGGAGATGATGGCCACCCTATCTAAACTTTCATGAGAATGAAACACTCTCCAGTCATTTGAGGGTCATGTTTTCTGTAGGTGATGGGCAGAAGGTACAAGGGATACTTCCCTGAGTGGGCCAGATGCCAGACCACAGAGAGGGGGTAGTCCTAGGGGTCTAGTCACTTTTAGTCCCTCTCTGGGAAAAGTCACACCAAACATCATTCCTTTTTAGGCTGCAGCATACATAGATGCCCTTTCCTCTTTGGACCCTTTCATTTTGCAAGCAACTGTTAAGAATGAGCATGTTTACTGGTCTGAAAGGGAGGGTTCTATTTTCATCTCTTGATAGCTTTTCTATTGAATATCCTGGTATATGTTCCCCTTTCTGACCTATGGGAGGGAAGAAACGAGTGTTGGACAAAGGAGGTTCGTTTTGAGGATAGTGTGCATGGGGGGCATCTGACTTCCAGGATTGTGAGGCCAAAGCCACTTTCTTTTAGGGGGTTGAAAGGAGGGTGCTTGGTTACCAAAGTAGTCATTTATTTGCTCCTTCCCTAGTTCTCCTTCAACCTCTCTGACTACTCTGTGGACCTAGAGGCAGTACACCCTGGGTTAGGATCCTGGCACTGTTACTCATGAGTTCTATAGCTTTACATAAGTGGCTTTACATTTTTTTCTACTTTAAACCCTCCAGTGGCTTTCCAATCCACACAGAATAAAATCAAAAGTCCTGATAATGGCCCACAGAATCCCTACATGACCTTATTCTCTCTGGCCTCATCTTGTACTCTGCTCGTCTTGCTCACTCCACTCCAACTACACTGACTTTCTTGCTTCTTTAAACACACAGGTGCCTTCCTGCCTTGGGGCCTTTGAACCTACTTTCCCCCTTTGCTTGGACTGCTCTGCTCTCAGATATTGAGTGGCTTACTCCATCACTTCTTTCAGGGTATTACTCAAATGTCACTTTATCAGAGAGGCCCTCCCTGACCACCTGTTGGAGTCCAACCAAGCTGGTAGGAGAAATATTAGAGATAGTTATAGAAATAGACACAAATCTTGGAAGGCCGAGAAGTTTGCATAACTTTGGTAATAGATCTGGCCAAAGGCAGCCTGATCCCTTTACCTTTAGTTAAACAAATTAAAATAGTAATAAGAAAGGACTCATATAATCTTAAGAGTAACCTTTGATGTACCGCAATTGCTTAAGTGCTTTTTACTCAAGAAGTCCACAATGTCAGTTACCCTCTAATGGTGTTGACTCAAGCTTTTGTTAATTAATCTTACTGAATAAGTGCGAGTCTGACTAGCTGATCAGGGTGGAGTTGCAACTGTTTGCAGAACTCAGCAGGAAGTCTGTAAGCGGTTCGGACAACCTCAGCTGGACTGGCAGAGCAGAATATCTGTGTGTCAGTGTAATTTATTCATCCATCACTGGGTCAGGGGTCTGCAAGGAACAGACTCCCCATAGCTGGTGCCCACTCGAAAGGAGCACTGCTGCAACCACCCATTTTAAACAGCACCCCTTGTTTCTCTCAATCTCCTAACCCTGGTTTATTTTATTTCATATTATTTATCCTTGCCTGACTAATCTTTTCTCATTTGTTTATTATCTAATTTCCCTTTTAGAGAATATTGTTTACAGAATAGGTGTTCAAATATGTATTGAATGAACATATGAATGAATTAATGAATGGAATCTGCAAGAGCTATTATGAGAATTCCATGGGATAATATATATGTCAGTGATTTGCAGACAGTAATGTATGGACTGCTGCATTGTGTTTTGGCTTCCTGCATTGGATCTTCGTTATCTATATGTCCCTTTATCCATGCAGATACTCCAGTCTTTATCCTTTGAACTAATTCAGAAAATTCATTGCCTTGTGTAATTTCATATCTCTACTCAATCTGCATCTTAAATTCCTGTCTCATTACCTGGAGGATATACTTGTACACTCTTCCATCATCTCAAATACAAGTTATCTGAAATAAAGTACGATTACAGGAAAGCGGTCCAAATCCAGACCCCAAGAGAGGGTTCTTGGATCTCGTGCAAGAAAGAATTCAGGGCGCATTCACAGTACAAAGCAAAGCAAGTTTATTAAGAAAGTAAAGTGGTGAAAAGACAGCTGCTCCACAGACAGAGTAGGATGTTCCCGAAAGTAAGAGGAGGAATGCATCCATCCTAGGTACAATGCTTGTATACATGGAAAGATGTATTCTGCTACAAGGGTTTGTGATAAAGGATTAATTTTCTTAATTACTATATTTTGCAAGAATCGATGTTATTATCTTTAAAGCAAAATTAGGAATGCCTTTTTTCTCCAGTTATTGGGCTATCTGGACACTCCCAAGTTAGGGTCTGTTTAGTAAACATTATTAATTTGTTCCCTTAACTGTAAATATCTAGAGGTTAGGAACACCTAACTTTCTGAGAATGCAGCCCAGCAAGTCCCAGCTTCATTTTCCTAGCCCTCACTGAAAATTGAGTCACTCTGGTTCAAATGCCTCTGACAGTACTTTTACTTTTCCCTGTCACCTTCCACAGCAATCGCACCACTATGCCTTTGTCAAGGATATCCTTGTATATTCCCACCCCATCCTGGATAC
Organism: Homo sapiens; assembly: GCF_000001405.40. Taxonomy (NCBI): domain Eukaryota; kingdom Metazoa; phylum Chordata; class Mammalia; order Primates; family Hominidae; genus Homo; species Homo sapiens. The sequence goes on along the minus strand of NC_000023.11, from coordinate 64,001,310 downwards.
AAACCTTGCAATTTCTCTTTCATCTTGTCTTGTAGCATCAATCAATATGACCTATCAAGTGTTTGCTTTGTCAGTTTCCTTCTCTTCCTTTCTGTTTCCATGGTCAAGGCTTTTCTACTCTCTAGCTTGGGTTACTGAAACAATATTCCATCAAGTTCCCCTGTCTCCAGTCCTTCCAGCCCATGCTGTGAGATTAAATCTTCCTAATAGCCAGTATTTCAGATGTCCAGAACCCCTGGCTTCTTTCTTGTGAGGAGCAGTCTGTCATCAAAAGCACAGGAGTTTGACAAGTAGGTGGTCTGGGTTTTAGTTCTGACTCTCAGAAGTGGGCACCATGACCAAAAGACAAAGTACTTTAGACTGGATCATTACACTAAGGCCCAACAATTCAAGAAATGCCAATTCCCTGCTGTGGCCCAAGCATCAGGCCTTAGCTTTTCCATCTGTAAAATGAAAGAATTGGGCCAGGCGTGGTGGCTGATGCCTGTAATCCTAGCACTTCGGGAGGCCAAGGAGAGAGGATGGCTTGAGCCCAGGAGTTCAAGACCACCCTGGGCAACATGGCAAAACCCCGACTCTACAAAAAAAATAAATAAATATTTGCCAGGTGTGGTGGTGCAAGACTGTGGTCCTAGCTAGTTGGGAGTTGAGGTGGGAGAATCATTTGAGCCTGAGAGGTTGAGGCTGCAGTGAGCTGCAATCACACAACTCCAGGTTGGGCAACAGAGAGACCCTGTAAAAAAAAAAAAAAAAAAAAAAAGAAAGAAAGAAAGAAAGAAAAAGAAAAGAAAAGAAATTGAACCAGGTTGGTGGTTTGTGTTGATTTTTTTTAATTTCAGTGGTATCCTATGTTCAAAGAAAATCTGACCAAATATACAAAATAAGTTTTAAAATAATCTTTTGATATCTCTTTCTTTAGTAAGCTTTCTCTGATCTGTTCTGCCCCAGGATTGATCTCCCCCATTTCCGAATTCCTGTAACACTTAGTCTGTAGAATACAAATTTGGATTTGATTATTTCCTACCTTGGTTTATTATTCAGTTTCACTTATATCTCTCACATCCTCTACTGAATTGTAAACTTTTCAAGGGTAGGCAGTTTATAGTGCTCAAAAGACTGGGCACCTCATAATAATATGATGTTTTATAGTCTAAAAATCACTTCATTCTCTATCATTTTAGTTGAACCTCAAGAAAATCCTATGAATGTGATATGACAAATGTCTTATCCATTTAACAAAAGAGGATATTTAGGTTTAGAGAGGAGAAGAGACTTGGTCAAGGTCGCAGGACAGAGAAGAAATTCAAATCCATTTCTCCTAACACTCAGTTTGCTGTAGTTTTTACTAACCCATACTGAACATAGAAGGGCCCCAATCGTGGTGGGATTTTTTAAGGAATCAGAGAGACCAATGGGGTTCAGGAGGATATTTATTTTTTAGGTGCACGGGCCCAGTCCGATTAACATCCAAAGGACTGAGCCCTGAACAAAGAGTTAAGTTACCTCTTAAGCGTTTTGTGGGGCATGGGGAGATCTGTGCAGGGGGAAGCATATTACAGAAGTGAGAAACAAAGACAGTTATTCAATTAATTGAGACATACATTACATCATTTCTTACTTTTCAAGGAAAAACATGTTTTACCACGTGAGTTTATCTGTCTAGTGACCTTACAGCTGCACAGCTAGAGAAACAGGGTCTTCACAATGCCTGAGAAAGGAGGAGAGATAAGTCTCACTAGCCACAGAAAAACAGGCAGTTAATTTTTAAAGGACTCCAGCTCTTTCTCTTTCTCAGGGGGAATTGGGTTTTCTTACATACAACTGAGTTTCTGCTTACACATTCTTTAATTATTTTAATTCCTGTTCCACAACGAATGCCTGGTGACATGATTGAAAATAAGAAAAGTTAGCAGGAAGCAACAGCTTACTTAGCCTTAATGGCAGCCTGATCCCAAGACTGTCTAAGGCATAGGGCACACACTTGATCCTGTTCAATATATTTTCATTCATTTACGTCCATAGGAAATAGGCAAATTTCTATCATAGAAATCTCTGCACATCAATTTTACCTGACACCTGAAGCATTAAAATCCCCACTTATCAATTTTATTTGAAACCTAAATCATTGAAATCTTGCCCATCAATTTCATCTAAAATCTAAATCATAAAAATCCCCACTCATCAATTTCACCTACAAGTGGGATCATTGAAATCTGCACACATCAATCTTTCCAAACACCTGGATAATTGAAATCCTGGGGTCTGTACCAACACTAGCACAGTGCAGAATGTCCCCAATTACAGTGCCAAAGAGCAGCAGGGGCAGCAGGTCGCTCTAAAAATGGAATCCAATTTCTTCATTTTAGAAATAAAGAATCCAAGGCAGAGAGAAGAGAAGGGATTTGTTCAAGATCACACAGCAAAATTCTGTATTCTTTTCCTAATAACAATAATCTGACTTTTATGTATATTACATCATTATCCTGTGCTGTCAGTTTCACATACAGATGCTCCTCAACTTAAAATGGGGTTACATCTGGATAAACTTTGCATAAATTGAAAATACTTACAATATTTTTATCATATAATTATATTGATAATTATTCGCCTATTGCTTTCACACCATTGTAAAATAAAAAAAAATATATAAGTTGAACCAAAACAAGTAGGGGATCATCTGTATACATATGATTTCTCCAACTAGAGTATTTTTTTTTTATCTTTGTCATTATTTTTCTTTTTTCTACCCCAGCTCAGTGTCTCTTTTACCACTATTTCTCAGTGGAATCAAACCTCAAGGTTCCCAATTGTCCTAATTGTAAGGAAATGTGTCCTTAGTCGACATAAAAACAAGTCTTTTTCTATGGTGGGAAAATCAAAAGAAGAAATCAGAGTTTCACTAATAAGACGCTTTGTGGAATTATCGTTGGGTTATTTATTCCTTTGAGATGTGTGTGTGTGTGTGTGTGTGTGTGTGTGCACTTTGAGATAAAAGTCTATGGTGTTGGCTGGGCGTGGTGGCTCACGCTGGTAATCCCAAGCACCTTGGGAGGCCGAGGTGGGTGGATCACATAGGGCCAGGAGTTCGAGACCAGCATGGCCAACATGGTGAAACCCTGCTTCTACTAAAAACACAAAAATTAGCTGGGAATGTTGGGGCATGCCTGTAATCCAAGGTACTCAGGAGGCTAAGGAAAGAAAATTGTTTGAACCCGGGAAGCAGAGGTTGCAGTAAGCCATCATGCCACTGCATTCCAGCCTAGGTGACACAGTGAGACTCAGACTCAAAAAAAAAAAAAAAAAAAAACTCCATGTTGCTTATCTTTAATGTTAGGAGGCCTAAATTTCTCTAATAGCATTAGTTTTCTATAAAGCTATGTCATCAGTTACAGGGCTGGATCACCAGAATGACAATTTCCTCACCATTTCAGTGCACTTGTCTACAATCTGACTTATTCTGGTTATTGTTTTAGTCTGGTTATTGCCTTGATTGTGTTTGCCAACCTTAGATATTTTGATCTGACTGTTGGCATTTATACTTTTTTTTCCTTTGGGGGTTTGGTTTATTATCTAGGTGCTTGTATTAGTCCATTTCACACTGCTGATAAGACATACCTGAGACTGGGCAATTTACAAAAGAAAGAGGTTTAATTGACTTACAGTTCCACATGGCTGGGAAGGCCTCACAATAATGGAAGAAGGTAAAAGGCACGTCTCACATGGTGGCAGACAAGAAAAGAGAGAGAGCCTGTGCAGGGAAACTCCAGTTTTTAAATCTATCATATCTCATGAGACTCATTCACTATAATGAGAACAGCAAAGGAAGGATCCACCCCAATAATTCAGTCACCTTCCACTGGGTTCCTCCCGTGACACATGGGAATTGTGGGAGTTACAATTCAAGATGAGTTTTGGGTGGGGACACAGCCAAACCATATCATTCCACCCCTGGCCCTTCCCAAATCTCATGTCCTCACATTTCAAAACCAGTCATGCCTTCTCAACAGTCCCCCAAAATCTTAACTCATTTCAGCATTAACTCAAAAGTCCACAGTCCAATGTCTCATCTGAGACAAGGCAAGTCCCTTCCACCTATGAGCCTGTAAAATCAAAAGCAAGTTAGTTACTTCCTAGATACAATGGGGGTACAGAAATTGGGTAAGTACAGCTGTTCCAAATGGGAGAATTTGACCAAAACAAAGGGGCTACAGGGTCCATGCAAGTCCAAAATCCAATGGGGCAGTCAAATCTTAAAGCTCCAAAATGATCTCCTTTGATTCCATGCCTCACATCCAAGGCACACTGATGCAAGAGGTGGATCTTATGTTCTTGGGCAGCTCCGCCCCTGTGGCTTTGCAGGGTATAACCCTTTTCCAAGCTGCTTTCATGGGCTGGCATTGAGTGTCTGAGGCTTTTCCAGATGCACAGTGCAAGCTGTTGGTGAGTCTTTCATTCTGGGGTCTGGAAGACAGTGGCCTTCTTTTCACAGCTCCACAAGGCAGTGTCCCAGTGGGGACTCTGTGTGGGGGCTCTGACCCCATATTTCCCTTCCACACTGCCCTAGCAGAGGTTCTACATGAGGGCCCTGCCCTTGTAGCAAACTTCTGCCTGGGCATCCAGACATTTCCATACATCCTCTGAAGCCTAGGCAGTAGTTCCCAAACCTCAACTCTTGACTTCTGTGCACCACAGGCTCAACTCCACGTGGAGGTTGCCAAGGCTGGGGGCTTCCACCCTCTGAAGTAACAGCCTGAGGTACACCTTGGCTCCTTTTAGTCATCACGGGAGCAGCTGGGCAGCAGGGCACCAAGTCCCTAGACAGCAGAGGGACCCTGGGCCCAGCCCAGGAAACCTTTTATTCCTTCTAAACCTCCAGGCCTGTGGCGGGAGGGGCTGCTGCAAAGGTCTCTGATATCCTCTGGAGACATTTTCCCCATCGCCTTGGTGATTAACACTTGGCTTCTAATTAATTATGCAAATTTCTGCAGTAGGCTTGAGTTTCTCCTCAGCAAATGAGATTTTCTTTTCTATCTCATTGTCAGGCTGAAAACTTTCTGAACTTTTATGTCCTGTTTCCCTTTTAAAATGGAATGCCTTTAACAGCGCCCAAGTCACCTTTTGAATGTTTTGCTGCTTAGAAGTTTCTTCCACCAGATACCCTAAATCATCTCTCTCAAGTTCAGCATTCTACAAATCTCTAGGGCAGGGGCAAAATGCCACCAGTTTCTTTGCTAAAACATAACATGAGTCACCTTTGCTCTAGTTCCCAGCAAGTTCCTCATCTCCATCTGAGACCACCTCAGCCTGGATTTTACTGTCCATATCATTATCAGCATTTTGGCCAAAGCCATTCAACAAGTCTCTAGGAAGTTCCAAACATTTCCACATTTTCCTGTCTTCTTCTGAGCCTTCCAAACGTTCTAAACTCTGCCTGTTATCCAGTTTCAGTGTTCCTTCCACATTTTTGGGTATCTACAGCAGTGTCCCACTCCCAATACCAATTTACTGTATTAGTCCATTTTCACGCTGTTGATAAAGTCATACCAAGACTGGGCAATTTACAAAAGAATGAGATTTAATGGACTTATGGTTCCACGTGGCTGGGGAGGTCTCACAATAATGGTGGAAGGTGAAAGACATGTCTCACCTGGTAGCAGACAAGAAAAGAGAGAGCTTGTGCAGGGGAACTCCTCTTTTTAAAACCATCAGATCTCATGAGACTCATTCAATATCACAAGGACAGCACAGGAAAGACCCATCCCCATAATTCAATCGCCTCCAGCAGATTCCTCCAAGGACACCTGGGAATTGTGGGAGTTACAATTCAGATTTGGGTGGTGACACAGCCAAACCGTATCAGTGCTTTTCTTCTCTGAGAACTTTGCAAGCCCTAAAACTAGCCAGGCCTCCCAAGGGTCCTATGTGCATCTCTTGCCTCCAGTCAGGACTGTACTCAACACAGCTAGGAAAAGAAAAGCTTCCATTTTTTTCCCTTAACTCTCTGAAAAAGACTATTATGTAACATTTCTTGACCACATCTTCTCATGCATCAGTGTAAGGAAGTTTTTAATGTTGTCTAGCATGAAGCCAAACTATTGTTCTTGGCATTACATAATAATATTATAATATATAATAGCATATAATAACATAACATAATATTGTCTTGCCTGGCTGTTGGGAAACCTGTAATCAGCAGCTCATGATAAATCTTATTTTCTCCCCTGCCTCTCAATTGTCATTAAGGGTCCCCTAAGAAAGCTAAGGCTGATGTATAAAGCTACACAGACTGTGCACTGGTCAACTTCAGGGGTTGCCAGTCATCTAACTTGCAATGTCAATGGTACCTCCTGAAGTTGTGCAGCATAGTGGCCTTCTGAGAGCCCTATGAACCAAAAAGGCCAAAAGTTAGCTGATATGGTTTGGCTGTGTCTGCACCCAAATCTCATCTTAAACTGTAGTTCCCATAATCCCTACCTTTGTGGGAGGGATCACTGGGGTCTTTCTTTCTTACTCTGAGGCACAAGAAGGTGTGGTCAAGAAATGTTACATAATAGTCTTTTTTGGGGGAGTTAAGGGAAAAAAAAAGAAAGTTTTTTTTTTTTCCCCAGCTGATTTGAGTATACTCCTGACGGGAGGCAAGATATGCACATAGGACCCCTGAAAGGCCTGGCTAGTTTTAGGGCTTGCAAAGTTCTTAGAGGAGAAAATAATAGATAATAAACAAAACTCACAAAAGGAAAACAAAGTCTAAATGTCAGCAATCAGATCAGAATACCTAAGTGGGAGGTAACTGAATCATGGGGTGGTTACCCCCATGCTCTTCTCATTATAGTAAGTGAGTTCTCACGAGATCTAATGGTTTTATAGGGGGCATTTCCCCACTTTGCTCAGCATTTCTCCTTCCTGCTACTTTGTGAAGGTGTCTTGCTTCCCCTTCACTTCTGCCAAGATTGTAAGTTTCCTGAGGCCTCCCTAATCATGCTGAACTATGAGTCAATTAAACCTATTTCCTTTATAAATTACCCAGTCTCAGGTAGTTCTTTATAGCAGTATGTAAGCGGAATAATACATGAGCCCAGCTGGTTTGTATAGCAAGTGAAGCCTCTGCATTCCTCTAATGCACGTCCACTATCTTGAGAGCAGATGGGGAGGAAGTGAGACAACCCCCACATCCCTTTTGTCCAGGAACAACAGTAGTAATGAGTATACCTCAACTTCCCTTTTCCTCCTGCTTCCTCAATCTTCACTAGCAGTCCCTACACAAGACTAAGGAGAGCTCAAGAGAGGAAAGATTTCTTTCTTCTTTGATTTTATCTCCATTGGGTCTATACTGTTACGTTCCTTGATCGAGGTGACTGCTGAACATCTTTAGAATTTCTCTGCACAAGACACAGCTGTTCCTGAAGGAAAAGATATAATGTTTTTCTGACTGACATTTTGGTTATGGATAAAACCAAAGTGTTCCATAATGTAACATCCTAGTTCTACACATTAACATTTTTTTTAGACAGTCTTGCTCTGTCACCCAGGCTGGAGTGTAGTGGCACAATCTTGGCTCACTGCAACCTCCGCCTCCCACAGGTTTAAGCGATTCTTGTGCCTTAGCCTCCCAAGTAGCTGAGATTACAGGCATGGACCACCATGCCTGGCTAATTTTTCATATTTTTTGTAGAGATAGGGTTTTGCCATATTGGCCAGGCTGATCTTGAACTCTTGTCCTCAAGTGATCCGCCTGCCTAGGCCTCCCAAAGTGCTGGGATTCCAGGCATGAGCCACTGTGCCTGCCCCCATTAACATTTTAATTCCTTGAAGGTCTCCCTTTTACCATTTCATGGTTAATAGTAGTCTTTTCTTTCCACACCTCCAATAGGCTTGCCCACCCAAATGGTCAGCTGTTCTACTGATTTGAGATATACTCCTTCTGGAATTGAAGGACATAATGTGGAATGCAACAAGGAATTTTAGCTAATCAGAGTAGGCGCTGCTTCTAGAGGACTCCTTTGTGTTCTCCTTAGCAAATCAGATTTCTGGAATGGAGAAGAGGAGGGAGCTGTGGACAAATTTTTCAATATGGGTAATCAAATGTTTACTCACCAATTGGCTATACCAGGCCTGTTGAAGACAGCCTCTATGCCAGCTTCAGAAGAGATTGATCACTTATGAAACAAATCCCACAGGTGAGAGCCTACATACTGGGGTCCAAAGTACTGGAATACAGGCTTATTTTATGTGAGGAAATGTTTGTTTGTTTTGGTATATAACACCCCTGAAGCAGTGAGGAAAGGAACAGCCTCAGCAATGGTGTGGGCACAACTGAGAGTCACAGAGCCTGGGCCTCATGCCAATACTTAGTGTTCAGCTACTGTTGGGCACATCAGAATAATCTAAGATGAGAAAGACCTATGAAGTCATTTTTTTTGGCCAAGGAGCCACTAAAAGACTGCCCACTTCTTTTCTTCCTTTCCTCCGTCTTCCTAATGGGTGATTTCAAAAGCAATATTTTATTTATCTTTTCACCTATTTTAGATTTAGTGGTTGCCCAACTGGGGTACTGGGCAAGTCAGTCTGCCTCTGTTTTAGCACTGTGCTTCATTCCAATAGATGAACTTGTCAAGATACTAGTTAAGAGTTCTGTATGCAGCAAAACCAGAGGCAGCAAAATATAGCAGCCCTTTCGTGTCCACCTGCCTCCACACAATACACAAGCACCTGCAGGTTCACATAGATGTTGGGAGCAAATACAGTTCAGCACAGGAATTTAGACATGAATGTCTTAGTCTTTTTTCTGCTGATAAAACAGAATACCACCAATTGGGTAATTTATAAAGAAAAAAATGCATTTCTCATGGTTTTGGAGGCTAGGAAGCCCAAGAACATGGCATAGGCATCTGATTATGGTCATCCCATAGCAGAAGGCAGAAGTGAGCATGTGAGATAGAAAAAAAGCATGAGGGATCGAACTTGCTTTAGAACAACCCAGTCTTGCAATTACTAACCCACTCCCATGATAACCACAATAAATGATTTATGAGGACTCCACTTTATGATCCAGTCACCTCTTATTAGGCTCCACCTGCCAACACTATTGCACTGGAGATTAACTTTCCAGCACATGATCTTTGGGAGACACATTCAGACCATATCATTGGGGAACTGGGCTTAACTAGAGTCCATATCATCATTCAGTACCTTGCTGGATTGACTGAAGACACACACTTACAGATGGCTAGATCTTCTTTACAGATTAACCTTGGGTTGATTCAAATTGGTTTGTCTCCAAGCAGTCTTGAAAGGGGGAGGGGTGGAGTTGAAAAGTTGAAAAAGCAAAGTACCAAATATTATATATGATATTCTGTTTGTGTAAAAAGGGTGGGAATTAAATTATATATTGGTGTTTGTTTTTAATATGCATTTACAAAATCCTCTGGAAAGCTACTCAAAAAACTAATAGTGGTTACCTGTGGTAGGGAGAGGCAGATAGACTTTACCACACATCTTTTAATAGTTTTCAGTTTTGTGCTATGTTAATGAAGTTTATTTACATAAAATTATATTAACTAGCTAAAAATAAGGAAAAAATTAAAAAGACACCTAGAGTTGCCAGTCTATGAGGTTAATGTTTGTCCTTTGCTTCATTCATTTATTCATTCATCTACCAAATAGTTTTTGAGTACTAGAAAGTAGAGAGAATAGTATGTGGGACCCCATGTACTCATCAGTTTCTCAAAAAGGCATCTCTTGGATATATACGTTGTAGATATAACAATTGCTAACAACTGCCCTACTTATTTTGTCAAGTTTTTGCTGATATATTTTAAGGTAAATTACAGACATCATGGCATTTTACTCTAAATACTTCAGCATGCATCTCAAAAATTTTAAAATATTTTCTCCTATAACCACAATACCACTATCTTACCTATACAAATTGACACTTTATTTTTATATAATTCACACATTATAAAATTCACCCTTTTCAAGTGTACAATTCAGTGGTATTAAGTCTGTTTATAAGGTTGTGCAACTATGATAGTTGGTTCCAGAGCTTTTTTATAACCACCAATATAAACCTCATACCTATTAGTAGTCACTCCCCATTCCCCTCTCACCCTAGTGCCTGGCAACAACTAATCCACTTTCTGTGTCTAAGATTCACCTATTCTGTACATTTCATATAAGTAGAATTATGCAATATGGGGTTTTCTGTGATTGGTTTCTTTCACTTAGCATAACATTTTCCAAAAGTTGATCCATGTTGTAGCATATGTCCATACTTCATTCATTCCTATAGCTGAATATTGTTTTATTGGAAGGATATACCACATTTTATTTGTCCATTCATCAATTCATGGACATTTGGTTTGTTTCCAGTTTGGGGTCATTATGAATAATGCTGCTGTGAACATTTGTATATAAATTTTTGAATAGGAATACATTTTCATTTCTCGTAGCTATATACCTGCATGTGAAGTAGCTGAGTTATATGGTATTTCCGTATTTAACTTTTTGAGGGATTGCCAGCCTGTTTATCACAGTGGCTACACCTTTCCACATCCCGCCAGCAAAGTCTGCAGGGTCCAATCTCCGCATTCTTGTGAACACTTGTTATTTTCTCACTTTTTTAAATTACATAGGCATTCTAGAGAGTGTGAAGTGATATTTCATTGTATTTTGTTTGCACTTCTGTGATGACTAATGATGTTAAGCATCATTACATGTGTTTATGGGCCATTTGTATATCTTTTTGGAGAGAAATATCTATTCAAATCCTTTGTCTATTTTTGAATTGATTTCTTTTTAAAAATTATTTTAAATTTTTGGTTGGTACAGAGTAGGTGTACATATTTATGGGGTACATGAGATGTTTTGATACAGGAATGCAATGTGAAATAAGCACATCTTGGAGAATGGGGTATTCATCCCCTCAAGCATTCATCCATTTAGTTACAAACAATCCAATTACATTTTTAATGTCATTTTAAAATATACAATTAAGTTATTATTGACTATAGTCACCCTATTATGCTATCAGAGAGTAGGTTTTATTAATTTTTTCTATGTTTTTTGTACTTATTAACTATCCCCACCACCCTTCTATTCCCCCGCTACCCTTCCTAGCCTTTGGTAACCATCCTTCTACTCTCTATGTCCATGAACTCAATTGTTTTGAATTTTCAATCCCATAAATAAGTGAGAACATGTGGTGTTTGTCTTTCTATGACAGGCTTATTTTACTTAACATAATGACCTCCAATTCCACCTATGCTGTTGCAAATGAGAGGATCTCATTTTTTTATGGCTGAATATTCCATATACATTATACATATCCATTTTGTATACATAGCAAGTGTTCTTTATCCATTCATTTGTTAATGGACACACAGGTTGCTTCTAAATCTTTGCTGTTGTGAACAGTGCTGCAACAAACATAAGAGTGCAGATATCTATTTGATATACCAATTTCCTTATTTTAGGGTATATACCCAGCAGTGGGATTGCTGGATCATATGGTAGCTCAATGTTTAGTTTTTGAGGAACCTCCAAACTGTTCTCCATAGTAGTGGTACTAATTTACATTCCCACCCAGAATCTACAAGGTTCCTCTTTTCTCCACATCCTTGCCAGCATTTTTTATTGCCTGTCTTTTGGATAAAAGCCATTTCAAGGCCAGGCGCAGTGGCTCACACCTGTAATCCCAGCATTTTGGGAGGCCAAGGAGGGTGGATCACTTGAGGTCAGGAGTTTGAGACCACCCTGGCCAACGTGGTGAAACCTTATCTCTACAAAAAAATACAAAAATTAGCTGGCCATGGTGTCATTTGCCTGTAGTTCCAGCTACTCAGGAGGCTGAGGCAGGAGAAACACCTGAACCTGGGAGGTGGAGTGTGCAGTGAGCCAAGATCGCACCACTGCACTCCACACTCCAACCTGGATGACAGAGCAAGACTCTGTCTAAAAAAACAAACAAACAAACACCATTTTAGCTGGGGTGAGATGATATCTTCTTATAGTTTCGATTTGTATTTCTCTATTACATTTTATTTCTGTAGAGTTGTTTGAGCTCCTCATATATTCTGGTTATATTAATCTCTTGTCAGATGGGTAGTTTGCAGATATTTTCTACCATTCTGTAAGTTGTCTCTTCCCTTTGTTGATTGTTTCTGTTTCTGTGCAGAAGGCTTTTAAATTAATGTGACCCTATTTGTCCATTTTTATTTTTTGCCTGTGCTTATGGATTATTGCTCAAAAATTTTTGCCCAGATCAATGTCCTGGAGATTTTTCCTCAATGTTTTCTTGTAGTAGTTTCATAGCTTGAGATCTTAGATTTAAGTCTTTAATTCATTTCTATTTGATTTTTGTATATGGTAAGAGATAGAGGTCTGGTTTCATTCTTCTGCATATAGACATCCAGTTTCAGCTTTCTGCATATGGCTAGCCAGTTTTCCCAGCACCATTTATTAAATAGGGAATCCTTTCCCCATTGCTTGTTTTTGTCAGCTTTGTCAAAGATCAGATGGTTATAGATGTATGGTGTTATTTCTGAGGCCTCTGTTCTGTTCCATTGGTCTATATATCTGTTTTGGTACCAGTACCATGTTGCTTTGTTTACTGCAGCCTTATAGTATAGTTTGAAGTCAGGTAGCATGATGCCTCCAGCTTTGTTCCTTTGGCTTAGGATTGTCTTGGCTATGCAGGCCATTTTTTTGGTTCCATATGAACTTTAAAGTAATTTTTTCCAATTCTGTGAAGAAAGTCATTGGTAGCTTGATGGGGATAGCATTGAATCTATAAATTACCTTGGGAAATATGGGCCATTTTCATGATATTGATTCTTACTACCCATGAGCATGGAATCTTCTTCCATTAGTTTGTGTCCTCTTTTATTTCATTGAGCAGTGGTTTGTAGTTCTCCTTGAAGAGGTCCTTCGCAGCCCTTTAAGTTGGATTCCTAGGTATTTTATTCTCTTTGTAGTAATTGTGAATGAGATTTCACTCATTATTTGGCTCTCTGTTTGTCTATTATAGGAATGCTTGTGATTTTTGCACATTGATTCTGTATCCTGAGACTTTGCTGAATTTGCTTATCAGCTTAAGGAGATTTTGGGCTGAGATGATGGGGTTTTCTAAATATACAATCATGTCATCTGCAAACAGAGACAATTTGACTTTCTCTTTCGCTAAATGAATACCCTTTATTTCTTTCTCTTGCCTGATTGCCCTAGCCAGAACTTCCAACACTATGTTGAGTAGGAGTGCTGAGAGACGGCATCTTGTCTTGTGCCAGTTTGCAAAGAGAATGCTTCCAGTTTTTGCCCATTCAGTATGATATTAGCTGTGGGTTTGTCATAAATAGCTCTTACTATTTTGAGATACGTTCCATCCACACCTAGTTTATTGATAGTTTTTAGCACGAAGGGCTGTTGAATTTTGTCAAAGGCCTTTTCTGCATCTATTGAGATAGTCATGTGGTTTTTGTCATTGGTCCTGTTTATGTGATGGATTACGTTTATTGATTTGCATATGTTGAAGCAGCCTTACATCCCAGGGATGAAGCCGACTCGATCGTGATGGATAAGCTTTTTGATGTGCTTCTGGATTTGGCTTGCCAGTATTTTATTGAGGATTTTCACATCGATGTCCATCAGGGATATTGGCCTAAAGTTCTCTCTTTTTGTTGTGTCTCTGCCAGGCTTTGGTATCAGGATGATGCTGGCCTCATAAAATGAGTTAGGGAGAAGTCCCTCTTTTTCTATTGATTGGAATAGTTTCAGAAGGAATGGTACCAATTCCTCCTTGTACCTCTGGTAGAATTCAGCTGTGAATCCATCTGGTCCTGGACTTTTTTTGGTTGGTAGGCTATTGATTATTGCCTTAATTTCAGAGCCTGTTATTGGTCTATTCAGAGATTCGACTTCTTCCTGGTTTAGTCTTGGGAGGGTATATGTGCGCAGGAATTTGTCAATTTCTTCTAGATTTTCTAGTTTGTTTGCATAGAGGTGCTTAAAGTATTCTCTGATGGTAGTTTGTATTTCTGTGGGATCAGTGGTGATATCCCCTTTATCATTTTTTATTGCGTCTATTTGATTCTTCTCTCTTTTCTTCTTTATTAGTCTCGCTAGCGGTCTATCTATTTTGTTGATCTTTTAAAAAAACCATCTCATGGATTCGTTGATTTTTTGAAGGTTTTTTTTGTTTCTCTATCTCCTTCAGTTCTGCTCTGATCTTAGTTATTTCTTGCCTTCTGCTAACTTTTGGATTTGTTTGCTCTTGCTTCTCTAGTTATTTTAGTTGTGATGTTAGGGTGTCAATTTTAGATCTTTCCTGCTTTCTTTTGTGGGCATTTAGTGCTATAAATTTCCCTCTACACACTGCTTTAAATGATAATGGGAGACTTTTACACCCCGCTGTCAATATTAGACAGATCAATGAGACAGAAAGTTAACAAGGATATCCAGGACTTGAACTCAGCTCTGGAGAAAGTGGACCTAATAGACATCTACAGAACCTGTACCCCAAATCAACAGAATATACATTCTTCTCAGCACTACATCATACTTATTCTAAAACTGACCACATAATTGGAAGTAAAACAATCCTCAGCAAATGTAAAATAACAGAAATCACAACAAACTGTCTCTCAGACCACAGTGCAATCAAATTAGAACTCAGGATTAATAAACTCACTCAAAAGTCCACAACTACATGGAAACTGAACAACCTGCTCCTGAATGACTACTGGGTAAATAACGAAATTGAGACAGAAATAAAGATGTTATTTGAAACCAGTGAGAACAAAGACACAACATACCAGAATCTCTGGTACACATTTAAAGCGTTGGTTCTTTATTTATCTTTGTGGGCTGATGTTTCTTCAATCTTTGAAGTTGCTGACCTTTGTATGTGTTTTTCCCCCCTTTTATCCTATTTGATTGCGTTGAGGGTTTGATTGTGGTATAATGTGGATTCAGCCAACTGGCTTGGTTTCTGTAAGATTTTAGTGGGCCATTGCTCAGCTCCCAACTCCTGGACTGCGTATTCTAACTCAGGGGGACTTGTGTTGGTACCCACCTTTGTTCTCTGGCTTCTTAAGGTTATGAATCCACTGAAGTTGGGGGATGAGGTACTCCCAGACCGCTGGTCAGTACACAGCACATGGGTGGTGTCAGCCAAAGCGGCAGCGGGATCTGTCTTCATTTGCATGTGCTAATAGCAGCAGCAGTGGCAGTGTGGTGGGGTGCACACTTATCGGCTGTGGCAGAGTGCTAGCAGATTCCAGGGTTCCTGCCTTCATGTGGCATTCAACCCAGTGGCAGAGGAAGCACAGCTCGGTGGGTCATGGGGGTCCTTACTGGTGACTGTGCACATTCACGCTAGTGGTCATGTTAGCATGGGGGAGGGCACTGATGGGTACTGGTCTTTGTGCATTCTCTGTGCATCTCTGCAGGCAGGGATTGTTGGGGGGTGAGTGGGGCTTGCAGGGAGGAAGGTTTCACTGTTCTCTGTGCCTAGTTTCACTCTGGTGGCAGTGTTGGTGCAAGGGCAGGGTGCTGGCAGGGGTGAGGCTGGCTGGTTCTTTACCCATCAAGGCTCTGAGTGCACTGGTGGTCCAGCAATGGGGGTGGAGGGCGGAGTACACTCTTGCTGTAGCATTGTCAAGGAAGGGTGCACGCACACTGGCATTCTGGTGGGACAAGGAAGGCAAAACCCTTCCACACACACATGTGCTGGCAAACTGATGTGAGGGTTTGCTGTGGGCCTGGGGGAAACTGCAGTATCATGAGGGAGTGGGTGAGTTGGTGCGTTGCCATAGCTTCTGCTCCACTGGAGTTCTGCACTGGTCAGGCATGGTCCACCAGTGCAGAAGCTACCGTGCAGTCCCCAGGGTACCTAAGGATGCCCTCCAAGCAGCTGTAACTAGCCTGGGGCCCCAGGAGAGTTCAGGAGACCAAGAGGTGTTCAGGGTTGCCCCATTTGATGGGCAAGACCACCCTGCAGAGTTTAGGTCCAACAGTTCCCCTACAGCTAGAGTCTCCGAGGAGAGCATGTTGAGCCTAGGTAGATGAGCTCCCTGGCCATTCTCTGCTACACATGCTCTCGCACCAAACTGTCTAGGCTTCATTTCAGCTGACATGCTGCCTGTACCACTTCTCTAAGCAGCTCTATCTGCCAACCTAAGTATTTCATGGTGGTTGACAGATATCCTCCTGCCAGGATTACAGAGGCCTGTGGCAACATATGTTGCTCCTTGCCAGTCCAACTCATCCATTCCCCTGGAGTCTTCGGGGGCCAGGAATGAGACCCAGTGTGCAGTAGCCCCATGCAGTGTTCATAAAATATCTTTTGATTTTTTTGGTGTTCTCTTCTATTTTTTGCCTTAGTGTTTTATAATTTCCATTATAGAGAACTTTCACTTCTTTGGTTAATTCCTAGGTATTTAATTTTATTTGTGGCTTTTGTAAATGGGATTACCTGCTTAAATTTCTTTTGTTAACTATTGGCATGGAGAAATGCTACTGATTTTTGTATACTGATTTTGTATCCTGCAACTTTATTTAATTTATAAGTTCTAATAATTTTTTGTGTAGTCTATATTTTTCCAAATGTAAGATGATATTACATGCAAACAAGGATAATTTAACTTTTTCCTTTCCAATTTGGGTGCCCTCTATTTCTTTCTCTTGCATGGTTGGTCTTCCTAGGACTTCCAGTACTGTGTTGAATAACAGGGGAAATGTGGGCATTTTTGTCATTTTCTACATCTCAGAGGAAAGGCTTTCAGTTTTTCTCCATTCATTATGACACTAGCTGTGTGTCTGTCATATGTTGCTTTCATTATGTTGAAGTATGTTCTTACTATACCCAGTTTTCTGAGGGTTTTTTTTTTAACATGAAGGGATAATGAATTATATCATATTCTATTTCAGCATCATTTGAAATGATCATATGGTTTTTGTCCTTCATTCTGTTGATATGATGTACCACATTGATTAGTTTGCATATGTTGAACTATTTTTGCATCCCACGGATAAATTCCAATTGGTCATGATGAATGATCTTTCTGATGTATTGTTGAATTCTATTTACTAGTATTTTTTGAGGATTTTTGCATCAATAATCATCAAAGATATTGGCCTGTAGTTTTCTTATTTTGTTATGTCTTTGTTTTTGATTTAGTATCAGGGCAATACTGGCCTTGTAGAATGAGTTTGAAAGTATGTCCTCCCCCTCTATATTTTGGGATAGTTTTAATATGATTGATATTAGTTTTTCTTCAAATGTTTGCTAGAATTCAGTAGTGAAGCCATCAGATCCTGGGCTTTTCTTTACCGACAGACTTGTTATTACAGCTTTGATCTTGTTACATTTTATTGGTCTGGTGTGGTTTTGATCTGTGTTCCACCCAAATTTCATGTCAAGTTGTAGTCCCCAATGTTGGAGGAGGAGCCTGGTGGGAATTTACTGTATCATAGAGGCGATTTCTCATGAATAGTTTAATACTATCCCTCTTGTTCTTATGATAGTGAGTTCTCATGAGATCTAGCTGTTTAAAAGTGTGAAGCACCTTCCACCTTGCTCTCTTGCTCCTGCTCCCAATGTGTAAGATGCCTCACTTTCCCTTTGCCTTCTGCCATGATTTTAAATTTCCTGAGAATTCCTTAGAAGCTGAGTGGATGCCAGAATCATGCTTCCTGTACAGCCTGCAGAACCATGAGCCAATTAATCTTTTTTTCTTAATAAATTACCCAGTCTCAGGTATTTCTCTGTAGCAGTTCAAGAATGGACAAATACGTGGTCTATTCAAGTTTTGGATATTTTCCTGGTTCAATCTTGGTAGGCTGTATGTGTTTGGAAATTAAACAATTTCTTCTAGATTTTCCAATTTTTCAGCATACTCTTGCTCATAGTAGCCACTAATCATCCTTTGAATTTCTGCAGTATTAGTTGTAATGTCTCCTTCTTCATTTCTGATTTATTTTGAGCTTATCTCTGTTTTTTTCTGAGCTAGTCTGGCTAAATCTTTGTAGATTTTGTTTAATTTAAAAAAAACTTTTTGTTTCATGAGCTTTTGTATTGTTTTCTTCATTTTTTAATTTCATTTATTTCTGCTCTGATGTTTATTATTGCTTTTCTTCTACTAATTTTGAATTTGGTTTGTTCTTGCTTTTCTAGTTCTTTCAGATGGATTGTTAGATTGTTTATTTGAAGTTCTTTTTTTATGTAGACACTTATAGCTATAAACTTCCCTCTTATCACTGATTTACAGTGTCTCCTTGGTTTTGGTATTTTGTGTTTTCATTATCATTTGTTTCAAGAAATTTTTCAATTTTTAAAAAATTTCTTCATTGACCCACTGGTCAATCAGAATCACATTGTTTAATTTCCATGTGTTTGTAAACTTTCCAAAATTCTTCTTGTTATTGATTTCTTGTTTTATTCCAATGTGTTCAGAGAAGATGGTTGACATTATTTCAATTTTTTGAATGTTTTAAGTCTTGTTTCTGACCTAATATATGGTTTATCCTCAAGGGTGATACATGTGCTGAAAAGAAGAATGTGTTTTTATAGTCATTTGATGAGATGTTCTGTAAATGTTTATTAGATACTTTTGGTCTATAGTGTAGATTAAGTCTGATGTTTCTTTTTTTTTCCTTTGAGACAGAGTCTCACTCTGTTGCCCAGGCTGGAGTGCAGTGGTATGATCTTGGCTCACTGCAATCTCTGCCTCCTGGGTTCAAGCGATTCTCCTGCATCAGCCTTCTGAGTAGCTGGGATTACAGGCACGCACCACCACACCAGGCTAATTTTTTTGTATGTTTATTAGAGATGGGGTTTCACCATTTTGGCCAGACTGGTCTCAAACTCCTGACTTCAGGTGATCCACCCACCTCAGCCTCCCAAAGTGCTGGGATTACAGACGTGAGCCACCGCACCTGTCCATGATGTTTCTTCATTGATTTTCTTTCTGGAAGATCTGTCCAATGCTGACAGTGGGGTGTTGAAGTCTACAACTGTTATTATATTGAGGTCTATCTTTTTTGTTAGCTCTAGTAATATTTGCTTTATATATGTGGGTGATCCAGTGTTGGGTGCATATATATTTAAACTTGTTATATTCTCTTGCTGAATTGACCCCTTTTATCATTATATAGTGACCTTCTTTGTCTCATAGTTTTTGTCTTGAAATCTTTTTTTTTTGATATAAGTATAGTTACTCCTGTTCTTTTTTGTTTTCCATTAGCATGGAATATCTTTTTTCATCCCTTTCTTTTCAGTCTATATGTGTCTTTAAGGGTGACTTGCGTTTCTTATAGGCAACAGATTCTTGGGTCTTGTTTTTTTCCATACATTCAGCCACTCTATGTTTCTTGACTGGAGTGTTTAGTCCATTTAAATTCAATGTTGTTTCTGGTAAGAAATAACTTACTCCACTTATTTTATTACTTGTTTTCTGATTGTTTTGTGGGTTTTCCCTTCTTCTTCTTCTTTTTTTTTTTTTTTTTTTTTTTGAGATGGAGTCTCGTTCTGTCACCCAGGCTGGAGTACAGTGGTGTGATCTCGGCTCACTGCAAGCTCTGCCTCCTGGGTTCACACCATTCTCCTGCCTCAGCCTCCCCAGTAGCTGGGACTACAGGCACCCGCCACCACGCCTGGCTAATTTTTTTTGTATTTTTAGTAGAGACGGGGTTTCACCATGTTAGCCAGGATGGTCTCGATCTCCTGACCTCGTGATCCACCCGCCTTGGCCTCCCAAAGTGCTAGGATTACAGGCATGAGCCACCGTGCTCTTTTATTTCTGTCTTCCTTTAGTGATGGTGAATTTTGGTGGTAATATGATTTAGTTTCTTGCTTTTAATTTTTTTGTAACCATTGTATGTTTTTTTTGGTTTGGGCTTACCATCAGGATTGCAAATTCTATCTTATAACCCATTATTCTATCCTGACAAAAACTAAACGTTGTGCATAAAGAAACAAGCAAAAAGAAAACTAATAAAAACTCAACACTTTAACTTCATCACTCCAGTTTTTAACTTTTTGTTGTTTCTATTTATATCTTATTGTACTGTCTATTACTTGAAAAGTTTTTATAATATTATTTTTGACTGGTTCATTATTTAGACTTTCTGTTTAGGATAAGAGAAGTTTAAATACACTGTTAGAATATTCTGGGTTTTGGTATATTTACCTTTCCTAGTGAATTTTGTACCTTCAGGTGATTACTTATTGCTCATTAATGTCCTTTTTTTGTGATTGAAGTACTCCCTTTAGCATTTCTTTTAGGATAGGTATGGTGTTGATGAAATGCCTCATTTTTTGTTTGTCTTTGAAAAGTCTGTATTTCTTCTTCACGTTTGAAGGATATTTTCACTAGATGTCCTATTCTAGGGTAAAAGATTTTTTTCTTAAGGACTTTAAAGATGCCACGCCACTCTCTCCTGGTCTGTAAGGTTTCCACGGAAAAGTCTGCTGACATATTTACTGAGGTTCCTTTGCATGTTATTTGTTTCTTTTTTCTTGCTTCTTTTAGGTTTCTTTTTAAAAATCTTTTATCTTTGGGACTTTGATTATTAAATGCCTTGTGATGGTCTTCTTTGGGTTCAATCTGCTTGGTGATCTATATAACCTTCTTGTACTTGGATATTGATATATTTCTCTGAATTTGGAAAGTTCTTTGTTATTATCCCTTTGAAGAAATTTTCTACCCTATATTTTTCTCTACCTTCTCTTTAAGGCCAATAACTCTTAGATTTACTCTTTTGAGGCTATTTTCTAGATCCTGTTGGTTTGCTCCATTGTTTTTTTTTTTCTTTCTTGTTTTGTTACCTCTGACTGTATTTTCAAATAGCCTGTCTTCCAGCTCACTAATTTTCTGCTTGATCAATTCTGCAATTAAAAGACTCTGATGCATTCTTCACTATGCCACTTGCATTTCTCATCTCTAGAATTTCTGCTTGAGTCTTTCTAATTATTTCAATTTATTTGTTAAATTTATCTGATAGAATTCTGAATTCCTTCTTTGTGTTTTTCTAAATTTCTTTGTGTTTCCTCATGGGAGCTATTTTGAATTCTTTGTCTGAAAGGTCACATAACTCTGTTTCTTCAAGGTTGCTTCCTGGTGGCTTATTTAATTCATTTGGTGAAGTCATGTTTTCCTTGATGGTATTGATGCTAGCAGATGTTGTTTGGTGTCTGGGCATTGAAGAGCTAGGTATTTGTTGTAGTCTTCACTGAGTGGGCTTGTTTGTAACTTTCCTTCTTGAGAAGGTTTTCCAGATATTCAAAAGGACTTGGGTGTTTTGATCTAAGCTTTATCTGCTTTCAGGGGCACCCCAAACCCAGTAACACTATGATTTTTACTGACTCATAGGGATATTGCCTTAGAGGTCTTAGACAAGATCCAGAAGCATTCTCTGGATTACCAGGTAGAGACTCTCATTCTCTTCCCTTACATTCTCCCAGAGTCTGATATGGTTTGTCTCTGTGTCCCTTTTAAATATAAGTTTCAATTCCAAATCCTATCTTTGTGAATGAGTTAACTGAATGCTTTTAAGAGCACCCAAGTTATATGTTGAATGCTTTGCTGCTTAGCACTGGCCCAGAGGGCTAGGAGGCCTAAATGGGAACAATGGTTTTCTGGGCCAAGCCTTGAGCCCTGTTGCTCTGTGTTGCCTCAGGACATGGCACCCTGCATCCCAGCTACTCCAGCTCCAGAGTGGCTAAAAGGAGCCAAGGTACACATCAGGCCATTGCCTCACAGGAGCAAGCCGCAAGCTTTGGTGGCTTCCACTTTGTGTTGGGATTGAAGGTACCCAGAAGACAGGAGTTGAGCTTTGGGAGCCTCTGCCTAGATTTCAGAGGATGTATGGAAATGCCTGAATATCCAGGCAGAAGTCTGCTTCAGGGGTATAGCCCTGATGGAGAACCTCTACTAGGGCAGTGTATTAGTCCATTTTTATGCTGCTGATAAAGATATACCCAAGACTGGGTAATTTAGAAAGAAAAAGAGGTTTAGTGGACTCACAATTCCACGTGGCTGGGGAGGCCTCTCATTCATGGTAGAGGGTGAAAGGTGTATTTTACATGGTGGCAGGCAAGAAAGAGAATGAGAACCAAGTGAAAAGGGAAACACCTTATAAAATCTTCAGATCTCATGAGACTTTTTCACTACCACAAGAACAGTATGAGGGAGACTGCCCCCATGCTTCAATTATCTCCCACCAGGTCCCTCCCACAACACATGGGAATTATGGGAGCTACAATTCAAGGTGAGATTTAGGTGGGGGCCCAGCCAAACCATATCAGGCAGTGCAGAGGGGAAACATGGGGTTGGAGCTCCCCGCTAGAGTCCCCACTGGGGCACTGCCTAGTGGAGCTGTGAGAAGAGGGACACTGTCCTCCAGATCTCAGAATGGTAGATCCACCAACAGCTTATTCCATGCACCTGGAAAAGCCACAAGCACTCAATGTCAGCCCTTGAAAGAAGCCAGTGAGGGTGTTCCACCCTGCAAAGCCACAGGGGCAGAGCTGCCCAAGGCCTTGAGAGCCAACCCTTTGCATCAGCCTGCGCTGGATGTGAGACATGGAGTCAAAGGAGATTATTTTGGAGCTTTAAGATTTAATGACTGCCCTGCTGGGTTTCAGACTTGCATGGGGCCTGAAGCCCCTTTGTTTTGGCAATGTTTTCCATTTATAATGGGAGCATTTACCCAATGTGTATATCCCCATTGTATCTTGGGAGTAACTAACTTGTTTTTTGTTTTACAGGGTCATAGGTGGAAGGAACTAACCTTGTTTCAGATGAGACTTTGGACTTGGACTTTTGAGTTAATGCTGGAACGAGCTAAGACTTTAAGGGACTGTTGGGAAGGCATGATTGGTTTTGAAATGTGAGGAGAAGGACATGAGATTTGAGAGGAGCCAGGGGAAGAATGATGTGGTTTGGCTCTGTGCTCCCACCCAAATCTCATCTTGAATTGTAACCCTTCACCTTTTGGTGGAGGGACCTAGTGGGAGGTGATTGAATCATGGGGGTGGATAGCCCCCTTTCTGTTCTTATGATAGTGAGTGAGTTATTAGGAGATCTGGTTGTTTAAAAGTGTGTGGCACTTCCTCCTTCACTTGATCTCTCCTGCTTCACTATGGTAAGACATGCTTGCTTTCCGTTTCCCTTCTGCCATAATTGTAGGTTTCCTGAAGCCTCCTAGTCATGCTTCCTCTTAAGCCTGCAGAACTGTGAGTCAAATAAACCTCTTTTCTTCATAAATTACACAGTCACAGGTAGTTCTTTATAGTAGCGTGAGACTAGACTAATACAGAGTTTCTCTCTGTGTTCTGAGCCACCTAAAGCTGGGGGTGGAGTGGCACAAATACTCCTGTGGCCACCACCACTATGACTGTGCTGGATCAGACCTGAAGTGAGCACAGCAGTAGTTCTTGCCCAAGGCCTGCTGTAACCACTTCCTAGCTACACAGCCTATGTTCACTCAAGGCCCTGGGGCCATACAATTATTATGTGGCAAGGCCATCTTTGACTGTGTCTTTTCATTCAAGGTGGGAAGCTCCCCCAGGCTTCGGGTTGGGCCAGAGGTGCTACAAAGGAGCCAGGAACTAGGGTTAAAAATCTTAGAGGTCTACCTGTTGTTCTATTGTACTGTAGCTGAGCTGGTACTTAAACCACAAGACACAGTTCTTCGCACTCTTCTTTCCCCTTTCCAAAGACAGAGGAGTCTCACTCTGTAGCCACCACCACCACAGGTCAAGGGGAGTACTGCCAGACTACTGCCAATGTTTTCTTAAGTTCAAAGGGCTCTTAAGTCAGTTTGTGGTAAATACTGCCTGGTCTATGACTCACCCTTCAGGGCACTGGGCTCCCTGCTGGCCTAGGGCAGGTCTAGATATGCTGTCCATGTATCAAGTCCATGGAATCAGGGACCCCAAGAGTCTGCTTGGTGCTGTATCCATCTTTGGCTGTGCTGGTACCTATGGTACAAGACAAAGTCCCCTTTACTTTTCCCTCTACTTTTCTCAAGCAGAAGGAGTTTTGCCCTGTAGCCACCAGAGCTGGTAATTTGCCAAGTCTCACCTGATGTCAGCAGCTCTTAGAGGCTTACCAATGCCCTCAACGTAGTACCTGGGTATTGTTTCTGGTTATTCAGGCCTTGAGGGTTCTTTTGTTAACAGGTGATGAATGCTTCCAGGATTGGGTCATTCTCTTCAAAGTAGCAGGTTCCCTTCTTGGCCAGGGTGTGTCTAGAATTGTCATCTAGAAAGACAAAGTCCTCCCCACTTTTCCCTCTCCTTAAGTGGAAGCCAGGGGTCTTTTTTGGAGCTGGGAGCTTTCCAGCCTGGGGTTGAGGGAGGGGTGATGCCAGTACTCCCTTAGCAGCCCAAGCTGGTGTCTCAGTAAGTCACGTGTCTACCCAGTCCACTGTATCTTGGCCCAGTTCAGCACTGTAACTCTCCTATGAGTTGCAGTCTTTATGGCCTAGGCTGCCTTTCAAGTTTATTTAAAGCACAAAGCACTTTAGCCTGCAGTGGCAAGGTTTGCAAGAACTTGTTCTTGTGGGGGTGGGAGGGGCAATTGGTGGGGCCTTCTGTTCTGCCATCTTGCTTCACTCTTCCTAATCTTATTGGGAAGTCATCTAGATTCTCACCATTAAGTATGATACTGGATGCTGGCTATAGGTTTTTTGTACATGTTCTATTCCAAGCGAGGAAGCTCCCCCATTTTTATTTTGCTGAGTTGTTTTTATTACAGATGGGGATTGGAGTTTGTCAAAAACATTTTCTACATCTGTTGATATGATCATGTGCTTTTTTAATTTTTAGCCTGTTAATATACTAGACTATATTAATTGATTTTTGAATGTTGAACCTGTTTGCCTACTTGGAATTAATTTCACTTGGTTGTGGCATATAATTCTTTTTATAAATTGTTTGAATCAATTTGCAAATTTTTTGAGGGTTTTTGCATCATGTTTATGAGAGATATTGGACTCTTGTTTTTCTGTCTTGTAATGTATTTTTCTGGTTTTGGCGGTAGGCTAATGCTGGCCTTATAGAGTGAGTTAGGAAGTGTTCCCTCTGCTTCTATTTTTTGGAAGAAATTGTAGAGAACTGGTATAATTTCTTCATTGAATATTTGGTCAAATTTACCAGTGAATTGATGGGCGAGGCAACACATGCCTGTAGTTTTACATACTCGGGAGGCTGAGGCAGGAGCCCAGGAATTCAATGCCAAACTGGGCAACATAATAAGACCCTGTCCCAACACTTCCCCCCAAAATTACCAGTGAACCCATCTGGACCTGGTGTTTTCTTTTTGTTTCTGAAAGTAATTAATTATTGATTTAATTTGTTAGTAGATACAGATACAGTCTTACTGAAAATATCTCTTTCTCCTGTATGAGTTTTGATGAATGGTGCATTGCAAGGAATTGGTTCATTTTATATAAGTTTTCAAATTTGTGGGCATAGAGTTGTTCTTTTTTTTTTAGCTATCCCTTTAATGTCTATGGAAATTGTAGTTATATCTCCTCTATCATTTTCTGATATTAGTAATTTGTGTCTTTTCTAGCCTGGTTAGAGACGTACCAATTTTATTGATATTTTTTAAAGAACAGCTTTGGATTTTATTTATTTTCTCTATTAATTTTCTATTGCAATTTTGCTGATTTTTATCTGTAATTTTAATTTATTTTTTCTTACACTTACTTTGGACATATTTAGCTCTTCTTTCTCTAAGTTCTTCTTTTTGCTAAGGCAGAAAACATAGATAATTGATTTTGCATCTTTCTTCTTTTCTAGTATATACATTCATTGCTGTAAATTTCCTTCTAAACATTGCTTTAACTTCACCTTGCAAATGTTGACTTGTTGTATGTTCATTTTCATTTAGGTTGAATTATTTTTAATTTTTCTCAGACTTCTTCAGCCCATGTCCATGTATTATTTAGAAGTTTGTTGTTTAATATCCTTGTATTTTGAGATTTTCCTAGCTATGTTTCTGTTGTTAATTTCTAGTTTAATTCAGTTATGGTCTAAGAGCATACTTTGTATGATTTCTGTTTCAACTATTTTCATTTGTATAAATTTATGGGGTACTAGTGTAATTTTGTTACATGCACAGATTGCACATTTATGGAGTCAGGGCTTTTAGAGTAAACATCATCTGAATAATGTACATTGTACCCATTAAATAATTTTTCATCATCCACCCCTCCCACTCCTTCACCCTTTTGCATCTTCATTGTCAATCATCCCACATAAGTTAATATGCATACATTATTTGGCTCCCATTTATAAGTGAGAACATGTGGTGTTTGTTTTTCTGCATCTGACTTGTTTCGCTGAAGATAATGGCCTCCAGCTTCATGTTTCTGCAAAAGACATGATTTCATTCTTTTTTGTGGCTGAATATTATTCCATTTTGTATATATGTCACAATTTTTTTAACCAGTCATCTTTTGATGGACACTTAGGTTGATTCCATATTTTTGCTGCTGTGAATAGTGCTGTGATAAACATATGGAGGAAGATATTTTATATACATATATTTCCTTTTGGTTGTTACCCAGTAATGAGATTACTGGATCCTGGTAGTTCTTTTTCTTTGCAACATTTCCATACTGTTTTCGATAGAGGTTGTACTAATTTACATTCCTAAGAACAATGTATAAGCCTTCCCTTTTCTCTGCATCCTCACCAACATCTGATTTTTTTTGTCTTTTTATTAATAGCCATTCTAACTGGTATAACATTGTATCTCCTTGTGGTTTTAATTTGCATTTATCTGATGATTAGTGACGTTGAGCTTTTTTTTATGTATGCCTGTTGGCTATTTGCCTGTATTCTTTAAAATAATTTTATTTTCTGTGAGTACTTAGTAAGTTTATATACTTATGGGGTATATGAGATACTTTGATGAAGGCATACAATGTGTAATAATCACATCAGGATAAGTGGGGTATCCATCACATCATGCATTCATCCTTTGTGTGACAAACCATCCAATTATACTTTTAGTTATCTTAAACTGTACAATTAAATTATTAACTATGGTCACTCTGTTATACTATCAAATACTAGATTTTATTTATTCTTTCTAATGAATTTTTTTGTGCCCATTAACCATCCTCATTCTGCAACCCCCACCATCTGCTATCCTTCCCAGATTCTGATAATCACCATTGTAATCTCTAACTCCATGAGTTCAGTTGTTTTAACTTTTAGCTCCCACAAATGAATGAGAACATCCAAATTTTTTCTTTCTATGCCTGGCTTATTTCACTTAACATAATGATCTCCAATTCTATCCATGTCGTTACAAATGACAGGATCTCATTCTTTTTTATGACTGAATAATAATCCATTGGGTATATCGCACCAAGTTTTATTTATCCATTCATCTGTTGATGGACACCTAGGTAGTTTGCATGTCTTCTTTTGAGAAATGTTTATTCATGTCTTTTACCCACTTTTTAATGGGATTATTTGTTTATTTTTCATTGAGCTTTTTAAGTTCCTTGTAAATTTTGTATATTAGTTCTCTGTCAGATGCATAGCTTGCCAATATTTTCTCCCATTTAAAATGTTGTTTCTTCACTGTGTTATTTCTTTTGATGTGCAGGAGGTTTTTAGCTTAAGTCGTATTTGTCAATTTTTGTTTTGTTCCCTCTGCTTTTGAAATCTTAGTCATGGACTCTTTGCCTAGACCAATGTCCAGAAGAATTTTCTCTAGGTTTTACATTTAAGTCTTTGATCCATCTTGAGTTGATTTTTGTATATGGTGGGAGATAGGGGTCAAGTTTCATTCTTCTGCATATGGCAATTCAAATTTCCCAGAACCATTTACTGAAAGGGTGTCGTTTCCCTATGTATGTTTTTTATTTTGTCAGCGATCATTTGGCTGTAAACAAGTGACTTTATTTCTGGGTCATCTATTCTATGAATGTCTTCCTTTTTTTGGTTACTATAGCTTTGTAGTATAATTTGAAGTCAGGTAATATGATGCCTTCAGCTTTTTTTTTTTTTTCTTTCTGAGGATTGCTTTGGGTATTTGGGCTCTATTTGATTCCATATTAATTTTAGAATTATTTTCCTAACTATAAAAGATGACATTGATATTTTGATAGGAATTACATTTAATTCATAGATTGTTTTGTGCAGTATAATCATTTTAATCATATTAATTCTTCTGATGCATGTGCATGGGATTTTTGTATTTGTTTATGTCATCTTATGTCAGCTGATGATTTCTTTCATCAGCGTTTTGTAGTTTTCCTTGTAGAGATTTTTTTTCACCTCCTTGGTTTTATGTATATACTATATATTGATATATATTCTATATATAAACTGATATACATTTATACATAATATATAAACTGATATACATTTATATATAATATATAAACTGATATATTTATAATAGATAAATATATATTTTTCAAGATGTTGTATCCTTTTGTAGCTATTATAAATGGAATTGCCTTCTTGACTTTGTTCTTAGCTAGATCACTATTGTTGTATAGAAATGTTACTAATTTATGTACATTAATTTTGTGCCCTGAAACTTTACTGAATTTATTGATCAAACTTGAGTAGTATTCTTTTTGCTTCTGTCTAATTTTTAATGTGCATTTTATCCTAGAATGTGGTCTGCCTTGGTGAATGTTTACTGTGAGTTTGAAAAGAATGTGTATGCTGCTGTTGCTGGTTGAATACTCTATCAATGTCACTAAGATCCAGTTGATTGATGATACTCTTCAGTTCAACTGCGTCCTTACAGATTTCCTCTATACTGGATCTGGATCTGTCAATTACTGAGAGAAGGGTGTCAAAATCTCCAATGATAACATCGGATCCATCTATTTCTCCTTGCAGTTCTATCAGTATTTGCCTTATATATTTTGATGCTCTCTTGCTAAGGATAATTGTTTGTCTTCTTGGAAAATTAACCTCTTTATCATTATATAATGCTCCTCTTATCCTTGACAATTTTCTTTACTATGAAGTCTCCTTATTCTTTTCTTTTGTTTTTTATTTTATTATTATTATACTTTAAGTTTTAGGGTACAAGTGCACAATGTGCAGGTTAGTTACATGTGTATACATGTGCCATGCTGGTGTGCTTCACCCATTAACTCGTCATTTAGCATTAGGTATATCTCCTAATGCTATCCTTCCCCCCTCCCCCCACCCCACAACAGTCCCCAGAGTGTGATATTCCCCTTCCTGTGTCCATGTGTTCTCATTGTTCAATTCCCACCTATGAGTGAGAACATGCGGTGTTTGGTTTTTTGTTCTTGCAATAGTTTACTGAGAATGATGATTTCCAATTTCATCCATGTCCCTACAAAGGACATGAACTCATCTTTTTTATGGCTGCATAGTATTCCATGGTGTATATGTGCCACATTTTCTTAATCCAGTCTATCATTGTTGGACATTTGGCTTGGTTCCAAGTCTTTGCTATTGTGAATAGTGCCACAATAAACATATGTGTGCATGTGTCTTTATAGCAGCATGATTTATAGTCCTTTGGGTGTATACCCAGTAATGGGATGGCTGGGTCAAATGGTATTTCTAGTTCTAGATCCCTGAGGAATAGTCACACTGACTTCCACAATGGTTGAACTAGTTTACAGTCCCACCAACAGTGTAAAAGTGTTCCTATTTCTCCACATCCTCTCCAGCATCTGTTGTTTCCTGACTTTTTAATGATTGCCATTCTAACTGGTGTGAGATGGTATCTCATTGTGGTTTTGATTTGCATTACTCTGATGGCCAGTGATGGTGAGCAATTTTTCATGTGTTTTTTGGCTGCATAAATGTCTTCTTTTGAGAAGTGTCTGTTCATATCCTTCGCACACTTTTTGATGGTTTTTTTTTCTTGTAAATTTGTTTGAGTTCATTATAGATTCTGGATATTAGCCCTTTGTCAGATGAGTAGGTTGCAAAAATTTTCTCCCATTTTGTAGGTTACCTGTTCACTCTGATGGTAGTTTCTTTTGCTGTGCAGAAGCTCTTTAGTTTAATTAGATCCCATTTGTCCATTCTGGCTTTTGTTGCCATTGCTTTTGGTGTTTTAGTCATGAAGTCCTTGCCCATGCCTATGTCCTGAATGGTAATGCCTAGGTTTTCTTCTAGGGTTTTTATGGTTTTAGGTCTAACGTTTAAGTCTTTAATCCATCTTGAATTAATTTTTGTATAAGCTGTAAGGAAGGGATCCAGTTTCAGCTTTCTACATCTGGCTAGCCAGTTTTCCCAGCACCATTTATTAAATAGGGAATCCTTTCCCCATTGCTTGTTTTTGTCACGTTTGTCAAAGATCAGAGAGTTGTAGATATGTGGCGTTATTTCTGAGGGCTCTGTTCTGTTCCATTGATCTATATCTCTGTTTTGGTACCAGTACCATGCTGTTTTGGTTACTGTAGGCTTAATTGATAGACCGCTAGCAAGACTAATAAAGAAGAAAAGAGAGAAGAATCAAATAGATGCAATAAAAAATGATAAAGGGGATATCACCACCGATTCCACAGAAATATAAACTACCATCAGAGAATACTACAAACACCTCTATGCAAAAAAACTTGAAAATCTAGAAGAAATGGATAAATTCCTCGACACATGCACGCTCCCAAGACTAAATCAAGAAGAAGTTGAATCTCTGAATAGACCAATAACAGGCTCTGAAACTGTGGCAATAATCAATAACTTACCAACCAAAAAGAGTCCAGGACCAGATGGATTCACAGCCGAATTCTACCAGAGGTACAAGGAGGAACTGGCACGATTCCTTCCGAAACTATTCCAATCAATAGAAAAAGAGGGAATCCTCCCTAACTCATTTTATGAGGCCAGCATCATCCTGATACCAAAGCCCGGCAGAGACACAACCAAAAAAGAGAATTTTAGACCAATATCCTTGATGAACATTGATGCAAAAATCCTCAATAAAATACTGGCAAACGGAATCCAGCAGCACATCAAAAAGCTTATCCACCATGATCAAGTGGGCTTCATCCCTGGGATGCAAGGCTGGTTCAATGTACACAAATCAATAAATGTAATCCAGCATATAAACAGAACCAAAGACAAAAACCACATGATTATCTCAATAGATGCAGAAAAGGCCTTTGACAAAATTCAACAACTCTTCATGCTAAAAACTCTCAATAAATTAGGTATTGATGGGATATATCTCAAAATAATAAGAGCTATCCATGACAAACCCACAGCCAATATCATACTGAATGGGCAAAAACTGGAAGCATTGCCTTTGAAAACTGGCACAAGACAGGGATGCCCTCTCTCACCACTCCTATTCAACATAGTGTTGGAAGTTCTGGCCAGGTCAATTAGGCAGGAGAAAGAAGTAAAGGGTATTCAATTAGGAAAAGAGGAAGTCAAATTGTCCCTGTTTGCAGATGACATGATTGTATATCTAGAAAACCCCATCGTATCAGCCCAAAATCTCCTTAAGCTGACAAGCAACTTCAGCAAAGTCTCAGGATACAA
The DNA here is from genome assembly GCF_000001405.40 of Homo sapiens. Taxonomy (NCBI): domain Eukaryota; kingdom Metazoa; phylum Chordata; class Mammalia; order Primates; family Hominidae; genus Homo; species Homo sapiens. The sequence continues at coordinate 63,969,791 of NC_000023.11, read as the reverse complement.
AATCAATGTACAAAAATCACAAGCATTCTTATACACCAATAACAAAGAAAGAGAGAGCCAAATCATGAGTGAACTCCCATTCACAATTGCTTCAAAGAGAATAAAATACCTAGGAATCCAACTTACAAGGGACATGAAGGACCTCTTCAAGGAGAACCACAAACCACTGCTCAATGAAATAAAAGAGGATACAAAGAAATGGAAGAACATTCCATGCTCATGGGTAGGAAGAATCAATATCGTGAAAATGGCCATACTGCCCAAGGTAATTTATAGATTCAATGCCATCGCCATCAAGCTACCAATGACTTTCTTCACAGAATTGGAAAAAACTACTTTAAAGTTCATATGGAACCAAAAAAGAGCCCGCATCACCAAGTCAATCCTAAACCAAAAGAACAAAGCTGGAGGCATCACGCTACCTGAAGTCTCCTTTTTCTGAAATTAATATAGCTACTTCAACTTCCTTTTATGAGTGTTAGCATGGTACATCTTTCTTCGTACCTTTCCTTTTAATCTCTTCATGGCTTCGACAGCATATATTCGAGTCTTATGTTTTAAATCCACTCTGATAGTCTCTGTCTTATAATTGGTGTATTTAGAACATTGATATTTTAAGTGATTATTAACATAGGTGGATTTATACTTATCATTTTCACTACTGTTTTCTCTTTATTGATCTTGTTCTTTGTGTTATTGTCTTCCACTCTGGTTTTAATTGCACATTTTGTATGATTCCATTTTGTCTGCTCTTTAGGCATGCAAATTATACTTCTTCTTAAACTTTTTAAAAGTGGTTGCTTTTGAGTCTGCAATATACATTTAGAAGTAGTCCAAGTCCTCTTTCGAGTAATATGTATCACTTCCCATGTAGTGAAAATATAACAGATTATTTCCAATTCCTCCCTCCAGTCCCTTATAACATTGATGTCATTCATTTTATTTATCTATAAGCTTTAATTCCTAAATACATACCTGCTATTATTATTTTGAACAAACTGTCATCTGTTAGATTAATTAAGAGTCATTGAGGGAAGTGGGGGTAGATGTAGGTAACTTACATTATTTAATCCCTGTGTGCGAGGCTAGGCTCAATACTCTATGGCATGAGTGTGTCACCCTGAGAAATAGATATTATTCTCATTTTTCTGTGGATGAGGCATAGAGAAGTAAAAGTATTACCATAATGTGCCCACTTCTTACCACTTCGGTCACCAATCTGTTTATTACAAACTCCTGCCATCTCTCAAATATACTAAGCTTACTTCTACCTGAAGGCCTTTGCCCTGGTGATTTCTTCAGCCTAAAACACTCTTGCCCTTAGCCTGATGGCTCAGTCTCATTTCACTCACTTCTCTGCTCCAGTAACACATGGCAGAGGTGTTTTCCCTGATATCTCAAATAACAACCCCCATCATTCTGGCCTCTTACTCCACTTCATTTTTAGAGTACTTGCCAGCACCCAGCATGCTGCATATTTGTTTTTGTCTGTCTTTTTTCACTAGAGTGTGAACTCTTTGAGGGATTCATGAAGAAAGGGTCCTTGTCTGACTTGTTTTCCCTTGTACCTTAGTTCCCGAAGAGGCCTTGTACCCAGTCAGTCACTAGCCTAAGGTGACACAGCTAGCGACTAGGAAAGTCAGCTTTCTAACCTGTCTGTGGAGCTCAAACTGGCATTCTTTCTCCTGCTCCTCCAAATACCTGCTCATTTCTTCAATGAGTCGAGCTGATTTCAAACTAGACTTGGAAGAGATTTGGCTTTGGGAGGGGAGATCAGGGAGCAGGGCCCAGTAGAGAAGAGGCAAAGTAATATCTTGGAGATTATGTGTAGCAGAGAAAGGTGTTTCCTTCTCCCAAGAGAGGAGAAGAGGCAGTGGGCAGAAGATGAGGAAGAGGTAGGCAAGTGTAGTGGAAGGAAAGTCAGTGGCTGTCTCTGTGATGTCATTTTACAGGTGCCAGGAAAGTTCCCTGCCCCTAAATTTCTTTCCCAGATGCCTGAAATTCTACTTGCAGTGATTCATTTCTTTTCAGGAAGTTACCAATGGATTTTCACAGAAGATAAGACTGGATGTAAGCCCCGTGGAATGAAAGAGATTTCTCTGAATCTTGAGGCAACTCTTTGTGAGAATCTGAGGAATAATTTGAGAAGAGTATGCCAGACACATGGGGCCTTGGGAGGGCTACAGAGGATGTCAATGCAAGAAAGGGGTGAGATACTTCTGTTTTTGCTGAGAGGTGTTCTAGCCTCTTGCTACTCAAAATTTGGTCCGCAGATCAGCAACATTAGCATCATCTGGTAACTGATTGGAAATGAAGAACCTGAGGTCCCACTCCAGACCAGAATCAGAATCTGTATTTCAGAAAGATCTACATATTATTCATGTATACATTCAAGTGTGAGAAGCTAGAGTTATTTGTAGTTGCAGTTCTTTTATTTCCATTGTTATATAGTAGTCCATTGTCTGAGTATACCACAACTTATATATCCAGAAGCTAGAAACTTCTAGAGTAGTAAATAAGCCTATGGCAGGCAATATGCATAATACAGACTTTCAAAATATACTTTTTTCATATAGCAACAGTAATTTTTTTCACATCTGAGGGATCACCAACACAATAACCCACTGGTAGAATACGAATTTCAGGTGTCTGATCATACAAATGTAGTAAGCATAGCAAAAGAAAGGTTTTCCTGAGTCTTATTTGCTTTCTCTCAAGCTAACTAACCCTTCTCTTGCTCCAGGTGGACTGGCATTGCTCTTCAGTCATTTGCTTGGGTTTTCTCCCTCTCAGGTCCTTCCCAACAACATGGGGCAGGTACTATCTTATCTCTTGATCCGTGGCAGTGTCCTGCCATGAGCAAGAGCAGACATCAGAGGCCTCTACTTCACTTTTTAAACTTCTCAAATGACTCAAGATCCTTTTCTCTCAATCCTAGTTCAGATTTAGACTTTCAGATGGAAAAAAGGACAGTTGTTGAACCCCAAGAAGACTGGACAATTTAGAGGTTTAAAGAATAGAAGCTTTGGACAGTGCTTGGCACACAGCCTATTGATTTCCTATTTCTCTCCCTATGAGAGGCTCAAGTTCCTAGGATTCCCCCACCTTTGATGCTTTCTGGGGTGATTCATAGCGGAGAAAGTCCCCCCCTTTCTTCCTCCCAATCCCTCTATGGTGATGTGGTCTGATGGTGCCTGCCTTGTAGATTGACAAGATAACAATATCTAAAACATACAAGTCACATAACTCAAAGAATGATAGGTACACCTGTATCTAACTTGCTTGCACACCAAGGGGAGCCATTGTCTGTGTTTGTTTTGTGTGTTAAAACATTGTGAGGCAGCTGCTGCACTGAATGCTTTACTCAGGAGAGTGACAGCAGAAAATAATTGTAAGAAGAGTTGAAGTGTGGAATTAAGCCTATGAAGGAAAGGAAGAAGATGGAGAAGTGCGCAGAAAAACAATCCAGATAATCTGAAGAGGCAAGACAGGAACATTTAGGTTGACACTTATGCTTTTGTGCTGTGGTTTTGAAATTTCATTTTGAGAAAGGAAGATCTCTGATTGAAGTAGGAACGCATTCTGATTGATAATGCAGAGAAGTAATAGCAGCTCCCAGGTCTGTTTATATGTTTGAAATAGTGGCTATACCTAGGTCTGGATATTTGGATAATGTTCCCTAGAAATTTTTCTCTCTAAGTAAAAAATCTTAAACTGCTGCAGGGTTATTGGGGCTGTCTGGGCTTAGGCCAGGGAGGAATGTCAGGCTGTCCAAGGTGTTGATTAATGAGGCTTGGAGAAGGAGCCTCAGTTTCTAATTAGAAACAAATGTTCACAGAATGAAAAACAACGTTGGTGAAATGCTATCTCATTCTTAGGCCCTACTTCTAAAACTCCAGTGTGCCTCAGAATCACTCAGCATGCTTGTTAAATATGTAGATGCCTTGGTTCCAACTCCCAGAGATTCAGTTTCTTGTGGTTCTGACTGAGGTGGTCCAGACCAAACTTTGAGAAACATTGTTTATCAGGAAATATACTGGCCATATGAAAACTTTTTAATAAGCAATGATTTTTCTCCTCTCCAGGCCTTAGTGTGCCTATCAGTATTTACCATTTTAGATTGGCCACACCAGATGTTTCCCATGGTCTTTAGATGTGTATGTGCAAATTAGTCGGTGAGTATCCTATGAAGGAGAAGGTAGGAGCATGAAAGCTAAGAAAAATGTCTGGGCCCCACATGTGAAAGGGGCCCTAAACAAACCAGGAGTATGGTCAGATAAGTAGGCTGGAGAGGGATTGAAGGAACTGAGATTGTATAGCCTCAAGAGTGAAAACTCAGAGAGATGTGGCTTTTGGCTTAAGGAAAGCTGATACGGGGAAGAAGGAAAACCCTGTTGGGTCTGTGTACCTCCAATGTGTTAAAGGGAAAGTGAGAGGAAACTAGTATTTATTGAATATATACTAATCTGAAAGCTACAGGATGGCAGGTTTAAGCCCCACAAAAAGACATTTCTAATGATGGATGGGCTGCCACAAGGGTAACGAGACACACATCACTGGAATTGTGCAAACCAATTATATCTTTTCTATATGTGGATGCCACAGGGAAGAATTAATCATTAAGTAGTGATGCTAGCAATGGTGCTTGAGGAGTGAGGGAAGGAGAGGGCTGGACCAGATGGTTTTTAAGGCCCTTTGGCAAAACACTAAGAGTAAATAAAGTTAGTCTTTGGCACGCCTGCTTCCCTATTCTGTGACCTCTGAACCACAGACTCCTTATGATGCCTGCCTAGCCTGTCAAAAGATAGACTGAGGCTTCTGGGACCTGAGCAACCCTTTCACTCCCCAGAGACATTGGCATTTTAAAAGCAGAGCTGCATAAGAAGTAATGCAGAACCTAATGGTAGCATTTTGGGTATCAGACATTTGCAGATGTCCTGAACCCTCAATGCAGAGGCTGTCGTTCACATTATTTCTACATATAAGGTTGTTCCTAGGCATAAAGTGCCCCTGTATAGAGCCTGGGAACATGTAGGTTTATCCACCTGTTGGTATTATCTTGCCCTAGGCTTTGAGCACCTGTGATGTCAGAAAAATCTGAAACTTTTCAAAGAGTTAGTTACCAGCATCTGGTCTGAGGATTCCCAGCTATAGGTTTTCTGTCATGTAAAAGGATGCACAATTTTAGAACATAATTGTTTTGTGTCTATTGGGTGGGGGGAAGAACATGAATAACGAGAAAATAACATAGATGTTAAAGCTGTAAAACTGGCTTGAAATTTAAGCAAAGGGGCTGAAGAACTGAAGCACCTCCATCTGAGGACTGTCTGACCCCTTGATTCTGTGTAAATAGCTGAAGGAAGGAGGTGTGAGAGAAGGCAGCCTTGTGGAGTATTGGAAAGCATACTGGGCTGGGAGCAGCCCTGTTACCAAGGACCTCAAGCAAACTGATTTTTTTCTCTGGTCCTTAGTGATACTCTCTGTAAGGTGAAGGGCTTGGCTCATGAGACAGGAAGAGGAGTTGGGCCAGAGCCTGATCCCCATTGGTCAGGTAAGATGTAACACTCTCATTAATCTTACCTCCAATCCTTGAATGCCCACATGGCAGAGCTTGAAGGGCCCTGAGAGGCCATTGGAAAGGCAGTAGAGGGTGATGTTTAAGAGCACAGCTAGTCCTCAGTATCAATATTGAGTCTTTTACCTAGGAGTTATGTGGCTTTGGGAAAGTCACTTAAGTTCTCATTGTTTCCATTTATACAAGGAGCACCTAATAGCACTTGCCTCACAGGATTGTTGGGAATATGGAGTGAGACAGTGGTTGCCAGTACTCAGCACAGTTTGTGCCAGAGTAAGGGCTGAATAAATGCAGTAGTTGTTATTATGATAATCATTCCACTACTTCTGGTGTCCTTGACTTTTATCCACATCACACCATGGACAGGAGTTTTGTTGCTTAAGTAGGGAAAAGTTTGCAAATCATGATTGTCACAGCAAGAAGAGGCTATTTGCCTCTGCTTCCTCTCTGGAGGGTGAGACAGGTGGAGTGGTATCTTCTTCCTCCATTGGCTTTGGGCTAGGGCTTGTGGTTACTTCTGGGCTGAGCACATCCACAAGCCTCGGTTTTTCGCTACTCATGCCTTTAGCAGGGAAGTGCTCCTGCTGGCTTGGAGGATGTGAGCCAGGGAGTAGTGAACTGTTTTCCTCCAGCTGGGAATTTGGCCAGGGAGCAGAGGAAATACAGACTGGGATGGGGCCAGGCTTTGTAGCTGGTAAGCATGAACAATAGGAGGAGAGGGCCCCAGCTGGAATACCTGAGCAGGGAAGAAAGAGAAAAAAGATAGACAGATGAGAGCTCCAGTAGCCTCAGGGCCCTACCTGCCCAGTTTAGTTCACATTCTAGTGTTAGCCAAGTGGGTTCTGTACTGATTTCTCCCATCAGGTCTCCCATATGTGCTTGAAAGTAGTGTTTCTTGGTGAGTCAGTGAACTGTGATAATGGAGAATATGCATTCATGCATTCATTACATACTGAGAGGCAGTGTAATGGAATGGTTAAGAGCAGGACTGAAGCTAGACTGCTTGGGTTTGAATCCTTTCTCAAAAACTTACCAGCTGTGTTCATTTAGTTCTCTGAGCCTCAGTTTCCACATCTTTAAAATGCAGATAATAGTACATACCTTGTAGACTTGTTGTCAGTATTAAGTAAGTTTATAGATGAAAACAGTGCCTGTAATACAGTGACCATTCTATGAGTGATTATTATTGCCTTTAAACCAATAAGCAGTTAAATCAACAATTAAGTCACCAATGTTGACTCTGTGCCATGCTGGATACAGAACATAAAAATGATGTATAAGATGTAGTACCTGCTCTGAAGGACCTCATATGTGGTGGTGTAATGCAAATAACCTAGAATGATGAGGCTGAAGATCTCAGTTTAATACCCTGCTCTACTACCCAAAACTGTACAATAGTAGGTTGAAGTGGAGGTCATCTGGTCCAACATTTCTCTCTTGCGATCTGATACATAAACTCCCTACTGCCTGCCTTACAAGGATAGTCAGATTCTGTTTGCATGCCTTCAGAACAAGCAGCTCACTCCCTGTCCAGGTAAGCCATGATACATTATTTAATTACTCTAGGCCTCAGTTTTGTCATCCGTTAAAATGATGGAAAATAATATGGACATCAGAGGATCTCTGTGAAAGTCAAAATAATAATGGCTGGGAATCTGTTAAGCACCCTCAGACTTCAACACCCTGCTCAATAGGGTCAGGAAAAGTCACTTCAGGTACATGTGGGACTGATAGCCTTTCAAAATGAACAGGAGAAGAGTCTGCTTCCATTTCTTGTGATACTTACATACAGGGGAGTTTGTTTCTATGAACCAATGACGAGGAGCTGAGAAGAAGCAGAGTTTTCATTCCGTTGGGGGAAGGAAATTCTCTCAAGCATGATTGGCTGGGGGCAGAGTGGAGAGAGGTGAGGCTGTGCTGCCACCTTCCACTTCTCACAAAGATAAACCTTTGCTAACTGCTAGGCTGTGGCAACGGGAGATATGGCAACTGAAACTGCTCTATAGGACACTGATAATAGGCTCATGTACCAGATCTCACACACTGCCAACTTCTTGACTGACACATGAATTCCTGCCTAGGCCAAGAAGCATGCTGCCACACTGAGCAAATAAATGTCTGTGGCAGCAATTGTAGGAGCAGCAAGACTAGACCAGGCTTTCCCCTTTGGCTGAGATATGTGTGAGCATGCACTGTTGGTTAGGAGACTTCTCAAATTCTAGAATGCCAAGACTGAGAGGACTTCTTCAAGGTTATTTAGTCCATTCCCCTGCCTCCATGCAGGACTACACGTAACCCCTCTCAGACAGATCTGTCCTGTGTTTAAAGCTCTGCAGAGAGAAATATTATGCAGCCTCCTCTGCATGCCTGTTGCACTGCTTAATGACTCATAGACGAGAAGTTCTTCCTCTTGTTTTATCCTACCTTACATTACAATCTTTGTTTTTTTGTTTGTTTGTTTGTTTTTGTTTGTTTTTGTTTGTTTTTTTTTTTTGAGACAGAGTCTCGCTCTGTCACCCAGGCTGGAGTGCAGTGGCGCGATCTCGGCTCACTGCAAGCTCTGCCTTCCGGGTTCATGCCATTCTCCTTCCTCAGTCTCCCAAGTAGCTGGGACTACAGGCGTCTGCCACCACACCCGGCTAATTTTTTGTATTTTTAGTGGAGACGGGGTTTCCCTGTGTTAGCCAGTATGGTCTTGATCTCCTGACCTCGTGATCTGCCCACCTTGACCTCCCATATTACAATCTTTGTATCATGTTCTTCTCTTAGTGCCACAGCATGTAATGCACTTTTTCAGGAATGGGGCTGTGTGCTTATTTTCCTTTGTACAGAGTCCTGCACAAATGTGAATCAAATCTGTTCAATTTTCTGCAAGAACAGATCCAGGGTTACAAAGTTATAGGGAGGTCAGTGATGATTCAACAGAATAAGGAACTCGTGAAAGGATTAGCAGTGACAAGAAAAGGAAGCCCTAAGAGACAGGAGTTCCTTGTTTGTAAAAGAAATAAAGCAGAACAAGTGTAGGATACTACAGTAGTGATACTTATGTGGTGGGGTTTACTAGAGGACCCTTAAATCCTTTTTGCCCTTGGTTTTCTGCAAAATTTGTTCCATTTTCTCCCTCTCTCCCTAACTCTGTGAGCTCTGTGCCTCCAACTCCCAGAGGTCACCTCAGCCCCCTGTCAGGGCAGAAGGGGAGCAGTTACCTGTGATAAACAGAATGAAGCCAGTCCTGGGAAAAGAGCTTTAGCCTGACAGTCTCCAAAGCCTGTGCTTTTTCCACGTGCTCAAAATAGCAAGGGTCAAAATGCCCACAACTGTGAACTTCTGGCAAGTTTGCTAATTGTTCTTTGAAGAGCATTATGTGTTTTTATTATTATTGTTACTTGATCCACACAAATGAAGCTTGGAGGTGCTTAGGGAAGGTATCATTTTGAGCATTTTTCAGATAAGGTAAATGAAGTTCAACAGGATTGGATATTACCCTAGAGCTAGCATTTCCAACAAGAGATTTTGATCCCAAATCTAGTGCTCTTTTTCTAATACATCTCACCCATTTCTCCTACTATAAACAAAAGAGTTGACCAACTTTGTGCTATTCCAAAGAACTGTATCAGGACCAGAGGACAGAAATTATGGAAGACAGATGTCAAGTTACAAACAAAACAAAAATTTTAGCCTAGAGCCTTGGCGATAGAGGGCTGCTTCGAGAATGAGTGAGATCCTCAGTGCCAGGGAGTAGAAACTGGAAGATTTCTTGCTGGGAATGTTAAAGAGAGAATCCAAACCTAGAAGGGAGCTGAGGAATAGATTGCTTCTGAGGCTGCCATTGACAAGCCTTCCCAGTCACCCAGCTCTTTCTAAGCAGTATTTTTAGAGCAGGGCTGACCCTGAAATACCTGCTCAGCATCCCACCCCAACCCCCCAGAGACAGAGGCTAAATCCCTCTTTGTTTTCCTGACCACAGTCCAGCTAGTTAACTTCTCTACAAATGAATGGCTGGTTTTCTGTGCCTTTTCTCTAGACTGAAACATCTGTTTCCTCTCAGTCTCACTTCTAAGAGCAATACCCTGGGCTATGCAAGCCACTTGTCTGACTTATTTTTGTTTCTTTTCCTCCTGCCTGTCCTCCTTGAGACTTGGCCTGTGGAATGGGGCTGTTATAAATTGCTCTTCCCATCTCTTCCTGCTGCTTTCTCTTTTCTCCCTTTACCATGGTGCTTCCTCTCAACTTCCAGCCCCAGCCTCCTCTACCCCGTCCCCAAGCTAGCCTGGATCTCCACAACATGGCCTCAAGGTTGACCAAATAGTAATTTATTCTTCAGCAAATGCCTGTCTTTCTCCCACCTCTCTAAGCTGACTTTCAGTCTCCCTCATACTCAAATTTTAATTAGGGAAACTGAGGCCCCAAGGGTGTAGGATGAGCCAGTTCTTCTAGGACAGGGGTTAACAAGCTTTTTTTTTTTCTGTAAAAGGACAGATTGTAAATATTTTAAGCTTTGTGCGTCACTTGCAGTCTCTATTACACATTCTTCTTTAAAACAATTCTTTAAAAAGTAAAAATCAGTTTTCACTTATAGACCTTTCAGAAACAGGCCCCTGGCTGGACTCGGCTCAAATTTAGCAATTTGCCAATACCTGCTCAACAAGATTCTCTCAATTCATTGTTTAACAACTTCACTGTCAAGAAATTCTCCAGGCCGGGTGCAGTGGCTCATAACTGTAGTCTCAGTACTTTGGGAGGCCTAGGTAGTAGGATTGCTGGAACCCAGGAGTTTGAAGCTTCAGTGAACTGTGATTACACCACTGTACTTCAGCCTGGGCAACAGAGTGTGACCCTATCTCTAAAAAACAAAAATAAAAATAAAAGTAAAAAATAGAGAAAGTGAGAATAAAATTCTCCTCAGCATCTAACTTTTGTCCTCATGGTGTTGTTTTTCTGTTTGTTTGTTTGTTTTGTTGTTGTTGTTTTTCTGTTTTTTTGTTTTTGTTTTGTTTGTTTTTTGAGATGGAGTCTCGCTCTGTCGCCCAGGCTGGAGTGCAGTGGCGCGATCTTGGCTCACTGCAAGCTCCGCCTCCTGGGTTCACACCTTTCTCCTGCCTCAGCCTCCCGAGTAACAGGCACCCGCCACCACGCCCGGCTAATTTTTTGTATTTTTAGTGGAGATGGGGTTTCACTGTGTTAGCCAGGATGGTCTGGATCTCCTGACCTCGTGATCCCCCAGCCTCAGCCTCCCAACCTCATGGTGCTGTTTAAGGCCATTAACCCTTGGTAAAAATTTTCTGTAAAAGTTTTGTTGTTGTTGTTTCTTAAAGTGCTCATCCCCTGCGGCTCTTGTCCATTTCCTAGAATTCCTTACTGGCTTCCTTTCCCCCTCTCCCTAACAGCAGTACACCTTGATTTCTGTCTCCCTTTTGCCTCTCCCCTCCACCCCTGTGTTAGTCTGTTTTCTGTTGCTTATAACAGAATACCTGAGACTGAAATTTATTTCTCACAGTTCTGGAGGTTGTGAAGTCCAAGGTCAAGAGAGCACATCTGGCAGAGTTCTCATGACTCAGTCACTGTTAAAGGCCCCACCTCTCAATACTGCCACATTGCAGATTATGTTTCCACGTGAGTTTTGGAAGAGACATTTAATCCATAGCAACACCTGAAACTATTTCCAAGGAAAACAAACCATAAGGGATTAGAAGGTGAAATTGGATAGTGAATCTTTGGAGCCCCACATTCTTTTTTCAAACTATTTCCCTAGTTTTATTTGGCTTGAATCTGTGGGTGTTAGTGAGCTTTTTCTATAGACTTCAGGTCCCCTTGCTGTTAGTTCTCCCAGGACTTTTCCATGCCTTTCTTGTCCTTCAGGTTCCAGGAATTTGGCTCCTATTCCACCCTCTCTCTTTTCCCAGTTAATTTCTTGGCACCCAGACTGTCAGAAAAGCATGACATTATTTTCTTCTGCATAGCCTACCCTTTGTCTTTTGAAATAAGAATATATACCCTACTTATGTTTTGTGGGGAGGCTGTTCAAAAGTAAGAAAACTCAGATTTATCGAATGCCTACTATGTGCTAAGCATGGTGCTGGATGCCACTCTACTTATCAACGTATAGAATAATCAACAAAAATATGCATTAATTATTTTTATTTTCTACATGGTGAAATTGAGGCTTAGAGTAGTAGAATGACTTATGTAGAGCCACATAGCCGGCAAATGATAAAGCTGGGGATTTCCCCCTACTATTAGGTTGAACCATATGAAATTGCTGTTTTTATGGGTCAATGATGATCAAATATTGGCATTTTTATATGTTTCAACCTAACAGAATGGCCATGAGGCCAGGAATGTTTTTCTGTTTTCTTTACTCTTATGACTCCATATCCCTGACCAGTGCTTGATCTATAGTAGGGTCTCAATACATGTTTGTTGAATGAAAGAATGAAAATATATGCCTGTGTTCAAAGTCCACAACCTTTCCCCTATGGTACTATTTCCCAAACTTCAACCATTTTGGGACATTTTCAAAATTTTGCCATATCTACATATCTAGGTACTTTAGAAAATCGTCTGCCAAGTGTTGATAATACCTCAGTGAAATGTGTGCTACCCTTTGGATACTTCTGTCCTTAAGACTCTCCTGGCAATAGGGAGGAATGAGTTAATAAATGTAGCAAAACAAAGGTACCAGAGTTATTCAAAAGTCTAGGATGAAAACAATCCTAGAAGCAAAGAGCAGGTGAAGACACATCTATTTATAAAAATATGAAAATTCACTAAGAAAGGTGAATGGGTCAGACTTTGGTATGGTATGTGGACCAAGACCACTCTCTCCCTTCTCTCACTCAGTTCAGAGAAGCAGAGACTCCATTCCATACTCCTACAGCCAAAAACAGCAGTTTCCCTCTCCCTCTAGCTTCCAGAGGACTTACTTCTGAATAGGAGTAGTATGTCAACATTTCTTATCATGGCTCCAGCTACCTGTTGCTGAGGCTAAGTCCAAAGGCAAGTGCAGTTGAGGGGGTTCTCCCTTTTGCCACCCAGCCCACATTTGTGGAATGAAGGCTGTACCTTGGACACAGCACGTTGAGAAGACTGGGGTCTTGGTCACCTTGCCCCAGTTCTTACGGATGTAGTTCCACACCAGGATAGGCAAATGGAGAAAACCTCATGCTGCCCTCTCCCACCAAGTACTAATCTCTTAGAGTGGAGGAGTCACTCAGACAGAAGCTCGCCACTGTCCCCAAACCCAGCCCCAGAGCCCTGTTTCAGAGATTGTGCCAGGCCATAAACAGAGAACTAATCTTTTCCCAGAGAAACTGATGTCATTAGCAAGGAAGCATGGAGAAGTTCAAAACTGAGGACACTTTTAAAAACAGTTTAAGTTGTGGCAAAAATCATATGGAGGAGATTCAAGATACATACTCAACTGTAAGCCAGCTAGGTTATGGATGAGAACTGAAGAGTAAGACAGCTGGGAGGAGCCCTATTGTGTCAGAACAAATATCAAACCATGATATTAGAAGTATTCCTTTAAAAGATCCACAATTTTAGTAGATTGCTTGTAGAGTAACTTATGCCTCAGGTCATTGCTGGAAACAACTTACTAATCAGCTGGCTGTTAAGCATATGAGAAATGTTTCAGATATAATGAGGCAATTAAGCAACACAACTAAGTAAAGAATGGTCCAAAGAAGAAATTAAAGGGGAAATTAGAAAATATTTCAAGATGAATAAAAATGAAGACAGAGGAAATCAATGAAACCAAAAGCTGTTTTTTTCTTTTATTATTCTTATTTTTTATTTCCATAGGTTATTGGGGAACAGGTGGTGTTTGGTTACATGAGTAAGTTCTTTGGTGGAGATTTGTGAGATTTTAGTGCCCCCATTACCCAAGCAGTATACACAACATCCAGTTTGTGGTCTTTTATCCGTCAACCCTTCCCACCCTTTCTCCCTGAGTCCTCAAAGTCCATTATGTCTTTCTTATGCCTTTGCATCCTCATAGCTTAGCTTCCACATATGAGTGAGAACATATGATGTTTGCTTTTTCATTCGTGAGTTACTTCACTTAGAATAATAGTCTCCAGTCTCATCCAGGTCATTGCAAATGCCATTAATTCATTCCATTATTTCACATAGTACTCCATCATACATATATATATATATATATATATATATATATATATATTAATTCATTCCATTATTTCACATAGTACTCCATCATACATATATATATATATATATATATACACACACACACACACACACACATACACAGTATATGTATATACTTGGTGTATACACACACACACACACACACACACACACACACACACACATATATACCAGCTTCTTTATCCACTTGTTGATTTATGGGCATTTGGGTTGGTTCTACATTTTTGCAATTGCAAATTTTGCTCCTATAAACCTGCGTGTGTGAGTCTCTTTTTCATATAAGGACTTCTTTTTCTCTGTGTGGATACCCAATAGTGGGATTGCTGGATCAAACAGTGGTTTTACTTTCAGTTCTTTGAGGAATCTCCACACTGTTTTGCATAGCGGTTGTACTAGTTTACATTCCTACCAGCAATGTAGCAGTGTTCCCTGTTCACTGCATCCATGCCAACATCTACTATTTTTTGATTGTTTGATTATGGCCATTCTTGAAGGAGTAAGGTGGTGTCGCATTGTGGTTTTGATTTGCATTTCCCTGATCATTAGTGATGTTGAGCATTTTTTCATATGTTTGTTGGCTATTTGCATATTATCTTTTGAGAATTGTCTATTCATATCCTTAGCCCACTTTTTGATGGGATTGTTTGGTTTTTTTCTTGCTAATTTGTTTGAGTTCTTTTTAGATTCTGGAAATTAGTCCTTTGTCAGATGTATACCTTTGTCAGATGTATAGACTGTGAATATTTTCTCCCACTCTGTGGGTTTTCTTTTTACTCTGCTGACTGTTCCCTTTGCCATGCAGAAGCTTTTTAGTGTAATTAAGTTCCAGTTATTTATCTTTGTTTTTATTGCCTTTGCTTTTGGGTTCTTGGTCATGAAATCCTTGCCTAAGCCAATGTCAAGAAGGGTTTTTCCCATCTTCTCATCTAGAATTTTTATAGTTTCAGGCCTTACATTTAAATTCTTGATCCATCTTGAGTTGATTTTTGAATAAGGTGTGAGATGAGGATCCACTTTAATTCTCCTACATGTGGCTTGCCAATTACCTCAGCACCATTTGTTGAATAGGGTGTCCTTTCCTCACTTTATGTTTTTGTTTGCTTTGTCAAAGATCAATTGGCTGTAAGTATTAGGGTTTATTTCTGAGCTCTCTATTCTGTTCCATTGGTCTACATGCCTATTTTTATGCCAGTATTATGGTGTTTTGGTGACTATGGCCTTATAGTATAGATTGAAATCAGGTAATGTGATGCCTCCAGATTTGTTATTTTTGCTTAGTCTTGCTTTGGCTTTGTGGGCTCTTTTTTGGTTCCATATAAATTTGAGAATTGTTTTTTCTAGTTCTGTGAAAAATGATGATGGTATTCTGATGGGAATTGCATTACATTTGTAGATTGCTTTTGGCAGTATGGTAATTTTCACCATATTGATTTTACCTATCCATGAGCATGGGATGTGTTTTCATTTGTTTGTGTCGTCTATGATTTCTTTCAGTAGTGTTTTGTAGTTTTCCTTGTAGAGGTCATTCACCTCCTTGGTTAGCTATATTCCTAAGTATTTTTTTGTTTTGCAGCTATTGTGAAAGATATTGAGTTCTTGATCTGATGCTCAGCTAGTTGCAGTTGGTGTATAGAAGAGCTACTGATTTGTATAGATTCATTTTGTATCTGGAAACTTTGATGAATTCTTTTTATAAGTTCGAGGAGGTTTCTGGAGGAGTCTTTAGGGTTTTCTAGGTAAACAATCATATTATCATCAAACAGCGACAGTTCGACTTCTGCTTTTCCAATTTGGATGCCCCTTATTTCTTTCTCTTGTCTGATTGCTCTGGCTAGGACTTCCTGTACTATGTTGAAGGGGGTGGTGAGAGTGGGCATCCTTGTCTTGCTCCAGATCTCAGAGGGACTGCTTTCAACTTTTCCTCATTCACTATTATGTTTGTTGTGGGTTTGTCATAGATGGCTTTTATTACATCAAGGTATGTGCCTTGTATGTTGATTTGGCTGAGAGTTTTAATTATAAATGGATGCCGGATTTTGTTGAATGCTTTTTTCTGCATCTATTGAGATGATCATGTGATTTTTGTTTTTGATTCTGTTTATGTGGTGTATCACATTTGTTGACTTGCGTATGTTAAACTATCCCTGCATCCCTGGTATGAAACTCACTTGATCATGGTGGATTATCTTTTTGATATGTTGTTTGGTTCAGTTAGATAGTATTTTGTTAAGGATCTTAGGATCTGTATTAATCAGGGATATTAATCTGTAGTTTTCCTTTTTTGTTATGTCCTTTCCTGGTTTTGGTAATACTGGCTTCATAGAATGATTTAGAGAGGGTGCCCCCTTTCTCAATCTTATGGAATATCTAGTGTCAATAGGATTCATACCAATTATTCTTTGAATGTCTAGTAGAATTTTGCTGTGAATCATTCTGGTCTTGGAGTTTTTCTTGTTCATTTGTTTGTTTTTGTTTTTGTAATTTTTAAATTACCATTTCAATCTCACTGCTTGTTATTGGTTTATTCAGAGTATCTACTTCTTCCTGATTTAAGCTAGGAAGGTTGTATCTTTCCAGGAATCTATCCATCTCCTCTAGGTTTTCTAGTTTATGCGCATAAAGGTGTTCATAGTAGCCTCGAATGATATTTTGTATTTCTGTGGTGTCAGTTGTAATATCTCCCGTTTCATTTCTAATTAAGCTTATTTGGATTTTCTTTCTTGTTTTCTTGGTTAATCTTGCTAATGGTCTATCAATTTCATTCATCTTTTCAAAGAACCAGCTTTTTATTTCATTTATATTTTGTATTTTTTCTTTTGCTTCAAGTTCATTTAGTTCTGCTCCTGCTGCGAGATGGCACTTTCAAGACAGCATCAGCTATGGTAGTATGGGGAGGAATAGGTGGTGCCCGTGGCCCTAGAACTCCCAAGAGTATATGCCCATTGTCTTCAGTTACCAGGGTGGGTAAAGAAGGACCATTAGGTGGGGAGAAGGCTAGGTGTGTCTGAGCTCAGACTCTACTTGGGCAGCTCTTATTGTGGCTGCTGTGGGCAATGCAGTTGAGGTTTCTAGGTCAATGGATTTATGTTTCTAGAAGGATTATGGCTTCCTTTGCTGCCATGCAGGTTGTCAGGGAAGTGGGGAAAAGTCGGCAGTTACAGGCTTCACCCACCTCCCATGCAACGCAAAGGGCCATCTCACTCCCACTGTGTCCCCTCCCCCCAACAGCACCAAGTTTGTTTCTAGGCAGTGGGTGAGCAGGGCTGAGAACTTGCTCCAGGCTATCCACCTCCCAGCTGCAAAAATAAGTAGGGCTTTTCTTCTTCCACTGCCTATGGAGTCTTCACACCAGATTCACACCTTTCCCTGAGTTCTGGCCAGGAGACTTCTCAACCAGTTCAAATTGTTACAAAGTTCAGCTGGAGTTTTCATTCTCCCTGTGGCCTTTTCCTAGTACCTCTGGCAGCCCTCGTCAAGAACCCCTGTGAGGCAAGGCAGAAATGGCTTGGTAGGGGACCCAGTGAGCCCACAGGGATTTACCCACTGCTTCCTCTAGCCCTGTATTTCACTCCGCTCTCTAAATTGACTCAACTCCAGGTAAGGTCAGAATCTTCTCCCATAATTTAGACCTCAGGTTCCCCAGTTGGGGGTGTGTGTTCAGGGATGGATGACTTCCCTTTCCCATTTCCACAGTTTTGACACTTGCAGTATTTGTGGTGTCTCCCAGGCCCTGCAGGAGCAATCCATTGCCTTCAGAGGATCTGTGGGTTCTTTTTGCTTTCTTAATGTATTCCCACAGTCATTCTGGAGCAAAAGTTCATGATGCGAGCCTATACATGCTGTTCTGTCCATCTGAGTGAGAGCTGCAGTCTAGTCTTGCCTCCCATCCACCATGATCTCCCAAAAGCTGGTTTTTTGAAAAGATCAACAAAATTGACAAATCTTTAAGTAGGTTTACCAAGGTAAAAAGAGAAGACTCAAATAACTGGAATCAGAAGTAAAACAGGGACATTACTATTGGCCTTGTGGAAATAAAATAATTATAAAGGAATATCATGAACAATTGTAAGCCAACAAATTAGATAACTTAGATGAAACTGACAAATTCCAAGAGGGACTCAAACTACTGGTACTGACTCATGGACAACTAGCTAATATGAGTAGATTTATCATAAGGGAGGAGATTGAATGAAGAAGACAACACTATCCACAAACAAAAGCCAAAAATCCAGATGGCTTCAATACTAAGTTATATCAAACTGTTAAAGAAGGATTAATATCAATCCTTCACAAACTCTTTCCAAAAAAAATTAAGAGGAGGTAACACTTCCCAACTTATTTTATGAGGCCAGTATTACCTTGATACCAAAACCAGACAAGGACATCATAAGATAATAAAACTGCAGACTAATATTTATGAACATGGATGTAGTAATCCTCAACAAAGTACTACCAAACTAAATCCAGCAACATAATAAAATAATTATACTTCACAACCAAGTGGAAGTTGTCTCAGGAATGCAAGGTTAGTTTAATATCAGAAAATCAATTAATGTAATACATTGTGTCAATAGAACAAAAAAAGAATTCACATGATCTTCTCAATAGATGCAGAAAGAGCATTTTACAAAATCCAGAACACTTTCATGATAAAAAACACTTGACGAACTAGGAATGGAAAGGAACTTCCTCAACCCTAGTTCATATTCCTCAAGGACTATTTCATAGACAGGGCATGAAAAACTCACAACTAACATCATACTTAATGGAGAAAGATTGGAAGCTTTTCCCTTAACATCAGAAAGAAGGCACCACTTCTATTGAACATTGCAGTTCTGGAAGTTCCAGTCAGGGAAATTCAGCAAGAGAATAAAATGAAAGTCATCACATTGGAAAAGAAGAAGTAAACCTATCTCTATTCACAGATGACATGATTTTTATTATAGAAAACCTTAAGGAATCCACTACAGAACTAATAAAGCTAATAAACAAGTTCAACAAGTTTTCATATACTAATACAATGTATTAGTCAGGGTTCTTCAGAGACACAGAACCAATAAGACACATGAGAGGGGATTTATTAGGAGAATTGAATTGTATTATTACAGAGGTGATGTCCTACAACAGGCCATCTGCAAATGAGCTGGCAACATGGCTCAGTCCAGAAGCCACAGAACAAGGGAAGCTGGTGGTGCCACCTCCAGTCCAAGCTACAAATCCCAAGAGAATCTGGGAGGCAGCTGGTACAAGTTTCAGAGTCCAAAACCTGAAGAACCTAGTCTGATGTCAAAGGGCAGGAAGAGAAAAAGTATATGGCTGGGCGTGGTGGCTCACTCCTGTAATCCCAGCACTTTGGGAGGTCGAGGTGGGCAGATCACATGAGGTTAGGAGTTCAAGACCAGCCTAGCCAACACAGTGAAACCCCGACTGTACTAAAAGTACACAAAAATTAGCTGGGTTGTGGTGGTGTGCACCTGTAATCTCAGCTGAAGATTACAGGTGCTGAGATTATGGGAGGCCGAAGCAGGACAATTGCTTGAACCCAGGAGGCAGAGATTGCAGTGAGCCAAGATCACACCACTGCACTCCATCCTGGGCAACAGAGCAAGAATCTGTCTCAAAAAAAAAAAAAGAAGAAGAAGAAAGAAGAAGAAGAAGAAGAAGAAGAAGAAGAAGAAGAAGAAGAAGAAGAAGAAGAAGAAGAAGAAGAAGAAGAAGAAGAGGAGGAGAAAAAGAAAAAGAAAAAGATGGAAAACAAAAAGTGTATTGCTCTGGAAGGTTGAGAGAGAGAGCAGAAAAAGAGAATTCTCTTTTTTCTGCCTGTTTTTCCCAACCAGGCCCCAGCTTATTGAATGGTGCCTGCCCACTGGGTCTTCCTCTCTTAGTCCACTGATTCTTGAGTCAGTCTCCTCTGGAAGCTCCATTACAGACCCACCCAGAAACAATGCTTCACCAGCCATCTAGACATCTCTCAATCCAGTCGAGTTGACACTTTAAATTAACCATCACAATCAATTTGCAAAATTCATTGTATTTCAATACACTTGCAGTGAAAAATCTGGAAATAAAATTTAAAAACATTCTCTTCACCATAGCATCAAAAAGATTAAAATACATAACATTATATTTTTAAGAAGTACAAAACTTATGCTCTGAAAACTACAAAACACTGCTGAAAGAAAAATGATCCAAATAATTAGAAGAATATCCTATCTTAACGGACAGGAACTCTTAACCTTGTTAAGATGGCAATACTCCCCAACTGAATCTACAGATTCAGTGAAATATATATTATAAGTCTAGCTATTTTTCTGTTAGAAAGAACTAGACAAGCTAATTCTAAAATTCATATGGAATTTCAAGAGACATAGAATGGCCAAACCATTCCTTAAAACTAAAAACAAAAAAGTAGGAGGACCCAAAATTCCTGATTCCTAAATTTACTACAAAGCAACAGTAATCAGAGACAGTGTGGCACTGGCACAAGGACAGATACATAGATGAATGGAATAGAATTGAGACTCCATAAATGAAAGAATGTATCTATGATCTACTGATTTTCAACAAGGGTGCCAAACCAGCCAATGGGGGATTAGTCTTTTCAACAAATTGTGCTGGGACAACTTGATAGCCACATGCAAAAGAATGAAGTTGGACCCTTATCTCACACCATTTACAAAAATTAACTAAAAATGTATTAAAGACCTCAATGTAAGAGCTGGAAGTCTAAAACTCTTAGAAGAAAACATAGGGGTAAGCCTTCATAACTTTAGATTTGGCAAAGGTTTCTGAGGTTTGGCACTAAAAACATAAGCAACAAAAGATAAATTGGACTTCATTAAAATTAAAAACTTTTGTTCTTCAATGAGCAGTATCAAGAAAGTGAAAAAACAACTCACAGAATGCGAGAGAGTATTTGCAAAGCATATATCTGATAAGGGAGTTGTATACAGAATATATAAAGAACCCTGGCAACCCAAAAATAAAAAGACAAAGAACATAGTTTTAAATGTAGGCAAAGGATCTGAAGATATTTCTCCAAGGAAGGTATACAAATGGCCAAAAAGCATATGAAAACGTGTTTTATGTCATTAGTCATCAGTGACATGCAAATTAAAACCACAATAATATACCACTTCACACTCAACAGGTTGGCTAGAATTAACAAGTATTGCCATAGATATGAAGAAATCAGAACTTTCATGCACTGCTGGCAGGAATGTAAAATGATGCAGCTGTCTTAGGAAATAATCTGGCAGGTCTTCAAGCATTGAAGCATAGAGTTTACCATATGACCCAAGAATTCCATTTCTATGCATATAGGCAAGATAAATGAAAACATATGTCCACACAAATACCCATACATGAATGTTTACAGCAGCATTATTTACAATAGTCAATACTCTGGTTTATCTTCAGATTGTATAAATGTTTCACCTTTTACAATAGCCAAAGGATGGAAACAACCCAAATATCCATAAACTGATGAATAAACAAAATGTGTTACACCCATAAAAATGAATATTATTTATCCATGAAAAGTCATAAAGTACCAGATACGTGCTATAACATGGACAAATCTTGAAAATATTGTGTGAAATGAAAATAATCACAAAAAGCCATGTAGTATATTATTCCATTTATAAGAAATATCCAGAACAGGGGAAATGTGTAGAGATATAAAGTAAAAAATTGGTTGCTTAACAACATTGGGGAGATCTGGGGTGGTGGGCAAAGGGGTGATAGATACAAGGTATGAGGTATCTTTTTAAGGTGATGAAAATATTCTGTGGTAATGGTTGCACATGTCTGTGACTATACTAATAACCATTGAATTACACACTTTATTTTTAAATTCCTTTCAGATAACTTTAATTTTTTAAAAAAATTTAATTGTTAAATAAACATTGAAAATATTCAGGATGTGCAATAGGCTGATTTAGTATGCATATACATTGTGTGATGATTACCACAATCAAATTAACATGTCCATCACCACTCATGCTATACGTTAGAACTCCAGAGCTTGTTCATCCTATAACTGAAAACTTGTACCCTTTGATCAACATCTCCCCATCTCTACCACCACAGTCCCTGACAACCACCATTCAATTCTATGGTTCCATGACTTTGACTTTTTCAGATTGCACATGTAAGTGAGATGTTACAGTATTTGTCTTTCTGTTTCGGGTTTATTTCACTTAGCATAATGCCCTCCAGGTTAATACATGTAGCAAAAAGCAGAATTATTTTCTTCAATGACTGAATAATATTCCTTTCTATATATGTACCACGATTTCTTTATCCATTCATCCACTGATGGATACTTTGATTATTTCTATACATTGGCTATTGCAAATAATGCTACAGTGAACATTGGAGTGCAGATATATCTTCAAGATCCTCATTCCATTTCTATTGGATATATACCCCTAAGTGGCTGTGGAATTTCTTTTGCCATGAAAGACTTTCCTTATCATATAGCCTGTCAAAGAGCCACCCAAATAAAGCTCATTGTCTCCTACTGCCACCTGATTTTCATATATATTTCCATGATCATCCCACAAATCCCTTGAACCCCATATACCATTGAGCTTCACATGCCAGTAGAATCACATTAGCAATGTTCTCTGGGCCCAGATGTTGACCTATCTGGCTCCTTCATATCATGTAGCTGTCAGCTCAGATGTCACTTCCTCAGAAAATCCTTTCATGGCCCTCTAGAACTGCCTCCTCACTCCCAGCAGTTTATTGATTGCTTGCAGAGGCACTTTACCTCTAGCTGAAATTGTCGTGTTACTTATTTATCTGTTATCATCTATCTCTCCCCACTGGGATGGTATGTCAGATTCATAAGAGTAAGGACCTTTTCTTATTCACTAATCTATCTCCAGCACCTATCATAGTGCCTGGAACATAGGAAATGTCTAAGATATTTTTATTGAATTAAAGAATAGGTAGAATATAACATTTTGTGGTATACAGTTAAAGCACTTTTATCAGGGAAATTTATAGTACTAAATCCCTTTATTATAAAAGAAGAAAGGTCATGTTAATGACCTTAGACTTCACTGTAGGAGACCAGAAAAAGAAGAGCAAAGTAAACCCTAAGTAAGCTGAAGAAAAAAATAGGAAATATCAGAGTGGAAGTAAATGAAATACAAAACAGAAAAACAGTGGAGGAAAATTAATAAAACCAAAAGCTGACTCTTTGAGAAAATCAATAACATTAGCCTCTAGCCAGAACAGCCAAGAACAAAAGAGGGAAGACACAAATTACCAATATCAGAAACAAGAGCGATAACATCACTACAGATGCTATACATATTTAAAAAAATAAAATGTTAGGAACAACTTTATGCCAATAGATTTGACAACTTTGATGAAAATGGTATTCTCTTTGAAAGTACAAACTACCAAAGTTTACTCAAGAAGAAATTGGTAGCTTGAATGGTCCCTGAATGGCTAGATATGGTAGGAGTTCTTTCTGGAATTTACTTCCTTGTCTCTTTTCACCCTCAAACAGGGACCTGAAAAGTGTAAGAGAAGGGAATTTGATCTGGGACTTAACAGATGTGTATTTTAGACAAAGCTTTACCATTGGCTTGTTTTTCTGAGACCTGAGGCAAGTCACAACCTCTCACCCTCAGTTTCCTCCTCTGCTAAGTGGGTATTGTTGTGGAAATTAAATAAAATGGTATAGATGCAAGGTATCCAGTATAAGCAGAAGCTGCTGCTTTGCCTTGATGCTATGTGGTGAAGGGTAGAAGTAACTTGTCAATTGCCTTAGTAGTAACATCAGAGCTCTAGTGACAGATATTTGAAAATATCCACTGAAATAGTGATTCAAGTGTAGTAGTTACAATTATAATCACTTAAATTTCTAGAACACCTTTACATTGAAGGGGAAAATGTCCTTTGAAGGATCCTCTCTGTTAGCTATACACCATCCTCCTGAAGTAAGGTAAAATGACATTAGTTATTACCAAGCTCTAGATGGGAAAACAGAGACTCCAAGAGGTGAGAGTAAGCCTCTCCCTTTGGAGAAGATCCTCCTATTTCAGTGCCTCAGATCATCTCATTACTTCTCCAAGTCTTCTTTGTGACCACCCTCAATAATACCCAATGCAGTTTAAGAACATTTATCCTTGTTTAAAATTTACTATAAAAGTTGTTTTTGTTCCATTAAGTACTGAGTCCTCCTTTTTTTTGTCATCTCCCGGAATTCCGCACCTCCCTTCACCTCTTGTTTCTCCCATTGGGGCCCTATCTGTCAGCATCTGCTAATAGTGGACACACCCAGAATGTTCTCCTCCTCACCACATTTCCATGAAAACCAGACAAAGGACTAAAAAGGTGACACGAGGACTATGGTTGCTTTAGTCTCACTGTCCAAATTCTGACAGGGCTATATTGGGCACTTAGATTCTGGGTGCTGAGGTCTAGATTTGATTGAAATCTAGTGGATTTCACTCACAATTTTAATAACTAAGCCAAGCAGCTTTACTTAATATTTTCCCCTGAAAAGATCGCCTATTTGTTTCTTGACATTCACGTAATATTCACATTATTCACAGCCCATCCTGAGATATTGGTTTCAGTTGTTGATGGTGCACCCAAGACATCTAGAAGCAGTGATTAATTTTGAAACTAATTCAGGAAATCAGAGGATTTATCAGTTATTTTATTGCCAAATTGACTTAAAGCAGGTACTTGTCAAGATACAAGGGCTAAACCAGATTCAGCCCTGAATTTGGGGGCAATTACTTAACATATCAGTTTTATAAGGTAACTGGATGTTTAATAGTACAAATATTTGGGGTTAAATCTTTTTATATGTGAAAAACCTATATAAAGCTATGTCTCATTTCTTCAAAAATTTAGTGGAATGAGGCATTCCATAGAGATGAGTTGTCCAGGTAGCTAACGTAGACCAAATTTAGTGCTAAAGATTTCAGAACATTTAACTCTTGCTTATATGGAAACCTATCTAAATATGCATTACACAATTCCCTGCCTTCTTAAACAAGCTACATTTAATTCAAATTAGCCTTTTCCTGATGACTTCTGTGCTTCCAATTCTCTAGATGAATGTGGTTAAGGAACTTAATCTCTTGGGTCCTCAATTTTCCCATATTAAATGAGGGATTAGACCAGATGAGTTCTAACTCTGACATTCTATTATTGTTTTCCAAAACACTATTAGATTTCAGATACGAAATGACTAAATGTGCAACTACTTGTGCCCTGGGTAGCAGGATAGCTAGGAGAAAGTCCAGCATTTGGCAAGACTTCAAGACAGGCAAAACAATTAGAAAGGACAAACCAGCCACCTGCACCTACAGCCTTTCAGTCTTGCTTTCTTTCTGGTGAAGGGTCTGGTGGAGACCTTTGGCCACATCTTCAGTGGAGCCCCCATTTGGTTTATGTTTTTAACCATACTTCCGGCTGAGGTCAAGTTCTATGTGTTCTCAGGGCTTTTGACTTTGTTCTGGCCATTACCAGAACCATTCAAGAGAATGGTTCTCACTGACTCCAAAACCCATTCTCTTTCCCTTATACACTCGGTCTGCAGTTGGTGAGGTAGAGTTGGAGGGCACATGGACAGCTAGGTGGCTTTCTAGACTCCAGGCCTGCATCCAGTGAAAAAGATGCTGAGACACTCATCCATTCCCCATGCCCAGAGTACAAAACACATCGTTAGTACCAAGCATCTATCTACTAGCTGTGTGACTTTTGGCAATTTTCTTAGTCTCTCTGCACCTCAGCTTCCTCAGTTGCAAAATGGAGATAATAATAGTACAAACGTCAGTGTGTGGTGGTGAAGGTTAACTGATTAACACTTAAGAAAGTACACAGCACAATGCCTGCTATGTAGCAAGCATTCAATAATTGGTAGAAACTGATAAAGAAAATTAAAAAACAATCATAGGAATTGCTGATTGAGTAGTATGATGTGCCAGAAACTGTGTTATCCTTACAGGGGCAGTAGTTAAAGAACACAGGCTCTGACATTAAAAAGACCTTGTTGAAATCTTAGCACTAAGTGTAGCCTTGGGCAAGCCACCTCTACCTTCTTTGCCACATTTAAAATGGGGATCATAATACTTTCTAGCTGCGTGATGAGGATTAATAAGATTATACATATAAAGAAAGTGCTATACATATAAAGAAAGTGCTTAGCCCAATGCTTGGTTCAAAGTAAGTGCTAAGAAATATTAGTCATCACTACTTTTATTGTGTTAGGCATTATCTCATTTAACAACCATATGTCACAGAAAGCTGATTGCAAGACTGCTTGATATTTAGGAGAAGTGTGTTCAGATTCCAGTGAGCCTGGGAATTAGTGTCTGCTGACCCAAACAATTATTGTATCGTGCAGTAGTACCTAGGTAGGAATTAGCAATGAAACACATGTCTTTTATTAGTCCACCTAAAGCTCCTAAGGAAGGAGTCAGGTGCAGGACAGTGGGCATTGGACTTGGCACCAGATACCCAGTGTTCTTGTCCTACCTCTGTCACTCACTGCCTGTGGGAGCAGGAGCGTTTGACTGGGTTCATGAAAAATGTTTCCATTGTAATATCCTACCCATGTGCAAAATACTTCTGAGTCATAAAAACCAGTTCACCTTCTGAATCCCATTGTGCCCATATGTAAAATGGAGCCTTCTAAAATGGATACCCATTCTAGAGGGATGTAAAAGTGTATGGTATAATGTAGAGGACTATATATGCAAAATGTTACTTACAACAGGGGTCAGCAAACTTTTTAAATAAAAGGCCAGATAGTGCATGTTTTAGGCTTTGGAGATCCATGCAGTTTCTATCACGACTACTCATTCTGCTTTTGTAGCACAAAAGCAGCCATAGAAAATACAGAAACAAATGAATGTGGTTGTGTTCCAATAAAATTTTATTTATGAAATTTTAGTGAACCATGATCACACCACTGCATTCCATCTTTGTTAACAGAGTGAGGCCCAATCTCAAAAAAGACCCCAAAAAAACAAAACTAAATTTTTGTATCCTTTGGTCAAGATCTCCCTAGTCTCACCACCCTTTTCCCCACCTCCAGTCCCTAGTAACTACCATTCTATTCTCTGCTTCTATGAGTTTGACTTTTTAAGATTTCACATGTAAGTGAAATCATGCAATATTTGTCTTTTCTGAAGGCTTATTTCACTTAACATAATGTCCTCTGAGTTCATTCATGCTATTGGAAATGGCAGGATTGTACTGCTAAAGCTGGATAGTATTCCATTGCATATATATTCCACAATTTATCCATTGATCTGTTGACGGACACAGGTTGATTCCATATCTTGGCTATTGATATGGAATGCTGCAATGAACATGGAAGTGCAGATACTATTTGACATACAGATTTGATTTCCTTTGGATATATACCAGGAGTGGAATTGCTAGATTATTTGAAATTGTTTGAGGAACATCTATACTGTTTTCCATAATGGCTGTAATAATTTACATTCTCACTAACAGTGTGCAAGAGTTCCCTTTTCTCCAATCCTCACCAACATTTGTTATCTTTCATCTTGTTGATAACAGACATCTTACGAGATGTGAGGTGGTACTTCATTGTGGTTTTAATTTCATTTCTGTTATGATTAGTGATATTAAGCATTTTTTCATTTTATCTGTTGGTTATATTGTATTTCCTCTTTAGAAATGTCTTTTTTGGTCTTTTGCCCATTTTAAAAACTGGATTATTTGTTTTCTTACTTTTAAGTCATTTGAATTCCTTCCATGTATATTTTGGATACTAACCTCTTATCAGAAGTCTATTTCCTAAATATTTTCTCCTATTTCTGTAGGTTATCTCATCACACTGTTGATTGTTTCCTTTGCTGTACAGAAGATTTTTTAGTTTGATATAGCCCAATGTGTCTGTTTTCAATTTTGTTGCCTGTGCTTTTGGGTTCAGATTCAAAAGTCTTTGCCAAGATGAAAGTCATGAACCTTTTCCCCTATGTTTTTTTCTAGTAGTTGCAAGTCTTATGTTTAAGTCTTTAATCAGTTTTGAGTTAAGTTTTGTATATGGGGTGAGATAAGGGTCCAATTTCATTTTTGGCATGTGGATATCCAGTTGTCTTAAGATCATTTATTGAAGAAACTGTCCTTTCCCCATTGTGTGTTATTGCCACATTTCTTGAAAAATTACTTGGGCATAAGTGTATGGACTTATTTCTGGGCTTTATATTCTGTTCCATTGGTTTATATGTTTGTTTTTGTGTCAGTACCATGCTGTCTTGATCACTATAGCTTTGTAGTAGATTTTGAGATCAAGTAGGGTAAGGTTTCCAGTGTTGTTCTTTTCACTCAAGATTGTTTGGGCTATTTGGGGTCTTTCGTGGTTTCATATGAATCTTAGGTTTGTTTCCTCTATTTCAGTGAAAGATGTCATTGGAGTTTTGATAGGGATTGCACTGAATCTGTAGATTGCTTTAAGCAGCATGGATATTTTAGCAATGTTAGTTCCTCTAGTAAATGAACATGGGATATCTTTCCATTTATTTGTGTCTTCTTCAATTTATTTCATCAATATTTTATACTGTTGAGTGTACAGTTCTTTTTTATTTTTATTTTTTTATTTTATTTTATTATTATTATACTTTAAGTTTTAGGGTACATGTGCACAATGTGCAGGTTAGTTACATATGTATACATGTGCCATGCTGGTGTGATGCACGCATTAACTCGTCATTTAGCATTAGGTATATCTCGTAATGCTATCCCTCCCCCCTCCCCCCACCCCACAACAGTCCCCAGAGTGTGATATTCCCCTTCCTGTGTCCATGTGTTCTCACTGTTCAATTCCCATCTATGAGTGAGAATATGCGGTGTTTGGTTTTTTGTTCTTCTGATAGTTTACTGAGAATAATGATTTCCAATTTCATCCATGCCCCTACAAAGGACATGAACTCATCATTTTTTATGGCTGCATAGTATTCCATGGTGTATCTGTGCCACATTTTCTTAATCCAGTCTATCATTGTTGGACATTTGGCCTGGTTCCAAGTCTTTGCTATTGCGAATAGTGCCTCGATAAACATATGTGTGCATATGTCTTTATAGCAGCATGATTTATAGTCCTTTGGGTATATACCCAGTAATGGGATGGCTGGGTCAAATGGTATTTCTAGTTCTAGATCCCTGAGGAATCACCACACTGACTTCCACAAGGGTTCAACTAGTTTACAGTCCCACCAACAGTGTAAAAGTGTTCCTATTTCTCCACATCCTCTCCAGCATCTGTTGTTTCCTGACTTTTTAATGATTGCCATTCTAACTGGTGTGAGATGGTATCTCATTGAGGTTTTGATTTGCATTTCTCTGATGGCCAGTGAGGGTGAGCATTTTTTCACGTGTTTTTTGGCTGCATAAATGTCTTCTTTTGAGAAGTGTCTGTTCATGTCCTTCACAAACTTTTTGATGAGGTTGTTTGTTTTTTCTTGTAAATTTGTTTGAGTTCGTTGTAGATTCTGGATATTAGCCCTTTGTCAGATGAGTAGGTTGCGAAAATTTTCTCCCATTTTCTAGGTTGCCTGTTCACTCTGATGGTAGTTTCTTTTGCTGTGCAGAAGCTCTTTAGTTTAATTAGATCCCATTTGTCCATTTTGGCTTTTGTTACCATTGCTTTTGGTGTTTCAGACATGAAGTCCTTGCCCATTCCTATATCCTGAATGGTAATGCCATGGTTTACTTCTAGGGTTTTTATGGTTTTAGGTCTAACGTTTAAGTCTTTAATTCATCTTGAATTAATTTTTGTATAAGGTGTAAGGAAGGGATCCAGTTTCAGCTTTCTACATATGGCTAGCCAGTTTTCCCAGCACCATTTATTAAATAGGGAATCCTTTCCCCATTGCTTGTTTTTGTCAGGTTTGTCAAAGATCAGATAGATAGTTGTAGATATGCAGTGTTATTTCTGAGGGCTCTGTTCTGTTCCATTGATCTACATCTCTATTTTGGTACCAGTACCATGCTGTTTTGGTTACTGTAGCCTTGTAGTATAGTTTGAAGTCAGGTACCATGATACCTCCAGCTTTGTTCTTTTGACTTAGGATTGACTTGGCGATGTGGGCTCTTTTTTGGTTCCATATGAATTTACAGTAGTTTTTTCCAATTCTGTGAAGAAAGTCTTTGGTAGCTTGATAGGGATGGCATTGAATCTAAAAATTACCTTGGGCAGTATGGCCATTTTCATGATATTGATTCTTCCTACCCATGAGCATGGAATGTTCTTCCATTTCTTTGTATCCTCTTTGATTTCCTTGAGCAATGGTTTGTGGTTCTCCTTGAAGAGGTCCTTCACATCCTTTGTAAGTTGGATTCCTAGGTATTTTATTCTCTTTGAAGCAATTGTGAATGGGAGTTCTCTCATGATTTGGCTCTCTCTTTCTCTATTATTGGTGTATAAGAATGCTTGTGATTTTTGTACATTGATTTTGTATCCTGAGATTTTGCTGAAGTTGCTTATCAGCTTAAGGAGATTTTGGGCTGAGACATTGGGGTTTTCTAGATATACAATCATGTCATCTGCAAACAGGGACAACTTGACTTCCTCTTTTCCTAATTGAATACCCTTTATTTCCTTCTCCTGCCTAATTTCCCTGACCAGAACTTCCAACACTATGTTGAATAGGACTGGTGAGAGAGGGCATCCCTGTCTTGTGCCAGTTTTCAAAGGGAATGCTTCCAGTTTTTGCCCATTCAGTATGATATTGGCTGTGGGTCTGTCATAGATAGCTCTTATTATTTTGAGATATGTCCCATCAATACTTAATTTATTGAGAGTTTTTAGCATGAAGCATTGTTAATTTTGTCAAAGGCCTTTTCTGCATCTATTGAGATAATCATGTGGTTTTTGTCTTTGGTTCTGTTTATATGCTGGATTACATTTATTGATTTGCATATGTAGAACCAGACTTGCATCCCATGGATGAAGCCCACTTGATCATGGTGGATAATCTTTTTGATGTGCTGCTGGATTCGGTTTGCCAGTATTTTATTGAGGATTTTTGCATCAATGTTCATCAAGCATATTAATCTAAAATTCTCTTTTTCGGTTGTGTCTCTGCCCGGCTTTGGTATCAGGATGATGCTGGCCTCATAAAATGAGTTAGGGAGGATTCCCTCTTTTTCTATTGATTGGAATAGTTTCAGAAGGAATGGTACCAGTTCCTCCTTGTACCTCTGGTAGAATTCGGCTGTGAATCCATCTGATCCTGGACTCTTTTTGGTTGGTAAGCTATTGATTATTGCCACAATTTCAGAGCCTGTTATTGTTCTATTCAGAGATTCAACTTCTTCCTGGTTTAGTCTTGGAAGGGTGTATGTGTCAAGGAATTTATCCATTTCTTCTAGATTTTCTAGTTTATTTGTGTAGAGGTGTTTGTAGTATTCTCTGATGGTAGTTTGTATTTCTGTGGGATTGGTGGTGCTATCCCCTTTATCATTTCTCATTGCATCTATTTGATTTTTCTCTCCTTTCTTCTTTATTAGTCTTGCTAGCGGTCTATCAATTTTGTTGATCCTTTTAAAAAACCAGCTCCTGGATTCATTATTTTTTGAAGGGTTTTTTCTGTCTCTATTACCTTCAGTTCTGCTCTGATTTTAGTTATTTCTTGCCTTCTGCTAGCTTTTGAATGTGTTTGCTCTTGCTTTTCTAATTCTTTGGATTGTGATGTTAGGGTGTCAACTTTGGATCTTTCCTGCTTTCTCTTGCGGGCATTTAGTGCTATAAATTTCCCTCTACACACTGCTTTGAATGTGTCCCAGAGATTCTGGTATGTTGTGTCTTTGTTCTCCTTGGTTTCAAAGAACATCTTTATTTCTGCCTTCATTTCGTTATGTACCCAGTAGTCATTCAGGAGCAGGTTGTTCAGTTTCCATGTAGTTGAGCGGTTTTGAGTAAGTTTCTTAATCCTGAGTTCTAGTTTGATTGCACTGTGGTCTGAGAGACAGTTTGTTATAATTTCTGTTCTTTTACATTTGCTGAGGAGAGCTTTACTTCCAACTATGTGGTCAATTTTGGAATAGGTGTGGTGTAGTGCTGAAAAAAATGTATATTTTGTTGATTTGAGGTGGAGAGTTCTGTAGATGTCAATTAAGTCCCCTTGGTTCAGAGATGAGTTCTATTCCTGGTATCCTTGTTGACTTTCTGCCTCGTTGATCTGTCTAATGTTGACAGTGGGGTGTTAAAGTCTCCCATTATTATTGTGTGGGAGTCTAAGTCTCTTTGTAGGTCACTCAGGACTTGCTTTATGAATCTGGGTGCTCCTGTATTGGGTGCATATATATTTAGGATAGTTAGCTCTTCTTGTTGAATTGATCCCTTTACCATTATGTAATGGCCTTCTTTGTGTCTTTTGATCTTCGTTGCTTTAAAGTTTGTTTTATCAGAGACTAGGATTGCAACCCTGGCCTTTTTTTTGTTTTCCATTTGCTTGGTATATCTTCCTGCATCCTTTTGTTTTGAGCCTATGTGTGTCTCTGCACATGAGATGGGTTTCCTGAATACAGTACACAAATGGGTCTTGACTCTTTAACCAATTTGCCAGTGTGTGTCTTTTCATTGGAGCATTTAGTCCATTTACATTTAAAGTTAATAGTGTTATGTGTGAATTTCATCCTGTCATTATGATGTTAGCTGGTTATTTTGCTCATTAGTTGATGCAGTTTGTTCCTAGCCTCGATGGTCTTTATAATTTGGCATGATTTTGCAGTGGCTGGTACCGGTTGTTCCTTTCCATGTTTAGTGCTTCCTTCAGGAGCTCTTTTAGGGCAGGCCTGGTGGTGACAAAATCTCTCAGCATTTGCTTGTCTGTAAAGGATTTTATTTCTCCTTCACTTATGAAGCTTAATTTGGAGGGATATGCAATTCTGGGTTGAAAATTCTTTTCTGTAAGAATGTTGAATATTGGCCCCCACTCTCTTCTGGCTTGTAGAGTTTCTGCAGAGAGATCCGCTGTTAGTCTGATGGGCTTCCCTTTGTGGTAACCCGACCTTCCTCTCTTGCTTCCCTTAACATTTTTTCCTTCATTTCAACTTTGGTGAATCTGACAATTATGTCTTGGAGTAGCTCTTCTCGAGGAGTATCTTTGTGGCATTCTCTATATTTCCTGAATCTGAATGTTGACCTGCCTTGCTAGATTGGGAAAGTTCTCACAGGTAATATCCTGCAGAGGGTTTTCCAGCTTGATTCCATTCTCCCCATCACTTTCAGGTACACCAATCAGACGTAGATTTGGTCTTTTCACATAGTCCCAAATTTCTTGGAGGCTTTGTTTGTTTCTTTTTGTTCTTTTTCTCTAAACTTCCCGTGTCGTTTCATTTTATTCATTTCATCTTCCATCACTGATACCCTTTCTTCCAGTTGATCGCATCGGCTCCTGAGGCTTCTGCATTCTTCACGTAGTTCTTGAGCCTTGGCAGTTCTTTCATATTTTTCATCTCTTCAGTTCAATTTATTTCTAAGTAGTGTTTTATGCTGTTGTAAATGGGATTCTTAATTTTTTTTTTTTATAATGTGCTTTTCCATTGAAATTTATGTGCTAAAATTTCATCCTGTGAAATGATGGGTGGAGTGGACTAGGGGACCTCAAAGCTCTCTTTGATTTTAATTGTACTTAAAGGCTAAGGATGGCTTTTTAAGGTCAATATTTTTTAAGGTCAATAAGGTTGTTATTTGAGTTATGCTTAGAGAAAATCCCAAGGAGAAGGGCTATAGCCAAGTGGAGAACTGGGAAAAGTGAGAGTTCTGAGTTCACTTGCCTAGTGTGGAAAGGATTTCTGTAGGAAGTTTATCAGGTACAGTGGTCATCTTCCACCAAATCCCCCTTCCCCACCACACCCCATGCTAGGCCCTGGCACCAAGAATGTGTACAGATGCCTTTTCGGAAGCTCATTCTGCTCTGGTACTACCAAAAGAAGTCAGAGGGCAGGCAGGCAGGAAGGCAGACTTGTATATGAATCATCCTCTGTGTGCAAACACCCTGTTCTAAAAAGGGAGTATTGCATAGTGGTTAAAGGCTTGGCCTCTGGAGCCACACTGCCTGGATTCAAATCCCAACTCTATTAGTTAGTGTCTGTGGAGAACCTAGGCAAATCATTTAACCTTTCTGTGCCTCAGTTGAACCATCTCTAAAATGGGGACACGATAATGTCCACCTTATAAGGTTGTTGTGAGAACTAAATGAATAAAGAACTTAGTGCGGTACCTGGCACTTATCAATGTTAAGATGTTATTATCATCCTGAGTGGAATAGACTAGGGGAAACAAAACTCTTGGATAAGGGTGGCAGTGTGGTAGAGAGTTAATGTCCCTGCCTGGCCTGGAAGCCAGGAAGACTAGGCTTCTGTTCTTGGCTTGCCACTGGCTTGCTGTGTGACCTTAGCCAAATGTCTGCTCTCTTTTTGTTCCATTTTTCCAAACTAGATCATCTTCCTGGCCTCCTTCTACTTGAATATTTTTTGAGTCAAACAGATTCTGTGAAGGCTATTCATGTAAGTACAGAAAGAACACAGAGTAAAGGCATGATCCAGGTCAGGTGAAGTTAACCTTGAAGACTAGAGAAGAAGGAGGTAATAGACTCTGAGTTAGTGAGTTGGGTCTTGGCAAAACTACCAAGAAAGCAGATGTTGTCTTTAAGGCACCAGGCTCAATGTGCCTGCTCTCCTCTCTTCACTTCTCATGGCAAACCCTGCTCTTAGGCTGTGCAGGGCAGAGGTGCAAAGAACACTGGATGGAGAGAGACTCTATCATGAGTGAGCTCCCATTTTTAGTCTACCTTATTCTGGAAAGCATTCCTGGGAGCCCCAGTCCTTTCTCTGTCTGCCGCTCTCTAGCCCTCACACCTATCTCAGCCCATCATCCCCTCCCAACTTGCTCTAAGCTTCTGTGGTCTTTGTGCATATCTCCATTAGAGCACTTATCGGGCTGTATTGTAACTGTTTGTTTACATTCACCTATCTCTCCCAGTAGCCTGTGAGCTCAGGTGACTAGCCGTGTGTGCCTTACTCATCTCACTGGTGTTCAGCACCTAGCTGAGGCGCCAGTGCTGAGCAGGTGATCTGGTAGGGGAGCTCTCTCAGGCAGCCTTCCTGAGTGAATGGAGGAGCAAATGAGAAAGGGAAGCATGGCCTGGATGATTCCTCCCTGCTGTTTCCTTGGCTCTGTGGCCTAAGCAAGACAGATGTCTTCTCTGGATCTCCAGTACCTCCTTGTAAAATGGAAAAGATTAAAGTGACAGATTTCTGAGATAGCTTCAGCTTTTTTTTTCTTTTTAAAAAATGTATTTGCTCAGTTTTTAGGGGTCTGACAATAGCCTTAAGTTGTGTCCCTCTTAGGTGTATTTGCACTTAAATAGGAATCAAAGCTTTCCTTGGTACACAGGTTAAGCTTTGCTTTCCTCCAATCCTGATCCTATACTAGTAGAATCCAAGTTAGTTTTTGTTCTGTAAAGGTCTTAAAGATTTGGTGGCCCAGTGCTGAAGTGTGTTCATATATTTGATCATTACAAATCTGTAAATGACCCCGTTTGTGGACTTGCCTAATTTAGCTCTCTTTTCTTTCTCCTCATCTCTCTTCCCCTTCCCTCCCCTTCCCTTTTCTCTCTCCTTATTTCTCTCTTTCAGATGGAAATAAAGGGCCAGCCCTCCCTCTGTGCCTTTTTGGCCCCATCCTCTGCTGCTACCATGGAGACTCTCAACAGCTGCTGTACTAACTCTCTCTCAGAGATGCTGCCCAATGGTTATGTGACTCAAGTCATCCCAGACCACCCTGAGGTAGAAAGCCTGACCAGAGAGGTAGGGCTGGAGGAATTGGAGAAATCTGAGCAGTATGACCAGAGTGACTTGAGTACCAGGGAAGATAGTGGTTGGAATAAGAGGAAAATCAAAGTCAACAAGATCTGGAATTTTGTGAGCTGCAGAAAAGGCGCCTCCAGCCAGGAAAAGCGACCCCAGTCCATGCTTTTACTGGGAGACACCTCCAGGCTGTCAGAAGTGAAACGAAATTCAGGTTCATGGATTGAATGAAGTCATTCAGGAGGCTGAAGCCTTCTACTGGGGCCTCCAAGAACACTCCCTGTAGGAGCAGCAAGATCCAGGAGCCGCAGGATGCCCCAGGTATCTATCAAATGAGGAAAGCTGAGGAGGCCGGGAAGCCCTTTAGCCATTCCTATGCTGGCTTCATCAAGGGCCTGGAGTCCTTCCTCACAGAAGTGCTGGGGCCTGGCCAAGCCCCCAAGAGGGTGAACTGGAAAGTGCTGGCCTTCGATGAGTTTGGCATCCAAGTGGAGGACAAATCCTGGCAGGAGGAGGCCCCTGAACAGCTTGCGGGTGAAAGGAAAGGCAGAAGCTACCTGAAAAGCATATTCCCCAGGGGCTGTGAAGGCCTGTGTACATGGGCCAAAGCTGCCAAAATCCAGAAGTTTGAGGATGCCATCGAGGACTCCACATTGGAAGCAGGCTCGGAGGCAGCTATGAAGGGAGCCCCGAACACCGGTGCTGAGACAAGACTGCGCCACTGAGCGTCATTATCAAATTCTTTAACAATGTGGCTGAGGTGGCCTGCAAGCGGTGGGCATTCACCCGTGAAGAGCCACAGTTGCCCCGCCGCCAATGGGAGGCCTACTTCAGCAGTTGCAGCAATAGCTTCATCCGGAGGGTGCTGCCTCCCTGTCCTCCTTAACACTCAACCTGTCCTGCTGGGCCATTGAGGCCTCACTGTGGAGTAGCACCTTGGGGAGGCACTGGCCAAACCACCGCCACCTGAAGCCCTCACAGACCTCATGCACTTTTGAGATGAGCATTGAGGGCGAAGAGACGCTGGACCAGGCCCTAGCAGGTCCCTGTACTGCTGCCACCTCTGCCCCAACCTTGGCCATCTTTGAGTTCCAGGACAACCCAGTGCAGCAGAACAGCCATGGGCGTGGCAGTCGTGGCCGAGTCTACTGCGGCACCTTCACCAGGGAGCACTCTTCTGAGGAACTCGAGGAAGACACTGAGACCGTGGTCAGCTTCCTCAAGGAAGATGACAATGCTAGGGAGTCCCGTGAGCTAGGTGCCTATGCAAGGAGGTTTACCACTGAGGTTGTCATGGAGAAAGTAGAGGAGAAGCTCAATGAGATGAAGGGGCAAGAGGCTGGTAGGGGGCCTGAGGTGTCCAGCCAGGCCAGACAACCCCTGGAGCCTCAGTTGTAAATGGGGGCAGCCAAGGCAGAGGGCAAAGCCAGAAAGCCCTACACTGGAGTCTGTGGTGCTCACGTAAGGCTGTTTTTGTTGTCGTTGTTGTTTTATCACTATTTGTAACATTCGGGGCCCCAAAAGCCAGCTAAACTCCCATGCCCTGCCCCACCCAGCCCACCTCTAGCCAGAAATGCCCCAAAAGGAATGTTCTCAGTAGTCAGTTGCAGGAGACTTGACTGATCCTAAAACCCTGGGTGACCTTTGCCTCTTCCTGGAGCTGTGTTCCTATATTCACACCTCAGTTCAGCCATGGACAGAAACCTGAAGCTCTGGGAGTAGCAGGAAAGTGACCATGATTATTTAATGATGTCTAAGACAGCCATGACCTCCTGTTTTCCTTAGGTGGTGAGACATTTTTCTGGCTTTGGCTCCCTTCTCTCTGCCCTCCCCTTCTAGCATCAGCTAGATGCAGAGACTGCGGTTGAGGAAAGCCACTTGTCTGGGTTTCAGAATATCTATATTTGTGTCCCAGCTCTGCCCTGCTGTCTGTATGATTTTGAGACAAGTCCTTTTATCTTGATGGACCTCGGTTTCCCTATAGAGGGGAGCAGGCTATGCTTGGTGTCTGGGACATCTAGAGGCACCTTCTAGTAACAACACTCTGTGTTATATGACCTCAAAAATGTAGTCCTAGGGCAGCCAACTAGCATTCTTCTCCTAGCATTCATTGAGTGGTAGCTTTCTATGGGCACCTTTCAGGGCATTCTCATGTACATTGTTTTCTTTTAATTCGTATAGTAACCTTGTGAGGTAAGAGTGATTATCCTCATTTTAACAGCAAGGAAACAAGCTCAGGGGTGTTGAGTGACTTATTCAAAATCATATAGATTATGACAGAATTTGGGTTCAAATTTGGGTTCTTACTTTTTACTCTTAGTATCCCATCTATAGTTTTCAGGTGGTTTAATTTTAATGGTGATGGGCAGCTGTTTACCACACCCTTACTCATGGACAAAAATAAATATTCTAGAAATGTAGTAAAAGAAATGTTGAATAAACACAGAAGAGATTCTCTGGCTTTGAGAATTAAGGATGTCTTTATGAGGGAGTATGCTGTAATACTATAGTTTCTCCAGATTATTTTAGGGCAAAGTTTTTTTTTTTTTTTTTTTTTTTTGAGACAGAGTTTTGCTCTGTCACCCAGGCTGGAGTGCAATGGCACCATCTTGGCTCACTGCAAGCTCCACCTCCTGGGTTCACTCCATTCTCCTGCCTCACCCTCCCGAGTAGCTGGAACTACAGGCGCCAGCGACCATGCCCAGCTAATTTTTTGTGTTTTATAGACCATGATAGCCATGGTGGTCTCGATCTCCTGACCTTGTGATCCACCCGCCTCAGCCTCTGCTGGGATTACAAGCATGAGCCACCGCACCTAGCCAGGGCAAAGTATTTTTTAAGCATAGTTACAGTTCTTCTTGGTGGTGGTAGCGTGTGGGTGGATGGATTACCTTGGTAGTTCTTGACCTGTCCCTGTCAACTCTCACATCTCACTGTCAGAGAATTTGGGTTTCATTAGGACAGAAGTAATAAGCCTGCTTTTTCTGAAAGGACATTAATATGTTTATGAACATTCTCTTTCCATATCATTTATTATAAGCTTCAAGGACATAAAAATTGGCATAATATTGTTGGGAGTAAATTTTATTGCAGTGGTTTTTAAGACCAATAATCAAACAAGCAAACAAACACATCTAATGACTCCATTAGCTGATAATTGCATCTGGACACTGCATGTCCAAGGTTACCAGTGGCCAGGAAGAGGGTCACAGATGAGCACATCACCTTATTATGGACTGGACACGGAGATAAACAGTGGATTTTTTTAAAGCATAAGCTACAGAATTACAAAGGCTTGGATGTGACATGCCATCTCATCTGTGAAATGGGACTAAACACTACCTACCTAAGAGGGCTGTTGTGAGGATCGAAAGAGCCATTGTATGTAAGCCACCCAGCCTAGTACCATTCATAACATTTTGTGGGAATCCACAATGTGGTACCAGTTGTCTCTATTATTGAGACATGGTAGATTATAAATAAATGTGAACATTCATCCAGAAAAACAATTCAAAACAGTACTGTTGTAGCAGCAGATTGACGCAGTTGAAGAAACTGTGTCTGAAAATCAGGAAACACTGGGTTCTAGTTTTTTTTTGTTTGTTTTTTTTTTTTTTTTTTTTTTGCCTGACTTGCTTTGTGACCTCCAGCTAGCTCTTTCCTCTCTCTAGGCCTCAGTTTTTCCACCTGAAGGATCAGTTTCTAAGGTTCTTTATGCCTTGATTTTTTCTAGTTCTTTCCTTCCACATAAACCTGTATTTATCTATGTCCAGCGGGAAACTGATCACCTGGGTTCAGCCTAATGCCTCATTTCCTACTGGCTCTCCTCTGTAGGCTTCCTGTGCCCTCTGCTGGTTTCAAGGAGATGCTGCATAGCTTTCCTTGGGATGTTGAACCCCAGTCCACACATGGACTGGGGCCCAGGGAAAAAGCAAAGTAGCT
The DNA here is from genome assembly GCF_000001405.40 of Homo sapiens. NCBI lineage: Eukaryota > Metazoa > Chordata > Mammalia > Primates > Hominidae > Homo > Homo sapiens. The sequence continues at coordinate 63,930,280 of NC_000023.11, read as the reverse complement.
TGAAAAACCCGAATGTCAAGGGACGTCGATGTGGGTCAGGAGCCATGTTCATCCAGTCACTTCACTTTACAGATGATGGGAACACAGTCCCAAAGGGAAGGAATTTCCTTGGGCACACAGAAACTGGGAGGCAAGTAGGATCTGAGAGTTCCAACATGGGCTCTACCACAAATCTTATTCTCTTTCTGAGTTTTGGCAGCCCTCTTTACGAGCTGGAAATTCTTATCTTCAGCACGGTCACCTCGCAGGTCTGTTGTGTGGCTAAACTGGGATAATCGATATGAAAACAATACATTGTTAAGCAGAAAAGGTCACATGATTGCATCGGATTATAATATACAATGAAACTGAAGAACCTAGTAAGCTGAACAGACTCAGGTCCTTCTATGTTTTACAGGGAAACTAGGCTTTGGCAGGCTTCCTCTGGGGTGTTTTATTTTTGAGGTCTAGTCATCCAACACTCCAGAACTAAATAGCTCTTGAAATTGTGATTACTTTGGCCCAGACTTGGCTGTGATCAAGCCTGGGACTGCTATCTTAGCCAAAGAGGGGGCACAGCTTTAAGGGGATGATGTCAGAGGGCAGAGATGAGGTCTTACCAAGGGTCATCCAGGTCTTAAATTTCTCCGTGCCTCCCTCCCTGCACCTGGAAAATGACGAGAGTAGTACTAGTAATTATAGCTAACATTTACACAGTACTTATGATATGCCAAGGCATTGTTCTCAGCATTTTACATATGTGAATGTATTTCATCATCACAACTACTCTGCGAGTCAGGGACTATCTTTAAAATGAAGATAGTATTGTTAATATGAAATGAGTAAATACACATAAGTGCTTATAACACTGTGTGACCAAGAGTCATAGTGCAATAAATGTTAGCTATTTGCATTAGTTGTTAAAAAGCAGATATCGCAGGAAGGGACTGTACCTTAAGCCTATCCTTAGCTAACACCTTAGTGAGAATTGGTGGAATACAAGTTGAGGAAGTGGAATAATAATAAGAATTCATTAAATTTGTACAGGACTTTATACTTTTCAGAATGCTTTCCAATATATAAATTGATTGGCAAAACAAATTACAGTTATCATTATTATTATCATTATTCCCAGATGACAGATGAGGAACTTGAAGCATGACATACGGGAGAAAAAAGTATTGAATTTGCAGTCAAAACGCTTAGTTTCAAAGTCCTGGCTCTGGGACATTAACAGATATGTGACTTTTGATTTTAATCACTTTGACTGTCGATTATCTTCATTTGACAACTGGAAATAGGAAGTCTCCTCGGTTTCCTTCCTAAGGAAGGAAAAAGGTGCAGATATATTGAACACTTACTATGTGCTTCTACTTTTTGTTATCTCATTTGATCCCCCAAGTGTTCCTGCTGACCAGTGCTCTGTTGGTCTCATCATCATTATTCCATTTGGTTATGCTTCTGCTTCCAAATGATACTTGTATTAGTCTGTTCTTATACTGCTTTAAGGAATGCCCAACATTGGGTAATTTATAAAGGAAACAGATTTAATTGACTCACAGTTCCGCATGGCTGTGGAAGCCTCAGGAAATGTACAAGCATGGTGAAAAGAAAGCAAACGTGTCCTTCTTCACATGATGGCAGGAAGAAGAAGTGCTGAGCAAAAGGGTGAAAGGCCTTTTATAAAACCATAAGCTCTCCTGAGAACTCACTCACTATCATGAGAACAACAGCATGGGGTAACCGCCCCCATGATTCAATTACCTTTTGACAACTCATGGGGCTTATGGGAACTACAAGACGAAATTTGGGTGGGGACACAGCCAAACTATGTCATTCCACTCCTGACCCCTCCCTAATCTAATGTCCTCACCTTTAAAAATATAATCATGCCTTCCCAACAGTCCCCCAAAGTCTTAACTCATTCCATCATTAACCTAAAAGTCCAAGTCCAAAGTCTCATCTGAGACAAAGCAAGTCCCTTCCACCTATGAGCCTGTAAAATCAAAAGCAAGTTAGTTACTTCCTAGATACAACGGGAGCACAGGTATTGGGTAAATACACCTGTTCCAAATGAGAGCAATTGGCCAAAACAAAGGGGCTACAGGACCCATGCAAGTCCAAAATCCAGTGGGGCAGTCAAATCCTAAAGCTTCAAAATGATCTTCTTTGACTCCGTGTCTCACAATAGGTCATGCTGATGCAAGAATTGAGCTCCCATGGCCTTGGGCAGCTCCACCCCAGTAGGTTTGCATACTACAGTCCCCCTCCCAGCTTCCTTCACAAGCTGGTGTTGCATGTCTGTGGCTTTTCCCGGCACATGGTGCAAGCTGTCAATGGATCTACCATTCTAAGCTCTGGAAGATGGTGGCCCTTTTCTCAAAGCTCCACTAGGCAGTGCCCCAGTGGGGAGTGTGTGTGGGGGCTCTGACCCCACATTTTCCTTCTGCACTGCCTTAGGAGAGGGTCTCCATGAGGACTCCACCCTTACAGCAAACTTCTTCCTGGATATCCAGGCGTTTCCACACATCCTCTGAGATCTAGTCAGAAGTTCCCAAACCTCAATTCTTGACTTCTGTACACCTGCAGGCTCAACACCACGTGGAAGCTGCTAAGGCTTGGGACTTGCACCCTCTGAAGCCACAGCCTGAGCTGCACTTTGGCCCCTTTGAGCCACAGCTAGAATTCAGAGCACCAAATCCCTGGATTGCACACAGCAGGGCGGCCCTGGGCCCGAGCCATGAGAGCATTTTGTTCTCCTAGGTCTCTGGGCCTGTGATGGGAGAGGCTGCCATGAAGACCTCTGATATGCCCTGGAGACATTTTCCTTATTGTCTTGGCAACTAGCATTTGGATCCTTGCTACTTATGCAAATTTCTGCAGTCACCTTGAATTTCTCCTCAGAAAATGGGTTTTTCTTTCCTATCACATTGTCAGGCTGCAAATTTTCTGAACTTTTATGCTCTGCATCCCTTTTAAACATAAGTTCCCTATTTTATATTTTGATATATATTTTTATATATTTTAAACATAAGTCCCAAACCATATCCTTTTGAATGCCTAAAACTGAATGTTTTTAAGAGCACCCAAGTCACTTCTTGAATGCTTTGCTGCTTAGACATTTCTTCCAACAGGTACCCTAAAAAATCTATTTCCAGTTCAAATTTCCACAGATCTCTATGGCAGGGGCAAACTGCCACCAGCCTCTGTGCTAAAACATAGCAAGAATCACCTTTATTCGAGTTCCCAACAAGTTCCTTACCTCCGTCTGAGACCACCTCAGGCTGGACTTCATTGTCCACATCACTATCAGCATTTTGGTCAAAACCAATCAAAAAGTCCTAGAAGTTCCAAACTTTCCCACATCTTTCTGTCTTCTTCTGAAACCTCCAAACTGTTCCAGCCTCTGCTTGTTATGCAGCTCCAAAGTCACTTCCAGATGTTCAGTTATTTTTAGCAGCAGTGCCCCCTCTCTCTTTGGTACCAATTTACTGTATTAGTCTGTTCTCACACTGATATAAAGGACATACCCGAGACTGGGTAATTTATAAAGGAAAGAAGTTGAATTGATTCACAGTTCTGCATAGCTGGGGAGGCCTCAGGAAACTTAAAATCATGGTGGAAGGGGAAACAAACATGTTCTTCTTCCCATGATGGAAGGAAGGAGAAGTGCTGTGCAAAAGGGGAAAAGGCCCCTTATAAAACCAAATCTCATGAGAACTTACTCACTATCATGAGAACAGCAGCATGTGGGTAACTACAGCTGTTCAATTACCTTTCACTTTAACTACCTTTCACTCAGTCCCTCTCATGACACGTGGAGATTATCGGAACTACAATTCAAATGAGATTTGGGTGGGGATACAGCCAAACAGTATCACTACTCATAACCATACTCAGAAGCAGCTAGGGCAGTGGCTCTTGTTTCCATTTCACAGATGAAGAGACTAAGCCTTTTCTAAGGACACACAGAGTGAGTCTTTTTTATACGTGGGATCAGGACACAAGGTTCTGGCCCTCAGGCCCATGCTGCTAGGTCTACACTGCCTTTCATTCCACTCTGGGGTCTCTTGAGAATTATTGAACCCAATTTCCTTAGTCTCTTACCTGCTGCCTATTTCAAATCTAGTGGGACAACCTATGCACTATAAAGGGAGCAATAGTCAGGTTTTGCCAACCAAATTGTCCACTACTCTGGCCTCTCTTTTCTGGCCCTCTTCCATTAACCCCTACACACTCTGGATGGGTTTAGTTCCTCCTTCATAGTTGATTCCTGTGGGAGTCCAAGGGAGGGGTGGGCAGGGGGCTTCTTGAGTGAGCAAGGCTGTCCCCCTGTGGTAGGTTCTGCTATCCAGACTCTCAAAGTCACTTTGTAACTGGCAAAAGTGTTTGACTGCTCGCCACTTGTAGAAAGAAGCCAAAATAATAACGAGATGTGATAGAAAAAGACTGAAACTTTATTATTCGTGCCAGCAAGGGGAAGAGTGGCTAAGAAAAATTTTACTTTTCAATTTTTGGAGGGAATGCAGGGGTTTTTTAAGAGAGAGTTTGGAATGCAGAAGAGGCAGGGAATGCTAGGAAGTGCCAGGTGATGAGACTTGCTCCAATGGCTCATCTTGAATTATTGTTCCCTCTGATGTAGGGGCTGGGGCCATTGAGGGCCCTACCAGGTTACAAATTAATCACAGTCAATCTTGTAGTCAGTCTGTATCTGGGAGTGGGTTCCAGTCTTGAAGTAAGCTTTTATTGGAGAGAGAATTCAGAAGGTGCCTCGTTGTGTCAGGATTTGGCCCCTGAAGATTCCTAAGGAAATATATGACCAGATAAGTGAATATGATGTGAGTTTAACAAACATCCAGATAAACAAATGTGCATAAGGCCTGGGAGCATAAGATGGAGTGTTTGTTAGAGCACCTTCCAAGGCTGTTTTTCAAGACAAGAGAAAACACACCTGGAGTTTTTCTCACTGCGCAAAAAGAGGAAAGGAAAAAAAAGTTGTAAAATGCAGTTTGAAGCCAAGCTGCTCAGTTACAATTTGACAAAAGAAAGTCCAAAACGGGTAAAACATCACAGTGTTTCTGGACACACCAAACTATGAAGTCAAGGCTGTAGAAGCCTCAGTTTGGGAAGCCAAGTAGTAGATTTCTTTAAGACATTTGAGGAGGGAGAAATTGTACCCTTATTTTGGGATGTGCCTTAGCAAAAGTAAAAATGGTTGCCTTCCACTTTTCTTATCCTCTTCCAGATCTAGGGGCCCCTGTCACTCTATCGTCTAAGATTTAAGATGCTTAGCGCTGGTCCCTCCCCAAGCTGCAGTTTCCAAACGGCTGTATCCTTTTGTATTTGGTAGAATTGTGCCCCCCACCCCACCAAAATATATTTTCATGTCTTAACCCCGTGTACATGTGACTGTGACCTGATTTGGAAATAAGACTTTTGTATTGTGAACCCTGAATATCTGAGACAGGTCTCAGTTAATTTAGAAAGTTTATTTTTCCAGGGTTGAGGACACCACCTCAGTAGGTCCTGACAACATGTGCCCAAGGTTGTCAGAGCACGGTTTGGTTTTATCCATTTTAGGAAGAAGTGAGACATCAATCAATATATGTAACATGTACATTAGTTCTGTCTGGAAAGGCAGACAACTTGAGCGGGGAGGTGAATTCCAGGTCACAGGTAGGTGAGAGACAAACAGTTGCATTTCTTTTTTTGAGTTTCTGATTGTCTTTCCAAAGGAGGCAATCAGATATGCATTTATCTTGGTGAGCAGAGACATGACTTTGAACAGAATGGGAGGCAGGTTTGCCCTAAGCAGTGCCCAGTTTGACTTCTTCTCTTAAATTAGTGATTTTGGGCCCCCAATATTTATTTTCCTTTCACATTCAACCCCCATACCTTGTTCTTTAAAAAATCTTCTGGAGAAAGCATTTGAGAAGAAAATGAGTCTCTGGTCTCAGATTTTGTCGGATCACTCATGGCTACGATAGTTTATTTTTAGACAGGTAGGTCCCAAGTTATTAGGAAAGCTCATTTTCATCAGGTTGAGAAGTTTCATGTCCTATGAAGAGAAAATGGTGGGGAGTGGGGGAGAAAAACAACAATAAACAAAAGAACAATTATGAAAAATTGATATGAGACACATTACTCTGAAGTCTATACATCAGTAGGCAGGTATGAAAGTGGCTTATGTATGTAAATGGGTTGCTGTTATTTTCTTCTGAAGTTTAAGTTGTCTAGATTCAGTTCACAGAGCTTTAATAAAGCACAGCTTAGTTTTCAGTAATTTTAAGTTAGGAAAAATGGGCAAAAGAGGAAAATAAATAATAAAAAGTTGAAAATGTTATGTTGGAGACTTGTAGCCAGGAAAAATTAGAATTCCATCTAAACTGTAGAAAACAATAAAAATTGAAAAAAAAAACATTAAACAAGGACAGAATCAAACAACAGGTTTACTACAGTTTTGGAAACATAATTTTTCTCTCTCCAGTTTTCCATGTTTACTAAAGATAAATCATGATAGGAGTGATTTGCTTTATTATACTTGGCCAGATTATTTGTATAAAGTACACCAAGAATAATTATTTTTCATATAAGCTTTAAAGACTTGCTTTGATGGAACTTTGTTCCATAGAAGGAATCTCAGATAAGACTTTTTAAAAGCCGAGCCCAGCCATGAATTTGTACCATCTATGGCTGATACCAATTCACCACTCATATACCAGTGAGTTGGGTGAATTCTTGTCCTCAAGATAACTTGGGGCTCCTGGGTCTGTCAGATAGTGACATTCTTTACTTACCACAGATCAGGAACACTGTACAGGGAATGTGTAGACAGTGTATAAGGCCAGATTTCGAAAGCGGCCTTTTTTTTTTTTATTTTTGAGATAGTTTCATGCTTGTTGCCCAGGATGGAGTGCAATGGTGTGGTCTCACTTCACTGCAGCCTCCACTTCCCAGGTTCAAGTGATTCTCCTGCCTCAGCCTCCCAAGTAGCTGGGATTATAGGCTTGCACCACCATGCTCAGCTAATTTTGTATTTTCGGTAGAGATGGGGTTTCACCACTTTGTACAGGCTGGTCTTGAACTGCTGACCTCAGGTAATCCACCGACCTTGGCCTCCCAAAGTCCTAGGATTACAGGCATGAGCCACCATGCCCAGGCCCAAGGGGCTTTTATTGGCTCTATAAGTCAAGTTTGATTTCTTAAAAGAAAGCACACTATTCCAGTCAAAGCTTGGTAAAATAATCTGTTTCTCCAATTGTATCCTGTTACAAATGAAAACAGATTCTTATTGCACTTATGCAAATAACTATATTACCATAAGAATACTCACAAATAGTTTACAAATTCTGGAGAAATCAGGTAGAGAGAAACAAATATCACAAAAATCTTATCACAGATATTGATGCCATACTCTACAGGTAGCTCCCATTCCTTCTATCTCAAATCAAAATAATTCAATTGTCCAGTCCCTTCCATTGCTGAGCCTCAGCTGTTTTTTTCTATCTGTTTAGAGGGTTAGATTTTCCGACTTTTAAGGGGGCTTTCAGTTCTAACAGTTTATATGTCTATGAAACAAGGCAAATAAGTTAGGATTAGGAGGAGTGATTGAAAAGCAACCTTGAGACCTTTACTTCAGATTCATAGATTTAGTAGTCCCTTATACCTTCTGAAACTCTATTTACAGTATAACCAAGTGACTTTTGCTGTTCAAAAGAATGAACTGACTTTGAAAGCTGGTCTCTGCCCTTAGTAGGGTTAGCATCTGTGTAGAGACCCTTCTCTGGGTCACCAAAACTTTTAACTCCTCCCCACATCCAATTCTTTTAGGAATGAATGACGTAGGTGGAAGAAATTTGTACTGTGTCCACGGTGACTTAGGAGTGCTGGAATTTGAAGAATGTAGGGGCCCAGGAGCTATTTTCATTTTGTCTAGAAAGGCAGCATGGTAGATCTGTAGTCATACAGACATTCCATTTACTAGCTGCATGATTTAGATATTACACTTTTTTCCTTAAATCAGTTGCCTGCTTTACATTTGTTCCACTGCCTGATGTCTTTTACACTGTTAGTAGTTGGGCCTTTGCTTGTGTTTATTGTTGACACATGTTAACATTGCTTGGATTTGGGGGCTAGACCAGTTAATATTTCAAATTGGAAGCTCTACTTTTTAGGCCAAGTGTTGGCCTGTTTCCTACCTCCACTGAGTAACTGATCCTGGTTGGTTTTCTTTCCAGGCCTTCTCTCCCACAGCTGAACCATCACCAGGGACTCTGCCACTTAAAATCCTTCTGGAAAAATGCCACTCTCTGCCCATCTCACAGAGTATTCCCACAGAGCTGGACCAAGTGGGCTGGAGTAGACCTATGATGCTTTGCATTGGGATGCCTTTTATGCCCTGGTTTCTATGGCAGGATATGCTAGGCAGGCCTCATGCATAGTCAGACTGTGTTGACATTTATCCTCTTCCCCACCCTGTAGTCCCCCAGTACTGCTCCTCATTAAAACCTGAAAATCAACTATTAGCAATGCCTTGGTATAGACTTTGACTTCCCCAAGCTCTTCTTTTAAAATGCAAATATCCTTATTGGGGTACTCATTAACTCAAAGCACTCAAATATCCTATTCTTCTCAAAGTCTTGTGTTCCCCTCCCCCCCCGACACTCCCAGGCTCTCTGTACCTAATGCTTTCCAGAACTCGTACACAGCAGTTCCTCCTCTTCACCCCATTTACAGTGATCTTATATACAGCCTGCAGGCCTCAAAGGGACTAGTCCCATAGAGCAAACTCCACATGGGATCATTCTAACACCTTACATAGACATGCTTTCTGTGGGTTTCAAATCCCGCCTCCTTCACTGACCACCAACTATGGAAAGCTCCTCAAGTCTCAAAGCAGCTTCATTTAAAGAACTCAAAATCCAGAGACATTCCCTTTAACACTTCAGTTACCTCCCAGAGCTTCAGAGTGTGCCCTTTCAGACTCAGCCCATGGGCCCTGCCTGCCACACCTTTGTCATTTGCAAAAATCTGTCTTTTGCCACAAATGGAAGGAATCCATGCTTTTGGATCCCTATTCCTTACACCACATCCTAACAGTTCCTAGGCCCTTTTACAGCAACAAAATTTGCATGAATGCTGTGATTCTCAGGACATCACAGCATTCCTTTCTAAAGGCTTTTTCTGAAGTCTCTAAAAGCTCTAAGAGCACCAGTTTCACTTCCCCATGCCTCAAAGTTTGCCTTAGCCCTGAAGGCCTTGTAGCTCCTCTGGACCTGCTTCTCCTCCTCCTCCTATTTCCTCCTTTATTCTTCTTACTCCATGTGTGTGGCCCTTGTGGGATGCTTTGACTCAGAGCTTATTTCCAACCTGGTGGCTCCTTCCCAGCGTTCCAGGAAGGTAGGAGCCAAAGAAATCACTGGCTTCGGTCTTGTGTGGCATCATTTCCCTCAGAAATTCCCAGAAGCTAGGGAGGCAGTAAGAATAAAGAGAAAGAATTCTGAGGACAGGGAGATAATCCTTTACTATCGTAACTAGGAGAGTGCTTAGAGGTCACATGGTCCTCATATTTTACAGATGGGGAAACAGGATCAGACAGGGGATGGGACCTACCAGTCCAAGGTCACATAGTCAATTTATAGCAGAGTTGTGACTCAGGCTTCAACCTCATGACTTTTCATCATGCCAGAATGTGATTTTACTTCACTCCTAGACCAAGTCTTAAATGCTAAGATGCCAAGCCTCAGGTTCCACTCAAGCTTGAGTTGCCAGCCTCCCCCCATCCCCTAAGGAGACTGCAGGTGGTGGGTGCAAATCAAGCCATCAAGGCAGCAGCAGATGCCTGCCATATTTTCTAATTCCCCTGCCTGAGGATAAGGCACTCTCTCATAATCCCTTAGGAGGTCAGGCCTGGAGTATCTAATGGAAGGAATATAGTCACAACTATTCCTCCTCTCCTTCCATTCCTCTTAGGAAGTGGACCTACCCCCTGGCAATTCGAAGTTTTTTGAGCAGCTGATACCATTCCACTGCCAAGTGAATCAGATAGGCCCTGTCTACCATCCTTCTGATTGTCAGAAGCAGATGACAACTCCTGGTGGGGTGGGGTCAGGGAGCTGCAGAGATGAGGCTATTAGTCTTTACCCTAGGGATTTATCTGGGCTTATTTATAGGCCATGGGTAGAAAAATATACCCCTGAGATTGGCTTATGTCCCACCATCACCTCAGCAGCCACACTTACCTGTGGGATATAAGTGGCTCTCATGTTGCAGCTCTGATTCTTAAGGTCCCAACTAAACACTTGGGGCTAAAACTATTCCTGGGAAGGAGGATGACATCAGGACTCCATTTGGAAAGCCAGGTGTCATCTAGCTCTTCTTATATCTCTGACCCTCCTGGCTATGGGATCCAAGAATCATATTTATATCATAATTAGTACCTGATTTACCTCCATTTTTTCACTGCCAGTGTTCTGTGGGTTTCAAATAGTGCCCCCTTCACTGACCACCAAACTTCAGTTTGTTTTCTACTGCTCAATTTCTGTTCTTCTACCTTATTCTACACATATTCTTACAAGCCCCTCCCTCGAAGCTTTTAATCTGGAGGTTCCCAGGGCAGACCAATATCGTAGAAAGAGGATCAACTTTGGGATTGAACAGACTCAGGTTCAAATATTTGCTCTGCAAACTTGGGCAAGTTGTATAACCTCTCTGGACCTCAATTTCTCAATATGAGGGATGGGGTGCTGAATAACATCTTCACATGAAATAGAATCTATTGATGTTCCCAGCACAGTTCCTAGCACACAGGGGTGCTCAGTGATGGTAGTAGTTTTCTTCTCCCCACTGCCCTCCACCAATTCCATATGCCCAAGAGCTCTGCCCACTGTGGGGCCAACCTGAATCTGCCCTGGTACATGAGCTGCTTCTTCTAATTATTAATTGACTCACTCACTTGCTCATTCAACAAACATTGATTGAGCAAAATAGCAAAGCCTGTGGAGTTTGCATTCTGACAACCCAGTGCTGGAAAGGACAACAGTTTTGAAGTCAGACATGCTTGGACTTGAATTTTGGCTGTGCTTCTTACTACCTGTATGATCTGGAATAGGTCACTTTACCTCTTTGAGCCTCAGTTATTTATTTGTAACCTTGGGTTAATAGTTTATACCTCACAGACAATACTGTAGGCTAAAAAGAGCTAACAGACATGAAAGTGCTTTATAAGCTCTATCCAGGCCTGGGCTGGATAGGTACATAGTTGATATTCATGAATATCTATTGATACCAATATTAAAATTTAAGATTTGCTTTCCAAATGAAGTAGAGGGGTTCTTATACTTAAGAAAAACCTAACAAAATATAATCCCAAAAACAGACACACTGAAATAGTACCCACACACATGTCACCTCACATATTGGCTGAGCTCTACTCAAACCACTTGAGACTGGGCTGACTCAGAAGCCTGTTTAGGCAGAGGCATTCAAATCATTTCCCACTGAGGTTATGTCCCTCCCAGTAGGGGTCGCTCTGGGTTGGTCTTGATCTAGAGGGTTTTAGGATACACTTAGAAGAATTTAACACCACTGGAATGAATGGCCAGGAAGCAGTTGGAAGGAATATTAAATAGGACACTGGTTTCTGAGCAGGTAAGAAGAGCTGATGTATTTTTACTCTTTATTTGAGTATTTATCTGTTGATGGTACCAGTTAGCAACATTTGATAATTGAGCCAGGTGTCAGGAGACCTTAGTTATGTTGCTGAATTTCTGTGTGTATTTTTGTGTATCACATTATGACTACAATGTGATTTTTTGTGTGTAGTCAGTTCCAATCATTCCCCTCCTGTGAGCCTTAATATCCTCATTTTGGAAATGGAAGCATTGCTATTTGGCTGTCCTGGGAACACAGATTTTACTTTCTAATTGGGTCTGATTAGATATACCCTTGGTTTTTCCTCCTACCACCTGGTTTTTGGACACATCTACTGCTCACATTTCCTCTTAATGGGTGGGTTACAGAGAGGGGTGAAAATTTAGAACTGTTTATGATACTCTGGGGAAGTGTTGGGAGGGGCACGAAATTAGAGCTATTGGTGGAAACAAGGTTTTGACAATGTTTTCATATTTTAATTAACCAAGCTCTTCATGTCACCTAAGACTTCAAATAATGAGAATTGTTAGGAACTGGGATTCTTACTTTATAATTCCAGGCAGGAGCCTGAGGTTCTTCTTTTCCCAAGATATTCCCTGAGCAATGGAAGAAGGCCCAGCATACTTCAGATACTGGTTATGAATTTCTTCTTGACTAATTTCAGCCCTTTTTCTCTCTATTACTGGCCTTACATGAGTATACCCTTCCCTCTCATGCTCCACCACCCCAATCCTGTTGGTTCTGCAAGGTGGACCAGGGTGATCAGCAACCAAGTTTCTCCCAAAGGAGCTGAAGTTTGGTCTCAACCTAAAGAGTATTCTTTCACCACAGGTAACTTGGACCAGGCCTCCAAGATGCTAGAAACCCACAAGAACATTGGTGAATACTGGAAGCTCCAGGGACCAGGAAACAAGCCAGTTAATGAAGTAAGAACCCTTTCTTAGTTTCTTTGGAACTTGCCTGTCCTCCAGCACCATTTATCTCCTCTAAGCTTCTCTCTTCCTAGACATATTGCAAGTATTGAAATTTCCACCATGTGGAATGGAAGCAATTCTTAAAATGGGTTTCTGAGCTATTTTATGGCTGCATAAAAGTTGGGAGCATTAACATTTTTTCCCTGAGGTTAATTTTTACATGAGATAAATCAAGGACTTTTTATGGTTTCCATGCAGCTTGCTGTTGCCATTGTCTTTGGCTGCCTGTGCTGTGGCAGATGGAGGAGCTGTGAAATTTTAAATTGAATACTTCGGTTTGCTTTTATTACATTCTTTGGGTTCATGATCATCTTCAGAGCTAACTGGTGGCATATTTATGGGCATTTTTTGGAGAAGTTGTTTTATAAATGGAGATATTTAAACTGGTGCTTAGGAGGTCAGCTTCTTTATCTCGATGTCTTTATATCCATGTCTATTGGGTACTTATATAGACCTTTATAAGTGTAGCTTTCTTGCTGTATCTCTGTGCATATGAATGTCTGTCTGTATATGCCTATCTATGCATCTTTGCCCATGGCACACCTGTTAAAACAACACTTCTTTGGTGCATGTGTGGATGTCCCTGAGCATGAACTACAACGTGAATTTTTTAACTGTCTATTCTGTGTGCTTGTGTCTATCTATCTATCATCTATTTATCTATCTATCTGTCTATGCTTTTTTCTGAGTGTATCTTTGGGTGTTTTGACATCTGATGCCTTTTTGTATGTGTTTGAGTCTACAGACCTGCCTATTTGTATCACCTTGCTGAGGGTATGTATACATATCTGCCTTTCAGTGTCTGTCTGTGTTTTTGCATAGTTTGTCTGTGAGCAAGTGTGATTGGACACATAAGGCTACAGATCTGTGGCTAAACTCTGGTGAGCAATGGAACCTGAGAATGCAACCCTCAGATATATCTGGCCTACTGGCTTAGCTTTTACTACCATCACCCACCAATTTGAATATTTCCACTTAGAAACAGGTTTATAGTCAGCCACCCTGTAGAGATTCACGACCAGGGAGATGTATCATGAAGTTAAGATTTTTGTTTTTTTTTTGTTTTGTTTTTGTTTTTTTTGGTTTAGAATTTGCAAAGTGAGGCCCACAGGAAAAGCTTAATGACACTTGGCTTGAATTCTCTTGATTTCTGCCTTCTGCTCAGTTACCCTCTTGCCAGCCTTCCCTCACTTGGCTTCCTTGGTCCAAACTCAGGCTTGTTCATTCCTCCGGAGAAAAAGAGCACCAACAAATGGGTCTAAACATTTACTTTCATTTTAGCCTGGTCTCTATGCTGGGTCTCTTTGTACTCAGAAGACAAATAACCAGCTTCCTTCTAATTAGAAATTATGTATGCTCGACCAGGTGTGGTGGCTCACACCTGTAATCCTAGCACTTTGGGAGGCCAGAGCGGGCAGATCATTTGAGGTCAGAAGTTCAAGACCAGCCTGGCCAACATGGTGAAATTCCGTCTCTACTAAAAATACAAAAAAAAAAAAAAAGTTAGCTGGGTGTGGTGTCAGGTGCCTGTAATCCCAGCTACTCAGGAGGCTGAGGCAGAGAATCACTTGAACCTTGGAGGTGGAGGTTTCAGTGAGCCAAAATCATGCCATTGCACTCCAGCCTGGGTGACAGAGCGAGACTCCATCTCAAAAACAAAAAGAAAAGAAAAAAATAAATTACGTATGCTCAAATACAGGAATTAGTCATGCGTGATAAGGCCCTTTCCCTGGGAAAGCCAACATTTGTAAGACCCCAAGAGAGGAAATCCATGTAGGTAGTGGTTCTGAAAAGGTGAAGTATCCATGGTCAGGGGTTTAGAGGAGTGATTTGAGTCACCATGAAAGCTTTCAGGGGGGCTCCATGGCGTTCAAGGACTTGAAATGCTTTGCAGCTGTGATAAGCCCTTGGATCTCATATTACAGTAACAACAATAGCCTTTATTGCTGTGGCATTTTACAAAATGCTTTCAAATCCAGTGTTTCATTTGACTTCATGGCAGTTCCATCAATTAATATCATCTCCATTTTGTACATTAAAACTCTGAGATTCAAAGAGGTGACATGACTTTTCTAATGTCACCCTGCCAGTAAGTGGTAGAGTCAGAACTTAATGCCTCTGTATGTTTCCAAATCAGGAGGCAGAACCTACATCTCTGCTTTGTCTTTCGTAACCCTGGAGAATCCAGAATTTGGAGAAAAACAGTTTTTCAAGGGATTAATCAAAGATAAGTTACAACAAAGAGTCTAGCTATGTGGTAGGCTACAATATTCCTGACTTCTTAGAGAAGGTGGAATTTGAGCTGCACTCTGAATAATGAGAAGTAATGAAATAGGTGGAGGAGAGGGAGGTGGCCTGGTCAGATGGCAGGTGCTACATGACCAGGAAAGAACCTCTATTCCTGTTCCCTGAGAGCAGTTCAAGCTGGTTTCACTTTAATAGTGCTAGGAGTCAAAGGGAGATAATTTTTACATGTGTTCATGTATTAGTCTGTTTTCATGCTGCCAATAAAGATATACCTGAGACTGGGTAATTTATAAAGGAAAGAGGTTTAGTGGACTCACAGTTCCACATGGCTGGGGAGGCCTCATAATCATGGTGGAAGGAAAAGGAGAAGCAAAGACATGTCTTACATGGTGGCAGACAAGACAGAATAAGAGCCAAGCAAAGGGGGAATCCCCTTAGTAAAACCATCTGCTCTCATGAGAATTATTCACTACCATGAGAACAGTATGGGGGAAAATGCTCCCATGATTTAATTATTTCCCACCAGGTCCCTCCCCAACATGTAGAAATTATGGGAGCTACAATTCAAAATGAGATATAATGGGGACACAGCCAGACTATATTATTCCACCCCTGGCCCCTCCCAAATCTCATGTTCTCCCATTTCAAAACCAATCATGCCTTCTCAACAGTCCCCCAAAGTCTTAACTTATTTCAGCATTAACTCAAAAGTCCACAGTACAAAATCTCATCTGAGACAAGGTAAGTCCCTTCTGCCAATGATCCTGTAAAATCAAAAGCAAGTTAGTTACTTCATAGATACAATGGGGGTGCAAGCATTAGATAAATACACCCATTCCAAGTGGGAGAAATTGGCCAATACAAGGGCTAAAGGAGCAATCAAAAATCCAGTGGGTCAGTCAAATCTTAAAGCAACAAAATGATCTCCTTTGACTCCAAGTCTCACATTAAGGTCACACTGATACAAGAGATGGGTTCCCATGGTCTTGGGCAACTCTGCCCCTGTGGCTTTTCATGGTACAGCCTCCCTTCCAGCTGCTTTCACAGGTTGGCATTGAGTGTCTGTGGCTTTTTAGGGACTTGGTGCAAGCTGTGGATCTATCATTCTGTGGTCTGAAGGATGATGGCTCTCTTTTCACAGCTCCACTAGGCAGTACTCCAGTGAGGACTCTGCATAGGGGGCTCCAACCCCACATTTCCCTTCCACACTGCCTTAGCAGAGGTTCTGCATGAGGGCCCCACCCCTGCAGCAAACTTCTGCCTGGACATCCAGGCATTTCCCCACATCCTCTGAAATCTAGGTGGAGGTTCCCAAACCTCAGTTCTTGACTTTTGTGCACCCAGAGGGTCAACACCATGTGGAAGCTACCAAGGCTTGGGGCTTGCACTCTCTGAGGCCACAGCTTGAGGTGTACCTTGGCATCTTTTAGCCATGGCTAGAACAGCTGGGATGCAGGGCACCAAGTCCCTAGGCTGCAGACAGCAGGATCCCTGGGCCTGGCACATGAAACCATTTTTTCCTCCTAAACCACCAGGCCTGTGATGGGAGGGACTGCCACAAAGGTCTCTGACATGCCCAGAAGATATTTTCCCCATTGTCTTGGTAATCAACATTAGGCTCCTCATTACTTATGCACATTTCTACAGCCAGCTTCAATTTCTCCTCAGAAAATGAGTTTTTGTTTTCTATTGCATCATCAGGCTCAAAATTTTTTGAACTTTTATGCTCTGTTTCCCTTTTAAAACTGAATGCTTTTTGTAGCACCCAAGTCACCTCTTGAATGCTTTACTGCTTAGAAATTTCTTCTGGCAGATGCCCTAAATCATCTCCCTCAAATTCAAAGTTCCACAAATCTCTAGGGCAGGGGCAAAATGCCACCAGTCCACCAGTCTCTTTGCTAAAACATAGCATGAGTCACTTTTATTCCAGTTCTTAACTAGTTCCTCATCTCCATCTGAGACCATGTCTGCCTGGACTTTATTGTCCATGTCACTATCAGCATTTTGACCAAAACCATTCAACATGTCTCTAGCAAGTTCCAAACTTTCCCACACCTTCCTGTCTTCTGAGCCCTCCTAGTCTCTAGGAAGGTCCAAATTCTCTCACATTTTCTTAACTTCTTTTGAGCCCTCCAAACTGTTCTAACCTCTGCCTGTCACCCAGTTCCAAAGTCGCTTCCACATTTTTGGATATCTTTACAGCAGCACTCCACTCTGCCAGTACCAATTTACTGTATTATTCTGTTCTCATGCTGCTAATAAAAACATACCTGCAACTGGGTAATTTTTTAAGGAAAGAGGATTAATGGACTCACAGTTCCACGTGGCTGGGGAGGCATCACAATCATGGTGGAAGGCAAAGGAGGAGCAAAGTCACAACTTACATTGTCACCAACAAGAGAGCCATGCAAAAGGGGAAACCCCTTATAAAACCATCATATCTCTTGAGACTTATTCAACATCACAAGAGCAGTATTGTGGGAAAACCACACCCTGATTCAATTATCTCCCACCAGGATCCTCCCATGACATGTGGGAATTATGGGAGCTACAATTCAAGATGAGGTTTGGTTGGTGACATATCAGTGCATCACAACTACCCTGAGAACACTAAATAATATTCATTTTTCAGATGAGGAAATGAAGCTAAAAGAAAAGAAAGGAATTTGTTAAGGTCGGAAAGCAGGTTGATATCAGAGTCTGGGTGGACCTTGTGTCCCAAAGCCCAGTGACCTGATACTTAATTCATATCCCCACTTGAGGAAGATGCAGGATATCTGCAGTAGGTCTCAAACCATATAGATGTAGCCATATTCTGCCTCTACCACTCTTACCATTTGCTGCCTTTCTGGGTCTCCATCTTGGCTGGCCTTGGCCTTGGCAGGCTGAGCATCAGCTGATGATCTCAGCTAAGAAAACCTGCTGTGGCAGTTGTCCCATCTTACCAAGTGAGGAAGCTCTTGTGGGGACATTCTCAAGGCAAGACCAGCACCCAGATAGACCTCCAGCACTCTGAGGGAAGAATCTTTCTCTTTTGTCTCTCTATCGGTTGTTTCTTTTTTCTTTTGCAACCCTTGTGTGTCTTCTGTCAAAAAGCTGGCCAAACCTTCTTCCACAAGTTAAGATTGGCCAGTCTCCTTTTCTCTTGAAGTGTAGCCTGAAAATAATATATTTTTAAAGGAAATGTATTAACCTGTTGATGAGAGGAAATTGATTCAGAGGAGCTGGAGTAAGTTCTGGATTCAGGATTTAGTCTGTTTCCCTTCACTCTGAGTTCTAGGCAAACTATGCTCTGAATCTGGTTAAATTTTGGCTGTACAGATTATGTATTCTGAACATAATAAGAAAAGTGTTGAGCTGTTCAAAGTCCAGCCACATCTGTTATCTCTTTGGAGCCCCACACTGTGGGAGGACAAAGGAGATATTATTGTCTCTATTTAATAGAGGCAGAAGGATGGGTCTCAGAGAGGTTAAATAGTTTATTCCAGATTTGGAAACTGGTATCTTGACAATCATGTTTGTGTTCTTTTGCTACAGCCATGGATTACTTTCATGGCTTTGGATGTCAAAGCTCCTTTCTTCCTGAGATTCCATACAATTTCAAGTGAGCTTTATTAATCTGTAATTTACATATAATAAAACTCACCAAGTGTACAGTTTGATACATTTTGACAAATTTGTATAGTCATATAACCACAACACAGTTGTGATGTAGAACATTTTCCTCACTCCCTCAAATTTCCTCACGTTCTTTTGTAATCAGTCCCCCTCCCTTTTTCCCTTGGCAGCCACTGATCTTTTTCTACATCTATAATTTTGCCAGAATTTTTAAACTGGTAACAATTAATAATTAGTTTGTCTTGAAAAAGGTGTGAGGACAATAATCATCCTTTTTCTGAATCTTGAGACTTAACAGGCAAGTGAAATGAATTTCTCTGTCATCCTATACATTTATTTGTTTGTTTGCTTATTTATTCATTCAGAAACCTCTATTCCAGGAATCATGCTGTATGCTGGAATACTGAATTTTAAAAGATCTGTGTTCAATTCACGGTCTAATCAGAAGAAACTCATACATCAATGAAGAATCACAGTATTGTGGTATGTCCTAAAAAAAAGCTTGAATCCAGTACTAAGAATGTTTAATCATGCTTAGTCAAAGAAATAGACTGGATCTTGAATCCCAGAGGAGATATTCTTTTGAAAATGATCAGGAATTCTGAAACAGGTGGGAGGGATTGAGAGGGATAGGATTGGAGACTCTTTCCAGGCCAAGATAGGGCAAAGGTGTTGAGACAAGAACTAGCATACTGGGCTTGGGGAACTACAAGATGGATGGATGAGATGGTGGACATTCTGGCAAAAGCTTAAAGGAGTTCCAAAGGGCAAAAATCCTAGTAGGCTTCATAATAATCCTGACCTGATGTTGGAAAGTTTCAGGCAGTGCCAGTGATCGCTATTTTATGAATCTCTAAGGTATTGGGGCTTTCGACCATGTTCAGAGTTGGAGAAAAGTTCAGTATTGAGGCCAGCTTTCATTTTTTGCTCAGATAGCAGAGAGATGTTATCCCAGAGACCTGGAGCATTTTTTATCATTTGTGTTTTCCCAGGAGGATAGAAACATTAGAGGCTATTCTTCCCAGCCCTACCATTGGCTACATATTACGGAGGCTTCAGATGATAGTGATCTCAAAACCAGGAGTGATATATTTGTCATGAAACTGTTAAGGTGCCAGCATTTTTGTATCTCACTATGGCCTGTAGAAGTAGATTAACCTCTCTTTTGCAGAGGCCAAAGCCTTCCCTGAAGGAGTTGCTTCCCTCACTCAACCACTTGGCATAAGGCTCAGAAGTTGGGTTCTGGAGCGAGAAAGATAGGGGTTTCCATCTTCAACCTGGCTGGATAGAGACCCAGAGGCCTTTCTCATGGCAAGCCATAGAAAAGCCAGAATGGAGAGTCAAGAGCCCTGGGCTCCAGTCCTGGCCTTGGGTAACTTGAGGGCCCTTCTTTCCCTTCCACCACTGAGCCTTAGGAGAAAGCAAGGACTCTAACATAGGACTATAGAAGTGATTAATTCTGTTGGGAGAAGTCAAGTTTCCTGATCTGGACATGACCAACTTCAACTGAATGCTTTCAGAGGTCCTTTCCAGTGTTACCAAAGGCATGTTTTGGTGACCAAGGAGGTCCTCATAGCTTTCTTAATAAAACCAGGCCTAACTATTGTCTGAATTGCTCAGGAAATAGGTGCTTGAGATCCATGGAGAGAACATCATGGGATAGAAAAAAGTGATCAAGGATGTTCTTTTTCTTCTGCCCCACTTAGTCCCAGGGCTGGGACTAGGGTGAGGCAAGTGAGGCTCTTACCTTGGGGGGAAAATATAAAGGGGTGCCAAAAAAAATCAGTAATCAAGATAAATAATATTTTAATACAATATTTTTAAAAATAAAAATTAATATGAAAATCCACCATTAACAAAACATCAAAATTTTAAATAAAGACAGGACTAGTATTACTGATTTTTCCTTTTGCCTTGGGCTCCGATATGGCTTGGCACAGCACTGCTCAGGCTCCTTGCATTTCTCCCCAGTAGGCAAATATGCCTCACTTAGGGATCCAAGATGGAGAGTATCTGCATTGGTTTAGGGCTTGCTTTCAAAGAAAAGTGGCTGGTATATAATAAGAGGTGTAGAAAAGCATAATGGTTAAGAAGAGTATTGCCTCTGGAGCTAGACAGCCAGCATATAAGTATTTAAGTCTGCTACTTATTACTTGTGTGACCCTGAAAAAATTATTTAACTTTTTGTGTCCCTGATTCCTCTTCCATAAAATAGGGATAATGACAGTACTTACTTCATGGGGTCTCTCTGAGGGTTAAATTAATTAATATGCGTAAATATCCAAACAAAGAATTGGGCATGTGACATGTGCCTAGTGAACATTTACTCTTGTTATATGTAGGAAGAATTTAGTTTAGAACTTATTGAAGATATGTAGTGGTACTGCAGTAGGTGACTGAGGCAGATTGTTGAGTAATTCTTACTGCTGTTTTATCAGAGCTTCTGAAAGTTCTTAGGTGCAGCTTTGCTTGAGGCAGAGAGATGAAGTACATGATGTTTAAAATTTGTTTCCATTTTTTATGATGCCTGTGACAAATAGTTTTGAAATTTGGGTTGAGAACAACTAATTTGTACGGATCTATCCAAACTATTCAAAACGTGCTGGACTATTCTTTAAGAAAATTATTGCTACATAATAATTTTTTACATATTTGTGGGGTGCATGTGATATTTTGATACATGAATACAATGTGTAATAATTTAAAAAGTAATTGGAATACTCATCACATCAAACATTTCTGATTATTTTCTGTTGAGAACATTCTAAATTTTCTCTTCAATGTAATTTGAAATATGCAATAAATTATTAACTATAGTCATGTGATTGTGCTGACACTACAACTTATTGCTTTCACCTAACTGTGTTTTTTTATTATACTTTAATTTCCGGGGTACACATGCCGAACGTGCGGTTTTGTTACATATGTATACACTAGCCATGGTGGTTTGCTGCACCCATCAACCCGTCACCTACATTAGGTATTTCTTCTAATGCTATCCCTTCCCTAGCCCCCAAACCTTGACAGGCCCTGGTGTGTGATGTTCCCCTCCCTATGCCCATGTGTTCTCATTGTTCAACTCCCACTTATGAGTGAGAACATGAGGTGTTTGGTTTTTTCTTCTTGTGTTACTTTGCTGAGAATGATGGTTCTCAGCTTCATCCATGTCCCTGCAAAGGACGTGAACTCACTATTTCTTATGGCTGAATAGTATTTCATGGTGTACATGTGCCACCTTTTCTTTATCTAGTCTATCATTGATGGATATTTGGGTTGGTTCCAAGTCTTTGCTGTTGTGAATATTGCCACAATAAATATACGTGTGCAGGTGTCTTTATAGTAGAATGATTTATAATCCTTTGGGTATATACCAGTAATGGGATTGCTGCATCAAATGGTATTTCTAGTTCTAGATCCTTGAGGAATCGCCACATTGTCTTCCCCAAGGGTTGAACTAATTTACACTCCCAACAACAGTGTAAAAGCATTTCGATTTCTCCACATCCTCTCCAGTATCTGTTGTTTCTTGACTTTTTAATGATCACCATTCTAACTGGCATGAGATGGTATTTCATTGTGGTTTTGATTTGCATTTCTCTAATGACCTGTGATGATGAGCATTTTTTCATAAGTTTGTTGGCTGCATAAATGTCTTCTTTTGAGAAGTATCCTTTACCCACTTTTTGATGGGGTTGTTTGTTTTCATCTTGTAAATTTGTTTAACTTCTTTGTAGATCCTGGATATTAGCCCTTTGTAAAATGGATAGTTTACAAAACTTTTCTCCCATTCTGTAGGCTACCTGTTCACTCTGATGATAGGTTCCTTTGCTGTGCAGAAGCTCTTTAGTTTAATTAGATCCCATTTGTCAATTTTGGCTACTGCTGACATTGCTTTTGGTGTTTTAGACATGAAGTATTTGCCCATGACTATGTCCTGAATGGTATTGCCTCGGGTTTTTTTTAAAGAATTTTTATGGTTTTATATCTTACATTTAACTCCTTAATGCATCTTGAGTTAATTTTTGTATAAGGTGTGAGGAAGTGGTCCAGTTTCAGTTTTCTGCATATGGCTAGCCAGTTTTTCCAACACCATTTATTAAATAGGGAATCCTTTCCCCATTGCTTGTTTTTGCCAGGTTTGTCAAATATCAGACGGTTGTAGATGTGTGGTGTTATTTCTGAGGCCTCTGTTCTGTTCCATTGGTTTACATATCTGTTTTGGTACCAGTACCATGCTGTTTTGGTTACTGTAACCTTGTAGTATAGTTTGAAGTCAGGTAGCATGGTACCTCAAGCTTTGCTCTTTTTGCTTAGGATTGTATTGGCTATGCGGGCTTTTTTTTTGGTTCCGTATGAAGTTTAAAATAGTTTTTGTCCAATTCTGTGAAGAAAGCCAATGGTAGTTCGATGGGGATAGCATTGAATCTATAAATTACTATGCCCGGTATGGCCATTTTCACAATATTGATTCTTCCTATCCATGAGCATGGAATGTTTTTCCGTTTGCTTGTGTCCTCTCTTATTTCCTTGAGCAGTGGTTTGTGGTTCTTCTTGAAGAGGTCCTTCACATCTCTTGTAAGTTGTATTCCTAGGTATTTTATTCTCTTAGTAGCAATTGTGAATGGGAGTTGACTCATGATTTGGCTCTCTGTTTGTCTGTTATTGGTGTATAGGAATGCTTGTGATTTTTGTATATTGATTTTGTATCCTGAGACTTTACTGAAGTTGCTTTTCAGCTTCAGGAGAGTTTGGGCTGAGATGATGGGGTTTTCTAAATATACAGTCACGTCATCTGCAAACAGAGACAGTTTGACTACCTCTTTTCCTATTAGAATACCATTTATTTCTTTCCATTGCCTGATTGCCCTGGCCAGAATTTTCAATACTATGTAGAATAGGAGGGGTGAGAGAGGGCATCCTTGTCTTGTGCCAGTTTTCAAAGGGAAATCTTCCAGTTTTTTCCCATTCAGTATAATATTGGCTGTGGGTTTGTCATAAATGGCTCTTATTATTTTGAGATACATTCCATCGATAACTAGCTTACTCAGAGTTTTTAGCATGAAGGGGTGTTGAATTTTGTCAAAGGCCTTTTTTGCCTCTATAGAGATAATCATGTGGTTTTGGTCATTGGTTTTGTTGATGTTTGGAATAATTTCTTTTTCTATTGTTTTCTATTGTTTGGAATCATTTCAGAAGGAATGGTACCAGCTCCTCTTTGTACCTCTGGTAGAATCCGGCTGTGAATCCATCTGGTCCTGGAATTTTTGTGGTTGATAGGCTATTAATTACTGCCTAAATTCCAGAACTTGTTATTGGTTTATTCAAGGATTCATCTTCTTCCTGGTTTAGACTTGGGAAGGTGTATGTGTCCATGAATTTATCCATTTTTTCTAGATGTTTTAGTTTATTTGTGTAGAGGTGTTTATAGTATTCTCTGATACTAGTTTGTAATTCTGTGGGATCAATGGTGATATCCCTTATATCATTTTCTATTGCCTCTATTTGATTCTTCTCTCGTTTCTTCTTTATTAGTCTGGCTAGCGGTCTATCTATTTTGTTGTTCTTTTCAAAAAACCAGCTCCTTCATTTGTTGATTTTTTTGAAGGGCTTTTTGTGTCTCAATCTCCTTAAATTCTGCTCTGATATTAGTTATTTCTTGTCTTCTGCTAGCTTTTGAATTTGTTTGTTCTTGCTTCTCTAGTTTTAATTTTGATATCAGGGTGTCGATTTTAGATTTTTCCTGCTTTCTCTTATGGGCATTTAGTGCCATGAATTTTCCTCTACACGCTGCTTTAAATGTGTCCCAGAGATTCTGGTACCTTGTATCTTTGTACTCATTGATTTCAAAGAACACTTTTATTTCTCCATTCATTTCGTTATTTACTTAGTAGTCATTCAGGAGCAGGTTGTTCAGTTTCCATGTAGTTATGTGGTTTTCAGTGAGTTTCTTAATCCTGAATTTTAATTTGATTGCGCTGTGGTCTCAGAGACTGTTTGCTATGATTTCCATTCTTTTGTATTTGCTGAGGAGTGTTTTATTTCCATTCTTTTGCATTTGCTGAGGAGTGTTTTACTTCCAATTATGTGGTCAGTTTCAGAATGAGTGCAATGTAGTGCTGAGAAGAATGTATATTCTGTTGATTTTGGGTAGAGAGTTCTGTACATGTCTACTAGGTCCACTTGGTGCAGAGCTGAGTTCAAGTCCTGGATATCCTTGTTAATTTTCTGCTGCATTGATCTCTCTGATATTGACAGTGGTGAGTTAAAGTCACCCACTATTATTGTGTGGGAGTCTAAGTCTCTTTGTAGGTCTCTAAGAATTTGCTTTCTGAATCTGGGTTCTCCTGTATTGGGTGCATATATGTTTAGTATAGTTAGCTCTTCTTGTTACATTGATCCCTTTACCATTATGTAATGTCCTTCTTTGTATCTTTTGATCTTTTTGGTTTAAAGTCTGTTTTATCAGAGATTTGGATTGCAACTCCTGCTTTTTTTTCTTTCTATTTGCTTGGTAAATATTCCTCCATCCCTTTATTTTGAGCCTATGTGTGTCTTTGCACCTGAGATGGGTCTCCTGAATCCAGCACACTGATGAGTCTTAACTCTTTCTCTAATTTGCCAGTCTGTGTCTTTTAATTGGGGCATTTAGCTCATTTACATTTAACGTTAATATTGTTATGTGTGAATTGGATCTTGTCATTATGATCCTAGCTAGTTATTTTGCCCATTAGTTGATGCAGTTTCTTCATAGTGTCGATGGACTTTACAATTTGGTATGTGTTTTCCGTGGCTGGTACTGATTGTTCTTTTCCATGTTAATGCTTCCTACAGGAGCTCTTGTAAGGCAGGCCTGGTGGTGACAAAATCTCTCAGGATTTGCTTGTCTGTAAAGTATTTTATTTCTCCTTCACTTATAAAGATTACTTTGGCTGGACATGAAATTTTGGGTTGAAAATTCTTCTCTTTAAGAATGCTGAGTGGCAGCCAAGATGGCCTAATAGGAACAGCTCCGGTCTACAACTCCCAGTGTGAGTGACACAGAAGATGGGTGACTTTTGCATTTCCATCTTAGGTACTGGGTTCATCTCACTAGGGAGTGCCAGACAGTGGGTGCAGGACTGTGGGTGCAGTGAACTGTGTGTGAGCCAAAGCAGGGCGAGGCATTGCCTCACTTGGGAAGTGCAAGGGGTCAGGGAATTCCCTTTCCTAGTCAAAGAAAGGGGTGACAGACGGCACCTGGAAAATCGGGTCACTCCCACCCTAATACTGCGCTTTTCCGATGGGCTTAAAAAACGGTGCACCAGGAGATTATATCCCACACCTGGCTCGGAGGGTCCTACGCCCACAGAGTCTCGCTGGTTGCTAGCACAGCAGTCTGAGATCAAACAGAAAGGTGGCAGCGAGGCTGGGGGAGGGGCACCCCCCATTGCCCAGGCTTGCTTAGGTAAACAAAGCAGCCCGGAAGCTCGAACTGGGTGGAGCCCACCACAGCTCAAGGAGGCCTGCCTGCCTCTGTAGGCTCCACCTCTGGGGGCAGGGCACAGACAAACAAAAAGACAGCAGTAACCTCTGCAGACTTAAATGTCCCTGTCTGACAGCTTTGAAGACAGCAGTGGTTCTCCCAGCACACAGCTGGAGATCTGAGAACGGGCAGACTGCCTCCTCAAGTGGGTCCCTGACCCCTGACCCCCGAGCAGCCTAACAGGGAGGCACCCCCCAGTAGGGACAGACTGACACCTCAAAGGGCCGGGTACTCTTCTGAGACAAAACTTCCAGAGGAACGATAAGACAGCAGCATTCGCGGTTCACGAAAATCCACTGTGCTGCAGCCACTGCTGCTGACACCCAGGCAAACACAAACAGGGTCTGGGGTAGACCTCCAGCAAACTCCAACAGACCTGCAGCTGACGGTCCTGTCTGCTAGAAGGAAAACTAACAAACATAAAGGACATCCACACCAAAAACCCATCTGTACATCACCATCATCAAAGACCAAAAGTAGACAAAACCACAAACATGGGGAAAAAACAGAGCAGAAAAACTGGAAACTCTAAAAAGCAGAGCGCCTCTCCTCCTCCAAAGGAACACAGTTCCTCACCAGCAACGGAACAAAGCTGGACGGAGAATGACTTTGACGAGTTGAGAGAAGAAGGCTTCAGATGATCAAACTACTCAGAGCTACCGGAGGAAATTCAAACCAAAGGCAAAGAAGTTAAAAACTTTGAAAAAAATTTAGACAAATGTATAACTAGAATAACCAATACAGAGAAGTGCTTAAAGGAGCTGATGGAGCTGAAAGCCAAGGCTCAAGAACTACGTGAAGAATGCAGAAGCCTCAGGAGCCAATGAGATCAACTGGAAGAAAGGGTATCAGTGATGGAAGATGAAATGAGTGAAATGAAGAGACAAGGGAAGTTTAGAGGAAAAAGAATAAAAAGAAATGAACAAACCCTCCAAGAAATATGGGACTCTGTGAAAAGACCAAATCTACGTCTGATTGGTGTACCAGAAAGTAACAGGCAGAATGGAACCAAGTTGGAAAACACTCTGCAGGATAGTATCCAGGAGAACTTCCCCAATCTAGCAAGGCAGGAAAACATTCAGATTCAGGAAATACAGAGAACGCCACAAAGATATTCCTCGAGAAGAGCAACTCCAAGACACATAATTGTCAGATTCACCAAAGTTGAAATGAAGGAAAAAATGTTAAGGGCAGTCAGAGACAAAGGTCGGGTTACCCACAAAGGGAAGCCCATCAGACTAACAGCGGATCTCTTGGCAGAAACTCTACAAGCCAGAAGAGAGTGGGGGCCAATATTCAACATTCTTAAAGAAAAGAATTTTCAACCCAGAATTTCATATCCAGCCAAACTAAGCTTCATAAGTGAAGGAGAAATAAAATACTTTACAGACAAGCAAATGCTGAGAGATTTTGTCACCACCAGGCCTGCCCTAAAAGACCTCCTGAAGGAAGCACTACACATGGAAAGGAACGACCGGTACCAGCCACTGCAAAATCATGCCAAATTGTAAAGACCATCAAGGCTGGGAAGAAACGGCATCAACTAACGAGCAAAATAACCAGCGGACATCATAATGACAGGATCAAATTCACACATAACAATATTAACTTTAAATGTAAATGGACTAAATGCTCCAATGAAAAGACACACACTGGCAAATTGGATAAAGAGTCAAGACCCATCAGTGTGCTGCATTCAGGAAACCCATCTCATGTGCAGAGACACACATAGGCTCAAAATAAAAGGATGGAGGAAGATCTACCAAGCAAATGGAAAACAAAAAAAGGGCAGGGGTTGCAATCCTAGTCTCTGATAAAACAGACTTTAAACCAACAAAGATCAAAAGAGACAAAGAAGGCCATTACATAATGGTAAAGGGATCAATACAACAAGAAGAGCTAACTATCCTAAATATATATGCACCCAATACAGGAGCACCCAGATTCATAAAGCAAGTCTTGAGTGACCTAAAAAGAGACTTAGACTCCCACACAATAATAATGGGAGATTTTAACACCCCACTATCAACACTGGACAGATCAATGAGACAGAAAGTAAACAAGGATATCCAGGAATTGCACTCAGGTCTGCACCAAGCAGACCTAATAGACATCTACAGAACTCTCCACCCCAAATCAACAGAATATACATTTTTTTCAGCACCACACCACACCTATTCCAAAATTGACCACATAGTTGGAAGTAAAGCTCTCCTCAGCAAATATAAAAGAACAGAAATTATAACAAACTGTCTCTCAGACCACAGTGCAATCAAACTAGAACTCAGGATTAAGAAACTGACTCAAAACCGCTCAACTACATGGAAACTGAACAACCTGCTCCTGAATGACTACTGGGTACATAACGAAATGAAGGCAGAAATAAAGATGTTCTTTGAAACCAATGAGAACAAAGACACAACATACCAGAATCTCTGGGACACTTTCAAAGCAGTGTGTAGAGGGAAATTTATAGCACTAAATGCCCACAAGAGAAAGCAGGAAAGATCCAAAATTGACACCCTAACATCACAATTAAAAGAACTAGAAAAGCAAGAGCAAACACATTCAAAAGCTAGCAGAAGGCAAGAAATAACTAAAATCAGAGCAGAACTGAAGGAAATAGAGACACAAAAAACCCTTCAAAAAATTAATGAATCCAGGAGCTACTTTTTTGAAAGGATCAACAAAATTGATAGACTGCTAGCAAGACTAATAAAGAAGAGAGAAGAATCAAATAGATGCAATAAAAAATGATAAAGGGGATAGCACCACCAATCCCACAGAAATACAAACTACCATCAGAGAATACTACAAACACCTCTACACAAATAAACTAGAAAATCTAGAAGAAATGGATAAATTCCTGGACACATACACTCTCCCAAGACTAAACCAGGAAGAAGTTGAATCTCTGAATAGACCAATAAGAGGCTCTGAAATTGTGGTAATAATCAATAGCTTACCAACCAAAAAGAGTCCAGGACCAGATGGATTCACAGCTGAAAGAATGTTGAATATTGGCCCCCACTCTCTTCTGGCTTGTAGGGTTTCTGCCAAGAGATCCACTGTTAGTCTGATGGGCTTCCCTTTGTGGGTAACCCGACCTTTCTCTCTGGCTGCCCTTAACATTTTTTCCTTCATTTCAACCTTGGTGAATTTGAAGATTATATGTCTTGGGGTTGCTCTTCTTGAGGAGTATCTTTGTGGTGTTCTCTGTATTTCCTGAATTTGAATTTTGGCCTGTCTTTCTAGGTTGGGGTAGTTCTCCTCGGTAATATCCTGCAGAGTGTTTTCCAACTTGGTTCCATTCTCTCCGTCACTTTCAGGTACACCAATCAAATGTAGATTTGGTCTTTTCACATCGTCCCATATTTCTTAGGGCTTTCTTCATTCCTTTTTATTTTTTTTCTCTAATCTTGTCTTCTCGCTTTGTTTCATTAAGTGAATCTTCTGTCTCTGATATCCTTTTTTCCGCTTGATCTATTTGGCTATTGATACTTGTGTATATTTCATGAAGTTCTTGTTGTGTGTTTTTCAGTTCCATCAGCTCATTTATGTTCTTCTCTAAACTGGTTATTCTAGTTAGCAATTAGTCTAACCTTTTTTCAAGGTTCTTATCTTCCTTGCCTTGTGTTAGAACATGCTCCTTTAGCTTGGAGGAGTTTGTTATTACCCACCTTCTGACGCCTACTTCTGTCAATTCATCAAACTCATTCTCTGTCCAGTGTTGCTTTGTTTTGCTGCTGAGGAGTTGTGATCCTTTGTAGCAGAAGAGGCGTTCTGGTTTTTGGAATTTTCAGCCTTTTTGCACTTGTTTCTCCCCATCTTTGTAGATTTATCTACCTTTGGTCTTTGACGTAGGTGACCTTCGGATGGAGTCTCTGAGTGGACGTGCTATTTCTTACTGTTTGTTAGTTTTCCTTCTAACAGTCAGGCCCCTCTGCCTCTGGTCTCCTGGAGTTTGCTGGAGGTTCATTCCAGAACCTGTTTGCCTGGTATCACCAGCAGAGACTGCGGAGCAGCAAACATTGCTACCTGTTCTTTCCTCTGGAAGCTTCAATCCAGCGGGGCACCTGCTAGGTGCCAGCCAGAGCTCTCCTGTATGAGGTGTCTGTCGGCCCCTACTAGGGTGTGTCTCCCAGTCAGGATACACGAGGTTCAGGCTCCCGCTTGAGGATGCAGTCTGACCCTTAGCAGAGCTGGAACGCTATCTGGGAGGTCCACTGCTCTCTTCAGAGCTGTCAGACAGGGAAGTTTAAGTCTGCTGAAGCTGAGCCTACAGCCGCCCCTTCTTCCAGGTGTTCTGTCCCAGGGAGATGGGGGTTTTATCTGTAAGTCCCTGACTGGGGCTGCTGCCTTTTTCTCAGAGATGCCCTTCCCAGAGAGGAGAAATATAGCAGTCTGGCCACAGTGGCTTTGCTGAGATGTGGTGAACTCTGGCAAGTTTGAATTTCCTGGCATCTTTGTTTACACTGTGAGGGTAAAACCGTCTACTCAAGTCTCAGCAATGGCGGATGGCCTTCTTCCCACCAAGCTCGAGTGTCCCAGGTCGACTTCAGACTGCTGTGCTGGCAGCAAGAATTTCAAGCCAGTGGATCTTGGTTTGCTGGGCTCTGTGTGGGTGGGACCCACAGAGTCAGACCACTTGGCTCCCTGGTTTCAGCCCCCTTTGCAGGGGAGTGAACTATTCTCTGTCGCTGGTGTTCCAAGCGCCACTGGGGTATGGAAAAAAAAAAAAAAGAAAACTCCTACAGCTATGTTGGTGTCTGCACAAACACTGCCCAGTTTTGTGCTTGAAACCCAGGGCCCTGGTCAGGTAGGCACCAGGGGGAATCTCCTGGTCTGTGGGTTGCAAAGACAGTGGGAAATGCGCAGTATCTCTGCCAGAATGCACAGTTCCTCAGGCTCAGTCCCTCACAGCTTGCCTAGGGTGGGGGAGAAAATTCCCTGACCCCTTGTGCTTCCCAGGGGAGGCAATGCCCCACCCTGCTTCAGCTCACCCTCCGTGGGCTGCACCCACCGTCCAACCAGTCCCAATGAGATGAACTGGGTACCTCAGTTGGAAATGTAGAAATCACCCGCCTTCGACCGTAAACTAGTTCAACCATTGTGGAAGTCAGTGTGGCGATTCCTCAGGGATCTAGAACTAGAAATACCATTTGACCCAGCAATCCCATTACTGGGTGTATACCCATAGGATTATAAATCATGCTGCTATAAAGACACATGCACATGTAGGTTTATTGTGGCACTATTCACAATAGCAAAGACTTGGAACCAACCTAAATATCCAACAACAATAGACTGGATTAAGAAAATGTGGCACATATACACCATAGAATACTATGCAGGCATAAAAAATGATGAGTTCATGTCCTTTATAGGGACATGGATGAAACTGGAAACCATCATTCTCAGCAAACTATCTCAAGGACAAAAAAACAAACACTGCATGTTCTCACTCATAGGTGGGAATTGAACAATGAGAACACATGGACACAGGAAGGGGAACATCACACACCAGGGCCTGTTGTGGGGTGGGGGGATGGGGGAGGGATAGCATTAGGAGATATACCTAATGCTAAATGACGAATTACTGGGTGCAGCACACCAACATGGCACATGTATATATATGTAACAAACCTGCACGTTGTGCACATGTACCCTACAACTTAAAGTATAATAATAATAAAATAAAA
Organism: Homo sapiens; assembly: GCF_000001405.40. NCBI lineage: Eukaryota > Metazoa > Chordata > Mammalia > Primates > Hominidae > Homo > Homo sapiens. The sequence goes on along the minus strand of NC_000023.11, from coordinate 63,898,586 downwards.
TAAAATAAAAAGAAATCACCCGCCTTTTAAGTCAATCACGCTGGGAGCTGCAGACCGGAGCTGTTCCTATTCAGCCATCTTGCCAGCAATCCTCCATATTTTTGTTTGTTTGTTTTTTTGAGACAGAGTCTTGCTGTGTCACCCAGGCTGGAGTGCAGTGATGTGATCTTGGCTCACTACAACCTCCGACTCCTGGGTTCAAGCGATTCTCCTGCCTCAGCCTCCCAAGTAGCTGAGACTACAGGCGCCTACTGCCGCACCCAGCAAATTTTTGTATTTTTAGTAGAGACTGGGTTTCACTATATCGGCCAGGCTGGAATTGAACTCCTGACCTCGTGATCTGCCCATATCAGCCTCCCAAAGTGCTGAGAATATAGGCTTGAGCCACCACGGCTGGCCTAACTGTATTTTTGAACCCATCAACCAACCCCTCTTCATCCTTCCTTTTCCCTACTATTCCCGCGCTCTAGTAACTACTATTCTATTCTCTATACCCATGAGATCCACTTTTTAAGCTCACATGTATGACAATATGCAGTATTTGTCCTTCTAAACCTGGCTTATTTCACTTAACATAATATCCTCCAGGCTCATCCATGTTGCTGCAAACGACAGGATTTCATTCTTTTTTGTCTGAGTAATACTCCATTTTGTATATATACTACATTTTATTTAATCATTCATCTGTTGATAGACACTTAGGTTGATTTATATCTTGGTTGTTTTGAATAATACTGAGATTAACATGGGAGTGCAGATCTCTTCAATACACTGACTTCCTTTCTTTTGGATATATACCCAGTACTAGGATTGCTGGATCATATGGCATTTCTATTTTTAGGTGTTTAAGGAAACTCCATATGGTTACGTAGAGTGACTATACTAATTTACATTCTCACCAACCGTGTACAAGTGTTCCCCTTTCTCTATATTCTTGCCAACATTTGTAATTTTTATGGTCTTTTTGATAATAGCCATTTTAACGGAGGTGAGATGATATATCCTTGTGGTATTGATTTGCATTTCCTTGACGATTAGTGATGTTGAGTACTTTTTCATGTATCGAGATAGCCATTTGCATGTCTTCTTTTTAGAAATGTCTATTCAGATCATTTGCCCTCTTTTAATTGGGTTATTTGGTTTTTTGCTGCTAAGTTTCTTATAGATACTGGTTATTAATTCCTTGTCAGAAGGATAGATTGCAAATATTTTCTTCAATTCTGTAGGTTGTCTTTTTCACTGTTGATTGTTTCCTTTGCTATACAGAGCTCTTTAGCTTGATGTAATTCCATTTGTCTATTTTTTCTTTGTTTCTTGCACTTTGGAAATCTTACCTAAAAAGTCTTTGCTCAAACCAATGTCCTAAAGCATTTTCTCAATGTTTTCTTCTAGTGTTTTCAGAGATTGGGGTATTACATTTAAGTCTTTAATAATTTTTATTTTTATATGGTGAGATATAGGGGTCTAATTTTATTCTTCTGCATATCATTATCCAGTTTTCCCAGCATAATTTCTTGAAGAGTCTGTCCTTTCTTCAGTGTAAGTTCTTGATGACTTTATCAAAAATAAGTTGGCTATAAATGCATGAATTTATTTATTGGTTCTCTAGTCTGTTCTATTGGCCTATGTGTCAGTTTTTACACCAGTATCAGGCTGTTTTGGTTATTATGGCTCTGTAGTACATATTGAAGTCAGGTAATGTGAAACTTCCAGCTTTTTTCTTTTTGTTCAGGATTCCTTTGGCTATTTGGGGTCTTTGTGGTTCCACACAAATTTTAGGATTTGTTTTCCTATTTCTGTGAAGAATATCACTGGTATTTTGATAAGGATTACACAAATATACAGATTGCTTTGTGAAGTACGGACCTAATAACAATATTAATTCTTCCATTCCATGAACTATGGGAAATCTTTTCATTTCTTTCTGTTTCCTCTTTAATTTCTGTCATTGGCATTTTATAGTTTTTATTGTAGAGATCTTTCATTCTTTGGTTACATTTATTCCTTGGTATTTTATTTTTGTAGCTATTGTTAATGGGGTTGTTTTCTTGATTCCCTTTTGAGATTATTCACTGTTGGCATATAGAAATACTACTGAGTTGTGCATGTTGATTTTGTATTTGGCCACTTTTTTGAATTCATTTATGAAACTCATTTTTAGCAGCTAAAAACTGTTTGTTCTAAAGATTTTTTTAAATGTAAAATTATTTTATCTGTAAAAAAGAATAATTTGACTTCGTCTTTCCAATTTGGATGCCATTAATTTTTTTCTCTTGTCTAATTGCTCTGGCTCAGACATCCAGTGCTGTGTTTAATTAAAGTGGTGAAAGTGGGCATCTTTGTCCTGTTTCAGATCTTACAGGAAAGGTATTCAATTTTCCCCATTCATCTTAATGTTACCTGTGGGTTTGTCATATATGGACTCTATTGTTTTGAGGTATGTTTCTTCTATGCATAGTTTATTGAGAGTTTTTATCAAGAAACCATGTATTTTATCAGATGCTTTTTCTGCATCTTTTGAGATGGTCATATAGTTTTTGTTTTGATATATTAATGTGATGTATCAAATTTATTGATTTGCATATGTTGAACCATTCTTGCATTCCTGGAGTAAATCTTATTTGATCATGGTGTATTTTTCTTTGATGTGCTGTTGGAATCGGTTTGCTAGTATTTCATTGAGGATTTTTGCATCCATGTTTCTCAGAAATATTGTTTTGTAGTTTTCTATTTGTCATATACTTGTTTGGTTTTGGCATCAGGCTAATGCTTGCCTTGTAAAATGAGTTAGGGAGAATTCTATTCTCTTCAACTTTGGGGCATAGTTTGAGGACAGTTGGTGTTAGTTCTTCTAAGATGTTAGGTAGAATTTAGTGGTAAAGCTATCTGGATTTACATTGTTAGGATAATTTTTTTTTTTTTTTTTAGATAGAATCTTGCTCTGTAACCCAGGCTGGAGTGCAATGGCATGATCTCAGCTCACTGCAACCTCCACTTCCTGGGTTCAAGCGATTCTCCTGCCTCAGCCACTCAAGTAGCTGGGATTACAGGTGTGCACCACCAAGCCCAGCTACTTTTTATATTTTTAGTAGAGATGGGGTTTCACCATCTTGGCCAGTTTGGTCTTGAACTCCTGACCTCAAGCAAACTACCCACCTTGGACTCCCAAAGTGCTGGGGTTACAGGCATGAGCCACCACACCCAGCCTGTTGGGATACTTTTTATTACTGATTTAATTTCATTAGTTGATTTGGGTTTTCTATTTCTTCTTGGATCAGTCTTGCTATGTGGTATGTGCCTAGAGATTTGTTCATTCCCCCTAGGTTTTTCAATTTGTTGGTGCATAGTTGTTTATAATAGTTTTTAATGATTTTTTGTATTTCTGTGGTATAAGATTTAGTACCTCCTTTTTTAATATTTTTTGGTTCATTTACTTGAGGCTTCTAATTTTTTTTAGTTATTCTAGCTAATAGTTTGTGGATTTTTTAATCTTTTTTAAAAAAAACAGCTTTTTATTTCGTTGATCTTTTGTGTTTTTTAAAATTCTTTTTTTTGTTTAGTTCTGCTCTGATCTTTATCATTTCTTCCTCCTGCTACTTTTGGGTTTGGCCTGTTCTTACTTTTCTAGTTCCTTGAGGTTCATGGATAGGTTGTTTATTTGAAATCTTTCTTCTTTTCTGTTGTAGGCATTTATTGCTATAAACTTCCCACTTAGCACTGCTTTTGCTGTATCCCATCAGTTTGGTTATGTTGTATTTACATTTTCCTTTGTTTCAAGACATTTTTTGATTTCCTTTTAATTTCTTTTCTGACTTCATGGTCATTCAAGAGCATATTATTTAATTTCTATGCATTTGTACAGTTTCCAGTGTTCCTCTTGTTATTGATTTCCAGTTTTATTCTATTGTGGCCTGAAAAAATACTTGATGTGATATTGACTCTTGAAATATATGTTGAGACTTGTTTTCTTGCCTAACACATGATCTATTCTGGAGTAATCCACGTGCTGATGAGAAGGATGTGTATCTTGTAGCTGTTGGATGAAATGTTCTATAAATATCTGTTAGGTCCATTTGGCCTATAGTCCAGTTTAAGTTTAATGTTTCTTTGTTGATTTTGTGTATGGATGATCTGTCCAATGTTGAAAGTGGGGTGCTTAATTCTCCAACTATTATTGTATTGGCTTCTATTTTTTTCTTTAACTCTAGTAATATTTGCTTTATATATCTGAGTGTTCTGGTGCTGGGTACATATACAATTACAATTGGTATATTCTCTTGCTGAATTGATCCCCTTATCATTATATATGACCTTCTTTATATTCCTTTATGTTTTGTGACTTAAAGCCTATTTTGCCTGATATCAGCTATCCCTTTTCACTTTTGGTTTCTGTGGAATATCTTTTGTCATTTCTTCACTTTTAGTCTATGTGTGTCTTTACAGAAGTTAGGTTCTTGTAGACAGTATGTAGTCAGGTCATGTTTTTTTTTTTTTTTTTTTAATCCATTCAGCCAGTCTGTATCTTTAAATTTGGAAATTTAATTTGTTTTAATTTAAGGTTGTTATTGGTTTGTTAAGACTTACTCTTCTCATTTTGTCAATTGGTTTATAATTTTTTTATATTTTTAATTTATTTATTCCTCTCTTACTGTTTATCTTTGTGATTTGGTGGCTTTCTCTATTGAAAATGTTTGATTCCTTTCTCTTTCTCATCTGTGTTTCTGCTCTACCAGTGAGTTTTATACTTTTATGTATTTTCATGATGGTAGATATCATCCTTTCACTTTCAGATATAGAAATACTACTTTAAGCATTTATTGTAGGGTCATTCTAGTGGTGATGATTTTCCTCTGCTTTTGCTTGTGTGGGAAATACTATTTCTCCTTCGTTACTGATAGCATTGTTGGGTATAGTCTTCGTGGCTAGGAGTATTTTTCTTTCAGCACTTTGAATATATTATTTTATTGTCTCCTGGACTGTAAGGTTTCTGCTGAGAAATTGGCTGTTAATCTAATTTGGATACTTTTATGTGGAAGTTGATGCTTTCCTCTTACTATATTTATAATTCTCTCTTTGCCTTCATTTTTTAAAAGTTTGACTATAATGTGCCTCACTGAGGACCTATTTTGGTTGAGTCTATTTGGGGACTTTTTAGCTTCCCTGGGTCTCAATGTCTATACCTCTTCCAAGACTTGGGAAATTTACAAGCTATTTTTTCATAAATAGGTTTTCAATGTCTTTTCCCATCTCTTCTCCTTTTGGAACTCCCCAAATTCAAATATTTGCTGACTTGATGGTGTCCTATATGTTATGTGGACTTTCTTCTTTCTTTTTTTTCCTGTCCAACTCAGTTATTTCAAAAGACGTTTTTTGATATTCAAAAGTCTTTCTTCTGCTTGATCTAACCTATATTCTCGATTCTATTTTTTATTTCATTCATTGAATTATTTAATTCTAGGATTTCTATTTGGCTCTTTTATATGATATCTATCTCTTTGTTGACTTTCTGATTCAGATCCAGAGGTAATTCCCTTAGTACTTTGTATTGTTTGTTTTCCTTTTATATCTCACGGAGTTCCCTGAAGATCATGATTTTGAATTCCTTTTCTGAAATTTCATTTTTTTCTTTGATATCTGTTACTGGGGAGTTTTTTGTTCTTTTATATATGTTATGTTTCATTGCTTTTTTATGTTCCTTGTGTTCTCACATTGACATCTGTGCATTTGGTGTAACTGCTGTTTCTTCTAATTTTATGGAATAGCTTCCATAGGGAAAGCCATTTAATGTATATGTATCTACAATGTTTGTTGGGCAGCGTGCTTTGGCTTTGGTTCTGGGTGGGCACTATGGTGTAGTCTCCATATGATTACTTTAGGTGTAATCAACATCAGCAGTATCTATGAGTTCTTTACGGGCTTGGACTCAAGTTGTTTGAGGAGGCTGTGGTGAGGCTTTGCTGATGATAGGTCATCAGCCAGGCTGGTCCTCAGGCCCGTATATGGTGCATGTTTGCACTGATGGGGGTAGGAATGGGACAGGAAGGCCAATACTTGAATCCCTTAGTGGTATGCATTGGTGCTGATAGCGTCAGTGGCAGGGTGGGTGGGTAGATACTCAAGCCCAAGGATAGGATGTGGAGACCTGCCTATCCCTGAGCTCTCTGCTTGGTTGGGTGGGCACCAGCAATGTCTGCAGCATGGCAGGCAGGCTACTACCCAGGTCACCAGGCAGGGTGCAGTGGTGAGTATTATCCTGCTGCTGAAGTGGGATGGGATTGCTCTAGGTAGCCGCAGTCCCAGGCAGTCTTCTCTCAGGCTCTGGGGGGCATATTCTTTCATTCCATATATTCTGGAGGCAGCATCCCTGATGTGCTGGATTTTGTGTTTCCTAGGGTGTTGGGTGCTGCACGGGCTTGGGAACCTGTGATGTGGCTGCACTACTGGGTCCAGTGGGTACCACAACACAGTGGCCCTCTGAGTAGATGTGAGGAGAAGCCTGTGGGGTCCAAGAGATGCGAAAATGCAGGGGCTATTGGGCCTCAGGGCAGCATACAGTACACTGTTGGTTCTGCTCTCAAAATGGCGCCATCCTGCAACAGGTTGGCTCCAGAGATTTAGTGTATCCTTTTTTTTCCCCAGGGAATTCCTGTTCTCTTTCTTGAATTAAAGCTGACAGTGTGGATCTTTATGTACTAATTTTGCTATTTCCAAGTGGCCGAGGCACGCTAAAAGCCGATGACCTCCAGTTCTGTCCATGTTGCTGAAAATGACATAATTTCATATCTTTTTGGCTGAATATTATTTTATATGTATATATACCACACATTTTCTTTATCCATTCATCTGTGGATGGATACTTAGGTTGAGTCCATATTTTTGCTATTGTGAGTAGTGCTGCAATAAACATGGGGATGCAGGTATCCCTTTGAGATATTGATTTCCTTTCCTTTGGATAAATACCTAGTAGTGGTATTGCTGGTTTGTATGGTAGTTCTGTTGTTAATTTTTTGAGAAATCTCCATATTGTTTTCCATAATGGCTATACTAATTTACATTCTCACTTACAGTGTATGAGTTCATTTTATCTACATCCTCACAAGTATCTTCTTGTGAGGCTTCTTAATAATAGCCATTCTAACTGCAGTAAGATGATATTTCATCATGGTTTTCATTTGCATTTCCCAGCTGATTACTAATGTTTAACATTTTTCCATATAAATTTTGGCCATTTGTATGTCTTCATTTAAGAAATGTGTATTCATATCCTTTGCCCATTTTTAATGGGATAATTGTTTTGTTTTGCTGTTGAGTTGTTTCAATTTCTTTTTTTTCTTCCAACTTTAATTTTAGGTTCAAAAAGTACAAGTGTAGGTTTATTATATGGGTAAATTTTGTGTCATAGAGGTTTGGTGTACAGGTTATTTCATCATCCATGCAATAAGCATAGTACCTGATAGATAGTTTTTCAAACCTCACCCTCCTCCCACTGCCACCTTCAAGTAGGCACTGGTGTCTATTGTCCTCTTTGTGTCCATGTGTACTCAATGTTTATCTCCCACTAATAGGTAAGAATGTGTGGTATTTGCTTTTCTGTTCCTGTGTTAATTTGCTTAGGGTAATGGCCTCTAACTCTATCCATATTGCTACAGAAGACATGATTTCTTTCATTTTTATGGATGCACAATATTCAATGGTGTATATGTACCACATATTTTTATCCAGTCCACTATTGAGCATTTTGGCTAATTCTATGTCTTTGCTATTGTGAATACCCAGTAATGGGGTTGCTAGGTTGAATGTTGGCTCTGCTTTCAGTTCTTTGAGAAATTTCCAAACTGCTTTTTGCAGTGGCTGAACAAATTTTCATTTCTACCAGCAGAGTATAAGTGTTTCCTTTTCTCCACAACCTCACCAGCACAGCATGTGTTATTTTTTTGACTTCTTAATAACAGCCATTCCCACTGATGTGAGATGGTATGTCATTGTGGTTTTGATTTCCATTACTTTATTAATTAGTGATATGGAATATTTTTTCATATGCTTGTTGGCTGCATGTATTTCTTTTGAGAAGTGTCTGTTGATGTCCATTGCTCATTTTTTAATTGGGTTGTTTGTTTTTTGCTTGTTGACTTAAGTTCCTTATAGATTCTGGATATTCAACTTTTGTCGGCTGCATAGAGTGCAGATATTTTCTCCCATTTTTAAGTTATCTGTTTACTCTATTGACAGTTTCTTTTGCTGCACAGAAGCTCTTTGGTTTAATTAGTTCCCATTTGTCAATTTTTGTTTTTATTATGATTGCTTTTGGCATCTTTGTCATGAAATCTTTGCCAGGGCTTATGTCCAAAATGGTATTTCCTTTGTTACCCATAGGTGTTATGTGTAAGTCTTTAATTCATGTTGAGTTGATTTCTTTATATAGTGTAAGGAAGGGGTCCAGTTTCAGTCTTCTGCATATGGCTAGCCAGTTATCTCAGTGCCATTTATTGAATAAGGAGTCATTTCCCATTGCTTGTTTTTGTAGACAGTATTTAAATTCATATGGTCATAGGTGTGCAGTTTTATTTCTGGATTCTCTAACCATTCTATGGGTCTTTGGGCCTCTTTTTTTTTCCACAAATACCATGCTGTTTTGGATACTGTAGCTTTGTAGTATAGTTTAAAATCAGGTAATGTGATGTCTCCAGCTTTCTTTTTAATGCTTAGAATTGCTTTGGCTATTTGGGCTCTTTTTTCATTGCAGGGGAATGTTACAATAGTTTTCTCTAGTTCTGTGAAAAAATATCATTGGTAGTTTAATAGGAATATTATTGAATCTACATTGATTTGGGGAGTATGTCCATTTTAACAATATTGATTCATCCTATCCACATGCACATGAAATGTTTTTCTATTTGTTTTTGTTATCACTGATTTCTTTCAGTAGTGTTTTGTAATTCTCTTTGTAGACATATTTCACCACTTTGGTTAGCCATAATCCTAGGTATTTTCTTTTTTTGTGTTTGTGGCTATTGTGACTGTGATTATATTCTTGATTTGGATCTCAGATTGGATGTTTTTAGTATGCAAAACTGATATTTATTCTTTTACATTGATTTTGTAGCATGAAACTTCACTGAATTTATTTATCAGATTTAGGAGCTTTTGGGCAGATACTATGGGGCTTTCTAGATATAAGATCAGATTGTCTGTGAAGAGAGATAATTTTGCTTCCTCTCTTCCTATTTGGATGATTTTTTTTTTCTCCTGCCTGATTGCTCTAGCTAGGACTTCCAGTACTTTGTTGAATAAGAGTGGTGAGAGTGGGGATTCTTGTCTTGTTCCAGTTTTCAAGGAGAATGCTTCTAGCATTTGCTCATTTAGTAAGATGTTGACTGTTGGCTTTTTCACAGATGACTCATTATTTCGTGGTATGTTTTTAAAATGACTGGTATGTTGAGGATTTTTTTTTTTTTGAGACAGGTTCCTGCTCTGTCACCCAGGCTGGAGTGTAGTGGTGTGATCTCGGTTCACTACAACCTCTGCCTCCCAGGACTCAATTGATCCTCTCACCTCAGCCTCTTGAATAGCTGAGACCACTCAGTGAAATTTTTGTGGTTTTTTTTTTTTTTTTTTTTTTGTATTTTTGGTAGAGATGTGGTTTCACCATGTTGCCCAGGCTGGTCTTGAACTTCTGAGCTCAAGTGATCTGCCGGCATCTGCCTTTGAAAGTACTGGGATTACAGGTGTGAGCCACTGTGCCTTGCTTTCTTGAGGATTTTTAACATGAGAGGATGTTGAGTTTTATCAAAAGCCTTTCTGCATCTGTTGAGATAATCATGTGGGTTTTCTTTTAGTTCTGTCTATGTGATGAATCACATTTATTGATTCGTGTATGTTGAATCTACCTTGCATCCCAGGAGTAAAGCCTACTTGATCATGGGGGATTAGTTTTTGATATGCTGCTGGATTCAATTTGCTGGTATTTTGGCATCGATGTTCATCAGAGATATTGGACTGAGGTTTCTTTTTTCGTAGTGTCTTTACCAGGTTTTGGTATCAAGAATGATGCTGGCCTCATAGAATGAATTGAGGAGAGTTCCTTTCTCTCAATTTTGGTAATTTCAGTAGGATTTGTGCCAGCTCTTTGTGTGTCTATTAGAATTTGCCTGTAAATCTATCTGGTCCGACACACTTTCTGATTATTAGGTATTTTATTACTGATTCAGTTTTGGAACTCATTATTAGTCTGTTCAAGGTTTCAGTTTCTTCCCATTTCAATCTTGAGAGGTTATATGTTTCTAGAAATTCATCAATTTTTCCTAAGTTTTCTAGTTTGTTTGTATAGATACGTTGGCAATAGTCTCTGAGGTTTTATGTATTTTTATGGGGTCAGTGGTAATGTCCCCTTGGTCACTTCTGATAGCTTTTTTGCATCTTCTTCTTTTCTTTATTAGTCTAATTATCCATCTATCAATCTTATTTATTTATTCAAATAACCAACTTTTGGTTGTGTTGGTCTTTTGTACGTTTTTTCACATCTCAATTTCAATCTGTATAATTCTAATTTTAGTTATTTCTCATCTTCTGCTAGCTTTGAGGTTGGTTTGCTTTTGTTTTGTTTTGTGTGTGTGTTTTTTTTTTTTAGTTCCTGTAGGTGTGATCTTAGCTTGTTAATCTTAGCTCTGCTTTAGCCGCATCTCAGACATTCTAATATGTCTTATCTTTGTTTTCATTGGTTTTAAAAAATGTCTTGATTTTTGCTTTAATTTCATGTTTTACCCAAAAGTCATTCGGGAGCAGGTTTTTAAATTTGTATGTAACTGTGTGGATTCGAGATATCTTCTTAGTATTGATGTCTATTTTTATTGCACTGCAGTCTGAGAGTTTGGATGATATGATTTCAGATTTTTTGATAGGTTGAGAATTGTTTTATGACCAATTATGTGGTCAATTTTAGTATATGTGGCATGTGCAGATGAGAAAATTGTATATTTCATTGTTGGGTTGAGTGTTCTGTAGAAGTCTGTTACATCCATTTTGTAAAGCGTTGAGGTCAGGTTCTAAATATCTTTGTAAGTTTTCTGTCTCAATAATCTATCTAGTACTGCCAGTTGTTGAAGAGTTCCACTATTATTGGGTGTTTATCTAAGTCTGATCATAGGTCTCTAAGGACTTGTTTTATGAATCTGGGTGCTCCAGATTTGGGTACATATATACTTAGGATAGTTAAGTCTTCTTGTTGAATTGTACCCTTTATAATTATGTAATGCTGTTCTTTGTCTTATTGGATCATCATTGTTTCAATCTGTTTTGTCTGAAATTAAGATAGCAACTCCTGCTTTATTGCTTTGTTTGTTTTTCGTTTGCTTGGAAGATTTTTCTCCATCCTTTTACGTTAAGACTGTGGATATCTTTGCATTTGAGATGGGTCATTTGAAGACAGCATACCATTGAGACTTGCTTCTTTTTTTAAAATATATTTTTTCATTATGCTTTAAATTATTTATTCAACTTGCCACTCATTGCCTATTAAGTGGAGCAGTTAGCCCATTTACATTCAAGTTTAATATTGATATGTGAGGATTTAATTCTGTCATTGTGATATTAGCTGGTCATTATGCGGACTTGATTTTGTAGTTGTTTTATAGTGTCAATCATTTATGTACTTACATATATTTTTGTGCTAACCAGTACAGGTCTTTCATTTCCATGTTTGGCACTCACTTAAGGACCTCTTGTAAGGTAGATGTGGTAGTAACAAATTTTCTTCCCTTAGGATTTGTTTATCTGAAAAAGATAAACAAATTTCTCCCTCACTTATGAAGCCTAGTTGGACTGAATATGAAATTATTGATCGGAATTTTTTTTTCTCAAGAATGCTGAATATAGGTCTCCAATCTCTTCTGTCTTGTAGGGTTTCTGCTGAAGGGTCTGCTGTTTGGCTGATGAGGTTCCCTTTGTAGGGGACCTGCTCCTTATCTCTAGCTGCCTTTAGTATTTTTTCTTTCAGATCGTTCTTGGATAATTTGATGACAATGTGTCTTGGGGATGGTAATCTTGTATTCTCTTCATTTCCTGAATTTGAATGTTGACCTCTCTAGAAAGGTTAGGGAATTTTCTTTTGGACAATATTGTCAAACATATTTTCCAAGTTGCTTGCTCTTTCTTCCACTTTTCCAGGGATGCCAATAAGTCATAGGTTTTATTTCTTTACATAATTCCATATTTCTTGGAGGTTTTGTTTATTCTTTTAAAATTCTTTTTTCTTCATTTTTGTCCTATTGAGTTGATTTGAAGTACTAGTCTTTGTGTTCTGAGATTCTTTCCTCAGCCTGGTCTATCCTGCTGTTAATTCTTGCAACTGTATTTTATGACATTCTTGCAGTGTCTTTTTCAGCTCCTTTTGTTCACTTTGGTTCTTTCTTAAAATGGCTACTTCATATTTCAGATCTTGATTTGATTTCTCGGATGCCTTAGATTGTTTAGATTGGGTTTCGAATTTCTCTTTAATCTTGATGATTTTCATTCCTATCCAGATTCTGAATTCTATGTTTTTCATTTCAGCTCTTTCAGCCTAGTTAAGAGCCATTGCTGGGGAGCTAGCGTGGTCATTTGGAGATGAGAAGACACTGGATTTTTGAATTTCCAGAGTTTTTGCACTGGTTCTTTCTCATCTATGTGGGTTGATGTCCCTTTAATGTTTGAATTTGCTCTCCTTTGGAAAGGGCTTTTGGCTTTTATATTCTTTGATGCCCTTGAGGGTTTGGCTGTGGTATATGGTGGGTTCTGTCTACTGTCTTCTTTTCTGAAAGATTTCAGTGAGCCTAGGCTCAGCTCTACACTCTTAGGATGCATGCTCTAACCCTGGGGTGCTGGTACCAGGCCCACAGCTTTGTTATCTTGCCCCTCAAAGTTAAGCACCTGCTGCACTGGAAGGGCTAAGGTGTTCCTGTTCCACTGGCAACAACACTCTGATGTGGGGGGTACCAACTAAATCACATCATTAGGGTGGTGGCAGCAGGGTCCATGCTCATGCATGTGTGTCCCCAGTGGCAGCACATGGCAGGATGCAGGCACAGCAGCAGGTTTGTGGTGCCGGCGGGGGTGTGGCAGGATTTTCTGTGTATGTTGGTGGGGATAAGAGCAGCGTCCTCATGGATGCAGGGTTGCAATACCCACGCATGTGTATGTGACAGTGGCTACAGTATGCTGCACCTGTCAGCAGGGGCAGGGCAGCAGCTTGTGCATACCAGAAGGGGTGTGGTGGCAATGTCTGCACACAAGTGCCATCAGGTGCAAGGCAGTGAGATCCTCCTGTACGCGTGCTTTTGCAGAGCAACTGGGTGGCTGTGGGCAAGTGTGTGTTGGCAATGCCATGGAGGAGCCCTGTGGGTGAGTTTACCCAGGAAAAGCACTGGGGGCAGTGTGTGGTGGGACGAGCCTGTGAGTGGGTGCGAGCACATCAAAAGAGGAGTGCCCTCCTGCTGTAGCCCCCGATGGTCAGGTGTGGTCTGTCACCAAAGGAGCATGAGTTGTCATTTGAGGCTGCACTGCAAGTGGGCACAGCCAGACAGAGTCCCCAAGAGTGCCCAGCAGACAGGGCAGTGCTCAGATGAGACTGGCCCTGTCCCACGGGCAAGACTGCCCTGCTCTGTGCAGGTCTGACAGTCAACAAAGGCCACATCCACCTAGAGGAGCATGGTGAGCCTTACAGGATGGGCATTCCCTGTTTCTGTTCCCTTGCAGCCATTTCCATGCCAAATTCTAGGAGATCCCCACAGGCTAGACTGCTGTCCCTGTCACCTCTCCAAGTAGCTCTCCCATCAACTCAAATATATGTGAGGGTCATGGAGTCTCCTGCAGCTAGGACTCAAGGGGTCCATGGTGAGAGTAGGCCACCCTTTGCCTAGTTAATTCACTCCTTCCTGAAGAATCTCTGGGGGCAAGGAACAAGTCTTGGTGCTTGGCAGCCCTGTGCAGGGTTCCCAGCTTCCTCCTCTTTAATCCCAGGGTCTGTGTCCTAGCTGCAACTACTGTCAAGGCCTTCCTTCCAAATATCTGCTCAGAGTGTTCCAGTCTTCTTGATGGTCTGGTCTCAGTGGGAGATGCTCTTCCTGGCTGCATCAAGTTGAACATCTTGGCTCCTCTTCCCCAGTTGCTTGTATACTGTGAATATTTACTCCCTTATTAAATGAATAGTTTGCAAATGTTTTCTTCTATTCCAGAGTTTGTCTATTCACTCTGTTGACTGTATCCTTTGCTGTGCAAAAGTTTGTAGTTTAACATAGTTCCATTTGACTATTTCTATTTTTGTTGTCTGTGCTTTTGATGTCTTACCCAGAAAATATTTTCCTAGACCAATGTCCTGGAGTGGTTCCTCTATGTACTGTCAGTAGTTTTACAGTTTTAGGTCTTATATTTAAGTCTTTAATTTATCTTGGGGTAATTTTTGTATATGGCAAGGGATAGGGATCCAGTATCATAATTCTGCATATGGATTTCACATTTTTCCTGAACTATTTGCTGAAAAGAATGTCCTTTCCCCAGTATATATTCTTTGCACCTTTGAAAAAATCAGTTGGCTGTAAATGCGTGAATTTATTTCTGGGTTCTTTATTCTGATCTGTTGGTCTATGTGTCTGTTTTTATACTAATGCTATTTGATTACTATTGCCGTGTAATATATTTTTAATCAGGTGGTGTGATTCCTTCAACTTTTTGCTCTTTGCTTAGGATTTCTTTTTTATTGAAGTTATTTCTTGTTTTCATATGAATTTTGTGATTGTTTCATCTCTTTCTGTGAAAAGTCACATTGGTATTTTGATAGGGGTTAAATTGAATTTGAAGATAGCTTTGTGTAGTATGGTCATTTAGACAACATTTTTTTTTTTTTTTTTTTTTTTTTTGAGACGGAGCCTTGCTCTATCACCAGGCTGGAGTGCAGTGGTGCAATCTCGGCTTACTGCAACCTCCACCTCCTGGATTTAAGAGATTCTTCTGCCTCAGCCTCCTGAGTAGCTGGGACTACAGGCATGTGCCACCAAATGCAGCTAATTTTTTGTATTTTTAGTAGAGATGGGGTTTCACCATGTTGGCCAGGATGGTCTCAATCTCTTGACCTAATGATCCACCTACCTTGGCCTCCCAAAGGGATGGGATTACAGGCGTGAGCCACTGAGCCCAGCCTTTTTTTTTTTTTTTTTTTTTTTAATTCGTGAGCATGGTTTCCATTTTTTTGTGTGTTCTTTTCAATTTAATTCACCACTGTTTTGTAGTTTTCCTTGTAGATGTCTTCCACTTCCTTGGTTAAATTTATTCCTTGATATTTTTCTTGTAGTTATTGTAAATGGGATTGTCTTCTCGGTTTCATTTTAAGCTAGTTCATTACTGGTGTATAGAAATGCTACTGATTTTTGTAAATTAATTTTTTATCCTGAAACCTTTCTGAACTTATTTATCTGATTTAAGAGTTTTCTAGTGGAGTATTTAGGATTTTCTAGATAAAAGATCATGTTATCTGCAAAGAGGGACAGTTTGACTTCTGCTTTTCTTATTTGAATGCCTTTTATTTATTTATTTTCCTGATTGCTCTGAATAGGACTTCCAGTATTATTTTCTTTTTTTTTTTTTAATTATACTTTAAGTTTTAGGGTACATGTGCATAATGTGCAGGTTAGTTACATATGTATACATGTGCCATGCTGGTGTGCTTCACCCATTAACTCGTCATTGAGCATTAGGTATATCTCCTAATGCTATCCCTCCCCCCTCCCCCCACCCCACAACAGTACCCAGAGTGTGATGTTCCCCTTCCTGTGTCCATGTGTTCTCATTGTTCAGTTCCCACCTATGAGTGAGAACATGCGGTGTTTGGTTTTTTGTTCTTGCGCTAGTTTACTGAGAATGATGATTTCCAATTTCATCCATGTCCCTACAAAGGACATGAACTCATCATTTTTTATGGCTGCATAGTATTCCATGTTGTATATGTGCCATATTTTCTTAATCCAGTCTATCATTGTTGGACATTTGGGTTGGTTCCAAGTCTTTGCTATTGTGAATAGTGCCACAATAAACATACGTGTGCATGTGTCTTTATAGCAGCATGATTTATAATCCCTTGGGTATACACCCAGTAATGGGATGGCTGGGTCAAATGGTATTTCTAGTTCTAGATCCCTGAGGAATCGCCACACTGACTTCCACAACGGTTGAACTAGTTGACAGTCCCACCAACAGTGTAAAAGTGTTCCTATTTCTTCACATCCTCTCCAGCACCTGTTGTTTCCTGCCTTTTTAATAACTGCCATTCTAACTGGTGTGAGATGGTATCTCATTGTGGTTTTGATTTGCATTTCTCTGATGGCCAGTGATGGTGAGCATTTTTTCATGTGTTTTTTGGCTGCATAAATGTCTTCTTTTGAGGAGTGTCTGTTCATATCCTTCACCCACTTTTTGATGGGGTTGTTTGTTTTTTTTCATGTAAATTTGTTTGAGTTCATTGTAGATTCTGGATATTAGCCCTTTGTCAGATGAGTAGGTTGCAAAAATTTTCTCCCATCTTGTAGGTTGCCTGTTCACTCTGATGGTAGTTTCTTTTGCTGTGCAGAAGCTTTTTAGTTTAATTAGATCCCATTTGTCAATTTTGGCTTTTGTTGCCATTGCTTTTGGTGTTTTAGACATGAAGTCCTTGCCCAGTGATGCAAAAATCCTCAATAAAATACTTGTAAACCAAATCCAGCAGCACATCAAAAAGCTTACCCACCATGATCAAGTGTGCTTCATCCCTGGGATGCAAGGCTGGTTCAATATACACAAATCAATAAATGTAATCCAGCATATAAACAGAACCAAAGACAAAAAACACATGATTATCTCAATAGATGCAGAAAAGGCCTTTGACCAAATTCAACAACTCTTCATACTAAAAACTCTCAATAAATTAGGTATTGATGGGATGTATCTCAAAATAATAAGAGCTATCTATGACAAACCCACAGCCAATATCATACTGAATGGGAAAAAACTGGAAGCATTCCCTTTGAATACTGGCACAAGACAGGGATGCCCTCTCTCACCACTCTTATTCAACATGGTGTTGGAAGTTCTGGCCAGGGCAATTAGGCAGGAGAAGGAAATAAAGGGTATTCAATTAGGAAAAGAGAAAGTCAAATTGTCCCTGTTTGCAGATGACATGATTGTATATCTAAAAAACCTCATTGTCTCAGCCCAAAATCTCCTTAAACTGATAAGCAACTTCAGCAAAGTCTCAGGATACAAAATCAATGTACAAAAATCACAAGCATTCTTATACAGCAATAACAGACAAACAGAGAGGCAAATCATGAGTGAACTCCCATTCACAATTGCTTCAAAGAGAATAAAATACCTAGGAATCCAACTTACAAGGGATGTGAAGGACCTCTTCAAGAAGAACTACAAACCACTGCTCAATGAAATCAAAGAGGATACAAACAAATGGAAGAACATTCCATGCTCATGGGTAGGAAGAATCAATATCATGAAAATGGTCATACTACCCAAGGTAATTTATAGATTCAATGCCATCCCCATCAAGCTACAAATGACTTTCTCCACAGAATTGGAAAAAACTACTTTTAAAGTTCATATGGAACCAAAAAAGAGCCCGCATTGCCAAGTCAATCCTAAGCCAAAAGAACAAAGCTGGAAGCATCACACTACCTGACTTCAAACTATACTGCAAGGCTACAGTAACCAAAACAGCATGGTACTGGTACCAGAACAGAGATATAGATCAATGGAACAGAACAGAGCCCTCAGAAATAATGCCACATATCTACAACTATCTGATCTTTGACAACCCTGACAAAAACAAGTAATGGGGAAAGGATTCCCTATTTAATAAATGGTGCTGGGAAAACTGGCTAGCCGTATGTAGAAAGCTGACACTGGATCCCTTCCTTACACCTTATACAAAAATTAATTCAAGATGGATTAAAGACTTAAACGTTAGACCTAAAACCATAAAAACCCTAGAAGAAAACCTAGGCATTACCATTCAGGACTTCCAGTATTATATTGAATGAGTTGTAAAAATGGGCATTGTTTTCTTTTTCCAGTTGTTAGTGGAAAAGGCTTTCAGCTTTTCTCCATTTAGTGTGATGTTGGCTGTGGGTTTGTAATTTATGGCCTTTATTATGTTGAGGTATGTTCCTTCTATGCGTAGTCTTTTTCATAAAGGGATTTGAACTTTTTCAAATGATTTTCCTGTATCTACAGGATGACTACATGGTTTCTATCATTCTTTCTGTTGATGTGGTGGATCATGTTTTTTGATTTGCTTACATCTCATCCTTGCATCCCTGGGATAAATTCCACTTGATCATGTTGTATTAAATTTTTGATTACTGTGTTCTTTTGGAGATGTTATATTTTCTTTCTTTTTTATATTTCTTAGGTACTTACCTTGATATCTGTGCATCTGGTGTAACAGTCATTTCTTTTAATTTTTTTTTTTTTTTTTTTGCTTTATTTTTGCAAGGGAGGACTTTTCCCTGAAGATACATCTATGGTATTGGTTGAGCAGGGCACTTTGGCTTTGATCCTGGGTGCACACAGTATTCCATTTGTATAATTTATTTGACTGTAAACAATGTTAGTGATGTCTGTGATTTCCTCAGTAGCTTGGGGTGCAGTTCTTAATGAAGGCTTTGCTGATGTCTTGTTGGACACAGGGACACCAGCTGGGCCAGTTCTCTGGCCCCAGTGGTGGCAGTTGTAGGCTGAGCATGCCTGTTTTGGGGCTCCATGATGGCATATCCTTCCACTGGTGGAAGTGTGTCCAGGCAGGCTGATTCTTGGTCCTCAGGTGCCAGCAGTGGCAGTGGTGGCATGGACTGGTGGGCACATTCTTGGCCCCTTGGCAGTGGGTGTGGTCTGGACAATGGCAGTAACCATGGTACACAACTCGCTCACTCTTAAGTAGTTCACACTGGTGTCGGCAGTGGCTGCAGTTGGCTGTGCATGCCAATCCCCAGGCTCACAGGTGACACATGTAAGTGGGTGCCAACTGTGGTCATGGTGGCAGGTTGGATGAACCTGTCCTCAGGCCCCTGGTAGGAATGCTCAGGTACTAATGGTGGTGATGGAGCAAGGTATTCTCTAAGTCCCCAAATGGTGTACTTGGGCACCGAGGACAAAGCCAGTACAGGTGGATGTGCCCTCAGCCTCCTTCTCAGTGCATGTAGGCACTGGCTATGGTAAGCAAGGGAAGAATAATACCTAGGCCTCCAGCAGAATGCTCAGGTAGGGGCAGCAATGGCTTTGTTGTAGCCCTTCTGCTGAGAAGGGTCAGGTTTCTTTCAGTGGCAGCAGCCATTGGTAGGTGGCTGGGGAGCACATACTTTGGTTTCAGGTGGCATCCGTACCTGGGGTAGCCTATCCCTGGGGTGATTGTAAATGCACAGAGGTCCTGCTGGGGATGGTAGGATTGCCAGCAGTGGCTCACCCTTCTGCCCTGGTGTCAGCAGCCAGCAGTGTTGTTGGTTACAGGCTAGGAAAGTCTGTACTCAGGGCATGTGAAAATGTGCAGCAGCCGTGCTGCTGGGGATGGCATGGTCACTGCCAATGGCTCCTACCTTGGTGGCAGCAGCCAGCAGTGTCAGTGGCTGTGGATGGTGGAAATTAATGGGGATCCAGGGATGTGGAGGTGTGAGAGCTGTTGGGCCCCAGAACAGGATGCAGTCTGGTGGGATGTTGGGCTCTCAAAATGGCTCTATGGTGTAAATGTTTAGGACTTGTGGGGTGTGGGACTCAGCATGAGCTATCTGTCTCTGGAGCAATGTTGTCATATGATCTCCATGCATCTCCCTGTGTTAGTCTCAGGGCCCACGAGGGTCGAGGGACTCTCCTGTGGCTAGGATTGCAGGAGTCTTCAGTGGGAATGTGGATTGCTGGAGATGTCTCATTCACCTTTTCTTTGCATTGGGAAGCCTCTCTGGGCTCCCAGCCAATCCTGGATGAGAAGGCTGCCTCACTCACTTCCCTCTCCTCCCTTGCCTTAGATGCTTCCTGTCACTTCTCCCGAAAATTCCAGTGTTTCCTTTTAGATGATCTATTCAAAGTATGATTATCTACTTGCTATTTTGGTTCTTCTTTGTGGAGGAGGTAAATACCAGATGCCTCTAGTCAGTCATCTTGAAGCCCCTCCCCTATAGACATTTTTAATAGGTTTTATTTTTATAACAGTTTTAGGTTCACAATAAAATTGAGCAGAAGGTAGAGCTTTCTCATATATTCCTTGCCTCTCACCACCATGCGTATACAACTCCCCCAGGGTGGTACATTTGTTAAAATTGATTAACCCACATTGATACATCCTTATCACCCAAAGTCTGTAGTTTACATTAGGGTTCACTCTTGGTGTTGTGTATTCTATAAGTTTGGACAAATATTTAATGGCAGGTATCTACCATTGTAGTGTCACCAATTATTTTAATTGCTGTAAAAATTCTCTGTGCCCTGCCTATTCATGGCTCCCTCCCCACTAACCCCTGGCAACTACTGATATTTTTTTTTTTTTACTGTCTTCATAGATTGGCCTTTTCCAGAATGTCATATGGTTGGAATCATAGCATATGCAGCCTTTTAATTTTGGATTTTACTTACTAATATGCATTTATGTTTCCTGCACGGGTTTTCATGGCTTAATAACTCACTTCTTTTTATCACTGAATAAAATTCCATTGCATGAGTGTATCACAGGTTGTTTATCCATTCACCTATTGAAGGACCTCTTGGCTGCTTCTGTGCTTTGACAATTATAAATAAAGCTGAAGTAAACATTTATGTACAGGTTTTTATGTGGACATAAGTTTTCAACTCTTTTGGGCAAAAACCAAGGATTCCGATTGCTAGATCATATGGTAAGAGTCTAGTTTTGTAAGACACCACCAAACTGTCTTCCAAAATGGCTGCACCATTTTGCATTCCAACCAGCAATTTCTGCTGTTTTACCTGTTCACCAGCATTTGGTGTTTTCAGCATTTGAATTTTGGCCATTCCAACAGATGTGCTATGGTACTTCATTGTTGTTTTAACTAACATTTCCCTTATGACATATAATGTGAAGCATCTTTTTACATGTTTGTTTTTCATCTGCACAGATGCTCCTTGACTTACAATGGGGTTATGTCCTGATAAACCATTTATAAGTTAAAACTATCATAAATAGAAAATGCATTTAACACACCTAACCTACTAAATATCATAGCTTAGCCTGTCCTACATTAAATATACTCAGAACACTTACATTAGCCTTCAATTGGATAAAATCATCTAACACATCTAACACAAAGCCTAATTTATAATAAAATGTTGAATATCTGATGCAATTTGTTGAATACTGTACTGAAAGTGAAAAACAAATTTGTTGTATAAGTACTCAAAGTACAGTGTCTACTGAATATATATCACTTGCACACCCTCATAAAGTAGAAAAATAATAGATTTAACTATCATAAGTCAGGAACCTTCTATGTCTTTTTTAATGAAGTGTCTGTTAAGATTTTTAGGCCATTTTTAAATTTGATTGTTTGCATTCTTATTGAGTTTTAAGAGTTATTTGCATATGTTTGATAACAGTCTTTTATGTAATACCTTTTGCAAATATTTTCTCTCAGTCTTTTGCCTTCTTTTTATACTCTTGGCAGTGTCATTTGCAGAATAGGAAATTTTAATTTTAATGAAGCCCAGATTATCACGTTTTTCTTTCATGGATTGTGTCCTTAGTATTGCAACTAAAAAGTAATCGCGGGCCGGGCGTGGTGGCTCACGCTTGCTATCCCAGCACTTTGGGAGGCCAAGGCAGGCGGATCACGAGGTCAGGAGATCGAGACCATCCTGGCTAACATGGTGAAACCCCGTCTCTACTAAAAAAATACGAAAAAAATTAGCTGGGCGTGGTGGCAGGCGCCTGTAGTCCCAGCTACTTGGGAGGCTGAGGCAGAAGAATGGCGTGAACCCAGAAGGCAGAGCTTGCAGTGAGCTGAGATCGCAGCACTGCACTCCAGCCTGGGCGACAGAGTGAGACTCTGTCAAAAAAAAAAAAAATTGCCAAACCCACGATGATCTAGATTTTTCTTCTATGTTGTCTTCTAGGATTTGTATCATGTTATGTTTTACATTTAGATCTGTTTTAAGTTCATCCATTTTGAGTTAATTGTTAAAGACCTGAGGTTTGTGTGTAGATTCATTTTTTGTCATGTTGATGTCTAGTTGTTCCAGCACGACTTTTTGAAAAGATTATCTTTTCTCTATTCTATTGCTTTTGCTCCCTTGTCAAAATTCAGTTGACTATATTTATGTTTGTCTATTTCTGCACCTTCTATTCTGTTCCATTACTCTGTTTTTTTGTTTTGTTTTGTTTCGTTTTCAGTACCACAATGTTTTCACTACTGTAGCCTTATAGTATGGCTTAAAGTATGATAGTGTCAGTCCTCTGATTTTGTTCTTCTCTTTCAATATTGAATTGACTATTCCCAGTCTTTTGCTTTTTCATATAAATTTTAGAATCACATTGTTGATATCCACAAAACAACTTGCTGGGATTTTTATTGGGATTGTGTTGAATCTGTAGATCAAGTTGGGAAGAACTGACATCTTGACAATATTGAGTATTCGTATTTATAAGCATGAAATATGTCTCCATTTATTTAGTTATTTTATTTTTCATCAGAGTTTTGTGTTTTTTCTCTTACAAATATTGTAAATATTCTGTTGGATTTATACCTAAGTGTTGCATTTGGGGTGGTGCTAATGTAAATGGCATTGTATTTTGAATTTCAAATTACACAAATTTATTGATGATATGTAAGAAAGAAGTTGACTTTTTTGGTTCCATATGAACTTTAAAATAGTTTTTTCCAATTCTGTGAAGAAAGTCATTGGTAGCTTGATGGGGATGGCATTGAATCTATAAATTACTTTGGGCAGTATGGCCATTTTCACGATATTGATTCTTCCTACCCATGAGCATGAAATGTTCTTCCATTTGTTTGTATCCTCTTTTATTTCATTGAACAGTGGTTTGTAGTTCTCCTTAAAGAGGTCCTTCACGTCCCTTGTAAGTTGGATTCCTAGGTATTTTATTATCTTTGAAGCAATTATGAACGGGAGTTCACTCATGATTTGGCTCTCTGCTTGTCTGTTATTGCTGTATAAGAATGCTTGTGATTTTTGTACATTTATTTTGTATCCTGAGTCCTTGCTGAAGTTGCTTATCAGCTTAAGGAGATTTTGGGCTGAGACGATGAGGTTTTCTAGATATACAATCATGTCATCTGCAAACAGGGACAACTTTATCCAAAAATTAATTCAAGATGGATTAAAGACTTAAAAGTTAGACCTAAAACCATAAAAGCCTAGAAGAAAACCTAGGCATTACCATTCAGGACATAGGCATGTGCAAGGACTTCATGTCTGAAACACCAAAAGCAATGGCAACAAAAGCCAAAATGGACAAATGGGATCTAATTAAACTAAAGAGCTTCTGCACAGCAAAAGAAACTACCATCAGAGTGAACAGGTAACCTACAAAATGGGAGAAAATTTTTGCAACCTACTCATCTGACAAAGGGCTAATATCCAGAATCTATAATGAACTCAAACAAATTTACAAGAAAAAAACAAACAACCCCATCAAAAAGTGGGCAA
Source organism: Homo sapiens (assembly GCF_000001405.40). Taxonomy (NCBI): domain Eukaryota; kingdom Metazoa; phylum Chordata; class Mammalia; order Primates; family Hominidae; genus Homo; species Homo sapiens. The sequence continues at coordinate 63,874,910 of NC_000023.11, read as the reverse complement.
AGGATATGAACAGACACTTCTCAAAAGAAGACATTTATGCAGCCAAAAGACACATGAAAAAATGCTCATCATAACTAGCCATCAGGGAAATGCAAATCAAAACCACAATGAGATACCATCTCACACCAGTTAGAATGGCAGTCATTAAAAAGTCAGGAAACAACAGGTGCTGGAGAGGATGTGAAGAAATAGGAACACTTTTACACTGTTGGTGGGACTGTAAACTAGTTCAACCGTTGTGGAAGTCAGTGTGGCGATTCCTCAGGGATCTAGAACTAGAAATACCATTTGGCCCATCCCATTACTGGGTGTATACCCAAGGGATTATAAATCATGCTGCTATAAAGACACATGCACACGTATGTTTATTGTGGCACTATTCACAATAGCAAAGACTTGGAACCAACCCAAATGTCCAACAATGATAGACTGGATTAAGAAAATGTGACACCTATGCACCATGGAATACTATGCAGCCATAAAAAATGATGACTTCATGTCCTTTGTAGGGACATGGATGAAATTGGAAATCATCATTCTCAGTAAACTATCGTAAGAACAAAAAACCAAACACCACATGTTCTCACTCATAGGTGGGAATTGAACAATGAGAACACATGGACACAGGAAGGGGAACATCACACTCTGGGGACTGTTGTGGGGTGGGGGGAGGGGGGAGGGATAGCATTAGGAGATATACCTAATGCTCAATGACGAGTTAATGGGTGCAGCACACCAGCATGGCACATGTATACATATGTAACTAACCTGCACATTATGCACATATACCCTAAAACTTAAAGTATAATAATAATAAAATTAAAAAAGAAGAAAAAAGATAAAAAAAAAAGAAGTTGACTTTTGTGTACTAATCTTGAATCCTGCAACCCTGCTATAATCACTTATTAGTTCCAGGAAAATTTTTTTATGATTTTAGATTTCTATGTGAATGATGATGTCTTCTGTTTAACAAAGACAGTTTTATTTCTTCCTCTCCTATCTGTATGCTTTTTATTTATATTTCTTGTCTTAATTAGCTTATTTTAAACAAGGATATTTTTATCTCTTATTTTCCAATTCACATGTCTTTTATTTCTTTTCTTTTCCTTACTGCAGTGGCTGGAACTGCCAGTACTATGTTGAATAGTAGTGGTAAGAGTAGACATACTTGTCTTGCTCTCCATCTTAGAGGAAACATATTAGTCTTTCACTATTACATATGATGTTAACGTAGGGATTTTGTGGATGTTCTTTATCAAGTTAAAGTAATTATCCTGTATTCCTTGCTTGTGTTGACAGGTTTTTATCATGAATTCTTGTTTGATTTTTGTCAAATATTTTTTCTGCATAAATTGTTATGATCATATGATTTTTCTTGTTTAGCTTCCTGATTTGGGGAATTACATTGATTGATATTGAACCATTCTGTTTCCAGCAATACATTTGATTTGCTCATAATATATGAATTTTTATACATTTCTGGTTTTCAGTTGCTAATATTTTGGGAGTTTGTGATTCTATGTTCATTAGCGATGTAAGTTTGTAGTTTACTTTTCTTTCTTCCTTTCTTTCCTCCATTTCTCCCTCCCTCCCCATTCCTCTTTCTTTATTCTCTGTCTGGTTTTGGTTTGAGGGTAGTTAATACTGGCATCATAGAAGGAGTTGGAAAGTGTGTTCTCTTCTATATTTTGGAATAATTTATGAAGTATTGTTAATAATTCTTTTTTAAATACTTGATAAAATTTACCAGTGAAGTAATCTATGCTCGGGCATTTCTTTGTGGGTATTGTTTACTACTAATTCAATCTCTTTACTCATCTACTTTTCTTTGTCTTTAGTGTTCATAAGTTTAATTATAATGTTTCTTGCCATGGATTTCTTTGGATATATTCTGTTTGAAGTTCATGCACGTTTTTGAATCTGTAGGTTTGTCTCTTCCCACATTTGGGAAATTTTTAGCCATTATTGCTTCCAATACACTTTCAGCTCTACTTTCTTTTTCATCTCCTTCTGCCAATCTGATGATATGGACGTGAGAATCTTTTGTTATAGTCCCACAGGATCCTGAGTCTCTGTTCATTTTTTCAATTCTATTTTCTCACTTCTGTCTAGATTGCATAAATTGTGTTAGTCAGTCTCCATGTTCACTAATTCTGTCCTCTGTCATCTCTCTACTACTAAGCCCATCCAGCATTTTTTTAGTTCAGCTAATGTACATTTTTAGTCTATAATTTTCATTTGTTATTTACAACTTCTATTTCTTTTCTTACAACTTTATATATTAAAAAGATAAAAATTAAAAATATAAATTCAAGAAAATTTGTAATTGTTTTTTGAAACATTATAATGGCAGTTGCATTAAAACCATTGCTGGATAATTCCAACATCTTACTCATCTTGGCATTGGCATCTGTTGGTTGTCATTTCTAATTTAGATTGTATTTTCTTGGATCTTGGTATGATGGGTGATTTTCAGTGTATCCTGGACATATCGGCTATCATGTGTGACAATTCTGGATCTTATTTAAATATTTTCTTACATATTTTCTTTTAATAGGCTGTCACCATGTTTGGCTCTAGCACACAGGTCCTTACCTATTTTTGTGAGCTGCCATTCCAATGACGATTTAATTTTTAGAGCCTTTTGTGGTGCTCTTATGGTTTCCTTAAATTATCTAGTGCTATTGGGACAAAGAAGCTTTCTGGATTGGGCTTCTTGTTCTGGTGGATCCCCCTTGCTCGTGTCCCTTGGCAGCCCAGTATAACTGGTGGGGACTGGATTCTGAGGCCCATGGAAACAAAGAAGCTTCTCTAGCTCAGTGCATGTGACTAGATCTCTTCCCTGGTGATTCCCAGCTGTCCTGGTTTGTCTAGGAGGGGAAGGACACTCTCAGACATGTGGGTACATAGAGACTTCATGAATAGGCTGCTTACTGTAGCTGAGTCTCTTTTGTTGGTTTTGTGGTTCTGCCTGCCTGCCCCTATATCTCTTGGGGCAGTAGGTAGTGTCAGCTCCAGCAAAGGAGTGCTTGATCTGACTGCTTATTGTCAGTGGGGATCTCAATGTATCCTCCTTGTTCATTCTGTTAGTTTACCTTTTTGGTGGAACTTCCCTTCAATCAGGGGAGGGATGAATCTACCTAGGCTGCCTTCAGTTGCTAGAATAGAGGTTGTGAAATGTTGGGTTTGGGCTGCCTTCCTCTGTTGGATGGGAGGGAGTCATACGATGCCAGGCTTCTGTGTTACTCCTTTAGTCCTGATGTCCCTAACCAGACTGCTTTTCTCTTACTACCTTTCATAGTTAACCTCTGGTTGCTTCCTGTATTATTTCCAGGGTTTATAGTCGTCTTAACAAAGAGGATCAGAGAGAAATGGGTCTTCAACATCCAGTCCAAACTGCAGTTCCATCTCTCATATACTTTCAAATTTACAGAACCCATACTCTGTCACTGAACTCCTTTCCTAGTGAATTCCCTTCTCCTTACTGATGATTGTTGAAGCCTCATCTCTCTTTGAGGCCCCTTCTCACTTAACCGTAGTCACTCACAGAGCTCCCATTTCCCTAGTGAATCTTCCTTCTTTTGTAATTCATTTTTCCTTACTAAATCCCCTTCTCCTGAGCCCTCTTTTTCTCTTTGAGCTACCTTTTCCACAGTCAACTGCACCTCATCCTGAAGGTCCTGTCCCTTCTCTTAGCCCCCATATGCATAATGATCGATGATCATTCTATCACTCATCCTAATCCCCTGGATTACTCACATTTGCTCACTACGACCCCCTCTCTTTTCTTTATTTCCTATCCCTACCCCTCACATGTCTTCATGGCTTAATTAGCTTTATCCCTCAGTTAACATCATCTCATGACAGTACTTCTTACCCTTCATACAGCCCTGGTCACCTCTCTTAGAAACTCCCTCACTCTAAGCCCCTATCCAATCATTGAGTTCCCAACCCCTTATTTATTTTGACTACCTTCTAAGACACTCTTCCCTCTGTATCTACATTTGCTTGTTTTCTTCCCATTGCGGAAGCATTAGTTTTGTAGGTGGAATCCTTTTCTGCTGGCCCCAGCAACCTCCTTCTGGCCCTCTTCTATAACCCTCAAACTCTTTCCTTTCCTCACTTATCCGCTGGTTCTCTGCCAGTTCCCTATCTTTTAGCTGTGGCTCGCTTCCTTCTTGAAGCTTCCAACTTCTCTCTAAACCCTTATATACTTTCTATGCCCCATCTTCTCTCTTAATACCTTTCACTACCACTTAACTCTCTTTCTGCCACTTTACTTCTGAAATGTAGCTCCCCTCTTTCTTTTTACTGGCCTGTATAATGGCCACTTACCTCCCTTCTTGACACTTAGCTGGATCCACTATAGCCCATTCCTACTATTTTGTTCTATATCAACACTTAGTTCTAGTTCCTGTCTCTGCCAGAAGAGGAGTCACTCTTAGACATCTGTTTTCTTGACAGAGATCTCTTGAGAAAATAAAAATATTCATAGCTTCTGAAATATAAATCCTCACTGCATTTTTACATCTGGGCAAGCATTTTCCACCCTACTTTTCTTGGGTTACTCTAAGGTTACCATGTGCTTACATGACAACTGCAAAGATTCAACAAATGTTAATTGCATTTACTCCTTTGACAAGTTTCTTCTAGCCCACAGGACCTGAGGCTTTTGCCTAAATCTTTGTGAGTTAATGGGATGGCTTTTCACATCAGTCAGCCTCTGGATATCAGATGCAAGCAGAGGGAGAGCGGCACTTCTGGAGGCCAGGGTCCCTGTCTCCCTTAGTTTCTCCTTTTCTTTCATGGGATGGTGTGGACTGAGTTGGATAGACCAAAATCCTAGCCCAGGCTTGGCTACTTGTCAGTCACGTGGTGGTTGCTAAAAACACCAGCACCCTTGGGAGGGTCTCCTCTCTTTGTGTTCTTCTGTCTGCCCTCTTCACTTAGGAGACAGCATGCCCCATCACTCTGGGCATGCAAGTATGGGCACACATGCCATAACTTAGAATGTCAAACGCCAGGGTCTTGCTGCTCTACTTTGGGATGCGGCCACCTCCTGTTGTAGAGAGTATATCTTTTCTATCCTTTCAGTCAGTAGATTCCACCTTGGCTCTTGAGACATTAGAATTAGCCAAGGGCAGAGAGCCATGTAGGAAAGGAGGAAAAACAGGAATTCAAGTGTCAGAGCTGAAAGGCCTGGATGGAACATTTTATCCAATAGCACTGTTGCACAGCTGGGGAAACAGGTCAAAAGAAGGGAGGTAACTTGTCCAGTTTGTGATAGAGCTAAGGCCAGAAGCCAGGCTATGGGGGAAGGAAAGAGTCATCTTTTCCATCTTAGGTTCACTTTGGTCCCTCAGACTCACATCTCCACGCTAAGATTTTTTTAGATGATGACAGATGTAACAGTTTTACTGGAGTCCTCTCAGGAATTGGGGACCAAGTTCTTCTCCTAAGCAATGGGCTACTAACTCCACAGGGGTTTTTCTTGCGTCCATAGCAGAAATTTATACTCTGGCTCCTTTGTCATCTGTGGGCCTGTTCAAGGCCCCTGGGACGGCTTGATACAACATTTCTGCTGTGGAGTTGCTGAGAAAATGAGTGATAATAGACAAATAGCTGGGCCTAAGCAGACACAGGTCTCCACTTGTACCCACAGGTACACTCCCCTATTAATAAGAGCTACTATTTAAGTGTCTATTAAATACTCTGTGCTGTACATGCATGATTATATTTAATCCTTATACAAACTTATGAGGGAAAGGCAATTATTATTTCTCTTTTATAGATGAGGAAACTGAAGCTCAGAGGGGTAATATGACGTATCCAAGGTCACATAGTCAGTAAGTGGTAAAGTTGGGATTTAAACCCACATCTACCTGGTTCTGAAGGTCATGCTTTCATGAAGCTGTGCACCTATAGATGGTTTACCTCAGCCCCATGACTAGATAAGTTCAGATTGGGCCTTTGGGGTGGAGATACCACAACCATGATGGTGATGAAAATTTAATATTTGCTCTTGCCTTTCCCCTCTTGGCACTATGCTATGTACGAGGGTTACAGAGATGAGTCAGACACAGCACAGTATGTTCTCTCAAAGTGCAGATGGTCTAATGAAGGGTAGGAACGGTATACAGACATATGATGAAATAACAAGTGTTAGAGAACAATGAAGGAACTCATTAATTTATAAGCTATCATGGCCGATGGCATGTGAATGGGATTTTTTAGGGAATTTTTTAGTATGTGTTTTCCAACTATACAAAACGTTAGGGCTAGTGACAAGCATTCCAGGGAGAATGCACAGCCTAAGTAAAGGCACAGAGGAATCAATTCTCTTGATTTGTTCAGCAAGTGGTGAGTGAGGCATGAGAATGCAAAGGAGTAGGGAAAACAGTCACAGTTTCAGGTTGCCACAGTAACTTAGTAACCTATGTTACTTCTCCAAAGCCATTAGGGATTAATTAACTTTGTAGTCCTGAGCTCTGGACCATCATGTGGTGTCCGTGGGTGATCTAGTATAGGTAGCATCAATTAATTTGAATACGTGGTTTATTGAGGCCTGGTCAGTGGGAGAAATAGCATGCCTGTGGCAACTCAATCTGTCTCCTCTTACCCTCAACTTAAATCTTTCTTCACATGATATCAGGCAAGTTTCCTTTGCCTTCTCCTCTCAGTTCTGCCCTGTTTCTTCTAGTTGCAAGAAAGCAAAAATTAGTCTTTTCTACCTCATCATGCCTGCATTCCCAAGTAGTTTTCTGACCCACATGTGAGACAATACAGAATAATGTTTTATTGGAATGTGGGCTCTGAAACCCAGATTGGTTGGATTCATATCTTGACCTAACACTTCTCAGCTGTGTAATCTTTGCCAAGGTATTGAACATGGATATGCCTCAGTTTTTTCAACTGTAAAATGGTTATAATGACACTACACCTCCCCTTTTAGACTCATGTGAGGATTAAAGGAGATAATGAAAAGTGCTTAGATTTGTGCTCATCTCATATAAACATTTAATCATATTTAATTATTTTATTATAATTACTTATTATCAATGTTGCCTGAGGATGTTTACCTTATTCTACCGAGTCAATAATGATTTCTACCCAGAAAAAGTACAAAATGTTACCAAATACTTTACATTACGCATCACTTTTAAATATTTTAACTATTTTCCAGGACTCAGTTGGTGGCCATTTAGGTTTTTACTGTTTTTTTTTTGTTTGTTTGTTTGTTTTTTTTTTTTTTTTTTTTTTTTTTACTATTGGAGATAATGCTTCAGCTAAAACTAGAACATACTTAGAAGAAAATATAAGGGAAACTTTTTATGATTGTATTTGTCAATTATTTCTTAGGAATGGCACCAAAGGCACAGGTAATGAAAGAATAAATTGGACTTTATCAAAATTAAAATCTGTTGTGCTTCAAAGAGCGCTATCAAGAAAGTGAAAAGAAAAACCATAGAATGAGAGATAATATATGCAAACCATATATCTGATAAGGGATTAATATCCATAATATATAAAGAATCTTTATGAATCCACAATAAAAAATCAAACAAGCCAATGAAAAAATGGACAAAGGACTTGAATAGACAATTCTCCTAAGAAGATATACAAATGACTGATAAGCACAAAAACAAATGTTCAATATTGTTAGTCACTAAGGAAATGCAAACCAAAACCACAATGAAATACCACTTCACACCCATTAGGAGGACTATTATTAAAAAACAAACACACAAGCTGGGTGCAGCGGTGCATGGCTGTAATCCCAGCACTTTGGGAAGCTGAGGCAGGCAGATCACTTGAGGTCAGGAGTTCAAGACCAGTCTGGCCAACATGGTGAAACCCCATCTCTACTAAAAATACAAAAATTAGCCAGGCTTGGTGGTGCAAGTGTGTAATCCCAGCTACTTGGGCAGCTGAGGCAGGAGAATCTCTTGAACCCAGGAGGCAGAGGTTACCACTGCACTACAGCCTGCGAAACAGAGGGAGACACCATCAAAAGAAAAAAACACACACACACACACACACAAACCTGAAAAAAAAAGTGATGACAAGGATGTGGAGAAAATGGAACCCCCTTCCATTGCTGGTGGAAGTGTAAAATGGTGCAGATGCTCTGAAAAACATTTTTGGAGCTCCTCAAAAAGTTAAATATAGAATCACCATATGATCCAACAATTTTACTCCTAGCACTATACCCCAAAATATTAAATGCAGGGACCACAAACATATACTTATCTACCTATGTGCATAGAAGCACTATTCACAATAGCCAAAAGGTAGAAACAGCTCAAGTGTCCATCAGCAGATGAATGGATAAAAATATGTGAATTGTGGTATATACACATGAAGTGGAATATTATTTAGCCATAAACAAGAATAAAATTTTGATACATGCTACCACATGGAGGAAACTTGAAAACATTATGCTCACTGAGGAAGAGAGCCAAGATGGACGAATAGGAACAGCTCCAGTCTACAGCTCCCAGCATGAGCGATGCAGAAAGCAGGTGATTTCTGCATTTCCAACTGAGGTACTGGGTTCATCTCACTGGGGAGTGCCAGACAGAGGGTGCAGCGCACCATGCGTGAGCCGAAGCAAGGCGAGGCATCGCCTCACCTGGGAAGTCCAAGGGGTCAGGGAATTCCCTGTCCTAGTCAAAGAATGGGGTGACAGATGGCACCTGGAAAATTGGGTCACTTCCACCCTAATACTGTGCTTCTCCAAAGGGCTTAACAAAAAGCACACCAGGAGATTATATGCCGCACATGGCTCAGAGAGACCTATGCCCACCCTCATTGCTAGCACAGCTGTCTGAAATCAAACTGCAAGGTGGCAGCTGGGCTGGGGGAGGGGTGCCTGCCATTGCCAAGGCTTGAGTAGATAAACAAAGTGGCTGGGAAGCTCGAACTGGGTGGAGCCCACCACAGCTCAAGGAGGCCTGCCTGCCTCTGTAGGCTCCACCTCTGGGGGCAGGGCACAGACAAACAATAGGCAGCAGAATCCTCTGCAGACTTAAATGTCCCTGTCTGACAGCTTTGAAGAGAGTAGTGGTTCTCCCAGCACACAGCTGGAGATCTGAGAAGGGGCAGACTGCCTCCTCAAAGGGGGTCCCTGACCCCCAAGTAGCCTAACTGGGAGGCACCCCCCAGTAGGGGTGGACTGGCACCACACACGGCTGGGTACTACTCTGAGACAAAACTTCTAGAGGAATGATCAGGCAACAGCATTTGTGGCTCACCAAAATCCGCTGTTCTGCAGCCACCACTGCTGATACCGAGGCAAACAGGGTCTGCAGTGGACCTCCAGCAAACTCCAACAGACCTGCAGCTGAGGGTCCTGACTGTTTGAAGGAAAACTAACAAACAGAAAGGACATCCATACCAAAAACCCATCTGTACGTCACCAGCATCAAAGACCAAAGGTAGATAAAACCACAAAGATGGGGAAAAAACAAAGCAGAAAAACTGGAAACTCTAAAAAGCAGAGTGCCTCTCCTCCTCCAAAGGAATGCAGCTCCTCACCAGCAATGGAACAAAGCTGGACAAAGAATGACTTTGATGAGTTGAGAGAAGAAGGCTTCAGAAGATCAAACAATTCCGAGCTAAAGGAGGAAGTTCAAATCCAAGGCAAAGAAGTTAAAAACCTTGAAAAAAAATTAGACAAATGGCTAACTAGAATAACCAATGCAGAGAAGTCCTTAAAGGACCTGATGGAGCTGAAAACCATGGCACAAGAACTACGTGACGAATACACAAGCCTCAGTAGCCAATGTGATCAACTAGAAGAAAGGGTATCAGTCATGGAAGATGAAATGAATGAAATGGAGCAAAAACAGAAGTTCAGAGAAAAAAGAATAAAAAGAAATGAACAAAGCCTCCAAGAAATTTGGGACTATGTGAAAAGGCCAAATCTATGTCTGATCGGTGTACCTGAAAGTGACGGGGAGAATGGAACCAAGTTGGAAAACACTCTGCAGGATAGTATCCAGGAGAACTTCCCCAATCTAGCAAGGCAGGTCAACATTCAGATTCAGGAAATACAGAGAATGCCACAAAGATACTCCTCGAGAAGAGCAACTCCAAGACACAAAATTGTCAGATTCACCAAAGTTGAAATGAAGCAAAAAATGTTAAGGGCAGCCAGAGACAAAGGTCGGGTTACCCACAAAGGGAAGCCCATCAGACTAACAGCGGATCTCTCAGCAGAAACTCCACAAGCCAGAAGAGAGTGGAGGCCAATATTCAACATTCTTAAACAAAACAATTTTCAACCCAGAATTTCATATCCAGCCAAACTAAGCTTCATAAGTGAAGGAGAAATAAAATCCTTTACAGACAAGCAAATGCTGAGAGATTTTGTCACCACCAGGCCTGCCTTAAAGACCTCCTGAAAGAAGCACTAAACACGGAAAGGAACGACAGGTACCAGCCACTGCAAAAACATGCCAAATTTTAAAGACTATCAAGGCTAGGAAGAAACGGCATCAATTAACGAGCAAAATAACCAGCTAACATCATAATGACAGGATCAAATTCACACATAACAATATTAACTTTAAATGTAAATGGACTAAATGCTCCAATGAAAAGACACAGACTGGCAAATTGGATAAAGAGACAAGAGCCATCAGTGTGCTGTATTCAGGAAACCCATCTCACATGCAGAGACACACATAGGCTCAAAATAAAGGGATGGAGGAAGATCTACCATCCAAATGGAAAACAAAAAAAGGGCAGGGGTTGCAATCCTAGTCTCTGATGAAACAGACTTTAAACCAACAAAGATCAAAAGAGACAAAGAAGGCCATTACATAATGGTAAAGGGATCAATTCAACAAGAAGAGCTAACTATCCTAGCAAGTCCTGAGTGACCTACAAAGAGACTTAGACTCCCACACAATAATAATGGGAGAAGTTAACACCCCACTGTCAACATTAGACAGATCAACGAGACAGAAATTTAACAAGCATATCCAGGAATTAAACTCAGCTCTGCACCAAGCGGACCTAATAGACATCTACAGAACCCTCCACCCCAAGTCAACAGAATATAATTTTTCAGCACCACATCACGCCTATTCCAAAATTGACCACATAGTTGTAAGTAAAGCACTCCTCAGCAAATGTAACAGAACAGAAATTATAACAAACTGTCTCTCAGACCACATTGCAATCAAACTAGAACTCAGGATTAAGAAACTCACTCAGAACTGCTCAACTACATGGAAACTGAACAACCTGCTCCTGAATGACTACTGGGTACATAACGAAATGAAGGCAGAAATAAAGATGTTCTTTGAAACCAACGAGAGCAAAGACACAACATACCAGAATCTCTGGGACACATTCAAAGCAGTGTGTAGAGGGAAATTTATAGCACTAAATGCCCACAAGAGAAAGCAGGAAAGATCCAAAATTGACACCTTAACATCACAATTAAAAGAACTAGAAAAGCAAGAGCAAACACATTCAAAAGCTAGCAGAAGGCAAGAAATAACTAAAATCAGAGCAGAACCGAAGGAAATAGAGACACAAAAAACCCTTCAAAAAATTAACGAATCCATGAGCTGGTTTTTTGAAAGGATCAACAAAATTGATAGACCGCTAGCAAGACTAATAAAGAAGAAAAGAGAGAAGAAACAAATAGACACAATAAAAAGTGATAAAGGGGATATCACCACCAATCCCACAGAAATACAAACTACCATCAGAGAATACTACAAACACCTCTACACAAATAAACTAGAAAATCTAGAAGAAATAGATAAATTCCTCGACACATACACCCTCCCAAGACTAAACCAGGAAGAAGTTGAATCTCTGAATAGACCAATAAGAGGCTCTGAAATTGTGGCAATAATCAATGGCTTACCAACCCAAAAGAGTCCAGGACCAGATGGATTCAAAGCCGAATTCTACCAGAGGTACAAGGAGGAACTGGTACCATTCCTTCTGAAACTATTCCAATCTATAGAAAAAGAGGGAATCCTCCCTAACTCATTTTATGAGGCCAGCATCATCCTGATACTAAAGCCTGGCAGAGACACAACCGGAAAAGAGAATTTTAGACCAATATCCTTGATGAACATTGATGCAAAAATCCTCAATAAAATACTGGCAAACCAAATCCAGCAGCACACCAATAAGCTTATCCACCATGATCAAGTGGGCTTCATCCCTGGGACGCAAGGCTGGTTCAATATACACAAATCAATAAATGTAATCCAGCATATAAACAGAACCAAAGACAAAAACCACATAATTATCTCAATAGATGCAGAAAAGGCCTTTGACAAAATTCAACAACTCTTCATTCTAAAAGCTCTCAATAAATTAGGTATTGATGGGATGTATCTCAAAATAATAAGAGCTGTCTATGACAAACCCACAGCCAATATCATACTGAATGGGCAAAAACTGGAAGCATTCCCTTTGAAAACTGGCACAAGACAGGGATGCCCTCTCTCACCACTCCTATTCAACATAGTGTTGGAAGTTCTGGCCAGGGCAATCAGGCAGGGGAAGGAAATAAAGGGTATTCAATTAGGAAAAGAGGAAGTCAAATTGTCCCTGTTTGCAGATGACATGATTGTATATCTAGAAAACCCCATCATCTCAGCCCAAAAACTCCTTAAGCTGATAAGCAACTTCGGCAAAGTCTCAGGATACAAAATCAATGTGCAAAAATCGCAAGCATTCTTATACACCAATAACAGACAAACGGAGAGCCAAATCATGAGTGAACTCCCATTCACAATTGCTTCAAAGAGAATAAAATACCTAGGAATCCAACTTACAAGGGACGTGAAGGAACTCTTCAAGGACAACTACAAACCACTGCTCAATGAAATAAAAGAGGATACAAACAAGTGGAAGAACATTCCATGCTCATGGGTAGGAAGAATCAATATCGTGAAAATGGCCATCCTGCCCAGGGTAATTTATACATTCAATGCCATCCCCATCAAGCTACCAATGACTTTCTTCACAGAATTGGAAAAAACTACTTTAAAGTTCATATGGAACTTAAAAAGAGCCTGCATCGCCAAGTCAATCCTAAGCCAAAAGAACAAAGCTGGAGGCATCACGCTACCTGACTTCAAACTATACTGCAAAGCTACGGTAACCAAAACAGCATGGTACTGGTACCAAAACAGAGATATAGACCAATGGAACAGAACAGAGCCCTCAGAAATAATGCCACATATCTACAACTATCTGATCTTTGACAAACCTGACAAAAACAAGCAATGGGGAAAGGATTCCCTATTTAATAAATGGTGCTGAGAAAACTAACTAGCCATATGTAGAAAGCTGACACTGGATCCTTTCCTTATACCTTATACAAAAATTAATTCAAGATGTATTAAAGACTTAAATGTTAGATCTAAAACCATAAAAACCCTAGAAGAAAACCTAGGCAATACCATTCAGGACATAGGCATGTGCAAAGACTTCATGTCTAAAACACCAAAAGCAATGGCAACAAAAGCCAAAATAGACAAATGGGATCTAATTAAACTAAAGAGCTGCTGCACAGCAAAAGAAACTACCCTCAGAGTGAACAGGCAACCTACAGAATGGGAGAAAATTTTTGCAATCTACTCATCTGACAAAGGGCTAATATCCAGAATCTACAATGAACTCAAACAAATTTACAAGAAAAAAACAAACAACCCCATCAAAAAGTGGGCAAAGGTTATGAACAGACACTTCTCAAAAGAAGACATTTATGCAGCCAAAAGACACATGACAAAATGCTCATCATCACTGGCCATCAGAGAAATGCAAATCAAAACCAGAATGAGATACCATCTCACACCAGTTAGAATGGCAATCATTAAAAAGTCAGGAAACAACAGATGCTGGAGAGGATGTGGAGAAATAGGAACACTTTTACACTGTTGGTGGGACTGTAAACTAGTTCAACCATTGTGGATGTCAGTGTGGCGATTCCTCAGGGATCTAGAGCTAGAAATACCATTTGACCCAGCAATCCCATTACTGGGTATATACTCAAAGGATTATAAATCATGCTGCTATAAAGACACATGTACATGTATTTTTATTGCGGCACTATTCACAATAGCAAAGACTTGGAACCAAGCCAAATGTCCAACAATGATAGACTGGATTAAGAAAATGTGGCACATATACACCATGGAATACTATGCAGCCATAAAAAATGATGAGTTCATGTCCTTTGTAGAGACATGGATGAAGCTGGAAACCATCATTCTCAGCAAACTATCACAAGGACAAAAAACCAAACACCACATGTTCTCACTCATAGGTGGGAATTTAACAATGGGAACACATGGACACAGGAAGGGGAGCATCACACACTGGGGACTGTTTTTTGCGGAGGAGGGCTGAGGGATAGCATTGGGAGATATACCTAATGCTAAATGACGAGTTACTGGGTGCAGCACACCAACATGTCACATGTATACATATGTAACAAACCTGCACATTGTGCACATGTACCCTAAAACTTAAAGTATAATAATAATAATAATAAAGAAAACATTATGCTCACTGAAATAAGTCAGACACAGAAGGACAGATTGTGTGTCATTCCACTAATGTGAGGTACTTAGAGTAGTCAAATTCATAAGGACAGAAGGCCCAAGGGGCAGGATGTAGGTAATGGAGAGTTATGGATTCAAAGTGTCTGTTTGGGCTGATGAAAATGTTCTTGAAATACATAGTGAAAAATGGTTGCATGACATTGTAAATATAATTAACGCCACTGAATTGTACACTTAAAAATGGTTATAATAGGCAGGGCATGGTTCCTTATCCCTCTAATCCCAGCACTTTGGGAAGCCAAGGTGGGAGGATAGCTTGAGCCCTGGAGTTTGAGACCAGCTTGGGCAACATACCAAGTCTTTACCAATTTTTTTTCATACATCAGCTGGGTGTGGTGGCCCATGCCTGTAGTCCTAGCTACTCAGAAGGCTGAGGCAAGAGGATTGCTTGAGCCTGGGAGTTCAAGGCTACAGTGAGCTATGATAGTGCCACTGCACTGCAGCCTGGGTGACAGAGCAAGACCCAGTCTCTAAACAATAATAACAATAGACCAGCACTGGCCACATAGTGAGACTCTGTCTCTATAAAAAATAAAAACAAAAAATTAGCTAGATGTGATGGTGTGCACCTATAGTCCCAGCTACTCCAAGAGGCTGATTTGGGAGAATTGCTTGAGCCTGGAAGGTCGAGGCTGCAGTCAGCTGTGGTCACACCACTATACTCCAGCCTGGGTGACAGAGTGAGACTCTGTCTCAAAAAAAAATGGTTACAATGATATATTATATCTTATGTATATTTTACTACAATAAAAAGATAGTGCATTAGTGAAAATCTTTATATTTTTGTTGAGATAAGGGATTTATTAAGATATAATTCACATACTGGAATTGTCATGCTGGAGATGGGAAGAAAGTGGGGAAGCCCCCACCTTGGCTTGGTGGGGGTAAGGCTGGTAAGTTGAACTTTGGTGATGTTGGTTTTGAGGTGACAGTACCCTATTCATGTAGTAAGGCTCAGGAGGCAGTAATGATTTTAGTCTAACCTTGGGGAAAAGGGTTGAGCTGAAAATACAATCTTGGGAGCCTAGCACATCTAAATGCTTGGAGAAAATGTAGGATTTAATGATACTGCCCAAAGAGAATATGAAGACCTTGAATTAAGAGTCTGGGACAGCAGGGTAGAGAAAACTGAGAAGTAGTGGTCAGAGGCATAGGAATAAAATCAGGGCAGAAAAGTGCCACAGAAAGCACAGGAAGAAAAGTTTTCAAGAAGTAGAAATAATTTCATGGTATCAGTATTCAGAGGAATTGAATAGGGTAAGTCCCCAAAAAAAAAAAAAAAAAAAAAAAAAGGCAGTTGGCTTTGGCCATAGAGTTTTTACTAACCTTAGGAGCTAAGGTATTCTAGAGATAAGAGCATGGGCTTTGCAATTGAGTAGACCTGCATCCAAACCTAAAACTCTGGTAATTATAAGCTGAGTGACAATGGGCAAGTCATTCAACCTCTTAGGACCTCAGGTTTCTATCAAATGAGAGTAATCTCTACTGCTGAGTATTATTTTGAGAATTGGAGGAAATAGTGTGTGAAAAGGATTGGCACAGTGCCTGATATATAGGTGTTCAATAAATGTTCATTCAATTTGTCCCCTTTCCCTGCCCCCTTCCAAGAGAAGAATTTCATTGCTTATCTAAACGGTGATTGGATCTACAGGATTTAACTAGACAAGAAAGTGCTCTAATTCACAAACAGATGTTTGTTAAGGCCAACTCTTATGAATCTCTTAGGCTGTCCAGAGATGAAAGAGGAATGGTTACCTTTTAGAAACTCAAGAGTCCAGCTGAGGAGACAAGAAAGTCAACTTCTAATTATACACATGTTATATACATGCCATTGGCAAGGTGGGAACGAAGCATTCAGGCACATGAAAGGGGAAAGGTTGGAGGATTGGCCTGACTCTAAGTTATGTTTTCTCTATACTAGACCATAGTTATACTTAATCATTGAACATGTTAATTGTCTGTATGTAATTGGAGACCATTTGGGCTGAACTAATTTAACTTTGTGTTTTTAATAGAACAATGATGTAAATTAAGTTGATAGAAAAACAGTTCGGTAGAAAACACAAAATCTTCTTCCTCTCCACCCTCTTTTTTTGAGACAGGGTCTTGCTCTGTTACCCAGGCTGGAGTGCAGTGGCATGATCTCAGCTCACTGCAACCTCTGCCTCCTAGGCTCAAGCAATCCTCCCACCTCAGCTTCCTAAGTAGCTGGGACTACAGGCACATGCCACCACGCCTGACTAATTCTTTGTATTTTTAGTAGAGATGAAGGTTCACCGTTTTGGCCAGGCTGGTCTTGAACTCCTGACCTCAAGTAATCCTCCTGCCTCAGTCTCCCAAACCCTCTACCTCTTTTATTTACAGGGAAAAAAAAAAGAGTGAAAGCCTCTTCAGACTATAGCCCAGTCACCACTGTTCAACTTGGGACAAGTCTGTCACTGCCGCCATGGCACCCCCAACTCTAGCATGCCAGGATAAACATCCCAGAGTGCAGGATGGTCCAGAACATGACTGGGAGTAAGGGTTTAGATAGGCAGGCAGGGCTGGAGGCAGGGAGGCTAGGAAGGATAGGGTTCCAATCACCCCAAGTGACGATTTAGGAGCACCTGTATAGAGGCTGGGTTGTAGTGATGGAGAAAAGGATGCCAACTTTGGAAATGGAGGTACAGAAAAAGTGGCCAATTTCATTTGCTAGAAGAGTGTATGGCAAAGCTATTAATTTCCAAACAAAAATTAGCGTCAAAGTGTGCATGTGTGTACATTTGTCTTTCTATTTCCCTTTCTTTCTTTCTTTCTTTCTTTCTTTCTTTCTTTCTTTCTTTCTTTCTTTCTTTTTTTCTTTCTTTCTTTCTTTCTTTCTTCTCTCTCTCTCCTCCCTACCTTTGGGCAAAAGTTCTGGGCTTGCCAAGACTCTTCCTAGCTTTTCTTTCTTTGCCTCTTCCCAACTTGCCCTAATTACTGCAGCTTCTAAATGTCGACAGGTGTGCAGTGGATATCAAAACAAATATCTTCCACACTTGCTTGTCAAGGTGATAACCCTGACATCTGTCAAGTGTAATCCTATTATGAATATAGCAAGAGTTATTTACTGCCAAGTAAGAAACAGATTAGTTATGGCCCTGGTAATTTCTGCCCCTCCCCCAAACAGCCCATGTAATTGCTTCTTTTTTATCTTTCTTTTCATTTTGCCTCTCATTTTTCCTCTCTTCAAAGGCCTTTTTGCTACTTTTGTCTTTTTCTAAGTTTTTCTTTATCTTGTTCTTTTCTTTCTGTTGTCTCAAATTCTCACATTTGGCCAGTCTTTCTCTTGTTCTTTCTCATGCTTAGTTTCTCTCTCTTACTTGACTTTTCCCTCTTTCCTTTATTTTTCTGTAGCCCATGGATCTTATTCTGAATCTCTCTCTGAGTCTGTCCTTTCCTCAGGATCTGTTCTTTTTCATTTCCTCTCTCCCTTTTGTCTATAGTGGCCAGTTGAAGTTATGGAGCACTGGGTTTCTGAGGGCCCTTTACAACACTGCTGCTCCAGTTCTACCAGGCTGCTCTTGCTGCAGTCTGCTTAAAGAGCTGACCCTGCTGAAAATTCTGCCCACACATTGGCCCCAGGGGAGGAGAGCACGGGGGACTTATTGGCCTGTCAGGTAGAGGGGAGCACAAGTCCTCTCATCACATGGCCAGAAGATAAATATTGCAGTGACAAGACACAGCAGCAGCACCACTGTATCTGGAGTGAAACAGTTCATTTTTATACACTTTAATTAAAATATTCCAAAACTCTGTATACATCATCTTCAATCCCCTGGTTTCTTTTGAAAACCTACCTAGGGAATCCATTGTTATAACAGCCCACGCTTGTCATCTGCCAGCAGGAGGAGGATAATTGAAGAAACGTGTGTTGTTTTAATTGGGAGAGATGGGATGGTAAGTGAGTGACAAAATGAGTTTGGAGTTTTACAGGATGTGGTGGGCATGGGACAGTGAGTGAAAGGATCTGGAAATGGCAGGGGTCTGGGGTAGGTGGAAAGGAGGTGAAGAGTTGAAATCATGCTTTTACAGCAGTCTTGTTGTCCAAGTAAGTGTTAATACCAGAGGAGAGTTGCTTTGTCTTGTAACTTATATAATAGCCTGCATTAAGATTACTGATGCTGCCTGATGCAAGCAGAATGCCTAATGAGTCAGCCCATCTCAGTCTCTCAAATGCCTAGAAAAACCAGCACTTTTCAACTCACATTCCTCCATGCTGAGACACTCCCTCTCTACCATCCAGGAGGTAGCACCTACTCTGACTCAGTTTCCAGCTATTGAACACCCCTACTGGGTACCAAGCTCTCTCTATGGTAGATAATGGTATTTGCATTTTAAAGATTAAAAAAAGTTCTGAGTGGTTGAGTAACTTTCTGTAGGTCACACAGCTAATAAATAATTGAACTAGTGTTTAATGAATTGGCCTAGATATCAAACTGAGCTGAAGGAAATGGTGTGTGTGTGTGTGTGCACGCACGTGTGTGTGTGTCCATGTGACAGAGACTGAGAGAGAGGGAGAAGGGAAGAGAGAGAGAGTGAAACAGAGAGAGACTGTTGGGTCTGAGGGGTTAGGGCAGAGATGCCAAAACCCCCTTTGTTTCTCTAGAAAGGGCACAAAATGCAGTTCTTCTTTTTAGGTATTGATGCTGAGTGGTAATTTCTGTGGAATAACTGAATAAGATAATGCTGCTAATAATCAGAGTAATCATTTTTATGTTTTCTTCCTGCAGCAGGTTGAGGGGTACATATAGTTCTGCAGTGATGCCAAATAGACATGGAATAAAACTGGCAGTTTTCTTGTTATCTCTGACCATAAACTCCCAGTGGGCAATGGATTGCCATGCTCAATGCCCAGTGAGCTCAGAATGCCTAATCTATAGCCCTGATTTAAGAGGCCCATTTACTTAGCAGAACTGAAATCCATTTTGATGCTCCAAGTCATTATTAGAGTAGAGCCCTATCAAAGGTATGAAGGATTTCCTTTTGCCTCCAGTTCACACCCTAATAATCTTGGACAGGCAATCTTCTAGGCTTTGACACAGCCATGAGATTTTAAAACCTACCTTGGATCGGTGCCATGCAATGTCTCCCAACTCCTTATTTAAAGAGTTCTTAATTTAAAAAAAGCTAACTTTAGTCCCCTTGGATAAGTCAATACAGGTCCCTTGCTGCTTGCCCTTTTTTGATAGTAAAGAAAGCTAGTTCTCATCTAGAAATACAGAAGTTTATCACTGAAAACACTTTGGATTTGAGGTCAGAAATTGAGCTCTGGCTGTCACCTCAGGGTATCCACTTTCTTAGAAATAATTTTGTCACTTTCTTCTCTTTGCTTCCAGAGGATGGTGGGATTAGTAACAAATGGATAGAAAGAGGCTTTCCTCCCCTCCAAGGTATTCCTGTAGCTCCTTTTTATCCTTATAGTACATTATTTATCACATTATTGGGCAATCATTGATTTGGGAATCTACATTTCTTGTAGGACTGTAAATTTATTGAAGGCAAAGACTGTGGTTTAATTTATCTCTGTCTCTCTCTCTCTTCCTCTCTCTCTTCTCTCTCTCTCTCTCTCTCTCGGATACAATGGGAACACTTTCATGGCACAGGTATTTCATTCATTCAGTAGATACCTACTGAGGGCCTGCTATTGGCCAGCCTTATGCCAGGTGCTGTATTTCAATTATCAGTGGCAAGGAGGGGGTGGAAGTGGCAGACAAAGTGAACATTCTGATCTGATATGCTCATCCTCAGCAGTCTTGTGGCAGGCCACTGGCCTATCTGTCAAAACACAAAATGGCAGCCTCAGGGTGAGAAATCCTAGAAGAACACTGGAATGGGGAAAAGAGCATGGAATCTAGACTGCTCTGCTCCTGCCTTCCTGAATGCTGTATATATGAGTACCTCTATATTTAGGCCTTTAGTTCCATCATCTAATCATAATAGCTAACATTCATTGATGGCTTTCTTTAGGTCAGGAACTCTGTGAAACATGGTATGTATATTGCTGCATTCATTCCTCCCTATAACACTATGAAGCTATTTTTACATATGAAAATCTTCAGGCCTAGAAAAGATATGTTTAGTGAAACATAACTAAGAAAGAACAGAGCCAGGACTTGAATCCAAGTCAAATTCCAGAACATGGATATGGAACCTTTGTTCTATACTGCCTCCTTAAAAATGGAGGCTCATAAAATTAATGCTGCCTTCCCCATGCCATTGTTGTGAGGACGAATTGAGTCTATAGATGAGCAAAGTGCTATGCAAACTGTAAAGCATTGTCTAGATGGAAGCTATATTGTTGCTATTGTCAGCTTTAGCAATAATTTAGGCCTTTCCTGTCCTGCTTTTTTGCTGCTATCACATCACTCTTGGGCTATCAATACATTGCTGTGCTTAAAAGCGTGCACTCTTGCAGATTTGTTCAAGTTCAAATCTCAGCTCTGCCACTCACTGGTTGTGTGATCTTGGGCACCTATTTAACCTTTCTGTACCTCAGCTTGCTCCTTAGTAAAATTGAGAATATGAGAGTATCTACCTCATAAGGTTGTGGTAAGGATTAAATATGTTAGGCGTTTAGAACATATCTGGCACAGAGCACTTTGAGAATGCAGTGGCTTATGTTCCTTCCATTATTCTACCCATATTAACACAGATTAGCAAAGAGGTTGGTGATGGTGAGAAGGGACACTTAGTTTGACATAGGATTAAAACTGAAATAGCATAATTCTGGACCTGGTAGAAAGGCTAAACCCTTTCAGAGTGACACCTGCAGGCTGGGGAGCAGCAGATGGTTGACTTAGTTAATGTCACTCAACAGAAATTCAAGCCACAGCTGCTACCTGCCAAGCTTGGCTTTTTCTTCCAAGCCCGCCTTCTCCCTTCCAAGAGATATGTCTAAGATGGGGTTCAAGGAAAGAGCTTGTCGGTGGTTGATCTTGGAGCCTGGGTCATGTTACTAAATTGAGGTAAAGCTTATACTCTATCTGATGTAGTGCCAAGGGCGTGGGTTTTGGAGTTAGACAGATCTGTGTTTGAATATCAGCTCTGCCATTTACCAGCTGTGTGACCATGGGAAATCACTTTAACCCCCCTGAGCCTGCTGCGTCTTTTCTAAAAAGTCTGGATAATAATAGTACATACCAGAGATTGGTTAACTGATACATAGTAGGCATACAGTAAATGTTAACTTTTCATTTCTATCCCTACCTGCCTTTTCACCTAGCAGCTGAAAGGATCAAGTAGTTATAGGCTTGGGGGCATAGGGAATCTGAGGGTCATTAGATCTGAGTTCCTGCAGCACAGTAGTGGACAGTATGATTCATGGGTTTGAAGTCAGAACCTGGGTTCTAGTTCTTTTCTTCCCTTTATTAGCTCTGTCACCATGGGCCTCTTTAAGCCTTTGTTTTCACATCTTTCAAACATAGATTTGTCCCTATCTTGACTACCTTCCAACGTTGTTAGAAAGTTAAAATGAGACGATGTCCCTAATACTTGTTTATTATGGTCACACTGTGTGTGGTTTGAGAGAAGGAGGACCAGGTTGGGGGAAAGGGGATGTTGGTAAGCAGTGCCTTTGGAAGGCAGTTCAAAATTTCTGAGGGTTCTTACTAAAAGTAAACCAAATGGTCCACTCAGATACTAAGACAGTGCACAGTCCAGTAACAATGAAACAAGCTGCATGGAAAGTAGGACATTGAGAGACCTGTCAGCCAGGAGTAAACACTGTAAGCCTGATTTCCTGTCCTCCCTTTTTTTCCAGGTAATAACAATAGGTGAAAAAAAATTGAGAAGAATGAAACCCTTGTAATTTTACCATACTAGCACACTTATTTTGATTTCCTCTTATTATATCCAAGTCTCTATTTCCATGCTTAGGTATTTTTATATAGCATGAAATTTATCCACTTTATTCATTTAACAAACACATCTGAGCACCCACTCTCTGCCTGGAACTGCACACAGTGCTGGCACAACAGAGTTGACTCAAGTACTACCTAGGCCCTCAGAGTTCATTGGCTTGGAAGAATGGATAGGCACAGAAACAAATGACAGTAATAGAAAATGCTAAGTGCTGTAATAAAGTGGTGTATAAAGTACCGTGTGTCCATAGATAAGAGGCCACATAATTTTGTAATTTGCATCTTTTCACTTACCCATCTGCTAAAAATAAACTTTTTCTCCACTTGTGGCTATGCACTCTTAATAATTATGATCCTTTTCAGTGGCTGCATAATATTCCATTGAGTGATTCCATAATTTACTAAGCAAAAATAATGGAAGACAACCTCAGTGACCAATAACAGGAGTGTAGCTATTATCACAGTACAGGCTGTGCAACCTGAATATGCAAAAACAGACTGATCACTGAAAAAGGGAGCTTTCTATTGTACTCAAAAACGTACTAGAAGACTTTATATAATTCTAGGTTCCATGCTTAAAGGCAGATGAAGAGAGAGTGAAGGGAATCCTGAGGAGAGGCACAAAGGGCATTGGGAACATCTTCAAAAAAGATTAAAGAAGCTGAGAATGTTTATCTTGGAGAAAAGGAGACTTCGAGGCTATTGAAAAATGGTCTTCACATGTATGACCAATTGTTCTTTGTTTCCAGAGGCTAGAACAAAAGAAAATGGATTCTTTTTAATAAGAAAGATTTGGGATAAATATAAAGCAACGTTCTTGACATTGAGAGCTGTTAAACTTTAAGATGAATGAGAGAGAGCCCTCAGAACTTTCTTCTCTGGAGTTCTTTTACATGGGATAGATTTTTTTCCTCCTGGGAGAATGTAAACATGGACCTGAAATTAGAGAGTGGCTGAGTTGCCTCTTTAATATTCCCGCTTTCCTCCACTAAGTCCATGGGAAATGGCATTTTAAACCGTAAAGAGGTGTGTAAGCATCAGAAATGGGCAAGGAGCCCCTTGTGAGGTGCCTGTCTCCACATTTCCCCCATCTTTATCCCTAAAGAGCTCCAGGAAGATGTTCCTCTCTTGGTTATCATTCCAATTCAATTCCCAAAATGATTCTTTAAATATAACTTAAGTATTTAAAGTTGTTGCCCTAGTTTAGTTTATCTTTTTCTGTTTTCACCAAGAACAATGTTCTTTAATAAATAAAATGGCTTTTAATTCAATAAAGTGTTAACTATCCTTCTTTACTTTTCTCTTTCTTTGTTCCATCAACTAACCCCAAGTCCTTTAATTTTTCTCCATTGATTAATTCTCAGGAAAGTCTTACTTTAGGACAACAGTAGATAGTAAAAAGAATGAGGTAACTTGGCAAGTTTACATAGAGGAGGCTGGCCAGTCTGATCTCAGCAGAAGGCCAGCCCAACAGGTAGACTGGCCAATTCAAAGACCCAACAGCCTCCTCCAGGGGCTGTCTAGTAGGGAATGGCTACAAGAGGCAATGGCACAAGGCAAAAGCTGCTCAAAACCTCAAATTGGCAGCAGATGGCCTGCCAACCTACTGTGAAGGGAGTGCTATATTCATTATTCATTGGTAAGGATTTCATCTTCACTTTTGAAGACAAGATGAGTGTCTTAGTCTTTTTTTTCTGCTATAACAGCATACCACAGACTGGACAACTTATAAAGAAATGGTATTTATTTGGCTTACTGCTCTGGAGGTTGGGAAGTACAAGAGCATGGCACTGGCATATAATGAGGGTCATCCCATGGTTGAAGGCATCATGGTGAGGAAGTGTATGCAACAGGTAGAAAATCAGGACCAAATTTATCCTTTCATCAGGAGCCCACTCCTGTAATAACAGCATTAGTAGTGCCCTTATCACCTAATCACCTCTTAAAGGTCCCACCTCCTAATACCATCACAATGGCAATTAAATTTCAGCATGAATTTTGGAGGGGACATTCAAACCATAGCAATAAGCTTAGCCACTAAATTTTCCCAAAACTACCAGCCAGCTCTAATTTTCCATAAATTTTAATTATGTTAGGGATTACACTGAGAGTAGTATGGCGTAGGGGGAGAAAGACATTATTCGTTCCTCACAGTACTTGAATTGAGAGACACCATGGCCTGGAAGCTTTTTGCCAACTGAAATGGTTCCTTAGGTCTCTACTAAAAACTAGCAGAAGTTTTAGTCAATTGTTTCAAAACGTATTGGAATCCTAGAGTTGGTTTTGAGAACTCTTCTCCCCAATAAGAAGATATAATCTAATGTACAATATTTACAAATTAAAAAGTTTATCAATATCCATGTCATGTGAAGTTATCTTGTGTATCTTGCTGCATGAAGCCAAGTTTTGGACTCCATTCTCATGTAGCTCTCAGGCCACACATTTATATGATGGTTCAGTTTTGAGTAGCATGAGTCAATCCATTAGCAAACATGTGTTGAGAGATAAATATGTGCAAAACATTGAGTTGACAGTTTAACTTCAAGAAAGAATAGAAATGGTGCAATTTTATGATCCACAGATATAGGAAGAGTGAAAGTAGACATAGCTAGCAACCATTTCTCTGGAATAATTTCTGCATCTCCAACTTTTACAAAATAGCTTTCTGATTAATGAAAAATGTTGTTTTTTATTCTCCAGCTTCCTGCTACCAGCTAATTTCATTTAGGAAAAAGGACAGATCATCCATTAGAGAAAATTGAAGCATTCTCAACTAATTTAAAAGTACAGGGAGGTCACTCCGGTGGTTTCATTTTGGAATTTGGAAAGTGAAGAGTTAAGTGAAGTACAGTGTAAGATAATGGCCTCAAACTAGGTGGCCCAGGCTAGGTGGATGTTACTAGAGCTCAGGATATTACCATAGGCTTTGAATAACAACAGACACTGGCTATTTCATCCTCAGGATTATCAATAAGCCCTCATTTCCACAGCACTTAGGTTTTCTTTTTTTTTCTAATCTAATTATCCTTTTAATTGACAGGTAAATATTTCGTATATTTATCATGTACAACATGTTTTGAAATATGTATACAATATGAAATGGCTAGATTGAGCGAATTAATGTACGCATTACCTCAAACTTTTTTTGTGTGTTGAGAACACTTAAAATCTCCTCTCTTAGTGATTTTTAAGTATATGATACATTGCTATCAACTATAGTAACCATGTTGTATAATAGATGTCTTGCATTATTCCTTAAATCTAACTGAAACTTTGTGTCCTTGGACCAACATCTCCTCAACACCTCCAGCCCCAGCCCCTGGTAACCACCATTCTATTCTCTACTTCTATGAGTTCAACTTTTTAAGATTCTACATATAAGTGAGATCATGCTGTATTTGTCTTTCTGTTCCTGGCTTATTTCACTTAACAAAATGTCTTCCAGATTCATTCATGTTGTTGCAAATGGCAGGATTTTCTTCTTTATTAAAGCTGGAGAGTATTCTGGTTTGTATGGTATTAGTACATTTTCTTTATCTGTACATTTGTTGATGGACACTTAAGTTGATTCCGAACACTTTCAGACATCTAGCCTCCAAAACTGTGAGACAATAAATTTCTGTTGTAAAGGTCATCCAGTCTGTGGTAGAATCCTAATACACAGGATTATGGCAATACTAACTAATACACAGTCCAACAAACTCCACCTGAGTCCGAGGATCCTCACTGTCTCCTGGGAATTCAGCCCTGTTTGCTGTGCTTCAGTCATCAGTCCCCAAAATGCACCAGCAGAAGCTGCTGCTGCTGCTGGCATTCTGCTGACAGCCCTTTTGCAGACGCATTAGGGTCTGGATTCACACTGCCCTATTCTTGTCCAGTTGCCTGTGTGGTGCTAACTGTAGCAGAAATGTGTTTGTGTCAGTAAAAGAAGAAGGAAACATTATTTGAAGCCACCCGGGTGTAGCTTTATTTCAGTTACAAGTGACTATTTTTATCATCACTTTCTGCCTAGAAATGATCCCCTAGCTAGGCAATTTCCATAACCCTTTTAGTTACAGAGACTGTATTCCTCCCTCCTCTTCCCCCCAAGAACAGAGTGTTTTAAGATCAGGAGCTAATTTTTCTGGCACTCTAAATTGGGGGCTGGGAGTTGCCTGAATCCCATAGATAAGTCCCGTAGATAAGGACGGGTCAACTGCTAGGCCTACAGCAAAAGCCTATGGGATAGGCATACATTGGTGTATCTGTCTCAGTTGTCACTCTTTTCTCCAGAGGCTTAATCAAAATAATAATCACACACCACAGCAGGAAGGAGGACTGCAACCCCTCAAATCCACTTGGCAAGTCATTTGCCATCTAGCTGAATTACATTTTCACACCTGCTGTGTGCAAACAGAACTCACTGTGTTAGCTAGAGGGGGAGGTAAAAGAAGTAAGGTGAAGGAGATGGTGAGAAATTAAAGACGAAGAGGAGAATTAAAGATGAGGGGGAATGGGGAGGAATAAACAGAAAAAAAAGAAAGAACAAGAAATGGGAAGGTCAGGCTAGAATGGCTCCAGTGTCCTCAATGCCTTTGGGGTGGAATTGAGTTGGGGAGCACTGTTGAAGGAAAGCGGGAAATGATCACCCCTGTACTGGACTATCATTTGCTAAGAACTCATACACTTACTAAATTCCTATTCCATGCCAGGACTTTTATATACACTACATTCATTTTATTGATGAGGAAACTGAGACACCAAAAGCCTGTTTCCAAAACCCGTGCTCATTCCACTCCTCCACATTGCCTCTCATTTGGTGCAGGCATGCATTTACATCTGTTAGAGAGTGACCTTGTGTGAGGTCCTTGGTTAGATTTGAGTTAGAATAAAAGGAAGAATTATAAGCTTCCAAGGACAGGTATCAGATTTCCAGGTTTGTCTTCAGTATCAATGAACATTTAGAGGATAATAATAGATCTCTGAACTGTATGACACTATATGGACTAGCCTCTGTTTGTTGTTCTCCACAAAGTAGTCATTTTCCAAACAACAGCAGCAATGTGGAAGATGAAATTATAATCACAATAGACTGGAGACCAAGAGAGATCTGAAGCATAATAGAGTCTCTCCAGTGGAATGAACATAACCTGTAGCATCCCTTAGGAAGTTGGTAGATAAGCCAATTTGTGTTAAAAGCAAATTGGTCATCAACACCCCAGAAGTTGTCCCTATAAGTGAGCCGATCTCTGGTATAGTCACTCAACTAAAAAAAAGGGGGCTGGATCAGATGATGCCTCAAGGTCATTTCTAGCTTCCTGTTTTCTGGACAATAAGATATTGGAGTCACTATTAGTAGCTAATATTCTGGCCTCTGACAAAGTTTCATTTTGGGTGAAATGGCTCTGGTGCCTTTGAGAACAAGCTGATTTTTAACTCTTTACATTTTGATATATTTTGTTATTCTTACAGGTGGGCATATTACCTTTCCCTGGGACATTTTGGTAGATGGACAAATGAGAAAAGGGTTTTTTTTAAATGAACATTGCAGTGGCTCTCTACGTTGTTGTGGTGCTTGGAAATAGTTTTCAGGTTGGAGGCAAAAAGCAAGAAGCCAAGTAAAGAAGCTGTCCATGGAAGAGAAGGCTGGGGAATGGTTCATGAGAGCCTTTGGCCAAGCCAAATGATACCCAAGTTCCTGACACGTAACTCTGTAACATTTTTTTCTTTCAGTGAAAGAGTGAATTCACTGCAGATTCCAATTAGGAACACCTATCATTTTGTCCTTTGGGGCCTCCATGGGTCAAGGGAAATGCATACAAATCACTCAAATCCAGAGAACAAACTAAGTCCACCAAGAAACAGTATAGAACCAGTTTCCTGACCCTGCTCAGTTCCAAACATCAACCTTGAGAACATTCCATGTAAAACATTTGATGGAACCTGCTGGAATCTGGGTTGCCAATGAAAATGTGACATTCTGTCTCTAGACTGAAGCTATAGAAGGGGACTTCCCACCACCTGTCCTGCCCTCTGGATTTCCTGCTTCAATTTGAACAGATAAGTCCTGGCTTCATTTCCCAAGTCTCAAGAGACTCAAATCTGCCCTCATTGCTTCTCAGATCTGTGAGGTCCTGCCCTGTGACTCAGGTTTAATCAACAGAGTGTAGCCTTGAGGCCTAATCAGGGCTCCCAGCTTCAGCTTGGCAATGGTTCCTTCAGAAGAGAATTGAATGGCTCTTTGAGTTGTGAGGTCCTATAATAACCCCCCTTCATCTACTAACTGTTATAACCTTGAGAAAGCAACTTCACCTATCTGTGCCTCAGTTTACTTATCAGTAAACTGGCGATGAAACTAATAGCAAATAACTTCTTAGAGTTGTTGTGAGGATTAAATGAGTGAATTTACATAAAGCCCTTAAAACAGTGCCTGACACACAGTGAGCATATATATATATGTGTTAGCTATGATGATGATGATGATGATGATGCTTTCTACTCCCATGTGGCACATGAGGAAAGTGAGGCACAGAGAGTTGAAATAATTTGCTTAAGGTCCTACAGCTAGTGTTAAACCCAATATTTGTGCCCAGGTCTCTTAACCCAGTGCCCTTTCTATACTAAGGTGAAACCACTCATGCAAAAAAATGGTTTAATAGAAGTCACAGAACCAGTTTTGGCCAGTGCCAGATTATTCTTCAAAGATGAATTCTGTCATGCATAGGTTTTCTAAATTATTTGCAGTTTTAATATTTCAGAGTCTGGCACATATAGATGCTCAGTTAATATTCATTGAGTAATGAGTTGTTCTAAGCCTCATTCTTATTTCCTTACCATAGTGGCTGGAAGGTCAATTTAAAGCTATGCTTTAACAAAAACTTGATTTCCACCTCCATTCTGGAAAAGAAATTTTAAAATGCAACAGGTGGGTTTTGAGGTAATTCTAGAGGAAGCATTTACTAGCAGTGAGAGTTTGTTAGGCCCTGGAACAAGTGGTGGGCTGGTAGATATTTAACAAGCAGCTCTCCAGGACATGGATGGAAGGGAGCAACCTAATGTGCAGCATTTGCCAGTTTCAAACTATCAACTCCATGCTACTGAATACAGAATTGGGAAGAGACACACAGTAGCACACTATTATACAGTGTTCCTAACATGCAAATAAAATAGTAAAAATACTTGTTATATATTACATATATAATACATATGTATAATATAGTAATAATATGACAGACAATAGTAAAATGTAGTAAAATATTTTGGAAATGATGAATGCTGAATAGTTATCACTTTTGTTTCTAATATAGTTTAAAGTTTATATAATTTAATGAAAATTCAATTGCACTAAAAAAACACAGCAGTGTTAAGTATATTTACATTGTTGCGAAACAGATCTCTAGAACTTCTCCATCTTGTAAAATTGAAACTCTATACCCATTAAACAACGACTCCTCATTTCCCCCTCCCCCAGCCTCTAATAACCGCCATTCTACTTTCTGCCTCTATGATTTCACTACTTCAGATATCTCATATGAGTGGAATCATACAGTGTCTTTTTGTGACTGGTTTATTTCACTTAGCAAAATGTCCTCAAAGTTCATTCATGTTGTAGCGTGTGACAGGATTCACTTACTTTTTTTTAATTTATTTTTTACTTTTTATTTTGTTATTATACTTTAAGTTTTAGGGTACACGTGCATAATGTGCAGGTTAGTTACATATGTATACAAGTGCCATGCTGGTGTGCAGCACCCATTAACTCGTCATTTAGCATTAGGTACATCTCCTAATGCTATCCCTCCCCCCTCCCCCCACCCCACAACAGTCCCCAGAGTGTGATGTTCCCCTTTCTATGTCCATGTGTTCTCATTGATCAATTCCCATCTATGAGTGAGAATATGCGCTGTTTGGTTTTTTGTTCTTGCGATAGTACACTGAGAATGATGATTTCCAATTTCATCCATGTCCCTACAAAGGACATGAACTCATCATTTTTGATGGCTGCATAGTATTCCATGGTGTATATGTGCCATATTTTCTTAATCCAGTCTATCATTGTTGGACATTTGGGTTGGTTCCAAGTCTTTGCTATTGTGAATAGAGCCGCAATAAACATACGTGTGCATGTGTCTTTATAGCAGCATGATTTATAGTCCTTTGGGTATATACCCAGTAATGGGATTGCTGGGTCAAATGGTATTTCTAGTTCTAGATCCCTGAGGAATCGCCACACTGACTTCCACAACGGTTGAACTAGTTTACAGTCCCACCAACAGTGTAAAAGTGTTCCTATTTCTCCACATCCTCTCCAGCACCTGTTGTTTCCTGACTTTTTAATGATTGCCATTCTAACTGGCATGAGATGGTATCTCATTGTGATTTTGATTTGCATTTCTCTGATGGCCAGTGATGATGAGCATTTTTTCATGTGTCTTTTGGCTGCATAAATGTCTTCTTTTCAGAACTGTCTGTTCATGTCCTTCACCCACTTTTTGATGGGCTTGTTTGTTTTTTCTTGTAAATTTGTTTGAGTTCGTTGTAGATTCTGGATATTAGCCCTTTGTCAGATGAGTAGGTTGCGAAAATTTTCTCCCATTTTGTAGGTTGCCTGTTCACTCTGATGGTAGTTTCTTTTGCTGTGCAGAAGCTCTTTAGTTTAATTAGATCCCATTTGTCCATTTTGGCTTTTGTTGCCATTGCTTTTGGTGTTTCAGACATGAAGTCCTTGCCCATTCCTATATCCTGAATGGTAATGCCATGGTTTTCTTCTAGGGTTTTTATGGTTTTAGGTCTAACGTTTAAGTCTTTAATTCATCTTGAATTAATTTTTGTATAAGCTGTAAGGAAGGGATCCAGTTTCAGCTTTCTACATATGGCTAGCCAATTTTCCCAGCACCATTTATTAAATAGGGAATCCTTTCCCCATTACTTGTTTTTGTCAGGTTTGTCGAAGATCAGATATTTGTAGACATGTGGCGTTATTTCTGAGGGCTCTGTTCTGTTCCATTGATCTATATCTCTGTTCTGGTACCAGTACCATGCTGTTTTGGTTACTGTAGCCTTGCAGTATAGTTTGAAGTCAGGTAGCGTGATGCCTCCAGCTTTGTTCTTTTGGCTTAGGATTGACTTGGCAATGCGGGCTCTTTTTTGTTCCATATGAACTTTAAAGTAGTTTTTTCCAATTCTGTGAAGAAAGTCATTGGTAGCTTGATGAGGATGGCATTGAATCTATAAATTACCTTGGGCAGTATGGCCATTTTCACGATGTTGATTCTTCCTACCCATGAGCATGGAATGTTCTTCCATTTGTTTGTATCCTCTTTTATTTCATTGAGCAGTGGTTTGTAGTTGTCCTTGAAGAGTTCCTTCACATCCCTTGTAAGTTGGATTCCTAGGTATTTTATTCTCTTTGAAGCAATTGTGAATGGGAGTTCACTCATGATTTGGCTCTCTGTTTGTCTGTTATTGGTGTATAAGAATGCTTGTGATTTTTGTATATTGATTTTGTATCCTGAGACTTTGCTGAAGTTGCTTATCAGCTTAAGGAGATTTGGGGCTGAGACGATGAGGTTTTCTAGATATACAATCATGTCATCTGCAAACAGGGACAATTTGACTTCCTCTTTTCCTAATTGAATACCCTTTATTTCCTTCTCCTGCCTAATTGCCCTGGCCAGAACTTCCAACACTATGTTGAATAGGAGTGGTGAGAGAGGGCATCCCTGTCTTGTCCTGGTTTTCAAAAGGAATGCTTCCAGTTTTTGCCCATTCAGTATGATATTGGCTGTGGGTTTGTCATATATTGCTCTTATTATTTTGAGATACGTCCCATCAATACCTAATTTATTGAGAGATTTTAGCATGAAGAATTGTTGAATTTTGTCAAAGGCCTTTTCTGCATCTATTGAGATAATCATGTGGTTTTTGTCTTTGGTTCTGTTTATATGCTGGATTACATTTATTGATTTGTGTATATTGAACCAGCCTTGCGTCCCAGGGATGAAGCCCACTTGATCATGGTGGATAAGCTTTTTGATGTGCTGCTGGATTCCGTTTGCCAGTATTTTATTGAGGATTTTTGCATCAATGTTCATCAAGGATATTGGTCTAAAATTCTCTTTTTTGGTTGTGTCTCTGCCCGGCTTTAGTATCAGGATGATGCTGGCCTCATAAAATGAGTTAGGGAGGATTCCCTCTTTTTCTAAAGATTGGAATAGTTTCAGAAGGAATGGTACCAGTTCCTCCTTGTACCTCTGGTAGAATTCGGCTGTGAATCCATCTGGTCCTGGACTTTTTTTGGTTGGTAAGTTATTGATTATTGCCACAATTTCAGAGCCTCTTATTGGTCTATTCAGAGATTCAACTTCTTCCTGGTTTAGTCTTGGGAGGGTGCATGTGTCAAGGAATTTATCCATTTCTTCTAGATTTTCTAGTTTATTTGTGTAGAGGTGTTTGTAGTATTCTCTGATGGTAGTTTGTATTTCTGTGGGATCGGTTGTGATATCCCCTTTATCATTTTTTATTGTGTCTATTTGAATCTTCTCTCTTTTCTTCATTAGTCTTGCTAGCGGTCTATCAATTTTGTTGATCCTTTCAAAAAACCAGCTCCTGGATTCATTAATTTTTGAAGGGTTTTTTGTGTCTCTATTTCCTTCAGTTGTGCTCTGATTTAGTTATTTCTTGCCTTCTGCTAGCTTTTGAATGTGTTTGTTGTTGTTTCTCTAGTTCTTTTAATTGTGATGTTAGGGTGTCAATTTTGAATCTTTCCTGCTTTCTCTTGTGGACATTTAGTGCTATAAATTTCCCTCCACACACTGCTTTGAATGTGTCCCAGAGATTCTGGTATGTTGTGTCTTTGTTCTCATTGGTTTCAAAGAACATCTTTATTTCTGTCTTCATTTTGTTATGTACCCAGTAGTCATTCAGGAGCAAGTTGTTCAGTTTCCATGTAGTTGAGTGATTTTGAGTGAGTTTCTTAATCCTGAGTTCTAGTTTGATTGCACTGTGGTCTGAGTGATAGTTTGTTATAATTTCTGTTCTTGTACATTTGCTGAGGAGAGCTTTACTTCCAACTATGTGATCAATTTTGGAATAGGTGTGGTGTGGTGCTGAAAAAAATGTATATTCTTGTTGATTTTGGGTGGAGAGTTCTGTAGATGTCTATTAGGTCTGCTTGGTGCAGAGCTGAGTTCAATTCCTGGGTATCCTTGTTAACTTTCTGTCTCATTGATCGGTCTAATGTTGACAGTGGGGTGTTAAAGTCTTCCATTATTGTTGTGTGGGAGTCTAAGTCTCTTTGTAGGTCACCAAGGACTTGCTTTATGAATCTGGGTGCTCCTGTATTGGGTGCATATATATTTAGGATAGTTAGCTCTTCTTGTTGAATTGATCCCTTTACCATTATGTAATGGCCTTCTTTGTCTCTTTTGATCTTTGTTGGTTTAAAGTCTGTTTTATCAGAGACTAGGATTGCAACCCCTGCCTTTTTTTGTTTTCCATTGGCTTGGTAGATCTTCCTCCATCCTTTTATTTTGAGCCTATGTGTGCCTTTGCACATGAGATGGGTTTCCTGAATACAGCACACTGATGGGTATTGACTGTTTATCCAATTTGCCAGTCTGTGTCTTTTCATTGGAGCATTTAGTCCATTTACATTTAAAGTTAATATTATTATGTGTGAATTTGATCCTATCATTATGATGTTAGCTGGTTATTTTGCTCATTGGTTCATGCAGTTTCTTCCTAGCCTCGATGTTTTTTTACAATTTGGCATGATTTTGCAGTGGCTGGTACCGGTTATTCTTTTCCGTGTGTAGTGCTTCCTTCAGGAGGTCTTTTAGGGCAGGCCTGGTGGTGACAAAATCTCTCAGCATTTGCTTGTCTGTAAAGTATTTTATTTCTCCTTCACTTATGAAGCTTAGTTTGGCTGGATATGAAATTCTGGGTTGAAAATTCTTTTCTTTAAGAATGTTGAATATTGGCCCCCACTCTCTTCTGGCTTCTAGAGTTTCTGCTGAGAGATCTGCTGTTAGTCTGATGGGCTTCCCTTTGTGAGTAACCCGACTTTTCTCTGGCTGCCCTTAACATTTTTTCCTTCATTTCAACTTTGGTGAATCTGACAATTATGTGTCTTGGAGTTGCTCTTCTCAAGGAGTATCTTTGTGACATTCTCTGTATTTCCTGAATCTGAATGTTGGCCTGCCTTGCTAGATTGGGGAAGTTCTCCTGGATAATATCCTGCAGAGTGTTTTCCAACTTGGTTCCATTCTCCCCACCACTTCAGGTACACCAATCCGATGTAGATTTGGTCTTTCACATAGTCCCATATTTCTTGGAGGCTTTGTTCATTTCTTTTTATTCTTTTTTCTCTAAACTTCCCTTGTCGCTTTATTTCATTCATTTCATCTTCCATCACTGATACCCTTTCTTCCAGTTGATCGCATTGGCTCCTGAGGCTTCTGCATTCTTCATGTAGTTCTCAAGCTTTGGCTTTCAGCTCCATCAGCTCCTTTAAGAACTTCTCTGTATTGGTTATTCTAGTTATACATTCGTCTAAATTTTTTTCAAAGTTTTTAACTTCTTTGCCTTTGGTTGGAATTTCCTCCTGTAGCTCGGAGTAATTTGATCATCTGAAGCCTTCTTCTCTCAACTTGTCCAAGTCATTCTCCGTCTGGCTTTGTTCCATTGCTGGTGAGGAACTGTGTTCCTTTGGAGGAAGAGAGGTGCTCTGCTTTTTAGAGTTTCCAGTTTTTCTGGTCTGTTTTTTCCCCATCTTTGTGGTTTTATCTACTTTTGGCCTTTGATGATGGTTATTTACAGATGGGTTTTTGGTGTGGATGTCCTTTCCGTTTGTTAGTTTTCCTTCTAACAGACAGGATCCTCAGCTGCAGGCCTGTTGGAGTTTGCTAGAGGTCCACTCAGACCCTGTTTGCCTGGGTATCAGCAGCGGTGGCTGCAGAACTGCAGATTTTCATGAACCACGAATGCTGCTGTCTGATCGTTCCTCTGGAAGTTTTGTCTCAGAGGAGTACCTGGCCGTGTGAGTTGTCAATCTGCCCCTACTGGGGGGTGCCTCCCAGTTAGGCTGCTTGGGGGCCAGGGGTCAGGGACCCACTTGAGGAGGCAGTCTGCCCATTCTCAGATCTCCAGCTGCTTGCTGGGAGAACCACTGCTCTCTTCAAAGCTGTCAGACAGGGACATTTAAGTCTGCAGAGGTTACTGCTCTCTTTTTGTCTGTGCCCTGCCCCCAGAGGTGGAGCCTACAGAGGCAGGCAGGCCTCCTTGAGCTGTGGTGGGCTCCACCCAGTTCGAGCTTCCCAGCTGCTTTGTTTACCTAAGCAAGCCTGGGCAATGGCGGGCGCCCCTCCCCTAGCCTCGCTGCCGCCTTGCAGTTTGATCTCAGACTGCTGTGCTAGCAATCAGCGAGGCTCTGTGGCCGTAGGACCCTCTGAGCCAGGTGCGGGATATAATCTCCTGGTGCACCGTTTTTTAAGCCCGTCAGAAAAGCGAAGTATTAGAGTGGGAGTGACCCGATTTTCCAGGTGCCATCTGTCACACATTTCTTTTACTAGGAAAGGGAACTCCCTGATCCCTTGTGCTTCGCGAGTGAGGCAATGCCTCGCCCTGCTTTGGTTAGCTCATGGTGCACTGCACCCACTGTCCTGCACCCACTGTCTTGCACTCCCTAGTGAGATGAACCTGGTACCTCAGATGGAAATGCAGAAATCACCCGTCTTCTGCGTCACTCACGCTGGGAGCTGTAGACTGGAGCTGTTCCTATTTGGCCATCTTGGCTGCCTCCCCAGGATTTACTTCCTTTTTAAGGCTGAATACTATTCTATTGTGTGTGTATACCACATTTCATTTATCCATTTATCTGTGGGCAGATCTTTTGCCTATTGCAAATAATACCACTAGGAATATGGATGCTAATTTAATTTTTAATGATGGTTTGATTTTTGACAACTGGCTCACAAATTTCTTGAAAATTGTTTACAATCAGCTCTTGAGAGTTGGTGTGAGCTGGCTTTAACACACCATTGCCTGGAATCTGTGATTAGCCTTCACTTGAAGATTTAAAAATTGGGCCAGTTTGCCTGGGAGGATTTAATCCATGCTTCCCACCTACTGGTAGAAAGATGGACAAAATTATCAGGAATTTTGGTCTTGTGGAATTGCAAAACTTGGAATATCCCTGACTTTGAGATACTTAGCCTTCTTACTCAAGGTGTGTCATGTGGATCAGCAGCAGTTTTATTACCTGAAAACTTAGAAATGCATGATCCAAGATTCCACTTCAGATTTACTGAATCAGAATATCCATTGTAGCAGGGAACCCCTGTGCACTTTAAAACTTGAAAAGCACTAGGTTAGTATGCCATTCTCACAACACAAAGGCACGTGCACTCACACACACACAGATACACACACACACAGCTTCAACGTTTTCTACTCCATTACACAGATGAGAAAATTGAGGTCTAGAGAGGGAAAGGGACTATCCCAAAATTAAAGTGTATGTCAGTGGCAGAACTAAGACCAGAATTTATCTACCTCTAAAGAGGCCTTTTATATCTTTTGTTTATATCTGGTTAAAAAAAAGTATAAAAGGTATAATCTGAGGTATATATGGGTGAAAAGATATGATGGTGTGCTTGCAATATGCTTTACAATACTCCAGAAAGGAAGTTTGAAACAAGAATGGCCATTAATTCTTAACTTTTGAAGCTGGGTAGTGGGTAAATGGGGATTCACTATATGATTCTATTTGTATGGATGTCTGAATATTTCCATATTAAAAAGTAAAATGAGGAAAAGCGTAGTGGAGCAGGGAGTTCTGGTAATATGATAGTAGCTGAAATTAGGTTTTCAGATTCTTTGTGGATTTCACTTACTGGTGGAGTGGGCCATGTGCATAAATGCTCAGCAGCTGTATGGGTCCCAGGCAGGAGGGAAGCTTGGGTTCCAATCCCAGGAAAAGATGCTTCCTCTCCTTAAGAGCTTGAGTATCTGGTGCTTGGAGCTGCCTTGCATTTTTATAATTAGCATTCTGGTGCCTCCACCAATTGAGGGAGGAGAAGGCTTGAAGATGAGTACCAAATTCTGTAAAGCAGAACTTATCATCTCATTAGATCCTGACACACTGAAAGGATACCCTGTCAGGCATCTCCAACCCAAGCTGTTTGGAAAGAATCTATTGCTAGGGATGAACAGAGACTGGGATAAGGGCAAGTAGGGAAATGTTTCCTCCAAGTTGACATTCAGCAAAAGTAAATTTGGGGAGAATGTGAAAGCTGTCCTTTCATATTGGTTCTAAATATGACAGTATGCTTGCTGGATTTTGCAGAGAGCTGATGGCTGCAAGCCAACAGCGAGAATTGGGAGCAGGAATGAGGTGCTGCATACCTCTCTGGGTAGGCAAGGATTTGTTTTTCACAGGTTTGAAGTAAAATTCAGAAAGTGTGGCTGGTAGACTGGCCCTACTTCAGCATCCTAGCTCCCATCTGATTGACTGACTCTCGGAAGCCGCCAAGTCACTGAAGCTTCCCCTTCAGTGCTTCTAGAATTGTCTCTCAGAGCTACTTCTATTTCCGTTTTAGGGCTATCATAGGATAGGAGAGGTCTATGAAGTTAGAGAATGAGAGGGGCAGTCTGACAGGGTCTTCCCTTCCAGCTGTCTTAGCCTATTTTTGTATTGATATAAAGGAATACTTGAGACTGAGTAATTTATAAAGAAAAGAGGTTTATTTGTCTCATGGTTTGCAGGCTGTACTGAAAGCAAGGCATCAATATCTGCTTGTGATGAGGGCCCCAGGAAGCTTCTACTCATGGTGGAACATGAATGAGAGCTGGTATGTGCAGATCGCATGGCAAGAAGAAGCACGAGAGACAGGAGGGAGTGCCAGGCTCTTTTAAGCAACCATCTGTTGCAGAAGTAATAGAGCAAGAACTCACTCATTA
This sequence comes from Homo sapiens, assembly GCF_000001405.40. Taxonomy (NCBI): domain Eukaryota; kingdom Metazoa; phylum Chordata; class Mammalia; order Primates; family Hominidae; genus Homo; species Homo sapiens. The sequence goes on along the minus strand of NC_000023.11, from coordinate 63,836,485 downwards.
CCTCGAGGAAGGCACCAAGCGATTGATGAGGAATCTGCCCCCATGACCATGCCCCACTTCCAACACTGGGGATCAAATTTTAACATGAGTTTTGGAAGGCTCAAATATCTAAACTGTGGCATCAACTGAGGACCACGTTTTGTCTCATCCAGGCTCTGAGAGTGACCTTGTTCTTCCAGCTCAGCATCCATAGCTGACTCCTACCCCAACAGAATATTTAACAATATGCCTGCCTGTTGACATGTTCATTTGGTTGATGTATTAGTCCATTTTCACACTGCTATAAAGATACTACTAGAGACTAGGTAATTTATAAATGAAAGATGTTTAATTGACTCGTAGTTCTTCATGGCTGGGGAGGCCTCAGGAAACTTATAATCATGAACGAAGGTGAAGGAGAAGCAAGTACCTTCTTCACAAGGCAGCAGGAAAAAGAGAAAGTGTGCGTGTGTGAGGTAGGAACTGTCAAACACTTAATAAAACCATCAGATCTTGTGAAAACTCACTCACAGTCATGAGAACAGCATAAAGGAAACTGCCTCTATGATCCAATCACCTCCCACCAGGCCCCTCCCTCAACACATGGGGATTATGAAGATTGCAATTAGAGATGAGATTTGGGTGGGGACACAGAGCCAAACCATATCAGTAGGGTTCACGTCATTGCACATTCTAAGTCGCACAGTCATTTATTCCCTAGCCAAGGCAGACCCGACACAAAATTATGACCCTCCCCTGGCCCTCCCCTAAAGTCTTTCTAGCTCTCCTATTCCTGAAAATTATGACTTTTCGTTGTATTGTATGTGAAAGGCATTTTCAACACAAAGGTAATGATTGGTTCCAGAAAACTACTGGGAGTGGAAGAGTGGAGGCAGGTAGGCCTCTGAAGAATGAGTCATCTAGGCTGGCGGTGTCGGTGTGCCTTATTCACTAGGGGAGAGAAGGAGGCCTGGCAGTGAGGGAGGGCTCTCTGAGGCAAACTGGAAATTATATTCCTGACACTTACAGACTGTGCCTAGAACCAGGGTAGAGGTCTTAGAGACCCCTGATTCAGGAGGCAATAAATTCCAGGGACCTCAGGCTGCAGAGCAGCCCAAGAATGCTGGCTGGAAAATCTACGGTTTATACTCTTCTCTACTTTTGCTTGTATTTAAAAGTTTGAAAGTGGATCTCCCTCAGGCTAAAGCGTAAGCAGCTTGGCTAGCCTCAAACCAAGCTCAAGTATGCCTGGGCTGCCAAAGATAGAGTATTCAAGCTATCCAGAAAACATATTAAAGTGGCATTGCTGAGAATGAAGCAGGGATGGGCTTTATATGCCTTCATTCCCATACATACATCCTCTTACCTTATAATAGCCTTCCAGGTCTTTTCTCAGAATTCTGGGACTCCAAAATTGCTGGAGTAGACGATCCTTTCTGTTTTTAAATTTTGTTATTGAAACTTTCAAACACATACAAAAGTAGAGAAAACAGTATAATGAACCCTCATATACCCATTATCCAGTTTCAGCAACTAGTAACTTTATTTCTCCATTCACTCCCTCACCACACATCTCTGGGTTATTGTGAAGCAAATCCTTGATGTCATCATATCATTTTGTCTGAAAATAGCATGTATCTCTGAATAATATAGACTCTTTAAAAATTATAAGTGTAATACCATTATCAAATCTAAAAAAATACTAAGAATACATTCTTAATATCATACAGTATTCATTCAGTGTTCAGATTTCACTGAGTGTCTCACAAATTTAATTTTCAAACAGCTGTGTTCCCATAAGAATACAAAGGTCCGTATATTACGAATGACTGATATGTCTCTTAAGGCTCTGTTAAGCTTAGTTTCTGGGTTCCATCTCCCTCTCCCTCTCCTTGCCTCTATCCTTCCCTCCTTGTATTTATTGGGGAAGCTTTTTTTTCTTTGTTTCTTTGTTTGTTTTAGCATTTTGCACAATGTGAAAGGCATTTTACTGACTACATATATTTTGATATAATGTTTTTCTATGTTCTATTCCCTGTAAATTGAGGTGATATAGAGACTTGATCAGATTCCGATTCAGTTTTTTTGGCAAAACTCCTTCACAGATAGTGTTGTGTCCCTCCATCTGGAAGCTCTCTTTCTGTGATAACATCATCTCTTTTCTTTACAGATGAGGGAAACACATTCAAACCAGGATGAGACTGACAGAACTGGGCACTCTATGTAGCCCAGGTCTTCTGACTCTCCATGTAGTATTCTATGCCCTGTGCCACATACCACCAGGCTCTTGACTGAGGCACTTCATGAGTAGGTCAAGAAGACCACACTGGGAAGGGCTGCCTACTTTTTCTGTTTTAAGCAGAACATCCTCTTAGTTTCCTAGGGCTCTCTAGCCCCCACTCCAACCCAGTATTCCTATGGCATAGTTTGGGAAGTCCCCATCTGAAAAAAATAGATCGAGGTAGGTTTCCCTATTTGTTCTGGCAAATCTCAAACAGAGTGGGGCAAAGTGGTCTTTCAGTATGGGAGAAGAAACGGGTTGTTGGTCTCAGAACAGCAAGGTGGGATGTGCTTGCAAACTGGTTAAACTGGGTGGATGAGCCTACTGCCCTTCCTTGTAGGAGGAGTATCCTGGGCTTAGTGCCAATGGATCGGAGAAAAGGAAGGGAAGGGAGAGAGGGGAGAAGCAAGAGAAAGTATGGAGCATAGAATTCTGGAGAATCACCTTGAAGGAAGAGGTCAGCCTCTGGCGCTACTGTTCTTTGCGGAATGGAAGCAGGGAGTTCCAGCCTAGCTAAGAAAAACCCTTTCTGCCTGAAGATTACTCATTAGCAAGTTCAGACTCTTAACGAAAAGAATGGTTTTTCTGCTCATTTGTGTACATTTTAGATTTCCATCATGTTTCATGGATCCAGGTGGGCTATTTATTAAGCATAGCCGATTCAGAGAGTCTAAGACCTGGATGGACGCTAGGAGGTCTTCTCCATCTCCCAACCTTCCTAAGAGATACCCCAATTTCCTTCCCCTCCAGTTCTGTTTCCTTTTCTACCAACCTTCACCATAGGGCAGTCCTTTCTCAGAGTTAATTCAAATCCTTCCTGATAAAACATAAGCCCATTTCCTCTTCTCCTTCATAGAGAAGAGCAGCCTTACCTATAGTAATAACTCAAGGGCTTAATATTCTAGTTCAAACCTCTGTCACATCCGAGGCTAAATATTGCACTAGCCTATCTCTCGGCCTCATCTTTCACTCCTTCGGTCATCATCATCTATACTATGGCCAGATTAATCTTCCCAAGGAAAAGCACTGCACATGTCAGAGATGCTCTACATCTTGGTGCCTGCTTGGACAACTATCCTGGTTGGGCTACTTCCTAGCTGTATGACCTCAACTTATCTGTGCCTCAGTTTCCCCATATGTAAAATAGTACTAACAACCTTTATATAGTGTTTGTGAAGATTAAATATGTATAAGGCACATACATAATTTAGGCTATGCATTTTTATGCCTGAACTAATCATTCCATACTGTCCCTCTATTTCTGTTTCTTGAAATACTACCTTGCTTTTAAGTCTAGCTCAGATGCTACCTCCTATATGAAACCTTTTCTGGGCTCTTCAGTTGGAAGCAATCTCTTTCTTTCCTATATTTCCAGAACAATTTTCTTTGTACAGCCCTTATAACATCCCCGTATATTGCCATGTGCTGTCATCATTTACATGTGACTATCTTAATGGGACTACCGTAAGAGAAATTACCTGAAACACACCTACTATTCAGTCCAATGTTCAGTCAGTGGGGATGGTATTATTTCTGTATGTTTTGCTGTTTAAATCAAAGGTTCTCTGGGAGGTGGAGGTTTCAATGAGCCAAGATCACGCCACTGCACTCCAGCCTGGGTGACAAAGCGAGACTCCATCTCAAAAAAAAAGAAAAAAGAAAAAAATCAAAGTCTCAGTCCTGGCTGTACATTGGGATCACCTAAGGATATTTAGAAACTACTGAGTCGTGAGTGCCATACCTAGTGATTCTGACATAACTGGTCTGGGGTGGGGACTGGAAATTTCTAATTTTTAAATCTTCTCAGGTGATTCTGATGCATAGCCAGGGCTAAGAATTCCTGGTTTAAAAAGTTTAGCAAGATATGTGAGCTTATGTAAACCTCACAACAACATTGGTAGGTTACACTGTAAGTGTATTAGTCTGTTCTCACACTGCTAATAAAGAAATACCCAAGATTAGGTAATTTATAAAGGAAAGAGACTTTACTGACTCAGTTCTGCATGGCTTGGGAGGCCTCAAAAAACTTACAATTACGGCAGAAGGGGAAGCAAACACATCCTTCATTACATCGAGGCAAAAAAGAGAAGTGCCAAGCAAAAGGGGGGAAAGCCCCTTATAAAACCATCAGATCTCATGAGAACTCACTCACTATCATGAGAAAAGCAACACGGGGGTAACTGCTCCCATGATGCAATTACCTCCCACCAGGTCCCTACCATGACACGCTGGGATTACGGGAACTACAATTCAAGATGAGATTTGGGTGGGGACACAGCCAAACCATACCATTCCACCCCGGCCCCTCCCAAATGTCATGTCCTCACATTTAAAAACACAATCATGCCTTTCCAACAGCCCCCAAACATCTTAACTAATTCCAGCATTAACCAAAAAGACCAAGTCCAAAGTTTCATCTGAGACAAGGCAAGTCTCTTCCACCTATGAGCCTGTAAAATCAAAAGCAAGGTAGTTGCTTCCTAGATACAATGGGGGTGCAGGCATTGGGTAAATACACCCATTCTAAATGGGAAAAATGGGCCAAAACAAAGGGGCTACAGGCCCCATGCAAGTCTGAAATTCAATAGGGCAGTCATTAAATCTTAAAGTTCCAAAATTATCTCCTTTGACTCCATGTCTCACATCCAGATTACTCTGATGCAAGAGTCCCAGTGGGGACTCTGTGTGGGGACTCCAGTCCCACATTTCCCTTCTGCACTGCCCTAACAAAGGTTCTCCATGAGGGCTCTTCCCCTTCAGCAAACTTATTCCTGGACATGCAGACATTTCCATACATCCTCTGAAATCTAGGTGGAGGTTCCCAAACCTCAATTCTTGACATCTGTGCACCCACAGGCTCAACACCACATGGAAGCCATCAAAGCTTGGGGCTTACACCCTGTGAAGCAATAGTCTGCACTGTACCTTGGCCCCTTTTAGCCATGGCTGGAGCTGAAGCAGCTATGATTCAGGGCACCCTGTCCCAAGGCTGTACAGAGCAGGGGGGCACTGAGCCTGGCCCAGGAAACCATTTTTCCCTCCCAGGCCTAAAGGACTGTGATAGGAGGGTGTGCCATGAAGGTCTTTGACATCCCCTGGAGACATTTTCCTCATTGTCTTCGTGATTAACATTTGGCCCCTCATTACTTATGCAAATTTCTGCAGCTGGCTTGAATTTCTCTCCAGAAAATGGGTTTTTCTTTTTCTTTTCTTTTTTTTTTTTTCAGACAGAGTCTCGCTGTGTCACCAAGGCTTGAGTGTAGTGGCATGGTCTTGGCTCACTGCAACCTCCACCTCCCAGGTTCAAGTGATTCCCCTGCCTCAGCCTCTCAAGTAGCTGGGACTACAGGCACCCACCACCACACTCAGCTAATTTTTTTTTTTTTTTGTACATTTAGTAGAGATGGGGTTTCATTATCTTGGCCAGGCTTGTCTTGAACTCCTGACCTCGTGATCCACCTGCCTCAGCCTCCCAAAGTGCTGGGATTACAAGCGTGAGCCACTGTACCCAGCCAGGATTTTCTTTTCTACTGCATCACCAAGCTGCAAATTTTTGAAACTTTTATGCTCTTTCTCCCCTCGAATGCTTTGCTCTTTAGAAATTTCTTCAGCCAGATATCCTAAATCATTTCTCTCATGTTCAAATTTTCACAGATCTCTAGGGCAAGGGCAAAATGCAGTCATGCCTACTCCAGTTCTCAACAAGTCCTTCATCTCCATCTGAGACAACTTCAACCCGGACTTGTTTGTCCATATCACTATCAGCATTTTGGTCAAAGCCATTCAACAGGTCTCTAGGAAGTTCCAAGCTTTTCTACATCTTCCTGATTTCTTCTGAGTCCTCCAAACTGTTCCAACCTCTGCCTATTACCCATTTCCAAAGTTGCTTCCACATTTTTGGGAATTTGCAGTAGCAACCCACTGGCCAGTACCAATTTACTGTATTAGTCCTTTCTCACAGTGCTAACGAAGACATACCCAAGACTGGGTAATTTATAAAGAGAAGAGATTTAATTGACTCACAGTTTCTCATGGCTGGGGGGCCTCCAAAAACTTACAATCATGGCAGAAGGGGAAGCGAACATGTTCTTCTTTACATGGCAGCAGCAAGGAGAAGTGCCAAGCAAAAAGGGGAAAGGGCCCTTATAAAACATCAGATCTCATGAGAACTCACTCAGTATAATGAGAAAAGCAGCATGGGGGGACTGCCCCCATGATTCAATTACCTCCCTCTAGGTCCCTCCCACAACATATGGGGATTATGGGAACTACAATTCAAGATGATATTTGGGTGGGGACACAGCCAAATTATCAGTAAAATATTATTAATTCTGTTTTGTAAATACAGATACTAAGGCTCAAATAGGTTAAAATGGCTACTCCAAGGTGACAGAAATGTTAAGTGGCAGAGTGGGGAAGTGTAGACAGGGTTTCTAACTCCAAATTTTGTGCTGTGTCCTCCAGAACACAGACCTCCTACCACATTGGTTGCTCCTCAGGTTCAGGAATGTTTCTTCAAGGTAAGAAACGTATCCTCAGGGTCAGAAACATGTTATCAAGGTCAGTTTATGTGTTTTTTTTTTTATTCTCTACACTCTGAGCATGTGACATAGAGCCTTATCCTGAGTGAGGAATGGTGAAGAATAAAATGCACTGATCACTCATGAGTGAAGGGAGAAGAGAAGAGGTAGATTGGTGGAAGGTACTGAGGTAGGTAGACTTCTTGAAGAAAGGCAGAAAGGCAAAAGCATAGTCTTCTGACTCCTAGTTCAGTGCTCTTTCCACTATATCTCACCACTTTTCCCAGATTAAATAAATAAATAAGATTGAGGAGAGGCAGCAGAAGGTGGTGGAATGGGACTCTGCAGTCATAGCCCTCCTACAGAAACATCAATTCAAACAACTATCTACAGATGAAAATATCTTAACAGGAGCTAAGGAAACCACAGCACCGGATTGTAGCACAATAATAAGTAAAAACACATGGAAGTGGGTAGGAAGGAGAGTCTTATACGACCCATGTCACCCCTCCCTCAACCCCAGTTAGCACAGTGTAGAGAGATATTTTACTTGCTTGGGGAAAAGAAGGAAGTGAGCAGAGACCTTTGCCTTAGACTGGAACACTGGGCCTGCCACAGTAAAATCAAGCACCAGGCAGGTCACCAGGGCTCCACACTCCAGGTAGGAACTTGCAGACTTAGACACCAGACCTATCCTGGTAGCAGGTGGGACCTTACAGCCCCAGTTCACGTCTGTGAGGCAGAGTCCATTTCCAGTCTGCACCACTTCAGGAGCAACATCACTCACCCCAGGAACCAGGCTCTTCTCACCAATGACATTCCTCACAGAAATAGAAAAACCAATGCTAAAGTTTGTATGGAACCATGAAAGATCTTGAATAGCTAAAGCAATCCTGGGCAAAAAGAATAAAGTTGGAAGCATCACACTTACTTGACTTCAAAATGTACTACAAAGCTATGGTAACAAAAACAGTATGGAAAGGGCATGAAAACAGACATATAGAGCAAAAAAACAGAATAGAGAGCCAGAAGTAAGTTCACACATTTGTAGTCAGCTGATTTTTTTTATGTAAGTTATTGGGATACAGTTGGTATTTGGTTACATGAGTAAGTTATTTAGTGGTAATTTGTGAGATTTTGGTGCACCCATCACCCAAGCAGTATACACTGCACCATATTTGTAGTCTTTTATCTTTGCCCCCCTCTCCCTTCCTCCCAAGTCCCCAAAGTACATTATATCATTCTTATGCCTTTGCATCCTCATAGATTAGCTCCCACATATCAGTGAGAATATACAATGTTTAGTTTTCCATTCCTGAGTTACTTCACTTAAAATAATAGTCTCCAATCTCATCCAGGTCACTGAAAGTGTTATTAATTTATTCCTTTTTGTATACAGCCAACTGATTTTTGACAAAAGTACCAGGAACACACATTGAGGGAAAGACAGTCTTCAATAAATGGTGCTTAAAAACTGGATATCCACATGTATAATAATGAAATTAGACTGTGACCTCCTTTTATATAAAAAAAATCAACTGAAAACGGATAAAGAATTAAGTATAAGACTCTAAACTATGAAAATACAAGAAAAAAACATAGGGGGAAGTCTCCATGACATTGGTTTTTTGGATATGACCCTGAAAGTACAGGCAACAAAAGCAACATTAACAAATGAGATAGTATCAAATTGAAAAGCTTCTGCACAGCCAAGGAAACAAGCCTGAGTGAAGAGACAACATATAGAATGGGAGAAAATATCTGTAAATCTTGTATCTGATAAGAGGTTGATTTCCATAATATATAAGAAACTCAAACAACTCAATAACAAGAAAACAAATAACATGATTAAAAATGGGCAAGGAACAAAAATAATAAAATACCTTTGAATGCAGCTAATCAGGGAGGTGAAGGATTACTACATGGAGAACTACAAAACACTGCTTGAAGTAATCAGAGATTGCATAACCAAATGGAAAAACATTCCGTGTTCATGGATATGAAGGATCAATACCATTAAAATGGCCATATGGCCCAAAGCAATGTATAGATTCAATGCTATTTCTATGAAATTACCAAGAATATACTTCATAGAACTAGAAAAAAAAACTATTTTAAAATTCATGTGGAACTGAAAAAGAGCATGAATAGTCAAGGCAATTCTAAGTAAAAATAACAAAGCAGGAGGCATCATGCTACCCAACTTCAAACTATACTACAGGGCTACTGTAACCAAAAAAGCATGGCACTGGTACACAAACAGACACATAGACCAATGGAACAGACTAGAAAGCCCAGAAATAAGGCCACACACCTACAACTATCTGATTGTTGACAAAGCTGACAAAAACAAGCAACAAGGAGAAGATTCCCTATTCAATAAATAGTGCCTGGGATAACTGGCTAGTCATATGCAGAAGATTGAAACTGAACCCCTTCCTTACACCATATACAAAAATCACCTGAAGATAGATTAAGATGTAAATATAAAACCTAAAACTATAAAAATCCTGGAAGACAACCTAGGCAATACCATTCTTGACATAGGAATGGGCAAATATTTCATGACAAAGATGCGAAAAGCAATTGCAACAAAAGCAAAAATTGATAAATTGGATATAATTCAACTAAAGAGCTTCTGTACAGCAAAATAAACTATCAACAGAGTAAACAGACAACCTACAGTGTAGGAGAAAATTTTTGCAAACTATACATTTGACAAAGGTCTAATATCCTGCACCTGTAAGAAACTTAAATGTACAAGAAAAAAACAAACAACCCCATTAAAAAGTGGGCAAAGAACATGAACAGACACTTTTTAAAGGAAGACATACGTGCAGCCAACAAGCATATGAAAAAGAACTCAATATCACTGATAATTAGAGAAATGCAAATCAAAACCACATGAGATACCATCTCACACCTGTCAAAATGGCTATTATTAAAATGTCAAAAGAATACTTATCTGGGCGACCTTAGGTCAAGCTTGTATCCCCCCATACTACCACAACTGATGCTCTCTTTAGCATGCTACCTCCTGGTTGTAGGCCAACCAACTCAAGCCATTACAGCAACTCATAACAGAGCAACCCTGCTTCAAGGAAGGAGAAAACAACATCTACTTTCACCACCTGCTAAAATCTTGGCTATCCAGAGGTCCTGAGTCTGCCTATTTGACATCTTCACTGCTAGTACAACCAGCATTTGAGAAAACCAGCACACTAAACAAAACTATAACTAAAGATCATCACAGAGTCCACTTCACTTCCCTACTACCTCCACTGGAGCAGGCTGTGGTATCCATGGCTGAGAGACCTGAAGATTGATCACATCATAAGACTCTTTGCAGGCTCTCCCTCTCCCTCTTCCTGTCCTTCTCCCTCTCCCTCTCCCCTTTGCATGGTCTCCCTCTGATGCCGAGCCGAGGCTGGACTGTACTGCTGCCATCTCGGCTCACTGCAACCTCCCTGCCTGATTCTCCTGCCTCAGCCTGCCGAGTGCCCGGGATTGCAGGCACGTGCCACCACGCCTGACTGGTTTTCGTATTTTTTGGTGGAGACGGGGTTTCGCCGTGCTGGCCGGGCTGGTCTCCAGCTCCTGACCGTGAGTGATCTGCCAGCCTCGGCCTCCTGAGGTGCCGGGATTGCAGACGGAGTCTCGCTCACTCAGTGCTCAATGTTGCCCAGGCTGGAGTGCAGTAGTGTGATCTCGGCTCGCTACAACCTCCACCTCCCAGCCACCTGCCTTGGCCTCCCAAAGTGCTGAGATTGCAGCCTCTGCCCAGCCGCCACCCTATCTAGGAAGTGAAGAGCATCTCTGCCTGGCTGCCCATCATCTGGGATGTGAGGAGCCCCTCTGCCCGGCCACCCAGTCTGGGAAGTGAGGAGTGCCTCTTCCCAGCCGTCATCCCGTCTAGGAAGTGAGGAGCGTCTCTGCCCGGCCACCCATCGTCTGGGATGTGGGGAGTGCCTCTGCCCCGCTGCCCCACCTGAGATGTGAAGAGTGCCTCTGCCCGGCAATGACCCCGTCTGGGAACTGAGGAGTGTCTCTGCCCCACCGCCACCCCATCTGGGAGGTGAGGAGCGTCTCTGACCGGCCGCCCGGTCTGAGAAGTGAGGAGCCCCTCCGCCTGGCAGCCACCTTTTCTGGGAAGTGAGGAGCCCCTCCGCCCGGCAGCCACCCCATCTGGGAAGTGAGGAGTGTCTCCGCCCGGCAGCCACCCCGTCCGGGAGGTGGGGGGCAGCCCCCGCCCGGCCAGCCACCCCGTCCGGGAGGTGGGGGGCAGCCCCCGCTCAGCCGCCACCCCGTCTGGGAGGTGGGGGGCACCTCTGCCCGGCCACCCCGTCTTGGAAGTGAGGAGCCCCTCTGCCCGGCCACCACCCCATCTGGGAGGTGTACCCAATAGCTCATTGAGAACAGGCCATGATGATGATGGCGGTTTTGTCAAATAGAAAAGGGGGAAATGTGTGGAAAAGAAAGAGAGATCAGATTGTTACTGTGACTGTGTAGAAAGAAGTAGACATAGGAGACTCCATTTTGTTCTGTACTAAGAAAAATTCTTCTGTCTTGGGATGCTGTTAATCTATAACCTTACCCCCAACCCCGTGCTCTCTGAAACATGGGCTGTGTCCACTAAGTGTTAAATGGATTAAGGGCAGTGCAAGATGTGCTTTGTTAAACAGATGCTTGAAGGCAGCATACTCGTTAAGAGTCATCACCACTCCTTAATCTCAAGTACCCAGGGACACAAACACTGCGGAAGGCAGCAGGGCCCTCTGCCTAGGAAAACCAGAGACCTTTGTTCACTTGTTTATCTGCTGACCTTCCCTCCACTATTGTCCTATGACCCTGCCAAATCCCCCTCTCCAAGAAACACCCAAGAATGATCAATAAATACTAAAAAAAAAAAAAAAAAGACTCTTTGCAGACACTCCCTAGTACCAGCCTGAAGCCTGGTAGCTCTACTGGTTGGCTAGACCCAGAAGAGCAATAACCATCACTGCAGTCTGGATCTCAGGAAGCCCCATCCCTAGGCAAATGGGGAGAGCACCACATCAAGGAATCACCCTGTGGGACAAAATAATCTGAACATCAGCCCTTGAGCCCTATATCTTTCTTCTGACATGGCCTACCCAATGAGAAGAGAGAAGGAACCAGAAAAACATCTCTGGTAATACGGAAAAGGAAGGTTCTTTAACACCCTCAAAAGATCACACTAGCTCACCAGTAATAGATCCAAACTCAGAAGAAATCTCTGAATTGTCAGTAAGAATTCAGAAGGCTGATTATTAAGCTACTCAAGGAGGCACCAGAGAAAGGCAAAAACCAAATTAAAGAAAATAAAATAATAATACAGGATAAGAATATAAAAAATCTTTAGAGAAATATATAGCATAAATAAAAAACAATCGCAATTTCTGGCAATGAAAGCCACACTTAGAGAAATGCTAACTAAACTGGAAAGTTTCAACAATAAAATTGAACAAGTAGAAGAAAGACCTTCAGAGCTTGAGGACAAGGCTTTCATATTAACCCAACCTGACAAAGACAAAGAAAGAATTAAAAAAATAAAATGAACAAAGCCTCCAAGAAGCTTGAATGGTAATAAAATATTTTCAACAAAAATAAGTCCAGGACCAGAGGGATTCACAGCTGAATTCTATCAGATATTCAAAGAAGCATAGGTACCAATCCTACTGAAACTATTCCAAAAGATTGAGAAAGAGGGAATACTCCCTAAATCATTCTATGAAGCCAGTATCACCCTAATACCAAAACCAGAGGACATAAAAAAAAGCTACAGACCAATATCCCTGATTACCATAGATGCAAAAATCCTCAACAAAATTTTAGCAAATGGAATCCAACAGCATATCCAAAAAAGATAATCCACCATGATCAAGAGAGCTTCCTACCAGAAATGCATGGATGGTTTAACATATGTAAGTCAGTAAATGTCATATACTACATAAACAGAATTACAAACAAAAATCACATGATCATCTCAATAGATGCACAATAAGGATTTGACAAAATCCAGCATCACTTAATGATTAAAACCCTCAGCAAAACTGGTACAGAAGAGACTTACCTTAAGGTAACATAAGCCATGTATGACAAACCCATAGCCAACATTATACTGAACAGGGAAAAGTTGAAAACACTCCCCCTGAGAACTTGAACAAGACAAAGCTGTCACTTTCACCACTTCTATTTAACATAGTACTGGAAGTCCTAGCCAGAGGAATCAGACAAGAGAAAAAAATAAAGGCCATCCAAATTGCTAAAGGGGAAGTCAAAATGTCGCTATTTGCTGATGATATGATCGTATACCTAGAAAACCCTACAGACTCATCTAAAAAGCTCCTTAATTCTACAAATGAATTTAGTAAAGTTTCAGGATACAAAATTAACGTACACAAATCAGGGGCACTGCTATACACCAACAGTGACCAAGCTGAGAATCAAATCAGGAACTCGATCCCTTTTACAATAGCTGCAAAAAATAAAATAAAATCCTTAGGAACAGACATAACCAAGGAGGTGAAAGACCTCTACAAGGAAAACTACAAAACACTGCTGAAATAAATAATAGACAACACAAACAAATGAAAACATACCCCATGCTCATGGATGAATGGAATCAATACTGTAAAAATGACCATGCTGCCAAAAGCGATCTACAAATTCACTGCAATTTCCATCAAAATACTATCATCAGTCTTCACAAAACTAGAAGAAACAATTCTAAAATTTACATGGAACCAAAACACAGCCCGCATAGCCAAAGCAAGACGAAACAAAAAGAACAAATCTGGAGGCATCACATTACCCAACTTCAAACTATACTATAAGGCTGTAGTCACCAAAACAGCATGGCACTGGTATAAAAATACACACATAGAAAAATGGAACAGAATAGAGAACCCAGAAGTAAAACAAAATACTTACAGCCAACTGATCTTTGACAAACCAAACAAAAATATGAAGTAGGGAAAGAATACCCTATTTAACAAGTTGTGCTGGGATAATTGGCAAGCCACTTATAGAATAATGAAACCAGATCCTCATCTCTCAGCCTATACAAAAATCAACTCAAGATGAATGAAAGACTTAAATCTAAAACCAGAAGGCATAAAAATTATAGAAGATAACATTGAAAAAACTCTTCTAGACATTGGCTTAGGCAAAGACTTTATGACTAAGAACCCAAAAGCAAATGCAACAAAAACTAAGATAAATAGATGGGACTTAATTAAATTAAAAAGCTTCTGCACAGCAAAAAATAATAATAATAATCAGCAGAGTAAGCAAACAACTCCCAGAGTGGGAGAAAATCTTTGCAACTATGCATCCAACAAAAGACTAATGTCTGGAATCTACAAGGAACTCAAAAAAATCAGCAAGAAAAAAAAATCCCATCAAAAAGTGAGCTAAGGGCATGAATAAACAATTCTCAAAAGAAGATATCCAAATGGCCAACAGACATGAAAAATGCCCATCATCACTAATGATATGGTTTGGCTGTGTCCCCAACCAAATTTCAACTTGAATTGTATCTCCCAGAATTCCCACATGTTGTACATGTTGTGGAAGAGACCCAGAGGGAGGTAATTGAATCATGGGGGCCAGTCTTTCCCGTGCTATTCTCGTGATAGTGAAAGTCTCACAAGATCTGATGGGTTTATCAGGGGTTTCTGCTTTTGCTTTTTCTCTCATTTTCTCTTGCTCCCACCATGTAAGAAGTGCATTTCACCTCCTGCCATGATTCTGAAGCCTTCCCAGCCATCCCAAACTGTAAGTGCAATTAAACCTCTTTTCTTCCCAGTTTTGGGTATGTCTTTATCAGCTGCATGAAAGCAGTCTAATACAACTAATAATCAGGGAAATGCAAATCAAAAGCACAATGTGATACCACCTCACTCCTTCAAGAATGGCCATAATTTAAAAATCAAAGAAATAATAAATGTCGGCATGAATGTGCTGAAAAGGGAATACCTTTACACTGCTGGTAGGAATGTAAACTACTACAACCACTATAGAAAACAGTATGGAGATTCCTTAAAGAACTAAAAAACTACCATGTGATGCAGCAATCCCACTACTGGGTATCTACCCAGAGAAAAGAAGTCATCATATGAAAAAAGACACTTGCATGCACATGTTTATAGCAGCACAATTTGCAATTGAAAAAATGTGGAACTAAAGTAAATGCCCATCAACCAATGAGTGGATTAAGTGGATTAAGAAAATGTGACATATATATATGTGTATATATATTATATATGTATATATTATATATATGTAATATATATTATATATGGATATATAATATATATATAATATGTATATATTATATATGGATATATTATGTATATAATATGTATATATTATATATGGATATATTATATATGGATATATAATATATATAATATGTATATATTATATATGGATATATAATATATATAATATGTATATATTATATATTATATATTATATGTATATATAATATACATGTATATTATATATATTATATGTATATATTATATATTATATATTATATGTATATATAATATACATGTATATTATATATATTATATGTATATATAATATACAGGTATATTATATATTATATGTATATATAATATACATGTATATTATATATATATTATATGTATATATAATATATATGTATATTATATATATTATATGTATATATAATATATATTATATATTATATGTATATATAATATATATTATATATTATATATTATATCTGTATATATTATATATGTATATATTATATATTATATATGTATATATTATATACTATATATATTATATATACATATGTATATTATATGTATATATGTATATATGTGTGTATATATATACATATATATTATATGTATACATATATATAATATATATGTGTGTATATATATATATATATATATATATATAATGGAATATTACTCAGCCATAAAAAGGAACGGAATAATGGCATCCACAGCAACCTAGATGGAGTTGAAGGTTATTACTGTAAGTGAAGTAACTCAGGAATGGAAAACCAAACATCATATATTCTCACTTATAAGTGGGAGCTAAGCTATGAGTATGCAAAGGGATAAGAAGGACATAATGGACTCTAGGGGAAGGGAGGGAGTGGAATAAAGAATAAAAGACTACACATTGGGTGCAGTGTGCACTGCTGCGTTGATGGGTGCACTGAAATCTCAGAAATCACATCTAAAGAATTTATCCATGTTACCAAACACAGTCTGATCCCCAAAAACCTATAGGAATAATAATTTTAAAAAACATCAAAAATAACAGATATGGCAAGGTTGAGGAGAAAAAGGAATGCTTATACACTGTTGTTGGGAGTGTAAACTAGTTTAACTATTGTGGAAAACAGTGTGGCGATTACTCAAAGACCTAAAAACAGAAATACCTTTCGACCCAGCAATCCCATTACTGGGTATGTACTCAAAGGAGTATAAATTGTTCTGTCATAAAGACATAAAGACACATGCAGAGGTATTTTCATTGCAGCACTATTCACAATAGTAAAGACATGGAATCAACCTAAATGCCCATCAGTGGTAGACTGGATAAAGAAAATGTGGTACATATACACCATGGTGTACTATGCAGTCATAAAAAAGGACAAGATTATATCCTTTGCAGGAATATGGGTGGAGCTGGAAGCCATTATCCTTAGCAAACTAACTCAGGAATAGAAAACTAAATACCACATGTTCTCACTTACAAGTGGGAGCTAAATGATGAGAACACATGGACACATGGGGGGAACAACAGACACTGGGGCCTACTTCAGCATGAACGGTGGGAGGAGGGAGAGGATCAGGAAAAATAACTAATAGGTACTAGGCTTATTATCTGATTGACAAAATAATCTGTAAAACAAACTCTCATGACACAAGTGTACCTGTTTAACAAACCTGCACATGTACCTCTGAACTTAAATAAAAGTTAAATTTTAAAAAATGGACAAAGGGTCTGAATAGAAATGTCTCAAATGAAGACATACTAATGGCCAAAAATTATATGATCAAATAGTCAGCATCACTAATAATCAGGGAAATGCAAATTAAAACCAAAAGAAAATATTACCTCTCACCTGTTTGAATGGCTACTATCAAAAATACAGAAGAAAACAAGTATTGGCAAGGATATAGAGAAAAAGGAACCCTTGCATACTGTTGGTGGCAATGTAAATTAGTACAGCCATTATGGAAATCTTTATGAGGTTTCTCAAAAAATTAAAAACAGAAGTACTATATGAGCAAGCAATCTCACTTTTGAGCATATGTCCACAGGAAATAAAATCAGTAATGTTGAAGAGATAATTGCACTCCCATGTTTACTGCAGCCAAAATATGGAATTAACCTAAGTGTCTACGGGTGGATGAATGAATAAAGAAAATGTGGCATATATACATAGTGGAATACTATACAGCCATAAACAGAAGGAAATTTTGCCATTTACCACAAGACGAATGAGCCTGGAGGACATTATGTTAAGTGAGATAAACCTGGCAGAGAAAGGCATATACTGCTTGATGTTACTTATATTTGGAACCTTAAAAAAATGTTTTCATAGAACTGGAGAGTAGGATGGTGGTTACCATGGGCTGGGACAGTTGAGGAGGTGGTGGTTGGAGAGATGTTGGTCAAAAGATACAAAATTTGTGTTAGATAGGAGGAATTAGGTTCAAAAGATCTATTATAGTACATAGTGACAATAGTTAATATATCTTGAAAAATGCTAAGAAAGTGTATATAAAGTGCTTTTACCACAAAAATTATAACCGTGTGAGGTAAAGTTATGTTAATTTGGCTAGATTTAGACATTCCACAATACTTTAAAACATCATGCTCTACATGACATATACAAACAATTTTATCTGTGAATAAAAATATAAAATAAAAAAGATTGAGCTAAGTAGTCGAATGACAGCAGCATAATAGATTACTAAGGAAAACAAGGATGTTAGGCAATTTCCTTGGCCTTGGGGTTTGCTGTCATCTGGTCATTCAAGCCCTGCCCTTACAGAATCTCCACTGAAGGAGATCTGGACTAGAGGGGCTGTGAACCAGCCTGGGGTACCTTGAGAATATTGTGGGTATGGTCTAGGAAGTCATTGCAAGTTATGGTAACAGGAACATGCAAAAGGGAAAGAGGAAAACGGTCAAGGGATGTTGGAACTGGGGACTAATTAGAAATTGGCATGGAAGGAAAACAAGGTCTCAGTAAATAGTGACAAGCATATCTGGTACTATTCCAGGCTGTCAGAGCAAATGCAGATGAGAGAGACAGAAAGAGGCAAAAGGCAACCCTGGGTCGGGCGGGCGGGGTACAGCAATCTCCTCACAGTGTGAATACAAACTTACCAACTCCACCAAAGCTTCATGAAGATAACCCATACCACCATCTTAAATTTTCCCCCAAGTTTTCTGGTGCTATGGAGTTAAGTGACCTCCCTGAAGAGATAAGTTAATTGCTCAGCCAGCACTAGAACTCCCATTTGCTGAGGGATGTGAGGGAGTATCTGTTACATGGCTTTCTCCTAGCTTCTGGTGGTTTGCTGGAAATCTTGGGCATTCCTTGTATTCTGCTGCATCACCTAGATCTCTGCCTTCATCTTCACATGGTGTTCTTCGTGTGTGTGTGTGTGTGTGTATGTGTGTGTGTGTATATCTGTGTCTGTGTTTAAGTTTCCCCTTTTTATAAGGACACCAGTCATATTGGATTACGGGCCCACCCTACTCCAGGGTGATCTCATATTTTCTTAACTAATGACATCTGCAGCCGCCCTATTTCTGAATAAGTTCACGTTCTGAGGTCCTGGGAGTTATATCAACATAATAATTTGTGGGAGGGACACAATTTACCCCATGACACTCATCATCTGATGACTCTCCCCCAAAGACTATCAGTATCAGTTTGTTTCTTGATAGTCAGACCTATATATCAACTGCCTGCTGGACTAAGTATATCTACAAATCCCATGAGCATCTCTGTCCTAATCAATATGCTTTACCTTCTACCACTGCTATGACCTCACCTAAACTTGGCTCACCTCCTGAGTGATCCCTCTGGGTTATTAGCTTTACCATCATCCCAGTTATGCAGCTATGAAACCTCAGAGTTTTCTCTAATTCCTCCTCTCTTCTCTCTCTGTATTATCACTTGCAAGGTCTTGCAGATTCTAGTTTTATGATGTCTTGATTTTGTCTTGCCCTGCTTCTCCCCTGCTACTGCCCTAATCAAATGGCATTATTTCTTCTCACCTGGAAGGGTACAGTAACCTCCCAGCTGCTCTCCCTGCCTCCCATTTAGCCTCTCCTTCTGGTCTATCCTGTCTGACATACAAGAGTCACCATCATCAAGCACAGATCTGCCAGTGGCTTCTCTCCTCAGAAACAGCTGCTTTCCCAATCTCTGAGCCTTGTCCTGTGCCAATCCTGTTCTCTATAATGTCCTCCCCTTTGTTCACCTAAGTAGATTTTTAGCTGAAAGGCCACAGTCTCCACAAAGCCCTTACATCCCATATGACCTTTTGTTCCTCAGGCTGTGTTTATATCTCTTCAGTAGCACTTAACATATTCTACCCTGTCTCAGAACTACATATCTCCTTTGTCACTCTTCCAAACATACACTAACACAATATGATTGTGTTTAGGCAGAGTCTGAGTCTTCCTCATCATAGTGTTCTACACGATGTTTGGCTCACAGCAGGTGCCTAATAAATATTGCTTGAGTGACTTGGAAAACGTTGAAGCTTTCTGCTCAAGTCTCTCTGTGTACTGCTGTAGTGCAGCATAAAAAGCAGCACTCTCAGGTTTTTAAAAAATCTTCCAAATTGGGTCAGCTTATAGACTAGGCTTATCAGCTGCTTCATGCTCAGCACCCAACTCAGCAAGCACCTCTCAGAGAGGGATAGGGAGGTGGGGGCAAAGAGGGATTGAACGAGCTCCCCCCATCTAGCAGCAGCTGCTCAGCAGTAGGATGGGGAGGCTCAGAGAGCAACAAGGCCAAATATGCAGGTCAAAACCTGATTTATGCTGGAAAAAAATGCATGGTGACCTTAATGGCAAGATAGCTTATCATGTGAAACCTACAGTAGCTGAGGGCCCATTTAGACTTTTAGCAGCAGATACCTCTTCAGCCCACCCCCATTTTAAACTTCTTCATTTGAATCTTCTTTTGACCTTTCTTTGAAATGATGGCTATTTTTTTTTTTTTTTGCTCCTAAGCTGTCACTTAGTATACAAAAGTCATCATTTTTACATACTGTGTTGTTAAATCTGGACACAAAACTATTTCTTCTGCCTGCTTCCCAGCTGTGGAGCTGGAGACATCAGAAAAGAGAACTGACTTGCCCAAGGTCACACGGCAAGGGCAGGCCCAGACTGGAAATCAGAAGCTGCCCTTGCCATCATTTCTCTTTACAAGAGTCCAAGGATGAAGTGATGGATGATTGGGAATGGAGCCTCCAAAGGACTGAAGGGAGCAGGTCAAGAGGCATCTCCAGGCAAAAATCTGAGGCCTAGAAAACCTAAGAGCATCACTGCAACAAATGGCAAGGAAAATGTATTGCCTACAGCCTTAGAATGCAGGCCTGGAATCTGACAGGCAGTAAAAAAATGACCCAATGTATGTTGTTAAGGGCCACAGAAAGAGAAGTAGTTTGTTGCATGAATATATAATATGATTGTAAGGGCTGCAGTAGTCCCTCACTTCTTAGGTAGCATGTAAGAGCATTGGCTCCAGACTAGTCTGCCTCGGTTCAAATTTTGATTTCACTACATATTAGCCCAGTGACCTTGGGCAAGTCAGTTAAGTTCTCCAAGCCTTAGTTTCCTCACCTAGAAAATGGAACTCATTATTCACAAATGTTTACTGAACACATACCAGTCAGGTACTCTTCTATGTACCTGAGATACAACAATGAACACTTCAGACAGAAATCTCTAACTTTGTGGAGCTGACATTCCAGTAGGGGGAATATTTACAAACAATCTCCTCACCTCCCAGCATATGGGGAGGGGTAAATGAGAGAATGCATGCAAGGTGCTTGGCACAGACATAGTACCTAATGAATGCTTTAGGCTAAACTACAATTTAGCAAAAGGGATGTGTCAGAGCAGTGAATATTGTGCCCACCTGTCTGCCCTTCCATTTAACTCCAGCCCTCTTCAGAATGCTGTCCTGACAGGTGTCCAAGCTCAGAGGAAGGTGAAGGAAAATGGCATTTGAGCTTGACCTTATAAATGAGCGGGAGAGGAAAGAGCTGGAAAGGCCCTGACAGGCCAGGCCGAAGACTTCCCAGGCCCTTGGGATTTGAAACACAGTATGGAGATGTTGATAAAGTAAGAAAATGATCCCAGACTGGGGATTTTTTGACTGGGTTAAGGGTAAGAGATCTTTATTTTCCCATATTTGAGACTGGAGGTGAGTGACAGAGCTTTAGTTCCATGATGTGTGTGTGTTTGTGTTGGTGTATGTATTTATAAAGTGACCAGAATTTTAGCAAGTCCCGCCGAGGGAATAAATCCAGTGTTGATCCTTGGCAAAAGACATACAAGTCCTTACTGTTCTGAGCTGAATTTCTCACAGAGATCTGCTGAAGCTATAGTCAGGCCTACCAAACCCAGAGGCATAGTGGGTCTAGGGAACTGGAAGGGCCACAAATACTGGCCAAGGTGATTCAATGTCTAGAGTCCAAGTACATTCTCTTCTGGCTTTTTCCCCTCCAGTCCCATAGTACCTGTTTCCCCACTGAAAGCTAGCAAGACCCTGGTGGTGCCATGTCTCCAGCCCGTGTTCCAGTGAGACAGAGTCAGGAATGGCTTCCAGACCTTTGGCCTCTCAGTGGAGGGGAAAGGAGAGCTTACTTGGGACCCCAACGTGGGCTTATCATTTCTTATGATACCACTGATAGGGCTGCCATATAAGACTGCCTTTCTTCCCCCTTATGGCAGGAGCAGATTGCATGGCAAGATCACTGGTTTTCTCCTTGTCATTTGCTTGCTGTGAACATAATGGTGAAAGCGTGTGGGCTCTGAAAACAAACTGCTGTGTTTGGAGCCTGCCTCTGTTACTGCCAATCTGTGTGATCTAGACAATATATTTAATCTCTCTACCATCAGTATCTTTGTCTATAAATTGGGGATGATAATAATACCTGTCTCACTGGATTGTTGTGAGGGTTCAATGATCTCCTCCTCCAGATAAAGTTGCTAGAATTGTGCCTAGCTCATAGATTATAGGTTATAAGTTAAGAACTTGCTCTAATCACTGCCCCTTTTGGGGGGCCTCCATTTCCTCATCTGTGCAATGCAATAATGCTTACCCTGTATAGCTCCTGAGGTGAGGGACCAAATGGACGAGAAAGCACTATGCTAAGAGAAGTCATACAAGATGCAGTGTTCTGAGGTTGGGGTGCAGTATCGGGGGCACCCTCCCTGGGGACAGGATTCAGTGGGATTTTGGCTATAGTTATAATGCAAGTTGAGACAATTAAGGTGTATATAAGACTAGTGGCCTTTATATAGTGAGTTAGATATCTGAGATTATCTGTGGAGGGTGGCACCAAGCTACGTTCTGGATGACATTAGGAGGTCTCTCTCTCTCTCTTTTACACACACACACACACACACACACACACACACACCTACACACCTTTAATTTCTTATACAGTGAAGGATTTCACAGCTACATGTTACTTTTGACTATTACAGCTTAACACTTTCATGTAGTTAGGTTACAGCTGATATTTAATAATAAGGTCAGAGTACTTTTATTCAGTCACTTTTCTTAAAGGAATCATAGATAATTTACTAGTTTAAAAACTTTCTTTAAAAGATAACATTGTGGTAAACAACACCTAATCTTACATTGGAGTTTTGGGATTTTCATGCAAAATTTTTAAATGACCATGTAAAGCATGAGAAATGTGAATAAAGAGTTTAGTCAAGCCTTAGTTTCCCATCTGTAAACTGGAATTGATAATCTATTTTTTGGTTGTTCAGCAGGACCATGGTATAACTAAGATGTGATCATGAATGTCAAAATGAGTAAAAAATTATAAAATGATATATATGTATGAATGCTAACAGTAATATTAACTCTAACTATGTACTGAGTATCTATATTGGGCTACATGTTTTTAATAATGGTAGCTGACACTTTTGTAGTGTTACTCCTTGTCAGATGCTATTCTGTAAGCTTCACATGAATTAGTTCTCACAACAATTCTAGCGGGTAATTACTAGTATCATCTTCAACCTTGTTGAACAGAGGTGACACTGATGCACAAACAGGTGAAATCACTTGCTGTAGGTCACACAGCCAGTAAGTGGCAGATCTGGGATCTGAACCTAGGTAGTTTGATTTTGGAATGCATACTTGTAAATACTGTGCTACAAGCTTTCAGAAAGGGTCTTTTTAGAGTTGTAAGGTAATTTTGTTGTTTAATGACAATCCAGCCTGAAAAGCGCCCCCACTGGCCAAATAGTGACAAGTGAAAAAACAAAACGAAAACATATACACATGAAAACAAAACCTAACAGCTAACTGAAATGAGTTGAGTCTGTAAGAAATTTGAATCTATGATGATAAAAAAAAAATGGGCAAATAAAATCACTGACTCAGCAGAATGGGGCAGACATGCCTCAGACCACAACAGTAGTGAAAATAGCTAACATTTTTTCGTGTTAAATGCTTATTGAGTTTATTGCATCATTTACTATGGGTCAAACACCGAAGCAATGTATGCATATCAATTCGCTTAATCCTTACAACTACTCTATGGAGATAGGTGCATTTGTTATCATACCCATTTACACATGAGATAAATGAGGCACTGGGAGGTTATATACTGTGACGAGGGTTCTACGGGCTAGTAAATGGTAGGGTGTATTAGTCTATTTGTGTTGCTATAAATGAATTCCTGATGCTGGGCAGTTTTTGGCTCATAGTTCTGCAGGCTGTACAAGCATGACACTGGCAACTGCTTGACTTCTGTTGAGGCCCAAGAAACTTTTATTCATGGCAGAAGGCAAAGGGGAAGCAGGCATGTCATATGGCTAGAGAAGGAGCAAGAGAGGGGATCCCAGACTCTTTTTAACAACGAGATCTCTTGTGAACTCATTTCTGTGGAGAAGGCACCGAGCCATTCATGAGGAATCTGCCCCCATGACCCATACATCTCCCACTAGGTTCTGCCGTCAACATTGAGGATCACATTTCAACATGGGATTTGGAAGGGAAAGGATTCACAACTCAGATAGTCTGGCCTCAGAGTCCACTGTGCTCATCTCTCATAAATTACTGCCTAAATACATTCACTTTATATTCTTTTCTGTTTCTGAAGCCTAGATTGGTAAAATAATTAACATTTATTGAGTGCTGACTATCAGACACTGTGATAACAGTCATTACAAATGAACAATGTCTTTAATCTTGACAATAACCCTGAGAGTCAGGGACTGTATTTTTAAATCCCCATTTGACAAAAGGAAATTGAGAATTAGAAAGGTTACATGAGTTACTACTACAAGCAAATAACATAAGTTTTTTTTTCTTTTTTTTTGCAGAATAATTCAAAATGATTTATTTATAATAGATATTTTACTCTCAAAGAGGTTGAGTGTAACTTCCTACTCCTTTTTTAAAATTTTATTATTATTATACTGTAAGTTTTAGGGTACATGTGCACAACGTGCAGGTTTGTTACATGTGTATACATGTGCCATGTTGGTGTGCTGCACCCATTAACTCGTCATTTACCATTAGGTATATCTCCTAATGCTATCCCTCCCCCCTCCCCCCACCCCACAACAGTCCCCGGTGTGTGATGTTCCCCTTCCTGTGTCCATGTGTTCTCATTGTTCAATTCCCACCTATGAGTGAGAACATGTGGTGTTTGGTTTTTTGTCCTTGCGATAGTTTGCTGAGAATGATGGTTTCCAGTTTCATCCATGTCCCTACAAAGGACATGAACTCATCATTTTTATGGCTGCATAGTATTCCACGGTGTATATGTGCCACATTTTCTTAATCCAGTCTATCATTGTTGGACATTTGGGTTGGTTCCAAGTCTTTGCTATTGTGAATAGTGCCGCTATAATAAACATACGTGTGCATGTGTCTTTATAGCAGCATGATTTATAATCCTTTGGGTATATACCCAGTAATGGGATGGCTGGGTCAAATGGTATTTCTAGTTCTAGATCCCTGAGGAATCGCCACACTGACTTCCACAGTGGTTGAACTAGTTTACAGTCCCACCAAATAACATAAGTTTTAAGAGCGGAGACACAACATCACAAAGCTAGTAGGTGTTGGAGTTGGCATTTGAACTCTTGTCTTTCCTCCAGCCAAGCCTATGGGTAGAGAAACCTTCCCAACTGTCTACCTTCATAGCCCCTCTGTATCTATTCTCCACACTTTAGCCAGTAGTGTGTTTGAAATGTAAATATAAACAAACTTCGTTAAATGGCTCTCCTTTGGTTTTTGGACAAAGGCCCTTTAGACCCTTAAGGAGGTCCATGTGGCTATAGCTGTTGGGAGGTAGTGGTAGCCAAATGAAGTCAAAGAGGTTGGCAGGATCCTGCAAGAGCCTTGGAAGCCATAATAAAGAGTTTGGATTTTATTCTGTGATGAGAATGTACTGGAAAGATTTGGGCTAGGCAGTGGCATGACGTAAATGGCTCTTTGGTTTCTGTGTGTGGAATGGTCTGTAGGGGTCAAGGGAGCCAGAAGCTCAGTGAGGAGGCTATTGTAATATCCAAGTGAGAGAGGGTGTTGACTTAGAGCAAGGCGGATGGAAAGTGGCCAGTGACTGGATATATTTGGAAGGTAAAACAACAGGCTTTGCAGACAGACTAGGTAGGGAGTGTGAGGGAAAGTGAGAAATCAAGGATTACTGCTACATTTTGGCCCCATCAACTACATGAATGGTGGCACTGCTAGTTGAAGAAATGGGGAATATGGGGTGGGGGAGGGGAATGAAACCAGTGAAACTCAAGAGCCTTTACTGGCCAAGTTTAAGATGCATATATAAGAGAAAAAAAAAAAAAAAACTGGGAATCCAGAGGAGGAGAAACATATTTCCAGGTGAGGAAATTGGAGGGGGTTTTCCAGTGAAGGTGGCAACTATGCTATTCTGGGCTTGGAAAAAGACGTAGGATTGGGAATACGGAGTTAGTGAGGAGAGGAAGGATGGGAAGAGGTTAGGTCACTGTTTTTCAAACACAATAATTTCTGTCATTTACAGACATCATTTTGCATACTATTTTCCCTAAAGTGACTCAATTTTGGAAAGTTAAATAATTTAAAAAGAGAGCTTTATTCTAGTGCTGTAAATTGATTTAGTTATCTGTTCTTAAATACACATTAAAAATAAACATCTATTAAATGTGTTGTTACTGTAATAATAGCTAGCATTTGTTGAGTACTGCTAGGAGCAGTTCTAAGTGCTACAAATCAATAATTTCACTTGCCCGGACACAGCTCGTTCCTAAGTGCTTTATGTGTACTAACTCATTTAATCCCTGTGGCAGTGTTATGCTATGGGGGTATTGTCTTCCGTGTTTTATAGACAGGGAAGCTATAGCCCAGAGGATTTGAGCAATTTACCAGGGTTGCACAAATAGTAAGTAGCAAAGTTGGGCTTTGTGCTCCAGGTCTCTTTGCTGATTGACTTCTCCAGCAGTGCTCAGGGGAGAGCACCTTTGGCTGCATGTGAGAGTTACCTGGGGAGTTTTTGTGTTTGTTTTTATTTTAATACCCATGTCTAGGCCCCACCCAAACCAATTAAATTAGAATATTTGGGATGGGTCTCCAGCATCTGGGTCTTTGCAAAGTTCCCCAGCTGATTCTCATGTACAGCCAGGGGTGAGAACATCTGCCCTATGCAATAAGGCCTCTGCCACCCATCTATAATCACCCCTTTAATTACAACACTCTGGGAAACACGAGCAAGCTTCGGGCATTTGAGACAGAGAAATGCTCAGGAAAAGGCATGAAGATATTCGTTAGCAGCTCAAAGAAATGTATCTAACCCCCTTTAGATACACGGAGGTCCAGGAGTTCATGTATCTGGTATGGAAGCTGCAGCCCACACAGGGAGTGTACTTGGTAGAAGCTCACACAGTCCTCTGAGATGAGCCTGGATTGCCTGGTTCTCGATTAACATGCTGTCTGATCTTTTCACCAAATTTAATTTGCTGGCAGATTATTAACTTCCAGTTGCTGAAGTGTGTTGGAGCCTGAAAGGGGGAAAGGAGCCTAGCAACCGATTGCATGGCTTAGCAACCAATTATCACACTTTAGTTACAGCAGATGTGGGCGTCTGTCTGCAAAATTGCCACTGCTGGAGCTGGAGATGCAAGTTACAGGGTAGCCAGGCAGTTGCTGGTAGCAAGTAAGGAGAAAGCACCCTGCTGCTAACTCACTGGCTGAATTTAGGTAAGTCATTACTTGTTTCTGAACCTTAGTTTTCCCAGCTATAAAATGGGACTAGTTTGCAAATATCAAATGAAAAATGTCTTCATTCTTTTCTGCAAATACAAACTTAGATTGAATTATTTAGTTTTATATTTTTCATTTATAGAGCATTTACCATGTATATTAGTTTCCTATTGTTCCTGAAGAAATTGCCACAAATTTGATGGCTTAAAACAACAAACATTTATTATCTTACAATTCTGGAAGTCAAAATTCCAAAATTTATCTCAGTGGCTAAAATTAAGTTGTCAACAGGATTGCATTCTTTTCTGGAGGCTCTAGAGGAGGAACTTTCCTGCTTTTTCAAGCTTCTAGAGGCTGCTAGCATTCCTTGACTCATGGCTCCCTTCCATCTTCAAAGCCATCAATGGCTAGGCAAGTCTTTCTCACACTGCAGTACTCTGAAACTAACTCTGCTGCTTCCTTCACATTTAAGCACCTTTGCAATTACATTGTGTCCCCTGGGTGATCCAGGATAATCTCCCTATTTTAAGGTCACTGATTAGCAACTTTAATCCCATCTGCTACTCTAATTCCCCATGCCCCTTTTGCCATGTAACCTAACATATTCACAGTTTCTAGGGATTAGTGGTATGTGAATATGTTTGGTGGATGGGGGAGGGGGTCTTTATTATAACTACCACACCCTGCATCAGGCACTATTCTAAGTACTTTTTATGTATTAAATTTATTTAATCCTCATATGTATCAAACTCATATAATAATCCTCTGAAGTAGACAGTATTACTACTTCCACTTTACGTACAAGGAGACTGAAGCATGCAGAGGTTAAGTAGTTATATGATTTAATTATTTTTACCACCCCAAGGCCAAGAACTTTTATGCTTGTTTTATATATTAGGAATTACATTTGACTGCTAGTAACAGAAATGGGATATAAATGTGGCCTAAATGAGGCAGACATTTATTTTTATATTATGTAAAAAAGATCTAGAGATAGGCTGTTCAGGGTTGGTATGGTAACTTCATACCATGGTTTTTATCCTGAAGGTCACAAGATGGCTGGTGGAGCTCCAGTTATCATATCCCCATTGCAAACAGTGGGAAAAACAAAAATGGTGCATGACAGCTTTCAGGGAAATTTGATTTTCAGTAGGTAACTGGTAGTCTCTCTACCACAACTATCAAGAATGAAAAACTAGTGTCTTACCATAGTCCATGGCTATGATGCCTCAGCCCATGGTCCTCCTGGGAACCCTTAGAAGGAAGCTTTCACCCCTTGTTTGGGAAAACGCTGCAAGTTGTAGGGCAGGGAAGGTCAACTGCAAAATCTTATATAGAATTGGTTGGTAAGTTACATGAAAGACAAAGACATTGCATTTGAGAGTGGTGGGGCTGGGTGCAGTGGCTCACACCTGTAATCCCAGCACTTTGGGAGGCCGAGACGGGTGGATCACCTGAGGTTAAGAGTTCAAGACCAGCCTGACCAATATGGTGAAACCTCTTCTCTACTAAAAATACAAAAATTACCCAGGCGTGGTAGCGTGCACCTGTAGTCCCAGCTACTTGGGAGGCTGAGACAGGAGAATTGCTTGAACCCAGGAGGCGGTGGTGGCAGTGAGCCAAGATTGTGCTACTGCACTCCAGCCTGAGTGACAGAGCAAGACTCCATCTCACAAAAAAAAAAAAAAAAAAAAAAAAGAGTGATGGGGAGTATGTCAAACTAGAGATCACATGCTGTGTCTAAATGAAGCCAGCCACTACCCAGTTCTAGTTGATTTTCCTAAATGGCCAGATCTTCTGATTTTCTTCAATGGAATCTGGAAATCCAGATTTTCTTATGTAATATTTTGCTCTTTAAATAATGGATCAACTTCATTTTTACATTATGTGGGACAAACTAAACATAGAATCCAGCCCCACATAACTAGTTTCCAAGCACTGGTGTAATGGAAAGAACACTACATTAGGAGAACAAGATTCTAGCTCAATTTGCTGTGTGGCCATGTGCAAGTATCTTTCGGTCTCTGGGATTCACGTTTCCAATCTTTAATCTGAGGTATTTGCCTAGAGAATTTCTATGGAGTCTTCAGGTTCTGATGTTCTATAATTTTTCCTTATATCTAATAACCAAATGAAAGATTACTTGCTTTAAAAAATTTTAATGCTGATTTCAAATTTTACCTTTTAGGGGACATAACCCATTATATATTTATTTGCTAACTCTACAATTGCCATTTGGGAAAAACATCTAGTGGCTTATTGAGCATTTATTGCCAAGACTTCCTTAGTTAGAACCTACTTGCTTCATCCATTTCACTTAGGTATTTTAAAGCTACTGAAATTCCTACTAACTTATTCTTTTAATGTATATGTTCAACAAATAATGATTGGTATGGCTGTCTATAATAACTTTTCAGGAAAGGCTGAGGGAAACATGAGGGCTGGGAATGAGTCAAATCTAAGAGGAATTCCTTTGGGGGAGAGTGCAGGAAGCAAAGAGCTAATGGCAGAAGGAGTATAAAATTAATCATAAAATCTGTTATTTTTTGAATACCTACCAACACTTCCTATAAATTACATCATTTGATCTACCCACAAACGAATTAGAGGTGTAGTCTTGCCCATTTTATAGTGTTAAGCAGGGGATGATAAACTTTTTCAGTGAAGGGACAGACAGTAAATAGTTTAGGCTTTATGGGCCAAACTAGGTGCATGTTGCATGTTTTTCTTTTCTTTTAAAACAATCCTATAGAAAAGTACAAAAATATACAGAAACAGGCTGTAGGCAGGATTTGGCTCACACTGTAGTTGGCCAGTGCCTACGTGTAAATGCTAAAAGCATGGACACTGGAGACAGCAGAGTTAGAGTCTGGGCTCTACTTCTTTATTATTATTATTATTATTATTATTATTATTATTATTATTATTATAATACTTGACTCTGGGCTCTACTTCTTATAACTATGTGCAATTGAGGAAGGTACTTAGCCTTTCTCTGCCTCCATTTCTTCATCCGTAAAAATGGGATAAGTATAGAACTTACCTCACAGGGTTGTTGTGCGGATTCACTAAGTTGTTATTTGTAAATGCTTAGAAAAGTGCTTCACACATAAGTTCTTGTCAGATAAATAAGAGACCCTAGACTCTGATGTTGAAAGGGTGGAGGTATGTTTGGAAACAGAGACCTCTCTAACATGCGTCTGATTGTACCCTATGAGTAGCCACTTTCTCTACATCTGTGACTGGTGGGCCAGGTTTTCCAGTGAGGTTCGCTGCTCCATCAGCTCTGCTGTCTGTATTAAATGCCTCAGATGACACACCAGACACACAGAATTGCTGGCCAATCTTGCCTAGGTTAGTGTGCCTTTCAGCCTAGAACCTGAATGCCACACTGCCTCTGTATAAGCCACTCAAGGAGTTTTCAACCTCCCCTATTCCTTGAGAACATATACCACCATTGTATCAGCTTGTCATGGAGCTGGACCTCTTCTCAACCACAAAAGAATTCCTCTCATCAGCACTTGACAAAGTTGACAACTCTTTCCTCCTTGAAACTCTTTCTTCCTTGGCTTCCTAGACTTCCTTGGCTTTCAAGACTCTCCTAGTTTCACTCCCACCTCACTGATTGCTCCTTCTCAGACTTCTTTGCTATTTTCTTCTCACCTCCCCAACCTCTAAATATTAGAAGTCTTCAGGTGTTAGTCATTGGACCTCTTCTTTTCTTCATTTCTATTTCCTTCCTTGGTGACCTCATTTAGACTCATTACTCTAAGTAAAACTAACACGTTAATGTCTCCAAAATTTATATCTCCAGCCTGGCCTTTTCCTTCAACATGTATATCTAACTGACTACTTAACCTCTCCACTTACATATCTAATAGGCATTACAAATTTAATATGTCCCAAACTGAACTCCTGATACAAAAATCAAGATCAAGTTCTTCTGCACTTTTCCCTCCCTACCTCAATTAATAGCAAATTCCAGATGCTTCCTTCCAGATGCTCAGAATAAAAGCCTTATGGCTCATTTTCTTCCACATCCCACATCTAATCCCTCCAGAAATCCTGTTGGTTCTACCTTCAAAATATATTTAAAATTGATTAGTTCTCACCACCTCCTCTGCTGTCACTCTAGTCTAAACTACTGTTATCTAGGAATGCTACAATATCCTCCTTACTGCTCTGTTTCCTCTCTTAACGTCCTACAGTCAATTATTTACACAATATCCAGTCTGAGTGTATTGAAACTTAAGTCAAATCATATCACATGTCACTCTTCTGCTCAGAATCCTTCAGTTGTCTCCCATCTCACTAAGAGTAAATGCTCAATTCTCACAATGATATTTAAGACCTTACATGATCAGGTCCCCATTACCTCAGTCACCTTATCTTCTACTATAGTTCAGTGCTCATTCCACTTCAGTCACACCAGCCTCCCCACTCTTCTTTAGAGTTGCCTGGCACATGCCAGCCTTAAGGCCTTGCTGGCTATTCCTTTCACCTGGAACATTCTGTTTTCAGATGTCTGCATGGCTGGCCATCTCACCTTGCTCAAGTATTGTTTATAAGTCATCTTCTCAATGAGACTTACCCTGTCCATCATTTTAAAAATTGCATAATACTTTTCCCCACCCTCTCTGCTTTTCCCGTCAGTAGCAGTTATAACCATCTGATATACTATATATTTTATTTGTTTGTCATTTGTCTCTCCCTGCTAGAATATAAGCACCATGAGAGCAAGGATTTTGACAGTTTTATTCACCAAAATATCCCCAATGCCTGGAAAAGGAACAGTGCCTAGCGCATAGAAGGTATGAGATAAATATTATTTGAATAAATAAATAAAACAAATGCTTCCCCCACTGTATCCTTCCCTTTATTGCTTTCCTTCTCTTCAAGAATATAAAATAAACCTAAACACCCTGAGAGGTTCTAGAGGGAGGCTCACAAAAGAATCATAGCACAAAAGGAGAGAAAGAGTGAAGAAAAATAAACACGTTGTCTTATGCCTGCCTGGATTTAATTTGTCTGGCTGCCAGGGTTTCATGAGACTTTCTCAATCTAGGCTCCGGGGTTTGGGGCTGGGATATTTTCACTGCTTCTAATAGTTGCCGCCACAAGCCTGGGCCTCCTTCTCCTCTTGGCCTCAAGCACCTTAATTCTGTGACAGGCACAGATTCCTCATAGGAGTGAAGCAACCAGCATACCTGGCTCCTGACAGAGACTAAGGGCTTGTGAGTCCACTCTGTGTGTCTGTGTGAATGCATACAAACAAGTCTTTGTTTAAAAAAATTTTTTTAAATTATACTTTAAGTTCTAGGATACATGTGCAGGACGTGCAGGTTTGTTACATAGGTATACACGTGACATGGTGGTTTGCTGCACCCATCAACCCGTCATCTACATTGGGTATTTCTCCTAATGCTAGCCCTCCCCCAGCCCCCAACCCCCAGCAGGCCCCGGTATGTGATATTCCCCTCCCTGTGTCCATGTGTTCTCATTGTTCAACTCCCACTTATGAAAGAGAACACAGGCTGTTTGGTTTATTGTTATTGTGTTAGTCTGCTGAGAATGATGGTTTCCAGGTTCATCCATGTCCCTGCAAAGGACATGAACTCATGCTTTTTCATAGCTGCATAGTATTCCATGGTATATATGTGCCACATTTTCTTTATCCAGTTTATAATTGATGGGAATTTGGGTTGGTTCCAAGTGTTTGCTGTTGTGAACAGTGCTGCAATAAACATACAGATACATGTGTCTTTATAGTAGAATAATTTATAATCCTTTGGGTATATACCCAATAATGGGATTGCTGGGTCAAATGGTATTTCTGGTCCTTGATCCTTGAGGAATCACCACACTTTCTTCCACAATGATTGAACTAATTTACACTCTCACCAACAGTGTAAAAGTGTTCCTATTTCTCCACATCCTCTCCAGCTTCTGTTGTTTCCTGACTTTTTAATAATCTCCATTCCAACTGGCATGAGATGGTATCTCATTGTGGTTTTGATTTGCATTTCTCTAATGACCAGTGATGATGAGCATTTTTTCATGTTGGTTGGCTGCATAAATGTCTTCTTCTGAGAAGTGTCTGTTGATATCCTTTGCCCACTTTGTGATGGGGTTGTTTGTTTTTTTCTTGTAAATGTGTTTAAGTTCTTTGTAGATTCTAGATATTAGCCCTTTGTCAGACGGATAGATTGCAAAGAGTTTCTCCCATTCTGTAGGTTCCCTGTTCACTCTGATGATAGTTTATTTTGCTATGCAGAAGCTCTTTAGTTTAATTAGATTTCATTTGTCAATTTTGGCTTTTGTTGCCATTGCTTTTGGTGTTTTAGTCGTGAATTCTTTGCCCATACCTATGTCCTGAATAGTATTGCCTAAGTTTTCTTCTAGTGTTTTTAACGTTTTAGGTCTTACATTTAAGTCTTTAATCCATCTTGAGTTAGTTTTCGTATGAGGTGTAAGGAAGGGGTCCAGTTTCAGTTTTCTGCATATGGCTAGCCAGTTTTTCCAATACCATTTATTAAATAGGGAATCCTTTCCCTATTGCTTGTTTTTGTCAGGTTTGTCAAAGATCAGATGGTTGTAGATGTGTGGTGTTATTTCTGAGGCATCTGTTCTGTTCCATTGGTCTATATATCTGTTTTGGTACCAGTACCATGCTGTTTTGGTTACTGTAGCCTTGTAGTATAGTTTGAAGTCAGGTAGCATGATGCCTCCAGTTTTCTTCTTTTTGCTTAGCATTGTCTTGGCTATGTGGGCTCTTTTTTGGTTCCATGTGAACTTTAAAGTAGTTTTTTTCTAATTCTGTGAAGAAAGTCAGTGGTAGCTTGATGGGGATAGCATTGAATCTATAAATTACTTTGGACAGTATGGCCATTTTCACGATATTGATTCTTTCTATCCATGAGCATGGAATGTTTTTCCATTTGTTTGAGTCCTCTCTTATTTCCTCGAGAAATTGTTTGTAGTTTCCCTTGAAGAGGTCCTTCACATCCCTTGTAAGTTGTATTCCTAGGTATTTCATTAGCTTTGTAGCAATTGCGAATGGGAGTTCACTCACGATTTGGCTCTCTGTTTGTCTATTACTGATGTATAGGAATCCTTGTGATTTTTGCACATCGATTTTGTATCCTGAGACTTTGATGAAGTTGCTTATCAGCTTCAGGAGTTTTGGGGCTGAGACGATGGGGTTCGCTAAGTATACAATCATGTCATCTGCAAAGAGAGACAATTTGACTTCCTCTCTTCCTATTTGAATATCCTTTATTTCTTTCTCTTGCCTGATTGCCCCGGCCAGATCTTCTAATACTATGTTGAATAGGAGTGGTGAGAGAGGGCTTCTTTGTCTTGTGCCAGTTTTCAAAGGGAATGCTTCCAGTTTTTGCCCATTCAGTATCATATTGGCTGTGAGTTTGTCATAAATAGCTCTCATTATTTTGAGATATGTTCCATCATTACCTAGTTTATTGAGAGTTTTTAGCATGAAGCAGTGTTGAATTTTATCAAAGGACTTTTCTGCATCTATTGAGATAATTGTATGTTTTTTGTCATTGGTTCTGTTGATGTGATGGATTACGTTTATTGATTTGTGTATGTTGAACCAGACTTGCATCCCAGGGATGAAGCCAACTTGATTGTGGTGGATAAGCTTTTACATTGATGTGCTGTTGGATTCGGTTTGCCAGTACTTTACTGAGGAATTTTGCATCAGTGTTCATCAGGGATATTGGTCTGAAATTTTCTTTTTCTGTTGTGTCTCTGCCACGTTTTGGTATCAGGAAGCTGCTGGT
This sequence comes from Homo sapiens, assembly GCF_000001405.40. Taxonomy (NCBI): domain Eukaryota; kingdom Metazoa; phylum Chordata; class Mammalia; order Primates; family Hominidae; genus Homo; species Homo sapiens. The sequence continues at coordinate 63,801,397 of NC_000023.11, read as the reverse complement.
CTCATAAAATGAGTTAGGTAGGATTCCCTCTTTTTATATTGTTTGGAATAGTTTCAGAAGGAATGGTACCAGCTCCTCTTTGTACCTCTGGTAGAATTCGACTGTGACTCCATCTGGTCCTGGACTTTTTGTGGTTAGTAGGCTATTAATTACTGCCTGAATTTCAGAACTTGTTATTGGTCTACTCAGGGATTCAACTTATTCCTGGTTTAGACTTAGGGGGTGTATGTGTCCAGGAATTTATCCATTTCTTCCAGATTTCTTAGTTTATTTGCATAGAGGTGTTTATAGTATTCTCTGATGTTAGTTTGTATTTCTGTGGGGTCAGTGGTGCTATCCCCTTTATCATTTTGTATTCCATCAATTTGATTCTTTTCTCTTTTCTTCTTTATTAGTCTGGCTAGTGGTCTATCTATTTTGTTGATCTTTTCAAAAACCAGCGCCTGGTTTCACCTATTTCTTTAAGAGTTTTTCGTGTCTCTACCTTTACCAGTTCTGCTCTGATCTCAGTTATTTCCTGTCTTCTGCTAGCTTTTGAATTTGTTTTTGCTTCTGTAGTTCTTTTAATTGTGATGTTAGGGTGTCGATTTTAGATCTTTCCTGCTTTCTCTTGTGGGCATTTGGTGCTATAATTTTCCCTCTAAGCACTGCTTATCTGTGTTCCAGAGATTCTGGTACGTTGTATCTTTGTTCTGATTGGTTTCAAAGAACATCTTTATTTCTGCCTTAATTTCGTTATTTACCCAGTAGTCATTCAGGAACAGGTTGCTCAGTGTCTATGTAGTTGTGCAATTTTGAGTGAGTTTCTTAGTCCTAAGTTCTAATTTGATTGCACTGTGGTCTGAGAGACTGTTTGTTATGGTTTCCATTCTTTTGCATTTGCTGAGGAGTGTTTTACTTCCAATTACGTGGTCAATATTTGAATATGTGTGAGGTGGTGCTGAGAAGAATGTATATTCTGTAGATTTGGGGTGGAGAGTTCTGTAGATGTCTATTAGGTCCGCTTGGTCCAGAGCTGAGTTCAAGTCCTGAATATCCTTGTTAATTTTCTGTCTCGTTGATCTGTCTAATATTGCCAGTGGGGTGTTAAAGTCTCCCACTATTTTTGTGTGGGAGTCTAAGTCTCTTTATAGGTCCCTAAGAACTTGCTTTCTGAATCTGGGTGCTCCTGTATTGGGTGCATATATATTTAGGATAGTTAGCACTTCTTGTTGCATTGATCCCTTTATCATTATGTAATGTTCTTGTCTTCTTTTTTTCTTTGTTGGTTTAAAGTCTGTTTTATCAGAGACTAGGATTGCTACCCCTGCTTTTTTTGCTTTCCATTTGCTTGGTAAATATTTCTCCATCCCTTTATTTTGAGCCTGTGTGTCTTTGCACATGAGATGGGTCTCCTGAATAAAGTACACCAATGGGTTTTGACTCTTTATCCAATTATCCAGTCTGTGTCTTTTAATTGGGGCATTTAGCCCGTTTACATTTAAGTTTAATATTGTTATGTGTGAATTTGATCCTGTCATTATGATACTATCTGGTTATTTGGGCTGTTAGTTGATGCGGTTTCTTCATAGTGCCGATGGTCTTTACAATTTGGTATGTTTTTGCAGTGGCTGGTACTGGCTGTTCCTTTCCATGTTTAGTGCTTCCTTCGGGAGCTCTTGTAAGGCAGATTTGGTGACCAAATCTCTCAGCATTTGCTTGTCTGTAAAGGATTTTATTTCTCCTTCGCTTATGAAGCATAGTGTGGCTGGATATGAAATTCTGGGTTGAAAATTCTTCTCTTTATGAATGTTGAATCAATATTCATCACTCTCTTCTGGCTTTTCTTCTGTAGGGTTTCTGCAGAGAGATCTGCTGTTAGTCTGATTGGCTTCCCCTTGTGGGTAATCCGACTTTTCTCTCTGGCTCCCCTTAACAATTTTTCCTGCATTTCAACCTTGGTGAATCTAATGATTATGTGTCTTGGGGTTGCTCTTCTCAAGGAGTATCTTTGTGGTGTTCTTTGTACTTCCTGAATTTGAATGTTGCCCTGTCTTTTTAGGTTGGGGAAGTTCTCCTGGATAATATCCTAAAGAGTGTTTTCCAACTTGGTTCCATTCTCCCCATCACTTTCAGGTACACCAATCAAATGTAGATTTGGTCTTTTCACATCGTCCCATATTTCTTGGAGGCTTTGTTTGTTCCTTTTCATTCTTTTTTCTCTAATCTTGTTTTCTCGCTTTATTTCATTAAGTGAATTTTCAATTTCTGATATCCTTTCTTCTGCTTGATCAATTCAGCTATTGATACTTGTGTATGCTTCACGAAGTTCTCATGCTGTGTTTTTTAGCCCCATCAGGTTATGTTCTTCTCTAAATTGGTTATTCTAGTTAGCAATTTGCCTAACCTTTTTTCAAGGTTCTTACCTTCCTTGCATTGGGTTAGAACATGCTCCTTTAGCTCGGAGGAGTTTGTTATTACCCACCTTCAGAACCCTACTTCTGTCAATTTGTCAAACTCATTCTCCATCCAGTTTTCTTCCCTTGCCGGTGAGGAGTTGTGATCCTTTGGAGGAGAAGAGGCATTCTGGTTTTTGCGATTTTCAGCCTTTTTGCACTTGTTTCTCCCCATCTTTGTGGATTTATCTACCTTTGGTCTTTGATGTTGGTGATCTTTGGACATGGTTTTGGTGTGGATGTCCTTTTTGTTGATGGTGATACTATTCCTTTCTGTTTGTTAGTTTTTCTTCTAACAGGCCCGTCTGCTGCAGGTCTGCTGGAGTTTGCTGGACATCCACTCCAGACCCTGTTTGCCGGGGTATCACCAGCAGAGCATGCAGAAGAGCAAAGATTGCTGCCTGTTTCTTCCTCTGGAAGCTTCGTTCCAGAGGGGTACTCACCAGATGCCAGTCAGAGCTCTCCTGTATGAGGTGTCTGTCAATCCCTGCTGAGAGGTGTCTCCCAGTCAGGAGATACGTGGGTAAGGGACCCATTTGAGGAGGCAGTCTGTCCCTTAGCAGAGCTCAAGTGCTGTGCTGGGAGATCCACTGCTTTCTTTAGAACTGGTAGGCAGAAATATGTTTAAGTCCACTGAAGCTGCACCCACAGCCGCCTTTGCCCCCAGATGCTCTGTCCCAGGGAGATGGGAGTTTTATCTAAAATCCCCTGACTGGGGCTGCTGCCTTTTTGCAGAGATGCCCTGCCCAGAGAGGAGGAATCTAGAGAGGTGGACTAGTGGGCTCTGCCCAGTTGTAACTTCCCAGTGGCTTTGTTTATGCTGTGAGGGGAAAACTGCTTACTCATGCCTCAGTAATAGTGGATGCCCCTACCGCCACCAAGCTGGAGCATCCCAGATCGACTTCAGACTGCTGTGCTGCCAGCAAGAATTTCAAGCCAGTGGATCTTAGCTTGCTAAGATGGTGAGTGGGATCCACTGAGCTAGATCCCTTGGCTCCCTGGCTTCAGCCCCCTTTCCAGGGAAGTGAATGGTTCTGTCTCGCTGGCATTCCAGGCACCACTGTGATATGAAAAGAAACTCCTGCAGCTAGCTCGGTGTCCACCCAAACAGCCACCCAGTTTTGTGCTTGAAACCCAGGGCCCTTGTGGCATAGGTACTGGAGGGAATCTCCTGGTCTATATCTTGTGAAGACCATGGGAAAAGTGTAGTATCTAGGCTGCAATGCATCTTTCCTCATGGCACAGTCCCTCATGGCTTCCCTTGGCTAGGGGAGGGAATTCCCCTACCCCTTGAGCTTCACGGGTGAGGTGATGTCCCACCCTGCTTCTGCTCACCCTCTGTGGGCTGCACCCACTGTCTAACCAGTTCCAGTGAGATGAGTCTGGTACCTCAGTTGGAAATGCAGAAATCATCCACCTTCTGTGTTGATCTTGCTGGGAACTGCAGACCTGAGCTTTTCTTATTTGGCCATCTTGCCAGCTGCCCACACAAGTCTTTTTATATCTGCACCCATCATGAATGGGTGTCAGTCCACATGGTCTGCATCAGGTATGGCAAAGTCCTTCACCATCCTTAGTGGTCATTTCTGCAATCCCCTCAACCCTACCTCTACTTCCACCCAACAGAGCTAACATATGCCAGGCATTGTGCTAAAAACTTTACATGAACTCACTTGTTTACTCCTCAGAGCAACTTTTTGATATAGGTATTAATATTATTCTTGTTTTCCAGATGGAGAAACTGAGGTACAGAGAGGTAAACTAGCTCAAGTTCTATATTGCTTCCAGCTGATGTTGGTGTAACCTTACCTGTAGTCTGATATTTCCTGTCAAAAAAAAATCTCATCAGGATATATCTAATTGATTTTACCACACATATGGATCCACTTCATCATTCACTAAAAGTTTGCAAACCACCCTTTGAGAATCACTGCCTTAGGTGTGTCCCTCTTTCAAGGCTGTTTGCATTTCTCAGATACCTCCAAAATGTTTCCAACCCCAAAAGGTGTCACTCTGCAGAATTTCAGGCATCAAGAGAGGCATGAGAGGAGATGGAGGCATCCTTAGCAAGCCTCAGAGTAGTGAAAGTTGGACCCTGCATGGCTTGCTCTAGTCCTCTCAGAGTTTGCTCTGCCTTTCTCAGAACCCAAGCTCTGGCCTTTTTTTCTCCTTTCTCTGAACACCAATTCACTCAACAAACATTTTCTGAGAGCCTCTCAACACTAGGGGCTCTGACAGAGGCTATGAGCAAGCAAAATTATATGTAGGAGACAAGTTCATAAATGGCTAACTACATAAACGAAGCTGTGGCAAGTGGCTGAAAAAGTGCACCAGCAAAACATCATTTGCATTTACAGAAAGGGAGATGGATTTCAACTTGGGTCCAGGCTTTAATTAATAGATGGCATTTGATCCAGGCCTGGAAGGATGGCTAGGACGTAGACAGCCAGAAGTAGGGGAAAATAAATTCTGAAAGAATATACAAAGAGACTAAAGAGTAGGTAGAAGAGTACTTAGGGACAGGTTGTAGATACTTGTTAATATCTTGCTAAGGAATTTGAAGTTAATCTTGTATGCAGTTGGGAGTCATTAAAAGTGTTTGATCAGGGGAGGATCTGATTCACGCAGTGCTTTCAGAATATAACTTCAGCAGCCTTGTGAGAATTTATTGGAAGGCAGCAAAAATTGAGGTGAGGGGACACATAGGAGGCTGATGGGATGGTCCAGGAGAGATATAATAAACAAGAGTCTAACCCAGGGTAATGGTTATGGGTATGGAGAGGAGGGGGCACACAGAAGAAATGCCATAGGAGTAGAGGTAACAGGCCTTGGCAACTAATATGTATATTTGTAGAGGCAATGCCTTCTCTTCTCCTTCCCAGTTTACCCCATTAGGGATTCCACAGCAGCCTATATGATCTCTGGGAATCTATCGTATCAGGAAGATGAAGCATTGGCTTTGTTGGGTGGCTCCTGCTGTGAGACAGGAGAGGAAGAGGAGACAGCTCACCATAGGCAGGCTGGATGGAGCCAGCTCATTCTGTTGTCATAGCACTTCAGAAAAGCATTGAATTTTAGAGCTGGAAAGTGGACCTTAGGATTGTCCTGTGAGAATGCCTTACTGTGAGGAGGGGCCCGATGAGGATAGAGGATTCTAGCAAGGGAGAAGCCTGATATGTTTTGGCTATGTGTCCCCACCCAAATCTCACCTTGAATTGTAAAAATCCCCATGTGTCAAGAGAGGGACCTGGTGGGAGGTAATTGAATCATGGGGGTGGTTTCCTCTATGGTGTTCTCATGATACTGAGTTCTCATGAGATCTGATGGTTTTATAAGGGGCTTCCCCTTTACTCATTGTACATTCTCTCTCCTGCTGCCCTTTGAAGAGGTGCCTTATGCCATGATTGTAAGTTTCCTGAGCCACCGTCCACCAAGTCATTCAGAACTGTGAGTCAATTAAACCTCTTTTCTTTATAAATTGCTCAGTTTCGGGTATTTCTTCATGCAGCATGTGAATGAACTAATACAGGGACTTTAGGAAAAACCTCAGGCTTGATCTCTTAAGGTTCCCTCTTCCTCATCCTTCCTTCTTTCCCTTCTCCTCTCTCCTTCCCCCTCCTCCTCTTCTTTTCTCCTCATTCATCACCATGTCTTCATCCTCCTTCTTTTCCATTTTTCTTGTCTCTCCTTTTCGTCCCCTCCCTCTCTTCCTCATCCTCCTGTTTATCTTCCTCCTCCTTTTCCTCCTTTTCTTCTCCTTTCTTTCACCCTCTCAAAACTTTCACCAGTAATGCAAGTTTCCCTTGGAGCTCAGGAATCAGCTCCTCAAACCTGAGAGATGGCCTAAGACATTTGAGGTCAGGGAAGGGGGTCAGATCCCCTGGAAGAAGCCTCACCTCCCTCTAAACAGACACCATGCTGGCTTTCTTTGTAATTCTTTTTCTCTTCAAGCATTCCTCTGGCTGGAAGATTCTCTTTTTGTCTTCTCACCACCTCACTGGAGAAAGGCTTAGCAGGCCCACCAAACAGAAGGTTTAGTGGTTTCCCCAGAATACTGAAGGTTAGTAAGAATAGGGGCTGAAGGCCAACCCTCTTGTTTCCTCACTTGTTTCTCTTTTCTACGGGCCCCTAACATCTAAAGTGTGGTCCCTGGACTAGCAGTATCCACATTACCTGAAGGCCTGTTAGAAATGCAGACCCTTAGGCACCACCCCAGACCTACTGAATCAGAATTTTCATTTTAACAAAAACATCCATGAACATTAAAGTTTGAGAAGCACTGCTCTACATAGACCTCACCCCTCATGTATGGACACAGCCATTTCTAGAACAACCCATTCTGGGTTTGGTCTCCTAGACCTGTGGAGGGGTAAAGAAGCTGAAAATCAGAGAGACCTGGAGGGCAGTGGTCTCTGGCGACCAGGCATCTGGTCACCATGCAGATGCCTGCAGAAGCTGGGCAGGGGCCAGTGGGCAGGGGCTCTGGCTTTAAGGAACGTAGCTGCTGCCGAGCTCAAGCTCATTATTGCAAGGTGGGAATACAAGCCCAGGGCTTCCAGACTTTCCAGTGTTTCAAGAGAAGCTGTATTTTTATATGAAGTCCAGATTTTTATGTAAAATATATTGAGCTTTTTGAAATACATATTGTTTAGCCTCCAACAAGCATTTAAGACACTGTGGTGGGCAAATAAAACAGGAGGTCAGTTGCCCAGACTTTCCATTTGATGTAGTTTCACTTTGTTTTTTTAGAAGCAGGAACTATGTTCAATCATAATCTTACCTGGAAGCTTAATGTGTAAAACAGGTGAAAGGAGAACCACTTTGGTTAAAGTGGAGCCTAGAGCTCCTCCCAGTCAGCCTCCCACATGTACCCCAGGACAAGAAGTAGCCTCTGAAGGACCCTCCCTACATTCTACAAAAGCAGAGGTCAAAAAGTATTGAGAGGTTCTAATCACACACATCATTTGACAGATGAGGAGACTGAGTAGCTTATCCGAGGCTACATAGGAAGTTAGCAGTCACCCAACTGCTAGTCCGGTGCCCTTCTCCCCTTGGCTCACTGACTTCTTTGCATGGTTCTCCAGTGCAGCCTTCTATCAATGGAAGAGTCATTCTACAGCATCTCTGGCAGGTACTTTTCTAGACTCTGCTTGGATACCTTCAGTGATGGGATTTCATAAGGTTGGACATTAATATTTGAATTTAGCTTTTCAGAGAATCTTTGAAGAGATACATAATATATGTGAGATTTGCAGGTCCTGAATCCACCCAAGTGATTTAATCAACACCATTGTCTGGATAGAGGTTAAATCTGCTCATCTAATTGAAACTCCTCATGCCATTATTTCAGTTCCTGCCTTTGTCCTGAAAATCAATAGTGAACTGGAGAGCAAATTATTTGGTAGACAAGAAGCTGTTTGAGGCTGAAGGCATGGCATGGGAGGAAGATAAGAGGGAGGTAAAGAGAAAAGAGACAGACGTTAGGAAGAAGTGAACTTAAAGTCACTTCAGTTCTACAAATTTGAGAGTAGAGAGCCCATGGAGAGCTTAAAGAACGAGACTAACTAGTGGGTATATACCTTGGTGGAAGGAACAGGCCTTTCATTTGACTGGGTGATCAAGCTGAAGTGGCCTGGGGGAAGAGTACTGGGCCAAGACCCCCTACTTTCCAGGGTGATGCTTTCTACAGCAGCCTATTGAGCAGCATCTGATCCTGTCTCCAAGCTTTGACTGTTGTTGTCTGAAGGAAGACAAGCATGACCACTTCCTGCTCTTCCTTGATCTGCTTGGAGCTGCTTCAAGAGCTTGCTTCAAGTTTCCCTGGGGATCATGGGTTTACAGTGTCAGGGACATGTTTGGAAAACATGGGGATGAAGAATTGTGTTCTGAGGGGAATGACTACCTAGCTGATATTCCCACAGAGGAGATGGGAGCCCACATGCTCAGTAAACCTTTTTTTAAAATCAGGAATTCTGCCTGTCCTCAGCATCTCTGACTATCGTGCTTCCAAATGCTGATAAAGATGTTTCCTTTTGAGGTCGGGGGAGGGCAAATAAAATTACCTTAATGGCTCCAACACAATGACAGGAGTTTGGTCTAGAGCTGAGCTTCTCACACTTTAATGTGCACATGAGTCACTGGCGAACTTATGAAAATCTTCATGCTGAGTCAGTAGGTCTGGGGTACATCTGGGATTCTGCATTTCTAGTAACCTCCCAGGTGATATTGATGCTGCTATTCCAAGCCCCATACTTTGAGTAGTATCAAGGGGCTAGATTACCTTGATAATTCGTTCAGCTGGATTTTTCTTCTCAAAGTCTAAGATTATATTTATGTATGTACCTATATGCACTTTTCCTATTGCACTAACATCTTGCTTTAAATTATTTTGTATTAGCTTATTTGAGGATAACATCTATCATGTTTCCCATTTCTTCCCCTCTGCCTTCAGAACCCCGGCTTCTTTGCAGCACATGCCATCTGCCTCTGCCACCCACTATCTCTTCCTTGTGCTTTCATTTCCTGACGTTCTGGCCCTGCCTGAGTCCCTGATATCATTTTCTATCAATAATTATAGTTACCCAAACTCTGTCACATTGGCCTTCTCCTATCCCTTGTGCATCTCAGCCTCATTTCCATCTCTGGGCCTTTGCTTTTGTTGTTCCTTCTCGTTTGGAATGCTATTTCCCCAGACCTTTGAATGAATGGTTTCTTCTAATTATTCCAGTGTCAACTCAGATGTCACTTCTTTAGAGGGGCCTACTTTGTGTGCCTAGGTAAAGCAGTATCTCCCTCTACCAGTCACCTGCTATTACATTATTATTTTTATAATAATTATTTAGTACCTATGTTACCTTATTTTTTGTTTTTGTGTTCAATGTCTAAATCTGTATTAGAACATAAGCTCCTGGAGGATAGAGGCCTAGTCTGTCTTACTCACTGCTATATACCCAGCACCTAGAACAGACCTTGGCATATAGTAGGCACTTGGTGCATAATTCTTGGTGCATAGACTGTCTTTCTGGACATTCTTTTTCATTCACCGAAGACTTTAACTTCTAGATCATCACTTGTCTTAATCCTTTCTTCTGTCTGTATGACCTCAACATTCCTGTAGGTGGCCTATTCAACTTTGACCTCACCTTTCACAGCTTTTTTCTGCACTTCACTCAGCCGGAACACTTCTGTGATAACACTCTAGATCTTGTCATAACCAGTAACCAACTGGATTACTTTCACAATCTTGATTTATTTCAAGCGTCTTCTCTCTGACTACTGTGTCCTCTTATTCCAGTTCACTTTGATACATTTCCAACAATTCGTCCACATATCAGAATCTCCAATTCATTGTCCCTACCATTTAATTGACCTTACCCCATTACCCAACACCTTTTTTCATGACCTCTTTTTCCTTGTGTCTGGGTTAGATTCCTTGGTCCACTATTATGATCACTTCCTTGCAAATGCTTGCAACTCTATTATCCATTTATTTTCCCATTGTATTTGCACGGCAAATCTCCTCTAGATTTCACCCACCCACCTGTCATCTCTATACCCGTGCCTGAAGATAAAAATAGACTGGAGACAATTGCTACAGTTGGGCTGATTTATTTTTCTTTACCACAAGTCTGAATTAGGCACTCAACATTTATTTTTTGTGTGTGTGCCCCTATTCCTAAGATATACTGATTTTTATTTATTTTTTTGTAGATACTTAACATTTCCTGCAAGCCCTACCGTATGTCCCTGATGTGCTTACTTTTCCACTGCCTCTCAGACAGCATCTCTCAACCTTAGTTGCACATTAGAATCATCTGGGGAGCTTTTTAAAATCCTGATGCCCAGGCTGTATCCTATTCCAATGAAATAATAATCCCTGAAGGTGGGATTTAGACATCTATGGTTTTTAAAGCTTCCCACATAATTCCAATGTGCAGCCAAGATTGAGAGCCACTGTGCTGAAAGAACTATTTCACACTTGCTCCTCCTTTCTGTAACCTCCACTGACACCTCCCTCCATAATCCTCTCTCAGCTTCATGGAGAAAAATTTTAAAAACGTTGTAGGGGTATTTCCTTCCCTTTTATTCACCAAATCTATAGGCTCACCATCACCTGCACATTTACCCATTTTCTCTTCTTGTCTGCTAGAGTTCAGGAAGTGATTTTGCTCCTATCAAGGCAAATCTTTTTTGCTCTGGAATCCATCCCCTCTCACTTTCTGAAGGACTTTGCTCCTGCAGGTATCCCCTCTCTTAAACCAGTGCTTCTCAAACTTAAATGTACATGCAGATCATCTGAGGATCTAGTTGAAATGTAGATTATGATTAAGTAGATGTGGGATGGGGCTTGAGGTTCTACATTTCTAACAAACACCCAGGTGATGATGTTGTTGTTGGTTTGTCGACCATGCTTCAACTAGCAAGGTCTTATGTGATAAGCCTTTCCTCTCATTCCCATCATTATATCAATATGTCCTTATTTGCATGTTAAAAGAATAAAAAGGACTTCCTTGACCTCACATCCCCTTCCAAATATTGTCTTGTCTTATTCCCTTCACAGGAGAACTTCTCAAAGTGTTGTCTACACTCATTGTCTCTACTTGTTTACTTTTGCTCACTCTTTACTCCCTTCATTCACTCCTCTACCCCTCCAATATGATCTTTCTTACTCTCATGCCAGTGAAGCTACTTTTGTCAAAATCACCAACCTTGTTGCCAGTACAATGGGCATATCATTTAACTTTTCAACATTTCACACACCTAGTCTTGAAACATTCACCTGAATATGATTTATCCTCGTTTTATTTTTACCTTATTGGCCACTGCTTCTCAGTCTCTATAGATAAATCTCTCCTTCTCTGTGGAACTTTTATCTAATTGTTAAGAACCTCAGGATTTGTCCAGGGCCCTTTTTAAAATCTATGTTCCCTCCTAGATGATTACATCCTGTCTTGGGACTTTAAATATCATAAATATGAGGAAGACTCCAAAATGTGTATGTCCAGCTAGATCTTCTCTCCTGAGCTCCAGGCTTTCATATCTAGTTGTCTTCCTGACATCCCCTCTAATAATATAACTATTGGGCAGCTCACTCTCAATACATTCAAATGGAAGTCTTGAGTTTTTTCCCTCTTCAAACCCGAGCTTATGCCAGTCTCCCCACATTAGCCAAAGTGCCACCATCTACCCAGTATTGCAAACCAAAAACCTAAAGTTTTCTGGAATTTCTTCATTTTTTTCCCTCACACTCCACATCCAATCCATCATCAAGCTCTGTTATTTCTATCTCTAAAATATATCTCAAATCTTTTTACCTCTGTCCATCATCTTTACTGTTCTTCCAGTCCAAGTCACCATCATCTTTCCCCTGTAAAAACAACAGTTTTTTAAAAGACAATGTAAATCTTTTAAAAATGTAAATCGGATCAGTTAATTCTCCTGCTTAAAAATCCCTCAGTTCCCACGCCTCTCTCCCTGTAGTTCATAGAATAAATCCAGATTGTTTTACTATGGTCTTCAAGGCTTTATATGACCTGGCTTCTGTCAAATTTGTCTCCTATCATTCTCCCTCTTTCTTTCTAGGTTTCAGCCTCATTGCGCTTCTAATTCCTGCAACATTACATGCCAGTTCAATCCTTTGGGCTTCTGTACTTTCTGTTTTCTGTGCCTGGAATACTTTCCCCCTACCTCTTACATGGCTGGCTCGCCTTAAGCCTTTAGGCCTTAATTTGAATACCTTCTCCTTGGAGAAGCCTTCCTTATCTAAACTCCCTTTCCTCCCCCAGAGTTACTCTATCCCTTCACTTTCTTTCTTTTATAGCACTTATCACCATCTGTATTAGCACATTTGCTTACCAGATTTAGTTGTTTATTGAATAGAAATGAGGGCATGAACTCTGTCCATCTTGTTCACTGCTATGGCATCAGTGCTTAACATACTATACCTGGCACATTGTAGGCACACATATTTATTGATTTTATGAATAAATAAAAATAGGTAGTAATGTATGTACGAAATATTGCTTTGTAAAGATAAGAGTTTATAATATACACGTTAGTCTTGGGCCTCCAATATTTGGAATTATAGTAGTTGTGTCCTTTCAGTATTTACCCGTTTTCACTACTGCACTCCACTCACTGGAGAATCAAGGGTTTGAGTTTTTATCCCAGCTCAGCCACTAACTTACTTTGTGACTTTGGGAGCTCCTTCCATTCCCTGGGGCTATATCTTCTCATCAGTAAAATGAGACTGTTGGAGGAAATAATCTTTACAATTATTAAGGCCAACTCTGATATCTATGGATCAGTGATTCTTTAACACTCTTAGGTACACAATTAGTGTGTTCATTGTATGACTGGAGAACCTGAGTCACAGATAAGCTGGGACATGACTGTCTTTCTCTTCATTTTGCTCATGGCCCTCTACTAGAGTGGAGAGCTGGTGCCTGGCTAGGTACCAAAGAGGCTTCTGGGAGATCACAGGACTTCAAGAGAGTGAACACAGAGATTATGGAAACCCCTTTTCCAGATTTCTATTGTCCTGTCCTGAATTCTTACTGGCTTCCAGGCCCTGTGCTAAGTACTTTCCTTGGACAAATTTATCAAATCTTTGTAACTATCTTGTCAGCCCTATTCACAGATAAAGAAACTGTCAGGGCATAGAACATTGAATAATCTGCCCAAGTAAGTGGCAAAGCCAATAACTGAATACAATCCAAGTTGTTCTGACTTCAGAGATTATGCCCTACCAACTACATTATGTCTCCTCTAACTACTCATATGGTTCTAGGCAAATAGGTGCTCAAGACATAATGACTGGATTCAACAGCATCTATTTACACCTCTGGGATCAACACGTTTTTTGCAGGAGTCTCTAGGCACCTGTTTTTTGCAGGAGTCCCTAGGCTTTATATTAACACTGGCCTGTTTGCATCCAGATCCATTCTCCACTCTTCTCCTGAAAATTACATTTGTTAGATTTCCTTGCTTTCTCACTTCTTTTGTCCAATGGGAGACATGTACAGGAGATTGGTGGCTAGGAGGAAGGGAGAACCCAGGGTATTTCTCCCACCACCTGTATCAGAGAGGTGTTTTCTGGTGGTAGCTGTATTCCTCCATGGCTCCAGCTCCTCTTGAACAACTCTTCCATTCATGGCACCTGCTTCCAATAGGCTGTCCAACCCATGATTTTAGCTTCTGCATGGCTTCATCTGTTATCCGTCCATCCCTACGAGTGGTAGCAGCTTTCTGTGTTTGTTAAATGCTAGGTTGCTGCATCCTCATCCTCTGTCTGGCTTGTTAGCTCTGTAAGTGTCATGCATTAAATGCTCGCAGTTTAAAAGACCTAGGGTGGTTTTTATTTTCCTGATTGGACCATGACCGGCACAGATACTTTCCACAATTCCAGGGCTACTCACATCACATAAATTGGTTTATATCCTTCAGAGCACATATTACAATCTCTAAATATTTTTGTTTGTTTACTTATTTATTGTCTATCTCTCTTCTGTAAGTAGATTGTAAGGTCCATGAGGAACTTTGTCTTGTATCCTGAGCATCTGTCACAATGCCTGGCACACAGGGGCTAAATGATAATGTTGAATGAATGCATCCATCAAAAAATTCCAAGTTTTTATTGGGTATTTACTATGTGCCAGTCACTGTTGTAGAAGATGCAGAAATTAGTAATTCATTGCCACTGCTTCAAAAACACATAATGCCATTTAAGTGAAAGGGGACAGTAAAATGTTCATATGACCATTGTGTTAGTTCGCTAGGGCTGTGCCATAACAAAATACCACAGACTCTGTGGCTTAAACAACAGAAATTGAGTTTCTTATAATCCTGGAGGCCAGAAGTCTGAGAACAAGGTATCAGTGGGGTTGGGTCTTCTGAGGCCTCTCTCCTTGGCTTGCTGTTTAGATGACTGTCTTCTCCGAGTCATCAGATTCTGAGGTACTGGAAGGACTTCAACATATAAATTTTGGGGGAAAACAATTCAGCCCGTAACATCCAGGAAATAAAAAGATCATTTTTAATCGAGACAGTGAAATCGTAGTGCTATAGGAATCAAATGAAAGATGACAAAATCAGGGCCTGGAGGTATTCCTGGAAAGCTTTCTAAAGGTGGTGTGCCTGGTGCCAGATCTTGAACAGTCATGACAGTTTGAATGGGCTGGTTGGCAGGGGAGGTGCATCCAAGATACTGAGCATGAAAGAAGGCCCAGAGATGGGAAAGTGAGAGAACATTGTGGAATCACTGATGCCTGGGTTACCAGACTTGGGAGGGAAGTTGAAAGGTCATCCAGGGCAACCTCCCATTTGATTCAGGAATCCCTTGCCAAAGGGTCATTCAGCTTCTGCTTGTACACCTCCCATGATGGGGTGCTCATTAAGGTACTGCTTCTATCTTTGCCCAGCTCTGCATGGACAAAACAACAGGTTGGATGAAGTGCAGAAGTTGTGCTAAAAAGAAGAGGACAAATAAAGTACGTGTAACAGGCCAGTGATGTCTTCATGTCAATTATCTCCAGGAACTTCTTTCTAATATCATACTGTAACTCCTTTTACTTTGGTTGCAACCTCTGTTTTTGCAATTCTGTCTTTGCCTGACCTGCTCTTCTAGTCAGGAGCCTTGGATTCTTGTCTTGTTTGGCTGTGCTACTTTAAGCAGAAGTCTTTCAATCTCTGGGCTTCAGTGTTCAAGTCTGTAATGGTGGGCAATTAAGAATCCTTGTTGTGTCCATCTCATAGAGTTACTGTGAGGATTATAAGGGATAATAACAGATGTTAGTGTGACTGACAAAGTCAATTTTTAGCCTAAGCAAAGGTACCAGCCTGTGTTGTGTTCCCCAGAGTTGGGGGAATCATAAAGAGGTGGGTGGTTTCTCCGTTTGCCTGTTTCGCTGATGTGCATTCAACTCATTCTCAGCAAAATAAGCAAATGGAAAATTCGTCCATCAACAAGCTACCTTTCATGTTCCTAAGGGCATGAAGGAGAAGCCTGGAGTGGTGTGTGTGAGATAGAAAGGGAGAGATAGCCGAAAGAGGCTTGGAAAGCCGCAGAGGGTAAAGTCGAGGATTTATCTTTTTTTTTTCTTTAATGTGACCTTATGCCCCTTCCCTCTTCCAAACCTCCATTTATTTATCTATAACTTGGAGATACTAATGGCTGCCTCTACAGGGTTGTTCTGAGAAGTGAAAGTAATGCAGATGAAAGCTCTCAGATAGTACACAAAGAGAGAAGACCCTAGGGGAGTATGCAGAGGGAGGGTGGGGGAGGGAGGCATGAGAGTGCTGGCTTGGCTCCACTGGGGCAGGATCTTATTATTCTGGAGATTGGCACAACACCTCTGGTAACTTTGGAAAGGACTTTCCGCTGACTCGACACAATTGGGAAGCCCCACAATAAACAGCATCTAACTCCAGCGCAGCGGGAGGCAGGCAGAGGTAGCAGCTGCCTTCTCCTGGGCGGGCGGAGGCTATTCGCCCCCATCCTCTCCCTGCACCCCACCCCCACAGTTCTCAAGCCTTGGTGGGGGACAAAAGCAGCCCATTAGGACCCCCCCACACTCGCACCTCTCCCTGCCAAGACCTCTAGGAGCAGCAGGGCGGAGAGACAGAGCCTGCCGGTTGGCATGGAACAAACTGACTGAAGGCGAGGTCCGGGGCGGAGGGGATTGGGTTGTAGGGCTGTGGAGGAGGGGCGGCGGAGGGGGCGCTGGGGCTCTCGCTTGCTTCAGCCCAGCCCTTCTAGTCAGCCCGCGACAACTCGCGCCAGCTACGGGGCCTCAGAGAAGCCGGACTTCGCAAGCACCATGCAGTGGATAAGGGGCGGATCGGGAATGGTGAGTGCATGTAACCTTGGCTTCCCTTGCTTGAGCCTCTCAGTCCCCCAGCCCCACCTCCAGTTCCTCCAACGAGCCACAAGGCAGTGAGCACCCTGGCCTCTGCCCACCGCCCTAGCCGCCGTCCTTGAGACACCAGTGAGCTTGCTGTGGCCATTTTAGGAGTCCCTGCTAGCCTGCCTGCCCAGGAAACCCCCCTACCATCCCCCTCCACTTTTCTATCTCCCTCTGAGATTAAGGTGGAATAGGGGTGGGGGCCAGATTATGTGCCCAGGAACATCCCAGGGGTCACTTGGGAGGCCAGAGAGGGAAGGGGGATGGCAGAGGGCTTCTCTGGAAGCAGTGAAGCTCGCAGGAGGCTGACAAGCTGGCACGGGGTTGTGGGGGGAGGGGACGGTCACAAAGCCTGGAATTGTGGAGGGGGCCTTATGGGAGAGCTGCATGACTCCCCCCTGCCCCCAACTAGATTTTCTGCAACTCCTTTCCCTGGTCAGCCCCAGAGCATGAGGGCCAGAGAGCCACTCTCTCTCTCTCAGGAAGCTGCCTGAGGGAGCCCTAAAGCCCTTCCTTGTCCGGGCTGGGGTCACCCTGTCCACACTTGGGGCTTTGTCAAGGAGAGACAGCTGCAGAAACCCACATTCTGGAAATGGGCTTGGGCCACAGTCAGTTAACAGAGCTCTTCTCTCCCTCCCAAGGAGTGTGTGCTTGTGTGTGTGTTTAGTATAATCCTCCAACAGTTCATTTTATGCCATGGTGTTCCCTTCTCCACCTGGAGACCTTGGAATGACTTCCTTTTGCAGAGAGGAAGTGGTGGCTGCATTTTGATGCCTCTCTGACTTAGCCAGGAGCAGCTTAAGCCTGGTTAGGGCCTCTGGGGAGTGGGAGGCCCCCATGACTTTGTCCTCAGCTGGGAGGCATAAGCAAAAGGGCCTTAGAAGGCAGTTAGGTTGGGTCAGCAGGCACTGATGGCAATAGCCCACACTTCTACGCTGCCACCCATAACCCGCAGATGAAGGAAAGTAGCCTGAAGTGGTTGGGCAAAAACTGATATTTAACTCCATTTTTGCTTTCATTGTGGAGGGGAAGAGGGAATCTGGTGTGGGCTAGGACTATATTCAGAGGGGCTGTCCTCTTCCCTTCCTCAGAGTTTTGTTAGATCTCTGTTTCAGTGGTTCTTAAGGGCATCCGGTTCATATGCCTATGTGCTGGGGCTTCAAAAGACCCTTCTTCCCAGACCTCCCTACTTCCCTGAGGTCCCATTAAAGCTGCATCAAATGTTTGTAGAACCAGAAAAGATTAGAGCAGGTAAAGACCTTAGAGTCCTTGCTGTCCAGCCAGGAAAGCTGGGATCCAGAGAGTGGGAGAGACTTGCCCAGGACCACAAACTCCTTGGAGGCAAAGCTGAGTCTAGCACTTGAGTCTCCTGACTGCCACAGTCCTTCCCCACTGCTCCACCAATCATTTGCTCAAATGGTGCTGAGAGGGGAAGAAAGGAACATAGTCATGATCTTGGGAAAGGACTTTCTTCAGGATGATCTAGTGCCATTAAATTTACCTGAAAGCCGGGCGCGGCCGCCCACGCCTGTAATCCCAGCACTTTGGGAGGCCGAGGCGGGTGGATCATCTGAGGTCGGGAGCTCAAGAACAGCCTGACCAACGTGGAGAAACCCCGTCTCTACTAAAAAGACAAAATTAGCTGGACGTAGTGGCACATGCCTGAGGCTGAGGCAGGAGAATCACTCGAACCCAGGAGGGGGAGGTTGCGGTGAGCCGAGATTGTGCCGTTGCAGTCCAGCCTGAGCAACAAGAGCGAAACTCCATCTCAAAAAAAAAAAAAAAAAATTACCCGAAAAAAATCCATGCCAGTCCTGGCATTTCTGGCAACTGGGAACTGGGTCAGGGTGAGACTTACTTCCTCTCCCAAATATATTGAAGTATAGGGGCCCAGAGCCACTCATTGACAACAGGTTAAATTAATGAAGAAATTTGAAGTTTTGCCAACAGTGTATGAGAGAGAAAAGGGTGGCAGACATCTTGTGGAGACTGTGTAATTAAGGATTGGTTGATGGGGAAAAATCTCATAATATTCTTAGAGGACTGAGACAATGAATATTATATGATGAAAGCATTTATTTAGCTGTTTACCAGAATTCAAGAGATGGGAGTAGTAAACTCTATTCTTGCCTGAGAGGCAGGGAACCTCTAAGTTTTGGCCTTGCCACTAACAGAAATCCTTTGGGCCTCAGATTTCTTACCTATTAAATGCGGATGTTAATAAGCACCAAAATTCCTTCTAGGCCTTAGATTCTCAGATTCCTAGAAGTATGTGTTGGATAAAATTTAACTAGTGGCTCATTACGAACAAATAGGGATTGTGTATCTAGCCACCATTTTATAACGTGGCTAGCTGAAAGATCTTTGCTCCTTGTTCTTTCGTTTGCAAGGTGCCCGAAGTACAAACTGAGCTTTTTATAACAGTGAGATTTCTTTTTAGTACATTTGACTGTAGTAACTTATTTCAAGTGTTACATGTAAATCGTGGGCCTTGAACATAAAACATTGTTCAAGATTTTACAGAATAAAATCTGTCTCATAGATACAGGATGCTAAACTGTGAGTTCACACTGGACGGTAAATTGTTATTTATTCTTGGCTTCTTTCTGCAATGCCAGTTTGTGCTGGGTTAGCCAGTATGCCTAAATTGGAAAGAACACTGTTCTCAGAGTAACAAATCAGAGGTTTAGGACCCGGCTTTTATGTTTCTCAGTCCTGAAACTATTACCAATTGTCGAACCTACTTTATTCTCAGTATTCTCTTACATAAAATGGGGATAAAGTGCCTTTTTATAGGTACTATCGGGTCATTAATTTATTCAACACAAATGTAGGGGATCTGCTATGAAATGACACTGATCTAAGTTCAGGGGAGATCACAATGAAAAAAAATTCCTCACTTTCATGGAGCTTATATTCTAGGGGTTGTGAAGTTCATTAAACCATAACAGAAATGAATATACACTATGTCAGGAGGTGGTAATCACTAGGAAAAAAAATAAAACCTGTTAAGAGCATAGAGACACATGGGAAGTTGGATGGTATATTAGATCCATCAAAGCCTCACTAGTTAAGGGGCATTTGAGCAAAGATGTGAAGGAAGTGCAGGAACAAGCTCTGTGTATATGTTTAGGAGAAGAGGATTTTAGGCATAAAGAACATCCAGAAAGAACACAACTGGTTTGTTTAAAGAACAGCAAGGAGGCCAATGTCCTTGGGATAAAGAATTAGTACATGGAAGAAGGATAGATGAAATCAGAGAGAAAACAGCCACTTTTATAGGGCATTATTCTGAGTGAGATTGGGAGCCATTGAAAGGTTTTGAACAGATGAGGGACATGATCTGACTTAAATTTTAACAGGAGGCTAAATTGTAGTGGGACAAGGACGAGAACTGTGAGGAGGCCCAGGTTAGACGTGATGGTTGCTTGGATCAGGGTGATAATGGTGGAGATGATCTATATGAAATGACTGACATCATTGTTTATAGATGATACGTGTCTTTCTCCTTTCTGATCACCTGCTCGGACCCTCAGATCGCTAAGAGTGGGGCTAGAAAGAACATAGAGTGGGTCTATACATGGAGGGGCATTTCATATCTAAGTCAATGTTCGAGTGATCTGCTTTTGGACTTCTGACCATGGTAGGGCTAATTGAGACTTGGTTCTATGTGGATTACCAATAAATTAATACCCTGCTTTCTGGAATTCTGGAGAAGAAGATTAAGTGTATTATTAGCACTTCAGTGTTGTGGTACACCTACTGTTTATCTGTAATATCTAGAATGGATCATTTTTAATAGTCTTATATATGAAAAAATTATTTTCAGTAATAATCAGTACTATTTATTATTTTCTTGATTTATTCTTTTATTTTCAATTACCGAGGAAAACAATACATTTTAATGGTAAAGATATTCAAATTCAAAATTTAACTCATGTATAAACTACAATGTGCACTCACTAAATAGAAGTATTACACCTTTCAATTTTCATTGTTTCACTGTTTTAGATTTTAAGCACACATAAAACTACAATTGGTCACACAGAATGACAGAATTGAAGTGACCCACATTCTGTTTTTTTTGTCTTTATAATCACTATGTTATTATTGTTTACTTTCAACCTACTGTGTAAATGCTGGAACATATAGTACCAGAGGGATTGTGGACACAAAACTGACCTAATGGTATCTTGAATGATTTTGAACCTTTACAAACTGAAATGAGCTGAACGAACACTTGTAGTTACAACTGTGTGCGTCAGGGGCCAACGATGCAACTGGGAGCTCTCTGAGTCAACTTCCATGTAGAATAAAGTGTCGATTAAAGGATAAATAAAAAGGTGCTAATTTCAAGCTTCATATATATTATTAAAAGTAACCACAATTGTTTTAAACTTTGACCAACCAAAGTTGTTTTGTTTTGTTTTTGTTGTTGTTGTTGTTTGTTTTTTGTATTAAGGAAGGAGTGTTTTATTTCTAACATTGTTTAAAATTGCTGGTGCAAGGTGATATAAAACGCTTTGACTTTTAGTCTTAAAAAAAATTATCTATAGCTAGTGTACTCTTGTTGCTTGCACTCAGGGTTGTCTGCTCCCATTGCCACACCTTTGGTGTGCCACCACTCTGGATAAGAATATGGAATTGTGGACCAATTCCATGCCAAATACCATATGACCTGTGTAAGAGTCATATATGACTCGGTGGCCATCTCTCCAGATGGAATGACCAACTGCAAGGTTTAACAGCTGATTTTACTTTATTCAGCTATGAATAACAGAAGTATATCTATACTGACTTAAAACACACAGGTTTTATTTTTTCACATAAAAAAAAATCAGGAGACAGGCATACCTGGGCCAGTATGGCAGCTTCAGGAAGTCTTTAGAGACTTTTCTCCTCTATCATCCATAGCACTTGGCTTCCATTATTCATAGTCCAAGATGAGTGCTAAAGCTCAAGAAAATCTATTAACATCCATAATTTTGGAAGGCAAAAGAGAAGGAAAAGTTCTTCACCCCTCCTTTTTAAGAAGTCTTCCTAGAAGTCCTATTTAATACTTCTACTTATGTCTCATTGAAGAACTGTGTCACATGGCTGCTGCTAGCTGCAAGGGAAGCTAGGAAATGCAGTTATATAAACTAGGTGGCAAGTGTACACCTAAAAATTGGGAGTAGGGTTTCTAATACAGAGGAAGAAGGGAAAAACGATGTTTTTGGGAGACAACCTGCAGTCATTGTCATGATTAGTTGAACTATATGCCTGCGATTGTAGAAACACAGAATCTAAGGGCTTGTAGTCAGCTTTGGACTGTGGGCCAAAGCCTGATAGATGTTGCTAATAGTAAAAATGCTGCTATCAATCTTGTGAAGGTTCAATAAACACCTGACATATCCTAGTCCTCCTATGCTTCCTTCTAGTGACAGTCTTTTTGTGAAACTAGATGGATGGTTATATGGTTTTGCTGTGTCCCCACCCCAGTCTCATCTTGAATTTTAGTTCCCATAATCCCCATGTGTCATGGGAGGGACCTGGGGGAAGGTAATCAAATCATGGGGTCAGTTACCCTCATGTTGTTCTCATGATAGTAAGTGAGTTCTCAAAAGATCTGATGGTTTTATAAAGGGCAGTTCCCCTGCACAGGCTCTCTTGTCTGCCACCATGTAAGATGTGCCTGTGCTCCTCCTTCACCTTCTGCCGTGATCGTGAGGCCTCCCCACCCATGTGGAACTGTGAGTCCATTAAACCTATTTTTCTTTATAAATTACCTAGTATCCGGTATTTCTTCATAGCAGTATGAAAATGGACTAATACAGTAAATTGGTACCAGTAGAGTAGGATACTGCTATTAAGATACCCCAAAATATGGAAGCAACTTTGGAACCGGGTAACGGGCAGAGGTTGGAACAGTTTGGAGGGCTCAGAAGAAGACAGGAAGATGTGGGAAAGTTTGGAGCTTCTTAGAGAATGGTTTAGGGCCTAGGTTTAGGACCTGGCTTTTACGTTTCTCAGTCCTGAAACTATTACCAATTGGCAAATCTACTTTATTCTCAGTATTATCTTACATAAAATGGGGATAAAGTGCCTTTTTATAGGTACTTTCAGGTTATTAATTTATTCAACACAAATGTAGAGGATCTACTATGAATTGACACTGATCAACCACTGAATGGTTTTGACCAAAAAGTCCAGGCTGAGGTGGTCTCAGATAGAGATGAGAAACTTATTGCGAACTGGAGCAAAGGTGATTCTTTCTATGTTTTAGCAAAGAGGCTGGCAACATTTTGCCCCTGCCCTAGAGATCTGTGGAACTTTGAACTTGAGAGAGATGATTTAGGATATCTGGTGGAAGAAATTTCAAAGCAGCAAAGCATTCAAGAGATGACTTGGGTGCCCTTAAAAGCATTCTGTTTTATTAATTCACACAGATATGGCTTGGAATTAGAACTTATGTTGAAAAGGGAAGCAGAGCATACAAGTTTGGAAAATTTGCAACCCTGGCCATGCAATAGAAAAGCAAAACCCATTTTCTGGGGGAGAAATTGAAGCTGGCTGCAGAAATTTGAATAAGTAACAAGGAGCCAAATGTTAATTGCCAAGACAATGAGGAAAATGTCTTCAGGGCATGTCAGAGGTCTTCCCAGCAGCCCCTCCCATCAAGTGCCTGGAGGTCTAGGAGGAAAAAATGGTTTCATGGGCCAGCCCAGGGCCTTGCTACTTTGTAAGGTTTTGGGACTTGGTGACCTGCATCTCAGCTGTGGCTAAAAGGGGCCAACGTAGAGCTCAAGCCATTGCTTCAGAGGGTACAAGCCCCAAGCCGTGGCAGGTTATACATGATGTTGGGCCTGCGGGTACACAGAAGTCAAGAATTGAGGCCAAACCTTCCCAAGAAAGTCTGCCTAGATTTCAGAGGATGTATGGAAATGCCTGGATGTCCAGGAAGGAGTTCAATGCAGCAGTGGAGCCCTCATGGAGAACTTCTGCTCAGGCAGTGTGGAAGGGAAATGTGGGGTTGGAGCTCCCACACAGAGTCCCCACTGGGGCACTGCCTAGTGGAGTTGTGAGAAGAGGGCCACTGTCCTCCGGACACCAGAATGATAGATTCAATAGCTTGCACTGTGTGCCTGGAAAAGCCATGGGCACTCAATGCCAGCCATGAAGGCAGCCTGGAGGGGGACTGTACCCTGCAAAGCCAGAGGGGCAGAGTTGCCCAAGCCTGTGGGAGTCCACCTCTTGTTTCACAGTGACCTGATGTGAGACATGGCGTCAAAGAAGATTATTTTGGAGCTTTAAGATTTGGCTGCTCCACTGGATTCTGGACTTGCATGGGACCTGTAACTCCTTTCTTTTGGCCAATTTATCCCATTTGGAATAGGCTTATTTACCCAATGTCTTTGTATCTAGGCATCTTTATGTCTATAATTTCATTGTATCTAAGAAGTAACTAACTTGCTTTTTATTTTCCAGGCTCATAGGCAGAAGGGACTTGCCTTGTCTCAGATGAGACTTTGGACTTGGACTTTTGAGTTAATGCTGGAGTGAATTAAGACTTTGAGGGACTGTTGGAAGGGCATGATTGTGTTCTGAAATGTGAGGACATGAGATTTGGGAGGGGCCGGTGGTGGAATGCTATGGTTTGGCTGTGTCCCCACCCAAATCTCATCTTTAATTGTAGTTCCCATAATCCCCATGTGTCATGGAAGGGACCTGGGGAGGTAATTGAGTCATGCGGGCAGTTACCCTCATGCTATTCTTGTGATAGTGCCTGAGTTCTCACAAGATCTGATGGTTTCATTAGGGGCTTTTCCTCCTCTTTTCTCTACACTTCTCCTTGCTGCCTCCATGTGAATAATGATGTGTTTGCTTCCCCTTCTGCCGTGATTGTAAGTTTCCTGAGGCCTCCCCAGCCAATGCTGAACTGTGAGTCAATTACACCTCTTTCCTTTATAAATTGCCCAGTCTCAGATATGTCTTTATTAGCAGTTCGAGAATGGGCTAATACATGACATGCTTCCTGGAGATAGGGGGTGCAAAATAGAGCAGTGTTTCTGGAGGATTTAGCGGGAGGAGATGACTAGTACAGTAGTACAGTCTCAGCCCTGATGAGTTTCAGATGCTTGGACAATCTTACATTGTAGATATCTAATAGGCAGTTGGTGATCAGATATTGAGCTCAGAGGGATTGGGAGGTATTGATGACAGTTGAAGTTCTGAGGGTAGATGAACTACCTAGCATTTAAAAGTGCCGTACAGCTTGGGAAAGTGAGAGGTAGGAGCAGAACTTGAATCTCCTTCTTTTTTAATTCTCCTAACCTGGAACAGTCCACTTTGTTATCTACTTTCTAGAATTTACATGTCAGCACTATTGTTTCAGGCTTTACTCTCTGCACAGTGCTCATGTTGCTTCTGGACTGCCTGAGCTATAATGTCCAAGTTGGATGACCTTGGGGATAATCTAGCTCAACTCCTTAGATCAGGGGTCAACAAACTATAGCCTGCTGGCCAAATCTAGCCAACAAGCTAAGAATGATTTTTACATTTTTAAATTGTTAGGAAAATATCAAATGAAGAATAGTGTTTGGTGGTACAAGTATATGAAATTATAATGAAATTCAAATTTCAGCATCCAAAAATAAACCTTCATTGGAACACAGCCATGCCCACTCATTTGCTTATTGTGTATCGCTGCCTTTGTGATACAAAAGCAGAGTTGAATAGTTGTGACAGAGACCATATGGCCCCCAAAGCTTAAAAAATTCAGTATTTGGCCCTTTACAGAAAAGGTTTGCAGACTCCTGGCTCTGAACCCTAGGGTTACCATGGCAGTGCCTTGGTGAGGGGGAGAAAGGAGCAGAAAGGAGTGTGGATCTCTCACCTCTGGTCTAGAGCACCTGGGGCCTTTGCTTTATACATTGGATTGTTGCTTAAGATTTTGGAAAAAGGGGTTTTTCTCATCCTGCATTCCCTCTATCCCCCACACAAAATGTACTGGGCTGAGGTGTGGGAGAGTCAAAGGAAGATGTGGCTTATGTCTTCAAGCAGCTTAGTATTGAGTAGGGGGGAAATAAAGACAGGCTGGACTAAATGCTTTAGGAATGTATATAGAAGATAATGTAAGGAAATAGGGGAGCAAGAACGTGGTGGGTGAGGGGTTCAGGGTATTGTGTAGGGCTTCCAAGAGACAGTATTTAAATGTACTTTTGATTTTATTTTTTATTTTTATCTTCTAATTTTTATTTCAGGTTCAAGGAGTATGTGTGCCAGTTTGTTATATGGGCAAATTGTGTGTCATGGGGTTTGATGTATAGATTATTTCTTCACCTAGGTAATAAGCATATTACTCAATAGGTATTTTTTCAGTCCTCACCCTCCTCACATCCTTCACCCTCAAGTAGGCCTCAGTGTCTGTTGCTCCATTCTTTGTGTCCATGTGTACTCAATGTTTATCTCACACTTGTAAGTGAGAACATGCAGTACTTGGTTTTCTGTTTCTGTGTTAATTCGCTTAGGATAATGACCTCCAGCTCCATCCATGTTGCCGCAAAGGACATGTTCTCGCGTTTTTATGGCTGTGTAGTATTCCATGGTGTATATGTACCATATTTTCTTTATCCAATCCACTGTGACGGGCATCTAGGTTGATTTTATGTCTTCGCTATTGTGAATAGTGCTGTGACGAACATACATGTGCATATATCTTTATGGTAGAATGATTTATATTCCTTTGGCTATATACCCAGTAATGGGATTGCTAGGTGAAATGGTATCTCTGTTTTAAGTTCTTTGAGAAATCTCCAAACTGCTTTCCACAGTGGCTTAACTAGTTTACATTCCCACTAACAGTGTATAAGTGTTGCCTTTTCTCTGCAACCTCATCAGCCATTTGTTATTTTTTGACTTCTTAATAATAGGCATTCTGACTGGTGTGAGATGGTATCTCATTGTGGTTTTGATTTGCATTTCTCTAGTGATTAATTATGTTGAATATTTTTTCATATGCTTCTTGGCCACATGTATGTCTTCTTTTGAGAAATGACTATTCATGTCCTTTGCTCATTTTTTAATGAGGTTGTATTTTTTTTGTGTGTGTGCTTATTGATTTGTATAAGTTCCTTGTAGATTCTGGATATTAGAACTTTGTTGGATACATAGTTTTCAAACATTTTCTCCCATTCTGTAAGTTGTCTGTTTACTCTGTTTCTTTTGCTGTGCAGAAGCTCTTTAGTTTGATTAGTTGCATATGTTAACTTTTGTTTTTGTTGCAATTGCTGTTGGTGTCTTTGTCATGAAATCTTTTCCAGGGCCTATGTCCAGAATAGTGTTTTCTATGTTATCTTCTAGGGTTTTTATATAAACTGCATTTTTACAGCCTTTCACATAGCACAGTTGCATAGGATGGGGAGTAGGCATGGTAGGTGAAGCATGAGTTGTTCCAAGCAGAGGGTACAACATAAGATAAAGAATCAAGGCATTAAAGGAATAATAAGTTCTGGAAATAGCACATTAGTGTTCTGGTGTGGCTGGAGCCTGTAATTCTGGCAATGTGTACTGGGGCTAGAACAAGAGCTCAGAAGCTTTGCTTGGTAGAAAGGATACATGATGAAACAAAGTAGTGGAGGATTCCTTTGGCAACACAGGACACTGGCAGAGTGGGTTGGAAAAGGAGAGGGGTTGCATTTGACAACCAGAGGCAAATTACACAGATATTATGATAGGCAATCTCAAATACTCTGACTGAAATGAATGTCTGTTGTAGAAGTTTCATGGGAAAAACGTATGATTAAAAGTCAGATGGACCTGGGTTTGAGTCCTGCCTCCACCAGCAGCTGTCACAATGTGTCCTTGGCCAGAATCCTAAACCTCTCTGAACTTCAGATCCTTATCAATTAAATGAGGGTAATACCTTGTATTAGTAAAGGTTCTTTAGAGAAGTAAAACCAATAGAATGGATGGGTGAGTGGATAAGTAGATAGATAGATAGATAGATAGATAGATAGATAGATAGATAGATAGATATTATAATGGATTTGCTCATGATTATGGAGGCTGATAAGTCCTAAGATCTGCATTCTGCAAGCTCAAGTCCCAGGAGAGTTAATGTGTAGGTGTAGCCCTAGTATGAAGGCCTGAGAACCAGAAGAACTGATGGTGTGAATGCCAGTCTGAAAGCCATCAGACTTGAGACACAAGAAAAATTGATGTTTCAGTCCAAAGTCTTAAGGCTAGAAAAAAACAATGTCCCAGCTCAAGCAGTCAGGCAGGAGGAATTCCCCTTTACTTGGCCTTTTTGTTCTATTCATATCTTCAACTGATTGGATGGAGGCTCATCCACATTGTGGAGGGCAATCTTCTTTACTTTGTCTACTGATTCAAATGCTAATTGCATCTGGAAAAGTCCTCACAGACACACCCAGAGTAATGTTTGATCAAATATCTGGGCACCCTGTGGCTCAGTCAAGTTGATACATTAAAATTAACTATCACATAGCCCTTGCTTGTCTTCCCAGTCTGCTGTGAGAATCAGATGATTGAGTAGGTATAGATGGGAAAGTGTTGTGTGAACTGCGCTACTCTGTATCTGTGTGGGGAGTAATTATTATTCCTGACAGGACAGAGGAGACACACACTTGGGTGGGCAGAGTATGATCTTTCCCACTTCCCTGAATTTATACCTTAGAAGATCATACCTTCTCCTTCTATGAGTGCTAAGAAATCCAATAGGAATTTTATTCACAAGGAACAATCCCTCCTGCCCCAACCCAAGGCTTCCTGGATTCTGTGCTAGAGAAAAGACTGAGAAAACACCAAACAGTCCTATGATATAATGTGAGGAGCTTCTTCTTAAGATATCATTGCTTTTAAAGTTTTCATATGATGCTGATTTTGTTTTTTGTGTTTGTGTGTATGTGTGTTAGAATGTGGTTAGTTCTGTAAGTGGTTAAGCTGCTAGATGATGGAAACTAGACAGTGGAGGAGAGAAATGCATTTAGCTATCTCTAAGAGATCCTATTGCCATGAGGACATATACTGTCAAAGGGTCATCCTAGCACACCAGAGAAGTGACATTTCAGCTGAGTCAGTTGTGTAGAGACTTGGGGAAAGATCCTGACACATTTGGATTACAATTAAAAAAAGGAAGAGACAGTGAGGCTTACGGGAAGTTGAGGGGAGGCAGCAGGAATAGCATATGCAAAGGGCTTCAGGTTGAAACAACTTGGTACACTTGAGAGACAGAAAGAAGGCTAGTGTTACTGACACAGTGAGAGAGGGGGACAAGTGGCATGATAAGAGGGTAGAGAGTAAGGCAGGGACCAGCTCACAGAGAACCTTGTAAGCCCTAGGAAAGTATGCATTGGCTATACTCAAAGTTAGTGTGGTTCAGTGGTCAATAGCACAGACTCTGAAACCATACTCCCTGGGTTCAAATTCTGACTGTGTCACTTCTTAGCTATGTGACCTTGAGAATGTTACCTAATCTTTCTGTGCCTCAGTAATGCCCTCTGAAAAGTGAGGAAAATAATGACACTATTCATACTGTTATTGTGAGGATTAAGTGAGTTAACATGCTCACAGTGTGCATGGCAGTACTAGGCACATGGCAAGCATTATTTATTTTAAACACAATAGGAAGTGTTCGAAAGAGTGGAATGATAGGGTCTGCTTTGTGATACAAGAAAAGGACTTTTGCAGGCCCTGTAGAGAATGGATAGGAGATGGTAAGCCCAATTGAGTGGCTGCTGCAAAAATCCATGCAGCTATTGGAGTTGGATAGAGGAAGGAAGACCGACATCCATTTTTGAAATAAAATCAATGGGACTTGCTGGTGAATTAATTCAGAGACATATAAGACAGAGAGGTAACAAGGAAGATGACCCCTAGGTTTCTGGCTCTGCCACAGACCAGCTGTGTAATTTTGAGTAAGTGACTTCACCTGTTTAAGCTTCAGTTTCCATATTTATTAGTGAGGGTTCTCCAGAGAAACAGAACCAATAAGATATGTACATACATAGAGAAAGAGAGATTTATTTTAAGGAATTGGCTCACACAGTTTTGGTGGTGCAAGTCCAAAATCTGCAGGGTAGGTAGGCAGGCTGGAGACCCAGGGAAGAGTTGCAGTCAGAGTCCAAAGGCAGTCTGCTGTCAGAATTCCTTCTTGCTCAGGGAAGGTCAGACTTTAATTGCATTAAGATCTTCAAGTCGGGCATCGTGACTCATGACTGTAATCCCAGCAGTCGGGGAGGCTGAGGCAGGTGGATCACTTGAGGTCAGGAATTAAAGACCAGCCTGGCCAACATGGTGAAACCCTGTATCTACTAAAAATACAAAAATTAGCCAGTCGCGGTGGCTCATGCCTGTAATTCCAGCTACTCGGGAGGCTGAGGCATGAGAATCACTTGAACCTAGGAGGCAGAGGTTGCAGTGGGTTGAGATCATACCACTGCACTCCAGCCTGGATGATGGAATGAGACTCTGTCTCAAAAAAAAAAAGTTCTTCAACTGACTGGATGAAGCCCACCTACATTATGCAGGGTATTCTGCCTTACTCAAAGTCCACCAATTTAAACGTAAATCTCGTCTATTAAAATACCTTGACAGAAATATGCAGAATAATCAACCAATTATCTGAGCACGGTGGCTCAGCCAAGTTGATACATAAAATTGACCATCATGCCTTTCCTATGAAATTGGAAAAATGATAATATCCAGTCATTGGTACTATTGTTTTGAGCATGAAATAATATGAATTTAAGTGAATAATATTCATTTAAAGCACTTGGTACAGTGTCTTTCATATAGCAAGGGCCCAATTAATGATAGCCTTTACTATTTCAATGTAATAATAATCCTTCACATTCATTTGGTATTTCATATTTTCAAAGTACCTTCACAAGATATACAAATGGTCAACAAACATATGAAAAAATGCTCAGTGTGACTAATGACCAGGGAAATGCAAGCTAAAACCACAATGAGATACAACCTTACTCAGCCAGAATAGCTATTATTAAAAAGTCTACAAACAATAGATGTTGGCGTTTATGTGGTGAAAAGGGAACACTTATATACTGCTGGTAGAAATGTACTGTATTAGTTTGTTTTCACGCTGCTGATAAAGATATACCTGAGACTGGGCAATTTGCAAAAGAAAGAGGTTTAATTGGACTTACAGTTTCACATGCCTGGGGAAGCCTCACAATTATGGCAGAAGGCAAGGAGGAGCAAGTTACATTGTATGTGGATGGCAGCAGGCAAAGAGAATGTACCACCAGAGGAAATGCCAGGTACTTATAAAACCATCAGATCTTGTGAGAACTCACTCACTATTATGAGAGTAGTAGGAGGAAACCACTCCCATGATTTAATTATCTCCACCTGGCCCCACCGTTGAACAAGTAGGGATTATTACAATTTTAGGTGAGATTTGGGTGGGGACACAGAGCTAAACCATATTATTCCGCCCTTGGTCCCTCCCAAATTTTATGTTTTTACATTTTAAAACCAATTTTGCCTTTCCAACAGTCCCCCAAAGCCTTAATTTATTTTAGCATTAACCCAAAAGTTTACATTTTAAAATTTGAGGCAAAGCAGGTTCCTTCCACCTATGAGCCTGCAAAATTAAAAGCAAGCTAGTTACTTTCTAGATACAGTGGGGGTACAGGTATTGGGTAAACACAGCCATTTTAAATGGGAGAAATTGGCCAAAACAAAGGGGCTCCAGGCCCCATGCAAGTTTCAAATACAGCGGAGCAATTAAATTTTAAATCTTTAAAATGATTTCCTTTGACTTTATACTTTACATTCCAGTTACGCTGATGTAAGAGGTGGGCAGTTAAATTTTAAAGCTTTAAAATGATTTCCTTTGACTTTATATTTTACATTCAGGTTACATTGATGGAAGAGGTGGGTTTTTATGGTTTTGGGCAGCTCCACCCCTGTGGCTTTGCAGGGAACAGCCTCCCTCCTGGCTGCCTTCACGGGTTGGCATTGAGTGTTTGCAGCTTTTTTAGGCACAAGATGCAAGCTGTTAGTGGATTTACCATTTTGGGGTTTGGAGGACAGTGGCCCTCTTCTCACAGCTCCACTAGGTGGTGCCCAGTAGGGACTCAGTGTGGGGGCTCGACCCCACATTTTCCTTTCACACTGCCCTAGCAGAGGTTTTTTATGCATCTCCCCCTCCCACAGCAAACTTTTGCCTGGGCATCCAGGCATTTTTATACATTTTTTGAAATTTAGGTGGAGTTTTCTAAACCTTAATCTTTGACTTTTGTGCATCTGCAGGCTTAACACTACATGGGAGCTGCCAAGGCTCGGGCCTTGCACCCTCTGAAGCAACAGCCTGAGCTGTACCTTGGCCCCTTTTATTTATGGCTGGAGTGGCTGGGACACAGGGCACCAAGTCCCTAGATTGAATACAGCAGAGGGACCCTGGGCCCGGCCCAAGAAACAATTTTTTCCTCCTAAACCTCTATGTCTATGATGGGAGGGCTTGCCATGAAGACCTTTGACATGCCCTGGAGACACTTTCCCCATTGTCTTGGGGATTAACATTTAACTTCTTGTTACTTACGCAAATTTCTGCAGCCTGCTTCAGTTTTTCCTTAGAAAATGGGATTTTTTTTTTTCATTGCATTGTTAGGCTGCAAATTTTTCAAACTTTTATGCTTTGCTTTTATTATAAAACTGAATGTCTTTAGTAGCACCCAAGTCACATCTTGAATGCTTTGCTGCTTAGAATTTTTTTTTCACCTGATACCCTAAATTTTTTTTTTTAAGTTTAGTTTCACAAATTTCTAGGGCAGGGGCAAAATGCCGCCAGTTTCTTTGCTAAAACATAACAAGAGTTACCTTTGCTTCAGTTACCAACAAGATCCTTATGTTTATCTGAGACCACCACAGCTGGACTTTATTGTTCATATTGCTATTAGCATTTTGGGCAAAGCCGTGTAACAAGTTTTTAGGAAGTTTTTAACTTTCCCACATTTTCCTGTCTTCTTCTGAGCCCTTCAAACTGTTTCAACCTCTGCCTGTTACCCAGTTCCAAAGTTTCTTTCACATTTTTGGGATTTTTTTTTAGTAGCACCCCACTCCCGGTACCAATTTACTGTATTTGTTTGTTTTCACACTGCTGATACATACATACCTGAAACTGGGCAATTTACAAAAGAAAGAGTTTTAATTGGACTTACAGTTTCACATGGCTGGGGAGGTCTTACAAGTATGGTGGAAGGCAAGGAGGAGCAAGTTACATTTTAAGTGGATGGTGGCAGGCAAAGAAAAAATGTACCAGCAGGGGAAATGCCAAATGTTTATAAAACCATCAGCTGTCATGAGAACTCACTCACTATTACAAGAACCATATGGGGGAGACTGCCCCATGATTTAATTACCTCCACCTGTCCCCTCCCTTAACATGTGGGAATTATTACAATTAAAGGTAAAATTTGCCTGGTGACACAGAGTCAAACAATATTGTATACATTAGTACAACCTCTATGGAAAACAGTATAGAGATTTCTCAAAGAACCAAAAGTAGATCTTCCATTTGATCCAGCTATCTCACTACTGGGTATCTGCCCAGAGGGAAAGAAGTCATTATATCAAAAAGACACCCACACACATATGTTTATCACAGCACAATTCACAATTGCAAAGATATGGAATTAACCTATGTGCCCAACAATTGATGAGTGGATGAAGAAAATATGGTATATAAACACCGTGGAATACTACTCAGCCATAAAAAGGGACTAAGTAATGTTTTTTGAAGTAACTTGGATGGAGCTAGAGGCTCTTATTACAAGTGAAGTAACTCAGGAATGGAAAATCAAATACTGTATGTTCTCACTTATAAGTGGGAACCAAGCTATGGGTACACAAAGGCATACAAAGTGGTATAATTGATATTGGAGACTCAGAAGGGGAAGGGTTGGAGGACAAAAAATAAAAAACTACATATTGGGTACAATGTACAATACTTGGGTGGCTGGTGCACTAAAATCTGACTTCACCACTATACAATTCATCCATGTAACCAAAAACCACTTGTTCTCCAAAAGCTACTGAAATAAAGAAAAAGTGCCTTGACATGCATGAATTCATGTAATCCTCACAACAACACTCTCCCTACTTTAAAGGTGGGGAAACTAAGGCTGGAAGAGGGGGAATATCTTCTCCATGCAACTATCTCCAAACAGAGCCAGAATGAAAACCAGGTGTGTAACACCATAGTAGTTATTTGGTCATTACTCTTCTCACTTGCCAGGAGTGAACGCTGCCCAGCCTCCTTCATTCTAGAGGTGAGGGGTACCAGGAATAAGGTTATAAATACAGTATGTCTTAAGAAAGATAGCTTACCTTTCCCAAGCCAGCGTTTATTTTGTGCCAGGCACTGTTCTAAATGTTTTTGCATGTGTATCTAATACAATCTTCTCAACAATCTTATGAGGTCGGCACAATTCTTCTTTTTTTAACTAAAGAACTTTATTAACCTTTGTCTCAAACTTTATTCCCAGGCTTCTTCATCTTAATTAGCTGCAAAGGGTGAATTGTTTATAAGCAAAAACTGAAAACAGCTGCAGTGTCCAAGGGGCTTGGGCTTAAAAATATTACAGAACTAGATTTTATCAGATCCATAAACAAAAATTTTTTAAAAGCAGTCATAATATAAAATAGCAGCTCCCAGTAACTTCTTCAAGTTTTATCTTCTTCAGAAGTTGACTCAATTCAGTTTGCCTCATTCTTGGAAGCCTCATCAAAATTTTCTACAAGATCTGGAACTTCATCATCGTCATCCTCTCCAGTAGCAAGTGGTGCTTTCCATCCACGTATTGTTTAGGCAGAGCTTCAGCCAGTCTCCTTAAACTAGCCAAACTGCACCAAGCTGGTTTAAGATGCTGCATGGCATTTCTGTCAGCTGCTTTGTCACAGCATGGCCTGTAATGGTGAAAGTGTTCACTGCTAGAGATGCCTAAACTTTAGGGTTGTTAAAGTGGATCACTGTTCCTTGGTTTGTAAACATATTCACCTCTTCAATACCAGAGACAGTGTTTACCTCTAACTTCTTTAAGGAGAACTGAAGTTTTTAATCATCTGCTGTGGCTGTTTTATGAACCACCTCCTTCTTTCTGTGAGCAGTTCCTTTCCTGCAGTTTGGTGGGTTTTCCTGGCCCATGATTGTTTCTTTCATCTTGTCGGAGTGGATGAGGGGCCGCGTGGGGGACTAGGGTTGGTGATCAGGGGTCTTGGATGGCTCAGCTGAGGTTAGGCACGCACATGCAGAGACACAAGATGGGAGATAGAGGGGCACAGTTCTTTAGTGAGGAAAATGCAGGTAGGGCATGGAGGAGAGGGACACTCAGTTCATACGCTGAGAAGACTCAAATGACTTTTGCCCTTTCTTCTTTCACCATTGTACATTCCAGAGAGGATGAAAACTCAGAGAAGTCCTTTGAGTGTTTGTGAGGTGCATACATTGGGGTATGTAAAGGCAGTGATGCCTGACAGAATGCATTTTGTAGACATAACAGGCACTCTGTTACCGTGAACCTCAGGCAACCTGTAGCCATCAAGCCTGGAGCTGGCCCTAAGAGAGGACAGAGGCATTGGTAGCAAACATTTCTTTTGGCCCAGGTAAGATGCCACTGAACCAGCCAAGCAGTAGGGTGAGGGGAACAGGCTGAAACAAAACACTTCAGAAGTCATTCCTAGAAAAATTACCTAACTCCTCTGGATATCAGTTTATTCACACACAAATGGGGCCTTTCTCCCTCCCTCCATTTCCTCCTCTCAGTGTGCATACACACACATTCATTCAGTCATTCAGTACTATTGAGCATCTGTTATGTAGCAGGCACTGTTTTAGGCACTAGATGTGTGTACAAAACAGACAAAACAGATGGTTTACAAAACAGACCAAAATTCTGTCTTCAGGGAACATATATTCTAGAAGGAAGTTATATGCTAAGTAAATGACTAAATATGTAATATGGTAGTTTTACATTCTAAGGAGAAAAAATACAGCGGGGAAGAGGGATAAGAAATATGTATGTGGGTGGTTAAAATTTTAGGTTCCTATTTCCTGCTGCATTTCCCTCACAAGGTTGTCATGAGGTTGATATGTGATAAAAAGCCCAGTATTTAGGAAGCTGTGAAGTTCCGTTTACATGTAAGGTGCAGTTATTCTTGGGCGATAATTTTTTCTAGTTCCTTATTTGCTCTTCCCTTCTCCATTAACAGTATAGTAAAGCTTCAAGAATTCTGGCCGGGAGGATGGGAAACTCAGGTTCTAGGCTTCACTCTAGCATGACAATTTTTAAAAATCCCAAATGTGTAGAACTGTACAGATTCTAAAACACTTTTCCCGGAACTGGGTCTTCTGGCTGTTAATCCTTTGTTCTTTCCACTCTTCCATGAAGCAGTAAGAGCAGTGGCAACTCATTTGCTTCCTCAGAAACAGTCTTTCCCTTCTGGAAAATGGGAATGATGAACCACCCCACCCCCACCACTACCCCTTTCCAGTCTCCTTGGGCTTTTGTGAGGTACAAATCAGATAATGCTTATGAAACAACTTTCTATGTCATAAAATAAGATTGTAAGGGCTGGTTGCTAAGGTTGCTAAGATCTAGAGAGTTGGTGCTCCTGCTTAAGCGAGGGTTTTTTTTTTTAATTTTTTTTATCCTTGTTAACTGGGTGTATGTGTGGAGTGGTGAGAGTGAGCCTTTGGAACTGGTGCTACTTCCTTTCCTTTCTGAGAAGCAGCTGAGGGGAGCAGGGGCAGCACTGAGCCCCAGCATCTCCTAGAAATAGGAACAGTTACATGGAAACACTTGGCATCTCATGATAGACTGGCAACCACTGATGTGCAGCTCATTTTGTCCACTCTGCTTTTGGGAGGTGGGAACTGGGACTCATTTCCTGAAACTTAATACACAAATGACTCATGGCCTTTAAAGACTTCCACTTGCCCCTGTGATACAATCTCATTTGGAATGCTGGGGGTGGGAAGGGGGAGCCTTGAATAGGTGAGATCTTCATTTAGTACCTCACCTTTTTCTACTATGACAATTCTTTTGTGTTGTTTTATTTTTCTTCAACTTTTAAATTCCAGGGTACACGTGCAGGATGTGCAGCTTTGTTACATAGGTAAACATGTGCCATGGTGGTTTGTTGCACAGATCAACCCATCACCCAGGTATTAAGCCCAGCATCCATTAGCTATTCTCCCTGATCCTCTCCCTCCCCCAGCCCCACCAACAAGCCCCAGTGTGTGTTGTTCCCCCACCATGTGTTCTCATCATTCAGCTCCCACTTATAAGGGAAAACATGCAGTGTTTGGTTTTCTGCTTCTGCATTAGTTTGCTGAGGATAATGGCTTCCAGCTCCATCCATGTCCCTGCAAAGGACATGATCTCATTCCTTCTTAATTCTGCATAGTATCTCATGGTGTATATGTACTACATTTTCTTTATCCGGCCTATCATTGATGGGCATTTGGGTTGATTCCATGTCTTTGTGATTGTGAGTAGTGCTGCAGTGAACATACACGTGCATATATCTTTATAAGAGAATGATTTATATTCCTTTGGGTATATACCCAGTAATGGGATTGCTGCATTAAGTGGTATTTCTGCTTCTGTATCTTTGAGGAATTGCCACAGTGTCTTCCACACTTGTTGATCTAATTTACATTCCCACCAACAGTGTAAAAGCATTCCTTTTTCTCCACATCCTTGCTAGCATCTGTTGTTTCTTGACTTTTTAATAATTGCCAGTCAGAATGGCGATGAGATGGTATGTCATTGTGGTTTTGATTTGCATTTCTGTAATGATCAGTATTGTTGAGCTTTTTTCATATGTTTGTTGGTCACATGAATGTCTTCTTTTGAGAAGTGTCTGTTCATGTCCTTTGCCCACTTTTTAATGAGGTTGTTAGTTTTTTCCTTGTAAATTTGTTTAAGTTCCTTGTAGATTCTGGATATTAGACCTTTGTCAGATGGATTCATTGCAACAATGTTCCTCCATTCTGTAAGTTGAACTATGACAATTTTTGACATACTAACTGAATTTTTCATTCCATAGAGTACTTTCAAATCCATGATCTCATCATCTCTTTGACAGGTATTATGTCTTCTATTTATAGATGAGGAAACTGAGGCTCAGAGAGGTTATGATTTGCCTAAAGCTAGGCACATATAATCACACCCTCAAATAATAGTATTTATTGTCATTTACTGAGCATTACTATGTGCTGGACATTGTTCTAAGTACTTTACAGCTTTTCACTCATTAAATCCTCATGAAAACCTACCCCTGTTTTGTAAATGAGGAAACTAGGTGACTGAGAGTCAGGGGTTTGCTCGAAATGAGGGGCAGCATGAGTATCATGACATTATACCATTCTCCCTGATTTAAAGATGAGTAAAGTGAGGCTCGATGACATTAAATAAGTTGTTCAAGTTCTCACAACTAGCAACTGGAAGAACTAAGGTTGGATCTCAGTAGGCTGGTTCTAGAGCCTGTATTCTTAGCCATTAGGCTATATACTACTTCTAACTCTTAGGATCTTCCTAGCTTGATAAACTGAAGCACGGGGTGGAGGGAGGGGGTGGGGAAAGAGAGAGAGAGAGAGAGAACTTATTAAGATCACATAATGGATTTAACATTTTAAAATTTAATATATTAATACATAATATATTTATATGCTAAAAAATCAAACTATAAAAATGTGTACAGTCTGTCTCTCTATCTACCCATCAGAGATCACAAACTTAATGGCTTTCTATGTATCCTTCCAGAGTTTCTTTATGCAGATATAAGCAAATCCAAATATATTTTTCCCCTCTTCTTTACCTAAAAGATCACACATCATAATACTAAATTTGACCCTTTAACAACATGGGGATTAGGGGCCCCAAATCCCACCCTCCATGCAGTTGAAAATCAACGTGTAACTTTTCACTCCCTAAAAACTTAACTACTAATAGCCTACTGTTGACTGGAAGCCTTATCTATAACAAACACAGTTGATTGACACATATTTTGTATATGTTTTATATACTGTATTATTACAATAAAGTAGCTAGAGAAAATAAAATGTTATTAATAAAATCCTAAGAAAGTGAAAATATATTTACTATTCATTATGTGGAAGTAGATCACCACAAAGATCTTCATTCTCAGTGTTTTCACATTGAGTGGGCTTAAGAGGAGAAGGAAGAGGAGGGGTTGGTCTTGATGTCTCAGGGATAGCAGAGGCAGACGAAGTTAAGGAGGTAGAATGGGAGGCAGGAGAGGCAGGTATACTTGGTATTAACTTTTATTGAAAAAAGTCCCGGTATAAGTGGACCTGTGCAGTTCAAACCTGTGTTGTTCAAGGGTCAACAGTATTCTGCATCTTGCTTTTTCCACATTGCATATCTTCAAAATCTCTCCCTATCAGTCCACAGAGAGCTTCAGCAGTCTTAGCTAGGCCCTCATGAATTTCTATAAGCCCCCATCTATTTATGTGTCCTGCACTCTTCTCTTCTTTACCAATATTTGGGGATGTCCAGCCCTTTCTTAACATCTTCACTTAGAGTCTCATTGCTAGACTATCTTGGCCTTCTACAGAAAATACAGCTCCTCAAAGTGAATTCCTTAGTCTCCCTCCGACATATAATCTAGCCTCTTACAAACTCCCCAGCTATACTTACCTCCTTTCTTGTTTTGCAATTTCAACATATTACCATATCCTGGCTACCTACCTGCCCACCTACCTGCTTATCTATGTGATTCTTGTTGAGTACCTCTTATAAGCAAAGCTCCATGCTTAATTTGATGATGAGTGATTGTGTCCCGAATGTCCAATGGCTTGCAGTTCAAATAAAGCTTGTAAACAAATACACCTGGACATGGAGGTCAGAGGGGCTTAGCTGACTGAATGAGTTATGAGGCTCAGGAGTGGAATTATCCAGGAGATTAGGCTCTACAACTAAACACTGGGTTCTGATACTGAGAGAAATGTTCACTCCCCACCACAGTCTTGAACTGATGCATGATTGACTTTAGCTACCCCAGAAAGATCCTGAGCTTGACAGAAAACCATTGTACTTCCTCTAAAGGGGCTTTTAGACCTTTGCTGCTCTTTTCCAACCAGTTCTCTCTCTACCCTGAGTAGAGCCAGATGGTCTGGCCTACTAGCTTGCTTGAAATAGAACTGAAAGAGGCCTAAAATAAATGTGAAATAGGCCCAAAATAGATTCATGTGAAGGAACAGAAGGAAACTGCTGTTTCCTGGGTATTTACTCAGGTATTTATTCAGTCATTAGCCACAGGAGGGTGGTATAGGCAGTTTTTCTTGAGGGAAAAGTTTCTGGGTGGTGGTTTAGGGTGGCAACTATGTCATCGGAGAACAGAAAACTAAAGAGATCTTGAAATTCTCAAACTGTAATCTTTATAGTACCTTTTGGAGGAGTACTTACTAATGAAGGCCCTTGGGGTGGGAGAAGGGTGAAGATTGGTATTCTCAGGCTGTAGCAGAGAATACTTTCCATAACAAGACTTCCTTTACATTTTACATTGCGAGTCCTCAGGGCTATGCCTTGCTCTTCATTCACTCATTCATTCATTAATTTAGTTATTCAGTCATTAAAAATATATTTATTGAGTGCTAAGCACTATTTTAGGTGCTGAGGATACAGATATGAACAAAGCAATGTGCTTTCATGGAGCTTACATTTTATAAAGGAGACAATAAATCAATAAACAATAAAAATATGTAATATTTTAGGCAGATGTAAGTCCAGCCTCTGCTTCTTGGTAGCTGTGTGACCTCAAACAAGTCTCTTGTCTCCCCAAAAGCTCAAACGGCTGACTTATTTTTAGTGGTAGATTTTTAAAAGCATTGGTAGTTTTAAATCTTCAACAGCCTTGCCAAAGGTGTGGCAGGCATACCCTTGGTCTCAGGCGGTAACCTGCACAAATGACCATGGGTGATTTGTGGCTTTGGAAAGCCAGGACTGAGGAGCTAATCACTCCATGAGAGGGTCTGGGATAATAATGCCCTCAAATTCACACTAGTTCTCAGGTCTGAAAGGCAGTTCAATAGATTATGATAATGATAGTTAACACTTACAAACTGCTTTGGAAGAGTGGCTTTGGAAAGAGATCTCAATTCAAATCCTGCTACTGCTTCCTCAAACTTGTATGGTTATGGGCAAATGATGTAAACACTCTCAGGTATAGTTACTCTTTTAAAATAATGATAACAATTTCTTCTTCTCAAACTTCTAGGGATAATTAAGTAAAATAATATGTTAAAAGGCCTAGCACCATGTGGGCCCAAAGTAGGTGAGTAGGTGTTTCCTTCTCCTCCTCCCCCTCACCTTTCATGTACTATAGAGAGGATACCTACACAGGGAGGTTGGGAGGAGATGATCTCTTTTTCCCTTTTGAACATAAAATTATTTATTTGTTCGTAATCATCAACAACTTTATTCATCACCTGATTGTGCTTGGGATACTTACTGTATGACATTGAAATTATGTGCATCACTGATTAGCTCTCCCACTAAACTGTAAAATCCCTGAGATCCACTCTGTATCCCTTAGCTGTCAGAATAAGGGCTTATTGAATTGAACTGATTTTGGAGGAGTAGTGATTTCTGTGCTGAATAATTGAACTAAACAGGAGTTTTTGTCCTTAGGGGGCAGCCTGTCTTAAATAGAGATGATACCCATGAACATGCAAGAGCATCTAGTCGTATCAGTAGCTAAGACAATAAACAGACAGGATTCAGTATCTGTAGACTGTAGCAAGCATGAGGGACTATGAGGAAGCTAGGGTAGGGGTTGGATGGGAAGTGAGCAGCAGTGGAGATCGGGACAAAAAAAAATGGAACTTTGCCTGGGAGTGCTTCCTGGCAGAAGTGGGTCTTTGGGAGCTATGCAAAACATGAGAAGCAAAGGACAACCAGGAATTTTTTTTTTTCCCTGACAGAAGGAAAAGGTTTGAGAACTAGGGATCTTGGGTTTGGGAGGTAGGCCACTGAGGCCCAGATGAAGACACTGAAACAGTTTATCCCTGTGACCTAGGAGACATCATGTCAGATGTTATTGAAAGATGGGACATGTGTCACTTATTGGCATTTATATAGAATAGTGTTTAATAGCAGACTCTAGAGCTAGACAATTTGAGTTTACATCTGCGCTCCATATCTTACTAGCCATGTGACCTTAGGCAAGTTATTTAACTTCATTCTGCCTCAGTTTCCTCATCTATAAAATAAGGACAATAATAGTACCTACCGTACCTACCTCATAGAGTTGTTGTGAGGATTAAAAGAGTTTATGTATGTACAGGGCTTCAAACAGTGCCTGACACAGAGTAAGCAGTTTGTAAGTGTTAACTATCATTATCATAATCTATTGAACTGCCTTTCAGATCTGAGAACTAGTGTGAATTTGAGGGCATTATTATCCCAGACCCTCTCATGGAGTGATTAGCTCCTCAGCCCTGGCTGTGGTAGAAGTAGTGACAACATCTGGCTCAAAGAGATGGAAGAACTTTCTACCATCTGAGATTGTCCCAAAGATGAAGGGGCTGTCTTGGGAGGGAGGAACTGCCCCATCATTATAGGTGTTGGAGCTGAGACCGGATAACCAATTAGTGGGGATGTTGCAGAAGGGATGGCAGGATGGAACTGGAGTTGTGCTAGACCAAGAGATTATCTAATTCCTTGAGACTTGTCAGCAAGAAGGAATAGATCTCGGGAGGGGTATTGCTACTCCAAATGTAGAGGACTCCATTAAAAAAAATTGTGAGCAAAGTTGATTGGTCACATAACTCAGAAAGCTACCCACACATGGACAGGGCTGGTATCAAATACCGTGTTCCAGGGTCTGAAATCTCTCAAAAGTACTTTTGAGACTTAAGATACAAGGGCTTTGGTTCCCACTCTGCCAGCAATTAGCTGTATAATCTTTGACAAGTTGCTTCCCTTCTCTGTGAACCTGGAATATAAGGGCTTAGATTTTTCTCTGTGGTTCCATCAGGTCCTGCCTTCTGTGGTTGGAAGATATGAGTCTTTGAGTGGAGACCAGTGGATGAAGGAGACATTCATGCATCCAATAGGTGTTTGTTATGAAGCACCTGCTAAGTGTCAGACACTGCGCTGGGCACAAAGGGAGAAAGCAGTGAACAAGACAGTCGTGGTCTCTGCCCTCCTAGCTTCACAGTCCAGTAAAGGATACAAACAAGAAAAAAATACAATACAGTTTAATAAATGTTTCAAGAGGGCTAAACGTAGGATCCTATGGGAGAGGACTATCATTCAGAATATTGTTGAGGAAGAGAACATTAGAGAAAGCCTTCTGGAGGTGGTGGCACCTCAGCTGAGCTTTGAAATGGGGAGCTGGAAAAATAAAGCAGCAGTTTATATAGGCCCTGAGGCAAGAGAACCTCATGAGTTATGAGAACTACTGTAGGTTCTATGTAGCTAGAGAACAGAGAATGAGAGGGCACTGGTAAGAGCTGAGGATACAGAGGCCGAAGGACATCAGATTGGCAGGACATTTTATGCCACACTACAGAATTTGCCTTAAATGCGCCGAGGAGCTATTGAAGGCCTTTGAACAGAGGCATTATATAAGTCAGGTTTCAGCTGCAAAAATAAACCACTGTAGTTCTTTTCAGCAGAAGGAGTTTTAATATAGAAAATAAAGTGCTTACAAAATTGGTGGGAGGGCTGGAGGGGCAAGCTTTAGGCTATGCCTCCAAGAACAGTGTCAGGGTAGCTGCTCTCTCTGACAAGCAGGAAGATGAGGCGTCAGGGGCTCTAGGAGCATGCTGCCTTGTCTGCAATTTAGGAATGAGGAAGCTGCCACAGCTCTAACCATCTGTTGGCTAGAGTATCACTATGCCTACCAGATCCTCAGTGACAAAAAAAAAAAAAAAAAGTCCCATTCTCTGGCTCTCAGAATGCACAAAGCCAATGGCTAGACACTGGAACCTACGGTAACACACACAAAAAAACCCCAACACTTTCACCATTGTGCTTTCCAACAGAAGCAACAGAGACATGACTTCTGGCTCACCAACCACCTCCTTCTAAATACTGTGCATGTGCATATGATTGGCATCACTATGTCATATCCAGAACGCTGGCTGCAAAGGAATCTTGGAAATGCCAGTTTATTGTTGTTGTAGTTTTTTTGGTTTTTAGCTTTTCAGCAATATAGGAAGGCAGGCTAGAAGGAGTGGATCCTTAAAAACCAATCCAGAGTATCTACCCAAGATTGACAAGAGCAAAACTGCTTTTGAGGAAAGAATTTGGGCAGAAGAGTAGAGGCTTAATTGGGGAGGGAGAGCAGCATAAGATAACTGGTAATGAATTGTGATGGATCAGAGATGATGAGGAACTGATTAAAAGTAGTGACAGCAGGAAGAGAGAAAGGGACAAATGAGAGAGATTAAGGAGGAAGAGGATCAACAGAACTAAAAGACTTGTTGGCCACCAGTGAGGTGAGGGAGAGAAAAAACTTGTAGATATTTTCTTGGTTTCTGGCAAGCTCAGTGTGTGACTGCCATTCCCAGGAGACAAAGGACTCAGGGGAAGAAGGAAACCAGCAAGAGTGGGAGGAGATGACTTCAATTTGGGACTTTTTAAGTTTGATATGCTTGTGAGATACTAAGGAGGAGATATCCAGAAAGCAGTAGAACTTTCATTCTGGGGTCCAGGAGAGCTACCTTGGAGTCATCAGCAGCTCTCTGCTTACGTGCAAGCAAGGTCCTATGTCTGTTTTGTTTCCCAGTGGTGGTGTAATTTTGTAGAAAGGAGGTGCATCAATGTGCAATGTAGATGGTAGTTCAAGCCTTGGAAGTAGATGAGCCCATTCAGTGCAAATGCAGAATGAGAAGAAAAGGGGACTGCAATCAGAAGAACTCAGAAATCATGGCATTAATGACTGGATGAAGAAGAACCCATGCAGGAAGTGAAGACAGCATAAACATACAGGTCATGTGGATGGTGTTCCCAAGGAAAAGGAGCATTTCAGGATTGAGGAAGGCATCAGTGGAGTCAAATGGGAGAAAAGTTACGAAAGGTAAAGATTGAAAGTTGGCCATGAGATTTAGTAACAAGTTGGTTGTTTTTTTTCCTATTCACAAGAGGTTTCAGTTTTCTATAGGACAATGAGGGTAAAGCCAGGATGCAGTGGGTTGAGGGGTCAAAAGATAATGAGGAAA
This sequence comes from Homo sapiens, assembly GCF_000001405.40. Lineage (NCBI taxonomy): Eukaryota > Metazoa > Chordata > Mammalia > Primates > Hominidae > Homo > Homo sapiens. The sequence goes on along the minus strand of NC_000023.11, from coordinate 63,756,839 downwards.
TAGAGACAGGATAAGACTGAACTTTCAAAGACTAGGAGAAAGACTGTAGTTGTTTATATTATGGTACTGTCCTGATCACCAGTATCTGTCTCAACATAATCTAGAAGAGTAGTTTTCAAACCGTTTTGACTATTACTTGCTATAAGAAACACATTTCACATTACAGGCCAGTACATTTATATTTATATATAACTGAAACAAAAGCATCATGAAACAGTATTTACGCTAACTATATGAACATTTTCTATAAATGGAATCTTACAAAAGCCTTTTTCTCACGTCTTTCACTTAGCATGTTTTCAAAGCTCATCTATGTTGTAGCATGTATCAGTAGTTCATTCCTTTTTATGGTTAAATAATACTTCATTGTATGTATATACCACATTTTGTTTACCCATTCATCAGTTGTTGGACATTTGAATTGTTTCCATCTTCTGGCTATTGTGAATAATGCTGTTATAAGCATTCATGTATAAGTTTTTGTGTTGGCATGTTTTCATTTTTCTTAGGTATATACCTATCTGTTCAGTCATATAATCCTATAATATAAGAGCAAAAAGGCTCTGAGAGATCTCCTGTATAAGGGAATCCTTGGTTTGAAGGCCCAGGGAACCACTGAAATTGTTTTTTTCTGAGGTGAGTGTTCTGAGGTTTAACTGAATTCTCAGATAAGTCTAAGTCCTCATTGACAGGAGGGAGACAGAAGACAGACCCCTGAGAGGAAAAGGGAATTGCCCAAAAGTCATACAGCAAGTTTGAGGTAGGGCTGAGAGTAAATTTGAAACCTTCTGGTCTCCACTCCATGGCTTTTCCCTCCTTAGCTCTAGATACCAGGTCACAGAGCAGGGCAATGATTAGAAGCAGATTGCAAGTTCTGTAGAGGATTTTCCATGGCGAATGTTTAACCCTATGCTGGCTTCCCTTCATAGTACCCAGAATGCTGGAAAATTGCAAGCTAACTGTCCTAGTCTGAAGAATCTATAATCAAGAAAGGAAATCTGACCAGGTAAGGGCAGTGGTATCAGGGAAAGCCAAATAGAATTGGATTTTGGAAATTCTGTCGTGTGTCCCTGTGATTCTGTCCACAACACTGGTTTGTTGGCTTTTTATAGCTAATTGTGGGTTGCCTGTAAATTCTTAGGCAGTGGCCAAAAGCACCTTTGCTTCCTCCTTGGCCCAGGCTCCAAACAAAGTGGCTGCTAGGCACATGCATTCTCCACAGCTACCTATCCGTTTTTCCCCCATTCCTTCTTTCTCCTCACCATCCTTTTTTCTGCCTTTCCCCACAATTCTCTTTCTTCATTATCTTCCCTCTCTTCTCCTTCCTCCTCGTCTTTTCTTCTTTTTCTCCCTCTTCACGTGATCTCCTCCCCTTGCATCCTATTGGGTCCCTTCCCTCCCTCTTTCCCAGTCCTTTTCCTCCCCATCTCCTTATATACCCCCTCTATCCGCCCCCAAGAAGCTCCCCACCCCCAAACCAGAACTGGTGGCTGGTGACTCTCGCCGGTCTGGGGAGAGCGAGCTTGCTTGGGAGCCTTGAGGCTCTGATTGGCGGTCGCGGCTAGCACGCCAGCGCAAGTCCCGCCCCTGGGCAGCGAACGTGCTACTGCGGCATCTGTTATTGGTCGGCGGGTATGTCAGTGGCTCTGGCCGCGCCTCACGCAAGCGCCCGCAGTCGCTCGGTGAATAAAAAGGCAGCCTATGGGCTGAGCGGGGGATGGGGAGAGAAGAGGGATAGGGCCAGCAAGGCAGGGATCGAACGAGTGTCTGGCAGCCGGGAGCCCAGCGAAGAGAGCGAGCAAGCTTAGGAAAACGAGCGAAGTAAAGGGAGTAGGGGAGACTGAGACTGACCGGTAGCCAGGCAGGCGGACGGACGCACGCCCGGACAGACTGAGCAGGCGCCGGAGAACCACTCACAGGTTCCCCCCGCCTTTCCCTTTGAAAGCTAGGATTTTGCCTTTCCCGTGGCGCCCGAGAGAGAATGCTGGACTCTGCCGACTTCAGCGCAAGCTAAGATTTCTCAGCTAGGGACAAACGATCAGCCCAATCCTGAGAAGGGGGGAACCAAGCACCCCGTCCCCATCCCCCTCCCCTCCCCCGACTAAACTCGGGCGCCAAACCCAGCCCTTCTCTAACCACCCTACTTCCTCCTCTCCTTTCTAGCATGGTGGCTGTATGGACAGTCTGACAGAACAGAGACTGACATCTCCCAATCTGCCGGCCCCCCACCTGGAACACTACAGTGTTCTGCATTGCACCATGACCCTGGATGTGCAAACTGTAGTCGTTTTTGCCGTGATTGTAGTCCTCCTGCTTGTCAATGTCATACTCATGTTTTTCCTGGGAACGCGCTGAATGGAGTCCAGCCACCTGAGCTGTCGCGAACTCTCGCTTTGATTTCATCCCGAGAGCCACCGAGAAAAAAAAAAAATCACAGACAGAGACAGGGAAAGAGAGAGAAAGAACAAGCTTTCTTACTCAGGGGGGAAAACGTTTTGAGCTTCAACATGGCCTCGCTGTGATATGTATGACGTTGGTATATTATCTCTCCCTAAATCTTTTGTCGTGTCTTGTCTTTTAAGAATGCCTGCGCGTATAGTTGCCTATTGCTTGAGTGAAATTGTTGATGAAGAAATGCTTTCTATTTAAGTGTGCATGCGTGTGTGCATTTTTAATCTATGTGGCGTTCATGGAGCAAGCTCTGCGTCCTTAAACAGTGGCTTTGCTGTCTGTGGTGTCTTAACTCATTTCCTTGAAGACTACCTTTAAACTCCATCAGGGAATTTTAGTCAAAATTTCTCTCTTGCCATCAGGAGTGCATTTGGGTTTGTTTGAGGGGAAAAGGGTTTGTGGAAGAGCATGATGAATATTTGACATCATAGGAAAGACAGTCTTTGCAGTGGATATTTAGAGGGAAAATAATCGATGCAAGGAATGGATTTAGGGAAAATGCTTCTTTAGTGTCTAAGGAGAAGCAAGAATTTGGGAAGTGACACGGGTGTGTTGTGCTGGCAGTTGGTGACTGTGTCCTTTGAATCTCAATTTGCTCTCCAGGGTTCACAATTTTCAATTTTGAAAGAAGCCACATTTAAAACACTTCTTGAACCTTAAAGCTTTAAGATATTTAAAATGTCAATTTCCTTGGAATCATGAAATAGTATGTGAAAGCATTCTCTGATTTTTTGAACTGGCAAGAGAGGACTTTGACAGGAGCTATTTGGGCTCCCTTTCCCAAAGATTGTACCCCTGGATTTGAGTTTGGGGATTTTGTTTGTCTCATCAAAAAAAAAAAAAAACCCCACAAGAAAGAAAAAACAGCTCTTTATCCACCTTGGGAATAATAGTATTTGGATATGGCTCCTTTGGGATAATCTCGTTTGCAATGATGTTCTTGAACTACATTTTAAATGTAACTTGATAAGGCTGATGAGAAAGTGGTGATGCTATTGTTTGCTCCCGTTTGTTACTTTAAGATCAGAGGTCTCTGTAATTGAAACATTCCCATAACAAACTGAAAGTCTGTAATGTGCTAAATTAAGAGTTATCAAATTTTGGTGCTAAATTTGACCACCAAAACCCAAAAACGTCTAGAAGGAAAGGGATGAGAGCATGGAAAACATGAGCTGGAAGCAACATTCCAGTTTGAGATATGACTGCTTGTCTGTATCAGATGGTGGTGGTGGTTTCTGTTGTTATTGCTATTGCTATTATTTTTATATTTCTGTTTCCTCTGAGAAAGCTCTTGGCAGAGCCAGGAAAAAAAATGTCTCATGCCAGTCTGTATAATACTTGTTTTTTTGCGTTTTGATTTTCTTTCTCCCCTGTTAATGTAGGCAGGCTTTCCCCATTCCATTGCTTACCTGGCTTGAAATAATGCCATTTATGGCTCATGTATTATAGCAGTGAATCAGGACACATACACATCTACACACATGCTCCCCCTCCACCCATGTGGGTGGCTGTTCATGTCTGATGTGCAAATCTGCTGGCATTATGCTGTCAAGTTCCATGTCCGGTTGTTCAGTCTCTTTGGAAATGATTATGAAAGGAGAGGGGCTGTGAAGGGGGCCTTTGAAATTGTCTTGGCCACAGGACCCAGAGAGTATTATTTAATGGCGTCAGAGGGTGTTTTGGGCCTCAAAGCATGCTATCCTTGACTTGGTGTGGGTGAGAAGCTGAGGTTTTTGTGAGATTAGTACCATGGTGTAAACATGATCTGGGAGGTTTGCTGGCATTGGTTCTTATTAATTACTCTTTGGTCCGTTTGTGGAGACCCCCTGGATGGAACTGAGAACCTATTTCTTTGCAAAGATAATTTAGTGAGTTTTTTTCCCCCCTTAGCTTCATTGTATTATTTAAAGTAAGCTTATATCTTTTCTGGGCACTTTGTTTTGATACAGTGTTGGAGAGTGGGGAATGGCTCTATGCTGGGCAGCTGCAGACCTGTTTTTTTGTTTTGTTTTGTTTTGTTTTTTGTTTTTTCCATTCAGCAGCTGTTTGACCTTGGACAATTTTTTTCCTCCTCGGTGGGTTTGGGATTCCCAGTAACATTGGCATTTTTTGATGGCTCCACTAGGTGACTTCCAAGTTCTTGCATTTTATGATTTTATGACCCCTAGACACTTGAAGTTGTGGGGGGTGGGGGGGATGAGCTGGAAAGACAAGTGAAAAGGAAAAGAAAATGTTAATCAAAGGGTGATGGGAGGAGGGGAAGGATATCTGGTACTACAGCCTGGATAACAAGTTTAAGCGAAGGGGTTTTTTTTGCCTAGTTATTTGGGAAGGAAACTGGGACAGCAATAAGGGAATGCTTTTTGACTTTTTTTCCCCCAAGGGGAGAAGGGGTCTCTGAGACTAGTCTTTGATCTAGGTTTATGACTTAAATAGTGTCACGAAATGCCTTCTCCTCTGTGAGCCTGACAGACCTTTGGCAGAAAGCCTCTGGGAATGTATGTGTGTGTGTAGGGTGTGTGGCAGTATGTTCATGGGGGTGTGTGGGGGGGAGCACACTCCTGAGTGTGGATGCGGGGTGTGGTGGTAGGAATGAAGAAAGACAGTATTGAGTTCCACAGTTCTGAATAGCCTCCTTGTGCTAGGACCTATAAGGATTTCACAAATGCTGGGATGGATGGGTATCACCCATGCCATTCCTCTTTTCACCACCTAAAACCCCTCAGGCTAAGGAGGTGTCTTGAATGAGCCCTTCCATTAGTAATTTAGCTGTTGAAATGGGTTAGCGCTTTTAAAATTGTCTCCAGGCAAATAAAGGGATGTTGCTAGCCAGATGGCAGGCCACCATCTAGCAACCAGAAGGGAATTTGAGAGTAGAGAACAAAAGGTAGCAGTGTGACTTTTTACTTGTGTGAATCCTAAAGGTTTGGCATTTCTGCTTCAGACTTGTGAGGATATTTTTCTCTAGCAAAAAGAGAAAAGAGTGGGAGAAAATGAGAAATGCAGCCCAGAGAAGCGGAACCCTATGCATTTTGACTTGTCTTCTTTTTTCCTTCCTCCTCTGCCTTCTCTCTTAATCTTTCTCCTTCTTCCTTTCTTCCCACCCCTGACACCACCTCCTCCTCCCACCTCCCCACTGTAAATGGGTGAGAAGTAAAAAAGAGAAGAGGACTTTTCCTCTCTGATTTGTCCCAACTTTTCCCAATAAAGCTCCTCCATTCCCTTCCCTCCTCTCTGGCCCCTTTGAGTAGAGGATAAGCTTTTGCCATGTAGGAGGGGCAAAATCCCAGCTTAGGGATTTTCGCTCCTGGATCCCCATCAAAGAATTAAAGAAAATGCCCTCTACTGGTATCCTAGCAACCCCTGTATCACTGAGCACCCACTGAGCTCCAGAGCCCACCCTTTAAAGGCCCAGGCACCAATAACTCTAGAAAAAGGGGACTAGAGCCTAGTGGGACTTGGAGAGATGCTTTTGGGGAGGGAACAAAGAAAGAACAGAATCCCAATTTCCTGCAAATGCCTCGGAAACATGTCCACAGCAGACATGTAGAGCCTAGCCTCGTCCAGCTATGAGATTATTTATTAGAAAACTCCTGGTTTCAAATTCCTTTCTAGTCAGTCCCATCTCCTTAAGATTAACTGTGCCATTTTACTGCCTAGCTTTAGTGCCAGAAGCTCTGCCGGTCCTGAAAAAACAATTTTTTTCACCCTAACTTTTGGCTGCATCAGGGAGGGGGTGAAGTGATATCTTGGTGGGAACAAACTGAACAGCATTCTTCTTCCATTGAGACAGCCTCCATCTGTCAGAACCTGCAGTGTGCTTGTGCAGTGTGCCCCAATTTTGTCTGTGGCTTGGGGAATCCTGATCAGCCTAGCTTTATAGAATTTGGGAATTTTTCTTTCTGTGGTTTTGGTGTAGTAGTTTCTGACGGGGGAGGCTGGACAAGTTGAAAGAGCAAGTTTGATAATGGAGCTGGTAAACAGGGCTTGGACCCTGGCTCAGAGACTCTCACCCACCGGTGTGTGTGTGATTCAGCTACTAGGGAGCTGAAAGATCCCAAAAAGGCTGTAGGTGAGGTGCTCTTCTGCCCTTGAGGTAAGGCCCAGATTGAGAGCAACCAGAGGGCACAGTCTGGTGGTTTGAAGGATGGTAACAAAGCATGTCTTCCTCTTTAGCCTTTGTCTGCCATCTCAGTTTCTGGTCCCTTGACCTGCAGAGTGCTTGCTCTGGGCAGGGATATAAGAATTGAGCCTTTTCTCCCAAAATAACTGCCTCCTCAGAAGACCTCCTACAAGGCATCTGGATCTTGCTCCAGTGGCTTTGCCCCAAGAAATGGGATGGAGGAGGGGAATCTTGGACTCTCTAGCTCTTATTTCCAGCTCTGCAACTTGTTCTAGGCCAACTGAGTCTCTGGCTTTCCAAGAATCCTTGATGAAGGTTTAGCTTCTCCAGTATCTGCTCAGAGTGTCTCCTTCTGTCTTAGGTGGATCTAGCTCCATAGAGTATTTAGTTTATTGTACTTTGCTCTAGCACGAAAGTACAAAGAGGAAAAACTAGAAGGGGAAGAACATAGAGGGGAGAGAAGGCTCAGGAAGCAGTCCAGTAATGACAATACTAATAACTCCTTATCAGTGCACGGGCCTATAGCGTTTATGAAGGAATTTCACATCCTTTCTAACTTGAGCATCACATCAGCCTTGTGAAGTGGGTAGAGATGATTGTAATTCCCAGTGTTACAGATGAGGAAAGTAAAGGTCAGCAAGATTGTTGGGATGGGAGTGGGTCTGCCTTTCAAATAGAGAGGAGAGTCAGAGTTGGTCATTCCTAACTAGTGTGATGTTGAATGTAGGGAGGGAGGGCCTGACGTGGTGGCTCACGCCTGTAATCCCAGCACTTTGGGAGGCTGAGGCCGGTGGATCACCTGAGGTCAGGATTTCGAGACCAGCCTGGCCAACATGGTGAAACCCTGTCTCTACTAAAAATACAAAAATTAGCCGGGCGTGGTGGCACACGCCTGTAGTCCAGCTACTTGGGAGGCTGAGGCAGGAGAGTCACTTGAACCCAGGAGGCGGAGGATGCAGTGAGCCGAGATCATGCCACTGCACTCCAGCCTGGGTGACAGAGCGAGAGTCCGTCCCAAAAAAAAAGAAAGAAAAGGAAACAAAAGAAAGAAAGGAGATTTGGGAGTCATCCCTGAAGTCATACTAGCTTCCTCAGCTACTCACATTTTTAATAACTTTCATTTGTATAGCACTTTTGCTCAGAATTTTCATTCTATAAAATGCCTTTTTGTCTTGAATATGCATCAAAGAGTTCTGTTTAGTTTTATGAAAACTCACTATTTGGGATCTTCAAGGTGAGAGGCCAGTGTGAATTGCTGAAGCCTAAAATACAGAATGTTTTCAAGGAACTGTAGTTTTAATACAATTGTTCTTCTCTTTGAAGCACACTTATTTTTCTATATTTCTTTAAAAATCTGCTGCCTAGAACTGTTCATGCTACTCTAGGTGCCACCTGACTGAGATCAAGTGCAAAAGAACTTTGTTTTGTCTGTGAAATGTCTAATAATGCAGCCTTCTACTGATTCTCAACCCTCACTGAACATTCAGATCACTTGGGAAGCTTTTTTTTAAATACCCATGCCAGGTCCCCTATCTGAAAGATTCTGATTTAATTTTCATGGGCTAGATCCCAGGGAGCTTTATTTATTTATTTTTTTAATTTAAAGTTCCCTAAGGTGATTCAAATGTGCAGCCAGGGTTAAGAGTTAGCCTTTTGAGCATGTAGGTCCAAACCATTTACTGTCTAGTCCAGTCCTCTACTCTCTTGTGAAGTTGGCCACTTCAGGGTTTTTTGAACCAAACTTGCTACATTTTATCTTGACATGTTGGTCCATTATTCTAGCTTTCTGTGGATTTTAAAATTTTTTCTTCATGCTGTGCTACAAATTAGCAGTCCCTTCTAGCACTGCATCAGTTAAATTCTATTTGTTTGGTTGGACTATTGTTCTAGCCTTTGGGAGGTTTTTATTTTTTTTCTTCATGTCACACAACAGGTTAGCAGCCTCTTCTAGTGTTGCATTATTTGAACACCAAATAAATGGCATTCGAGTCGTTGATTCAAAGAAATGTTTACTATGATATGATTAATGCTAGCTCTTCTGTCACCTCACCAGAGCCCCTCTTGGAGTTGGGACTTGTTAATTTTTGTATGTATCTGGTCAACCAGTGCAGACTGCACCTGGTTGTGCCAGCATTTATCCTACCAGGGTGTTAATGTGAATAACATAGCACGATAGATTTGTTGTATGCTTTGTGGGCATCAAGATATGCTAGGTTCATAGCAAGCATCTGCCAAACTGATAGCCCCATCAGAAAAAGCAGTATAAGTTACTTGGCCTCTTACTCATGGTAAATCTGGTTGCAGGCTCCAGAGCTTCTTGTTTTCTTTCTGTGCCTACAATGCAAATGTTTCTAAACTGGGTTCAGAACTTGGCTGAGGGTCAGTACTACAACTGTAGTTTCTGTGTATTACTTTCTCCTCTTTGAAAAAGCAGGACATAATGGATTTAGCTTTAAAACAGAATATATTTTGTGCTCAAAGAGTTCCGGAAATTCTTTGTGTATGTTTCTCTTGTTGTTTTGCTTAATTGTTTCCATTAACCCAGTGGTTCTCAGCACTGGCTGCACATCGGAATCACCTGGAATATTAAGAGTAACAACAATTCCTAGAATCTTTGGGAGAGATCTGATTGAGTTGATCATAGTGGTTTCCTGGCATCAATATTTTTCTAAGAGTTCCCTGAGGTGATGGGAATGTTCAGCCAGGGGTGAGAATGACTGCTATGGAATGCTTCATAGGAAATGTTAGCTCAGCCTGTCTGACTTATCACACATGTGACTAGGCAAGCTTCACAGATGGTGAAATTTTATTCTAGGACTGTGGGAGCCTCGATAAGTCCCAGGGGCTTGTGCTCACTCTAAAAAGGAGGAATCAACCCTAGGGAATGAGTAGTCTGGAGACCTAATTGTATTTAAAATAATCAGCTGTGAGATGGTTTGAACACTTCAGGAATAAAAAAAAAGTCAGTTCCTACACATTTGCTGTAATGATGGGGAAGATTCTGCTCATTTGCTAGTGACCTCAGGCAAATTACTTCTCTCCTCTGAAATTTGGTTTTCTTCATCAGCAAAATAAGGATAGGTGGATTTGATGACTTCAAAGATTTCTTCTAGCTCCAACAATATGTGCTTATTTTGTGATTAATATTAATGATCAACACGAGTACAGATATTATTTAAATCTAGCAGGTAATCCAGAGATCCATTTTAGCAGGTTTAGAATACACAGAGTGGTTTTAAGGATAGCAGTTTTGCCTTCTTAATTATACTTGGCTTAGGTTTCTTTTAGAACAAGTGAACTTAGGTTGTATTCTTTGAGCACACACTGGCCGCCAAGCAGGAAAGGAGACTGTATGAACACGCATTGGCTGCCAAACAGGGAAGGAAGTGGTACAGTGAATTGAGTAGCTAGGGTATGCCAGTTTGGGATTCTGTTTATTAAAGAGATATGTCATGGATAATTGAGAATTGCCTCTCATAGATATAATACCAGTCTCATAGGTCTGAAAAAGATGGATTGCTTTGACAGCTCAGAGCCCCTTCCTGCAGTATTTTAAGTAGCCATTCACTTGGTTAATAATACTACTTCTATTAATAAGAATTTCAACAAATAAGGTTTCCTATGTATTTCATGGGCTTCTTCCTCAAACCTAAAAGTAGTTAAGAAAGTGAGGCTCATAAAGATTAAGCAGCTTACTCAGTGTCAAACAGGTAGTGGTAGTGACTAGTGGTAGTGGTAGTTCTAGTGGCCTAGAACCTAGGCGTCTTGATACCACATCCTGCAGTGCTTCTGGTATAGCCTGCATAGTGGACTCTGTGGTCAGGATGCAGTCATGACTCTGAGAATTAAAGGGGTTTTACTGACATAGAGCAGTATTCAGGAGGAAGCTTTGAAGAAAGGAGCAAAAGGGGCAATGTGGAGGAAGAAAAAAGGTTTAGAGAGGGATGTGTTCAGGCCAGTTTTTCTCTTGCCCTTATCACTCTTATGTGCTAGTTCCAGGCCCCTGATGGGAATTGGCCATTGATCTTTGAGCACCAAGGTTGAGTGTTGGTAGCAGAGAAGAAGGAAAGTTGTACATGCATGGCAGAAGGATAGCATAGGGAAGGCAGACTTGCAGTAGGAGAAAAAACAAGAAAAGGCCTTAGGAGCCCTAGGATTAAGCCCTGGCTCTGTACCTACCTTGCTGCCAGATCTTGATCAAGGCCCTTCCCACCTAGGCGTCAGCTTCCACGTCACTAAAATGAGAGTGGTTTCAGTAGAAGAACTATGTTCTCAAATGGAATGTTAGCCAGAAGCTTCTATATAAAACAGGAAAAAGCACAGATGGTCTGGTTGAAATGGGCATGGGACAGGTATGGAGGACAGAGTCTAAAGTTCCAGGGAACCATCTTGCGTATGCAGATTTTGGTCATTAGGGGAACTGGAATTAGAAGAGTGGAGATGGCTCTGCCAAGCCCAGCCATAGTGCTTGGGGAGATAGAGCATCCTTGGATAGAGTTGTGTGATGGGGGTGGGTATTTCATTTAAGTGGCCAGGATTTACAGAGAATCACTTAGGGGCAGATATTAAAGTGCCTAGTACAACACACTGCCCCCATTCCTTTTTTTACAAGTGAGAAAACTAAGGCACAGGAGGGGAAAGGGATGGGTCCAAGGTTGCAGTGATAGTTCTGGAATTCTGATTCTTTAGATAGGGCTCTTGCCTGCTGTAACTTGCTACCTCCCCTATAGGTTTCTGGCTCTATGCTCCCTTGGCTGGATCAGAGACCTGAATGCTCTTTCAGGTTTGGTTGGAGAAAGCAAGCTGACGAGAGGCTGGGAGAACAAGAGCTTTATATAACCTCCTGGAGAGGGAGCAGGCCTGTTAGTAGTCCTTGGAGTTCCAGGGAGTAGGATGGGGATGAGGGGAACACAGAGTCTCCTGAAGGCCACATTAGCTCTCCTGAGGCAGAGCAGTAGATGCAGCCCTGTGAGTGGCCATCTACCCTCAGGGCCCAGAGGAGGCCAGCACTGCACATCCATAGCCAGCTCTGGGAATGGCTTTGGCAGCTGATTTCTCCGCCTGCCTGCCTTCATTAGAGAAAGGAAAGCCATGTACCTCCGTGCCCAGCTGGCTGCAGGAAGGATGTACTAAGAGCCCACCCCCCACCCCCTCAGAGTGTGGTGCCTAAAGGCAGTAGCTACTTTTAGCTGAACCTCCCACAGCCTCTCCTCCACCCACTCTCTCCCTCCTCCCTCTGTGAATTGTGCAGGATGGCAAGAAGGCTGGGGAGTAGGTGCCTTGGCATTGGGATAGAGGCAGAGGAGGAGCTAGGCATCTCTAGGAGGGGCTCTGATAAGCCCTGCATGGCAGGAGGGCTTAGAACAAAAGCAAAATGATGAGATTGCTTTGTGCTTAGGACCCAAAGGGAGTTGAGGGATTTATTAATTTCCTTTGGAGCATGCAACCAGCTGAAGTTCATGTCTTGTAAATTTAGACTGAACTGCATGGGAAGACTTACACTCTACTTGGATTAAGAGGAAAGCAACTGGGGCTAGTGGGTACTCACTTGATTCTTAACTACTCCTCTTGAACAGTCTTACACTTTTCAGTGGATTTTGTACATCGTCTCACTTGATTTTCTCTGTGGCCCTGTGAAGTGGGTAGGGCAGAGATTATCTCCATTTCACAGGTGAGAAAAAGAATGTTCAAAGACTTATTGTCACATAGCTGCTTCTAGCCTGGCCTTCTGGGCTTCAGCTCTGGAAGTTACAGTGCCACTTAAAGTCACTGCAGACAGCTATATTTTCTAGAAAAATAGGTGCTGGAGCTGTCCTGATTCTAATCTCCTCATTGTGGAAGCTGGGGAACTAGGTCCAGAGAAGAAAAGGACTTGCCCCAGGAAATGTAGTACATCTGTAGTAGTGCTGGAATTAGAACATTGCCATGCAAGGATGTGAATTCCTGGACCTGCAAGATGTGCAAGCCACTGTGGTCTTTCAAGGGTTGTTTGGGAAACCTGTGTGGTGTGATGGAAAGCAAAGTGTCACAGAACTAGGAGTTTGTTATTTTTCAGTTCAGGCAGAACTGTGGGTGACTGCCCCAGTGGAGGCCTGACACTCAGTAAGCCCTCTATAAAGATTTGGTTGAATGGAAGATGTACACATGAGTAAAAAGGAGGTGCAAATGTGAAGTCAGTTGCTGTGTGACCTTGAACAAATCCCATTGTCTCTGTCCCTCATTTCTGTCTGTCATTTTTGGAGGACTCTTTTTACTTCTCTCCCTTGGAAGAAGAAAGGCCCTGTGACCCGGCCCATGTCTTGGGTGCTTGGTGGAAAGCTGTTTTGTTTTCTGATTTTTGTTGTTGTTGTTGTTTTTAAATAAGCTTTCTTTTATTTATCCCAAGCTCCATTTCCCATGCAGTCACACACTCGCTGCTATGAAGAGCAGACTAACTTTGTCTCTCCTCATCTCCTGCAAAGTTAAAAGAGGAACTTGGAAGAAAGCCAAAATTAATTGTGTTTTTATTTAGCACCTTCTTAAGTCCATCAAGCCATAAACCACTTAGGCACATGGCAATTAAAAAACAATTCTTGGCCCCTAGATCCTTGGCTAGGATTTGTGATGGATTACTGGGTTTTCATGATATGATCAAAAACTGTTTTAGAAATTGCAGGTTCTTGCCCAATGAGCTGTGTAGAACAAATCAACACTCTTCACTTATACTCGCATTATTTTGTTTGGAAACATCTCACTGATCTGGGGGCAGGACAAGAAGATAAAGACTACTGTATAGCCTTCTGCTCCTGACACATGTTCTTTTCTCCATTACACTATTAGGTGGCCAAAGCCAAGATTATTTTCCCAATTTTATGGCTAAGGAAATTGAAGCTCAGAGAATTGCTTTGATTGACTCAGGTCAGTACTGCATCTTAAAGTCAGTGGTGAGCTAGGAAGAACATAGTATATAGCGTTAGGTATTATCAACTCACCAGTACCAAGTGTCTCTAGGCAAGCCATTTAAGATTCCCTCTGTAGTTTGCTTCTGTCTAAGTATTTTGTTGTTGTTGTTTGTTTATTTTTTGAGATGGAGTCTTGCTCTGTCTCCCAGGCTGGAGTGCAGTGGTACAATCTCAGCTCACTGCAACCTCCGCCTCCCAGGTTCAAGCAATTCTCCTGCACGCCACCATGCCCAGCTAATTTTTGTATTTCTAGTAGAGACGGGGTTTTGCCATGGTGGCCAGGCTAGTCTTGAATTCCTGACCTCAAGTGATCCACCCACCTCAGCCTCCCAAAATGCTGGGATTACAGGAGTGAGCCACCACACCTGGCTCTAAGCATTTTTACAAAAGTTAATCAAGATAGAAGAAAGAAGTAGGCATATGCTACTGGATAATTGGATAGGTTGGCATTGAACCATTAATTGGTATTTTGGTGCATCTACTGGATCTACAATAAATTCATCTGGATATCACATTGTCCAGGGATACATGAGAGGCCTTTCAAAATGAAGAAAAGTGGCCCCAGATTCTGTAGTCTTTGGTGACCTACTTAGTTTGGACGCTTTCTCTCTGTGGGTTTATCTGGCCATGTTCTTAAAGACTGGGCCTTGATCCTAAAAGCAGGCTCTTTACCATTACCAGTTTCTATGGTCATCCCAAAGGATGGGGAAGAATGATTTGGATAAACTACATGTCATTTTGCCTGGGCTTTGGTGGAGATTGTATGCCATTCCTTTTACTCCAGTTGGTTCAGGCCACTGGGAAAATGAGTGTGGAATGACAAGAATAGGGAGACAACCAATAGCTTGCTGAGGGTTAGAGGGGGCCTAGCTGGGATGAGACATCTGCAGGTGCTAATCCACGTGCACATATCTACACACTGATTCTTTGTGGTGTTGGGGGGAGCAAGCAGAGTTTGTCCATAGTACTTCAGCTGAGAAGTGACTGGGTAACAGTGAGAGGAACCCAAGCATTGAGCTCGTTCCTTCAGTGTACTTCTGGGGAAACTGAGGTCTAAGGAGAGGCAGGAACTTGCCCAGAGTCTCAGAATTTGTCCGTGATCTTTGCCTATTCTCTCTAGTCAGCCAATGGCTAATTTACCTTACATTTGTGAGGCTCTTTAGATGAATGAGGGGTGGCTAAGCCTCTTGGGAAAAGCACCTGTGATTACCACATTCAGGAAGTGACAGAGATGAAATCTGAACCCAGGTCTTTTGTCCTGCTTAAGAGCAGATTGACCCAGACTTGAAGGAAGGCTGTTAGAAACAAATTGATGGGGAAGAAAATTGGTTCAGCTTTGCTGTCTATCCATGCTCTATGCCCGTACCTTCACATACACATACATGATAGATCATATGTGATGCACACTTACACATACTCAGACACATGGGATGTATTTGGGACACACATGGGACACACAGCTGGAACATATTTTCACATTAACACACTTGGAACACACATTCAGTTAAACATGGGAGGAATATTCACACTTGCACATTCTCAGCACAGGCAGGATACACACACAGGAACACACATGAGGGATACTTGTACGCATCTGCATGTGTGAATGCACATGGATGCATATAAGGCACAATTGTGCACCCACATACATATGGGGCATGCTGAGATGCACTCTCAGATATACTGTTACCCAGGACATGCACTCCTATACCTGAGATACACACTCCTAAAGACTACTTGGGCAAACAACACTCCACACTTGAGTGTTGAGTCACACTTGAACACACCTATGGGACATATCCACATGCTCCACACAGCCATGTGGGACATATTTTGATGCAGAACACGTCCTTCCCTTAGGGCCAGCCAGCTGTCACTTTTTCCTAAGTGGGCATGACAGGGAACTGGTCCCAGCTGGTGGGCCTCCATAAGTTTGCTCTGGCTCTCCTTTAACCTTGAAATTAGACTTGAGAGGGCAGTATGCTCAGTAATAAAATGGATGTTCAAGATGGCATGTTTTGTAGCAGGCTCTGTAAGGTAAACAGGGTTCAGAGCAGAGCCCTCAGATGTGAGTTAACAGGCAGATGCAGAAGAATGGAAAACACAAATTGGGATTGATCAATGCAGAAAGCTTGAGCCTGCTCCTTCATCCCCCAGTTCACTTACAAACCATTGTGGAGTGATATGGTTATGAAGCAATGTCAAAGAAGGCCTAAAGTCACTGGATATTAAAGTTTATCTTTCTTGGGAATGAAATAACAGTCTGGACTAGAGCAAAGATATCTAAATTGTGGGTGTTAGGGTGTGAGGGGAAGTGGTAGGATGCATAAGCGGGAGATCCCTTTGGGCAGTGGCCCATCCTCTCCTGGGTTAGTGGTGGTCTGAGACCAGCCTCATCCTTAATGACCACAACCTAGCCCCTAGGCACAGCAGCTTGGGTCATCTGGCCCCACTAATGAATACCTGCTATTTTTAGAGTTCCTCAAGCTGGAAACCAGGTCATGGTGTCCTGGGGAAGCCTTTGTGGTCCTTGGTACCTAAGGCTGAAGCTGGAAAGACAGGGCCCTAGATTGGGTCTGAGTGAAGGGTGGGAAGCAGGGGGACACGTAGCTGGGGAATACCAGGCTTTCCTGGGAGCAGCATCCTCAGAGCCTCAGTTGGGTTACTATTAACTATAACAGCCTCATGCCCATTTCTCAGCTTTGGCTTTGAGGTCAAGAAACATGAGTTTCAGTTGCTACTCTGCCTCTTACAGTGTGTCTCAGTCACGTTCCCCTCTGCTGTCTGAGTCTTACTTGCTTTATTTATAAAACATCCAGTATTGCCCTTAGATGATGGAAAGGCTCAGCTAGGCTAAGAGTTGAGAAAATGTTTTGAAGATACACTTTTCTCCATGCATAAAGCTGCATCATCATTGTCCCTAAGCTGGATTCAATTCCTGCCAACAATTGGACCTGACTCCTATTGGAGTAGCTGTAGACAGCAAAGGCCAAAAAAAAGGAGCCAAGAGAAGACACCCTCATGGAGTCAGGTTGGTCAAAGTCATGCTGAGATTACCCCCACATATACAGATGCTTTTCAATGCCAGGTCAGTCATTCTGGGAAAGAAAACAGATTTGCAGCATTTAGGTGGTCATGTAGCTTTGGCTCCTCAGGAATCTCCTAGGTAATGAGAGAAGGGGAGGCATCAGGAGCAGGGATTTCTTCCTAAACTAGGAAATGCAAGACCAGGTCACCTGTACCTGCCACCTGCCAGAGGAGGCAGCCTAGAGTGCCAGCTCTGGCTCTAAGAGAATCCTCTTTGTGTTTGTGCTCATGGCCATTTTATCTGGTTTGCTGAGAGGGAGAAGGTCAGAAACTAGACTATGTAGTTCAAGTTTCCCCCTGCTGCAGACATTGTGGGCAAAGTTCTCCTGACCCTCAGTTTTCTGGTCTGTGGAATGGGCTTAACTGTAGTCTCTCATAAGAGTTTTAAGTGCAAGACTTCATTGTGACATAGGATGTGAAAAGTGTCTTGTAAAATGTTGAACATGTGTTCCTGCTGTTTGGATTGTTAAGATTTCATCCAGGTTGTAATTACACATAGTTTGGAGGTAATTGAGAAACTTCACTTTATTTCTCTACCCCTTTCCCATACCGTTCTTTTAAGGCATTATTATATCCATTTTACAAATGGGGATACTGAGGCTCAGAGAAAAGAGAAACAAGTCTGAGGTGGCAGGATTAGGTGGTGGTAGATTCAGGACTAGAAGCCATGCTTTCAGATTCCCAACCCAATGTACTCTGGCCCTGGGCTGCCACCAATGAATTCCAGTGCTAAAGGAATCTGCCAGAGGTTACTTAAGTAAATATATATAAAGAGTTAGATTTTTCTCTGACAAGCAGTACAGGGGGTTCTCTGGGGCACAGCTTTACCCAGCACTCTCCCTGCTTGCCCAAGAGAGACACGCTGATTGTCCCTTCATCCCTCCTACAGCAGCTCATGTCCTGCTGTCTCCTGCATGTTGGAAGCAGTGAAGAATTGGAGATGTTAGGCTGTTGTGAGAAGCAATCCTTCTGCCGGTTTAAGCCACTTCAAGACAATAGGAGGATTCTTGGAGGCACAAAATCCACCTTGGTCACCCGCACCTCCTCACAGTTTTTTGGGTACCCCTGACCTGCCTAAGGGGTTGGCTGAAAGGGATCTAAGGAAATATATTTGAGGGCCTTGATCTCTGGAGGATTGTGCTAATAGTTGAGGGATAAGATTATGGAAATAATCCAAGAACCAAAACTGGGAGTGTCTCTGGAGACCATTTGGGCTGAATTTCACCTGGCCTCAATGAGGACATTAAAACCCAGCTGGGCTTACCTTTTCTCCCTTAGTGTGGTTTTCCTTTGTACACCACAGATTCTCGTGTTCAGTCAGATTTCCTGGAGTCTTTCTAGCTTGCTTGTTTTTGCTATTCTGAGCCCAGAAGAGGGAAGGGGTGACACATTGAGTGGAGTGGTGAGAGGAAAGAGATGGAGGAATCTGATGAGCTCAGGCCTTGAGGGGCAGGCATTGGAGGAAAAGGGCTTTTGTGTCTCTCTTCATTTGTATTGCTGCTGATGCATTATTTTCCTATCTTCCACTGATTGGCTGTGGGAGCCTAATCCAATCTGTTGTTATCTTCACTTTTGCTGCTCAAACCTCCAAAATGACTACAGTATTCATTTTGAGGGATGTCTTCTGTGGGATTGGATAAGCAGTGGGGCAGGGAAGTGGGGTGGGGGGAATGCGGTGCTTCAGGAAAAATGGGGAGAGGAACTTTCTTTTCTTCAAATTTGAGAGCCCAGAGAAGTGAATAGGAAAAGGTTAGCTGGCACAGCCCTGCCAAGAAGTAGCCATGCAGTTTCCTAATCTCTTTTGACCATAGATACCTTATTTTTAAAATTTTATTTTTGGATAGGAAATATATTCACATGTTTCAAAATTCAAAAGGTCCAAGAGAGTGCACAGTGAAAAGTCTCCCTTCCACTCCCTGCCCTCTGCAGAGGCCACCAATGAGTCCTTCCAGAAAAATGTTATGTGGATGTATAAACAAATATGAATATATTCCTCTTTCTCTTTTTTATGGTAATATACAACACATATTGTTCTGTACCTTGCTATGCTTTGGAGATTCTTTGATACTTCATTGAATTTCACCTTTTGGGGATGTGAAGATGTGCTGTGGAAAGTAGAGGTTAAGAGCACTGATTCTAGAGGGAAACTGTCTGGGTTCAGGTTTGGATTCTGGCTCTATGAACTTCAACAGTTACTTCATTGTTTTTCTGAACTTTGGTTTCCTTATCTTTAAACTAGGGATCAAATGAGTTATTATATGTAAAAACTTAGATTTGTCTCTGACACATAGTAAACATTCAATAAATGTTAGCCATTTTTTATTATTAGGAAAAAAACCCCACTGGACCAGCGCCAGTAGATCTAGGTTTTCTCCTGGCCTCTGTGCTCCTGGGATAGCTGGGTAACTTCCTTTGTTCACAAATTAGTTTCCTTACCTTTAAAATGGAACAACTCATCCCCACTCTGCTTATCCCCAGGATTTCTGGGTGGGTCCAGTGAGCTCATGAATATGAAGGCAACTTAGCAATTGTGATGTTCTGAGCAGATGGAAGAAGTGCAACTTAATATTTTCATAGACACTACTTTGGGTGGCTTGAACCCAGTGGTCTGAACTGGGTGGAAAAGGCAGTGTTTTTCCTTCTGCCAGTGGAACCCAAAAGCCATCCCTGTACTGGTGTTGTATTTTGAGTGGGAGATAGCCCATGGCAAAATTTTGAAATACTCAGGTTTTGTCTTCTGACCTTTTTTATTCCACCCCATCCCTCTCCTGACTTCCTTGTTTCATTTTTTTTGGGGGGCCACCCCACCCCTGTCAAAACCTGCTTTTAGAAGCAAAGCAGCAGCATATGTCAAAGATGACCTCAACTTTCCATTTGAAATAATTTAATACAGCTGGCTCAGAGAGGCGCTGGATCTGCCCAAGTTCATACAGCAAGTCCAGAATCAAGCTACACCTAGAGCTCATTCTTCCCATCCCAGTTTTTATTACTGACATTTGCATTTTAGTGTGAATTTGAATTTGAGATTCCTTAGCAAAAATCATCTGGTCGTGGGGGAGATTCTGGAAGTATCTTTACTAATCCTTCATACTGAAGTGTTCTTATCTTTTAATCTTCAGGGTCAGACCTGTTTGGGACCCTGAGCAGGGAGGGAAAGTCAGGTTCTGGTTTTAGTACTGAAGGGATGATGTCTATAGAGCAGTGGGAGAGAAGAGCACCAGAAAATGTTGAAAGCGGTAACCTCCAAGGTGAGACTTAGGGAGAAAATATTAGTTCTTTATATATTAAATTGTTAATCTCATTGTTATTTAATTTCTATTTTGTGGAGTTTTTTTTTATAAAACACATACTACATTAATATTTAAATATTGGGATAGGTGTTTCTTGTTTTGTTTTTTGTAAAATAAATTTTATTGTGTATATTTGAGGTTTACAACATGATATTGTAATATAGATAGATAGTAAAATGGTTACTGTAGTGAAGCATATCTGTCATTTCACAGAATTACTTTTTTGTGACAAGAATAGCTAAATGTTTGTATTTTTGTTTTTAACATTAGAGGTACATGATCCAAAAACTATTGGCTACCATTCTTCTAAGACTATAGGCTTGGTTTCTAATCTTGGCAGCTCTGCTGCTAACTAACTTGATGCCTTAGGAAGCTTTTCTCATTGGAGCCTCATTTTTCTTACCTGTAAGAAAGGGAGGACTGAGCTAGGTGTGCTAACTAGTTACTTGGAAATCTCCAATCCTGACCACCTCTGAGTATAAGAATCCACTGCCTTTGGGGCTCTTGAGCTGAGACAGTTAAAAGGAGTTCAAGCCCTGACACCTTACTAGATGCTTTATCCCTCTATCAGCTGCCTTGGTTTCCTTCCCTTCTCTACCCCCACCACTTTCACCTAGCCCAGACTGGTAGATGCTTCCTTACATAAGTTTAGCGAACCTACTTGACATTGTTTTGTTACAAGCACAACCACTTTTCCTGTAGACACAGACCTGGTGCCATCCCTTCTGAGCTTTGAGGGTGTGTCTGATTTTGCTTCTATTTTGTCCTCTCTGGCAGCCTAGGTTTAGTCGTTGTATCCCTCTGGCTAAGTCTTTGGTTTCAAGGTCTGAGGGGAAGCCAGCTCAGCCAGTTTGAGTCCCTTGGGGCCTGACCCAATGGCTGCTCACTGAATCCCTCTGCCACTTCCTCATCCAGGACTGGGCTAGACTTTTTTAGGAGAACATAGTCCATTCCTGAGCATAAAAGGCTTCTGACATGGACTAGAGGCATTGCTAGGTGCCTTGGCCTTGGCTGGATGTCTTTTCTCTCACAGTGAGCCAATAGGTAGAGGGAAATCATTGCACCACTGGAAACTATCTTCCACTTTTTGATGGGCTGTTTAAATGCAGATGTCCTCTCTGGGCTGTAAAAACTCCCTGGGAGATACTTACATTCTCTTTGGAAACGTATGCCAAGGTCTAGAGTTTTTGCAAGCCTGTGTCCTTGCTGGGCATGCTCAGTAGACGTAAAGGTGGTTTCAGTTAATTGAAATATATTCATTTTTCCTGCTTCATCTCTAGATATAGGAGCAGGTCACAGTGCTCCTAACTAAATGTTGTTTCTGTTCTTGTCACTGTAAACCAGATGGTCACATTTAACGACGTTAGGACCCTTAGTTCCAACCTATCTCCTCCCCTGCTCCTCCCGCTACCTTCAGCTCTCCTTTCTCTACAAGATTTTAACACGACATCTGACAAATGGATAAAAAATGAATTTCCCTTTTTCTCTCTGCCTTGCCCACCCACCCTCTGCCTGTGGTGTTGAGTATAGAACCATGCATGTGGGAGTCATGGAGGACAGATTCTTCTTGTAGTTCTAGCCCCCTCCTCCTACCTTCTGGAAACAAAGGAACCCCACCCCTGCCCAGAAAACTCCAAGGCCTGGCTTCAAGTCGTAGTCCAGGAAAAGTTAAAGCTCCCAGGACTGGTCCTAAGGCGACTACATGAAGAAATTCAGGAACCCAGATGCAGACCTTAAGATGAGTTTAGGTCGCCTAAGGGATCTGTGGCTCTTAGAGCATCCCTGCATATTCCCTAGGTTTGTCCTGGTCAGCTCCCATATCTCAGGGTAGTAAGGCAACAAAAGTCTCCAGTGGGTAGCTGGAGCTCGGCATTCACACCAAGTCCAAGAAGACGAGCATGGCTCCCAGGGCAGGGACATTTTGGGTATAAGACCCACGCTGGCTCAACAGATGGGTGAAGGTCAGGGTAACCTCAAGCTTGAGATGGCATGTTCTGACTCAGGAACTCATGGAGAGGGCATTGCTGAGTCCATTATTATTATTTTTACTAACCATCTGTCTCTTAGAATATTGGAGGTTGCCTTGGGGAGATTTAATACAGCTCTAGGAAATTTCTTCCAGATTATAGCATAGAGAGATGCTGCTAGGACTTGCTGTTAGAACTAGTGGTAGCTTCAGTGCCTGAAGGTTGGGACGGGAATGAGGGTGGAACAGAGCAGAAGCAAATAGTCTCTCAAGGCAGGCTGGGAGAAATCCTCTCCGACAGGCCACCGTAATTCCTCAGCCTTTCTGGAATCTGACACAAGAAGGATAAGCCTAGAGTTGGAGTTCCAGAGATTCTGGTTTCTTTTGAGTGGCCCAGTGCAGTAAGAGGAAATTCCTGCAATATAAACTCTCTGGTCCCAGAAAGATTAAGACAGTTGGTTTCAGTGTGGCACGTGATTCAGAATCACTCTGGTTGCTTGTTATTAATAAATATGGTACGGTGGTTCTGAGCAGGGGTCTGTGGACCTCACATTAAGAAACAGTGTTGTAATGCGTCAGAAGTGCCAAAATATCCCAGAATAACTTGACAATTACTCCTGTTTCCAAGATATTTTGTAGATACAAGCTAATGTTTATCAGATTGGGAGCTGTTGTAGTATATAGGACCTTCTCTAGCCAACATCATCTAGGTTGGCCATTCAGAAACATGTCTTCTCTCTGATCTGTGCAATCCTTGGCCCATTTGGCTGCATTTTCTTTAAAGGGGATCATTCTCTAAACAAGACCAAGTTCTTAACATTGTGAACTTTGAGGCAGCAGCTGGGTCTCACTTCAGAAACTCCTGGGCCCATTTGGCTGAGCTACTGGCTTGGGTTTCTTACCATCTATTGCTAAGGTCCAGACAAGCAAGCAACAACCCTTTTCTCATCTGTTGGGTCACCATTAGAGCAGAGATCACCTTTTAACTTCCTTTGGAAGAAGTGCAGGAAGAAGCTGTTCTTTGTTATTAGCCTCAGTGAGAAAATATTCTGGATGGCATCATGCCCTAAGGGGCTTCTCTGGGTTTTCCAAGCTAAAATGTCCTAAAAGGTCCTGGAAAGTGTGAATCGGCTTATGACCACTGTTCATATTGGGCTCTAGATCAGGTGGTCTGTCTTGCTCAAGGCTGACCCCATCTAGGCCTACCTTTTGTGTCTGCCAGGTGTGGCTGAACAGTAGATCTTTCATTTTATTAAAGTGAAAACTGGATAGTATAATGGGATATTGAAGGAAACTGATGTGTAATGACTCACAAATCACACACCCAAATTAGGAAAAAGATGATTTTGTGTCATGAAAAAATATATGTACATACTTCCATTCAGCATATTTAGAGTCATTATCACTTGAGTGCATTAATTATTCTGCCAAGAAATGAAATTATTTACTTGTGGGCAATAGCAACACCCACATTGAAACTGGAAACAATCAAGTGCAAAATGTTAAAACCTGAGGAAAAGAAAAAGCAACTCTTGGGATGTTTTTGATATTCACAGTGGGATTTTTCTTACCTAGCATCTATCTCTGCCTCTTTCCCTGGTGATCACTGGGCACCAGTGCAGATCTTTAGCAAAAACTGGCCTGCCATAGAAGCCACCTAGCAATAAATCCTGGCAACAATGGACTGGCATATAGGGCAGCTGGGTACATATTATGTAAACAATTTCCTTGGCCCCATAAATTGTTCTGCCACCTGACAGAGATGCTTACTCTATTGCTGTGTTCTGCCTCAGAGTTTGCTTGCTTTTAGAACTCAAGTCAGAACTTTAAGTGGAGTATACACATTGTTCATTATGGATTAAGCTTATGTTTTAGACCTATCATTCAGAAGTATATACTCTGGTTATTTGAAGAATAACACTCTGGTCAGCAACTTGAATAGCTCTTCCAAATTTTTGTTTTCTGCTTATCCTAGGTAGATAAGGTTACTGAAAGAGGCAGAGAGAGAGAGAGGATGCAGCCTGGAGTCATCAGAGAAGGGATTACGGAGTAGGTCGGCCACAATCACACAGCTAGGAAGAAGCAGCCTGGCCCCAGTGTCGCTACGTGTAACCATTGGCTAAGGATATGGCCAAATCAGAGGCACAGAAGTAGGATTGATCATTATTTTATTGGAGGCAGTAGCAGGCCATCCAGTGAAATGTTGAGCAGGCAGTAGGAAATGTGGGACTGGAGGTGAGTGACAGCTGATGTCATGAGAAGGATGCAAGAGACTCATTTTGACAAGAGTGGTGGAAAGCCCCTGCCTTGTTAGAGGTAAAGGTTGGATCCAGAGATGAGGCTAGATTAAGGAGAGCTTTGAGATAGTGGGGAGTTACTGAAGCTTCTTGAGCTTGAGGAGTGATACTAGCAAAAATGCTTTAAGATTCGCATCATTAAGGCATAGCTTGAGGAAGGGACAGACCTGTAAGGGCCAAGGAAGCCGGTTGGGAGACAGTTTGAGCTGATGAGGACCAGGATAAGACAGTGGGAATGAAGAGAATGCGTTGTATCTGAGAGGGAGAGACATGAAGAAGAAAGAAATAGCAGGGCCAGAAGATTTTCCTTAAATGGGAAAAATTGAGAAGGAGGGAGAATGGGGGAATATGATGAATTTTGCATTTTATTGGAGGTGGTAGCAGGCCATCCAGTGAAATGTGGAGCAGGCAGTAGGAAATATGGGACTGGAGGTGAGCGAGAACTGATGTCATGAGAAGGATGATTCATCTGAAGAACTAAGTGGAGAGAACAAAAAGCAAAGGTCCCTATTGACTTTTGAATGCGGCAGTCAAGGGTTTAAGTGGGAAGCCCACTTCTCAATTTTCCCAGGTAGTCTGACTGTGTTGCCAGCAATGCTTGAGTGAGTTATCTTCAGGAAAAAGTTCTCATTTTTTTGAGCAGAAAGCAGTAAAAGCATCCTATCAAGCACAAAGAAGGGTGAGGAGAATTAAGCTGCAATAATGACATCCCCGTCCTTTGCAGAGTAAGTGTTAGCCTCAGTAGAATACCAGAGCTGGAAGGGACTTGAGAGGTCATCTGTATGGTTCCAGTCTGTCACTTGACATGTAAAAAAACTGAGACGGGCTGGGTGCGGTGGCTCACGCCTGTAGTCCCAGCACTTTGGGAGGCCAAGGCAGGCGGATCACCTGAGGTCAGGAGTTCAAGACCAGCCTGGCCAACATGGTGAAACCCTGTCTCTACGAAAAATACAAAAAATTAGCCAGGTGTGGTGGAAGATGCCTGTAATCCCAGCTGCTTTAGAGGCTGAGGCAGGAGAATCACTTGAACCCGGGAGGTGGAGGTTGCAGTGAACCGAGATTGCACCACTGCGCTCCAGCCTGGGCAACAGAGCAAGACTCTATCTAAAAAAAAAAAAAAAAAAAAAAAAAACTGAGACAGGGAAAGGGACCTGTCCAAGATCATTTGGTGAGTTACTGGCAGATTTTCTTCCAATAGCCAATCTGAGTCTTTACTGTACACCATGGTACCTCATAGCTATTGTTGGGGCAGCCTGGTTCACACCTTCCCAAAAATAGGGAGGATGATTATCCTTCAACACTTTGGGCAAGATAGCCAGAGCGTTTTCAAGGCTGTATTAAAAGGAATCTAGCTTTTTCAGGAGAGAGCATAAAATCTCAGCTTGTTTTAGATATGCTTAAGGGAGCAAGGGAAAATAATTTGCTCTTGCCCAAGTTTAGCTGTTCAGGAGAAGGGGGCCTTCTGAGAGGATACGGGCAGACACCAACCTGAGAAAACCTCATAGGCAAACCCCTGTCATGTCCCTCCTTTTCCTCCTACGGAGCTTCTTGGAAGGCAGGTCCAGCTCATCTACCTTCATGGCAATTGGCATATTTGCTATTCCATACATGTGAGGTTCACATTTTTTAACCCATTCTCCCTTCTGCTGCTTCTTATTAAAACACTAATATTTCTGACAGCCACCAAGGCTAATTAAATGTCTATTTTGGGGGTGGTGCTGTTGAACTAGAGGGGAAGAACAAGAAGTTGTAGATAAGTGGCATGGCTCTAAAAGACTGGGTGACAGCCATAATCCCAAGTTTTTTCCTGTGTTAACACAGCCTGACATTGGGCATGCTGCTTACATGACCCCAAATACCCTTTTGCAGACATTTACCAACAACTGAGGAAGGCCTTGTAGATAGGAAGGGAGTGCTGGAGGCAGGGAGCACAACATATGGTGTGGCATGGGGAAATCTGTGAAGAATGAGGCATCAGAAGAGGCAAGGGTAGGGCCTACACTAGGACAGTCCATTAGGGCAGTGGTTCTCCAGATGTGATTCCCAGACCAGCAGCATCAGTATCACCTGGGGATCTATTTGAAATGCAGGTTCTCAAGCTGCACTTCAGACCTACCTAATCAATACTCAAGGCCTATGTGGCCCAGCAACCTGTGTTTTAACAAGACCTCTGAGGAACTGAGAATCACTGCTGTAGGTCATTCACAGGGTGAGCTGGTCCCCCTCCCTGCCATTTGACTGGTTCCATGGGGGACTGGCAAATAGCAAAGCTGTAGAGTAAGGCCAACTGGAGATTTAAATCTGCTCCACCACCTACTAACTGGGTAACTGTGGGTTACTTGTTTTATCTCACAAGTCATCTTCAGTAAAAATGGAGATGTTAATGCTTACATTGGAGAATTATAGAGGTTGAAATCACAAAAGAAAGCCCTTTATCCAGTTTGCAGCATATGTTTTCTACAAGTATAAGCTTCTCTTGCTTCGTCCTTCCCTTTATAACTCTTTTACTTTCCTTCTGTCTTTCCCATTTCTTCTTCTGTTCCCACTGAAAGGGTCCACTGGCCACCCCAAGCTCACTGCAAACACACATGCCTTTTTTGGTCACAGAGACCAGCCTTAGATCTCAGACTCCCAGTGCCTCCAGGGTATAGCAATCATATTTCTAGGTTAAAAATCAAGGCACATGACAGCTGATAAACAGATATATCTACTTTGGGGAGCAATTAGATAGAATATTTGATATTAGGATTGTCTTCGGAAATCTGGATACAAAGAAATAATATCCTATTCTGTCTTTAAGCATAATGCAGGACTCTTAACCCTCCCCATCCTCTTATTCATGTCCAAAAGTTTTGTTGATGTGGGAGTGGGAAACACTATGTGTCCCACTCACTTGTAAGTCTGAGCAAGAGCTTCCCTATATTTAGTGCTTCCTCTGAAATGTCCTGGGGATTGGGAATTATTTTGTTAGAAGCCACAGTAGTGCTGTCCTAAGGCTCAGAGCTCTTTGAGTACCTTGCTAGAATGATGCTGCTCCATCTTCTGGCTTTATGATAGGCTTGCAAGATGAAGGATGGTAACAGTTGGATTTTGGCAGGGAGGGAATATAAACCAGTTTGGGAATAGAGAATATAATCTCTGCTATAGCTACTCCCAAATGGCCTTTTCTTGGTTTTCTTTTTTATAGCTCTGTACCATTTGATAATGTTGATGAGCTCTTGCTGCTTGAAACTCTTGTCTTTGACTTTTGAGAGATCATGCTCCTTTGTATCCTAATGATGTGCTAACAGCTTCTTTTAGTTTTATTTATGTAGCTCTTTTTCTGTTCCTTACCTCACATTCCATCTTTAAGCATAAATCTTGATTTCCCAAGGCTTCTGGCCTTAGCACTTTTTTCCAGGGCAAACTCTGATTTTCACAATTTCTTCTGGGCCATTGATTCCCAACCCTGTATATATACCCTAATCTCTCTTGAGCTTCCCACCCACCTGCATGTCCTGCTGGCCCCCCATATTTAACACCTTAAAGAGAAAATTTGTCATCACTTCTTTTGCAAAGCCAAGCCAATATTTCCTCCTAATTTGTCCTATGCTTTAATTGACGTTTGCACCCAAAAATTAACTTTGACCTTTTTCTTTTCCTCAGACTAGATTCAAGGTCCTTCAAACATGACTTCACTCACCTTTTTAGCCATCACTCCCTCCACTCCCCTTTCCCAACCCTAACCTCTCCAAACTCCACTACTTGTTCACCATCACATTTCCCAGTCTTCTTCTCTGAGACTTGGCTTAATCTCATTTCTCTGCTTCAAATGCCCCTCCCTTTCCTCCTGTATCTGGTACCATCCTACCCATCCTTTAAGGGCTATCTTCATTGCCACACAAAACCTTTCTATAGCCCAATACCCATGTGTAATCAACCTCCTTTCTCTGAAGTCTTGTACTAGGCCAGCACATGCCAGGCACTGTATATCCACCATCTGAGTTCACCCTCTCTATAACCCTGCCTGTGAGGCAAACATTATTACCCCCATTTTGCAGATGAAAAAACTGAGACCCAAGGTTGTATAGTTAGAAACTCTTTGGCTTTTGTGAAATTATACTCCTAGATGTCATAATTACATGCTGACAATTACATTTAAGTTTGTGTTTCTGACTCCTCTTCTATTCCTCACCTCCTATTGTCATTGCTACTTTCTAAAGTAGTAAAGCCCAGAATCGAAGGTAGGTATGCGTGCCCATAAAACCACCTTTGCGTCCTGCTGGAAAGATATGCATTGTTGGTACCTGGAAACCCTTTGTTCTTCAGGTAAGGACTGCAGCTGAGTCACAGTGAGCAGATCCCTGCACACAGTAGGAGCTCAATGAATGAATGTTGGATGGAAGATGGATGAGCAGAGCAAAGTGCATTTTAACAAAAATTGTAGCAAGTTAAAAGTTAATTCTGTACACAAATGGAAGATTTGGAACCAATTTCCAGGTTAAGTTTAGTTTACATTTTCAAAACAACTCAGAAGATGAGGGAGGAACATCCCTTTGCTCCGGCTTGTGTTTGTGAGGAGAGAACACAGAAGCCCCACACAGCTGTTAACGCCTTCTGGATTAGCGTTCCTCTCACCTCCATGCACATACCTGTCAGCTCTCAGTTCAGTGTTTTATACCCTACAAAGCAGATGGTAGAGTAGAATTATCCCCATTTTATAGGTGAAGAAACTGGGACCCAGAGGCAGAATAGTTTATAAGTTAAGAGCAGAGTCTCTAGAGCCAGACTGTGCCTCTACTGGAATAATGGCTTCAGTAGTTATTGGCTGTGTGAACTGCAAATTATTTAACTTCTTTGAGCTTCAGCTACCTCATCTGTAAGATATGAATAGTAATAGTTTTTCCTTAAAGGGCTGCTGTGAGGCTTGAATGAATTAATGTATATAACGTGTTTAGAATAGTGCCTGACATAATAGCGCTCTTTATTAGCTAACATCATCATAATTATCATTACACCTTTAGCTAGTAGTATAACAAGGTCTTAAATTCAGATTATTTTTTCTACCTGTATTCCCTCTCTGTGGTGTTATGTTAGAAAAAACACTAGTCCAGAAGGCTGACCATTTGATGACTGTAGGCAAGTTACTTTTGTTAAACCTCATCTATAAAATGAGGGCATGAAGGTGATGATCTTTAAAATTCTGTCCAATTCTGACAGTCATTGATTCTAAGTAGGCCCTGACAACAGGCTTGCAAGTTGGTTAGTTGTTTTTGTGACCACTAGGTCCTAGATTGGCTTTGTCCAGGGTATAGCTGAGCCTTGTGACCTGAGGGCCCAGGTATATCAGCTGGACTAAATGGGGGACAAAAGTCAGCGATCTGCTTCTGGGAAAAGCCAGGCATGGAGTTCCTGAAAAGAAGACTGCAAAGTAAAAAAGTATAGACAGTGGAATCAGCCAGATCTGGGCCTGGGAGACCTCAAAGAGCACCACAGATAGTGTCCTGAGCAGAAGGTTGGTAATTGATACTGAGATACTCTTTGACCCTTGATAAAAAGCTATGGATATAGCTTTAAACTACAGGTCTTAATGGTGCTCTGGGTTGGGGCTGTATGTGCTTACTGAGTTCTAACAATGCCCACTTGGGACCCATCTTTTCCAGGAGAGGGGAGACTTCTCTATAAAAATTTACTTTAGTAAGCCAGTGACCAGCTTTTCTTTTTCTTCACTGAGGCCAAAACAAGGAGAAATTGACTTTTAGTACAATTGGAAGAAAGCAAGTTCAACATAAAAATGAATGTCCTCAGCATCAGGGGCACCTATGATTAAAGGTGGCTGTGTACATCTCCTGTAGGGTTCTTTAAGAATAGGAGCCAACTGGCTTATGATATCATAGATGGAGTTCAGTATAGATAATGAGTAGACATTGGTAGTACAGTTTGATAATTGTAAGAGCACACAAAGTTAGAAGACCCAGCTTCATAATGTATTACTTGTGTTATTGGCTGAAGGACTAGGTCACCTTTCTGAGCCTCAGTTTCCTCATCTTTAAAATATAGGTAAATGGCCAGGTGCAGTTGCTCACACCTGTAATCCTAGCACTTTGGGAGGCTGAGGTGGGCAGATCACTTGAGGTCAGGAGTTTGAGACCACCCTGGCCAACATGGAAAAACCCCCATCTCTACTAAAAATACAAAAATTAGCTGGGCATGGTGGCGTGCGCCTGTAGTCCCAGCTACTTGGGAGGCCGAGACACCAGAATCGCTTGAACCCAGGAGGTGGAGGTTGCAGTGAGCCAAGACTGCGCCACTGCACTCCAACCTGGGCAACAGAGAGAGATTCCGTCCCAAAAAATAAAAATGAATGAATGAATGAATGAATGGTAATAGTGAGGCCCAGTTGATTCCGTAAGGATCAAGTGATGTAGTAGATGTGAAAACACTTAGCAAAGCGTAAAGCATGAGGTATTTGAAAGGTGGTGTTGTGAAAGGTCCTGCTGGAAATTTATTTTTTATCTATCCTGAAGAGCTCACCCTATGCCTTACCTTCTGTGGAAGGCACAAAGATGAATCCTGAGCCATGACAGATGCATCTGGCAGGACCTGAACAAAACATGTTAACTTAAGTCAAAGATCAGCATGTGTGTATGTGTGTGTGTGTTCATATATATGTGTTCGTATGTGTTGTGCATTTATTTTGAGAACCTAGGGTTATTCTGTGGCTAGCATGTTGGAGGGTAGATATATGAGACAGGATGTATATTCTATAGACTATTTCTATTGTCTTAAAGTTGTTTTAGTTTTGGTCTTATGGAGCCATTATTGCCTTGAGCAAAGTAGGCTGATGGAAAAGCTGACTTCTAGAGGACTTGTTCAGAAATTCAATGCTTGGGAGAGAGTGCTTGAGTCTCTTTGCCTGATAGGCCATGTGTTCTCTATTCTGGAATCTGTTACCCCAAATGCTGAGAAGACTGATGGCCCATACAAGCTGGAACAGTTGAGGGAAAAAGAACAAATAACACAGTGAGCAGGATGGTAAAGAGAGGCAGACTACCTCCCCACCCCCACCCCATCCCTATCACCGTGCTTAGATGAGTTTCATGAATGTCTGTTTGCTGGTATGGCAGTGGAATAGATGTCTGCCTGCTCTTGTGTGGAGCCCAGTCCTGCTAGCCGTGAAGTCTAGTGAGCAGGGTTAGCGTGCATTCCATGCACAGGTCCTGCCTTGCCAGCTGATCTCCAGCTCATCACTTGCTTGTTCAGTTTTGCCATCCATCAAATGCAGAATTCAACCCAGACCTCTCCCCCTACTGTATCTCACAGGATGGTTGTACAAATCACTGAGAGAATGTGTGCTAAAGTTGAGTTTCTTGGGTACAAGGCATCACAGAAAGCCATATTCTTTCCTACCCATGACCTCTCTGGATGGCATCATGTGTGAGTGAGAGGAGGAGGCTGCAGGACTGGGGTCCATTATGCGTGAGGAATGTTATGGTCTGTTACCCCAGGAGGAGGGTCACGGTGGGGTTAAATAATGTACCACCAACTCTCAATTGGTCAGTTCCAAGGAGGAGGAGGAAAGGGGGAGGAGCACAGGGAATTGAAAGCAAATAAGCTTGAGTCTCATTTTAGCCATTGCTGTCAGCCTCTCCACCCATTCCTGACCTAGAGCTGCCTTGAAGCACCAAGGAGAGATGGACTGGAGCTTTCTTTGTTCTGCACAGGAGAAGTTCATGATTAGGGATAAAAAGCATGAGGCATATGTAGTACATATTCATATTCTGGGTCATTCCATGCACTGGCTAACAGAGAGTTGACAGTATTGTTTGTCTTGCGGTCTAATGGAACTTTTGTTCCAGTGCCATCCCCCTCACCCCTATCTCTCACCACTTGAGTATATGAGTTTCTCTGTAAGTAGTAGAGCTCTGTGGGTGGGGGAAGGGGCAAGCAAGGTAGCTGTGTGGACTGAACACATTCTCATTTTGTCTCCTAAGCTGATCACTGGAGATTCCATCGTTAGTGCTGAGGCAGTATGGGATCACGTCACCATGGCCAACCGGGAGTTGGCATTTAAAGCTGGCGACGTCATCAAAGTCTTGGATGCTTCCAACAAGGATTGGTGGTGGGGCCAGATCGACGATGAGGAGGGATGGTTTCCTGCCAGCTTTGTGAGGGTGAGTGTCAGTCTTCACTCTCCTCTCCTATTTCCTTGGCTGCCTGTACCTGGCTTCCCCTTCACCAGCCTCTGTTCTCCTGTTTATTTCTCTCCTGGTGGCTTTTCTCATATTTTTTTCCTTTTTTTAAAA
This sequence comes from Homo sapiens, assembly GCF_000001405.40. Taxonomy (NCBI): domain Eukaryota; kingdom Metazoa; phylum Chordata; class Mammalia; order Primates; family Hominidae; genus Homo; species Homo sapiens. The sequence goes on along the minus strand of NC_000023.11, from coordinate 63,724,399 downwards.
TTGTCTCATACAGAGAACCTGGGCTTCCTTTAATCTGTGCCCTTTTAATTTTTAGACTTTTCATTTGTCTCTTGTTTAACACCCCCGCCCCACCACCTCCCACCTTTGTACAAATCACTTACCTTGTCTGGGTCTTGGTTTCCTCTTTTGGGGTTGGCCTTGGTGGTTTTTGAATAAGACTTTTTAACCCTATATTGCTGTGAACTTTTGTCTTTCTTATCTCTCTTTTTTCTGCTTTCTATTTCTCATCTTTTTTTTATTCTTTCTTCTCGTAGTTTCTTCCCATCTCCTCCTCTTGCTCCTCTGCTCTTCTCTCCTTCCTGTCTACTTCTTTGCCTCTCACACCCCTGTGTGTTGTCACTGTGTATTCAGATGTTAATATAAGAGTGTGAGCTCCCTGCCCCCCAGGCGCTAGAGCTTACTGATATCAAATTTTACTTTTTTCAAGAGAATCAAGTGGCTGGGATCTAAATGTGCTGGGGGTGGGAAGCAAGTGGCATGTAAGGTCTTGCAAGCCTTCTGCCTCTTTGACATTGTACCATGAAGAACCTGGCCCTTAACAGAGAGGCTCTTGGGAGGAATTTCTCAGCAGTTTTTGCTTTTTCTGGGTCACTGTAAAGGAAGTGATCCCAATGTGCTTATGACCTCAGGGTGCTATGGGAGAATAACATTGGTTAGGTGTCTCAGCTCTTATTTTTTCTTGGAATTGTGAGCTGGAATCAGCTATTTGACTATTTTGAGCTCTGATTTTCCTCATCTGCACAATGGTCTTGACAGTTCTTTAATGCCAGGGCATGTCACAGTGAATGAGATAAAACATGCGAAAACTGCTTTGTGGCAAGACAAGTACTGAAGCTACATGAGGGTGTCTTATAACTATCCTTACGACAGCCTATCACGTTTTGTTAGTTTCTCCTGTAAAATTAGGCTGAAGTCTTCTAGACCCCAAACAAAAGGTCAGAAGGGCTAGCTAGGGCTCCTAGAGGTTGAAGGGCCCCAATATTAGAATTATGGCAATGTGATATAAAGAAAGGAACAGGGCATTTGGAGTTAGAAAACTCTAGATACAGTTTTACTACCTTCTAGCTCTATAGCTTTTGGTAAGATTTTTAACTTCCCTGAGCCCTGATTTCCTCATCTGAAAAATAGGGATAACAGACTTTTTATAAGGAATTAGATCATACATGCCAATAAGGTGTCTAGCACAGTGCTAGACAGATATTAGGAACTTAGCAAATGGTAACTTATTTTATGATTATCATCATAATTATAATCATCACCACTACCTTTTTAGCTCCAAGAAGGTCCATGTATCAAGGCTTCCCTTGAGGTTGATAGAGGCCTCCTTCCTCAAGGTAAAAAATCCAGAAAGTATTGTTACCTGGTTGGGACAGTTTAGGTGAGGGCACTGCCTAGAAGCAGAGGAATGGACAAAATTACCTCTCATTCCCTTCTATCATGAGAATCTTCTAATGAAATATCCAATCTTTTCTTCTCTTCAGTCAGAGTCTGCAAATGCCATCTGTGTCCCATCTCATCTTTGCTGGTTAAAGAATCAGTCCCAGGGATAGTCAGAAAAAGCGTATCAATAACCACAGACCTTCAGGACTAATGTGAGGCCCTGTACGCATACAGCTGGTATGTCTTGTGCTTACAGACCTCCCTCTTTAAAAGAAGGATTAAACTGTACCAAATGATGATGTCACCCAAATCCAAATGCATTTCATTTTCAAGGAAATGTTACTTTTATAATAAATAGTAAATCCAAGGATGGGGGGAAATGATTGAGCAAGCCAGGATGGCTCAGGGAAGCAAATGACAGAGCCAGACTTCAGAATATCAGTGGGCAGCCATTAATGCCCCTAAGTCCAAGGCCGGGAGGAGTGTTCCTACAGGAACAAAGCCCCAGCAGCCAGAGTCTAGCTCAAGTGGTTCTCAACCCTGGCTATACAACAGAATCACTTCAGTAGCACAAAAAAAAAAAAAAAACAAAAAACAACAAGAAGAACCCAAACAAACAAAAACACTAACACCCAGCCTCCAGGCTAGTAAAATAAGATCATTTGACTAAATTGGTAACTGACATGGTGAGGTATCTTCATTCCCTACCTGGAAGTCTCATTGCTGACATTTGAACCCTAGGATGGATAATCAAGGGTGGTTAGTGTGGTTCTGTTCAAGTTAGCCCTACCTGTTGTTACACATTAAAACCCAACCTGCAGTCTGGGAAACCCAGATGCTTGCCTCAGTTCTATTATTAGAAATGCAACTTGAGCAGCTTCCTATGCATCTTCAAATATCAGTTTTCTTCCTTGTAAAATGGGGACAATTCAGTCTTGTAAAAATGCTTTGTTACCTGTGATATGCTGGATACTTGTAAAGAGGAATTATAATACCATTTAGCCACTGTACAGGAACTTACCAGGTATATGTGTCTTGACCTATTCACACCTGTCTCCTCTGTTGTTCAGAATTTCATACTTGTATGTGCTTATGTGTGTGTATATGTGTGTGTGTGTGTTCTCAGGTTCTTTCCTTTCTGTACTGGGGATATGGCTTCACAAGAGCAATGTAGGAGCTGATATACCTTCCCAGTAGTTGGTAAGGTTAAATGAATTAAACTTGCTGAACATCAGTCCTCATATCTAGTTGTCGACATCGTCAGCTGTTTTCCTGGGCTGGTTTCCCTGCTAGGAGCTAAGGGTAGACTGCTAGGATATGATTGTGTCTCTAAGTAGCAAATCCCACCTCTGTGGTGGGCCTCCTTTTGTCTAATAGACCCTAACTTCAAGTCATTCAGGCTCTTTTCCTTTGTCACTGTGCACAAAATGAACCTTTTTTTTCTGACTTTGGGCCATGGCCTGAGGAGAGCTTGCTGCCTAATTAAGGGTAGGTTGTGGACAGGACACATGACAACCTGTTACTGATGGGAGGTGAGGCTCGTGTGACAAGGCATGGGTTTGGTCAGAAAGTAAAGAGCTTGCTGAGGTGTCATCAGGAGCTGGATATATACTTTTCTTGTTCTTTCAAATTCTTTATTTCTCTGGTTTCTGGCCTGCTTGGAAGTATGGAGATGAAAGGATCACCTAAGCCAATCATTACCATCATTTCTTGGCTTTCTACAGACCAGATGTCATGGAAACCCAACTTTTCCTTTTCAAAGGAAAGCCCATTGTTCCAGAGTGTGACCTGGCTTTTATTTATGTATTATCTCTTTTTGGCTGCAAAAAGAGATACTTGGGAAAAGCTTTTCACCTCTATGAAACCCTAGATTCACTGTAGATTTAGAACTGAAAATAACCATCTTAGCCAAGAGTGGCCAACTTAGATGCTTACAGGGGCCAATTAAGTGAGTGAAACAAATTGAGACAAGGGGTAAGTGGGCACCTGTGTCCAACTGGGAGATCCATGCCCCATCTAAAGACAGCAAAAGTGACTTGGATGGTTCCCATCATTAGAGTGGGATATAGTGGAGAGGAAAGCCCAGAGGGGCCAGATCTTCTAGTATTTCAAGAAAAGCCGGGAATTGGATTTTTATGTAAAACTCTTTATATTTAAAAAAATGTTAATGAGGAATTCATATTTTTAAAGAAGCACAGTGAGAGTCAAACAAAACACATCTGTAGGATAAATTATCTCCCAAGGACCCAGCTTGTTGCCATTGGTCACCCTACCTCCACGTTGTATAAATACTGAGGCAACATGGGCCCAGAAAATGGAAATGACTTGCTTTCTCATGTAGGGAATTAGTGGCAAAGCCAGGACTTGAACCCAGGCCTCCTGAATCTTAAGACAATTTTACTAGACAGTCTTTGTCTAATAAGTTTAATGTCTTGGCTTCCTTTGGTATGTTTTCTGCCAAATTATTTTTTTCCTGTGAATAGGTCACATGTTCCTGTTTTCTTGTAGGCCTTGCAATTTTTTGTTGAAAACTTGGCATTTTCAATATTATAATGTGGTAACTCTAGAAATCAGATTTTCTTCTCTCCCCAGGGTTTTCTACTGTTGATTGTTGAGGGCTGTGGTTGTCCATTTGTTTAGTGACTTTTTCCAACTATTTTTGCAAGACCGTATTCTTGTTATATATGGTCACTGAAGTCTCTGTTCTTTTATCTCATTGGTCAGCCAATAACCTGACATTTCTTTAAACATCTGGATCCAAGAAGAAACAAACAATACTACTTTCCTGGTTTTTGTAGCTTGACTCTGAGCTGGAGTACCCACTTGAGACTGTGCCAGGTCATCAACTCTTCTGTCTCAGCCTTCTCCTCCTGTTTGTATGTAGATCACACATCCTCCAGAAATATAAGCCTATGGTCCTCTGAGGTTTTTTTCTGAGCATGCATCTGGTCCTGGGCATGCGTGTTATAGTGTGACTTCCCTGGTATGCATGGTGGCCCTTATGAATCCTTATTCCCCAAAGAAACTTCCTTTTTAGCTTCCTCCTTCCTGTGCTATTGCATGTGTTTGCTATTTGTCCTGTCCACAATCCCTTGTCCCAAGTGGGCATGAGCAGTGTATGTCTTTAAATCTTTCAACAAAGGCAGCCACAGCCTGGAAAGCCTCTCCAGCCAGAGGTCAACCTCTGTGCTAGTCCCTCAGTGCCAAAAAGGTCAAAATGCACAGCTACAATATTGTAAAGAACAAGGTCATTATCTCCTGGCACCAGCAAGCCACACCAGGAATGTGGGCCACTGTCACCTCAGCCACTGGGGAATGGGGAATGGTAAGAGGATAAGCAAAAGTGCTTCAATGCTCTCTTACCAAATTTTTGCTGCCCTTTTCTGCATTACACAGTCCCCTGTAAGTTGCTGCAAGTTTTGGATTAGATTCTAGAGTTCCAAAACAATGTGTTCTGTCATTCATTGCCAGTTTAAGGTTGTTTCAGTGGAAGAACTGATTCTTTGTGTGCCCTGCTCCACCACTTTTAGTGATGTTGTCCCCTTCTGAATCTTAATCCTGTGCTTTCTGGCCTATAGCATAATCAAGAAAGGGCAGGCTTGGGCTGCTAACAAGACTGTTAACACTTGAGGACTTACCTTCCATTCCAGACTAAAGGCAATAGTGTTTTTGCGTTCTTGAGAGGAGTTTCACTATACCAACCCTTGTTTATCCATTCAAGCTTCAAAGTGTTCATAAGTCTCTAGTCTTAAACATTTATATCATTTATGTAGAAGGTCTTGCTTGTGGCCCTAGAGGTAACACATTATAGGTTGTGAGTTTAGGCTGACATTAACAGGGAGAGTCTTTCTCCCTGGATTATGGCTATTTCTCTCCCCTGTACTAGAATTTCAAATGACATTATTATAACTCATTTGCATTCACATAATCCATCTTAATGGCTTCTCACTATGCACATTTTTTGGATTACATCATCTAGTACATCATTTGGCTAATTGGAGGTTTTTTATTTTTTTCTTTTAATATGGAGACCTCTTCAGCTCAGAGAGAATCTTAAATGTAGCTGTTACATCACCCAGATGATTCCTCCAAATTAGGTAGCACAGGTCACCCTCATAGAAATCCCAAGTTGAAAGCAACCTTGAGAGTCATATAGCCTATCCCTCAGCCTCCAGGCAGGACCAGAGCTAAAATTACCCTGGGCTTTTGAGAACCTGGCCAGCATCTGTAAACCAAGCTTGAACTACTCTGTTATTTCCAGCTACTAGCCCTTATGCTGTAGTCTGAGCCAATTTCTTGAAACATGTTGCTTTTTTCAATAGGAAGATGGTATTTAAGAGTTGACACCAGTAGGAGACATTCTGAATGGTTTTCTTGGCTCTGGGGCTTTCCAAGGCCCTATTGTTGACCCATAGCATGGATTTGTAACCTGGTTGGCTGCCTGAGTTGAGGCTATGATCTTGGGCCTGGCACCTGTTTTTCTCTGTGTAATCAACCCCCGGGTTTATTTGGGGATTAGCTTAGACCTTCCTAGCATCGTGTATATACTGCCTTGGTGGTGTGATGACTTGAGGAGAGGAGGACCATGACTGAGTACCTGGAGATGAGGTCTGTTTCTGTGGCTCTTTGTAAAGTACAACATTTTTGGAAAATCATCATACTTGTATATATATATTTTCTTTTTTCATCAGTATATTTATCATTATGAGTAAGAGTGAAACCACTTATCTTTACATGGCTCTAGTGCTATTAATATCTTCTCACCAGTATTTACTAAGTCCTGAACAAAAGTGACTGTCTAGCACTTAGCAACAGCCACCTCCTGGAGTGGTCTAGACAAGTACTAAGGGTATCTGGCATCTTGAGAGGTCTGTTGTCCTCTATATTAGAGGGTCACTAGAGAAACAATACTCAGAAGTGGGTTGGTCTCTTTTTTTAGTTTTCAGAAGTGAAAACTGACAGCTCCATACCTCTTCAGGCCACCAGTTATACCTCAGGACAGATCTGAAATAGTTTGTCCTTAAGTTGAACTAGAATCTGTCTTTCTGGAGCTTCTACTCATGGGAAGGGTGTAAATGTCCAAGAGAACTGGCTCTGGAGATAATCTTTCTGGATTAGAATCAGAGCCTTTCCATTTATTAGCAAAGTGGCCATTGTATGCTTCAGTGATCTCATCATTAAATTGAGGATATAACAACACCTATCTCATTAAGTTGTCAGGAGAACTAAACAAAATACAGGAAGAGCACTGACAATGGGATCTGACACATAGGAAACACTCAATAATAATACTGGTAATACTTGCAGCAAACTCTTAATGTAAATGGTAGAAATAATGTCCTCATTTTTCCCTGCTCCTCTCTCAAACCCTCTTGGAATATACTGACTCTCCACTCTGTCTATAGCCCATCAGAGATCTGAAACCTCAGACCAGGTCAGCCAAGCCTCTCCTGTCCTCCAGGCTTCTGAGCTTTCACCTTTTAGCCATTATTTGGATGAATCAGTTTCTTGTTGCTGCTATGTGTGAGTGGCTAGACTGAGGCCATCCGGGCATGCAAGGCCCACTCCATTCAGCCACTTGTATGAGAACATGGGCTACATGGAGGCCTGGACATGCTGACACTGCCAGGCTTTCAAGACTAATAGGAATGATATTACAACTAATGACCCTGCTGAACATGTAATTGGACAATGTTCTTTCTTGGCTGTTCTGACCTCTACCAAGAGGCATAATAATGTTACTGGGGCCATACATCAGCAGTTAGCTTCCATTTAGGAACAAATAAATGGTGGAACATTGTGTTATATGTAGGAACCCAAGAATGGATTGAAAAACTTCTTTTTAAAATATACTGGGGAAAAAAGCCATAATAATAGACCTGAACATTCTGCCCATTGGTCCAACTCTTTGTTTTGATAAGCTTATTAAGGTAGTACAGTTATTGACATTGCTGCTCAGTAGAGCTTGGCCCTGAATGCCATGTGCCATGTGTGCGATGGACTCATTCCCATATTTATATAAAGTAAGCATAGCTTACTGTTAAGCGTACATTTAATAAAGATGCTATATACGGGACAGGGCCAGCAGTAGCCCTGAAAAACAGTGCAGCCAGATGAACTTGAATTTGGGGCAGGTCCTAGAGGTTCACTTTCCCTTGTGGGTTGGGATAGGCTGAGAGTGTGTGCGCAGTGGGTAAGGTCCCTCCCAACTGAAAATATTGGGAGAAAGTCCAGCCCAGTAGGTAGAGTGTAGCATCAGTAGGCAGCAGACAGAGGGTGGTTTGTTGTCATGACAAGTGACTGGTATTATTGGTCCAACGTCAGGTTGTTTAGTGTGCTTCAATAAGCAGGTAAAGCATGGTGACCAGGTATCCAGAGGCAGGGAGTATGCAGTGAAAATGGTTTCTTAATTTGTAGAATGAAGGACTTAATAAAAATTCATTCACCCAACAGATGATCATCAAATGGCTACTGAGAAGATACAGAGGTACTCTAGAACTTCAGCCCATCCTCTAAGAGTCTGATAGTAGATGTGAAAACTTATGCATAAGGGAGGTGATTTGCCAAAGCTCTGTCACTTTAGTCAAGTTCTTTACCTTTGCCAAATCTCACTTTTCTCCCCTGAAAGATGGAGGGGTTGGAACAGATATACTCCAAGAACTTTTCTAGCCCATTCTCCATAATTTCTTCTTCTTTTTTTTTTTTTCTTTGAGACAGGATCTTATGCTTTTGCCCTGGCTGGAAGTGTAGTGGTGTGATCATGGCTCGCTGTAGCCCCAAACTCTTGGGCCCAGGCAGTCCTGCCACCTCAGCCTCCTGAGTAGCTGGGACTACAGGCACCTGCCACCACACCCAGCTAATTTTTTGTATTTTTTGTAGATGCAGGATTTCACCATGTTGCCCAGACTGGTCTTGAACTCCTAGACTCAAGCAATCCACCTGCTTCAGCCTCCCAAAGTGCTGGGATTATAGGTGTGAGCCACCACCCTGGCTAATCTTGTTTTAGTTGAGGTAAAATAAACATAACATCACCTTCCCCATTTCAATCATTTTAAAGTATACAATTCAATGCATTTGCAATGTTGTACAACCATCACCACTATCTCATTCCAGAACTTTTTTATCACCACAAAAAGAACTCCATACCCATTCACACTCATTCCTCACTCCTCTCTCCTCTCAGTCTGTAGATGGTATAATGTTTTGTACAAATGTTAGCAGGTAGAAAATACAGGATAGTTAGGGAAGGGATTAAATTCATAGGAACTGAGGTCAGGAAGAGGCATATGACTTCAGTAGCTATAGGAGACTACATCAGCCTGGATACAGGCTAAAAGGAGTAAAAAACATAAGACAGATGTTGCGGGAAAAGCCTCAATAGGGAACAGGTGTCATCTAAGGCATTGGTACTATCCTGGAGGATCAGAAAGTAAATGAGACCCTGCCAGACTTGCCTTTAACTTGTTAGTAAATGGCATAGCCCAAACAAGATCACATTCCAACTCCAAAGCCAGTGTTTGCCACATCACCATCCTGAAGTGTTTTTTTTTTTTCTTTTCTAAATGTCTGTCAAATAATTGCAAGCTTTCTGTGAGATGGGTAACTCAGGTCAGCTTGATTTCAGCATTCTGCTTAGCGTGGCTTTCATCATGAAATCGGTACTTCCATATCTGAATAGCTTAAATGGAAGTCTTCTCTTCATTTTAGCTCAAATAGAAAGAAAATCAAAGGAAATACAGAATAAATGAACTTCTAAAGGTCCTGGCAGAGCACTCCTTTTTTGGCTACTTAACTAATTAACCTAAATTCTATCAACGTCTAAGCAGGATAATTCCATGAAAACCAATGAAAGGAGAAGACTTAGGGGTAGAGTGGAGTGTAGTTCTTATTAGAGGCATCTAGTTTTCTTGACTGGGAAGGAAGCTATGTTATCTGTGAAGGGTTTCCCTACACTCCAATCCACCCCCATTCTAGCTTGAGTTCTCACTTTAAGAAGCCTTGTCATGGGCAGAAATCATCAATACCTCCAGCCTCGACTAAGTAAGTCTCCATTCGTTGGGAAGGGTTTTTGAGTCTGGTTGTCAAGGAGGTGGCATTTGGGGTATAAGAAATTTGGGACAATTGCAAAGCAATTACAAAAGTACTTCCTAAAACTCTTCCCTGACTAGAGAGGACAATGTTTCTCATATGTTGCTTCATTGTTCTAGGGGCAGATGATGCCAACCTAGGGGATAATAACAAGAACAGCTAATATTTGACTCTGTGCTAGAAACTGTTTTACATGCACAGTTTAATAAGGATTAAATAAACTACCTTATTTAATCCTCACAACAGCCCCATGAGATAGATAGATATTATTTCTATTTCAGAGGTAAGGAAACTGAGGATCAGAAAACTTAAAGTTGCTTACTCTGTGTTACTCAGAGGTAGTTGTAGAGCCAGGATTTGAAATCAGGATCCCGAGTCTTCACCCTTTACCACTGTCACAGACTGTCTCTCCTAATTTTGGCCTAAGAGTCCAGAGACTTTGCTTCAATCCTGACTGCCACTTTGATGCATCCCCCTGTCTGGCCTTGGATTTCTCATCTGGGAAATGGAAATAAAAAGGTTTGCTTGCCTGCCTTGCAGGGCTGTTTTGAAGTCCAAGTAAGAGAGTTCGTGGGAAGACACTGTTCTTGAACTAGGTTTTCAGAGAAGCCAGGGACAAAAGAAGAATGATAGAAAAGAGTAGGGAAGGCCTTCCTGAAGAAGGAGTAGGGGGCAGGCTTTAGAAGGATACAAGGTACAGAGGTGTGAATAAACAGAATGTGTTGGAATGAATGGGAAGGGTAGCTTGCCTGAGGTCACACGTCTGTGTTGAAGAGCAGTGAAACTCGGTGGGTCGGTCCCATTTTAATGTGCTGATGGGAAGCCATGAATGCAAAAACAGTATATTCACACAGGTCTTTTCTTTTTCTCTTTTTGTCTGTTATATAACAAAAATTTTCATTGCTCTGGTTGAAGCTCCTTATTTCTCATTGTGTTGGTGCTGGAGAGGGAGAACAATTTGTTAGCAGCCTTCTTATTATGATACTTCATATAATTAGTGAGAGTTATTAAATCTTCCCTTGAGGGGTAGAGGAGTAGTTTCTGTGTCTGACTGTACATACCGTGCTGATTGTCTTTGTGCCAGGCAGGAATGCTAAGTGCTTCCTGGCATGCACATTCAGGAATCCCTAAGCACTTCTGATCCTCCTGAAAGCTGAGACTGGGGCTCCAAAACTGGGTGTGTGTGTGTGTGTGTGTGTGTGTGTGTGTATGTGAAGTGGGAGCTCTGCTTGCAACTAACCAGGTTCCTCTCAGTCCCTCACATTCACCTTTGTATCCACACTTCACCATTGCTTCACTGTGGTGGCAGAGAAAAGGCCTTTTGGTGACCTTTGTTATTGAAGAGTTCACGTTCCCTCCAATCTCTCCTTTATCTGTGTTTTGCCCTTTTGTAGTGTTTGCTGAGATTTTTGGCTGGCAACTTTATTCAGACAGAGACAGAGCTCATGATTAGAATGATTAGAATTATCTGAAAAAGGAAAGGGCTGCCTTGGGAGACAGTAATCTCATCATTCGTTGTGTTCAAGCAGATAGGCTGTGCAATTGCTGGCAGGGTATGTTGTCAAGGGAGTTTATGTATTGATTGGGGAGCAAGGGGTGGCATGGACTAGTCCACCTTCCATTTCCTTTATAAACTGATTCTATAGCTCTGAGAGTCTATTGTTCAATAAGACTGGCAATAACCCCTCACCTTCTCAAAGGATGTCTTGCTTTTTACTCCTCTCTGGTTGATTAGATTTGGCCTTTGAAAATATCAAGGTGAGATTTAGACAATACCGCTTACCCATTCTCTTCTCAGAAATATTACACTGCTGGAGACAGGGGCCGGCTGGCTTTCTAAGACACTCCTTGAGCCTTTATTGACTTTATGAAGGAATTACTGGCTGGATATTATGGTAGTTTTCTTTTAGAACTACTGATCCATTTGCAGGGAGGGGCTACTAAAGATGTTGAAGAGGTTGTACCAAGGGCTGGGTAATCATCACTTTATCATATGGAACAATGGTGAGTCTATTGGAATATGCATATAGGTATATAAATGCAAGGAGAGAGGTTGACAAGGATTTCACACAAAATCCATAACCATGGTTTCCTCAGGAGAGGTAGAATATGGTTAGGATGAGGAACAATCAGGGGAAATTTCACCTTATCTAGACAGTTTTAGCTTTTTATGTATTTATTTTAATAGAGATATAATTTCCATACCATAAAATTTACCATTTTAAAGTATACAGTTTAGTGGGTTTTAGTATATTCACAAAGTTGTATAACCATCACCATTGTCTAATTCTGGAACATATTTTTAAAATCATTTTTAATAGATAAAACTGTATATATTTGGGGGATGTAATGTTTTGATATATATATA